>NC_000014.9:20861713-22111713 GCF_000001405.40 Homo sapiens | reverse complement strand
AAGTCTTATCTAACAGATAATCAATTTCTATTGGAAAGTATTTGTCTATTATTCACCAACATGTCCTACTCTAATAGCGGGTAAATTGTGGATACTCAGGTGTTCATTAAATGATAAAAAAAAAAAGTGTGTGTTTGTATATACACTGTGTCACGATTTAAACTTAAAATATTCCAAAAAGTATTAAAATATTAGAACCATATCAATACCATATTCAAATGGTATTGGTTGACAATGTGCCCTTCTATAAAAACAATCAAGGTTTGGTTGTAGCTATTTAGAAATATCACCTTTAGGAGATACTACTTTCCTAGGGTTGCCGTAGCAAACAAACTTGGTGGCTTGACAAAAATGTATTTTCTTTATACCCCTAGAGGCCAGAAGTCTGAAATTAAGGTGTCAGCAGGGCCATGTTCCCTCTGAACGTTCTAGGGGAGGATCCTTCCTCATCTTTTCCAGCCTCCGGTGGCTCCAGGCATCCCTTGGATGTGGCTGCATAATTGCAACCTCTACCCCGCTGTCTTTAGATGGCCTTCTCATCTGTGTGCTTCTTTTTTTTTTTTTTTTTTTTTCCTGAGACAGAGTCTCACTATGTTACCCAGGCTGGAGTGCAGTGGCTCACAGCAACCTCCACCTCCCAGGTTCAAGCGATTCTCCTGCCTCAGCCTCCCGAGTAGCTGTGATTACAGGTGTGCATCACCATGCCTGGCTAATTTTTGTATTTTTAGTAAAGACAGGGTTTCACCATGTTGGCCAGGCTAGTCTCGAACTCCTGACCTCAGGTGATTCGCCCGCCTCAGCCTCCCAAAGTGCTGGGATTACAGGCATGAGCCAATGTGCCCAGCCTCATCCGTGTGTTTCTTAAAAGAACAGTTGTCGGCCGGGCGCGGTGGCTCACGCCTGTAATCCCAGCACTTTGGGAGGCCGAGGCGGGCGGATCACGAGGTCAGGAGATCGAGACCACGGTGAAACCCCGTCTCTACTAAAAATACAAAAAATTAGCCGGGCGCAGTGGCGGGCGCCTGTAGTCCCAGCTACTCGGGAGGCTGAGGCAGGAGAATGGCGTGAACCCGGAAGGCGGAGCTTGCAGTGAGCGGAGATCGCGCCACAGCACTCCCGCCTGGGCGACAGAACGAGACTCCGTCTCAACAAAAAAAAAAAAAAAAAAAAAAAAAAAAAAAAAAAAAAGAACAGTTGTCATTGGATTTAGGGCCTACCTGAATAATCCAGGGTGATCTTAACTTGATATTCTTAACTCAATTACATTTGCAAAGACCCTTTTTCAAATAACACCACATTCACTATTTCTAGGGATTAGGACATGGACATATCTTCTGTCATCATTCAACCCACTACAAGAAATCTAATGTCTTTAAAGTGTTGCCTTGTAAATGTATTAATGGCGGAAATCTCAACATTTTGTGTAGGGTAAAAAGTGAATCTAAATCTGAATTACTGCATGAAATGGAAACAGACCAAGAAGCAGTTTTCGGATGTGCTGAAAAATGGCAAATCTTGTGAATTAAGATAAACTTTTGAAATGCATGCCACTGGGATGCTTTTTTTTCCTTCGTAGGAATATTGGATTTGGATCTCAAAATGAAGACAAAGCTAACAATTTTAAGGCAATAAGGACTCCTTCCCCATTCAAGAAGAGCAAGGAGTGTGCAAGGAGCACCTGTGGGGGCTTTAGAAATCCTCTTCTCTTCATCCAGGGCAGCAGTACTGGTGCAGTTTACGTAGGAGGCATAAACCCAGACAGAGGAATCTCGCCCGGGTCAAGCTTGCCCTTTCCCAACTCGCAGCATGGTCTGTCTTGTAGCCTCTCTCTAGATCTTATGGTTGGAAGTGGAAATTTACTAAAGGAAGAGAAGGGAAGCTGGCCATGCATTGGTTCAAGGAGTAAAAGAAATCTCTGCACTCTTAGACTGAATCTCTGCATTTCCTAGTAGGAAACATTTCCATTGAATATAAACATATAATAGCTCTCAGTGGCAAATATTTTTGTCAAAACAATTGTAAGAGAGGATCAGATTCAAAAATATTTATAATAAGATGTTACAAGTGTTATTCTATGAAATCTCAGATTCTATGAGATTCTATGAAATCTCAGATAAAAAATAAATAATGCCTGAATTGGGCCATAAAGGGTGAGTAGACCTGTGTGCATATTACAATGGGAAAAATATATTCTGGGAAAAGGGGTCAGATTTAGGAAGGCCCTTAATATTCACATAAAGGGTTAGAATTTAAATATACATATATAATATATAAATATATATAATATAAATATATATATATTACATATATGAGAGAAGGATGGAAGATTAAAATAGAAGGTAAACAGGATTCTGTAGATGGCCTTGTATTTTTGTTTGTTTGTTTGTTTGTTTCTTTTTGAGACGGAGTCTTGCTTTGTCACTCAGGCTGAAGTGCAGTGGCAATCTCAGCTCACTGCAACCTCCACCTCCTGGGTTCAAGCAATTCTCCTGTCTCAGCCTCTTGAGTAGCTGGGATTATAGGAGCATGCCACCACGTCCGGCAAATTTTTGTATTTTTAGTAGAGACGGGGTTTCGCCATGTTGTTCAGGCTGGTCTCGAACTCCTGACCTCAGGTGATCCACCTGCCTCGGCCTCCCAAAGTGCTGGGATTACGGACATGAGCCACCACACCCAGCCGGCCTTGTAGTTTTAATACAGAGTTTCAACTTCTAGTGGTTCCTTACTACCCAAAGGGAGGCAGGAAGTGATCTTATTAGATACATTTTATAATAACTCTAGTTGCCATGTAGAAGTTAGATTCAAAGAGTTGAGAATAGAGGCAGGAAGACAATTAGGAAGCCATTGCAATCATCCAAGTGAGAGGTGCTGAATGCCTAAATTAGGAAAGCAGTAAGCAATATAGAAATAGAGAAACAGATACGAGCAGTATTTGGAAGTTCAAATTGACATGACCTTGATAATTACTGGATTATCAAGGTCATGTGTTATGCTTCATTAGCACTCTGATATCTATCTGGCATAGGAATATGTTTACTTAGTTAGCTCTTGTGGGAGTTAGTATCCAAAGATGCCCTCAAAATCGTGCTTCTGATATTCATGCCCTTGTGTATTTCCCTTCTATGTTGACTCTGGGTTGGCTCTATGACTCAATTTTAATTATATTTACAGAGGCCCCTTTTCCAAGTAATGTCACATTCATGGTTCTTATGTATGCATGAGAATGCAGTAGAAATAATATTGTGGCAGTTCTGGCCTAAACATTAAAAAGGCCTGGCACCTTCCACTTTTGTAATATTGGAAGCCCTAGAGAGATCTTGATGAGAGACCACATGCAGAGGCCATGTGTAATGAAAGCCCTGAGAATAGTTGGGATGAGAGATGAGCCCAGCCTTCCGCATTCCCACCAAGGCTCCGGGTATGGAAGTGAGCTCCAGGGGTTCTAGTCAGGCAAGCCCCCAGAGGACCCTAGCTGCAGTCAGCATCACAAGGAGCAGAAGTATCATGAGATAGTAAAATGGCACTTGCTTAAGTGAGTTGTACAACAGTTTGTTATTCAGCAAGCCACAAAAGCTCTGGAGTTCAATGAAAAATAGTCTTTTTGAGAACTTGTGAGAAATCAACAATAAAAATGTATGCTTCCTCTGGCTGATTTCTGCTAGTCTCTAATAGCTTGATCTGAAACATCTGCCTGTTTCACCAAACTTCTTTTCAAAAGCCAGCCTTGTGCTTCTGCACTGGCACAGAAGACCTGGTGGCAATGATCAGAGGTAACAAGAGCTCTGTGCAGCCACAGTACAGGAGCAGGTGGCTGATTGCTCAGGTTGGGGCCCTGCAATCAACAGAGATCTGTGTTTCTTATTTAACATTTTTATATTTCACTCACTCTTCTCTTTCCATGTGTCTAAACTAACAAAATTTACAAGAACATGCCTGTGTCTCTATAAATAATCAGAATTTGACACATTATTTTCAATTTCAGATCAGTTTTAGAATCCAAAGACACTGAAAATTTTCATCCATATTTACTTGGTTACATACAGCTTTCATAAAGATAGGGATATTTTTGTAAGGACCATGCACCACAGATTTACATTTTTCTTGATCGTGTGTGTGGGAAGATCTCTATCTCATCGTGGCTTAAGGCAGGCAGAGTTCTCAAGGAAGTTGGAGTCATGGGCTGGTTTCAAGCAGCGTCATTCCACACTGAAGTGTTGTATGAATGTAATTAATTTCTATGTGTGCCTTGACATGCGGGAGACTGTGAGGCATTGTGTTGCAGCCACACACAAATGAGTCAGATGTTCATCTTTTATTTTACTCATGCCTTTTGATTCTACCAATTCAGAGTTAGTTCAAGCCTCAAGATCATTGCTGGAAATATTAGAAATTCTTCCATTGATCTTTATGCCAATAATGGAGAGCTGGTTTGGGAATTTGACTAGCAGCTGGAACAGTGATCAGTCTTCTTTTGTGTAGTTCTTCTCCACCGACACTAGGGTACAATGAACCATAGCTTCTCCGCACTCAGTCCTGTGCTATACCCTTCTGATTCCATATATGTTCAAATAATATTACAAATTTAGCCGCTTCTGATCTGATAGTCAAATAGATTCATTACTACCTTGTGAATAAATTTTGAAAAAAGTAATTCTCTCTCTATATATATATATCTCTAAATGGGTCCAGTCAGAGATTTGTATACACTCCATTATTATTTTTAAAATGTACCAGCTTTTTTTCCTAAATATGTGATAATAACAATAATATTTTTAAAAACATAAATCCACAAAAGAGAGAGAAAATGCAATAGCAGCATAATTTAGGAAACTGGACAGGAGCTGGATAAATAATTATTAATGTAGATGTTTAGAGAAAGTTGAAATTCTAGCTTTTAGATGAGGAGGCCCAGAAGCAACTTACTTCATCTTAACAGCCCCCAAGAACGCTTAGAATTAGATGCCTCTAGAGTACAAGTGGGACCTTAAACTGGTGGGTTGTTTGGAAATCTGCAAAAGGAGGAGAGCACCAAACACTCAGCCTACTTAATATACCTGGAAATTACAAATGAAGAGACTTTGATAATAGAGTTCAGTTAGTCATCCAATATCACAATCACAGTACAAGCTGGGGTATAGACCACGTAAAATAGTGAAGGTCCTTCATCAGTGCTCCTTTATGATATTATCAGTGATATTTAAAAATGAAAATAGCCACATGTGAGAAGAAATAAAAATACAAATGTTCATGTGGGGGAAAAGTTGAACTAAAGCAAAACCAAAATCCCCAATGGATTAAAGGAGGCAGCATCACCTGTTCTGGTATTAAACATGCATATTTCCAGGCCAGGTGTGTGAGGGAGGGGCATGCCGACATGCTCCTTTTGTGCTGTGATAAAGTATAATAGAAGAATTCGTTTTCAGGACATAGCAACAATGAGGGGGTAAATATCGCCTTTGTTTACCCAGATTGTTTTAGATAGATTTGAGTAACTATTGGGTTCTTTCAGAATCATGCCAAAAGAGCAGGCAATGGGTCTGACTCCATGATGTGGTTAATGAGCTGTTGGGAGCTGGGGTTAGTATTGTTTAGTAACGGCCCAGTTACCAGGTCATGTGTTATGCTTCATTAGCACTCTGACATCTATCTGTCATAAGGAATATGTTTACTTAATTTGCTCTTGTGGTAGTTAGTTATGATCACTAGCATGCTTATTTTTCTATGTTTGCACAATCCTCTTGAAAAAAAACTGTAATTCAACGAACTTGTCTTTTCCATCCTACTCATGGTTCTTTGTCAATGCTGGTAACAGTGCAACACCAGACACAGGTTTGCGTATGGGCTGCAGGTGCCTGAACAGCACTGTGTAAAGGCACAGAGGTATGTGGCTGAGTCTTCAGGCTGGGATCCTTTGATGTACAAATAGCTGTAACCCTCCTTGGTATTAAGAGTGGCACTTATTCGTCCTTTCTTCTTTTCATCCCCATTTAAAGTCATTACAAACAAGGCCTCGGGGCTTTTTGCAGTTTCCCATCTGTACCAGTGTAAGGCATAAAAATTGCTGGAAGGGAAGCTGCAGGTGAAATTGGTGCTGTCTCCCTCCTGAACATGCAGTGACTGAGGACTTTGTTCCACGTTCAGTATGCTGCTCACGCCTGTTTTTTTAAAAAAGAGTCAGACATAGAAATTGGTCTCTCTACAGAGTTGGCATTTTCTTCACACATCCCCAAATAAAACCTAGAGTGTCTGACTGCATCCTCCTCCTTCCTCATCATCACCCCAGACTAAGAATGTCTCCTGTAACCCCTGGACTTACAGTCAAGATGAAACCAGAGGATTAGTAATGGGGCTGCCAAAGGATTCTTCTCCATGTTTCCTGCTCACGTACCCACAGCAGAAAAACGTTTTGCAGCCAAAATCTGTGGAAATATTCTGCTTCAGAAAACAGGATTCTGCATCTGGTTGCCTAGCCAATCAGAGACCAGCTCCCATAAATGTCCTAGAAACGCTCTGCCCTATGTTCAGTTTCCTGTGGTTCACAAAGAGGAGTCGAAGTAACTGCTTTCTTCAGGCCAACTTCATAAACTTTGAGGAAATCCCCCATGAGTGTGGAACACAACGAGAATTGACACCCTTTCAGAAGTGCGCTGCCTAACTGTGGACTGCTATTATTCAAATTTAGAGGGAGTTACAGGTGGGATGGCATTTGTGGCAGGAAAAGCATTTTTCTTTGAATCTTCAAACATTAAAAAACAACTTTTGAATCCCCCTCAAATTATAAATGTGCACACATCTAAATTACCTTTTTCTTTATGTACATCTATCTAATAAGAAAGTCATGCAATAGAGACATTACTGTTTCTAATTTACAAACAAAAAATAACCCAAAGCTCAAGGAGATTAAATAATTCACTCAAGGTCAATTACCTAAGTGGCATATTAAGAATTAGAACATATATCTGTCTAGCTCTAGACTTTATAATTGGAATCTGATATGCCACCTACATTTGTGATGCACCATGAATGTTTTACATGTTAGATATGTTCTAAAAATAATGGAAGTCTAATTTGTGGATATTCTTTATTAAGGCTAAAAAAATGAGAACAACCCAAATGTCCATCAGCTGGTGAATGAATAAACAAAATGCAGTATGTTCATACAAGATGTGAATGATATTCGGCAACAAAAATAAATAAATAATAAATAAAATAAAATAAATAAGCAAAAATGAAATAAATAAAATAAAACATAATATATGCTACAACACAGATGAGCCTCAAAAATACTATTTTAAGAAAAAGAATCCAGCCACAAAAGATTACATATTGAGTGATTCCATTTATATGAAATGTTCAGAAAAGGAAGATCTATAAAGATGTAAGCCGGTTGCCTGGGGCCAGGGTTGGGTTAGAGATTAACTATAAGTTTGGCATGAAGGATCTTTCTAGAGTGTTGAAAAGGATTTACAAATAGATTATGGTAATAGTTTCATAAATCAGTTATTAATTAAAAATCACTGAACCATACATTTAAAATGGATGAATTTATGGAACGTAAACATACTCCAATAAAGTTGTTTAAAAGTAAATAAGAATTATGCTGTCTTGCTTCTGTCACAGTCCAGATATAACGTTAGTTTGATTCAATATGCATGTATTTTTTAAACAGTAATTTTTGTGCTTTGAATTTCCCTAGGAGCTCTGAGGAATTAAAAATTACAAAGCTACAGCCTCATCTAGGGGAGAGGAAAAGAAAGAAAAAAAGATTACAAAGCAACATTCCCTATTCCCTGTGAGCCCAAAATATAATTGGAGAAATAAGATATATCCAAGGGAAATTTAATAATATAAGATAGCATTAATTTTTTTCAGAATATAAATTTAACCTCTAGGTATTTAGTGTATGAAGTGCCTTTAAAACCTTTCCAGTGAACAACTGAAGTAAGCAAAGGAAACAGCATGGGGTATGTACTAAAATCAGGGGACAGCACTTTCCACATACATTTAAATCACGTTCTAAAAAATTAGAACAGGATTAGAAAGTATCTCAATGGTTAACTTCTAGCTTTCCTTCCCAGAAAAGGAGATAAATGTATGGGTAGTAAAGGAAATCCTGGAAGCCTCAATAATGACTCCTAGTTCAGAAGCATGAGGACTAGGGTTAGGGATGGCTGCTAGACAAACAAGCCATTCTTTTTTTTAAATCATACTTTAAGTCCTGGGGTACATGTTCAGAACGTGCAGCTTTGTTACATAGGTATACACATGCCCTGGTGGTTTGCTGCACCCATCGACCTGTCACCTACGTTAGGTATTTCTGCTAATGTTATACCTCCCCTAGTCCCCCATCCCCTGACAGACCCTGGTGTGCGATATTCCCCTCCCTGTGTCCATGTGTTCTCATTGTTCAACTCCCACTTATGAGTGAGAACATGCAGTATTTGGTTTTCTGGTCTTGTGATAGCTTGCTGAGAATGATGGTTTCCAGCTTCATTCATGTCCCTGCCAAGGACATAAACTCATCCTGCTTATGATTGCATAGTATTCCATGGTGTATATGTGCCACATTTTCTTAATCCAGTCTATCACTGATGGGCATTTGGCTTGGTTCCAAGTCTTTGCTGTAGTAGTTTCTTTTCTGTAGTTTCTTCTCCAGATGCATGGAGAAGATCATAGCATTCAGGTAACTTTATCATAGGAGAGTGAAGTCATGGCCACAATCACTCAGAAAGCCTACATGCTGTGGAGCTCATTTCTGGTGAGAACACCGATCCACTGATAAATTCACCCACATGTTGAAGGAGCAGTGTCCAGATCAAGAAGATATACCTCTAACAGCAGGGAGAATTCCTCTATCTATAATAGTAGGACAGAATCCTGCAAGGTATAGCCACACATTTGACCTGAAGTAAAGGCCAAGCCTGTTGGCAACTAAATACAGCCTTACGAGATTCTCTTTCTGGAAGAGTGCATGATCCTAGTTTCCTTCCTCCCCACTTTGGCCACAGGACAACTCAACTAGTAATATCAATCTTTATCATTCTTAACAGCCTAATATATCAGGGAGGATTCTAAATGTACCCACCCTGATAGTGAAGGGAAACAAGGTCAATTTGCTTTCTCTGTTTTGAGCAAACAGTGGGCCTGTATATCAACTCTTATGCAAGGAGTGTGTGTGTGTGTGTGTGTGTGTGTGTATGTGTGCACACAGAATTTTTTAAAACATAAAAATATATACATATACATGAGTCCTCTGAAAAACTTTTGCAACATAAAAGATAAGATGCATGCACTACAGAGAAAAATGCCTCAGAATTTTTTCTACCTCATATCCACAGTGAGTAAAGTGAGGGATTTATAGATAAAATTTTTAGTAAGATTATTTATTAATTCCCCCAAAGTGCAAAAATAAACCAATGTAGATAAACCAAAGCTAGTATTCAACTATTTAGCCTTTACATATTTAAATATTACGTTAAGAAACTTACAGGATATAAATCTTGACAATTCTGGATAAATAACACAAAGATTAATCCAGCTTAAACTGTTATATTAATATTTGAATTGCAAGGACTCTGGACATAATTTTACCTTTTGTGCATTCATTCAACAAACATGTATTGTTTGTGTCTCCTGTGTGCTAGGCATTGTTCCAGGCATGGAGAACATGGTGGTGAAGAGATAGAAAAGGGACTAGAGTGCAATGAGAAGAAGTTAAATAAATGAGTTTTTACAAAATAAGATAATTCTATACGGTGATAAGCTCTATAAAGACAATATAGCACTGTAATGAGATAGAGAGTTATTCTTGGGGTGAGAAAAGGTATCTGCTCTACATAAGGCATGGAGGGAAGGCTCAACTCTGACACTTTGTGATGCTAGGCAAGACATTTAATCTCTCTCATATTCAATTTCCTTTTCTGTAAGTAACCAGTAGCTTTTTGTTGGTACTGGGCTAAGCATTGGCATTTGTCATTTTGTTTATTTCTCAAAATAACCCTTTGTAGTAAGTACTATCAATATCCACATTGTAGGGATAAGGAGACTGAAGCATAAAAGTTATTAAGTAATTTGCTCAAGATAATTCAACCAATGAGTGGTAGGTCCAGAAATGCAATCCAAGCCTATATAATGGTTATGCCATTACATTATAAGTAATGGAAAAAGCAGAAATTACTTTTACACCAACCGAATAAATCATCTAATACAATAACTTCTGTATCTTAGGCACTCAACCAGATGCATTCAATATAGAAAATATTGGGGGGTTGGGAGACTGTATCTGAAATTGCAGTGCAGTCTATCCACAAGATAAAATTCAGTATTTTTCCGAGGGGCATTTTGCAATTTGCATAGCATATTTTATGTACTATAATACATATCCATGTTCTATCATGTTTCTTACTGTTAGTGGGAAATCAGTGGCGTTATGATGCTATATTGGGAGGTTGGGCAGCATATGATAACATGGAGAGAGTATGCTGCACTGTGTTCCCTACAATGGCTTATTTCTCTCCATCATTGACTCTTGTTCTCACTTCTTAGGATATTTCTATACTACAGTAAGGGACAGAGCAGTAGATGAACTCTCACTTAATAGAGAAAAACTTCCCACCTTGTGCAATAATGCCAACCTTTGTTTCCAAGGTATTCTATTAGCTTAAACCATCCCATATATTATATTTGCCATTTTGAAATCAATCAACCTCACATATTAAGGGAAAAATATTTTAAAAATGAAATTTAAAAAAGTCCCAGCCAGCGCCTCTGCCCGGCCGCCCCGTCTAGGAAGTGAGTGCCTCTGCCCGGCCGCCCCGTCTGGGAGGTGTACCCAACAGCTCCGAAGAGACAGCGACCATCGAGAACGGGCAGTGATGACGATGGCGGTTTTGTAGAAAAGAAAAGGGGGAAATGTGGGGAAAAGAAAGAGAGAACAGATTGTTACTGTGTCTGTGTAGAAAGAAGTAGACATAGGAGACTCCATTTTGTTCTGTACTAAGAAAAATTCTTCTGCCTTGGAATAAATAAATAAATAAATAAATACATAAATACATAAATAACTTGTGAGGTCTGGATCCAGGCAATGGAGACAAGACACAGTAGCAGGGACAAGCTGCGTAAGGGATAAAAATTGCTTCCTTCAAAGAAAAAAAAAAGTCTCAGCCAGTCCTGCTGAATCCTGTCTCACATGATTACTACCATGGGAAGGTTACTGACTGGTTCAGAAATGCTAGCTCCTATTGCAACCAGGCTTCATCACAGCTTAGCCCGTGAACACTGGAGGGCAGCAGGGAAGCCAGCGTAAACCTCACCAAATAGTTCAGCGGGACACCAGGTGGCAGTGCTTCAGAACTTGGTGCTTTAGTTCTCAACACGTGGAATACGCTAGAGCCTGATTCTCAAAGAAGGAATATACAATAGAAAGATTTCGATAAAGGCTTCACAAAGTGGTGACTTTTGCGTAAAGACGTAGAGGAGTTCAGAGCTACACCATGAGGTTTTGTGGGGGTATAGCATTGCAGGCAGAGTGGGCAAAGGCCTTGATATGGAAGCCCGCTTGGAGTGTTTAAGGAATAGTATCTCATCTTTCCCTCTAGCCTCTTGTGCTTCATAGCACACTACTGTAGAAGAGACTCACTGATACATTCAGCACTCTTAAATACTTAGTCGGTGATTTCCTCCATCTGTTGATCCTGAGGCAATTTGTGCCTAGGTTTGTCATCTTGTCATCCTCACTGAGAAAGCCAATGCTGCTGCTTTGTGGCTATTTGCTTCTCCATAGTCCAAACTTTGATTTTTTAGGAGCCCTCTAAGATGTTACACCCTGGCTGACTTTAGTTAGAGATGCTTTTCAAAGTTAGGGAAAGCTGTGTCTCATTTCCCAAATATAAAAAATTGGAAGACTAAAACCTATCTCGTAGGGTGTATGATGCTTAAATTAGGTAATGAATTTGAAATGTATAAATAGTGCCTGACATATAGTATGGCCAATGAATACCAACTTTCTTTTTTCCTAGTAAAACCTGCTTTCCTTCAGTGTTCCGGTCTTTAGCCTGTTACTGCTTTTTCTTCTTCCACTGAACATGGTTCAATGATGGACATGTTAAAAGAAAAACTTTAGACGAATTAAATTTTACAGAGTTTAATTAAGCAAAGAACGATTAGAGATTCAGGCAGCCCCCCACCAGACCAGAACAGGTTCAGAGAGACTCTGTCACTGCCACATGGTCAAAGAATATTTATGGACAGAGAAAGTAAAGTGACTTATAGAAAAAGGAAGTAAGGTACAGAAACAGATGGATTGGTTAAAGCTTGGCATTTGCCTTATTTGAACATGTTTGAACAGTTGGCCACCTATGGCCGAAACTTAGGGATTGGTAGAGAGCAGACTGTAGCCTGTTTATGCATCCTGTTAGGTTACAGGGCCCTATGTATGGAGAAACCTTTGCCCTGAGTTTTAAATAAATAAGGAGGCAGCTTTAGGCTAAACTTAATTTAACAGAAGTTTCTAGAAAACCTACTTGGCCATCCCTTCCCCTGGAAGTAGTCACTATTTTTCATTATCCTCTTGTGGTCATTTCCTCCTGGCTACATTAATACAACTGGGGTGCTGAAAGGGCACAGGGGGATCACTCAATGGGGTTTCATTTTCATTTTCCTAATGAGTAATTATATTAAGTGCTTTTTGTGTATGCTTATTACTATTAGATATCATATTTCTGAAGTGTCTCTTCAAGTTTTGGCCATTTGTATTGTTTTCTCATTGCTTGTTGACTTGTACAAGTTTTTTATATATTCTGCATTTGAATCTTTTTCAGAAATACACCAATGCAAATATAATTTCCCAATCTGTGCACTGACTTTCCACCTTTTTAACAATGATTTTTGACAAAGGGTTTAAAATTAGACTTTCATGTTCATAGGAAGCTAGCTAGAGAGTTTTTTTGTTTGTTTGTTTGTTTGTTTGTTTTGTAAGTACTCTAAAAATACTTTTTCCTCTTTGGCTTCTGTTGATTTTGATGAGAATTCAGCAATCATTCTTAAAGACATGATATATCATGATATATCATGATATATCAACTTTCTCTGGCTGCTGGCAAGTTTTGCTTTGTTTTAGTCCACTTAGACATTCTGAATATGGACTTTCCTTCCACATCTGCAGTGCTTCTGGCAAAACCACAGTGGTGGGCTTAGAGAATTCCTTACTCAACTTTATGGCATTCTGTATAACATTGCTCCTGACCAAGGAGCTTGTTTTATAGAAAGTCAAGTGTACCAGTGAGTTGAGGTGCTTGCTGAAAACAGATTATGAAATGGGTAATGGAAGAGGTAGTTATAGAAACCAGCTACAATCATGTGACCATTTGTGGAAAAAAAGACTATACTGTTATAAACATTTCTTTTTCATTGTGATATGAAAATATTAAAATACATGTCAACCATTTTTTACTCTCCTCCCATTTGCCTATACATAATAGTGAAAGATATGTTAATAAGTTACTCTTATAGCTTGTTATATCTCAGAAGCTAAACTACAGGATATCAATGGGAGAGTGTGACTCAGCTAGAAGAGGAAAGAACATCACCCAAAGATGAATAAATACTTTGTATTCTCTTTAGGGGAGAGGGTTAGGGTATGTGTGGTTGAATGAAGAACAGTGGCATCATATTGGCAGGAAGTATGCTTTTTAAAATTGCCTTTATTTGAAAGCTAAGTGCTATTAAAAGAGGTGCATATGGATGTCAAGTTTACAAGGTGGGGGTATTGTGGTAACTTTGTACTGTCTCGTCGTAACTACCTGGAAATATATTTCTAAGAAAATCCTTCCCTATATTGTTCTCGATTAAGTTGAAAAAAATTGTGTAAGGCAGGTGCCAGGCTCCAGGCACTGTGGCAACTCACATATGTTGCTCTGATCTGCTAACTCATCTTATTGTTGATTCACAACTCCCCCACTCCCCCCAGATCTCCTCTTTCAGCTTCTCTTTTTCTTGGGCCAAGTACCCAGGGAGCATGATAGCAAATAACACCATTTCTTCTGAAGGTCACCAACACTATGAGATTGAAGGAGGTAAGAGACAGACAAGTTTTAGTTTGTCCTCGTGGGTTCCACCTGTCACCATGGGTTCCAAAATGTCTTTACAAATCACAGCTTTTGCATGCTCTTGTCCATGTTCAACTCTCCTTCCCAAATGTGAGTCTAGCTGACCTAGAGTAAATTCAGCAAACAGCTTTGCATAGGAGTAAGAGCAGATTATGGCATCGTATCACAGAAATCTGGCATGCTTATCACGACTTTATTTTACACATGAAAAACATGCCCAGCCACAGAATTTAACAAGTGAGACTGAATAGTTTGGATTAATGGGATAGAAATGTGGTATCAGGAGAATTCTAGGACACATGATCTAAGAAGTACTATTCTACTTGTGAAGCCAATAGGACTGAATGTCCTGATCCTCTTCAGCCTAGTACATAAAACTCAGTGTCAGATTTTGAAAAGATTACATTTTATTCCTGTTACAATTTCATAAAAACATAAACAACTAAGTAACTTCCGAGAGCCACCCGTTCCAGCAATTGCATGAGGTCTAATCCTTATAATTAATCTTATTCTACATCTTTCACGATGGTTCTGCTTCCCTGATTGTATCCTAACTGACATAAAGCTTAAGAGGAAAGGGCTAAGGAAATGATTTTTATGGTGATTCAAGATAACTAGACCCAGATTTCTGCTGTGAGCATCGTTAAGTGAGACTGCCACTTTAAGTTATTATGTGGAAGTCTTTCCAACTTTAGACAACTTTACACATTTTCTGTATGATCTATTTTAAGTAAAAATTGAAGTATTAGAAGAAAGTTGCTCTGAACACCTGTTTCCAAGTGAGATAGAAGGAGGTTTTACTTGGAATTAAATCATCTGATCCAGACCACAGATTAAATCCACAGACCACAGTCACTACCCTCTCTTGCCTGAGATCTGCAGGTGTGCATTTCAGATTGGCTCCTGTAGCAAAGGATGGGGAGTAGAGGGGTTCTCTTATTGAGCCCTAGGGTTTTTGTTTTGCTTTTACTATCACTTCAAACACTGTGAGTTCCCCAAGAGCACAAAAGTACTTTGCTGAATCTTCTAGCTGTAAGGCTGAAATGGTTAAGGCGACGGATTTCGCTGCTTTCTTGAAGTTGACAGAATAGCGACCACTTTTTGCATTCTGTTCATCAGAACCCTGGCGAATAAGGAAAATCATCTCTTTGCTGGGAAGTTGCTTGTACCAAAAAATATAATATGACCACCAACTTGTTTCATACAGGCAGTTCAGGGTGACTGCTTTCCTCACTGGCATGGATACTGATGACTGGGCTTGAGTAACCTTCTGGGCCACACTTGATCCTGTGGGAAAAATCAGAAAACAGAGCTGATCCTTTGATATAGTGAATAAAATATCGTAAGAGCTAGACTAATTTAGGACCCAGAGACAAACCAAACTAAAATCATAATATGCTCGCTTTTTTACAATTTCTCCTTTCCTCCTCAAGTCCATGAGAAATACCATATGCCTGTTTGGAATCCTTCCATCCTTAACATTTTTACTCACACTTGGAACCATCCATACCAGAGTAGCTGAAGGCCACAAATACACACAGCAGGCTGGAGAACAGCATGTGGCATGTAGCTCTTTGCACAAATGTGAGTTGTGCTGCCTGAAGCTCAAAGTTCAGTGCCTACCAGGGCCCTGCGGTGTGTATATGTAGTTCCTGGGTTCTGATGCTATCTCCCCAAACAGGAAATTGAGTCTCATGTTCATAGACTACATGGCTATGCACAGATGAGGAAAAATGTCTGGCTCACCCCTGAATCTTTACTTTGTCTAGTTGTCTTTCCCTAGTCATTAGGATAGACAGAACCTAGAAAAGGGATATAAGAAAAGCAATTTGTATTGAGGGGAACTGCAGTTGAACCAGTTGACATACATTGATATTATTCATTTAGCATATATTTACTTTTTGCCATCAGAAACTAATTAAATTTAAAAGAAAAATACTCAGATATTTGACTTTCTCTGTGAAAGGCAGTCCTATTCTAAACAATTACTGCATCTCTTTCTTCCTCCTTACTGAGGTCTAGGGCCCTAGTTAAGTTCTATAATAAGTAAAGCTACTTCAAAATCAAATGATAAAAATCAGTCCTTCTCGACTTTCAGAAGCTGCTCAGTTTTTTATCTCTTTATGAAATTATAACAGCAATAAAATGTAATCATTTCAAAATCTGACACTAAGTTTTATTTACTAGACTGAGGAGGATCAGTATATTCAGTCCTGTTGCCTTCACAAGTAGAATTATACTTCTTAGATCATGTGTCCTAGAATTGTCCTGATATCACATTTTCTATCCCATTGATCCAAAGTATTCAGTCTCACTTGTTACATTCTGTGGCTGGGCATTTTTAAAATTTTTAATGATAAGCATAAGACATTGTTTGTCATGATAAGCATACAAGATCTCTCTGTGATGCAAATGATACAATGCTATAATATACTCCCACAGAACGTGTTATCTGAAGGTTGCAAGAACTTTGTGCATGTCAATACCACAGAAGTTGGTGGCTGAATTTTTTGTATGCTGTTACGTGATTGTATGGAATTTAGATGTTAATCTTCCATGTGATTTCATTGTCTTTTTTAAAAATTTAAATAGAAAAATTTTTATTTTAGAGTTGGGGGTCTCTCTTTGTCACCCAGACTGAAGTGCAGTGGCACAATCAGAACTCACTGCAGCCTGGAACTCCTAGGCTCAAGTAATTTTGTCACCGCAGCCTCCCAAATGGCTAGGACTCCAGTTGCGAGCTACCAGGCCTGGCTAAATTTTTATTTTACTTTGTAGAGATGGAGTCTCTCTACGTTGCCCAGACTGGTCTCAAACTCCTGGCCTCAAGTGACCTTATCTTGGCTTCCCAAAGTGCTGGGATTATATGTGTGAACCCAGCCTCTAGTTTCACTAACTTAATGGACGAATTAATATAAAGGGACCAAGAGATAGCTAAGAAAGAAAGTGCAGACAAGGTCTCTAAAACATTTCCAGTTCTTTTATAAAGGTCAAAATAGCATATCACTGAGTGGTGCAGGGAATAGTTTCTCATTGTTTGAGACATCTACTCCTTAGTCCCGTTTCACCTCTGAGTGCTGAGAGGTATCCATGCTCTGGTTTGCAATTATTTGTACCTAAGTAGATGGAGACCATGAATACTCACAGTAGACTGGGAAGCAGTATGATGGCAGGATTTCCTTCCTGTTGAAATAGCCCTGCTCTGTACCCTGACAGTACAGGTGCAGGGTCCCTCAGTTCTGTATGGAAGCTGCCTCTGAAATGTGGTTTCTGGGTGGGTCAAGTGTGAATGTGCTATGATAATCCCTAGGCTGGGAAATTGGTTCTATCCTAAACATCGTTTTGCCCTTTCTTATAATTTAATTAACAAATGACAAAGGATTATATCTGGTAAAGGACATGCATGAAACAATATTGAAGGAATTCTTAAAAGGAGATTAGTCATTTAAAATTTCCAAGTTTAGGAAATTGATCTGTGATAAATCTGAGGGGCTTATCTGAAACCAATTTATTATGAATCATGGCTTTGATTACAAATATACATTCATGTTTTGATTGTTCACTTGCTACCAACCTGAGTCAAAGGTGAAGCTGCTCACCAATCCTTGGCTTTGACACAGGAGACAAACCAGAAGTCATCACCTCCCGTCCTTCCTACTTACCCATCAAACCAAGGGAATTGGAACTTCACAATGGCAAAGCAACAGCTCAGACAAATGAGATTAAAAAAAAAAGACTCCCAGGTTCTGTATTTTCTCCAGTTGTGTGTTCTACTGTCAATAGTAACGGCAAAGGCCTATTATTTCTACTATAACTCTATGCTTAATTTTATTTGAAGTTCTAGGATGGGAGAATCCATGGGCCCTCTGAATTCAAATCTTTAGCTATGCTGTTGCCATGAGTGCATGTGTACTGTTTGGTGCAATTCTATAATTTTTAATAATTATCAGGAAGACAAGGCTTCTCACAAAATGCTGCTTTATCAGTAAAAATATTCAAAACTATTAATAGTATAAATGTCCAAAATAAAAATATTTCCCTCTTTGGACATTGAAAGAATGAAGATTCTTTTCCACTTTATGCTGAAACTTCATCTGATAGAGCAGTTTATGTCAAAGCACCAAATTCCAAAAGCTGTATTTTTGTTGGACTGCCCCATAAAGAAATCCAAATGGGAATAGTTGAGTGATTCTGTGGCAAACTGTCCTCAGACTCTTCCTGGTTCTTTGTAGAAATCCCCAAACTCACATCTGTATGAAGCCACAGAATCACTGTTGAGACTCCCAGCTCTTCCCATTTCTTCCTCTCTCTCATATACTTGACAACAGCCCTCTTCTCATGCTGACCACGAATTCATCCTAGGCACTGTATTCTACTTTATTCTTGAATATTTCAGTCCAATGAAAGCCACTCTAATCAGACATAAATACTATTCCAATTTCTTCTTCGATTTTTCAAACTGCTAAAAAAGGAAGTAAAATAAACTTTGAGAGCCCAGGGGAGTTAATATTCACAAAATGCTGACATTTTGTGGCCACATCTCCCATTGCTAAGAGGTAACTAATTGGATTTTTTTTCCACATCCTCTTTTTAATATATTGAAAATGTATGCATTGTGGTTCAGGGGAAAGAGTCTTGGGTTGTTTATTTCAGGTTGAACATCCTTTTATTCATAAATTAGAGATTTTTTCCAATTGATGTTTTATTGCCATTTATGTGGCCTACCAGAAATACATCTGGCAAAGTTGTAGGTAATGAAGGTGCTATTCTCTTCTGTGGACTGGTGAAGATAGTAAAAACTATGATTGTCGCTATCCATTTAAAAATTATTTTTTAAATTTATGAAATAATTATCATGAGCAAAAGTACAGAAAATTATATAGCAGGCACCTTCGTATCCAGCAATGAGAATAAACACATAAACAGATGATGAATTTTGCTATGTTTTCTAAAAATATTCTTTCTCTCTCTACATTTCAGATTTTCTCAAACATTTCAGACAAAGCTAGAACAATAGTCCTTGTTCCTTTTATTCTTTCAAAGATAGTAACCACTCTTGGGAAGTTTCCACGCATGTCTTTTAAAATTTAACCCTTACAGGCCGGGCACGGTGGCTGACGCCTGTAATCCCAGCACTTTGGGAGGCCGATGTGGGCAGATCACGAGGTCAGGGTATCGAGACCATCCTGTCTAACATGGTGAGACCCCGTCTCTACTAAAAACACACACACACAAAAATTAGCCGGGCGTGGTGGCGCTCCCTTTAGTCCCAGCTACTCCGGAGGCTGAGACAGGAGAATGGCGTGAATCCAGGAGAGGGAGCTTGCAGTGAGCCGAGATCGTGCCACTGCACTCCAGCCTGGGCGACAGAGCAAGATGCCGTCTCAAAAAAAAAAAGAATTTAACCATTACAGGTATGTATTACAAAACAATATACTGCATTATTTTGTATTTTAAGATTTCTTATTAATGGTGCCATGCAGTATGTATCATTCTGCTTTTACATCCAACATTTTATTTGTAAGATTCATCTAAGAAAATATGTATAGAACCACTTCTTTGCTTGTAATGGCTAATACTTCCATTGTATGACTAAACCACTATTTTTTATTCCACTATTGATTATACTTTTTTTTAATGAATGTATTGTATTTTTTTTATTATACTTTAAGTTCTAGGATACATGTGCACAACGTGCAGGTTTGTTACATATGTATACATATACCATGTTGGTGTCTGCACCCATTAACTCGTCATTTACATTAGGTATATCTCCAAATGCTATCCCTCCCCGCTCCCCTCACCCCACAACAGGCCCCGGTGTGTGATGTTCCCCTTCCTGTGTCCATGCGTTCTCATTGTTCAATTCCCACCTATGAGTCAGAACACGTGGTGTTTGGTTTTCTGTCCTTGCGATAGTTTGCTGAGAATGTTGGTTTCCAGCTTCATCCACATCCCTACAAAGGACATGAACTCTTCATTTGTATGGCTGCATAGTATTCCATGGTGTATATGTGCCACATTTTCTTAATCCAGTCTATCATTGATGGACATTTGGGTTGGTTCCAAGTCTTTGCTATTGTGAATAGTGCCGCAATAAACATACGTGTGCATGTGTCTTTATAGCAGCATGATTTATAATCCTTTGGGTATATACCCAGTAATGGGATGGCTGGGTCAAATGGTATTTCTAGTTCTAGATCCTTGAGGAATCGCCACACTGTCTTCCACAATGGTTGAACTAGTTTACACTCCCACTAACAGTGTAAAAGTGGTCCTGACTTTTTAATGATTGCCATTCTAACTGGTGTGAGATGGTATCTCATTGTGGTTTTGATTTGCATTTCTCTGATGGCCAGTGATGATGAGCATTTTTTCATGTGTCTGTAGGCTGCATAAATGTCTTGAGAAGTGTCTGTTCATGTCCTTCGCCCACTTATTGATGGGGTTGTTTTTTTCTTGTGATTATACTTATTTTTAAAGAGGGTTGCAGTGAGCATCCTTGTAAATGCCTCCTAGTTTACATTTTGACTACCTTTATGTAGATATCAGAAATTTGTATTGCTGGATTATTAGATATGTGCAAATTCATAACTAGTTTAGGCAAATTGTTATCCTAAATTCTCTGTGTGGTGTTTTTCTTCATCTGGAAAAGTGTAACAGCTTCATCTCCATGTATTCCTACCAATACTTAATGTTACCAGATATTTTAGATTTTGTTGATCAAATAGAAATGAAACAATAATTTATTTTAATTTGATTTCCTCGAGTTCTGTGGAAGTTGATGTTTTACATATTTAGTGGCCATTCCTATTTCTTCTTTTTGAATTGCCTTTTATATCCTTGTCTCTTCTTATTTTGAATGTTTTCTTATTTATTTGTAAGAGTTCCCCATCTAACCTTAATTTCTAAAATCTTATTGGTTATATTATTTACAGATGCATCCAGCATGTGTCTTGTTTTTAATTTTGTAGTGGGCGCACATGCAGGTTAAAAATTTCCCTTCTATTACTAAATCTTTAGGGATTTTCATTTCCAATTATCAAATAATTTAATGGTTATAAATCTACTTAGTTTTTCTATTTCTTCTTGAGTTACTTTTGGTAGTATATGTTTTTCATTCAAATTGTTTCTACTTTTTAAAGTTTTAAAATTTATTGGCTTAAATTGTACTTAACTTATGCTAATTTTTTTTTAATTTCTACTTTATCTCCAGACATGTCTCCTTTTTAATCTCTCCTATTATTGAATTTATTAGTCTCCTATTGTGGCTATAAGAAATTACCACAAAATCAGTGGCTTAAAACAGCACACATTTATTATTTTGCAATTCTGGAGATCTTAAATCCAAAATCAGTTTCACTGGACTAAAGTCAAGGTACCAGCAGGTCTGAGTTCCTTCTGGTGGCTATGGGGAATAATCTGTCTTTTTTCTTTTTTTTTTTTTTTTTGCCTTTTCCAACTTCGAGGCTGTTCTCATTCTCTCATCACATTGCTTTCTTTCATTCCAAGTCTACTGCCTCCCTTTTATAGAGATCCTTGTGATTCCACTGGGTCTGCCTGGATAATTGAGGATAAATCTTCTCATTTCAAGATTTTTGAATTAATCATATATGTAAAGTTCCTTTCACTATATGTTATTCGGTTAAATTGTATCCCCAGAAAATTCATATGTTGAAGTTCTAACCTCTAGAAGCTTAGAATGTGAACTTTTTTGGAAATAGGGTCATTGCCAATGTCATTAGTTAAGTTGAAATGAGATCCTACTGGAGTAGTGCGGGCCCTTAGTCCAATAAGACTGGTGCCCTTATGAAAAGAATGTCACGTGAAGAGACAGAGACACAAACAGAGGAAAGATGATGGGAGGAGACACAGGGAGGACATGACCATCTCTAAGCTAAGGGATGCTTGTGACCATCAGATACTCGGAACGAGGTCTGAAACAAATCTTCCCTAGCGCCCCAGAAGGAGCATGGCTCTGCAACACCTTGGTTCCAGACTTTTGGCCACTAGAACCAGGAGACAGTAAATTTCTGTTGTCCTAAGCCACCCAGTCCACGGTACTTTGTTACTGCAGCCCTAGAAAACTAATATACCATGTGAAGCAGCATATTCATAGACTCTGGGGTTTTTGACATGGACATCTTTGGGGGCCAGAATTCAGCGTACTGCATTGTTTAACTATTTTCTATTTTCCTCATTATCAACATTATCGAGTATTTAACTCTTTTATTTCTTCAAATTTATTCGGCATTGGATTTTCCCCTAATTGTTTTGTTTTTGTTTCCTATTTGATTAATTTCTGTAGTTTATTTTTAATTGAAGTATAATTGATATAGTGAAATAAACAAGTCATAAGTATGGAGTTAGATGAGTTTTGAAAATTGCAAACAGCCTTGTAAACCACACCCCTATCATGAAATAGAACATTTCTTTTCCTTTAGCTTATAAAAATTCATTGTGCTCCACCCAAATAATTCCCACTCACAGATGTAATCACTGTTTGGCTTTATTTCACCGTGGATTAATTTGTCTACTTTAGAAATTCACATAACTTGAATCAAACAGTATATACCCTTTTGTATTTGGCAATTTTGCTAGGCATTATATAATCTAGGCTTGTTTGTACTGTTATGTGTATCAGTGGTTCAGGCCATTTTATTGCTGATTAATATTCCATTGAATGTGTGTGACACAAAAATTTATTGATTTAGTATCTTGTTTATGGGTGTTTTCTCAAATTGATGGCTATTATGAATAAAACTGTTGTGAACATTCTTGTACAAGTCTTTGTGTTGACACATTTTTATTTTTCTTGGGTAAATGCCTAGATGTGAGTCACTGGGTTGTGGTAGAAACGCATTTAGTTTTATGAAAATCCACCAAAGTGGTTGCCCAGTTTATGTTCCAACCATGTTCTAAAATTCCACATTCCAAAATTTTATATTCCAAAAATTTGTAAATGTTTGTTAAAAATCTTTTTTCTACATCCTTACTTTTTATTTTGAAATAATTTTAGACTCACGTAGAAGTTGCAAAAATAACGCAGAGTTCTCTTGCACATTTCACCCAGCATTCTCTAATGATAACATTTTACATAACCATAGCTATGTACCATTATCATTATGTACTAGTATCAAAACCAGAAAATTGATATTGATACAATAGTATTTATTAAACTACAGATCTTATTCTGATTCACCCTTTTTTTTTTTGCTTAAAGAACTTTTATTATTATTATTATTATACTTTAAGTTTTAGGGTACACGTGCACAATGTGCAGGTTTGTTACATGTGTATACATGTGCCATGTTGGTGTGCTGCACCCATTAACTCATCATTTAGCATTAGGTATATCTCCTAATGGTTTCCCTCCCCCATCCCCCACCCCACAACAGGCCCTGGTGTGTGATGTTCCCCTTCCTGTGTCCATGTGTTCTCATTGTTCTATTCCCACCTATGAGTGAGAACATGCGGTGTTTGGTTTTTTGTCCTTGCGATAGTTTGCTGAGAATGATGGTTTCCAGTTTCATCCATGTTCCTACAAAGGACATGAACTCTTCATTTTTTATGGCTGCATAGTATTCCATGGTGTATATGTGCCACATTTTCTTAATCCAGTCTATTGTTGGACATTTGGGTTGGTTCCAAGTCTTTGCTATTGGATTCACCCATTTTTATATGCACTCTTTTTTTGATATATACTTCTGTGACATTTTATCATATGTATAGATTTCCCTAACAACTACAATCAGGATACAGAACTATTCCATCCATCACCCTAAATAAACTCCCTATATACACACTCCCCACCCATAACTTCTGGCAACCACTGTCCTGTAATTTTTACATATTGATAGTGTTATATAAGGGAAATCACACATTATATAGCCTTTGAGATTGACTTTTGTTCACTCAACATAATGCCCTTGAGATTCATCAAAGTTGTTGCATGCATCAATAATTCATGTTTTTTATTGATGAATCATATTCCATTATGTGGGTATGTGCCACAGTATATTTAACCATTCACTCAATGAAGCATAAAGTTCTGAGATCCGTCATGTGTTACCTGTATCACTAGCTTATTGCATTTTATTGCTCTGTAGTATTCCATTATAGGAATAGTCCACAATTTATTTTTCTATTCCCCAGCTAATGGACATTTGGGTTGTTTCCAGCTTGGGGCTATTATGGTTAAAACTGCTGTAAACAAAAGTCTTGTGTGAAGATATATTTTCATTTATTATAGATAAATACTTAGGAGTGGAATTTCTGGTCCTATGTTAAGAGCAATTTATAAGAAACTGGCAAATGATTTTCCAGTGTCATAATACTGATTTGCATCCCATCAGCAAGGCATAAAATTCCCAGTTGCCCCAAAACTGGCTGGATGCTTGTAACAATTTCAAATACTGTAACTATAATAAAACATTTGTTAGAGATGGTCATTTATTAAGCTAAGTTTCTTTTCTTTAATTACCATTCTCATACTGCCACACTAGTGTTTATACATTTATTTATCACTTGCATATGCAGATGAAAACTAGGCTACATCTCTGCCTACGTAAGCTCCCACTGTGGGGTTTGGCTGGAACCTCAACTGCAGGTTTGGGTACAGGCTTCAGGTGCCTGGGGAGCACTGTGTGCTTGCTGCACAGAAGTAGGTGGCTGAGTCTCCAGGCTGGGAATCCATGATATGCGATGAGAACTGCTTGGCACTTTTATTGAAGGAGATTGTGAATCTTCCTTCTTTCTTTTCACTCACATCTGGACGTATGGCTATCAATAATGCAGGGCCTTTCCCAGGGAATTGTTGGTACCATGGAAAGTAGTCAAACGCAGTGTTCTCATAAGCACAGTTTATAATTGAAATCCCTCCTTTCTGGACTATCAAAGATTGAGGACTTTGTTTCACCTGCTGCTGGTCACTTTTCTCCTTCTGTTGGCCACTCACCCCTGCTTAGAGAGATAACAAAATGTCATTAGGCCCCAAAATAATATTTTCTTCTTAAAGTGTCTACCTGCATGAGTTTGTCTGTACCCCAATTTTCTCATTCACCCAAGTTAGTAACATATCCTGGAGTTTCTCTTCCATAACTCACAGCATAGTTGAAGCCACAGAACTAAAAATGATGCTCCTAAGATCTTGTCCATTCCTCCTGGCACCAGAGCTCAATGACAGCCCAGGTGGTCTTCCAGTCTTCCCAACCAGCTGAAACTCTGTAAATTCACCCTCAACTGAATTCTTTCAGCAGGCCCCGCCCTTTCACAAGTGCTTTCACTTAAAGCTGTCTCTGTCAAAGGAAGCACTTCCCCACTTTGTCCAAATTTAGAATTGCTGAAGATATATTCATTGGGAATCAGTAATCCTTTCTTTACACACAGATAAGCATCAGTTTAGAATTTCTGTCTGTCAAGCCCCCTCAACTTTTCCTCAGACCTTTAAGATGGCTGGATATGTCAATAGAAAGGGCCTTATTTTACAATGGTAGAAGAGAGGAACTCTTGTGAAACCGCACGATTAACATGTACAGTGGCATTTCTTTTTTATTGTGAGTATTAATAAAGTTTATTGAGGGCACACAATGGGCATAATACCCCATTACAAGCTAAGGTCATGAATCAGAACATAGAGAATATATGGTCCCTTTGTCCTCAGAGAACTTAAATTTTGTTGCAATTTTTCAGATGTATTCATTCCATATTTTAGATGATCCTCAGAAATGATATAATACAATTAAGTCAATTTTATTTTTTCTCCATATTTTTTTCTAAATTACACATTAGGTAAATTAAATATTTTTTTAAATGTACCTAGAAAAAGAAAATAGGAAATACTGGAATTATCTGTTCTGGAGGAGCTGTGATCTTTAAATGGAAAGAGAGGATAGAAAAATTCTGCAGAAGATATAGATCTATAACCATCCGTAATGCAGTCATTTTTGGTGGCTCTTATCCTGAGTTTGAATAAACATTCGATATTTTATTCACACTTCAAAATCGATCAACTATGAAAATATAAAGAATAAATTTAACTTTTGATATTAACACAGGCAAGATACAAGGGAGAAATTGAAGATAAATTCTAAAGCACCCCTGAAATAGGGATGATCTGTATTATAAGTCATATAAGTTAAAATAACATGAGAAGCACATTTTTTTCAGAAGCACAAAAATGATTTTTTTGTATTTATATTTGGTGTCATCTCAAATCCACTCAAAGAAAACACCATCGCAGTCCAATAGGAGACAATGGTCCACGTTCCTCAATCTACAATCCAAACCTTTTCTTCCCCAGTACCCTAAGGTGCTTTTTAAAAGTTGTTTAAGTTTTGATGTGCTTTCTTTTCTTTTAATTTATATATGCATATATTCAATACATATATACTGTCCACAAAGTGCCTACTAAATTAGGCAGTACTTGGGCCTCATTTCATTCACGAAAGAGACACAGTCCAAGTCTTCAGTCAACCTAGTCCCAAGACTCAGGTATCAGCCAATGGAACCTGCCAAAGACACCAGTGTGTCTAGATGATGTGACGAAGGAAAGGGTGATGAAATCTGTTTCTGGACCCAGTCAAAGAAGAGTACGGATGGGGAGATGCTTGAACTGGGCCACAAACCATGATAGATTTCCCCATAAAAAGAATGGATAAGGGAATTTTAGGCACAGATTAGTGTGACTGGATATTGGGCTGTATGTGGGTGAAAACCTTGTAAAGTTATACTACAGAAGTTAATGTGGGCTTGAAGGATAACATGTATAATTCAAAAAAGTGTTGACTTCCAAAGTGATGTTTTCCACTCTGTTAGACTAGAATAAATACAGATACTAGTTAGGTAGATGAATGGATAAATGCATAGATGCATTGAATGAAAGAGACACGTGAATTGAAACAGAGTAGGAGATAATTTACTATTTTAAAAGGATAATCTCTGGCTAATTGCTGAATATGTGTATTTGGACAAATGTTAATCTTCTTTGAAGAAGCATTGCCCCCTTGTGGCCATATAGGGAGTTTACATCAAACAATTTCCTACAGCTTCTTAAAACGGTTCAGCAACCCCTACATCTATCAGAACACTGAAATAAGTGGCTCAGTCCTCCTCTTGAGCCAATGATTTCTTCAGATGAAAGGAGATTTTTGTCCTTGCTGAGGTCAGGTATGTCTCAGGCGGATCTGGAGGAATTGATTGGGATGCTGGAGGTACCAGGAGAGAACAGGGCTACTGAAACAGTGACACCGCAACTGCTCTGGGGTTCCTTCAGAGGCAGAAACTGGCCGTCAGATGGAGTCACTTCATGGGATCTCCTTCCTCACATAATGGCAACATCAGGTCGGGGAGAAGTCTTCGCACTAAAGAGAATATGTCCTTAAATAGATCTAACTTAGTTAATTACACTTCATCTTTGTCAACACTTGGTATAGTAGTCATTTTTTCACTTTTAGCCAACATAGTGGCTATATAGGAGCATATATATAGCATATATAAAGAGCATATATATTATATAACATATATATAGCATATATATTATATAGCATATATGCTCCATATAGTGGCTATATATTTTATTACAGTATTAACTTGCACTTCCCTGATTATTAACGACATAAGAGTCAGTAGACTTTTTCTATAAAGGGTTGAATAGTAAGTATTTTAAGCCTTGCAGGTGATTCAGTCTCAATGGCAACTACTCAGTTCTACCGTTGCAGCATGAAAGAAGCCATTGATAACACACTAAAAAAACCCAAGCATCTCTGTGTTTAAATAAAGCTTTATGAAAATAGGTGGATGGCTGAATTTGGCTCATGGGCCATATTTTGTTGACTCCTGATGTAGAGCATCTTTTCCTGTGTTTATTGGTCATTTTTATTTTTTTATTGTGAAGATTCTACGAAAATATTTTGTTAATTCTTAAATTGGGCTATTTCTTCTCTTTTATTGAGTTGTAAGAGCTTTTTACATATGCTGTACACAAGACTTTGGAATAATTTACATGTTTCAAATAGTTTCTTCAAGTCAATGGCCTTTATGTTTTCTTAAAGATGTCCATGACCTCTGCACTGAAAAGTCCAAAAACAATGCTGACAAAAATTAAAGAACCTTAATAAATTGACAGATATGTCATGTTCATGAATTAGAGGATTTAATAGCTTCCAGATGGCAGTTCTACCCCCAATTTTCTGTAAGTGCAATGCAATATCACTCAAAATTTTAGCAGGCCTTTTTATAGAAATAGACCAACTAATTCTAAAATTTATATGGAAATGCAAAAAATAAACCTTAATGAATAACTAAAACAATTTTTTTTTTTTCGAGACCTAGTCTCGCTCTGTCGCCCAGGCTGGAGTGCAGTGGCGCGATCTCGGCTCACTGCAAGCTCCGCCTCCTGGGTTCACGCCATTCTCCTGCCTCAGCCTCCCGAGTAGCTGGGACTACAGGCGCCCGCCACCACGCCCGGCTAATTTTTTGTATTTTTTAGTAGAGACGGGGTTTCACCGCGTTAGCCAGGATGGTCTCGATCTCCTGACCTCGTGATCCGCCCGCCTCGGCCTTACAAAGTGCTGGGATTACAGGCGTGAGCCACCGCGCCCGGCCACTAAAACAATTTTTAAAGGGAACACAATTGAAGGACTCACCCTGCCTGATCTCAAGACATTATAAAGAACAGTAATCAAAACAGTTTGGTATTTGTGAAAATAAAATTTGTAGATCAAAGAAACAAAATAGAAATAGATTCACAAATTCATATTCAATTAATTTTCAAGACAATTCAATGGGTTAAAAAAGTTTTCAAGAAATAGATGCAATAAAATAAAACGTGCTTGTATTTTAATGGATCTGGGCAAAGTAAATTGAAAAGCTTCTGGAAAGGATTCATACTCTAGATGACATTAAGAATATTCATGATTCATAAGAGGAGGTCAAAATATCAATGTTGTCAGAATTTGGAAGAAGATGATTCCAATCCAAATGTATGACTTCAAGAAGTTCAAGACTTTAGTGGAGAAAGTAACTGCAGATGTGTTAAAAATAGTAGGAGAACTAGAATTAGAAGTGGAGCCTGAAGATGTGACTGAATTGCTACAATCTCATGATAAAACTTTAACAAATGATAAATTGCTTTTTATGGATAAGCACAGAAATTGCTTTCTTAAGATGGAATCTACTTCTGGTGAAGATGCTGTAAACATTATTGAAATGACAACAAAGGATTTAGATTATTACATAAACTTAGTTGATAAAGCAGTGGCAGGATTTGAGATGATTAACTTCCATTTTTTTAAAAATTTTCTTAGTAGTTTTAAAAAGATTTTGAAATTAGGCTGGGCGCAGTGGCTCACGCCTGTAATCCTAGCACTTTGGGAGGCTGAGGTGGGCGGATCACCTGAGGTCTGGAGTTCCAGATCAGCCTGACCAACATGGAGAAACCCCGTCTCTACTAAAAATACAAAATTAGCTGGGCGTGGTGGCACATGCCTGTAAACTCAGCTACTCGGGAGCCTGAGGCAGGAGAATCGCTTGAACCCAGGCGGCTGAACCCAGGAGGCGGAGGCTGCTGTGAGCCGAAATTGTACCATTGCCCTCCAGCCTGGGCAACAAGAACGAAACTCCGTCTCAAAAAAAAAAAATAAAGATTTTGAAATCAATTTATTATAGTTGTATGTATTTTGGGGCATTTGTGATATTTTGATACATGTATACAATGTACAATGATCAAATCAGGGTTATTGGGATATCCACTATTTGAAACATTTTTCTTTTCTTTGTTTTGGGGAACATTACAATTCTCTTCTTCTAGTTATTTTGAAATATACAGTAAATTATTGTTAACCATAATTTCCCTACTGTACTATCAAATAGTAGAATTTGTTTCTTCTAACTGTATTTCTGTAACCATTAACCTCCTTCTTTTTATCCTGACTCCAATTTTGAAAAAAGTTCTACTTTGAGTAAAATGCTATCAAACAGTGTTGCATGCTACAGGGAAACCTTTCATGAAAGTAAGAGTCAATTGATGTGGCAAACTTCATTTTTATCTTATTGTAAGAAATTGCCACAGACATTTCAACTTTTAGCAACCACCACCCTGATCAGCCACCAACATTGAGGCAAGACCCTACATTTGCAAAACAAGTAACAACTTTCTGAAGCCTGAGATGATAATTAGCATTTGTTAGCAATAAAGCATTTTTAAGTCGAGGTATGTACACTTTTATACATAATGCTATTGCATATTTAACAGACTGCAGTATACTTTAAACCTTTATGTGTGCCAGGAAACTAAAAAAAATATATGCCTTACTTTATTGTGATATTCACTTTACTATGGTGATCTGGAACCCTACCTACATTATCTCCAAGGTACATCTGTGTGTGTGTGTGTGTGTGTGTGTGTGTGTGTGTGTGTGTATGTATGTATCTTAAAAACCAGAACAGAATAGAAAAACAGCCTGCCAAGGAAGGTAAAAAGAATGAGAGGGGAAACAAAAGGTTAATTTATAAAACGAAATTCTTAGATTGCTTTACTAATCTAGAGTGAAAAAAATTAGATCTGAATCATTTTTCTAAATAAAAGATTAATACAATTACATTTTGAATGGAGATATAGGTCAATTGCTGGCATTGTCAGAACATTATGCCATTACTCTAAAATATACAGCATCTGCAGAAACTCTTTTGGCTACTAATATTTGGCTTGAAATCAGCAGATCTATTCAGGATAAGCATGTGCATATGGGCATAATTAATAATTATAAGATGGGGCTCTTCTATAATCTTCAGCCAAGCCAGATGTTAGTTCTTGGTGAAAAGCATTTTTCTCAAGGAAAAATATATACACAGACATATATTATGCATACATATGTACATATATACATTCATTAAGAGGAAGTCTGACTGTGCTACAATGCTGAGACTAATAAGTAAGACCATTTGTAGAAAAATTTGAAAATCCCCTATATATACACATATCTCCTATATGTATATTTAAAGTTAAATCCACTGATGTTGGAAGATTGTTTGGGAGATGGTTCCTACAATTAGAGAGGAGAATAGCTTGCCAAAATAGATAAAATCTGTTTTGATAAACGTGCTGCCCAAAGGAACTGGGGACTTATTTCAGTATTTGCAATATCTTTTTTTGTCCTCTAGTACCATAATATATATGCGGTTTTTAGATGAAGGCATAATTAATTACCTAAAAGTTTTATGCACTTAGTATATTATGTAAAATAAGAAGAAATATTTCTAGTATAGATTTTTTAATGGAATATTTTTGATAGCAGTGAAGAATCTTGTTGCTATGCTATGTGGGACACAATCACCCTAAATGTAATCCACAACTGCTTTGAAATAGCTGATTTTGGAATCAGTGACTTCAATGATGTACAAAGCAATAAACATCACTATTCTGGCTGGAATGATCTGCAGAGAGATTCATTTTCTTATAATACTAAATGTTGATTTTATAAGTTCTGATAGCATGTTAACTATTTCTGCTGATGCTGAATATCATTTCAAACAAGAATAAATATCCTTTATGTTAGGTTTGTTTTGAGCATTGAAGAAAAATAGTAAGAAAAGTTGTCCAAGTCCAAATGTCCCACAAGAAAATATACTTTGGCAGCTGTCGAAGGATTTGACACTACTCAATGTGTGAAATACAAAGACCATGTGCATTTATTGGAAATAATAGCAAAGGAGACCTATGAAAATCAGACACAATCTTGCTGAGCACAACAGACAGCTGATTTATACTGGGTTTTGGGGAAGCATGGAATTCAGGGATTGGCAAACTTCAGAGGTGTAAATGAGTTAACATTATCTGCAGAAACAGAGTCACTAGGGTGAGGCTATTGCTGATTGCTTGGCACTCAGGGGCACTGACTGGCTGACTTTCAGAAGCCAGGAGCTGACATTGATTAGTTGGCTTGCAAAAGCATGTTCATTGAGACGAGTTGTTAATCAGTTGAACAGGTATAAAACTGGTTCTGGTGGCTACTTATTATGGCTGTGTAACAATCTATCTTTTCCTAAATCTATGGGAATAATTTTATTTTCCTCCCCTCTCCCCACCCCCCATCCCCTTTTGGTCCTTATGCAGCCAAAGCTGCAGAAAAGATGTTCAAGAACTGTCCAGGTCTTCTCCACTATTGTCGATTTTCTTGACAAAGAGTTTTGGCCTGTAGAGATTTGATTTTTAGTTTGTATATTTAAAAGCATGACTTTTATTGAATTTTTGTCTTTGGATTACTTGTTCAACCATTTGTGGGGACAGTGATATTTAGAATACCAACAGAGCCATGCAACAAATGAACAAATCTGAAGTATTAAATATTATAAAAAGGGTAAGATATTTTGCAACCATGATCCAAGATTTCCCAGACTTGATTAAAAAAAAAAAGTCCAAATGATTTTCTGAGTCTATCTTACACAACTAGGTTGCTTTTTATCTATGTCTCATCTATGTATCTATCTACCTATCTGTCTGTCTATCTATCTATCTATCTACCTATCTATCTATCTATCATCTATCTATGCTAAAAGTGTTTTTACTCATCTTCAGTATTAACGTAGAGTCAACATGAAGTATTAGCAATGACAAAGATCACTTCCTGATTGGCCCCACAAAAATATGTGACTATTCTACTACACATAGGCCTTTGGATTAAGAAATTTTAACTGGCTTGCTGTGATTCCAAGATTTTGGATATACTACTATATTTATTGTATTAGCTAATGTGAGAAAATACTTTTTGATAACCACTGCAAATTGTTTAATGATATGGATGGTGTCACTACCCTCAGGAGTTTTTCTTCAGAAAGATTTTCGTTGCTTTATGATTTTTGTAAAATAATGTGCTCCACTGAGGATTGTTGGGGGTCATGCCCTTAAAATAGCCTAATGAATAGACCTACAGAAGGATTGGCCTTGGCTCTGTTTTGGCCATGAAGAGACTGATTCCCAAACAGAAAACAGTTCCCAGTAGCTGTAGGTATGAAATGAAAATTCCATTTTGAATGGAACTCAAATGGAATTCATTCTTGACAAATAATGACCATCATATGTTATACTTTTTGTAATGTAAGGACTTTTTTCACCTATGGATTGCCTACAAAGACTATCACTATTGGTAGTGTTAGTGTACCATACCCTTTTATCACTTTTCAAATTGGCTGTAATAACATTAGCTTTGGAGAGTTGAGTGAATTAAGTTGATGATTGTTGTCTCTAGTAAAGACTAGACTTAGGCAAGTTATTATTAATCATAAAAGGAACATAATAGGCAAAGTCAGAGTACCTAACTTTAAGTAAAGAAAAAATATGAATGAACAAGAGTATCCAAAGGAAAGTGAGGCATAGAGAAGTCTCATATTCCAACAGTGTTGGTGTATCAACCACATCTTTTTACCCAAATGTTTTGACATCTAAGGGCCTTAACCATCTCTGGCTAATTCCTAGAGATAGTAAAGACTCACTTGGGAGCACATCTTTCAAATGCAAACCAACCGATATAGAGCCCATACTCCAAGCACCTCCTTTATCAGGCTGTCACTAGGCTCCTACACTCCATCCACTATTCCCCCTGCCCTAAGCATCCCATGGCCAGGTACCAGGCAACTAGGGATAGTCCTGGCCTCAGAGCCCACCGAAATTATTCAAACTAGGCAATCCTAGACTTGTTTATTCTACCTCACTCCATCCTTCCTACAAAAACTATGATTTAAGAAAATATAGTGTTCCTGTTTTTCATCTTTAATACTCTCAGAATACATGCTTATTTTATGATGGTGATACATGACGTGTTTGAATAATTATCTCTGTGGCAGGTTTAGGATCAAAACAAGATGGCAGCTTCACCTTTATTTCTCAATGGAGAAAGTCAAAGAAAAGTTGAACTTCTGATTATCTTCTGTTTAGGCCTGTTCTATGTGATAACATCATGAATGGGAGGCTGTGACTTTCAGAATTGCAATATGAGGAGGTTCATGGTTACTCTCCCTAATTAGTAACAAAACACTATTAATTGGTAAAAATTATTTTAAAAACTTAAGTCTCTGGAAATTGTCCTGGGTATATAGCAAATGGAGAATTATCTATTCAGGAAAATTTACTAAATCACCATAAGAACAAAATCCTTGGAATTTGAGCCATGACTACTACTTCCCCCACCACACAGAGCTCAGCATAATAGAAACTCTACTTCGGGTGGGAGCAACCAAGAATACAGGGCTCCTTCTTCCCTCAGATTCCAGTGTTGAGCTACGATATCTGCCTGGGAGGGACAGTCTGCCAACAATTCTCATCTTCCTCAATTTTGTATTGCAGAAGTCCTATTCTGGGCCAGGGAAGCTGAAAGGCCTAGGGCTCCTTTTCACTTCCTAGCACCTACTGTTAGGGCAGAAGCTCTACCCTGGCATGGCAGACCAAGAATACTGGGTCCTTATTTCCCTCACCCCAGCTTGCTCATAAGGTGGAGGTTTCATACCGGGGGAGGCAAACAAGAAGACCATGGGATACTGCCCCCATCAAGCACCTTGCTCCTAAAGTAGGGTTATCACTCTGAGGAAAGAAAAGCAATGTCTCTTCTCACATTGCTCCAGAGCAGGGGCACAGAAGTTGTGCCCAGGGAGAGGAGGAGTTATAAGAACAGAGAGCTCTCCACTAGGAAGACTCTATTTGGAACAGAGCTTCAGGAAGTCCAAGCCTTAAGGGTACAGTGGAAATGAATGAAGATTTTTGTGGTAAGCAATTAAGAGGAGGCTGGTAGCTCCACGAGAGCAACAAACTAAACCACAGATGACTAGCTAAAAATCTAATAGAGAGAACCGGGAATAAAGACAGCTGGGAAGAGTCCTCCTGAGGTTATAAGAAGCTTCAAAGATTGACCTCAAAGATTACCTCTGCAAAGGGGCCTGAATTTAATTGAACCAGACTATGGATAAGTGTGGAGGCTCATGGCTAAGTGTGATACAAACAGATGCAGGTAGTTTAACAGAAAAATCAGGAAGAAAGACAGTTAAAGAAAACACTGCTGAAACCACCGTCATATCAAGATGTCTGTGCACATACCAAAGACTGTCCTCTGAGGAATAACATCATAGGCTGCACCCTGCAGGAAAATGGACTTAACTGAAATAGTCAAGTAAAGTTGTTACAATAAATAAACAAGCAAATAACAACAAGCCCTGGATGGGGTAGAGACACAATATCCAGAGTCACTATATGTGATAGCCTGGATTATCATCCCCAAAGATAACCAAGCCCTAATGCCTGGTACCTGCAAATGGTACCTTATATGGCAAAAATGTCTTTGAATACATTATTAAGGATCTTGAGATGGGAAAAATATTTTGGATTATTTGAGTGGACCCTAAATATAATCACAAGTGCTCTTATAAGAGGGAAACAGGGGAAGATGTGGCTCCAGAAGAGAAAGGAGATGTGATGATGGAAGCAAAAGTTTAGAGTGATTCAAAAAAGAGCATGAGCCATGAATTCAGGTGGACAGCAGAAGCTGGAAAAGGCCAGGAAGCAGATTCTCCCTGAGAGCCTCCAGAAGAAATCAGCCCTGCCAACACTTTGACTGTAGCCCTGTAAAACTGGTTTCAGATTCTTGCTTCCAGAACTGTAACAGAATAAATTTGTTTGGTTTTAAGCTACCAAATTTGCAGTAATTTGTTATAGCAGCTTTATTAGTTTGCTAGAGCTATAACAAAGTACCACAAGCTAGGTGACTTAAACAATAGGAACTTACTGTTTCACATTTCTGGAGAATGGAAGTCTGAGAGACTCCCTGTGAGGGCTACGAGAATCTACTCCATTCCTCTTGCCCAGCTTCTCGTGGTTTTCTGGCAATCTTTAGCATTCTTTGGCTTGTTGGAGTACCACCCTGATCTCTGCCTTCATCTTTAAATGGTATTCTCCCTCTGTGTGTGTGTGTTTCCAAACTTTCACTTTTTATGAGGACACCAGTCATATTAGATTAGTGTATTGGTCAGGGTTCTCCAGAACTAATAGGATATATGTGTATGTGTGTGTGTGTGTGTATGTGTGTGTATACATGTATGTACATACACACACACACACACACACACACACACACATATATATATATAAAACCTGGCCTTGTAATTGTGTGTGCCAATTCTCCCTAATAAACTTTATTTATTTATTTATTTATTATGGAGAATTGGCTCACACAGTTACAAGGCCAAGTCCCATGATAGGCCATCTGCAAGCTGGGGAAAAGAGAAGCTGGTAGTGGTTCAGTCCAAGCTCGAAAGCCTCAAACCAAAGAAGCCAGCAGTGAAGCATTCTGTCTACGGCCAAGGGCATGAGAGCCACCTGCAAGCCACTGGTGCAAGTCCCAGAGTCCACAGGCCAAAGAACCTGGAGTCTGATGTCCAAGTGTGGCAGGACTCCATAACAACTGTTTCGGTACTGACTGAGTGGTTAAGATAAATATTAAAAGCCAGTGCCCTTATACAAAGGCTGGAATGTAGCAAAAGCCCACCAAGAGTTTTGCCTGGGACTTTCCTGGGCTTTTAAGCATGACAAAATAAAGGAGTAATTCTTAACAGGGCCTCTTTAGGATTAAACAAGTTTTATAGGGGGTCTGAAGAAACTCGCTAGGCCTCCACAAACACATTTATTGGAGGTCTGAAGGAACTCCCCAAACCTCTGTGATTTGGCAGAAGACCAGATAAGGCTAATCACCCCAGCACCTAAACCCATTTAGGTTAAATAAACTTACTGAGACTCTAGAAGAAGGTCTTCAGGACTCAGACCTTAGTTATAAATTAAAAGAAGTTAATCATTTATGTCTTTAAATGAATGCACACTTACATGTAGACATATAACTTAGAAGGTATATAAAACTCTGAAAAAACTTTGTAATTTTGAGTTAGTCTGGCAATAATTTCCGGGCCATGTCCCTGTAACTGACTACAGAAATAAAAACTCTCTTCCTCCCCAGTTCATCTGCATCTCGTTATTTGTCTGTAAAAAAATAGCAGCCCAAACCTCAGTTTGGTCCAGGAACGCAAGGACAAGAGAAGCAGAAGGAAGCCTCCAGTATGGGAGAAAGTAGGCAGCCAGAAGCCTCCCACCTTCTTTCACCTGCTTTGTTGTAGCTGCGCAGCCTATTGGATGGTGCCCACCCACAAAGAGTGTGGGTCTTCCTCTCCCAGTTCACTGACTGAAATGTCAATCTCCTCTGGCAACACCATCACAGACACACCCAGAAACAATGCTCTACCAGTTATCCAGGCATCCTTCAGTCCAATCAACATAACACCTAACATTAACCATCACAATTAGGGTCCATTCTTATGACTTTATCTTAACTAATTACATCTGCAATGACCCTATTTTCAAATAAGGTCACATTCTGAGGTACTGGGAGTTAGGATTTCATCTTGAATTTTGAGAAACACAATTCAACCCATAAGAGCAGCCATAGAAAACTAATATAATATGTTATCTAAAATGTCTAGTTTAAAACAAAAAATTATAAGATATACCCCAAACAGGAAAGTGTGATTCTTACACAAGAGAAATAAATTGGGTAATGGCAACTTCCTTTTCTATGACTTAGATGTTGGATTTCACAGACAAAAATTTCAAAATAGCTGTTTTAAGTATGCTCAAAGAAATAAAACCATGCTGAGGGAAGTAAAAAAGATATGATGATGACTTCTTATCAGCCAGAGAATATCTATAAAGTGGTAAAAATTATTTTTTTATGAAAGGAACAAAATAGAAATTCTAGAGTTGGGAAAGTGCAATAACCAAATAAAAAAATTGACTGGAGGGTCAAACAGTAGGTTCGGGCTCCCTGAACAAGGAATCAGTGAACTTAAAGATACATCTACAGAGATTATGCAATCTGAAAAACAGACAGAAAAAAGAATAAAGAAAAATAAACAGGGACTCAGAGAAACGTGGTACATCATTAAGCACACCAATATACGCATAGTGAGAGTACCAGAAAAAGGAAAGGAAGAAAAAGGAACAAAAAAATTTGAAGAAACAATGGCTGAGAATTCCCAGATTCAAAAAAGCATTAATCTACTCATCTAAGAAGCTCAGTGAACTCTAAGTAAAATGAATGCAAAGAGATCCACACTCAGACACATCATAGCAAAAATGTTAAAAGACAAATAGAATCTTCAAAGTAGAAAGAGAAAATCAAATATTTATGAGAGAAACTCAATAAAATTAACAGCTGACTTCTCAACAAAAACAACAGAGCTAGAAGGCAGTGGGAAGATATATTCAAAGTGCTGAAAGAAATATACCATCAATGAAGATCCTATATTCAGCAAAAGTATCTTTCAGACATGAAGGTAAAATAAAGACATTCCTAGATAAATACAAACTGAGAGAATTTATTGCAAGCAGACTCACCTTCAAGCAATAATAAAGGAAGATCTTCAGGCTGGGAGCAAGGGACTTCAAACAGTAATTTGCATCCACACACTTACTAAAAAGATAGTGTGACTGCATATTTATCCCCTTTCTACTATTAACTGATTTAAATAACTACTGTATAAAACAATACATATATAATTATATTATTGGACTTACAGGAATGTAACATATTTGATAATAAAAGAATAAAGGAGGAAGGCAGATTGCAAAACTATATTGGAGTAAGACAGTGACACCAGATGGCAACTTGAATCCACAGGAACAAATGATCACTTCTTGACCTTTTGGCTATGATTAAGTGCACAGGAACAAATGAAGAGACCCAGAAATGATAAGTAAGAAGGTTAACAACAAACACTTCAATATATATTTGCTTTCCTTTTTTCCTTCTCAGCTTATAAAACATAAGATTATATAAAGAAATAATTATAAAATTATATAAAAATTATAATAACCTATTGTTTGTAACATATATACATATAATGTGAATAACAATAATAAAGGGAATAAGAAATAGACCTATATAGAAGTGACATCTGAAAATCCCATTGGAGTTAAGTTAGCATAAAGTCTGAAGTGAATTCTGACAAGTTTAGATGTATATATATTGTAAGTACTAAAACATCCACCAAGAAAATAATTGAAAAAGCATAGTGAAAAAAATAAAGGAATGAAAATATTATACTATAAAATATTCACCTAATGCAAAGGAAAGCAGTTAAGGAGGTACAGAGGAACAAAAAAGACATAAGACAGAAAGAAAATAAAATTAAAATGCCAGATATAATCTATATCAATGATAACATTAAATGTTAATGGATTAAACAATCCAATCAAAAAGTAGAGATTATCAGAATGGCTACACACACACACACACACACACACACACACAACTATACACTGTCAGAGACACACTTTAGATACAAAGATACAAATAAGTTGAAAGTAAAAGGATAGGAAAAGATATGACTGGAGTCACTACATTATTATTAGACAAAGTATACTTTAAACCAAAAAATGTTACTAGAGATAAAAAGGGAAATTTTATAATGATAAAAGGGCATCCATTAAGAATATATCAGTTATAAACATATATGCACCTAATGACATATCCCAAAATACATGATGCACAAAAACTGACAGAATTGAAGGGAAAAACAGAAAATTCAAGAATAACAGGTGAAGACTCAATACCTCACTTTCAATAATAGATAGGACAAATAGAATACCAACAAGGAAATAGAAGACTTGAACAACACAAAAGCCAGGTAGACCTAACAGACATCTATCTACCCAAGATCAGATTACACATTCTTCTCAATCATGCATGGTTATATTTTCCAGGATAGATCATATTCTAGGTTATACAACAAGCCTGAAAAACACATATGGGAACATAACATTTTAAAGTTTTTTCTCCACAGCTATTTATCAATATGTGAATATTTAAAGAAATTTTACTTTGCTGCACTAGTGGGATAGTATGCAAATATTTGCCCTTGTCTGTTGGTACATAATGTGGTGAGGTAGACCTGAATGTGCTTGAGACACACAACTAAGCTGGATCACTGTCTAACTAATGTCTAACAACATGCTTATTGGAATGGTGTTTCTTTTCTTTTTATTCTTTTTACTTTTTACCCTTTTGGAGTCCTGCATACTGTCACTTAAATATTTATTTTGATTCTGTCCTCTTATCAGCTACTCTACTCCTTCCAAGTTAGATATTTATAGGGTAGGAGGAGGTGTGTATTGAAAAGGGAAAATAAAGACCAAAGTCTCAAACCTGTAGAGCCAAAAAGAATCTACGGTTAAAACTCTACCTATGTACAAAAGGAATATTAAGCTGTGCAAAATGCTGCTGCGGTGGCCTCGTGATGTGGTTGTTACTGGTAGAGGAACCGAGCCCGGATGAGGGTTTGTGTACAGGCCGCAGGTGCCTGGGGAGCACTGTGGCTCCACAGCACAGAAATAAACGCCTGAGTCTGTGGTCTGGGAAGAGGAAATGTACAATAAGCTGTAGCGTTCCGTAGCGACAGTCGTGGCGCTTAATCTTCCATTCTGTTTTGTCCCTGAGGGAATGTAAAACAGGTTGATGAGCTGTCCCCAAGGGTTTTGATGAAACCACTGCAAATTGTTCACAGAGTCAGAAAAATTGCACCGCAGCGTGGAATTGGCTCCCTCCTGGAGAATCAGGTCTGGAGGACTCTGCTCCACTTGTATTCCTCTCACACCTGGTCAGAAATGGAGAAAAAGTCATAGGTGATGGGCAGTTTAACATCTGAAGAATCCTGAAAATGCCCCCACAGGTTGTGTGAATAGAAAGACTGCATGACTTTTTAACTCCTTGCCCTTCCTCCCCTCAACAAGGCTGCAGCTGCTAAATCCTTTCAGATTCCCACCTTGGACAGCCCCAACTCACAGCAAACCTGGGCACTCAAGAGCCCCAGCAGAGCTCCCAATATCCTCTTCATGATGCTTTGCCTTCTTGCTCCGGGCATTTTCACCATAAGATATATTTAACTAAACCTTGGGGAGGTCGGTGTCATGACTTGGCTCTGGAACTGTTGCTGCTCCTGCAACCAATCAGCTCCACCCGACAAAGCCTGCTCACGCCCAGATGCTACTGAGTTTTTAAACAGCGTTCTGTGACAGGAAGCCCCACCCGCCGACTTAAACCTGGCTGAGAGCCGGGGTGGAAAGGGGTGGAGTGGAAGGGAAAAAGAAAGGTCATTATTCCGTAACCTGAGGGATGTTTTCTAATAATTCTGGATATAGTAAAGAATGTGAAAGATCCTGTGAGAAGGAAAGGGAGGGGCCTCCTCGGGAGGACAACGTGCCTCAACTGTAATACTAATTCGAGCCTGGAGAGGATCACAGAATGAGTGTCCACATTTTAAACCCCCAAAACAAGAATGTGTTCTGACAAGAAGGTCTTTATTAGCCAATTTAGGTGAAAGTCATTCCAGTCATGTAAAGTAATAAGAACATACATGTTATGTATTATATATGTAATAATTTTTATTATTAGAATATATGAAAAGTGTGGATTAGGACTCCTCTGAAATAATCAAGAATTGTGGTAAATATTGTTATAAGAAATGACCCTAGTAAGACTGTAAATTGTGAGAGAAAAAATAAGATCAATTCAAATTTTTTTCTACGTATTACCCTGGATGGGCAATATGTTTTATTTTTCTAATTCTTATTTTATACAAACTTCCTTTATAGCTTATCTTACAGTCCAGTAAATCTTTTTTCTTTTTTTTTCTGTCTTCCTTTTTTCCTTCCACTTTCTCCTATCATTACCTTCTGTTTCCATGTTCTTCCTTTTCTCTCTCTCTCTTTTATTTATTTACTTATTTATTTATCTATTTATTTATTTATTTTTGGTTGAGGGTAGGGGGTTCTAGTTACATGAAAGGGACAGAAGAATACTAAAGAAAAGATGGCTTTCAACAGTTTAGAAATAATTTTGGACCTGTGAAATAAAAGTTCATATTTTTTTCTTAGGAAATCTTAGGAAATAAAAATTTTTTAAAATCCGAATTCCCTTCTTTGGAATTCTCCACTTTCCCTTTTGCTGTATATGATTCTGTTTGATCCAGGATTTTCTGATAGATACAGATAAAGATAATAATATAAAGACAAAAATTTAAATATAGGTATATATATATGCATTTCAAATATAACCTAGAACTTGAATATTCATATGTCATTTATCTTGTTTTAGAGGACAGAGCTACAATTGAAAAGAATACTCAGCAAAAATATGTTTCTTATGTGCTGATAATGATTTAGTTTGTCCTTGCACATAATTATTCTTCCCTCTTTACTCTTACTGGCCCTCATCCTTATACTCAATATATTTCTCAAATCTTTCAACAACTATTCACTACTAGATCCTTCAGAGCCGTCCCTCAATTTAAGAGAAGCCTATATGCCTCCTGACGTGCTAAACCTTGAGAAAGACTACATCTTCCTCAGCATATATGGACAGCTCAGCCCAGCTGTCTTTTCCTAGGGCTGTACCTGTGGGTTGACATGAAACAACAGAAGTGTCCACAGAATGGAGAGTACCATAAATAGGGCCATGAGACCCCACGGTGGCTTTTATGAAGATAAATACTTTAAATGTAATTTTATGTAATTAGAACATCCATTTAATTCATACGTATGAACTGAAAAAATATGAGCTCACCAATTTGATTCAGTTATAGTTAAGTCAATATATTTAAGAGTGTTTGAGACCTTGGAAATTAAAAAAAAAAATGAATTGGATACGGTTTTTCCTTCAGAGAGCTTGTGATATAGTGAGGAGACAAACATCTCTCTGAATGTAATAAAGGTTTACAGGATATCATTTTTAAAAAGCATCCTTAAACACCACATGAGCACCAAGACAGTAACAATTATGTCAAACTTCTATTACAGGATGTGACTTGATGGGGGATGTGATGCTACATGCCTTCTGTGGAGGTGACGAGACTGGAGAGTAACAAAAGCAAAGATGGCAAACTTTGAAAAGTGACCCTTTGTTTTAAATACAAGAAGGACAGAAGATGAGCAAGGTTGTGGACAGTATGACCCTTAGACTCAGGCAAGAGCCCTGCCCAGAGCCTCATATTTTACAGGGCCACTCAATCACACAGACACACACACACACGCAAATGTACTGAAGAACACGGACTGTCTCTGTCACTCAGGACCGGGCACAATCTGTAACCTAAAAAACCACTAACACAATTTTTCAGATTTGAGAAAAATACTTCTTCACATACCTTGACCTTTGTCCTTTTCAAATATTAGAAATATTTGTGGGTTGTGCCACTGCTGCCATAGGAGGCAGACTCTGTTTATACGAAAATAATTTGTTTATGCTTTTCCCCCAGACTCCATCAATAATAATAATTATCTGTAGATGGATTTGGAGGTAAAGGGGATGAAAAATGAGAACACCTATATTTTCACTGAAGTAGAAATTAAAGTTCTGCAGGCACAACATTGGATTAACTGCTCAAGAACGTTCCAAATAGTTACTATTGGCACTGTGAGGAATGGTGTAGAAAAATAAGTAAATATGATCTTATAGTAGCTCAGGTTTTAGGTTTTGGAAGAACCTCCATACTGTTCTTCATAGTGGCTATACTAATTTACACTCCTACCAACAGTGTACAAGGGTTCCCTTTTGTCCATGTCCTTGCCAGCATTAACACTTTTTGTTTTTATATTTTTTGGTTCCATACTTCTTAATTGACTTCATATGACTCTGATTTGGAATTGGGGCCAAGGGTGGAGGGGTTTCAAGGAAGGGAAGGAAAAAATTAATTAGCTAGCCCCATCTTTCCTCTCAGCACGGAGGCAATAGATTCTTACAAAAAGAAATACTGTTTCCCGAGGGTGCTGAGGATCTATTTTCTTGCATCTCTTATGTACTCATTTGTGGTTCTTCAGGGTACTCATGAATCAGCATAGTATTCACTATAGTTGCTCATGATGGCTGGAACACTTTGTAATATTCAACAACATTAGTTTTAAATTGCATATATTTTATCCTAGATTGAATCTGCATAAAGAGTGACACTGATTAGCTTCTTTATATACTAGATGAATGTTGAAACTAGCATTTATTTTAAATACTGTGATCGAATTAAACTTAAAAACAAATAAATTCTAATTTTATTTAAATATATTTTATTAAAGCTATTCATTGTTAATTATTATTTATATTTTGCTTTTTAGGTTTACTAGATTATTCTAATGGTTTAAAAGAAAATTAGCTGTTTTTAAAAGTTATGAAAATAATTTGTTTTTGCTTTTGCCCCAGACTCCATAAATAATAATAATCTGGAAATGGATTTGGAGGTAAAGGGGGTGAAAAATAAGAACACCTATATTTTTACTGAAGTAGAAATAAAAGTTCTGCAGGCACAACATTGGATTAACTGCTCAAGAACGTTGCAAATAGTTACTATTGGCACTATGAGGAATGGTGTAGAGAAATAATTAAATATGGTTAAGGAATCAACAATAGTTATTGGACACTCAGCAAGTATTAGGGAAATTGAATTGAAAGGGAGAAAAACAGAGAGAGGTAATCTGGGTAGAACTGATAAAGGGTAGGTCATCCATAGAACAACCAACCCCAAGATTCCACATGGAACTCTGCCATGATGTTGTGTTTAATTTAGACTGCCTTTCGCTGGGGACCACCAGATTAAAAAAATAAAGCCTTTTTTTTCCCTTTTATATTGTCTTTGGAAAGATTGCCTTGCACACATCCTTAAATGTCAGCTTTAATTAAGTCTCCCAGTCTCAAATACTTTCATCAGTGAGCTGAAGTCCTTTGAAGAGGCTTCTTTCCTCAAAGGACTGTAGCTCACTGAAGTCAGGATACTGGGTAAAATAATCTGTAGATAATGCAGCTTGAAATAAACACTCATTCTGGGTTTCTGATTGTTTGAGAGATGAGATTAATAACTAAAAGCAAATTGATTTGCCTTATACCAATCCACATGGCCAACCTTAAGTCATCCCAGTCCATCACTATCTGAAATACCTTGGTGCAAATCACCTCCTCCTGCTTGTTACAAATCCTATAGTCTAATTTCTTCTAGAATCAGGTACAAGCTCTTTCCTTTGCAAAATGGCAAATAAGAAAATAAATTAAAGAAATCTAAGATGTCCATAGGAACTAAATGCTAGACAGGATTCTACTTTCTTTGTACTGTTTGCTTTCACAGAACACGTCAACTTCCTGAAAATAACTGAGGCTGAGATCCTTAGTTGTTTAAGCTATGTGTCTCAGGTAGTTTTTATGTAGCCCCCACTACAGTCCTGGGCAATGCGGGACTCAGCACAGAAGTACTCAGCGTGTCGTTCCAATAGGCTGAGGGTTTCCTCAGGAGGAAGCAGTTTTCATTCTTCTTAAATTCAGCCTCAAAACCGTTAATTCCTGAAAGAACCCTATATCCTGATAGGTACTTCAGGAGAAGCTGGAGTCCTTGGCTGAGGTATTGCACATATCAGAAAATATATGTTGGAACAGAAGATCAATAATAGTTACACCTCAGCTCCAGAGGGGCTCCTTCAGAGACAGCGACATGAACGTCAGGCTGAGTCACAGAATGGGCAGTGGTTTTTCCTACAATGCCAATGCTATGTCAGTGAACTCAGCTAACACAAAAAGTCCGTATTCAGAGTCAAATAGACAATGCTCCATTTGTGGACAAGAGAGTAAAATGGAATGATACCCACTTGGGAACAGGAGTACCCCAAGCGTCAAGACACACAATGAGATCTAGCCAAGCACTGAGGGAGCAGCATGCACCTTTCCAGGAGATTCCCCACAGACACAATCTGACCACGGGGTAACTTGAATCCAGGTTGAAACTAAGGAGAAATGGCAGGGATTTAGATTTCTTCTTCTTAGGGATCTTGTAGAAACTGCTAGTAAGAGATGCTCTCTTGACAAACTTGCCTGCCTCTGGTGTCTGAGATTCTTTATACATCGCTGTCTAAAAGAATGCTCAGTCAGAAAGGACACCTCTTTAACCTGTAGAGAAGGAAGGAGCTTATTCTAATCTTTTAAAGAAAAGCCATTTCCAATTTAGGCAACAACACCCTCCAGGGGCCAAATAGAGGGCTAAGAGAAATTCACAATTTTTGTGAACTTCCTCCACATCCTTCCTGCCCTTCTAGTGTTGAATTTCAAAGATTTATGATAATGTACAAAGGAGGATTTATGTTTGTAAGCCTGAAACTTACAAGATGGAGGATTTTAAAAAGAATAACATAAAAATAAGAATAAAACTGGGTACAAAAATAATTTTAGGTCAGAAAATCACAACAAACTATAAATTTTAAAACACGAATACCATAAATACAGAATTCAGAAATTTACATATTTCCTTGTTTATCTGACACACTTCTATAATACTTTATTTTTAAATTTTCAATTTTTGTGGGTACATAGTAGTTGTATATATTTTAGGGGTACACGAGTCGTTTTGATACAGGCATGCAATGTGAAATAATCACATCATGGAGAATGGGGTATTCATCTCCTTAAGCACTTGTCCTTTGTGTTACAAACAATCCAATTACACTCTTAGTTTAACTGTACATTATTTCAAAATTCACAATTAAATTACTTTTGACTATAGTCACCCTGTTGTGCTATCAAATAGTAGGTCTTACTCATTCTTTCTATATTTTTGTACTCATTAACCATCCCCACCTCCCCCCTCATTCCCTCACTACTCTTCCCAGCCTCTGGTAACCATCCTTCTACTCTCTATGTCCATGAGTTCAATTGTTTTGATTTTCAGATCCCACAAATAAATGAGAACATGCAATGTTTGTCTTTCTGTGCCTGGCTTATGTCACTTAACATAATGAGCTCCAATTCTGTCTATGTTCTTGCAAATGACAGGATCTCATTGTTTTTTATGGCTGAATAATACTCCATTGTGTATATGTACCACATTTTATTTATTCATTCATGTATTGATGGACACTTAGATTGCTTCCAAATCTTAGCTGTTGTAAACAGTGCTGCAACAAACAGGAGTGCGGATACCTCTTCAATATACTGATTTCCTTTCTTCTGGATATATACCCAGCAGTGGAATTGCTGGATCTTATGGTAGCTCAGGTTTTAGTTTTTTGAGGAAACTCCATACTGTTCTCCATAGTGGTTATACTAATTTACACTCCTACTAACAGTGTACAAGAGTTCCCTTTTCTCCACGTCCTTGCCAGAATTAAGATTTTTTGTTTTTATATTTTTTGGTTCCATACTTCTTAATTGACTTCATATGACAATAAATTTGTAATATTTCCTATATAGAGAAAATAAGATAATGAAGTCTTTACTCCAAACATGTTTGATCAATTTTTTTAATTCACAGTTATGGTTGATGGATCAAGCAAAAATAATAACACTGTCTGATGAGGTTCTAAATATATATTGGGGAAAACATAAAGAAAACTGTATCATGAATTGGTGAGGACAACTGAATGTAAAGGGAGACAATGTTTTTATACTTCATTTAAATTGGTGGAATGACATCACCAATAGACAACTGTGTTATCTATTTATAATAGCCATTAGAGCAAACACTGAAGAAAGCTACACAAAAATACACATCCAAGGCATTATAGGTAAATTGAATGGAATTTTAGAAAATGTCAAATAATTCACAAGAAGTTAGGAGATAAAACACAGGGAAACAAAAAACAGAACAAACAAAATTAAATGGAAGATTAATCACTAAAATATACATTACATTAAATGCAAATGATGTACATATACCAATTAAGATACAGAGATTGGTCTACAAACAGCAATGAAAAGAGAGTTAAAATACAGAGAAAGTGAAAAGAGTGGAAATATGATCCAACTACAGCTGTCTACGAAGACCTCATTTCTAACTTAATGACATAGGCATGTTGAAAGTAAAATATAGGCCAGGTGCGGTGGCTCACGCCTGTAATCCCATCACTTTGGGAGGCCAAGGCTGGTGGATCATGAGGTTAGGAGATTGAGACCATCCTAGCTAACACGGTGAAACCCCGTCTCTACTAAAAATACAAAAAATTAGCCGGGCGTGGTCGCGGACGCCTGTAGTCCCAGCTACTTGGGAGGCTGAGGCAGGAAAATGGCGTGAACCCGGGAGGCGGAGCCTGCAGTGAGCCAAGATTGCGCCACTGCACTCCAGCCTGGGCGACTGAGCAAGACTCCGTCTCAAAAAAAAAAAAAAAAAAGAAAGAAAGAAAGAAAGTAAAATATATATCGTGCAAACATTAATCAAAGGAAAGTCAAAATAATTATATCGATATCAGGTAAAGTAGACTTCTGAGCAAAGCAAAGTACCAGAGACAGAAGAGACAGAAAGGAACATTATATATTGTTGAAAGGGTCAGTCTTTCAAGAAGGAATAGCAATGCTAAATGTGTATACACCAACCAAAAGAGCTGAAAAATACATGGAAGAAAAACTCATAGTAATGAAAGAAGAAACCGATGATTCTAGAATTATAGTTGGAAACTTCAACACCCCACTCTCAATAACTAATAGAAGAGCTTGCCAGAAAATTAGCAAGGACATAGACGAACTCAACAACTCTGCTAGCCAACAGGATCTAATAGCCATTTCTAGAACATGGCACCTACCAATGGCAGAATAAACAATCTTTTCAAATGCCTGTAGAACGTATACCAAGTATGCCATATCTTAGGCCACAAGACAAACCTCAAAAAATTAAATGTAAAAGAATTGAAACAATAAAGACTATGTTTTATAACCACAATAGAATACAACTATAAGTAAATATCAGAAAGAGAGCAGAAAAATCTCCAAATATTTGAAAATTAAACAACATACATCCTAATAATCCAAGGATCAAAGAAGCTCAAGGGAAATCAATCATACACTGAACCGAGTGGAAATGAAAATACAACATGCCAAAATTTGTAGGACATAGTCAAAGCAGCATTGAGAGAAAATGTATATCCCTAAATGCAAATATTAAAAATGAAAAAAGTATCCAAACAAAAATCTAAGTTCCCACCTCAAGAACCAAGAAAAAGAAGGAAAAAATTAATCCAAAGCAAATTTAAGGAAGGAATTAATCAAGATAAAAGCAGAAATCAATAGAACTGAAAACAGAAACAAAAATTAAACAGCCGTTTTTAAAAAGATGGGTAAAACTGACAAACTTGTAGTAAAACAAAGAAAAAAAAGGCAAATTACTAATATTAGGAATGAAACAGGGAGTGTTATTACAGACCCTGCAGACATAAAAAGGACATTTGGCAAAAACAAAGGAAATAGGAATAAAGTGTGGGCTTTAGTTAATTTAAAAAAGAAAGAAAAACCAAAAATGTTTAACATCACTGGCTATTAGAAATATGCAAAGTAAAACTACAATGATTTCTCCATACCTCTTAGAGTTGCTGAAGTATTAACCAATGACAACACAAAATGCTAGCAGAAATGTGGAGAAATTAGATTACTCAAACACTGCTGGTGGGAATGCAAGACAGTACAGCAACCTAGAAAATACTTTGGCGATTTCTTATAAAACTAAACATACACTTACTCCATGTCTCAGTAATTGTACTACTTGGTATATATTCCAGAGTACGAAGACTCACCTTCATACAAAAACCTGAACATGAACACTTATAGAAGCTTTAATCATAATAGCTCAAAACTGGAAACAACCCAAATGTCCTTCATTAAGTGAATGTTTACACAAACTGGCATATCCATGCTATGAAATTCTACTCAGCAATGAAAAGGAATGAAACATTAATATATACAACGACCTGTATGAATCTCCAGATAATTATGCAGAGTGAAAAATATTCATGTTCATAAATATCCTGAATGATTCCATTTATATAGCATTCTTGATAAAATTATGGAAATGGAGAACAAATTAGTGGTTGCCAGGGGTTAAATAGTAGATGGTGGCATAATGGAAGTTGCTATTGCTAATAAAAGGGAAACATGAGGATGCTTGTAGAGATGGAAATGTTCTGTATCTTGACTATATCGACATCCATATTCTGGCTGTAATTATATCATTGTTTTGATATATATACAACATATCAAAGATAATATATTATTAGAGGAAACTGGATAAAAGGTACATGGAAAATCGCTGTATTACAATCCATGTGTGTTGAAGACAGCTGCAAAACTGAGAATTCTCCAAAATAACTTCCATGTAGAAAACTGTTTATTACATGATAAGAAATAAAAATGTGATAATTTGAAGCATACATTTATTATTAAAATAAATAGTAACCTCTGCATTTGTTTAGAACTTAGGTCAAAAAATATTTTTTATCATTGACATTGTTTAGAATTCCTGGCATACGGTAATAAAAATCAGATTGGCTATTAATCATTTTTATATTGTTTTTAAAAAGCTCTCTATAAAGCACCCTGTTATTACCTGCAACTGGGACAAACCACTCCCATTGCCTGACCTTTGGTATGCTTCTGCTAATAACAATTTCTGGAGTGTAAGTCATTGAGTTGATGGCAAAGTCAAATACAGTCATACCTCTGAAATATTGCTGATTATAGACCACCATAATAAGGTGAGTCATGCAAACTTTTTGGTTTCTCAGTGCTTATAAAAACTATGTTTACACTACACCGTAGTCTATTAAGTGGACAATAATAGCACTGTGAAAAACAATGTACATACATTAATTAAAATGTACTTTATTACTAAAAAATGCTAACGATCATCTGATTCTTCAGCAAGTCATAATCTTTTTGTTGGTGGAGGGTCTTGCCTTGATGTTGATGGATGCTGACTGATCAGGATGTGATTGCTGAAGGTTGGGGTGACTATAGCAATTTCTTAAAATAAGACAACAATGCAGTTTGCTGCGTCAATTAATACTTCCTTTCATGAAAGATTTCTCTGTAACCTGCAATACTGTTTGATGGCATTTTACCCATAGTAGAACTTCTTTCAAAATCTGTGTCAAGCCTCTAAAACCCTGCTATGGGTTTATCAACTAAGTTTATAAAATATTCTAAATCCTTTGTTGTTATCTTAACGATGTTCACAGCATCTTCACCAGGAATAGATTCCATCTCAAGAAACTACTTTGTTTGCTCACCCATAAAAAGAAACTCCTTATTTGTTAGTTTTATCATGAGATTGAAGCAATTCAATCACATCTTCAGGTTCCACTTCTAATTCTAGTTCTCCTGCTATCTACCACTATATTTTGATAATCATTTGGATCTTTTAAAACTGGCATTTAAAAATTCTGAGCTCCAGAGGGCACCTCAAGAGCCTTTCAACTCGTTTACTGCCTCCAGGAAAGAAAACAACTTAACCATGCCAAACCCATGATTTCCCTCCCATTCTTAAAAGCTTTCTACAGCAGTGTCCTAGATAGTTAAAATATACAAGAACCATCAATATCATTTCAAAATTATCTCAGTTACTTATTCCACTAAAGTATTTACTCCTGCAGTTACTTACTCCACTGAAGTCTTGAACCTTTCAAAGTCATCGAGTGTTGGAATCACTTTCTTCCAAAATCTTGTTAATCTTGATATTTTGACCTACTTCCATGAGTTACAAATGTTCTTAATGGTATCATGTAGAAGATTTTCAATTTACTTTGCTGAGACCATCAGAGGAATTACTATCTATGGCAGTTATGGCCTTGTAAAATGTATTTCTTAAATAGTAAGACTTGAAAGCCAAAATTATTCCTTGATCCATGGGCTGCAGAATGGATGTTACATTCACAGGCAAGAAAACATTAATCCCCTTGTACATCTCCATCAGAACTCTTGGGTGACCAAGTGCATTGTTAATCAGCAGTACTATTTTGAAAGGAACCTTTTTTTTCCTGAGCAGTAGATCTCAACATTGGGCTTAAAATATTCAGTAAAACATGCTATAAACAGATGTGCTGTCATCCAGGTTTTGTTGTTCCATTTATAGAGCACAGGCAGAGTACACTTAGCATAATTCTTAAGGGCCCTAGAATTTTCAGAATGGTAAATGAGCATTGGCTTTAACTTAAAGTCATCAGCTGCATTAGCACCTAACAAGAGAATCAGCCTGTCCTTTGAAGTTTTGAAGTCAGGCATTGACTTCCTCTCTCTAGCTATGAAAGTCCTACGTGGCATCTTCTTCCAATAGAAAGCTGTTTTGTCTACAATGAAAATCTGTTGTTTAGTGTAGCCACCTTCATCAGTGGTCTTAGTTAGATCTTCTGGAAACTCGCTGCAGCTTCTACATCAGCACTTCCTGCTTCGCCTTGCACTTTTATGTCATGATGATGACTTCATTTCTTAAACCTCAGGAAACAACCTCTTGTAGCTTCAAACTTTCCTTTGGCAGCTTCCTCACCTCTATCAGGCTTCACAGAATTGAAGAGAGTTAGGGCCTTGCTGTGCGTTAGGCTTTGGCTTAAGGGAATATTGTAACTGGTTTGATATTTTATCCAGAACACTAAAACTTTTGCCATATCAGCAGTAAGGCTGTTTTACTTTCTTATCATTTATGTGTTTAACTGGAGTAGCACTTTTAATTTTCTTCAATAAATTTTCCTTTGCATTCACAACTTGGCTGTTTAGTTCAAGAGGTCTATCTGTCAGCTTATTGATTGGGCTTTTGACATGCTTTTCTCACTAAGCTTAATCATTTCTAGCTTTTGACTTAAAATGAGAGTCCCATCGTGGTGGTTCATACCTATAATCCCAGCTGTTTGGGAGGCAAAGGCAGGAGAATTGCTTGAGCCCAGGAGTTTGAGACCAGCCTGGGCAACATAGTGAGACCCCATCTCCACAAAAAGAAAAATAAATAATGTGAGAAATATGCGACTCTTCCTTTCCCTTGAACAGTTAGAAGTCACTGTTAGCCAATTTTCAATATTGTTATGTCTTAGGGGATAGAAAGGCCTGCAGAGAGAGAAAGAGAGGGGCAAACGGTCACTTGGTGGAGAAGTCAGAACACACACAAAAGATTTATTGATTAAGTTCACTGTATCGTACAAGTGGTTCTCTCTGCCTGCAGCTCTTTTTAGCAGGAACCTTAACTTTGCTATTGCAATCTTTCCTACATATCTCAATGTAACTATTTTCTCAGAGAGGCCTTCTCTGACCACCAGCAGCATAATCCCCACCGTGCCAAAGTAAACACAATTTTATCATCTTTCATATCCATTTTTAAAATTTATTGTCCTTATCATGCATTGAAATTATATATTTGTTTGAATTGCTTTGTTGTGTGTATACATCTTCCCTGTTAAATTGTAACTGTTCACTGCCATATTGCCAACAGCAAAGTGTTTGCCTACCTAAGATGCTGTTACCCCATGTGCAGGAGAAAGTAACTTCTTTCAACTTCTTTCAAATGTGAACTCTCACATTTATTCTTGCAATGTAGTTCATTAATTGTCATTAACAATAGAAGTTCATTTATATTATGGAATATAATAGCTATTAAAGTAGCACTAGTCAAGCCCCCTTTTTCATAACTATATCCAATTTTATTTTTAATTTTTTTACAATTTCAACTTTTATTTTAGGTTTGAGGGTTTATGTGCAAGTCTGTTACATGGGTATATTGCGTGACACTGAGGTATGGGGTATGAATGATCCTGTCACTCAGGTAGTGAGCATAGTATCCAATAGGTAGTTTTTCAGTCCTACCCTTGTCAGGAAACCCCAGTATCTATTGTTCCCAGTTTTGTGTCCTTGTGTACCCAATGCTTAGCTCCCACTTACAAGTGAGAAAACGTGGTATTTGGTTTTCCTGTTTCTGCACTAATTCACTTAGAAATTTGGCCTCTAGGTGCATCCATGTTGCTGCAAATGCCACGAGCTCATTCTTTTATGTCGCTGCATAGTATTCCATGGTGTATATGTGCCATATTTTCTTTATTCAATCCACATTTGACAGGTACCTAGGTTGATTCCATGTCCTTGCAATTGTGAATAGCACTGCAATGAACATGCGAGTACATGTGTCTTTTTGGTATAATGATTTATTTTTCTTTGGATATATACCTAGTAATGGGATTGCTGGGTTGAGTGGTAGATCTATTTTAAGTTAAGTTTTTTGAGAAATTTCCAAACTGCTCTGCAAACTGTTCACAGTGGCTGAACTAATTTACATCCCCATCAACAGAGTATGTGTTCCTTTTTTCCCATAGCCTAGCCAGCATCTGTTATTTTTTGACTTTTTAATAATAGCCATTCTGACTGGTGTGAGATGGTATCTCATCGTGGTTTTGATTTGCATTCCTCTGATGATTAGCGATGATGAGAATTGTTTTCATACATTTGTCGGCCACTTGGCTGTATCTTCTTTTGAGAAGTGTCTGTTCTTGTCCTTTGTCCATATTTTAATGCAGTTATTTGTGTTGTTCTTATTGACTTGTTTAAGTTCCTTATAGATTCTGGATATAAGACCTTTGTTGGATGTGTAGTGTGCAAATATTATCTCACATTCTGTAGGTTGTCTGTTTACTCTGTTGATAGTTTCTTCTGCTAGGCAAAAGCTCCTTATTTAGATCCCTCTTGTCAATTTTTATTTTTGTTGCAATTGCTTTTGGGAACTTAAGCCAAAAATCCTTTGCCAAGACTGATATCAAGAAGGGTATTTCCTAGGTTTTATTCTGAAATTTTGATAGTTTGAGGTCTTACTGTAAATCTTTTGTTTTTAATTCTGTTTATTTATTGAATAGGGAATCCTTTCCCCATTGCTTGTTTTCCTTGGCTTTGTGGAGGATTAGATGATTGTAGGTGTATGGCTTTCTTTCTCAGTTCTCTAGTCTGTTCCGTTGGTCTATCTGTCTGTTTTTGTACTGCTACCATTATCATTTTGGTTACTGTAGCATTATAGTGTAATTTGAAGTTGAGTAATGTGATGCCTCTGTCTTTGTTCTTTTTGCTTTGGTAATTTGGGCTCTTTTTTGGTTCCATATGAATTTTAGAATAGTTTTGTCTAATCATGTGAAAAATAATGATGGGAGTTTGATAGGGATAGTTTTGAATCTCTAGACTGCTTTTGGCAGTATTGCCATTTTAACAATATTGATTCTTTCAATTCATGAGCATGGAATGGCTTTTCATTTATTTGTGTTGACTCTGATTTCTTTCAGCAGTGTTTTGTAGTTATCCTTGTAGAGATCTTTCACTCTCATACCATTTACCATAGCCACAAAAAAATTAAATACCCAGGAATCCATCTAACCAAGGAAGTGAAAGATTGATCAGTTCCAGGGGTCTTCTGGCAGAGTTTTTGGCAGAGTCTTTAGGATTTTCTAGGCATAGAATCATATTGTCAGTAAAGAGAGATACTTTTACTTCCTTTTTTCTTACTTCAAAGTCTTTTATTTTTTCTCTTGCCTGAATGCTGTGGCTAGGACTTCCAATACTATGTTGACTAGGAGTGGTAAGAGGGTCACTGTTTTCCTGTTCCAGTTCTCAAGAGGAATGTTTTCAGTTTTTACCTGTTCAATATGATGTTGCCTGTGGGTTTGTCATAGATGGCTGTTATTAATTTGAGGTATGTTTCTTCAGTGCCTAATTTGTTAAAGGTTTTTATTATGAAGGGATGTTGGATTTTATCAAAAGTTTTTTCCATGTCTATTGAGATGATCTTATGGCTTTTGTTTTTAATTATGTTTATGTGGTGAATCATATTATTGATTTGCATATATTGAACAAAACTTGCATCCCAAGAATGAAACCTATTTGATTCTGGTGAATTAACTTTTTGAAGTAGTACTGGTTTCGGTTTGCTAGTATTTTGTTGAGAATTTTCACATCTAGATTCATGAGGAATATTGGCCTGTAGTTTTCTTTTTTCTTTGTGTCTTTACCATGTTTTTGTTTCAGGGTGAGGCTGGCTTTATAGCATGAGTTAGGAAGGTGTCCGTCCTCCTCAATATTTTGGAATAATTTCAGCAGGATTGGTACAAGCTCTTCTTTGTCCATGTGGTACAATTTGGCCGTGAATCCTTCTGGCCCAGGAGGTTTTTTTGGTTGCTAGATTCTTAATGACTGATTCAATTTTTTTCTTGATTGAATCTTGGAAGATTGTGTGCTTCCAGGAATTCAACCACTTTCTCTAGATTTTCTAGTTTATGTGCATAGAAGTGTTTATAATAGTTTCTGAGGATCTTTTTATTTCTGTGGTATCATTTGTAATGCTGCCTTTGTCATTTTTCATTGTGCTTATCTGGAACTTCTCTTTTTTTCTTTGTTAATTTAGCTAGCAGTCTATACATCTTGTTTATTATTTTTTTCAAAGTTAATTTAGCTAGCAGTCTATACATCTTGTTTATTATTTTTTTTCAAAGAACCAACTTTTGGTTTTATTTATGCTTTGTATGGATTTTTGTGTCTTGATTTAGTTCTGCTCTGATTTTAGTTATTTCTTTTCTTTTACTAGCTTTGGAGTTAGTTTGTCCTTTTTCTTGTTTCTCTACATATGATGTTAGATTATTAATTTAAGATCGTTCTTATTTTCTGACGTTGGCATTTAGCACTATAAACTTTCCTCTTATCACTGATTTTGCTGCATCCCAGAGATTTTTGTATGTTGTGTCTCTGTTTTCATTTATTTTAAATAATTTTTTGATGTCTGCTTTAATTTCATGGTTTATCTAAAATCATCCATGAGCAAGTTGTTTAATTTCCATGTAATTATGTGATTTTGAGAGATCTCCTTAGTATTGATTTCCATTTTTATTTCACTGTTGTCTAAGAGTATGGTTGGTATAATTTCAATTTTTAAAAAAATTTATTGAGGCTTGCTTTATGGCCAATGAGAAGAATATATATTCTGTGGTTGATGACTGAAGTATTCTATAAAATTCTGTCAGATCCAATTGGTCAAGTTTAAGTGCAGAATTTCTTTTTTTCTTTTTTTTTTTTGAGATGGAGTCTAACTCTGTCACCAAGATGGAGTGCAGTGGCGCAATCTCGGCTCACTGCAATCTCCGCTCACTGCAATCTCTGTCTCCCAAGTTCAAGTGATTCCCCTGCCTCAGCCTCCCAGGTAGCTGGGACTACGGGCACACACCACCACGCCTGGCTAATTTTTTTGTATTTTAGTAGAGACAGGGTTTCACCATGTTTGCAAGGATGGTCTCAATCTCCTGATCTCATGATCCGCCCGCCTTGGCCTCCCAAAGTGCTGAGATTACAGGCTTGAGCCACCACGCTCGGCCCTAAGTCCAGAATTTCTTTGTTAGTTTTCTGCCCTGATGATCTTCCTAACATAGTCAGTGGGGTGGTGAAGTCCCCCACTATTTAAGCTCCTTTATAGCTCATATATCTGAATGTATTACTTACCCACGAGTTGGTTTGTAATGTCAAGAAAGAAAGCAGCTTTGTAGCCCAGATATGGCAGAGGTTGTGAATGCAAACTCCTCATCACACAATATGGAGCCTGAATATTTAGTAAAAGAAATAAATGAGAACAAGGACTTGTTGATAAGAAAATCTTCCAGGAAGGCCAAGATATCTGTTTGGAGTTTCGAGCTTTTATTGAGGACAGAGTTTGACACGTAAATATTGAGAACTGGGCTTTACATCAATGCATCTCTCTGACTTATCTAAGAAGTACTATCTGATTGATGTAGGCTTCAATGACCTATCTGAATGGAGGACAAGCTGCCCTCCAGCTTTAACATTTCTTATGGTGATTCATTAATTTTTCATGTGCAAAGTGACTCTTATGGTGAAGTGAGAACTTGGCAGGGAAGAAAAACTCAGTGTCTTTACAATAGTTCTGTGGATATAAGTGAAGACCACCTAAATGAAAAAAGCAAAGGCAATTTATTCAGAGCTTGGTATACCAAAGGAATCAGCTACCGTCCCTTGTGTTTGGCAGAGACTTAAAGATAGGCAGAGGAGTAGGGAAGCTTTAGAGTGGAAGAAAACTAACAAAGCTTCAGGTATGCCCTGGTTGGAGGCTCTTGCATGGGGAAGATATAAGCATGTCATTGGTTAGATGTGCATATTTAGCTTTCTCTGGTCCTTCCTACATTGAATAAACCTCAGAAAATTATGCCATGTGAGAGAAGCCATACACAAAGGCCACTACCTACTATATTATTCCATTTATATGAAATGTACAGAATAGGAAAATCCATAGAGACTGAAAACAGGTTGGTGGCTGCCAGAGGCTGGGAGGAGGGTGGGCAAGGTAACTGCTTAATGGACATGTGGTTTCCTTTTGAGATGTTAAAAAGTTTTTGAAACTACACAGAGATAAAAGCTGCACAACATTGTGAATACACTAAATAACACTTAATTGTTCACTTTAAAAGACTGAACTTCATGGCATGTAAATTAATTGAAATAAAACTATTATTTATATTAAAATTGATAAAAATCTAAAGATCAGAGAATTCATAGTTTAATTTCAGATTATTACATCAAGTTTTGTGTATTTGATTGCTTCTGTGTGGAGACAGTGTCAATTTAGAAGTCCTCTTAATGCAAAAACATTGCTCAGTCTCAAGATAAAACATGCAGTTAGAGCCCCAGCTATAGAGTTTGGGTATTGGTTGCAGGTGCCTGTTGTGCACTGTGCCTCACAGCACAGAGGTAGGTGGCTGAGTCACCAGGCTGAGAAGCTGCAATGTATAAAGTACTACGTCCTGATGATTTATCCAGCGAGGCATTAAGTCTTCCACTTGTTTGCTCTCTCTGACTTGACTGAATAAGCAACAGAGATGTGAGACCTTTCCCAGGGTCCTGCCTAAACCACTGGAGGTTGTAAATAGCGCTATCAGTGAAACTGCAGTTGAGAACCAAGTTTTCTCCTTCTGGGACACTCAGAGCTGCAGGAATCTGCGTCACCTCCTGTTTGCTGCTCACCCCTGTTCAGAAAAAGAGCAATAGACTGGTTAGTGGCTAATGATTCCTTAGAAATTACCTTTAAATTTATTTTTTCAATTTCCACAGAAATTCCCAGTAAACCATACAGGCATAACAACTCCCTTTCTTTCTCCCTCTTTCCTGGGAGAAACGTCCTGGAGTCAGCCTGCTCTTTGCTCATTTCCATTTCCCTCTAACTCACATTGCAGCTGCAGCCAAAGGATAAGCAGGCCCAAGAGGGTCTCCATTCCTTCTGTCACTTAGACTCACTGAGAACTGAAATCTTATATCTGAAATATGGAGAATGGCTCACAAGATAAACACTCTGCTTTGCTCTCTCATATGTTCAAACATTTCTACAGGAAACACAGAGTTGGCCCAGCCAATCTGAGACAAGTCTCTCTCTCTCTCTCTCTCTCTCTCTCTCTCTCTCTCTCCTCTCTCTCTCCTCTCTCTCTCTCTCTCTCTCACACACACACACAGATCTGCAAAATGTGGGAGGTGGAAATGGAATGAAAGAAATGAAAACACTGCCACTTCAGAACCAAGCACAGTACTGCTAGAGAAATGCTTCTTTCTCCTCCACTTTCACCTCCTCCTCCTTCTCCTAAAGAAACAAAAATGTTTGAATATGAGATTTGTAGAATGCAGCCAAATCAGTGCATAGAGAGAAATATATATTCTTAAATGCTTATGTTAGAAAAGAAAAAATATATAAATGTTTTCCATACTGTTACAGCAACTTTCTCCAGATTCCTCTGACTGCTGTCTCTTCTTGCCACTTCAGTGCTTAAGGACTGGTTTCCCGTAACTTGCATTTTTGTGAAAAGGCCCTTTCTATCATCTCTTACTTGTCATATTGCAAAAGGAGTTCAGAATCATACTATTAATATTCAGTTTTGTTGATAATGTCAGGAAATGGATACTCTGATATTCTGATAGCTGAAATATAATTAATAAATGTCTACATATGTTATTTACATATTACTGAATGCAAAATTTCCATTTGGCCAGGAATTTTTCTTAAGAAATACTCTTATAAATACACTTACAGCACTGTACATTGCATGCAATGGTTAAAAAAGTGGAAAAAAATTTAAATATTCTTTCAATATAGATAGTCAATACATTATGGTAGCTCTGTATTGTGAGTTACTTACTACACTTGCAAAAAAGTATAAGGTGGGTTAAACTTTCTGAGTTGCAAAAGCTTCTGTCTCTTATTCAATTGAACCACAGCATTTTATATATAGTGTGATCCTATTTACGATTTTTAAAAGTATGTTTACTGTGAGTTTGTATTTAAATGTATAGAAACAGTGGAAGTGTGATGAAACCCAACAGTGATTAGGAACTTGTCAGAAGAAAATCAATGAAGTATCACTTTTTATTCTATATTGCGTAGATACTTAAACAATTACACATTAATTTACAAAGTGATTAGTCATAAAAATGGAATACAGGTACATAGAAAACTAGGGAAATGTTGAAATAAAAATATTGATATAATGATTTCATGTTAGCAAATTTTCAAAATTCATTTACTTTTCAATGCATGTGCTATAGTTGAAAAAATCGAGAGAGCCCAGATATTTCTCAGAAAAATAATGCTCAATTTATGAACTTGACACCGGACCTTTACCAAGAATGAAAATGTTAGATTGGAGAAAGAGCAATATCCAGGATCTTCTCTCTCCTTGTTTTTTCTTTACTGGTGCAGTTCTTGATTTCATGTACCTTTCCTTATTTTTCCCCTTTCCTTCTTCTCATTTCATTTTCTACCTTCTTCCATTAATCTCACATTTTCTTGGGCAATGCCCTCTTTAAATGGATTTTATCTCCCCTCTTCACCTGGGAGACAGATGTGGTCCAATCTGCCCACAGTGTAGTAACACATGGTGGTGCCTTTGAGGGTTATCTGGTGCAGGACCAGGGTACTAGCCTTATTGTCCACAGGAATGGGCAGTGATATGGTTTGGATCTGTGTCCCCACCCAAATCTCATTTCAAATTGTAATCCCCAATGTTGGAGGTCAGACCTGGTGGGAGGTGTTTGGATCATGGGGGTAAATTTTCCCTTTGGTGCTGTTCTTGTGATGGTGAGTGCATTCTTTTGAGATCTGGTCATTTAAAAGTGTGTGGCACTTTCCCCGTCCTCTCTCTCTTCCTCCTACTCCAACCATGTGAAGTGCTGGCTCTGCCTTCACCTTCTGCCATGATTGAGAGTTTCCTGAGGCCTCCCCAGAAGCCAAACAGATACCAACAACACGCTTCCTGTACAACCTTCGGAACCTGAACAGCCAATGAAACCTCTTTCCTTTGCAAATTACCCAGTCTCAAGTATTTCTTTATAGCAATGAAAGAACAGACTAATACAGGCAGTGAAGCCATTTGACTGGTCACCTCGTTCTTTAAACCTCCAATCAGATACTGTGAGCCATGGTTATCAAACTGTTGATACCAGATTGTGTCCTCATTTCCTCCAGTGGTAGAGTGGGAACAGGGTATATTCACTTCTTGTTTCAGCACTGCCCTACTTTTGTGGCTTTAACATTACACATAATCCCTGAGGAGAAAAACGAGATTATCCCCAGACCCTCAAATCAAGGCAGATTTTTCAGATCAAGGTATAAGGGGGTTTCAAAAAGTTTATAGAAATATGGAATTAAAAGGTAACAATTAAAAAATATAAACTTTATTTCTCAACATAAGCTCCAACAAATTCAAGACACTTTTTTAAGTGATGATATCAGCCATTTAGTCCATCCCTAAGAACTGAGAGTCCAGGAATTTAACCATGTCAATGCAGGTTTGTTTATATATTAATTGAAGAAAAAGTAAGTGCCCATTAAAGATTTTTTTTAAGATTAGGAAACAAAAATAAGTCAGAAGAAAGAAAGTCAGTATTGTGAGATGGAGGCCTAATGATTTCCCATTGAAACTCTCACAAAGAATGAGCAGGAACATTGTCGTGGTGAAGAACTCTCTGGTGAGCTTTTTCTGGGCATTTTTCTGCTAAAGCCTTGGCTAACTTTCTCAAAACACTCTAGTAATAAGTAGATGTTGTCATTCTTCAGCTCTCCAGAAAGTCAACAAGCAACAATCCTTGAGCAAAACAAAAAACAAACAAACAAACAAAAAAACCTGTTGCTACAGCCTTTGCTCTTGACCAGTCCACTTTTGCTTTGACTGGACCACTTCCACCTCTTGGCAGTCATTGCTTTGACAGTACTTTGTATTCAGTATTGTACTGGTGAATCTGTGTTCATTTTCTGTTAAAATCCTTTGAAAAAATGCTTTAGGATCTTGATCCCACTTGTTTAAAATTCCATTGAAATGTCTGCTTTTCTCTGCAGCTGATATGGGTGCAACAATTTTGGCACCCACTGAGTGGGAGGTTTGCTCAACTTTAATTTTCAAGTCAGAATTATGTAAGCTGAACCAGTTGAGGTGTCTATGGTGTTGGCTATTTTTTCTGCTGCTAATCATTAGTCCTCTTCAATCAGGGCATGAATAAGATGAATTTTTTCCTCTCAATCAATGTGTATGCTCTGCTGCTGCATGCTTCATTTTCAACATCATCTTGTCTCTTCTTAAAATGAGTTATTCATTTGTAAACTGCTAATTTCTTTGGGGAATTGCCCCCATAAACTTGTCAATGATTTCACCATTCTTCCACCCAAGCTTTACCTTAAATTTGGTGCTTGTTTTTGCTTCAATATTGGCAGAATTCACGTTGCTCTGACAGGAGCTCTTTTCACACTGTTTTGTCTTTCATCCTTCTTAGTGCCTCAAATTAGATACTGTGTACAATGTCATAACAAGTTAGTAGGAGTTTATTTTGATGCAAAAATTTAAAAATTATGCATAATTTTTTTGTAATATGCATTTTTCATGAACTTGTTGAAGACCCCTGGTATAGTACTGAGAAGTAATTTTATGTATGACTCCCTTCCCCTAGAAAGAGCCAAATACGGCTGGGGTCATGTAGACTCACTAGTTAAGAGGCAGGACTCCCTGGATCTGTCTGTCATTTTCCCTTGGGCTCAATAAAACAGGAAATTCTACAGCAAAGAAAACTCTTCTGTGAGCTTTCACTGAGGGTTATAGGCTAAAATTTGTCCCTCTAAAATTTATATGTTGAACTCCTAGCGCCAAGTACTTCAGAATGTGACCTTATTTGGAGTTGGGTTCAAGATTATTTCTTGATTATAGAGGTATCTAAGTAAAATGAGGTGGGATCTAATGCAATATAAAAGGAGAAATTTGGACACAGATATACACAGACGGAAGATGATATGAAGACACAGGGATATGATGGCCATCTATAAGCCGAAGAGAGAAGCCTGAAACAGATCCTCCTTTCCTGGATTCTGTTGGCATCTTGACTTCAGACATTGCCTCCAGACCATGAGACAATAAATTTCTGATTTTTAAGTCCCCAGCCTATGGCACAAACTAATATACTGGGTATGATGTAGCCCCTCACACTGAGGATGTGACCTCCTCAAAAAGTTAACAGCTGTTATTTGATTGGTTGCCCTTAGCATCTTGGGTGAAGGAGAGTAAGACAGTGCAGGCAGCAGGTTCCTCTTCTGATTTCTTGGTTTAGAACACCATCTTTTCTTAGGCCTGAAACTCTTACCCAGGAGTACAGTCCACTCTGTCACAAGTTTCTTTATATTCAGGAAAACCCTACCAAGGCTTATACCATCATAAGAAGATGGAGAAAGCCCATCTAAATAACAATAAAGAGGAAATGAGGCTCAGACGCAGACAGTAATGTGTCCAAAGTGACCAGAAAAGTATAATCAGAACCTGATCAGGAAGCCATGTCTCCAGATGCCTGAAATGCCTCTAGATATCATCTATCTCTAGGAGAGCATTTACAGACTGCATATCTTGGTACAAAGGAAACAAGAGACTTGGGGTCACACACATCCTTACACCCCAGAAACCCTATCCCTGACCCACCTTTCCCCATTCTCCATGTGTGTGCCTAGTGGTGACACACACTAAGAATTGAAATGCAGAGAAGAGGAAAGACAGAAGAAAGGAGGGGACTGTAAGAAGGAAGGGAGCAACCTAGAAGACTTTTTCTCATTATCTTCTCAAGTTTAAGAGAAATGAAATAGATTGAGAAAAAAAAGTATCTTCCCCACCAAAAATATCTACTTTTCTCTATTTCAAAAACGACAAAAAAAAGATCAATTCAACTTGAAAGCTGTATAACTACTTCCTGTCTCTGTCTTTCTATATTGTCCTATTTTGAGTAGAAACAAAACTTTTCATAATGGATTGAGGCAAGGCCAGGAATTATTGAATGTTGGAAGCTATGCACAGACTACTCTGCTTAGAACAAAGAGAATAAAGAGTATCATTTGTCACAGTTTCTGCACGGCTTCACTACTGACTGTGAGCCAAACACTCTTTCCCCAGCTGAACAGGCATCTTATTGACAGACACAGCAGCCCCCTCTTGTGACTAAATACATGAATGCTTTCATTCAGGTCCTGGGCAGGTCTTCACCTGCTTTCGTAAAGTTACTTTACAGATATGGAAAAGAATCACTTAGACGTGCCTGTGATGTTACAGAAAGGACTTCACCAGTTTTGGTCATTTGTGGTTTCAGAATGATCACCATGTGTGACAAGCCATTTTTCAATATTAACAGTGGTTGCCTTTTTATATTATTATTTTTAATTAACCTCACAATTTTTCCTCCATTGAGGCAGTTGGGTGATTTTCTGCTTATCACTTTCAGGAAAGGAGGCATAGCTGGAAACCAAAAATAAAGAAGTCTTTCCTACCATCTTATTTCAAAACTTTCAGCTTTATAGGCAAATTAAGGAATCCAGCATAAACTGACTTATAGGAAATGATACAAAGATATAATGCAAGTCTGCCTACCAGAGTCTATATAAACATTTTCTGGGTGGAGCGATAGGGAGAGGAAAGGATGCCAAAGAAAAGAGCATCAAAGAGGCTTAAGCATGGTTGGGTCCTTCAGAGGGGCCCTGGTCCTTATGCCCTTGAAGAGGTCTAGGAAAGAAAGCTCCAAACCTCTGGGCCACTTTCAGTGGTTAAATAAACCTCAGGGCAGTTCTGTTTAACACTCCAGTCTTCACCTTTCCTCTGCTCTCCAAACTTCAGGCCTGATCCCGAGCTACAGTGAGGTGGACATGGCCTACTTTGTTCTCTTCTTTCCTCCTTTTTCTTTGATTTTAACTTCCCGGGATTAAGGTGAAAGGAAAAGATTAAGGGGAAGAAACAACAAAACTGTTCTTACTTAACCACTGTGCACCTCTAGTGTTGTTGCTTCCCTGGCCGACCACTGATGGCTGTGTATGGTGAGTGTCCCTATGAGAGAGCACCCAGGGGACCTCAGGGGCTCCTCAAGGGAGGTGTCTCCCCTTCCTGTCAGCCCCTCCCTCAGGAGAACCCTCCACAGCCCCTTACTTTCTCCTCTGGGTGAAGCTCTGGTGGGACAGCTCAGCCCTGGCACCTCAGAGGCAGCACCTGCCCACAGAATACACGTGCCTCCTCACCATGCCCAGTGCAGAAACCCAGGCAGGCCATGGCTGCCCCCTCTCCACTCCACCATCTCTCTCCAGTTTCCTCGTCTTCTTCTTAAGTAGATGTAAACATAGATTAAAATCTGCTTCAGAACAAAGATGAAAATGTCACACAATGTTCCTTTTTATGCAGCAGATCTCTGTCTTTGGAAGTAATTATTTTGGAGTACTGACCCCTCAAGTGGCTTGTGGGAAAGGGGGAATACTCTGATGATATTCTCTTCTTGACTCCTCCCATCCCTCGCTACCTCCTCACACCAGCTAAGAGGTGAGAATTGGAGGTTGCAGAGCCTGTTCAGTTGCTGCTTCTTACCTCTACAGAGAATGTCCAACTGTGGGCCATTCTTTTTTTAATTTTTTTATTTAAAAAAATTTTTTGAGAAGTGCAGCTGTGCTTAAAATGTGAGCCATTCTTAATGAAAAATGGTGGATGCCTAATGAATCTTGGTTCCTAGCTTTGGGTCCTATTTGCCAAATTCGTAACAGAAAATGTCCCACAATATATCCTATTGATCTCATGGGAAAAATAAGTCTGTTTGATTCCATAACAAATTCTCCAAAAGACAAAATAAAAATATATTCCAATAATTAGATGTCATATAACATATAAATAAATATAAATGTGTAATGTGTAACATATAGATTATAAATATATAAATGTAAATAGACATATTTGTATTCCAATAATATTAGGAATATAATATTAGGTGAGCTCTGGGGACAAAAGTCAATTACAGTCTTCACACCAACCAAACTCATCATGGATTCAGGAAAAGGAAAGCCTGGCTATGAGGATGCAGCAGAAGATTAACCATGGTCATTAAACAATTATGAGTATTAGCATGGTCTATACTGGAATTATATGAGCATGTTAAAGGTGGAGTTTAGAGCACTATTGTGCTATATTATGTAATAAACAGAGCCTTAACAGTATTGGAACCAACTTTCTTTAATAGAAAGTTAAAATGTTGTAAAGAATCCAGGCAGAGTAAAAAGAGTAAATAAAATAATTAGATAAAACCTGTCTAAATTTTAGAACATTGAAGGAAACACTAAGATAATTGGTTTATGGCCTTTAAAATATATAGAAGTTTTATTTTTTAATTGACAATAAAGAATGAAAAAGTTTAATTCATAGTGGAGAATCTCATATATTGTTTTAGCCTATTTTCTTCTTGGAAAGTCTGCAACTAAAAGGCTTGTCTATCCCCTAATCTCTCTGCTGCTTTTCAAATCATAAATAAATTTCTGTTGTTGAAACAAAAATCATTCCCTTCTTTATCATCAAAACAAAGTATCTTCTACTAATTATGATAGGATATAGTTTAATCAGAATAGGCATAACCCACATTAAGGCATTCCCAGGTGTGTTTCCTGGTTCCCTAAGCCCTGTTATCTAAGTTAACACAAAATCACCTGCATGTCTATATCATCCATCCTCCTGAAATGCAGTACTCTCCCAGTTGCAGTGTTTTTCAAAGTAAGATCTCCAGATCTAATGATCAAAATCATTAGACAACTCACTAAAAAAAGCAGACTCCTGACCCCGTATCAGACCTATAGAATCAGAATCTATGGAAATAAAGCATTTTTAAAATAAACTCTTCATGTGATTCTTAAATGTACAGTAAAATTAGAGAAGTGCTGTCTAGTTGGTTAACTCTGAAGTTTTATATGTTTTTCTTCGTCTTATTTTATGGTACCTGCAGCATTTACTTTATCTCAGAAATGCTTTCATCTCAAAACTTATGTAAGCCTCAGTTTCCCAATCTGAGAAATGGGTTAATATTACTTCATAGTTTTTGTGACGATAAAGATGATGATGAGAATGACAAAATTGGTACCAGGTAAAGCAGGAATCCTTCGGTGATTTTTGTATCGCTTCACCTGAACACATTGGGCAAACTGTAAGGCTGTAAACCCAAAGGGTTAAATACAACAAAACCAGATGACGTGGGTAAAATAACACTTGTGCCTCTCTTCCTAAATCAGGAAGCTTCTACTTCTGCTCCCTTTTTTCTAGGCCTCCCTGCATTTCTTCTACACAAAGCGGAGGTGGAAAGAGCCGATGCTGTTGTTTAGAGTCTATTTATAAGTAGGGCATTAGTCATTACTTTGACTCAATAGCTAGAACTCCATAAACCACTCGCTCACTTTATATCTTTTACATTTTTAAGTCCCTGCCTCCCTGGGATGATAAGCAGATCTAAATAGAGTGGCCAACTCTTCCACTAAGTCTGGCCAATAAGGAAGGAAAGGAAAATAAATAAGATACAAAGATTATAATGCAAGAAACAAATTTTTCTTCATTTGCAGATGGCATGATTGTGGACTTAGAAAATCCAAAATAATGTATGACCAAATGATTAAAATTAGTAAGTGTAGCAAGTTCAATGAATATAAGGTCAATATGTAAAAACCAATTGTATTTCTATACACTAGCAACAATTAGAAAATAAAATTTTTAAATCTGCATGAAATGTCTATACATGGAAGTAAATCTGATACAGGATGTGCAAATCACTACATTGAGAACTAAAATCATTGCTTAAGACATTAGATGACCTTAGCAGGTAGATAGTCTATATTTTTGACACAATGACTCAATATTTTTGAGGTAGCAATTCTCCTCAAAGTTATCTATAAGCTTAATGCAATACCAATCAAAACTGCAAGGGCAATTTTGTAGATGTGAAAATGATTTAGAATTTAGAAACTAGTTCTAAAATTTGTATGGATTCAGAAAGGACATAGAATGGATAAAATAATAAGGGGAAGAACACAGATGAAGAAAAACACTGATGAGTTTCAAATTCTATTCTAAAGCTATATTAATAAGCACATTATGAGATAGCTGGGAGGCTGAACTAACAGAAGAAACAAAATAGAGTGCAGAAATAGAGCTATACACGTAGGATCACCTGATTTGTGACCCAAACACCACTGCAATTCAGTGGGGGAAAGGAAGATCTTTTCATTAAATGGTCATGGGGCAATAGGAACCTGGACACCTTTTGCATAGCATCACGAAAATTGATTTGAGGTGGCAAATGGACCTACATGAAAAAAAGTGTGTCTGTTACTTGAGGTAGGCAAAGATTTCTCAATAGGGCACAAAAACTACTAACCAATAAAGAAAAATAAATAGTTATTTGGACTTTACCAAAACTAGGAATTTCTGTATCTCAAAGAAAATCATTATGAAAGTGAAGAGTCAAGTAATGGATTAGTGGAGAATTCACAATAGATGGTTTTGACAGGGGCTTATAGCCAGAATCTATGAAGAATGCCTACATATGAACAATAAACAAATAAGCAAACGACTTGAACAGGTACTAGACAGAAAGGAATATCCAGATGGACAATGAGCATATGAAAAGGTGCTCAGGATCATTATTCTTCAGGAAAAGCAAATTAAAACCACAATTTTATGAGATACCACTGCATGTCACCATAATGGCTTAAATTAAAAAACAAACAAAAAGAAACCTGATACCATTTTTTGGTGAAGACATGGAATAACTAAAACTCCCATACATTGTTCATAAGAGCATACAACTTGGTAGCCTTTCGAAATACATTTGATAATAACCACTAAAGCTAAATACATGCCTATTTTATGGCCTAGTTAAGTCCATTCAAGTCCATTCCAGTGGAATTACCCAAGAATAGTGAGTTTATATGTCCACCAAATAAAATTTAAGTAAATGTTTATAGCAACCTTTTCCATAATGGCACAAAACTGTAAACAGTCTAAAAAACCCAAAAGTCTATTTCAAGAAGAATGGAAAAATAAATTATTACATATTTATACAGGGGAATTTTACATATAAATTTTAAAATAACATGCATACAGAAACATTAATGAATTTCAAAGATATGATATTGAGAGAAGAAATTGAGACAGTAGAATATAGGCTGCACAATATAATTCCAGTCACACAAAGTGTAAGACCAAGTGATGAAAGGCAGAATCATGGTTACTCCAGGTGGAGAGTTGGGGAAGGGCCGTTGAATTGGAAGGGGCATGTGGAAATCTTCTGGAGTAATGGAAAATTTCAATATGTAGGTCTGGATGGTGTTACCCAGATACAAAGAAGTGTAAAATTCTATTGAGCTGTAAGCTAAAGTTTTATTCACCTTATTATGTGTTGTACCTCAATTTCAAAAAGAAAGAGAAGAAAGCGAAGAAACAGCATCTTTAAATGTTCAGATAAATGTGAGTACCATCACCTGAGAATGGAGAGACATGACTGGGGTGTGAGACAGTGCTGTTGAGTTTTGTAAATATATGTGAGTATTATTTTGATTAAAGTAACATTTATTTTAATGAGAAGGGAGGAAAGACTGCTGCAAATCTTAGACAAGATGAGTACTGAAAAATATCTGATAGCCTTATCAATACCAAAACCGCTGGTGTTAAAGTGAGAACTTCCCTTGGAGTAATGCTAACAGGGGCCAGGTTTGAATGAGACTGAAGAATGGAAATTAAGAGAATGAGTCCAGACAATTCTTTCAAGTAATTTGATGATGAAGGGATGAGAAATATAGAGATGTGGCTGGTGGAGATGTGGGTTTCAAGAAGACTATATTAAAATGAAAAAGATTTACTTATATTAACGTGACCAGATTATTGTGAGACAACACAGACACATACACACATTTTTTTTTTTTCGGCAGGGAGTGTATGCACCTGTGCAGTCTTTTTCCAAGTAGTCCGCAACTGGAAACCAGGACTCTTCATATTACATCTGGCCCTTCTGAATTTATGTGAGGGAAGTTCTGGGATGTTATTAAGAGTAGACTGACCCATGAACATGCACAAGGGACTGTCTAGGATGCCTGGACAGAATGAACAGTAGTCCCTGCCCTCTGGCTTTGTCTCATGACTTCATTCTCCAAAGGACCATTTGGAAAAAGGTCCTGGGCATTAAATAAATACTCCTTCAAGAGGAAGAACAGCAGAGATACCTCTGCCATCATTTCAGATCCTCAGCTGCAGGGTTTTGATACAAGTTGCAGGTGCCTGGGGAACGCTGTGCCTGCACAGCACAGAGATAAGTGGCTGAGTCTTCAGGTTTAGGGGCTGTGATGTGCAGAAAGCTTTCCTTCTTTGTTAATGTGGCTTTTAGCCTTTCTTTCTCCTTTTCTTCCCCAGCTGAATACAGGGTGAAGAGGAATTCAGGGCCTTTCCCAGGATCTTGCCTATACCAGAACAGCCCTCTTAAACCGCTGACTGTGTAACTGCAGTTGAGACTGCTACTCTCTCCCTCCTGGAGTCTCAGGGCCTCGGGACTCTGCGTCACCTGGTCTTCTCCACTCAACCCTGTTCAGGAAAACAAAATCAGAAATTATACAAAGCTTTTAGTTTAGCAGCTTTGAAAAATTCCAACAGGAAAACTGAATGAGCTGAGATTAAATCTTCATCTCTCTTCCTCAGCTTTGCACGAATGGTTCTCATTTCTTAACCTCCAACTTACAGCCAAGCTGAAGCCACAAGACTATGAATGCACACTCCAACATTTTCTCCATGCTGGTATCTCAGCCTAGAAACAAATTACGATAATTCCAACCTTCTTTTCTCAGAGGCGCCACTTCTGTATCTTAGTTCATATTCTGTAATGCAGGAAAGAGCCTTTCTGTTGGCTGCTCAACCAATCAAATGCAAGTCCTCTAGTAATTTTCATGCTTTTGAAATTAAAGGCAGTTGTAGAATGAGAGTAAATTGAACCACTGCCACCTCGTGGCCACAGTACTGTCCCACGGTACCCACTTTATGCCACCTACAAAGAAAAATATTCTTCATATTTGGTGGGCATAGTGCATATGAGGTTTAAAGTGGCAATGAGAAAAGCCTTATTTTACTTGGACTCTTAATTCTCTAGATTGTTTTTTGAATGGTTTTTAAAGCTAAGCTGCAACCAGAAGTTACAAAGGAGTTGAATCCGACTGGTAGCTGTAATTATATTTCTCACTAAAATATATTTTTCACTAGAATGCACAAGAACCTCAGCAGGTGAAACCTTAAAACCTTAAAACCTCAAAACCTCAGCAGGTGAAACCTTAAAAAGACTAGAGCTCTGAAAATAAAAGATGGAGTTGAGGGGATCAAATAGCTTGTGGATGTGTCTAGAAACCTCTCTGATGCAATGTGCAGAGAATTTGGAACATAAATTAAGAAATCCATGTCTTCAAATAATTTTCTGTGTGACTACAGGATTGAGACCAACTGTGACCAAAATTCAGGGTCACAAAATTGGTAGATATTAGAAGGAAGGAAGTTTTGAAAAAGCATAACAGAGAGAAAAAAGAGGTCTCCATTTCTGGACCTCAGAGAGACCTGAAAGTCACTGTGTGTGTGTGTGTGTGTGTGTGTGTGTGTGTGTGTGTGTGTGGCGAGGGAGATTATTCCATGCAAATTATAAATATTTTACACAATATAAATAATACACAGCAAAAGTAAGTCTTTCCTCCTCATCTGTCCTTCAGTATCACAGTTCTCATTATAGAGGCATCTATGCATCTGTTCTTTCAAACACTCTCATACACGTACATACTCATTATTTTCAGACAAACATACATATCATTCTGTGCCTTGTTTTTTGTCCATGCAAAATGGCCACGTAGTATTCCATTGTTTGGCTGTACTATATTATATTTAAACAGTTTTGCATTTTTGTATTTTCATTTCCAGTCTTTTACTACCAAAGATTATGCTGAAATGGTTATCCCCATAAAAAGATGTTTGCCAACATGAACAAATATATTTATAAAAATTATTGAAAATATGTAAATGATAACAGAGAACCCATGCATTTTTCATTTAATAAATATTGCTTCACTTCCTTGCCAACACAATGTATTATTAAACATTTTTATCTTTCTGAAGTTAATAGGTGAAAAATGCTAATTCAGAATACCATTTCAAAATTTTCTCTATTATTACTGAAGCCTGGGTTGAAAAAATAATTTTAAAATCCATTTGTATGTCTCTCTTTGAATAGTCTATTGAAAATTATGTTTAAGTGTTCATTTTGGAGACAGAATACCAGTGATCAAACTCTAGCTCTATGATTTATTTTCTATGAAAAAATTGCTCAGAGATTTTCTGTGACTTAGTTTTATCTTTGAGCTTAGTTTTATCATTGGATGGTGGAGAAAGAACAGTACAAACCTTAAAGAATTACTGTGAGAATCACTTGAAATATGTATTGAAACCAACAGATATATATTGATTGATAATGATAGATGCATAGGTAGACAGGTAGATTACACACTACCTAGATAAAAATTAAAATAGTGGCTACCACGTAACAAATAAGTAACATTAGCTATTATAGTATTAGCACAATTTTCTTTTGGAGAGTTAATTTTTTGTTGGTTTACTAAAGCTCTTTATATATTAAAGTCACGTTTTATGTGACTTTATATTTTGAAGCTTTTTATTCCATTTTGGCGTTTAGTTTTTGCTGTTTTATTGTATTTTTGCCACGTAGAAATATTTGCTTTCATATATCTCTTCCTTATGGTATATTCAAATGCATTCATCTTTATAATGTCTCCTGAAATTTTGGTCTTGCTTAGAAAACCTGACCCACTCTAAGCTTACTTTTTTAAATCCTGAAAATTTCTGGTATGTTTTATATTTAATCTTTTAAGCCTATCATTTGGAGTTATTTTGATCTAAGGAATAAGGTAAGGGGTTAATTTTTTTCAAGTGGCTAGACAATTGACTCAACATTATGCGCTCAAAAATCTATTATTTTCTCCCTGATTAGTAATATCTTTGCAGTACAGTAATTTTCTCTATGTAATTTGTTTCTGTCTTCTATCAATCTATCTAGTTATACTTTCACTATTGCCAACTATTTTTAATTATTTCAGCTTAATAATATTATTTAATGTATGATCGAACTTGTCTCCACCCTATTGCCCTTCTGTTTTAAGACTGTTTCTCGTTTTCTACATGTTTAGTCTTCATTGAAATTTTTGAGTGAGCATGTCTAGTTTCAAATAAATGTATAAAAATTTCAAGGTAATCATAATTTAGACAATACCCACTACTATAAAAATAAGAGTTGCTGAATTAAAAGAGTAGGTACCTAATGAAAATTAACCTCAATAATATTCTGACATAACTCCTAAACTGTTTTTCCAAGAACATTGAAATTAGCAATACTAGGCTAAGATATCATGGCAAAACTAGTATTGCCTAATTAGTTTGATTCTATGACACACCACTGGACTTTATAATTGAGATGTGTTTATCATATGCCAATAATTTTGTAGGTAAATTTTGCCATTAAATATGTGCTCATCTCGTTGAATTATCTATCACTTACACGAATTCTCTTTGGATTTGTGCCAATAGCAGTCTGCTCCTAGTCCCCATTAACTTTGATGCTCCTCCAACCCTTCTTCCATTCAGCAGAAAAAAAAGTTACCGAGCATATACTGTACTAACAGTATAAACACGTTGTTCATTGACTTTTTTTGAGAATAAGATAATTTCTCAGTTATCTACAAATCATTACACTAGCTTGCATATAATTTATCATTGACTGATTTGATTTATTTTACCCACATTAGCAAACTCTGACTCTTACAAATCATTTTCAATAGGCAGTTTTTCTCTGTTTCTGAATATATGTACCTAAGAAAAAAGGCGAAAAAGACGAAAGATAAACGCAAGATTGGGGCAGGGTTATTTATAATGCAGGGACAATTTATATTTATATTTATTAGTGCAGGAACTAAGAGAACCTAGACTGAATGTGTGATAGATGGGTAACAGAGCCACAGAAGGTGATTTAGAATTGTGAGTTTTATGCAAAGTTTTGTTTAATTTTTAAAAATATTTTTATTTTTTATTTGAAATAATTATAGTATTATAATTTCAAAAAATGTATATAGAGGTCTCACGTATTCTTCACTTAGCATCCCCAATGATAACAACTTGTGTAGCTATAGAACAGTTTCTAAACCAAGACATTCACATTGGTATAATCTGTAGAGCTTATTTAGGTTTCTGAAGTTGTACATGCACTAATTTGTATGTGTATGGTTCTATGCAATTTTATCGTATGTATAGATTCATGTAACCATTGCCACAATCAAGACTCACAATGGTTTCACAATCACAGCTTTCCTCATGCTACTCCTTCACACAGCCACACCCATCCCCTCCCCACATCATTAATCCCTGACAATCACTAATCTGTTACTTACTCCTACTATTTTGTTATTGCAATAATGTCATATAAATGGAATTGTACAGTAGTAACCTTTTAAAATTGGCTTTTCTCACTCTGCATGAGGGATAAAAGCATGATATCTATGCAAGTTATTATGTGTATAAATGCTTTTGTTCCTCTGTATTGCTATATAATAGACTATGTTATGAATGTGCCACTGTTTGCTTAACCATTCACCCACTGGAAGACATCTGGGTTGTTTCCAGATTTGGGCTGTGATGAATAAAGCTGCTATTAATATTCATGTACAGGTTTTGGTGTGAATATAAGCTTTTGTTTCTCTAGGATAAGTCCCAAAGAGTGTAATTGCTGGGTCATGGGGTAAGGCATGCATAATTTTATAAGAAATTGCTAAACTATTTTCCGGAGTGCCTGTATCATTTTATATCCCTACCAACAACATACTAGTGATCCAGTTTCCCTAAATTTTCAACAGCATTTGATGTTATCTTTATTTTTTATTTCAGCCATTCTGATAGGTATATAATAATATCTCATCGTGGTTTTAATTTGCATTTCACTGATAGCTGATAATGTTGATCATCTTCTCATATGCTTATTTGCAATATGTATATCCTCAAAGTGAAATCTGTTTAATGCTTTTTGCTCATTTTCTAACTTTTTTTTTTTTTACTGTTTCATTTTGGGAATTCTTTATATATTCTAGCTACAACTCTGTGTCAGATACCTGGTTTTTAAATATTTACTCCCAGTCTGTAGTTTATCATTTGATCTTCTTAACAGGATCTTTTACAGAGCAAAAGTTTTAAATTTTGATGAAATCCAATTTGTGTGTGTATATGTGTGTGTGTATTGTGCTTTTGGTGTCAAACCTAAGAACTCTTCGCTTGGCTCTGCATCTTGAAGATTTTATTTTTTCCAAAAGTTTCACAGTTTTACATTTTACATTTAATTTCATGATTCACTTTGAGTTTATTTTTTATGATGTTTATTTATAAATAGATTTTTTGGATAGGAGGAATAGTTCATTATTTTTATCTTAATAGCCACAGCTATTCCTTCTCCCCAGTCATAACCCCTGACAATCACTAATCTGTTATTAATCCCTACAATTTTGTTATTTCATGAATGTTATATAAATGGAATTGTACAGTGGTTATTCTGCTTTGAATAACCAAAATGTATATCAAAGACTTTTAATAGATGACTTTAAAACCTTTTATATTTTGAGGCTGAAAAATTTCCTTTTTATCTCACTATGATTATTCTACCTGAAAATTTAATTTAGAAATATAGGGACCACATCACACCGTTTTCAACCCATCACCTTCGGAAATTTCCTGTCATTTATCACAGGGCAATTTTGTATTATAGATTTGGAAAATAGTTTTATATCTGTCTTATTATTGAGAATAACTGGAAACTTTTCCTAAAATTTATGTTCTTTTAAACCTTAATATTCCCCAGGAAAATTGCCCATCCATCTTTAAGTCATCAAAATGAACTGAAAACGAGATTTTCTTTCTTCTTCTATGACTTCTTTTCTGATATTTAGGCACATGTTTCCTGAAGAAAAGACTAATTCTCTCCAAATTGTCCCAAGAATAAGAAATCCCTCTTCTTGTCATTACTTTTTGTGAAAGTCATATGCTTTCATCTACGTCTTTTCACAATCACAGTTTCATGGCCAAATGGCCTGGCTCCCTGGGACGTAGTCATGCTTCTTCCCAGAACAGGGTCCTGATTTTGCTCTCATGGGTGAATTTTGAAAAGACCAATATTACAATTGAGGATAATACTTTCTAAAAGTCTCCTTAAGGGTTAAGAATCAAGAAGTTTTTATTCCAATGGAAATAATTCGGCCTTTGGAACCAGAGTCAGGAAAGTAGAAAAGCAAGCTCATTTTCCTTAAGTCTTAGGCTAGGACTTGTAATGGAAGGAATATCCACCCAGAAATTAAGTAAATCAAGTAGGTCACTCAACGGGAAAGAAAAAAATATAAAAAGAAGAAGAGCAAGTCATGGCAATATACAGACAAATCATCTAACAATTCGCATATGGATTTGGCCAAGTGTTTCTTAACTTTTTAAGAGTCAGTTTCACACTTTAATGTAGTCACCACAAATTTCTAAAAAAAATCTTTTGTTGGCTGGGCACGGTGGCTCACGCTTGTAATCCCAGAACTTTGGGAGGCTGAGGCTGGCAGATCACCTGAGGTCAGGAGTTCGAGACCAGCCTGGCCAACATGGTGAAACCCCACCTCTACTTAACAAAAAAATACAAAAATTAGCCGGGCATGGTGGTGTGCACCTGTATCCCAGCTACTTGGGAGGCTGAAGCAGGAGAATTGCTTGAACCCGGGAGGTGGAGGTTGCAGTGAGCCGAGATAGTGCCATTGCACTCCAGCCTGGGCGACAAGAGTGAAACTCCATCTTGGAAAAAAAAAAATATATATATATATATATATACACACACACACACACACACACACACACACACACATATATATATATCTTTTGCCGAATAATCTACTTCAAGATAAAGAACTGAAGATAAACACGCTTTTGATTAATGACAATTTAAGATATGTTCTCTGAGCCAGAGAGAACATTTTCCTTAGAGTGAAGTTTCTCCTAAATCTCCATCTCCATTGACAGTGCCTCCCTGCCTCTTCCTGTTCACACTGTGACTCTTGCCCAGGTGTTTATATCGGGGGACATTGAGATATGAATTTTTTAGGCCCCCCTCAGGTGAATATTTCACTGTAGTTTCACTCAGGGGATGAAAGAACATTGCCAAAACCTCAAGCTGTGAGGCTGTGAAAATACAGCTGATGGAACTGGCTGGTTTCTGCAAGTTCAGAGAATACCAACCCTTTGTTCCATTCTGCTCATTAAAAGACTCCTGATCTATAAGGAAAATAATTCTCCCACTTGGTGGATGTCTGTACCAGAGTAAATAATAATTAAGTTTTAGCTTCTTATACACAATCCAAGGTCACAGCCTCCTTCTGCAGCATAGAAATTGCAGCCTGGGTTTGAGTTACCTTCTGGGATTGGCTAGATCTTGAAAAAGAGAGAAAAGAGAGGAGAGGAGATGAGAGGAGAGGAGAGAGGAGAGGAGAAGAAGAGTGAGAAAATTATAGTGATTCTCCTGGTAGTATAGAAATTCCCATCAAGACACACAAGCAATGGGGAAACGATTCCCTATTTAACAAATGGTGTTGGGAAAACTGGCTAGCCATAGGCAGAAAACTGAAACTGGACCCTTTCCGTACACCTTATACAAAAATCAGCTCAAGATGGCTCAAAGACTTAAACCTAAGACCTAGGACCGTAAAAATCCTAGAAGAAAACCTGAGCAATACCATTCAGGACATAGGCATGGGCAAAGATTTCATGACTAAAACACCAAAAGCAATGGCAACAAAAGCCAAAACTGACAAATGGGATTTAATTAAACTAAAAAGCTTCTGCACAGCAAAAGAAACTATCATCAGAGTAAACAGGCAACCTACAGAATGGGAGAAAATTTTTGCAATCTATCCATCTGACAAAGGGCTAATATCCAGAATCTACAAAGAACTTAAACAAATTTACAAGAAAAAAGCAAACAACCCCATCAAATAATTAGGCAAAGGATATGAACAGACACTTCTCCAAAGAAGACATTTATGCAGCCAACAGACATATGAAAAAATGCTCATCATCACTGGTCATTAGAGAAATGCAAATCAAAACCACAATGAGATACCATCTCACACCAGTTGGAATGGTGATCATTAAAAAGTCAGGAAACAACAGATGCTGGAGAGGTTGTGGAAAAGTAGGAATGCTTTTACACTGTTGGTGGGACTATAAAATAGTTCAACCATTGTGGAAGGCAGTGTGGCGATTCCTCAAGGATCTAGAACTAGAAATACCATTTGGCCCAGTAATCCCATTACTGGGCATATACCCAGAGGATTATAAATCATGCTACTATAAAGACACATGCACACGTATGTTTATTGTGGCACTATTCACAATAGCAAAGACTTGGAACCAACCCAAATGTCCATCAATGATAGACTGAATTCAGAAAATGTGGCACTTATACACCATGGAATGCTATGCAGCCATAAAAAAGGATGAGTTAATGTCCTTTGCAGGGACATGGATGAAGCTGGAAACCATCATTCTCAGCAAACTATCACAAGATCAGAAAACCAAACACTGCATGTTCTCACTCATAGGTGGGAGTTGAACTATAAGAACACATGGACACAGGGAGGGGAACATCACACACTGGGGCCTGTTGGGGTTGGGTGGGTAGGGGAGGGATAACATTAGAAGAGTGACAGGTTGATGGGTGCAGCAAACAACCAGGGCACGTGTATACCTATGTAACAAAACTGCAAGTTCTGCACATGTAACCCAGAACTTAAAGCATAAAAATAAATTTCGGTCAGGGCTTGAGTTACCCTCTGGAACTAGCTAGATCCTGAAAAAGAGAGAGAAAAGAGATGAGAGAGGGGGAAGGGAGAGAGAATTATGCTGATTCTCCTGGGGGTACCCATGAGGTTGTAAGGAAATAATGTAGGACGGGGCTGTGACTCCCTGTCCATTACCTCTTTCCCCTAAACCCCATCAGGTTTAGGAGAAAATAACAACCTGCTGCTGCCCCCAGATTTTAAAGCTGAGAAAAGCCGGAGTCCTGCATTTGTGGCCATCTTTACCATCCTTTGTCAGAAAGAGGCTATGACTATCCTCAGTAGGCAGGGGAGCAGAATGTTGCAAGTTCTTCTGAGTGCCGAGCTGTAAGGTGCTCCTCTGCCAGAAGAGAAAATGTGATCTGCTGATATCAGTTTGCCTGTGTTAAGCCATAGCTTTTTGACACAGTTGGAGATTCTAACCTGCCTATTTGGTCTTATTTTAATTTAATAGACAGAAATTATATCTGTACATGTACATGAGTTAAATTAAATTGAAGGTTTTAATGATTCAACCATTTGCTACATTCAGCCAATGCATCAGAGATAGACTCATAAGTTTCATAAGAAATAACAATTTATTATGGGTTATGATGACTACTGAGAACAAGTTATCATCCATCTTTTTGCATGGTGTATGCTTTTTGGTCTCTGGCTGAAATCTACAGTGAAATATATTCCCAGATTTTTCTTCCAGACAGGGAGATAAAACTTTTCACTCTCAATCATTATAACTCTTTCTTCCTGTGCACCAAGCCATTGGATTCTGGGAAAATTTATATTAGATAAAGTTTCTTGTTTGCTTAATGGCATTACAGCAAGTTTCTTGATTGACAAAATTTGTCCCGTTGCATGTGCCCAATAGCAATCAATAGTAAGTCTGTGCTAGGAAAAATCTGGCTTTCAAACATTGCACCCGATAGTCTAAATGAGTGCAGCCAAACTCATCAGAGCATGCATTCTTATTCTCTTATATCATAAATAAAGCAATTGGAACATTGCAAATCCCTCTGTCAGCCCACTGCTGCGGCAGATGTGGCTGAAAGACTTTTTTCACTGGGGGCAACTCTATAGTTTTACCTTTCAGCAGCATGAAAGTTGGTGACTGATTTGTGTGGTGTCAATGTGCAGATATGTGAGTGTGATTCAGTTGACTGCAGCTTTTAATTGTCTGTTTATGCTCTCTTCTTTGAGTGAATATAATTGAATATAATATAATGACCTAAAGTCCCTCTTATGAGAAAATTAATTTTTTTTAAGTCCAGGATGATTTAACTAGTGATAAAATTATCAGAAAGTGGTTGTCTGTAGGAGGAAAAATTAGACTGGAAAGGAGACTTCAGGGATGTAGGGAATGTTCTATATATTATCTTGTTACATGGGTGTATATGGTTCTCAAAACACATTAAACTAAACATGTAAGTGCATTTCATTGTAGAAAAAATTATACCTCATAAAAAAGAACCAAAATAAAATAATATATACACAGAGAAAAATTAATATTTTTAGCTTTCTACAGTTTTTGCAGGAATTTGTCTATACTTTTCCAATTGCTAGAGCAGCTGTGGTCTGTCGTGATTATAGTCTACTCTGATAGCTGTCTGAGACTTGGAATCAACAAAGACTAGCTGGTCATTAATTTGCCCTGGGAAGCTAAATATACACAAATGAAATGACCAAAGACAATAAAATGCCCCAAAGTTCTGAGAATGAAGATTTATGGCTACACATAATAATACAAATACATCTCATAAAGTTATGATTGTGTAAAATTAGCTAGAAACCAGAGTACATACTAAATGATCCCATTTAATTAAAGTGCAAAACTAGTCTGTGCAGTTAGATGTCGGGATAATGGTTACTTGGGCTGGTAGAGACAGGAAGCAGGTACAAGAGTGGCCTGCCATGTGGGTAATGCCCTTTTTCTTGATATGGGTGCTGGTTACATGGGCTTTTCCAAATTGTGAAAACTTACCTAGCCCTACAATTGTGCAGGGGCACATTTCTTTCTATATAGGTTATTTTATTTTATTTTGGTTTCTTTTGTATTGAAGTATGATTGACATAATAAAATGCACAGATACAATGTATTCATTTCAATGAGTTTGAGAATTTTATACACCTGTGTAACTATCACCTAAAACAATATGTAGAGCATTTCCATGATCGCAGAAAAATCCCTTTGTGCCCCTTTTTAGTCAAACTCTCCTTCCCAGAGGAAACCACATTTTTACTTGTATCACCATAGTTTAGTTTTTGTTCTTGTATTTTATATAAAAGGTATCATGCAGTATTTTGAGGGAAGGGCCTGGTTTCCATTGCTCAACACAAGGCTTTAGAGATCCATTAATATTGTTGTGTGTATCAGTCCGTAGTTCTTTTTTATCTCCTGTTGATGGACATTTAAATTGTTTCCAGTTACAACAAATATAAATGAGGTGCATACAAAATTTTTTGTATGGATCATTTATGGGCCTATGTTTTCACTTATCTTTGCTAAATATCTGTGAGTGTTCTTGCTGGGCCATTGCAAGACCCCAAAGTGATTGTGCGGTGCCATTTTACATTCTCGCCAGCACTGCATGAACTGTCTAGTTGTTCCACATATTTGCCAATATTGGGGTTGTCAGATGGCTTGTTTTTAGTGCTTCTAGTGGGGATGAATGGCACCGGAATGTAGATTTTATTTGCATCCCCCTAATGACTTATGATGTTTAACATATTTTATAGATTTGTCTTAGTCTATTTGGGCCACTGTAACAAAATATCATAGATAGGTGGCTTATAAAAACAGAAACTCAAAGTTCTGGAGGAAGTATAGTCCAAGATCAAGCTCCCAGAAGATTCAGTGCCTAGTGAGGGCGTGTTTTCGGGTTGGTAGTCATCTTTGCGGTGTCCTCACATTGCCAAAAAAGCAAGGAAGCTCTCTGTGACCTCTTTTATATGGACATTATTCTCATTACCTAATCACCTCTTAAAGGCCGCACCTCCAAATACGACCACACTGGTAATTCAGTTCTGTCATAAGTTTGTTTAATGTGGTTGCTGCCTTGGCGTCCATTTTCAGGCCTGACATAAGTCATACTTCATCTCCCTTGGCCTAGTTAGAACTTCCACTCCCTGTATGGTTGTTCTTCATCTCACTGACCCAAAATCCAACACTTTCCACAGCTGCTAACCATGATAAATCTAATGGCCAACGCCAGAGTCGTGTACATAATTTCTCCCCTTTTTATGTGTTTTCTTTGAACTAGACAGTCCTCAGTACCCATGGATAAGCCTAAGGGATAATACCCATGAACCTTAATAAACGTATAATCCCACAGGCCTCTCTCTCCCTCTGTTTCTCTCTCTCTTCACCTACTGGTTGAGCTCCCTGCTGCCTCTGAACTTCCCATCAGCCTCCCACTGGCACCTATAACCTCTCTGGGACCTGGGAGAAATAAATTCCTTCTATTTTATGCCTTTTCGCTTCACGTCCTTATATAGCATGTTGGGAGGAGGGCCTGGTTTCTATTGCTCAACATGAAGTTTTAAAGATCCATTCCATTTTACCTGACCCACACACCTAAACCTAATTTTTCCCCTAGTCAAGGCTGTCCTAGGCAGTGGTTATCTTGGCTTATGGTCATTCTCAGGAGAGAGACTTCAAGTCCAAATTAAGAAGACATAACAAATTGGCCACGTGAGGTGGCTCAAACCTGTAATCCCAGCACTTTGGAAGGCTGAGGCAGGTGGACCACGAGGTCAGGAGATCGAGATCATCCTGGCCAACATGATGAAACCGTCTCTACTAAAATACAAAAAATTAGCTGGGCATGGTGGCGCACACCTGTAGTCCCAACTACTTGGAGGCTGAGGTAGGGGAATCGCTTGAACCCGGGAGGGAGAGGATGCAGTGAGCTGAGATTGTGTCACCGCACTCTAGCATGGCAGCAGAGCAAGACTCCGTCAAAAAAAAAAAAGACATAAATTAAAATCACAACAGATTTCAACATATGAATTTGGGGGGACACAAACATTCAGTCTATAGCAGTACTCACTCGTTACACCATTTATGTATTTTATTATTGTGTAATTTTTAATTGTTAATTTATGGGAGGTTTTAAATATATTCTGGAAGTAATATTTTTTCAGCTGTATCTTCTTGAATATTTTTTCAGAATTTAGGTTGCTAATTGACTTTCTTAATACTGTCGTTGGATGAGCACCATTTTAAAATTGTATTCGTGTCCTATTTGTCAATCTTTCTTTTTGGTTAGCATATTTTGTATACATATTTTTAAATATACTGGTTAACCTATTCCCTATACATATGTTTGTTCTTCTCTCTCCGAAACTTACATATCTCAGCATGCATATTGTCTACAATTTCTATTAGATCCATTTGTATTTTATTATATTTATCTTAAAGTACATCCAATAAATCCAACACCTGGGTCATCTCTTTTTGGGTTTATTAACAGTTTTCTCTTTCGACCATGGGTCACATTTTTGTGTGTATGGTTGAATCTCCCAGTGGTTCTTTGCACTTCTTGTATTTGGATAGACCATTTCTTCTAATTATTTTTTAACTTATTTTTTACTCACTTGTGGGTTTTTTAATTTCTTTTTTGCCCCCTTGAGGATGTGACTTTGATTATAGTTTATTATAATCTGGTTTGGCTCTGGGTGCTTTCAGAGATGAATTCTGTATGAGCTCCTTGGTTATAGAAAGCCGTTGTATGACAGCTTTCTTGGATGCTGGTTGTAGTAGCAATGTTCCCAGTATGTGAGCAGGTTCATTGTCTCCTGTGGGGCTTGAATGGCAGAGGCGTCTTGACGCTTGTCTCATTCTCCAGTGGTGTGCACCCTTTTATTTATTTACTTTTTTTCCCCAGTATTTTATTCACTGGGTGGAACAGTTCAGGCTTCAGACCAGTAAGAGATGTCCAAGGGGAACAAAAAAACAACTGTGGCTAAAGCAGATGGGTAAATGCAATATTTAGAGGTGGGCAGAGGTCCCAGCCTTGACAGAAGCAGCTGGGGGAACTCTCAGTGAAATGCACTGAGTCCTCTTCAAGGGGAAGGAGAGAGCCTCCTCAGCTACCCTGCCAGTCCAGCAGGAAAGTGATCCACCTCCCAGTCATACTGCTGGCCCAGTGTTCCAGCTATACAGATCGTATAGGCACCTCTTCTCACCTGCATGAGTGCTGATGTTCCATGTAGACAGGGATTGTGACTCTCCCCCTTGTGTAAGACTAAACCTGGAAGGCATTTTTCCTGTGGGGATGCAATTACCTTGAAGTGTTCTGGAAAGGTTGTCTACAGATGCACCCACACTGAGCTTCCGTGGGAGAAGTTCCAGCTGTGTCTGCAGTGGTGGATGAGGGGGAAAAAGAATTCTACTTTTCAAGACCCTTCACTAGCACCAGGGCTGACTGACTGTTTAGTTAGAGCCACAAGCTTTCCCTGCTGAGCTCAGCACTGCACCTGTGACTCTGTTGAAAGAAACTTCCGCAAAGCAGAAAATTCTGGGACTCAAGACCGGCCATCTGGGTTCTTTTGTCCCACAGGGTGCTCCCTTGATATAGTGCACCCCCTTTACCCCTAGAAGTAGGAGTCCCTGAGAGCCAGACTGCTGTGAATGCTGCTACTCCTCTGGATCTGGCCACCCAGTGGGACTGATACCTCCAGGCTGTTGCTGCAGAATGTCTGCAAGGGATCTAGTGATGTGACCTGTTCTCAAGTCTCCCGGAAGTGGCTACCAGCACTAGCTCTGATGGGAGTGGCAGGAGAGTGACTTAGACTCTGAGAGATTGCTTAGTTATGAATAGCTTTAGTGTGTTGGCTTCCTCAAATGCCAGTTATACTAGTAAACGAACTGATCATGTGGACATGCTGAGGACCTCCTGGTTAGCCAGGGTGCTGCAGGCAATGGTGATAGTTGAGATCACACTCAAGTTTCCTCTTTCTTGGTGCTGTTTTATTCTGTCTACAAATGCTGTGAAGGACTGTGTTGGTTGGCCTCCAGCCAGGAGATAGTGCTTGCAAAGGACTACCAACTGTGGTAATAATGGTGGGATTTGTGCTTGCCTTATGTTACTGGGAGAGGTACTTTGGTGTCTCAGGCAATGGGAAGGGCGATATAGCTCCTAAAAGACTCAGACCTTTGTGTTAAGCAACCGGAGCTGGTGGAGGGGCAAAGCTAGGTGGGGCTGGGTCAGGGAAGTCCGTGTTCTGCGTGCTGGCACAAGTGGAGGCACAAGCTGGCATAAGCAGAGGAGTACAGCTGCCTCTATTGCACAGAAGGCACTTCCCCATGTGGACTCTTCCACATAGGGAGTGGGGAGTAGCAGGCAGCAGTAAGCCTCCCTCAGCCCCTACACACTTGGCAAGGCAGGTCTCACACCTGCAGTGTTTCACTATCAGCAGCTAGCTAGATTCCAAGCAGTCTGCCCTCAGAACTCAAAGCTTCTCCAGGCCACAAGGCTTCCCCATAGAGACAGAAACTGTGGTTTTCAGGCCATGCCCCTCCTGATCCACCTGCAAGGCAGGGGCATTTAGCTCCTGTGCTCATGGTTATAGTACACTTTCTGCTTGTCCCTGAGTTTGGGCTAAAGGAGTTTATCCCCACTCGAGATTATATTGCAAATCTCAGTTGGGAGCTTCTCTCAACCACCACCTGAGCTAGCTGGCAGATGTCTGCGAGGTCCCCTGTGAGGATCAGAAATGGCTTCTCTCTGTCCCCACTGGAGACTGGGAATGCATGCAAAGCACATCCCAATGCTGCTCCTTCTCATGTACCCCGTGCGGCTCACTAAATCAGCTCTAGGGCTTGGTAGGATTAAGTCTTTCCCCGTAGCCTGGATTGCCAGGTTCCCCAGTGGGCATGTATATCCCAGAAGCAGTTTCTAACCCTCTCACACTCTGGGGACTTAGAGTGTTCCAACTAGCTCACAGTGCAGGCTGCAACCTGCTGCTGCTTTTTGTTGTTGTTTGTTTGTTTGAGATGGAGTCTTGCTCTGTCACCAGGCTGGAGTGCAGTGGCGCAATCTCAGCTCACTGCAACCTCCACCTCCCGCGTTCAAGCAATTCTCCTGCCTCAGCCTCCCTAGTAGCTGGGACTACAAGCACGCACCACAACGCCCAGCTAATTTGTGTATTTTTAGTAGAGATGGGGTTTCACCATGTTGGCCAGGATGGTCTCGATCTCTTGATCTCATGATCCGCCCACCTCGGCCTCCCAAAGTGCTGGGATTACAGGCGTGAGCCGCTGTGCCCAGCCAACTTGCTGCTTCATTCAAAGGGTATGTGGTTTCTTTCCATTTTCTTGTTAAGTTCCTGTGTTGCTTCTTGGAAGAAAGTTCACAGTGTGAGTCTCTACACACTATTTTGTCTTCCCAAGTGGGAGAAGCATGTTGACGATGCCTCCAATCCACCATCTTGGAGAAAATAAAAACCAAAAAGAACCTTGACCCTGTTTTTAATAAAATAGCTTGAAGGGAAGGTAGATACCTAAGAAGAATGGAATAGGACTCTAAGAAGAAAGCACTAAACATTCATTTTTTATAGATTCACAGCAATAATTGGGGCAATGTTCAATTATTACTCGCATCATTTTCTCCTTGGGTACAGATAATAATCCCAAATAATTCCAGGCACAACTTTTAAGTAGAAAAATCTGAGGCCTCCTCCTTGCACATGTCTTTATGGTTCTCATGGGACAGAGAACATCTGCCTAGAAAGTCCTCTCTACTCTCCTTTATTCCTTTATCTGAATCAGTTCTATTAAGTCCCCAAGACACAATCAGCATGTCATCTTATAAACATGATAATGCATGTTAGAAACATTATCTAATGTGGCTCTTTTCAAATAATCTATGATAAAGAATCAGTGTTTTCACCAATTTATCATGGACCACTACAACTGTAAAATACAACACAAATAAATTACTTTGACTTTTGTTTCCTTGATAAATGTACACTGCTACAGAAATTGATCTTCAAATTAAAAAGCTGGACAAAATAAAGGAAATTTTCAGACCTTGGACTACAGATAATACAGAGATAATGAAAATAAATGAAGTGAGTCCTAACATTTCTTCCACTTATTTCCTGGAGGCAGTTTCTAGGCAACAGCACAGGGAGGATTAACCACAACACAGCACAGCTGCCTCGTTGTGTTGAGGAATAGAATAGGAGATTGGGGATCCTAAAGCATCTAGAATGTATGAATAAGTGTACCAGAGAGGAGGGATTTGGGGAGAGAGAAAAAGAGAGAGAGACAAAGAGAAAGAGGGGGAGAGAGAGATTCAGAAGAGAACTCTGGCTCTGGAGGGGTCACTCTTTGTCTTTGGCTGATCTGTACATACATGAGAGGAAACTCAGGCAAAGAGAAGCAACAGGCCAAATAATTTCCAGAGTTCACATAGTGCTGGGCATAGTTTGTATTACTAGCATCCAGGATTCAAGAGACATTGTAATGCACAGGGCAGGCACTAGAATCCTCAGAAAGGTGATAAATTAGTAGTGACTTTAATTAGTCCCAGAATAGAGGCTGTTCAGATAAAAATTAAAAGAAGTCTCAAAAAATCAAAATGATAAGCAAATTATTTAATAATCAGTACAATGTCCAATGGTGTTTAAAGTAATATAAAAAAATTGTGCATCCAACAATGTAAAATACATAATATCTAGCACCCAATCAAAATTATCAAGCTGGTGAAGAACCAGGAAAATAAAGTCTATAACCGGGAGAAAGATAAACAGAAACAGAATTTAAAATGACACAGATTATGTGATTATTATAAAAGGACTTTAAAACAGTGCATATAAACTACATACATACAATAAAAATGAATTCAAGGATGTAAAAAAATATAGAAACATAAGGAGGAGAAAAATGGAAGGCGTAAAAAGATCCAAGTGGAACTTGTAGAAATAAAAAACAATTAAATAAAATGAAAAATAAGTTGGACAAGATTAACAGCAGATTAGAAATCACAGGAAAAAAAGCTTAGAGAACTTGAAGAAAAAGCAGTAGAAATGATCTAAACTGAAGCAAAGAAAAAAGATTTTAAAAAAAGAAATAGTGCTCCTGAACTCTACAAAATCAAATAATCTAAAATAGGTGTACCTGAGGCCTCAGAAGAAGAGAGGGAGAGAAAGAAAGATACTTAAAGAAATAATGGCTGAAAGTTTTTCGTAGATACAGAGAAGAAATATAGAGAAAATTACCCCAAGGCTCATTGTAATCAAATTTCTGAGAACCAGTAATAAAAAGGAAAATTTTAACAGCAGTTGGGGTGACAGGATAGAAAAATGAGGAAAGACACTTTAGGTATGGGGAGTCAAAGCTAAGAATAACAGCCAGCTTTTCATCAGAAACAATGTATGTCAGAACCAAACTTTGAAGTGCTAAAAAAAAAACTTTAAAAGATAATTTTTTAAAGGAAAAACCATAAAACTGCATTGTGGGGCTTTTAACTTATGTAGAATAAAAATGTGTTGACAACAATAGCACAAAGAATGGAGGTGAAATGCTGTAAATTTATTACACTGTGTGTGAAGTGGTAAAATATTATTCAAAGTCATATTGTGATAAATTGAATTTGTAGCCTGTAAACCATCAGTTCTCAAACTTGTTGGTCTCAGGATCCCTTTATAGTTTCACTGAGAGATTCCAAGAAGACTCTAAAGAGGTTGTGTTTATGTGGCATAGAGATAGAGGTAGAGATATATTCCATTAACCATCAGAGTGATGACCTTATCACATACCATGTAGACTGGAAACCTTGCATATACACCTGCGAGACTTTGAAAGTAAAAAAGGCAAATAATGTCTTATTATCATTATAAAAATAGTTTTGGAATGCCAGACTCCCTAAAAGGTCTGTCTAGGGTTCCCTGGATCATACTTGGATGACAGCAGCCTTACACCTTTAGCCTTATGATAAATAGGTAACCTTACTTTAGTAACTTGGTTTTCGAAACACCATCTTTTTACTTTTTGTTTCTTTTATAATGCCAGGTTTAGATGCTTACTATTACACACTTCTCTTCATTACAGAGGCATTTATTTTATTATGGCTGTCTCCTGTTTATTTGTTTTATTAGGGATTTCAGGAATCTCAGTTAAAGTTTCTGTTTGCTCGACATCTGTTGGCCTGTTTGTCTAGCCCTTTTAAAATTATTTGTGCTAATGAAATAAGACCAGCAGAATTCATAGCTCATAATTGCTCTAGGATTGGATTTACTTTATGCAAGTTATGGTTGTATTATAGTAAGAAGTTAAAGCATAGTTCTCTGCCTACATAAACCATTTTAAAGCATTGGGACTTTTTTACTGAGGACCACTATATTGTTTTTTTTACACAGGTTCTTATTGGAAGTGCTGTCAGTATAGTAACAATAGCTATGGCAAAAATAAAGTGAACATAAAAATAATCTTCAAATAATAAATATTTATCCTAAATGAATTTTCTCACCAGTTAAAATTACCTACACACTTCAACTCTTAGTAAAATTGTGGTCTTGAGTACAGTTACATGCTGACAAGATTCTCTGGCTAGACAGATCACCTAGCCGCTCTTAAATGTTTATGCATGCTCAGGAATCCCTAAGCTTAAGTACTCATTCCAGAAATTCCGACTTACATGACATGTAAAGCTCTGCAAAAAAACACATAAACCAAAACAAAACATGATTCCTGCCTCAAATTGCTTTCACTTGAGTGAAGATCAGACAGTAAAGCAAATTCTATTCGCTGTCTATGCTCCCGTTAGCCCAGACACAGGCATTTGGAATGAAGGGTCAGACTAGAAGTAGACACTGGATGTATTTAGCACTAGGCAAATAAAGACTGTGTGAATACCTTCTTTACAATATTCAGATTTATTTTGGTCCCTCTATCTCCCTCTTCTTTTCTTAGTCTTCATATCTACCTGTTTAACTTCCAGTGCTCAGGTGTCTAACACCTGAGTTTGTGGAAGTCAAGAATGTTAGGGTAGAAGGTAGCATTTACCTTCAGTTTGGGGTGTCCAGACATCCACCTAGTTTGTTCCCCATTCTTTCAATTTCATCACATTAGTCCTGTGGTTAGCTTCCAGAAAGATTTAGTATAATATAGCCTTTGGAATAAAGAAAATTAAGTTTTATATTAATATAGTTTAAATTCTGTTAAACTGGGCTTCAAAATCAAAAAGTTCTCCATTTTGCTTACTAGTTAAATTATCTGAGGAGTGGTTTCTGGAATTTGATCAATTTGAAACTTATTTCATTGTGATTCATTTGTAGTTCTTGAAGCCCATTGTCATTACCTCTGATAGCCTTCTTTGAAACTTTTCAATATTGGAGCCTAGGATATAAAGGTAAAATTAAGGCTGCCCTGACCTTTAAAAGATTATTTTTCTTGTCTCTTTCTTACTTCCAAAAGCAGATTTTTTGGAGATGCAGTGATTGTTTTTTTCTACAATTCAGTTTTTGCTACAGTAGTCCCATAGAGCAGAGGTGGTACAGCTTTGTCAGTCCTTGAGCTTGCTGGGAACAATATTGAAATAAAATCACTCAGCTCTACATAGCCCCGTAAATGTCTTGTCCAGTATTATGAGACATACAAACGTGTAAGAACATTTAGAAAAAAATGTATATTTGGGAGGAGATAACGTATATACTCATAATAAGGTAATTTGGTATAGAGAGCTCGGGTGAGAAGAGTGAGCTTTACCCTTGGCTGAGCACACTGGCTTAGGCCCCTTCACTTCTCTGAATCTCAGTTTTTAAGCTACAAAATGAGATTAATTCTTTGTACCTTGCCTTGTTCACAATGTTATTATAAACAGTGAATGAGATAATGCTTATAAAAGTGCACTGTAAAATTAAGTGAACTATATTTTAAAAACATACATAAAATATATAAAAATACATTTCAAAAATATTTTTTGAAAAAAAGATTTTTTGAAATATATTTTTTAAAAATTTGGGGTAATTTATCAGAAGGAAGAGATCACTGTGAGCTGGGGTGACCAGAAAATTCTTCACAAGGTAATAATGGTCTGAGATAGTCTCTAGGATCAGGAGAAAGAATGATGGTAAGCATTCAGACAGGTGTAATCATGGGAGCAAAGGACTATGAGCAGAGCTGTTAATGGAGGACAGTAAATGTTTCCCAGCCTCATTCACAAGTTAGACTTAATCTGATGAAGCAGAAAGTTCATGACTACTGTAGAGGCCATCGAGAGCTACACCATGAGTTTTAACTAACCTTACTCCTACAGGAAAAGGATGGTCATTGAAGGTTGTTAAACAGAGGACTGATGTGATTGATGCTGTGTTTCTTAAAAGAATAAGTCATTTGTAGGGTATGGGAGTGGATTATGGGGAGGAAATGCTGGAAGGAGGGAGGCCAGTTAAAAGCCTGTTACAGAAAACCATGTGTAACATACTTGTATTAGACCATTCTCACATTGCTATAAAGAACTATTTGAGATTGGGTATTATGAAGAAAAGATGTTTAATAGACTCACAGTTCTGTAGGCTATACTGGAGGCATGGCTGGGAGGCCTCAGGAAACTAAGAAATTCATGGCAGAAGGTGAAGGAGAAGCAAGTACACTTTCACATGCCCAGCAGGAGAGAGAGAGAGAGAGAGCAAAGGGGGAGGTGCCACACACCTTCAAACAACCAGATCTCTTGAGAACTCTATCACGAGAGAGCACTAGGTGGATGGTGCTAAACCATTAGAAGCCACCTCCATGATCCAATCACCTCCCACCAGACTTCTCCTCCAACACTAGGAATTACAATTCAGCATTAGATTTGAGTGGAGACAGAGAAAAACCACATCAATACCAAAGGTCTAAACTCAAAGCAGTAATTAGCAAGCTACACAGGGAAGTTCAAGTCCATCTGATAACATACTAGATCCTAGGACCTGGGACCGGAGCATCTTTTTAAACATGTAGCTCAGTCCTTTATTGAGAAAACAATTATGAAGCATGTTTTAAATGAAGGCTAATGTGAAGGGCAGTGGGGCTATGAAGATGGATTGAATAAGAAGTATGTTCTCAAAATTTAGTCAATGGGATGGATAAGGTTTCTTTTAAAAACTTTTAAAGTATAATATAGATTCAGAATAGTGCACAAAACTTAAATGTAGAGCTTGGTGAATTTTCATACATAGGCAGTGAAATCGCCTATGTAACCAGCACCCAAATTGAGAAACAGCATTGCCAGCATCCAGAAGCCTCCCTTGTACTCTTTCTGAGTCACTATCTCCTTGTAAAGATAGCCCCTATCTTCACTCTCCTGACTTACAACTTCATAGCTTAGTCTTGCCTTTTCTTGAATTTCTTTTGCTTTCATTTTTCACTCAGTAATATTTGTGTGATTCAATCTGCCTTGAGCATATGGCAAGTTTATTCATTCTCATTGCTGGGTAGTATTTCATTATCGTACTTTATTTATCTTTGAAACTGCTATGTGCATCTGAGTTGCTTTCCAGTTTTAGGATATTATAATCACTGATGTAATACATGTTCTTATTCTTGTACATGTTTTACAAATGAATATATGTAACTTCTTATTGGGCATATAGGTAGAAATTGAATTTCTGCATCACAGGGAATGCACATGTTCAGCTATAGTAAATATTGCCAAATGTTTTTGAAATTGTACCAGTTGACATTCCTTCCAGCCGAATATGTGAATTTCTGTTGCTCCATGTTCTTGTCAATATTTAGTGTAGTCTTTTTCACTTTAGCCATTCTGATCATGGTATAGTTATAGACATGAATTTTCAGAAACAAAATGCAACATATCAAGTGGTAAGTAGCAACAAAGATTAAAGAGTGATTGAGAAGTTTAGAGAAGGAAAGATTACACACGTTGTATCTTTACATCAGGACAGCTATGTCTTGTAAGATAAGAATGGTGACTATACATTATCCAGGACCACTGGGCATTTTAATAGTTGTTCTTATAAATTATGAAATGAGAATAATTCAATGTCTAGACCACATCTTCTAGATTATCAACCAGCAAAACAGATGTCTTTTCTCACCTACTGTGTTCCCCACTTTCCTTTCCAAAAGTACAGTCATAGGAGGTTGAGACAGAAGTTTAGTCTGTGGAGATGGAGAAAGGACATTTTGTGCAATGGGGACAATTTAAGCAGAGACATAGATCTGTGACCAGACACAGTGGCATCCATATTACTGTGAACAAGCAGAAGAGTGAGGAGGTGTCTGCGCTTTGGGGGTGGATGAAACCTTCTCCTAGCTTCCTGGAGCAGGTTATAAATCTCCTCTTAAATCTCTTTTTTGTATGACAGCTTGCATTTAAACTGAATACAGGATGAGAATATCTTCTTTGTCAATAATTACCTCATCTTACAAAATATATTAATTCAGCAATCAATAATATCTCAAATACATTTTAAAGTGTTTATGTACTCTTAGAGTAAGAGGGGAAAATCTCCATAACCTATATTTATTGCTTCACAAGTCATCTTTTAGGTGTATAGTTGCTCAAGGGAAAAATGCCATTTCTTTGTTGGCTTTTATCTTGATGTGTGGGACTTCACAGGGTTGTTTATTTCAACAGTGTGAAAGACTGAAATCAAATTGGTTTGAAGGCTGATGTGAATATTGATTACATCTTAGAGCATTTCTTCTTTGGTCTGTTGGCAAATATGAGAAAATATACCTTAAATTACCTAGTTAGGGGAATTAAAGCAGCCCTGCCTGCCCCCTGAAAACACTTTTATGTTAAACATCCGTCATGTGCTGCTTCTCTGACAGGGCCTGGGCCTTAGCAGCAGGGTAGGTACTGGTGGGGGAGCAGCTGCAAATGGGGATATTTACTGGAGCTGCAAATGGGGATTTAGGGACCTGTTGGGGTGATTTTCAAGCAGTGCCAAGATGTCCTTTCCTTATCAATGAGTTTTGGCTCTTTCCTTTGAAAAACGTGTCAAGGAGCAGTGTGGTGTTATGAAACTAGCACATGATTGAAAATCTGATTTAGGCCCTGAACAAATTCCACCCTTTCCATTAACATTGGCTGTCACAGATTGAGTCTCTACTGCGTCGACATGCCATGCTATGTACCGTGCGAAAACTGTCTGTATAAAATCATGTATAGTTTAATTTAAACATATAGGTGTATGTAAATATGTATAATTTTAATTCTCAACTCGACTTCGCGAGGTAAATTCTATTATCACCATTTAATGGATGAGGAAACTGAGACATCAACAGGTTAAAGAATCAAAAGTCATGCTGCAATGGAGATGACAGGATTTGAATCTAGCCAATTTCTATTTTTAATTTTTTTAAAGAAAATTTCTCAAACATATAGAAAAGTATACAGTATGGAACAATGAAACCCCATGTACCCATCACCCATGTTCATCAAATATTGATTCTTGGTCAATCTTGTTTTATTTATGCCCCAACTACATTTACTCATTCATTTATTTTTTTAAAGCCATTCATATATTTGTAAAATATCATATTATTTTGCTTTTGCTTATTTTAGTACTATCACTAAATTTTGACTTTTTTAAAACACAACCAAATTGGTAAATGTGTTTACATTTTCAATTATTTTACAGCTTATCTGATTCAGAATTCACCTAAGAGTCACATATTGTGATTTGTGGACATGTTTTCCAAAGAGAAAACATTCAAAATTTATTTTCCAACAGACAGACAGCATTAGCAGCACAGCTACAGGAGTTTCTCCAAAGATCATACATTCACAAGGCATTATTAGCTCAACAGTGAAAAAGCCACTGGTGTGGTCTCTGTAACAATACACACTTCACAGTATAAGCAGATACCATTATTGTGTTCACTTACAATTCCAGAAGGAAAGGCACAAATGGCAAAAAAATAAAAAGGCCTAAAATCAGGTGCAATAACCAAGAGGCAAAACATTAGCTAACAGTCTTGATCTACATTTCATTCAGGGCCTTCCACATAGAAGGGATAGACTTCTCCCAGAAGTTAGGGTTTTTCTTTCTCCTTTCTTGTTAAACCATTAGAGAGATGTTTCCTTTGCTCAATATTATTACATATACAAAAGGAGATTACAAATAAAGGAATCACAAAACACCTTGAACATCCAACTCTTTCCACCAATACACTGACTTTTAGGTTTAAGACAGAACCTGGGAATACTTCAGTAGTCTTAAAATAGGAAAATAGAGACTATGGCTAAAAAACAAATAAATAAATAAATAAGGGAGATAAATAAAAGCTTTCCTACCCAGGACTCACCTGTTCCAACTTCACAGCCTTCATAAAATCCTCAAGAAAAAATAATCTTCCTAAGTTGCACCAAATAAATTAAACAAAACAAAAAAATAGTGTGTGAACCTATGGCAGGAAACACACCCTTCCATGAGTTTCTTCTCAAGAATGAAAACCCGGTTTTTCAATAGGGTAGGCACCGACAAACTAAATTAAGTCACCTGAGATTCCCCATTCAGGTGTCCACCTCAGGTTCAGGAAGAAAAAGGCATTTGGGAAGTATGAGGAGGACATTGGCACTCTTGCGGTTCTGACTGAACTGCATTTGAATAAACAGCAACACACACAATGAATCCCTAAGCACTAACATAAGTCCATCTGAGGGCATCCTACTTAAGGTTCTAAGGTTGAAGCAATTTTATAATTGTACAACCTTAGTTTTTTGTTCTTTTAAAAGTATATTTTTAGAAAGAAAAAGAAAGATGTTAACAGGATTGGGGGAATATAAAACAGTTCCCTAAATAGATGACAGATCTTGTCCGTTTACCTGCATACGGTTACCAATACCCTTCACCCCAATTAGGCTAAGTAGTTGTCTCTTCCACTGTGGTTCAATAAGTTCCAATGATTCCACCTTGAAGTAGATAATGGTCTTAGAAAAAGTCACCATAGGTTTTACGAAAGTCCTATGTATATAGTTTGTCACAAGTAACAAGGCTACTTTGCAACACCTGCTGCTTAAAAAAAAAAATCCAGTGTATATTTGTTTTGGTATAATTTTTTATTCATTTTTTTCATTTTCATTTCAATTGTGCTTGAGGTGATGGTCACAACCTTCATAAACGTCATTTGCATACCAGTAAGAAAAAGAAGGCCGAGCGCGGGTGGCTCATACCTGTAACTCCAGCACTTTGGGAGGCCGAGGTGGGTGGATCACAAGGTCAGGAATTCGAGATCAGCCTGGCCAACATGATGAAACCCTGTCTCTACTAAAAATACAAAAATTAGCTGCATGCAGTGGCACATGCCTGTAGTCCCAGCTACTCAGGAGGCTGAAGCAGAAGAATTGCTTGAACCTGGGAGGTGGAGATTGCAGTGAGCTGAGATCACGCCACTGCACTCCAGCCTCCAGAGCAAGACTCCATCTCGAAAAAAATAAAAATAAAAAAGAAAGAAAACAGGAGGAGATGGGCCTTTACAAAAAAAAAAAAAAGCAGATTCTAGAGATTTAACTCTGTCTGCATTTATCCTTCCATGCAAGTTAAGCTAAGCTGGAAAAAAAAAAGAAAAAGAAAAAGAAAAGAAAAAAAAAGAAGACTGCAACCTTGTTTTCTTCCAGGAAGTAAAGGAACTGATGTTTGGGAATGCTGTCAATAGCACCTGGTTTTTCCACATCCGCAATGACACCTGATTGGGAGCCATCATCTTGGAGATGGTGGTGTTATTCATGATGGAGACAGCCTCCAAGGAAACCAGGAGGGTAGGAATACAGCTACACTGGATCAGAGAGAGCTCACTGGTTTTCACTGCCAGACCACAGTCAAGTGTGGGGGTATACTGATTCCTTACAACAGTGTCCACATTCACTAAAGGGGCTGGGATTTCCTTAGGAAACATTTCTGAGACTCTTTTTCCTTTTGTACCTAACAGAGACATGGTGTTCTCCAGGACCAGCTTCCTCCCATGGTGTGCTGAGTTATTGTTCACCCCATGTGTCATATAGTAGACCCTCAAGTTGCCTTTGGTGGTAAAAGCTGTCCCACAAATGTTGCATACAAAAGGCTTCTCTCCAGTGTGAGTCTGTCTGTGAATCTGAAAAGACTAGTGGACAGGAAGTTCTTCCCACACTGGGTGCAGCCGTGTTGCTTGACCTGTCAGTGTAGCTGGGCCTCTAACAAAGGGGTCATCCCTGGAGACAAGATTGAGGGTCCTACAAATATACCTGGAACTTCAAGTTTGACATAGGTTGGCTGGGCTCAGATAAACGTTGAAGGGAGCCTGCTCCAACCTTCCATCCCTGCATCTGTTCTCAAAGCTCTCTGATTTGCCCCCAGCATCAGGAGACATTGACTTGATGATTTGTGCCTCACTATTGGCCAGAGAGTACCTGGAAGGACCTAGTTTCCATGGTGTCTGGACTTTGGCTCTCACACTCCTAGTCTCATTTCAGTGAGGATGAGTGGTTGGTCAAGCCATTGCTCTCCACTGAACCATTTTTTGGCTGCTCTGGCACTGCAGGCCAAAAGGGATAGGACCCACTCCCCCTACCTGGGGCATCTAAGGAAGCCGTCATGGAAGGAGATACGGGGATCTTTGAGGAGCTGCTTGGGCCCTCCTGGGAGCTGACTTCTACATCGGTGCTTTTGGGGACATCATCATAGCAGATGGCACTTGTACTGCCATCCTCACTGACCATCATTGGATCAGGATCATAAGGTCACAGGGATCCTCTGGCAAGGGAATATTGGGAATCTGACTGCCCGTGTGCATCTGAATATGCTGTTGCAATATCACGGCATTGGTAACTCTGGCAGATGAGGCATGAATGCTGCCTCTTTATGGGTGTGTTGGTTCAGTGAACCCCAAGGTGAGTCTGCAAGTTGCCTTTGGTAGAAAAAGCTCAGCCACAAATCTTATACTGGAATAGTCTCTCCCTGGTGTGTGGGTGCATGTGCAGTAATACATTTTGAGATAGCTTAGGAATCAGTAGAAAATGAAGCCAGTGGCGGCATTGTGGATGTTCTCAAACAGCTACAGCAATTTTAGGGTCTCTGGTCCTGGCCGGGGGTCCCACTCACTTAGAAGCCACCAGTACTTGGTGAATTATTGTTTGTCCTTACCTCAAGGAGTGTAGGCCTGCCCTCACTTTCTGCAGAAGGACTGGGCTACAGGTAATTGGGCAACAGGCCATCCATGAGGTTCTTCGGGTTAGTCTCTGAAGAGAGATTCTGAGGTAGCCTTAGAGAGGAAGTTACAAGGACAAGTTTGCTGTTTAAAGAGAGGCTCGATTCATTGATGGGGGCAGGTACAGAGTGCATATGGGTTGCCATTGCCTGTTGCCATTTTTTCCTGGAACTCAGCAAACAACTGGGGGTTCACCTTCTCTTGGAGATGTTTGTGAAACTGTACCCTGAGGTTTCCCTTGGTGGTGAAGTGATGACTACAGACATAGCACACGAAGGGTCTCTCTCCAGTGTGGGAGCAGAGGTGGATCCATGAGAAGCTATCAGTCCCAAAAACCTTGCTAGAGCACTTACACTTGTGCTTGGAGATGTTCCATAGCCTTCCTTTCCCTTTCTTGGACGGGTCTAATGCCATAGTGGAGAAAGTACCCTGGAAGAGCACCAAGCCCAGAGCCTGAGGGAGCAAAGCACTCAGTATGGGACACATGATGTTTTCCCAAACAGGGAAAGGGAAGAGAGTACCCTTTTCCCATCTGGCTTCAGAACAAAAGGCATCAGTCCTGGGGCAGAGTGCTGAAGGTAGAAGGGATGTTGGTGTGCAGTATCTTGGCTTGTTTCAAGGCATCCAGAGACGGACCTTGGCTTCCAGCCTTCTGGCTAAGCAAAACCACAGCTGCAGAAACCTGCAGGGACATGTGGCTGCCCAAAGTCTTCAGGGTGTCAGCCCCTGCCCTGCCACAGTGGAGGATGTGGGAGGCCCACACGTTCATCTCAATGTAGATCTGCTTGGTGAGCTGGATCTGCTGTAGCTGCTGTTGCAGATACAAGATCTGCTCGAGGACCCATGGGATGCTGTGGGCACTGGGCACAGGCTGGCAGTGCACCTGCACTCCACAGATTCACTGCCACCTTGGTGCCCCAGAGAGCCTGCATGGGCACATTAGCGTTGGCTACTTTGCGTGTGGGTAAATAGCCTATGTCCTTAGGTGTGGGTGGCAGGGCCATCTCTGTCTGTAAGTGCACCACAGACTCCACACCCAGCTTCTCTTTCATGTCCCCTGAGCTGCCACTGTTCTCCTTGTGGCCATCTTTATTACTTGGACTGGGTGGCTGGTATGGCTCAGTCTGGCTCCAGAGAGCTGTCATGGCCTCTCACTGTCATTCCTGGAGAGGACAGGGGGATTTTCAGTGCAATTTTTCTTATGTTTCAAGAACTCAGAGACGCTAAAGAACTCTGCACAGTATTTCTCACAGGTGTCCATCTCCTCCTGATGAAGCCATTTTACCACATGGCTTTGTCCTCATTCGCTTCATCATCATTCCCTTGGTGATCCATTGGAGCACCCTGGGCCCCCACCACTGGCGCCATTCAGGCTGCATCTGCGAACTCTGGATTCAGTTGCTGCTCACCCTGGTCCTCCTCCAAGTTGGCATGCTGAGGTTTCGTCTGCTTGCACTTCTACATGGTGCAAGCATGGGGCACTGGGAAAGCCAAAGTTCTGGCGATATGTTTTTTAAAGGCTCTTCTAATCCATAGATCCCCTTACTCATTCTTTGTAGTTTATTGTGGGAAGAAAAAAAGACCCAGGGTGTTTGTCTTGCAGAGTTTTTCACACTATAGATTTTGCTTACTGTATATTTGTGATGGGTTTAATATGTTCTGCTGTCCTTTGTACTTACTATAAATTGGCGATTGGGTCTAGAGGGCAGTATTTTGTTTAATACAGTGAACAGAAAACAAAGCTATTTTTCACTAATGTGGGAAATCTGTTGGATTGAGTTACTATTTCAAGTCCACCTAGTTTTTCCCTCTGTTTGGAAATTCTGAAAGAGACTGGAGGTTGTGTAATAACGATGGTGGGAAACATCAAGAATTCCACTCTACTTCTGGGAGAGTACATATTTGACAATTTACTGTTCACTCCCAAGGGTGTCCAATTCTGATGGGGAAATTTCCTCTTTTCCAAAGAAAAGGAAACTTTAATTATGAAATCAGGTGGAAAGGCTCCTAATGCTACCATCTGGGGTTGGAACAGCACTGAGCTGTTGAACTTGTGTCTTATTGTGTCGTAGAAGATGGAAATGAGGGCAAACACACAAAGGATGTAGATGGTAAGCAGGTTGTACTAGGGGTCATGGAGAAGGCAACTACTACATGTAATAAAGAGGGATAAGAAGTAAGGTTCAGAGATTCTTTGTATCACACATAATATGTGCCTAATATATGCTTTCATTCTTTTAAAAAAAAATGCTTATGACAATGGATCATGTCCAGAAGTTATGTAAGCCAAGTGATTACATAACCCTGGACAGCTCATTAGCTTAACCAGCTCTCTCTGTGTGTGATATGCTTTATTTGAACTCAGTCAAACTTTAGCCCAGGGATACTGGAACAATTCTGCAGTGAAGACATCCATCGTATGCAAGATCATAGGCTCTGAGATGTGGGGTATGAGGGTGACTAATTTCAGGGAACACCTGAAGAGGTTCCCTGATAAGGATCATTAGGAAATAGCAGGGGCTGGAGCCTAATGGTCATTATCATTGACTTTATTCACAGAGGCTGGAATAAGCCTCAGCTGCCTTGCAGACTGTGATGGCTTCATCTCCCCAGCCCCTCATCCAGAAGCTTCCTGTATAAAAGCTCTTGTGCAATGGCCTGTCTACATCTAACAGCTTGTAGCCTGACTTTGACAGGACTCAGGAACAAACAACGCAGCTTCAATCTCTGGATAACCTTTCAGGACACCCACTCTGCTTAGGAGAAGAATGGGAGGGTTTACTGCATCATTTTTGTTTATCATCTGATGCCAAGGCCCAGTGCCTAGTGACACATTATCAGGCCTGTACCTTTTTAAACACTTGGACAACCACACTCATTTCATTCTACTCTAGGCACCTATGAGCATTTGCATTTGCTACTTAGCTCTAGAGAGAACTCTAATATTGAAGGAACCTTTCCCAGTTACAATGTTCTTAGTTCCTTTAGGAACAGATGAATTATATTAATTTTACAAGGGACAACCAGAATTACTAGAAAATCTGTCTCTCAACCTGCCTTAGAGCTTAACTGGAGGAGCTGTGTCCTCTGGAGTTTCAGCCAGCTAGTCCAAGTTCAGTGTGACCTCATGCTTGTCAAATAGGAATCTTCTAATTTTTCTCATTCTCTCATGCTGAGGAAAGAAAGTGTGTCTAATGCCTTGTGAAAGAAACAAAAACTTCGAATTCAAATAAACATATTTACTTTCGAATTAGTACCTGTTCTGTGCTTTCCTCCTTCTTTCTTCCTCCCTTCATCTCTTCTCTATCCCTCATTCTGCCTTCCTCCTGTCCCCTTCCTCCTTCTCCTCCTCATCCTTCTTTCTTTTCTCCTCTCCCTCCCTCTCGCCTTCTTCCTCTCCCTCTTCCTCTGCTGCCCGGCTACATAGAACAGTAGCTTCTGTGTATGGAAAGCAGATGACCTCCCAAGCCACTCTCCTCTCTGCCTGCTTCCTTTGGCTTCTTGTTATTACTGTTACATTATCATGCAACATGTGGAACAGTATGAATATGTCTATAACAACTAATTGTCCTTTCCCAAAAAAGAAGGGCAGCTAGTAAGTGTTAGGAACTCAAAAAGGCAGTGGACTATGTGCTCTTGTGAGGCTAGTAAAATTTTGGAAAATATTATTCAATAGCAACTGCCTAATTAAATCTCTACATTTTACAAATGAGAGAACATGTTCAGGGGAGTTATAACTTTCTTAAGGTCACATAGGTTGTTTGTGTAAAACTTTAGTTCCCTCTGCCTACCATTCTATAGTGGATATAGCCCCCTAGAACATGACCTCCATAAAGGCAGGAGCCATGTCTGTCTTATTAACTAATGTTTCTCCAATGCTTACTATAGCTACAAATGTCTCCTGAATTAAGAATAAACTATACTTAAGGTTCTCAAGCTGGGACACACCCATGATACATGAAATCATGGGGGGAAAACCAGGTATAGTTTCATGAAATGGTAATTCAGATTTGTTTGTCTTGCAGATTAGCTTGTCTTGTAACTAATAATTTAAATTTTTACTTTTAAATTAATTCATACTGTGAAATGAATGGTAAATTTGCATAAATTTTAAAAATAAAATACATATACATCAAAACCATTATGTGTCCAAACAGAACTTTTGACTTCTACCCCAGGGAGTGTAGTGTTTCCCAGCTCTTCCCATGTTTATAGGTAAGCTAGAAATCTGGTTTTTAATGTGATGTCTGTTTTCTTTTAATGTTAAAAACTCAGGTTTCTAAAAACTTGTGTGGAGCAAAAGAAATAAAAATCCTTGTTCCTGAGCACCTGTTGTAACATCCAAGGAGAAATATGTGTTTAGACAGGAAGTAGACACTGGACACACCATGTGGGTTCTGGTTGCCATGGCAGCTGTAATTCTGGCCCTAACCACTTCTCAGCTTCAAACTGGCCAGAACTCAAAGGGGAAAGGGTGAAAGCAAGATATTCAATCCGTTAGGACAAATTTCCACCTTAGACATCTCTCTTAGTAGGCAGCCTCTAAATGACAGCAAAATATTTAGATACTTTTAAAATATCATAATCATGTCACAAAAACAGAGGAGCCAGAGAAAGGAAATTTGAGAAACATTTCGCATCTATTCTGATATACAAGAGGTTGCTGGCATGATTATGGAAAGAAGTTTAAATTTAATTTTTTTACCTCATTGAGTACTGATACCATTCTTAAGAAAAATCGATGAAAGGCATTTCTATTACTCTTGGATTAAAGCATTCTACATAGTAATTAATGCATAAATGTATAAGTGATTCTAAAAACTTAACAGCTTATGAATGGAATCATCCATTTGGTCTGAAGATAATTGGATAGTTTCCCACCCTCAATAAAACCAACACAAGATTAATATATTTTGTTATTGCACTTTTTGTTGCATAATTCTATATGTGATATAAAAATATGTGCTATACATTCTGTCTTAATCTATTCTAAAGAATAGAAGATACACATGCTTCTAATAAATGTTATATCTAGACATTGTACATGAATTGAACTCAGGTTTCCTTGCCAAACCACCTGTGCTGACACAGACCCTCCTTGCTTCTTCCTGTCTGTGACAGAGTCTCTCCCCAGGAGCCCTGCCTCTTGTTGAGGTTTTTGTAGGGCTCCCACAGGCACCCATCTCACTGTGGCCTCACTCAGAGCACAGAAGTATACTGCTGAGTCCACGACTTGTGAGGCTGTGATGGTGAAGTTGAAGGAACTGGTGGATTTCTGGAAGTTCCAAGAATACCGACCACTTATTTCATTTTGCTCATCAAAAGAGTTCCGACGAATAAGGAAAACCAATTCTCCACTTGGTGGTTGCTTGTACCAGAATAAGTAATAAGTAGTATCACGGGTTTCATACACACAGTCCAAGGTCACATCCTCCTTCTCCACCACAGAAATTTCAGTCTGCGCTTGAGTTACCTTCTGAGCCATGCTGGATACTGTGAAAAAGAGGAAAAAATAGACTGATCCCTTATTTGTAACTCTGGGGATAAAATAGATTAAGTGGCTTCAGACCTAGTGCTCTGATTTCATTGCCCTTTACCCCTTCTTTCTAAGCCTCATTAGACTAAAAAGATCTGCCTCTCTCCACATCCTTCTGAACTAACAGGAGCCTAAGTCCTGTGCTAGTGGTCACGCTTACCAACACAGATGGAGGCTATGACTGCCCTCAACAGGCTGGCAGTCAGCATGTTCATAGCTCTTCCCCTGAGTGAAATGTTCCGTGCTCCGTCTCAAATCCAGATCTTAATTCTCCACCTTGCACTCAAGAGGTACTAGCAAAGTTACTGGGCTGTGTGAGGCTTCTGCCTTTTACAGGAAGTATAGTTAACAGATATATGATGAGTTTGACTGTGTCATGTCACATACTTCCTGTAGAGATGGAAGATGCTAGACTGTCCTAAGTACCAATTTTGTCTCAATATAACTTACTGGACTGTAAATATACAGTGGTAAAATTGAATCACGGTTAGTTAATTCATCTTTGGTGGAAAATGTGAGACTTACAATTTATTATGAGCTATAGTGAATACATGGGATGATACAGTTATGCACCTTTTGGTCTTACATATGTCTTTTTCTCCAGATAGAATCAAGGTACAAACTAACCATACGGAGTTTTCACTTTCTAGCAGGAAGGCAAAACTTTTAGTCTCAATCTTTGTTACTACTTTGCCAGTCGTGGTTTATTTCCTTCTCCTGCCTGATTGCCGTGGCCAGAACTTCCAACACTATGTTGAATAGGGGTGGTGAGAGAGGGTATCCCTGTCTTGTGCCAGTTTTCAAAGGGAATGCTTCTAGTTTTTGCCCATTCAGTATGATACTGGCTGTGGGTTTGTCATAGATAGCTCTTATTACGCAAGTCAAATTGTCCCTGTTTGCAGATGACATGATTGTACATCTAGAAAACCCCATCGTCTCAGCCCAAAATCTCCTTAAGCTGATAGGCAATTTCAGCAAAGTCTCAGGATACAAAATCAGTGTGCAAAAATCACAAGCATTCTTATACACCAATAACAGACAGAGAGCCAAATTGTGAGCGAACTCCCATTCACAACAGCTTCAAAGAGAATAAAATACCTAGGAACCCAACTTACAAGGGACGTGAAGGACCTCTTCAAGGAGAACTACAAACCACTGCTCAATGAAATCAAAGAGGATACAAACAAATGGAAGAACATTCCATGCTCATGGATAGGAAGAATCAATATTGTGAAAATGGCCATACTGCCCAAGGTAATTTATAGATTCAATGCCATCCCCATCAAGCTACCAATGACTTTCTTCACAGAATTGGAAAAAACTACTTTAAAGTTCATATGAAACCAAAAAAGAGCCTGCATTGCCAAGTCAATCCTAAGCCAAAAGAATAAAGCTGGAGGCATCATGGTACTTGACTTCAAACTATACTACAAGGCTACAGTAACCAAAACAGCATGGTACTGGTACCAAAACAGAGATATAGATCAATGGAACAGAACAGAGCCCTCAGAAATAATGCCACACATCTACAACTATCTGATCTTTGACAAACCTGACAAAAACAAGAAATGGGGAAAGGATTCCCTATTTAATAAATGGTGCTGGGAAAACTGGATAGCCATATGTAGAAAGCTGAAACTGGATCCCTTCCTTACACCTTATACGAAAATTAATTCCAGATGGATTAAAGACTTACATGTTAGACCTAAAACCATAAACTCCCTAGAAGAAAACCTAGGCAATACCATTCAGGACATAGGCATGGGCAAGGACTTCATGTCTAAAACACCAAAAGCAATGGCAACAAAAGACAAAATTGACAAATGAGATCTAATTAAACTAAAGAGCTTCTGCACAGCAAAAGAAACTACCATCAGAGTGAACAGGCAACCTACAGAATGGGAGAAAATTTTTGCAATCTACTCATCTGACAAAGGGCTAATATCCAGAATCTACAATGAACTCAAACAAATTTACAAGAAAAAAACAAAAAACCCCATCAAAAAGTGGGCAAAGTATATGAACAGACACTTCTCAAAACAAGACATTTATGCAGCCAAAAGACATGAAAAAATGCTCATCATCACTGGCCATCAGAGAAATGCAAATCAAAACCACAGTGAGATACCATCTCACACCAGTTAGAATGGCGATCATTAAAAAGTCAGGAAACAACAGGTGCTGGAGAGGATGCGGAGAAATAGGAACACTTTTACACTGTTGGTGGGACTGTAAACTAGTTCAACCATTGTGGAAGTCAGTGTGGCGATTCCTCAGGGATCTAGAACTAGAAATACCATTTGACCCAGCCATCCCATTACTGGGTATATACCCAAAGGATTATAAAACATGCTGCTATGAAGACATATGCACACATATGTTTATTGCGGCACTATTCACAATAGCAAACACTTGGAACCAACCCAAATGTCCAACAATGGTAGACTGGATTAAGAAAATGTGGCACATATACACCATGGAATACTATGCAGCCATAAAAAATGATGAGTTCATATCCTTTGCAGGGACATGGATGAAGCTAGAAACCATCATTCTCAGCAAACTATCACAAGGACAAAAAACCAAACACCGCATGTTCTAACTCATAGGCAGGAATTGAACAATGAGAACACATGGACACAGGAAGGGGAACATCACACACCAGGGCCTGTTGTGGGTGGGAGGAGGGGGGAGGGGTAGCATTAGGAGGTATACCTAATGTTAAGTGATGAGTTAATGGGTGCAGCACACCAACATGGCACATGTATACATATGTAACAAACCTGCACGTTGTGCACATGTACCGTAAAACTTAAACTATAATAAAAAAAGAAATAGTTTTATTGTTAATAAATGATTTCACAACATACCTCCTGAGTCACCAAATCTGTTCAGTGTTTGCCATGTCGAGTAACACCAGAGAAAAATACCTACATGTTTATTTGCACACATATTTTGTGTGTGTGTGTAAACAAAAATAAATTCCAGAAATTCTACTCACTGCTCAAAGACAGGAGTTTCTGTTATAACTCAATATGTGTGTTCTTGAAAATCCCCTTGCTATTCCAATCCATGCATATTAATTATGGTGGAGATTAGGATGGGAAACACCCAAAAATATATAATTTGTAACCAAAGCATTACCAAAAACAAGAGAAATCCTGTTAAAATACCAGCAGAGTTCAATCTCCACTGGCTTTTGTCCCCTGCATCACAGTCATTAAACTCTTTGCAGTCTTAAATGTTGGGACTTATGTTTCATCCCTCTAGATACAGGTTCATAAGAGGTCCTGTATTTACAATAAGACTGGGTACATCAAAATTTTGTGTTATTATTCCTCATAAATCAATATTTTTATTTGATTTATGGCTAGGGTAAGAAAAGAATGGGGGTGAGTGCTAGTAGGCACAGAGTTTCCTTATGAGGTGGTGAAAATGTTCTGGAATTAGATCACAATAATGATTGGATAACTGTGAATATACTAAAACCACTGAATTGTAGACTTAAAAGAATGAAGTTTAAGGTATGCAAATTATATCTCAATAAAGCTGTTATTTCTTTAAAGATAGAAGTGAAAATACTCATATTAATGATAGCTAAAGTGATTCTAGTGCTGCCGTGGGAAAGAGGACTTGGAGTTAGGGAACCTCCCAGTATCAGGACAAACTAAGACTATTATAATATTTCAGTCTTAAAGAAGATCATCTCTATGTAACCTCAAATGCAGATTTACTATGAAGTATATTCGGCTTTGATTTTAAGGCCCCTTTCTACCGCATAACCTAGAAACTTAAATTTATAATTTAATTTTCTTTTTCTTAAAGAGAGCCCCAGAAATCAAAGAAGCATCAGGCCCTGCAAAACCTGCATTTTTATGTGTAAAACTCACAGAATCATGCAGGAGAGACAAAGGACAAACAAGGCTCACAGAACTCCAGAATATTAGGAAAAGTTTCTCGTGGTGAGCTACATCCCATGTGTGAGGGGCCCACATTTCTGTTTTGTGCTCTTTGATGCAGAGAAATATGAGATTATTTTCTCCATTTGGGGTCCCAGCGAACAAGAGTCCATATTCATTCATCTCCCAAAGCGGCTCACACCCAGGCCCCACCTGCGTTCCCCAGGGTTTGTGCTGGGCTCTCGCTGCAGTCCCTCCCACTCTGTCTCTCAGAGCGCAGTAGTACACGGCAGAGTCCGACAGCTGCACCGAGGGCTTCTCCAGGTGGAAGGAACTGTCACTCTTGATAGGACTGGCCTGAAAACCTCTGCTGTCCGTCTCCTGGTTTTCTGAACTTTTCAGGAGGAGCTCAGGCTCTTTGTTTAGATACTGGACATACCAGAATAGAAAAGTTGAATAGCTGGACTGATAAGTGCAGTTTAATGTCAGAGCTGCCCTCTCAGGGAGGGTAACTGGGCCTTCTGTCTGGGTAACCGAGTCTCCACTGGTCCTTCCTAAAAAAGGGAAAGACTTTATTATAGTGGCAATAGAAGAGGCATGGTCTCCAGTTTGGAAGGGGTTAAAGGTCATCCTAAAGCTAAGGAATAGAACATCTCAGAAGTTTTGAGTAAACATTACTCACTGAATATCAACAAGATCACAAGTCCTGAGCAGGAAGCAGACAGCATGGCTGGCTGAGAAGCAGTAGAAGGTTTTGTTGAGAGATATCCAAACCGAAAGGTATATATATTTCTTTATGTTGTTGAGTCTTTGGCGGAATCTTCTACAAAATCTTGACTCACGTATTAAGCAGAGTAAACTGCCCTACAAGATCAGGCCACAGGCTGGAACAAAGAGACGTGCGAAGGAAGGAAAGATGAAATTTGTGTCAAACCACAAGCTGAAGGCAGCAGCGCCCTCTTGAGGCTCCTCTCTGTCCCTGACGCCTGCTCTGAGTCTCAGAATGATGTTCATTTTCACCCTGGGGTGCGGCTTAACCTGCAGACTCAGAAAGAAAACGGTGTCCGAGGTGAAGGGTGGGACTCAAGGAAGGAGCATCAAACACTCTGCTGACTTCATCGTGTGGGTGATTCCTGTCGCCTTCTTCAAGGCGCAGAGCAATATGATTCCCTTGAATCTCCCCATTCCCTGCATCTAATGTGTTCACAACAAGTGTTAATTTAGTTTTAGGCATCTCAGGATATCCTGAGAATATAAAAAAAAGAAAATGTGAGATTTTTTTCTCGACATATTTCCCACTGGTCCCCCAAAACCGGGGGGTGAGCACTTCTGCTTAGAATGCCCTTCCTTCTCCCCACTCCCTTTCACTTGGATGACTCCTGTTCATTCTTTGAAAACCAGTGCATCACCTCCATGTGAAAACATTCTGCCATCTCTCGAGCTGAGTTAGTGCTCTCCTTTTTCCCACCATATTTTCTGTCCTTATCACATCATATTAGAATCATTTCTGTCCTGTTTCTCAAGCTGCACTTAGTGCTCCTGCATCAGAAGTTGAATCCTATTACTATCAGCAGCCCTTTTCCTAGAACCTTAGCTCATAGGAAATGCTCAAAAAAAACCCCTAAAAATTGGTGGAAAAAATGAATGAATGGCTGTATCTGGTGGGCAAAATTATCTTTGATGAAGGACAGTCTGTGGGAAGATGTGTCTAGTGTCTTAGGCCCCTGGTGTGACTGGCTTCATTTAGGAGTAGATCCAGGGCCTGGTAGCAGGTGCATTCCGTGTTCTTCAAAATTGAGTAAGGTGCAGGTCTTCTTATAAGGAGCCACTCTCATACTAACCATTTTTTTTAATATTACGGTGTTTCATATACCCAACAATAAAATTGGGTATCAACTTTTTAGGCTCACAGGTTTTATACAATTACCAAATCAGACAAAAACTTCAAACAAAATATAAAATCGATAAAATTCAAATTAAAACATTAGTGTAAGAAATGATTTTTCACTGAAACTCAACGGTTAGTGTAGACTTATTAAAAGAAAGCTATGGATGTGTACAGTTGAATAACTGATTTGATTAAAGTTATTTGGAGCTTGATGTGCTATTGTCTGAGTTATTGTGATTAGTGATTACTAGGATTTTTTCTTCACTTTTCCTATTTAGAAATACTCATGTCAGTCACCATTATACAATTTTATTATTTAATGAAACACCCAAGAATTCAGCACTGAAAAAAATGTTTTTTATTTACTGCTACTTTTATGTCTATTGAATTGCACGTTGATGCATACAAACAATGAAGGTTTGCAACACATCCTCTTTCAATGGAAAGATGCAGGCTCTTGGGAGTGTGCCCTATCTGTAGTACTATGTGATACATCTGTAGTGCTATGTGCTATGTTCTATATCATAACCAAAATTTTCCAAAAACTTTTCACCATTTAAACAGCTGCAATGTCTTCATTTGTAGAGTATTATTATCCCATTTACCCTTAATTTGGTAAAAGTGACAAAAAAATCAAATTCAAGGGGATTATTCTATTAGTCATCTAGATTATTAGAAATGTACCTTCATTATTTTACATTGTCCTAAGCACACAGATCTAATAATTCTCATTTAATTTCTATACCTCAGGGATTGGTAAACTTTTCTCTATAAAAGGACAAATAGTATATATTTGAAATCATACACTCTCTGTTGCAAGTACTAAACTCTGCTGTTATAGCATGGAAGCCATCATAAGCAATGTGTAAATAGATGAGCATGGCTATTTTGCAATAAAACTTTACAAAAATAGGTGGCAGGTTGTTTTGAACACTAGGCCATAGTTTTCTGACCCCCATTATACACCAACAATTTATTCATACAATTCCAAATACCCATGGACTATAGTTTGAAAAACTCAGCCCTATTGTCTTGTGTGTTCTTTCTTTTTTTTTTTTTTTTTTTGAGACGGAGTCTCGCTCTGTCACCCAGGCTGGAGTGCAGTGGCGCGATCTCGGCTCACTGCAAGCTCTGCCTCCCGGGTTCACGCCATTCTCCTGACTCAGCCTCCCGAATAGCTGGGACTACAGGTGCCCGCCACCATGCCCTGCCAATTTTTTTTTATTTTTAGTAGAGACGGGGTTTCACAATGTTAGCCAGGGTGGTCTCGATCTCCTGACCTCGTGATCCGCCCTCCTCGGCCTCCCAAAGTGCTGGGATTACAGGCGTGAGCCATTGCGCCCGACCTCTTGTGTGTTCTTTTACTACAACATTATTTTAACTCTTAGAGGAGGCTTAAAATAAAGATATTATATTAAATAAATTAATAGGAAGAAAGAAGAGGAAAAATTGATTATCTTAGTGCTTAAGTTACTTTGGTGTTACAGATTCAAGGCTGAGCAGCACAGATAATGGTCCCTGCCCTTAAGGAGCACATAGAGTAATAATAGAGACAATTATTAATTAAATAAAGAAATAAAAGGAGAAACTGCCCATTTAAAAAGGCAGTGGTCCACAATTCTAAGAAAGCGTATTGAGCTTTCTTCTATTACTGACTCTTGAACAGACGTATGAGAACAAGTAGGCATTTACTGGGCTCTACTCTCAAGGGAAGAGAAAATAATTTTTTAAAAAGAGTAAGAATGTATCCTAAAATTGCTTTGAGGGGGTTATATAAGATAAACAAAGTGCATTCAAGAAACGTAGATAGGACCAGTATTGAAGAAAAAGATAAATTAGGAGCTTATTGTGGAAAGATACTGGAGAGGTATTAAGAGTCTAAATCATGGAGGGTTTTGTAAATCACATGAAGCAATTTTTTTTCTACTCTAAGAACCAGTGAGGACCCAGGTGGTTGACATGGTCAAATTTGCACTCTGAAAAGGTCACCCTCACTGTGTACAAAGCACTATACTGAGAAGTGATGGGGTCTGTCAAGCTTGCTGGGGGCAGAGGAGTAAGCGATTAGGGAGAATTTTAAATTTGGGTGTGGAGGTGAATTAGGTTATAGAGGTTGTAATGTCTTCTGGAAAACTTAGTAGGTGGTACACTCAATAGAACTTGAAAATACATTGGATATGGTAATTCAAAAATAACTATGAACCAAAAATATTATGAGTCCTAATATGTCCTAAACTGAGGGTCTGGCAGAAACTTCTAATTGTCTGTAAAATGTCCATCATCACCTATTTTTTTTACTAATAGAACCCAAATTTTGCTGTGAATAGAAATATACTTAGATAATAATCCTGATATTCTAGCCTCCCTTGCAGATAGGAGGAGGTGGAAACATCGAATACCACTCTAGCAAATGAGTGTAAGCAGAAGCCATTGGGCGGAGCTTCTGGAAAAGACTGACTCAGCCAGCATGTACATGTGCCCTTGACTTTCTCCTTCTTTCAGTCTGGAAGGTGTATAAAGTGGAAGGATCTCTATCAGTCTCTTGAAAGTGTAAAAAAAAGAGTGACACATTAAGAGTGAAAAACAGTAAGCTAGAAAGACCCTAGTTCCTTTGTAACATGATGAAGCTACAGCACCAGCCCTGAATATTACAGAGCTCCTTTATGTGGAAAAAAACTCGTCAATCTTGTTACAAACATTATTGTTTGGGTTTTTTAAATGTGAACCTGAGCCAATCTCTTACATATATAGAAGATATTCATTACAATTGAAATTCATCACTTTATCAGAGGCTGATTGAGTAAGCCAGAATTGAGCTTAATAGTCCAGATCTTCAAAGATACTCTAGTGATTCTGGTACAGCTAATATTAATGGGTCAAGGTCTGACACAACCTTTCCCTGCCCTCCCCCACTTTTCTCACCAAAGCATGAACCTAAATACAAATGCTCTAATTTTCTCCACAAACACATTTTCAGTAGTATCTAAACTGTGTCAAGAAAACTATAGTCAGTATTTATTTCTCAGTAGGAGCAAGAATAAATAGCTGAAAAACTGTTATGTATTTGGTACTAAAAATGCCTGCTTTCAAAACACAGCGTTTTAGGACCTGGTAGTGTCAAACACCTATCTCTCCTTTGGATGGGGAAAAGTTGTTACTTTCTTATAAATTCCCATTTTGCCTAATAGAGACATTGAAGCTTGGGAATCATACAACTAATAAATGGTGAAATCAGATCCAGATATTTGTCACTATCACTCCAAAGATTCAGAAAATTGTCTGTCTTATTATGCAATGGTTTTACTCCTCAGCTCTAAAATGAAAAGCTTGGTTGAGAGTCCTAGGACCTCTTCCAATTCTAATGCTTAATGAATCTACTGCTTCTTATACAAGAATTAGAGGAACCTAAGAGCCACCTCATGCACCTTAAAGACCCACTGATGTCTTGGGAGGGCTGCACATAGGACAAATGAGACCTTCTAAAACTGTGCAGCCTTCCTCCTCTTCCACAAGTGCCCAGTGATTTTTTTCCCTAATAAAATTAGGGATTAAGTAATATTTTGGGCTCATTGATCCATATCCTTTATTTCAAGTGAGGAAATTGAAGGCTGCTACACTGACAATGTCCCTATGTAGCCAGGATTAGCAGAACTGAGCCTGGCATTTCCATTTCCTGTTCCAAATTTCATGCCTTTTCCCCTAGTCCAAGATGCTTTTTAAAAAATCACGAATTTGAAAGAGTTCCCCTTTTACTTTGCCAGCTGTTTGTAGACTCTTCTTGACTGAAAGACATAACCACTAATTCTACCCACTATTAGGGCTTCTAAGAAGCTGCTTTGGCAGGGTTTGCGTAGAGGCTGCAGGTTCCTGGGGAACACTGTGCGTCCGTAGCACAGAAGTAAGAAGCAGTGTCTGCTGCCCGGGAAGCCGTGATCAACAAGGAACTGCTTTTCTTGGAAGTGTCAAGCGTGACTCTTAATCTTCCACTGTGTTTCTCTCTTTCATTTGAACGTATTAAAATTAGGTGGACAAGGCCTCTACCTGAATTTTGTCTATACCACTGTAAATTGTTTATACTAGTTTTGTAACTGCAGTTCATGGTGGCATTTTCACCCTCCTGGATGCTCAAGGCCTGAGGATCCTCTTCTCCCTGTTGACTGTTCACCCCTAGGCAGAAACACAGGTCCGGGACCAGGAGTCAGTCATTACATTTTCAAATTACATTTCCAAATTAATAAGAACACTTCACCCCTCAGCCCTGTGGGCTCTAAAATTTGGTCTTGCCATTCCCATCACCAAAATCCCCAACTCACTAGCCAGTTGAAGCCATAGAATCACCAAAGACACTCCCAGGAGAGTTTCCATTCTTCTTCCTTATTGAAATCACAGAAGACCTGAAATGGAGCAAGGCTCCTCAGTCACAGATGAGCTCTCTTTACTGGGTGAATCCCTAGTCTTTCTGTCCCCTAGTCTCAGGTTCCTCCCTAGCCAGTCACAGGCAAGCTCAGTCCTTTCCTTTCAATGCAGATAGGCTGATTTAAAGCCAAGTTAGTCTGAGGAGAGGGAGGCACTGCCCTCTTGTGATCGTAACATCATCCTGCTGCCATCAGGACGTGTGTTCAGAGCTGACTCAGAAGAAATTACAAAGCTATTCCAGTCTCTGCCTTTATTGAAATCTAATTCTAACTTAGAATAGGAACAGATACATTTCAATTCAGGTAAGAACTCAACTACGAAAGACAGTTGGTGCTCAATATTTTCAGACTACCTCTGAGAAGCACTGTTAAATTCCCTGTAGTTACTATGACCTCTGATCATGTACCTACGAGCTTCCTTTTAAAAAATTTTCCCTGGAATGAGATTATATACAAGTCAAGGTTTTTACTGATGGGCAACAGAAATGGACTCTGCCTAAATTAAGTAGAAAAGGAATAAATTAATGAATACTGGATTTACCTCAGAATCTCCAGTAGGGTCAGAGAACTGAACTCAAAAGCTATGAAGTCAGCAGCAGTACAGAAAATCACTCTGGAGAAGCACTCCTCTGAGTATCCCACTGGCTCCTTTCCTGAGCTCCAGATACTGCCCGTAGTTTATGCAAGACTGTTCACGCAGGACAATGTATGCAGCTACAATTCCACTGCCTTGTAGCCTGTAAACTCTCATGTCCACCTTGTTGCAATTACCACCACTCTCAAAAAGGAAACTCTTACTCATTTTTTGTTTGTTTTTTGTTTTTGTTTTTTTGCAAAAGTAACTCCTGAGTGAAAGTTAGGGAACAATTCATCTAATTGTTGGAGCCCAAGCCATGTGCCCACATCAAGCCTAACCAGTAGGCTGTATTAGTTTACCAGGGCTCCCATAACAAAGTATCACAGACTGCATGGCTTAAACAACAAACATTTATTTTCTCATGATTTTAGGGACTACAATTTCAAGGTCAAAGTGCTGGCAGGTTTAGTTTCTTTTGAGGCCTTTCTCCATGACTCATAAATGGTTGCCTTCTTGTTGTGTCTTCACATGGTCATCCCTTTGCCTGTGCTATCTGTCCCAATCTCCTCTTAAGGATGCCAGTCTTATTAAATTAGTGGTTACCCTCAAGACCACCTTTTAACTTTACCTTTAAAAGTTCTGTCTCCAAATAGAGTCATGTTCTGAGGTACTGGGGGTTAGCGCTTCTACGTCCACATTTTGTGGAAACACAGTTCAGCCCATAGCAGTGAATACCTAGAAGTTTTAGTTTCTATGGCAGGAGGCAGGCGGGTCCAGGAAGAGAGGAAGTTTTATAGTCAGGCCATCGAAGTCAGGTTTACATCTATCAGTTCAGTAGCTGTTTCTGTCTTCTGTGCCTACATTATCTTGGCTGTAGAACATGGATCATGAGTAAATAATAATACTACCTTTTCAGAGCTGTTGAAGGTTAACGATGAGATCATAAAATGTCATTTAGCACAGTGCCTGACATTCATTAGTGACTGAAAAATTATTATTGTTATAAGAAAATGGGTCCTGATGCAGAGCAGTCAAAAAGAATAGCAAGAATCTTCTAGAGTATTTTATAAATGTTCCCAAAAATTGATTTTAAGGTATTTTGTGTGTAAAACAGAGAGAGAGATGGGAAAGATGAGAAGACAGGAGAACAGAGAAAGGAAAAAAAGAAATGAGAAGAAGAGATTGCTGGCTAGAGCAATATGTAGATTGGAGGGTTCCAAGACATAAGTCTAGAGGAAGGGTCTGGGTCAGATGACTGCCAAAATAAATCTTTATGTTTTTCAGTGCGAAATAAAGACATATGAAAGCTTTTTGAGCAAAGAACCAGTGTTATTTAACAAACTGAAATTTTAATCTGTCTGCTCTCTTCCAGATAATTTTGAAACAGTCTGTGAGCAAATTTAGAATAGTAGTTAAAAGATGTACCCTGGTTCAAAGAAATTAAATGATGTGTCTAATGTCTCACAATGAGGAGGTCAAGAATATAGTACTTTTAATATTTGTATGTATTTAGCTGTATCTGCAAAAAGTAACCAGAAATATTGCTGACCTCTTGGGAAAACTGTGAGATAGAGTTAAAACTGTGAGGTAGAATAAAACTATTTTTATAATAGTGCTGATATTACTTGAGTCTTTCACTGTGTTGACATTTACACTGATGAAGCAAATGCAATTGCTGATGTTTTAACACAGGTAAAATAAATGAACCCAAAATATTCTAGTAGTCATTGTACATAATCATTACCACCACACTGGCAAGAGAAAAAGATTTTACTCAACAATGTCCTAGATGTAGAAGCAAAATTTTTTAAATTAAATCTTGACCCTTGAGAGTACACCGTTTAAATATTCTGTGTGATGACATAGGACGTATGCATAAAGTTCATCTGTGGTGTACTAACACGGTGGTGCCTCAAGAGAGAAAGACACTGGAGTATTGTTTGAGTTGTGAGCTAAACTAGCTGTTTCTCATAGAACTTTTTTTTTTTTTTTTTTTTTTTACTTGAAGGCATGAGTGACAGAACAGCAGATTTGGGTAGTTGGAAGGTATGTTCTTGAAAATGATAAAATGTGAGCCTGCCATTTTGAGGAAAACAACTAATAGTGGTTGTCACCCATGATAATATTTGAGCTTCCAAGTGAAAATTAGAATTTTGGAAAATTTGCATCCACTACCATCGGCTTCACACCTTCCCAACTCTTAGCGGTTTTACTGATAAAATTGGTGGTGAGAGTAAAGAATGCAATTTTTGAAACTATAGTACTGTATTTGTTTTGAAATTATTATAAATCCATGGCAAGTTGCCAAAATAGTTTATAGAACCCTATGTACTCTTCACATAGCCTCTTCCAGTGGTGACATCGTATATAACTGAAATTCAATATAAATACCAGGAAATTGACATTGTTCAAATACCACTAACTAGACTACAGGTAGTATTCAATTGTCACTATTTTCTTGCTTTTCTCCACGTGTGTGCATGCATACTTGTGTGTGGTTCTTGATTTTATCTCATATAACCACCAACATAATCAAGATTCAGACTGTTCCATCAACATAGAATTCTCTCATCCTAACCCTCTATATGCACAAACACCCTCCCATGCCCAATCTCTGTCCCCTAGCAACCATCTCTTATAGTTCTGTTATTTTGAGAATGTTATATATATGGAATCAAACTGTATGTAACCTTTGGGAATTGACCCATACAGGTTGTTCCATGTATCAACAGTTTGTTCTTTTTTTTTCATATTATTCCATGGTATGAACTATGATAGTTTATTTAACCATTTACCCGTTGAAAAATATCTAGGTTGATTCCAGTTTTTGGCAATTATGAATAAAGCTACTATGAATGTTGTATAAGACTTTATGTGAATGTTACTGGGATAGATGTCCAATGCACAATGGTGTGATCATATGATAAGTGCATGCTTAGTTTTATAAAAAAACTGCCAGATTATTTTCCAGAATGGCTGTACTATTTTACAATCCCACCAGCAATGTATAAAAGTGTCCATTTCTCTACATACTCACCAACATTTAGTATTATTACTGTTTTGTATTTTAGCTGTTCTAATATGTTTATAGTGATATCTCATTGTGATTTTTATTTTCATTTTGCTAGTGAAGAATGATATTGAATATCTTTTTATTTGCTTATTTTTCACCCATATTTCTACTTTGGTGAAATATCTATTCTATTTCTAATTGGATTATTTATTTGTTTCTTTTTTACATTGAGATTTGCGTGCTCTTTATTCATCGTAGATATAAGACTTCTGTCTGATGTGTGATTTATAAACATTTTCTCTCTGTCTATAGGTTGCCTTTTATTCTATTAACAAGGTCTTTCTACAATGCCAAAGGTTTTAATTTTATTTAAGGCTAATTTATCGTTTTTTTCTTTTATAGACTGCACTTTTTGTGTGCATGTCCAAGAACTCACTATCTAGCTCTAGTTCTCAGCTATTTTCTCTAGTTCATGATATACGAGTTTAGGATTGGTACAATGATGTGCCGAAGGTCTTGAGGTGAGTTTTATTGATAAAACTATTGTCTTCATAAGCAAGCTATTTTTCCAATTAAGAAAACTCTTAACCTGATTAGGCATCTGTTTGCCCAGATGAACATATTGTTTGCCTGTATTAATTGGTTTGACACGGTTCCCTGAAGAAACCAGTGAAATCACATTAGTGGAGGTTGACTCACATGCTCACAGGAGAGGATTGCTGATTTTTCTATTTGTTTAAATGAATTTATTTAACATTCCTTCACTGTGTACATATTGTGTGCTCCATACTGTGTTAGAAGGTTAGATTAAAGCCAGAGAGAACATAACGGCCCTTCTCTGGAACATTCAGCTCAACAGGAAGAGGAGATACGATAAAGTTTTAATATACCGTGATGGTTACCAGAACATGTTGCAAAGTTGTTAGGAAGGGGGCGAGTAGCTCCAGAAGCCATACAACACATGTAGAGAGAGCTACATCTAAAACCCGGGGGATTTTTTTGAGGAGCCTAATGGCACTTTCGTGCCCAATAGTAAAAGTTAAGGGAAACCTGCAGCAACAAATTAAAAGCCATGACTATTGAGAACTCAGACTCTTCGAGAATGAAGATTTTTGTCATTCCACCAGGTAAATAACTCCAATCCACCGATGACGTGGATGAGGGCAGAAGAATATAAAATACGTAACAAGAGAAGGAAGCTGTCTATGTCAATTGAAGCCCAGGACCAAGTCTGGAATCAAGGAATGTGGTAGCTTTCTGTATTTTATCTTTGCTCATTATATGTAAGTGTTTCTTTGTATATGCTGCCATTTTATTCTCTCTTTCTTATCATAATTATTTTATATGTAAATTATTGGAGATTAGCTTTATAATTTAGTCTGTATATAACAGCATATTCAGTAGAACTTCCTCTGAACTTGAGATGTGGCTGATACAGTCAGGGATTCATACAGTGGTTGTTGGGACTATGGATCATCTCATTTGGGAGAAAGAATGAAAACTCCACTTGTTCAAGGACAGCTTCAGCTTATTAGGTAGCAACATAGTGTCATTTCACTATTGTTTGGAAGTTGAAATGTGCATATAGGAATGCATATGGACCAGGTGCAGTGGCTCATGCCTGTAATACCAGCACTTCGGGAGGCTGAAGCGGGTGGATCACCTGAGGTCAGGAGTTCAAGGCCAGCCTGGCCAAAATGGTGAAACTCCGTCTCCACTAAAAATATAAAAATTAGCCAGGCATGGTGGCAGGCACCTGTAGTCCTAGCTACTCGAGAGGCTGAGGCAGAAAAATCACTTGAACCTGGGAGGTAGAGATTGCAGTGAGCGGAGATTGCGCCACTGCACTCCAGCCTGGGTGACAGAATGAGACTCCGTCTCAAAAAAAGAAAGAAGAAAGAAAAAAAGGAATGCATATGAAAGATCAGTAGCCCAAGGGATAGGGTGTGACAGTTATCAATGTATTACCTCTCAGCTCCAAATCCACCCTAATTACCCTATTTGTGAACTGGATCTGGACCCTCTAAATATTTGATATTAAGCTTTGTCAGTAGAGGGGGCTGGAAGGACCCCGCAGAAGGATGACGCTTCTCTTCCTGGTTCTGGTATGTTTTCCACACTTCTTGTCCACTATGCTTCGTTGGCCTGTAGGACACCAGTGGCACTCCCCTCCAGCAAGCCCGACAGGTGGTTTCTTGGCAAGTTTCACAGCCACCACAAGCAAGTTCAGCAGCACTCGTTTGCGGGCTTCCCATGAATTGTGTTGTAATCCTGGTAGGTATTTTTCTGCTTGTCAGTATTTTTCTCTGGCACCTCAGCAAACTACTCCACTATGCAGCAAGCTCCAGCTACACACTCTCAATGAGATCTGAATCATAGCCTTGGCAGGAGGGGTCATGCTTATGCCAATCTGTTCCTTTCCTGGGATTCTACCTTAGTCCTAGAGACAGGAACTTCTGCTTACATGTGCATTCCTATATTCCTTAGAGGTTTTTTTACCCATTAGTAGTTAATTACTTATTATTATTTAATAAATCTTTATATTAAACTTCACTGGGCTTCTTTTTTCCTGGCTGGACACCAATTGAGATAGGAGGAGTCTATGAAACTCATGGAAAGAAGGGTAATAGATATAGAAAGATGAACAATCATAAGCCATGAAACAGCAGAGCACTTTGAGGAACTATGCTCAGGTATGTGGTGACAACCACATGTGGGGATCACGTGGGGCAGCAGAGGAGTTGAAGAGGTAGGACTGCACCATGGAAGCCTGGACAGTACCTCTGAACAAAGAAAAGAATACTTTTTATGCAGTGCAATATAGTTTTTATTTCGAAAGTATGTTTCCAGTACTACTAGACAAAATAAATACATTTACTATTTTTAAATTTAATTTAAGCAGGGTAAATAATGAGAATTTTTTGGACAAAATTATGAGGTTAATCTATAGCTAACTGATGACTGATGATATAATATCTACGAGATAAACTCAATATTAATTTCTGGAGAAAGAATGCCCTGCTGTGGCCATACAGAGAGTTTGCAAAGAAATATTTCCTGTATTTAAAGGGTTTGTGTTCTGCTTCCTTGCAAAACCAGCTACTGTGCCACTTAGAGCACAGTAATACATGGCTGAGTCTTCCTCTTGAGCAAATGGTTTCTTCAGGTGGAAAGATGTCTCGCCTTTGTTAAGGTCAGCAGTGAAGCCTTTGATGCTCTCTCTAGAGATGTGTCTCAAGAGTAACTGGAGGCGTTGTCTGGAGTACTGGACATACCAGAAGAGTTCAGGACTCCCAGAATAGGAATAGTTGCACTTCAGCTCCACTGGGGCCCCTTTAAAGACAGAGAGGAGCTTCTCGGGCTGAGTCACTCTCTGGGCTCTTGTTCCTCCTATAACACCAATTCTGGATCAGGAAAAGTCTTACAGACTGGGGATAATATTCATTAAAGTTATTCTAAATCAGAATACCATAGAAAAATAGAACAAAAAGAGGCTTTACTTACTGAGTATAAATATTATCACAAGCACTGAGATGAGGGTGGGCTTCATGTCTGACCTGTGGAGAAACAGGAAGCTATTTTCTGGAGGTCTTTTCTGGAAACGATTCAGCCACATAGACACTCTGACAGAGAGGTGGATGAGTTTACCCGGCATGTATAGCCAAAAGCTATTCTTCAAAAAGATCAGGTTGTTTTTGGCTATCAAATTCAATTTGTGTAACATCTCTCTCTAGAGGCCAAATACAATACTGCAGCTAACTCAGGCTTCAGGAAGCCTTCAAATTCAGAGAATGAGAATTTCCTCCTCAGTAAAAGTGTGATGCTATACTAATTGCAATAGAATGTTATTTTTAAAATCCACATATAGGGCTTAATGAAGTAGAATACAAAGTTCAAATATACAAATACATTTGGAAACTTAGTTAAAATGGGGGAAAATGTGCAATCCTAACAATCATTTGGAAGTTAACAGATAAGTTAGGATGCCTACCTTAATACCTGTTATCAAATAAAGTTCAAAGGACGTAACATTTAATATTTTAAGTAAAATAAAAAATTTTTAAAATAAATTTAGAATGGTGATGGATTTTCTAAGCATAACAGTCAAAAAACATAAGAAAAAATATTGATCGATTACACTTCATAGAAATTTAAATTTCTACACAGATATTTTAGTGAAATGTTTAAACATTGCCAGATCAAGTTATTTTATTTTCCGTCCACCATCATTGATTCTGACCTTCCCCACACAGGAAATGGCCCTTTGGGATTTTAGTTCTATACACTTTAAAAAAAAAAAAAGAAAAAAGAAAAGAAAAGAAGGCCATAAAAAAAGGAACAATCATTTGGCTCAGAAAGACGGAAATTCTAGAAAAATGGTAGATTGAAAGAGTCCCCAATCCCTGGTCCTTAACCAAAGATTTTCTCCAGCTCCCAGTCAAGCTGTGTTGAGAGAGCTCAAGTGAGGTGTCCCATTTTGGGGTCAGATATAAATCTGGGGTCAAGTAGACAGAAGCTCCGGGATTAAGAGCAGAAAACTATGGGTCATGGAGATAGCGTCTCCGGCAGATATATTTTTTTCTAAAAAAGAAAACTAATTCTCTTGAGAAAGTCTCTCCTCTGGCCTCCAAATAGCTGAGAAAAAAGTAAGAGATATGCTGTTACTTAAATGAGGTGGAATACAATGAGATCAGGGAGCAAAGAGATTTTCCTCTAGTTTTCCTGCAGTGTACGGGCGTAATTGCTGACGTCAGTACCCTGCTGAGTGCCGCACTGCTGACTAGAGACACAGAAATGTCTAGGTTTTTATGCTCTCAGGATTGCCTCCACTTAAAGTACCCAGTAATCGGACAAGTCAGGAGGGGAGTGAAGAAAGGGAAAAGATATCTCAGAGACAAATGGGAGCCTCATCTGGATCAAGTACAGCCTGAAAAAATTATCAGGGTCAGTGGCCCAATTTCCTTAGCCAAAAAATCAGGACATGTGATTTGAAAAGTGATTGTGATTTTATTTATAAGAAAGCTCTCACAAAGAAAGAATATCTCATCGAATGCATCGTTTATTTAATCACCCTTAAAGGAGTAAATACAATACAATTAAATTAAGAGAATTCTGTTAACATAGGACATATAGTCATCATGAACATATAAAATGTCTCCAGTGAGACTTTGGTTGATAGAGAAATAGCACGTGTATATGATGGCCACCCCAGCTTATTTCCATCTCTCTTCTTCTATCCAACACTTCTCCATTCACTTTGCAGCCCCACCTGGTCAATTCTGCTCTGTGAACAAGAGGTAGAGGTCACATTTTTTATTGTGGTAAAAAAACACATAACATTAAATTTACCATCTTGACTATTTTAACATGTACAATTCAGTAGTGGTAAGTATCTTCACATTGTCGTGCATCAGATCTCTAGAACTTTTTAACCTTGCAACACAGAAACTATATGAGGCATAGACCACATTTTGAAATTCAGTTAAATGTGTCATCTTTTTTTCCCCCAACCTCTTATTTCTTTTACTCTCTTTTATCCTCTCTCTGAATATTTTCATTATTTTTTTCTCATTTCTTCTCATTTCCTTTTTCTTGTTTTTCTAGTTTCAAAGGAGGTATAAAAGAAGGTGGAAATTATTGAAATAATTTCAAAGTCAGAATGGAGACTCATATTTTAGAAGTTTTAGTCATAAAAATTAAAGCTGTAAGGCTTCCAGCTTTATCATTTCCCTTGTTGATTTCTAAGATCAGTCTTCTTGGGAGACCGTCTCTGTGACACCCATCACAGCCACAGAACATCTTTGCAGATGAATAAATGGAGACTCCCCCTGTCCGTTTCATATATGACTAGTTCAGATGCTTTGCTAACTGATGCTAACTCTCAGTTTTTCGCTGAGTCAGCTATCTCAGAACTTGAGGGAAAATTTCCTCATTTAGAGTAAAGCCTAGAGAGCCTCCTAGTGGTCTGAAACCATCAGGCCCACTAACTCATCTGTGGAGTCCCAGAGCCTTCATCCCAATTCTTTCCTGAGGAACCACCCAGATTGTCAAGAGCAAAAAAACTGTCAGGCTTATGGTGATTTTTTTTTTTTAAAAAAAGGAAACTGGTTTCTTCCTCCAAATTCCATGTACAAGAGATTACCATATTAAAATATTTTATCAAATTGCTTCCTCAAGGTTTAATGTGATTTCTCCAATTTATTTCAAAGTAAGTCTTTAGTAATTTATTGAGGTCTACTGTAAGCTAGATCTTGTGCTAGGTCTTACGAAATTAAAAAATTAGTAAGACATTTTCTCTACTCACAAGACATTGCAGTTTAGTGGGAAAGACAAACATGCACATGTGTGTGTTTTCATATATATCAAGTAACACCTCAAAAAGTACAAAATGAACCCAGAAATAAGGAGCCATTTCTTAAAACAAAGGATGGTTAGACAAAGATTTAAGAATATGATCATTGTTGTCTGTTCCTAGAAAAGATAAAACAGAATGCAATCAAGAAGCTAAATAAGCTTGTGAGTTGAATAGAGGCCCTTACTAAATGAAAATGAAAGAAGAGCAAATGGACAAAGATGTAGAAAGAAATTGGAGTTGGAGCCTATTTCTACAAAGATGTAGAAAGAAATTGGAGCCTATTTTTTTATTATTAATTTAAAATTATTGCAGAACACGTGGATGAATACATACTCAATATTTATACAGTTTAAATTTTTGTCTGACTATAACTTTCAAGCACACAGCAGTTTGCAATGTGTTTGGTACCCAATTATATGTCCTGATAACCTATTGATGTTAACATGTTTGCTTCCTAATATTCCATAGTAAAGATTTATTACAGTTTCTGTAGCCATTCTCTGAGAAACATCTTGTGTTTTAATTTTCACTATTACAAAAATAATCTGCAGTAAATATTTTGTGCATGGCTATTTGGTGGAATAAAGTGTAGAAATAAGCCATGTGGTTACCTGGAGTACTAGTACACAAGGCAGAGAAATGAGCAGCTGCAAAGACCTTGAGGCAGGAAAATAATTGGTATGTTAGAGCAACAATAAGTGCATTGAGGCTGGAGAGTGGGAGTAAGTAGGAAGGTGGTAGCTGATGTCAAATGTCAAAGATATGGCAGGGAGCTAAATGGACTTGTATATTATAGTAAAGCATTTGGTTTTCCTTTGAGTGAGATGGTAAGACATTTCATAGTTGTGAGCACAGAAATGAAATTATCTGAATTATGTTTTAAAGAGATTGCTTCTCCTGCTGCATGGAGAACAGACAGAAGAGGAACAATGGCAAAAGAAAGAAGTTCAGTTAGGTTTCTTTCAATCAACTAGGCAAGAGATTACTGTGGCTTGGATCAGAGTGGTAGCAGTAAAGGTCATGAGAACTGGTTGATTATGGGGATATTTTGAAGAAATGGCTGATAGGAATTCCTAGTGGATCAAGTGGGGATGTGAGAAAAGTGATAAGACAATGATGATTTCAAAGTTTTTGGCTAAGGGGATTAGAAGATTTGGTAAATGGAGTTGTCTTTTACCAAAATGAAGAAATGTTCACAAGAAGCGAGTGGGATGTAAGGAAGGCTTAGTGAGTATAGAGGTCAAATTCAGTAGACTATTTTCAGATATATTAAGTGGAGGATGTCAAAAAGAAGATGTCAAATAGATTATTTGATACTCAAATCCAGAATCCAGATGAGTTATCTGGGATTCAGTTATAAGTTTGGATATTTAAATGGGATTTAAAGCCAAGAGACTGAATAAAACCAGCTGTGAATAAAGTATTTATAGAGGAAAAAGATTTTCAAGGATAAATTTCTAAGGCTTGCCAATGTTTAAAGATTAGTTAAATGTGGGGAAAAAACAGCAAAAAAGACTGAGAAGGAACAACTGACAATACTGAAGCAGAGGGAAAAAAGAGTGGGATTTCTAAAAACCAATAAAGAAAGCATTCCAGGAAGGAAGTGTTCTACAATGTCAAATGTCACTATGCCATGTAAGATAACTCAAAAATATTAGTTGTAGCCATAAATGCATGCATATATAAGTTTAAAAGGCTAAATTTTTCTATTAAGATATAGAAATTATCTGAATGGTTTTCATATCCAGCCTTCTACTGCTTAAGAGGCACAGCTAAAAGAAATATCAAGGAAAGTTTAAAGTGTATGATGGAGCTCTCATTGCAGGGTGGCCTGCTGGCACTCAGGCAGGACCACCATGCCCACAGTGAAAACCACATTCAACTAGATGCCCAAGAGGAGGTCAGTTCTGGTGAAGGGCAAATAAAGAAGCCCATGAGAACAGGAAGAATTCTGTCCGTGAAAGGTGTAACATCAGAAAGATGGCAAAAAAGAAATCCCTGGACCCTCTTTTCCCCGATGGACACACCAATTCAATAGCAATAAATAAATCAATTCACTTGTGAAAAATCCAGTAACTAGTTCAGAGTCTCCAGTACCTTGAATGAGCAAGCAACCAACCACATCAAAGATGACAGGAGGGTTTCTGACATTTTCCTACCCCCTGTACTGTGTCCCATAAATAAGAGGAAAGCCCCAGTTTCAGCCTCTCCCTGGGGAGGGAAAGACTTGGACATTACATCCAACATTCTAGCTTTGCCACAGGCTGCCTGAGAGACTGGCTTCCATCACACCTGTCAAGGAGCACTGATAGGACCCAGTGTATTCCCGATGCATAGGGTCACTGAAAACAAAGAGGGCAGTTTTCGTTGTTTCATTTTTTGAGGCAGGATGTCACTGTGTTGTCCAAGCTGGAGTGCAATGACAGCATCATGACTCACTGCAGCCTCAAACTCCTGGACTCAAGTGATCATCCCATCTCAGCCTCCTGAGTAGCTGAGACTACAGGTATCTGCACACTACCCCACTAGGTCAATATTTCTATTTTTTGTGTAGAAGGAGTCTCACTGTTACCCAGACTGGTCTCAAACTCTTGGCCTCAAGCATTCCCACCTCAGCCTCCTAAAGTGCTGAGATTACAGGTGGGAGCCACCATGCCCAGCCGCAAAACAAGTCTCAACAAATTTAAGAAAGTGAAATCATACCACGTATTTTTTCTAATGAGAATGGAATAACACTAGAAATAAATAGCAGATGCAAAACTAGAAAATTCCAAAATATATGGAAATTAAACATCATATTCTTGAGCAACAAATTGGTCAAAGAAATCAAAAGGCACATTAGAAAATGTTTTGAGATACAAACACAAAAACACAACATATCAAAATTTATAGAGTGAGCAAAAGCTGTACTAATAGGGAAGTTTATAGAAATAAATACCTGAATTCAAAAGGAAGATCTCAAACAAAAAACATAACTTTACATCTCAAAGAACTAGAAAAAAAGAACAAGTGAAGTCCAAATTTAGTAGAAAGAAGGAAATAATAAATATTAGAGCAGAAATAAATAAAACATAGAGTAGAAAATAACATAAAAATAAGCAAAACTAAGTTTTGAAAACATAAGCTAAATTGACAATCTTTTAATTAGACTGAAAAAGAAGAGAGAAGATTCAAATAAACCAAAAATGTAAGAGAAGACATTACAATGGATGCCACAGAAATAAGAAGAATCTTAAGAGACTATTACAAACAATTATACACCAACAAATTGGAAAACCTAGAAGAAATGCATAAATTTATACAAACATATAACCTACCAAGACTGAATCATGAAGAAATAAAAAAATCTAAACAGATTTATAACTGGTAAGGAAATTGATTCAGTAATCCAAAACCTCCTAACAAAGAAGACAAAAGACCTGACAGCTTCATTAGTGAGTTCTATCAACCATTTAAAGAAGAATTAACTCTAATCCTTCTTAAATTCTTCCAAAAAATTCAAAGGGGAATACCTCTAAACTTATTTTATGAAGCCATTATTACCCTGATATCAAAGCCAGACAAAGACACTACAAGAAGGTATACAGACCAATATTCCCGATGAACATAGATGCAAAAATCCTCAGTGAAATACTAGCAAACCAAATTCAATAGCTCACTAATAGGATCACATACAATAACCAAGTGGAAGTTATCCCTGGGATGCAAGGATGTTTTAACATATAAAAATGAATGAATGTGACACACTACATAACACAATGAGGGATAAAAATTACATGATCATCTCAATAGATGCAGAAAAAGAATCTGACAACATTCAACATCCTTTCATGCAGGATGGTTCTCTGGGTGGTCTTGGACCAACCCAGTTCTCTCCACTTTCTTGTTTGTGGTTCTCAAGAATAACTGTAGAATGGGCTGGGCGCGGTGGCTCATGCCTGTAATTCCAGCACTTTGGGAGGCCGAGGCGGGTGGATCACGAGGTCAGGAGATCCAGACCATCCTGGCTAACACGGTGAAGTCCCGTCTCCACTAGAAAATACAAAAAAAATTAGCCGGGTGTGGTGGCGGGCGCCTGTAGTCCCAGCTACTGGGGAGGCTGAGGCAGGAGAATGGTGTGAACCCGGGAGGCGGAGCTTGCAGTGAGCCGAGATCGCGCCACTGCACTCCAGCCTGGACGACAGAGCGAGACTCTGTCTCAAAAATAAATAAATAAATAAATAAGAATAACTATAGAATGTACTGGGAATGTAACATCTTCAGACAGGAATGAAATGGCTGGAACAGGCTGGCTGTATTTCAGATACCCCCTAGAAACAGTGTCCTTCAGTACTTTTTGGCCCAGGGTATCATATTACCCAGGGGTCTAAAACCTAGGGCATGCTAATTTCTGGGGTCCCTCAGGTGTGGTACAACTGGGCCACATGCAGATGACACCCTATCCACCCTAGACAGCTTTCCTGAGCCCTGGGGGACCTGTTTGCAATGAAACCTAAGCTTCTGTTGTCCCTTGCTTATCTGTAATCAATAAACCTGTTTCATGTACCTTGTTGTATGCATGTGTATTCTGTCTCACTGGACTCAGACAACTTGGTAACCAGTACACAGTGAACCTGCTTCACATTTTATGATAAAAATATTCAACAAATTGGGAAATTACCCCCAACATAATAAAGGCCATATATAAAAAGCCCACAGCTAACATCACACTCAGTGGTGTGTGAAACACAAAAAAGCTTTTCCTCTAAGATCAGAACAAGATAAGGGTAACCACCCTCACCACTTCCATTCAGGATAATACTAGAAATCCTAGCCAGAGTAAATAGACAGGAAAAAGAAATTAAAAGTACTCAAATCAGAAAAGAAGTAAAATTATTTCTGTTCGTAGATGACATAAATTCATTAAAAACCCTGAAGACGCCACCAAAAAAGCCTATTAGAAATAATAAATGAATCCAGTAAAGTTGTAGGGTATAAAAATCAACACACAAAAATTAGTGCCGTTTCTTTTTTTTTTTTTTTTGAGACAGAGTCTCACACTGTCGCCTGGGCTGGAAAGCAGTGGCGCAATCTCGGCTCACTGCAACCTCCGCTTCCCGAGTTTAAGTGATTCTCCTGCCTCAGCCCCCCGAGTAGCTGGGATTATAGGTTCCTGCCACCATGCCCAGCTAATTTTTTACATTTTAGTAGAGACAGGGTTTCACCATGTTGGCCAGGCTGGTCTCGAACTCCTGATCTCGTGATTCGCCTGCCTTGGCCTCCCAAAGTGCTGGGATTACAGGCATAAGCCACCACACCAGGCCCATCAGTGCCATTTCTACACATTAACAATAAACTATCTGAAAAAAAATCCAGAAAACAATCCATTTATTATAGCTACAAAAGATTAAAATGTTTAGAAGTAAACTTAACTAATTAGTCTAAAGGCTTGTACACAGAAAACAACAAAACATTCATAAGAAAAATTAAAGAAGGCACAAATAAATGAAAGATAGTCTATGTTCATGAATTGGAAGATTTAATATTGTTAAGGTGTTTATACAACCCAAAGCAATCTACAATGCTATCCCTATCAAAATCCCAATGAAATTTTTATGGAAATAGAAAAAACTAAAATTTTAATTCTAAAATTTCTCTGGAAACACAAAAGGCCCAGAATAGCTCAAACAATCCTGAGAAAGAAAAACAAAGCTAAAAGCACCCCACTTCTTGGTTTCAGAATATATTACAAAGCTACAGTAATTAAAACATCATAGTTCTATCATAAAGACAAACATACGAACCAATGGAACAGAATAGAGAGCTGAAAAATAGACCCACACATACGCACTCAGCTGATGTTTGACAAGGGCATCAAGGATACATAATGGGGAAAGAGTAGTTCTTCAACAAATTGTGCTGTGGAAACTGAATATCCACTTGCAAAAGAATGAAATTGGACTTCTAGCTAACATAATACACATAAATCAACTCAATATTAATTAAAAACGTAAAACCCAAAACTGTAAAACTATTGGAAAAATATATGGGAAACTCTCCATGACATGTGGTCTAAGCAACAGCCAATTCTTGTATGTGACACCACAGGCACTGGCAACAAAACCAAACGTAGATAAGCAGGACTTTATAAAATTTAAAAGATTCTGCCCATCAAAGAAAATAATCAATAGGAAAAAAAGCCAACATGTAGAGTGAAAGAAATATTTGCAAACTATATGTCTGATAAGGGGCTAATCTTCAAAATATATAGGGAACTCCTATAACTATCAATGTTTTAATAACTTGATTAAAACATTGGCAAAGGATTTGAGTAGATATTTCTCCAGAGAAGACATACAAATGGCTGAAGTTATATGAAAATCTGCTCAACATCATTAATCACCAGATAAATTAGATATCGCAATGAGTTATTACCTCTCACCTTTTAGGTTGGCTATTATAAAACAACAACAACAATGTTGATAAGAATGTGGAGAAGTTGGAACCCTTGCTGCAAAATGGTGCAGCAATTATGAAAAACAGTAAGGAGTTTCCCCCTGGAATTAAAAATGTACCATATGATTCAGCAATCCCACTACTGGTTATTTATCAAAAAAATTAAATTCAGGATATTGAAGAAACATTTTCTCTCCCATGGTCACTGCCGCATTATTCACATTAGCCAAGATATGGGAACAACCTAAATATCTACTGATGGATGAATGAAGAAAATGTGATATATGCATAAAATGGAATATTCTTCAACCTTTAAAAAAGGAGATTCTGCCACATGCAAAAACATGGATGAACCCTAAGGACATTATGCTAAGTGAAATAAGCCAGTCATAGAAGGCCTGCATGAGATATCTAAAACTGTCAAACTAATAGAAGTAGAGAGTAGAATGGTGGTTACCATTCTTGGGGCTGGGGGAAGAAGAAGTGGGGAGGTGTTGATGAAGGGGTACAAAGTTTCTATCAGATAAGATGAAGAATTACTAGAGATCTGCTATTCAACATTGGGCCAATAGTTAACTGAGTTGTACACTTCAAAAATTTGTTAAAATAGACATCATGTTAAGTGTTCTTGGCCTGTAAAATCTGAACATAATCAAAATAACAGGCCATAAAAGGCACAATGAAAAGACAAATCTGTAAGAAAAACTACAAACGAAAATGAAATGAGGACGAAAGTAAAACTGGAAGAGGTGGCACGCTAAGAAGTAACTAAAGAATGTCAGCAGCCAAAGAAACCATAAGCAAGAACCTGAGTCTTTGGTGCAAGAGAAGAAGCCAAGTCTAAATATTTTTTATTATAAACCCTCTACCCTCTTTTAGCTCAATTCATAGGAATATTTTTAAACTACTTTAAACACATGTTTTATAATAAGGGAAGAATACAACTTCATCTCATTTTAAAAGAGGAGATTTAGGCAATTGTAAATATTTTTAAGAAGTGAGATGATTCATTTCATAATTTTTGTCATCAAAAATTACAAAATGTTGAATTAAGGAAGACAACTTCTGTATGTGTGAACATTTTATAATACTTTGAGAGGCATTTTTTAATTCTACCATGTGATCAAACTACAAATAAAAATTTGGAGTAATAATCATGTACATAAAATATCTTAACATGTTGGTTTTTCGATATAATTATTTCAGAGTAAGTAATAGGGTACCCTGGTCTTGGATATGCCCATTAGAATTCATATACTCTCTGATAATGCAACTGGAATTTTTTGTTGTGTAATTTTATATAATAAATCTGTGTAATCTCTTAAAATAAAATGCCTCGGAGTTTTAAAGTAGTTTTTAAAGTAGTTGAATCTAGGGTATTTGATATCTTTATATTGGTTACATTTTTATCCCTCAAGTTTGTAACTTGGAAATCACTGGAATAGCTGTTTTAAAAAAGATCACAACTTGACAGCTTAGTTTTTCAATATTGTATTAAGATTTATGTTTAATTTCCTGTTTTGCATAATGCTCACAAGATTAAAAATCTTGATATTATGTCTAATTTACTTTAAATATGTCAATACCACACAGTGGGATATTATGTATGTGCTAGAAGTTAAGCTTCAAATCTAGGTTGAGAATCTACAGCACACTGATTGAGAATCTGTGCTGTATGGGTTACCCTAATTGAGAATCCATCCTGCACAGCTTTTAGCTAACATTCTAATCAATTACATCGGTTATTCACAAGTTAACACCTGAGGCAATACTAATCATAATGGTTGCTAGAAATAATTTTGTATAAAAATGTTGTTGCCTTTTATTTCGGAGTTCTGACACCTTATGATGTGCTTTCTTCAGAGTGTGGAGGAGGTCCCCACTGAAGAAATTCATCAGGAAACCTCCATGTGGGACAAAGCATATCTGAATGTGGCATGACATTGACATTGGAGCAATTATTCCGGAGACAAACCCTACCAAGGGCTCAGCCCACCCTGCCCTATGTGCCTTCAAAACGGGCACAGAAAAAAGGGACCCTCTTGAAAGCTCCACAGGTTGAGTTCTTGAGTCACAGAAAGTCTCAGCATCTCAGGAGGTTTGTGTTCAGCTCTCCTGCAGTCTCAGGCACTGTGTCACTCACAGCACAGAAGTACTCAGCCGTGTCGCTTATATGGACTGAGGGTTTCCTCAAGTGGAAGGAAGTTTGACTCTTGTTAAATTCAGCCTCAAAACCGTTGATGCTTTCAACCAGGGTGGATCCTGATAAATACTTCAGGAGAAGCTGGAGTCCTTGGTTGGGGTATTGCACATACCAGAAGAGATACACTGAAACAGACGATGAGTAGTTGCACCTCAGCTCCACAGGGGCTTCTTCAAAGACAGGGACTTGGCTGTCAAGCTGGGTCACAGACTGGGCTCTGGTTCCTCCTGCAACATCAATGCTGTTTGAGTAAAAAATGTGTCTCAATTTAGATTCAGTTACAACACAGTCACTTCTGTGGAAGGAAAAAGAATGGAATGTTACTCACCCAGGGTAAAAATCACCTGGAACGCTGGGACGAGCAGCAGGAGCATGGCTGAGCAGTGGCAATGCTGCAGGACCTTAAGCTGGGCGGACAGAAGCCAAGGGCGCTGAGCCTCAGGAGCTAGGAACTGTGAGGAGGTTGGATTGGACAAGTCCCTGGCTTTGAAAAGTTTCAGAAACAGAAAGAGGCTTTCCCTTAAGGAGCCTGGATGTGTTCTGACCTCTTGCTCTCGTCACAGCTCCCTATCCACACAGACATCAACGAGCTACATCAGCCAGCTACAGGGAGGAGGCTCAATGGATGAGGATGGTCTGCGATGAAAACAGATGCCTACTTGATGCAACATCGCCCTCTAGAGGCAACAGGAGGAACCACGGATCCAAGGGAGCAAGCTGTTTCCTTCTCATTTCAGACATGATATCAAAACTTCAACAGAAAGCGTTTCTTTCCTCCTGAATCTGTGATGATGTTACCTTCTGTATAGTACATGATATTAATCTCAAAATTATTGAGAAATTGAAGCCATAAAGCAAATTGCAATAAATTCAAAAATACCAAAATCATACCAAGCATAATCTTGGACCACAGTGTAATAAAAATGGAAATCATTACCAAGGAGATCTCTCAAAACCACACAGTTACACGGAAATTAAACAACTTGCTCCTCAATGACTTTTGGGTAAACAACAAAGTAGAGCAAAAATTAATGAAAACAGAAAGACAAAATTCCAGAGTCTTTGGTTTGCAGCTAAAGGTGTTAATAGGAAAGTTTATACTGCTAAATACTTATATCAAGAAATTAGAAAGATCTCAAGTGAGCATTCTAGCATCACAATTAGAAGGACTAGAAAAAGAAGAACAAACAAAGCCAAAAGCTAGCAGAAGAAAATAAATAAACAAAATCAGAAAAGAACTGAACAAAATTGAGACTTGAAAATCCATACAGAGGATCAATAAAACCAAAAGTTGTCTTTCAGGAAGAATAAACAAGATTGATACACCACTAAGTAGGTTAATGAAGAAAATAAGAGAGAAGTTCCAAATAAGCACAATCAGAAATGACAAAGGAGACATTACAATTGATCCCATAGAAATACAAAAGACCCTAAGAGAATACTAGGAACACCACTATTCATAAAAATTAGAAAACCTGGAGAAAACGAATAAATTCCTGGAAGAAAATAACCTCTATATATTCAACCAAGAAGAAATTGAAAACCTGAACAGACTAATAATGAGTTCTGGAAATGAGTTAGTAATAATAATTTTTTAAAACCTGCCAACCAAAAATAACCCCTGGACTGGATGGATTCACAACAGAATTCAGCCAGTTGTACAAAGAAGAACTGGTACCAATCCTACTGAAGCTATTCCCAAAACATTGAGGAGAAGGGTTCCTTCCTAACTCACTCAATGTAGTCTGCATCATTCTGATAGTAAAATCCAGCAGAGACACAATGAAAAAAGAAAATATCAGTCAATATCCCTGACAAACTTAAACGTAAAAATCCTCAACAAAAATACTAGCAAACTGAATCCAGCAGTACATCAAAAAGTTAATTCAAGGTCAAGTAGGCTTCATTCCTGGGGTGCAAGGTTTGTTCAACATAGACGAATCAATAAATGTGATTCACCACAGAAACAGAATTAAAAGCAAAACCATATGATCATGTCAATAGATGCAGTCAGCTTTCAATAAAGTCCAACATCACTTTATGATAAAAACCCTCAACAAACTAAGCATGGAAGGAATATACCACAAAATAATAAGAGCCACCTATGACAAACAGCCAACATCATACTCAATGGGAAAAAGCTGGAACCATTCCCCTTGAGAACTGGAACAAGAAAATAATGTATACTCTCAGTACTCCTATTCAGTATAGTATTGGAAGTCCTAGCCAGAGCACTCAAGAAAGAGAAAAAAATAAAGTGTACCCAAACAGGGAAAGAAGCAGTCAAATTATCCGTCTTTGCTGACAGTATGATTTGATATCTAGAAAAACCCTCAAGGTTCTGCCGAAAGGCTCCTAGACTTGATAAAAGATTTCAGTGAAGTTTCAGGATGCAAAACAAATTTGCAAAAATCAGTAGCATTGCTATACACCAATAATGTTCGAGCTGTCTGTTCAAGCTGACAGCTGGGACACTGGAGTGCTGGGCCGAGCAGCAGGAGCATGGCTCAGCAGTGGCAATGCTGCAGGACCTTGAGCAGGGTCCTAAAGACTAAAGAACAAAATTACATTTGCAATAGACACAAAAAGAATAGATACCTAGGAATACAGCTAACCAAGGATGTGAAAGATCTCTACAAAGAGAACTACAAAACACTGCTGAGAGAAATCAGAGATGGCACACAAAAAAGGAAAAACATTGCATACCCTGGATTAGGAGAATCCATATCTTTAAAATGTCCATACTACTCAAAGCAATTTACAGATTCAACGCTATTCCTATCAAACTACTAATGCCATTTTTCACAGAATTAGGAAAAAACTATTCTAAAATTCATATGGAACCAAAAGAGCCTAAATAGTGAAAGCAATCTAAGCAACAAGCACAAAGCCGGAGGCATCACACTACCCAACTTCAAGCTACACTACAAGTCTACAGTAACCAAAACAGCATAGTACTGGTATAAAAATGGGCACATAAACCAATGGAACAGAATAGCAAATTCTGAAATAAAGTAACACACCTACAACCATCTGATCTTTGACAAAGTCAACAAAAATAAGAAATTGGGAAAAACTCTCTAGTCAATAAATGGTGCTGGGGATAACTGGCTAGCCACATACCAGTGTATGTGAATGAAGCTGGACCCCAACCCATCACTATACACAAAAATTAATTCCAGATGGATTAAAGACTTAATTGTAATACCCAAAACTATAAAAATCTTAGGGGGAAAAAAACAGAAAAATACCCTTTTGCCATCGGCATTGGCAAAGAATTTATGGTTAAGTCCTGGAAAGCAATTGCAACCAAAACAAAACTTGAAAAGTGTGACCTACGTAGTTTGTGCACAGGAAAATAAACTATCAATATAGTAAACAGACAACCTACAGAATGGGTGAAATTATTTGCAAACTATGTATCTGACAAAAGTCTTATATCCAGAATCTATAAGTAACAAGCTGGGTGTGACGGCTCATACCTGTAATCCCCACACTTTGTGTGGCTGAAGCTGGAAGACTGCTTGAAGCCAGGGGTTCAAGACCAGCCCGGGCAGCATAGCAAGAATCTGACTCAAAAAAAAAAAGTGAGAGAAAGAAGGAAAGAAGGAAAGAAGGAAGAAAGGAAAGAAGGAAGGAAGGAAGGAAGGAAGGAAGGAAGGAAGGAAGGAAGGAAGGAAGGAAAGAAGGAAGGAAGGAAAGAGAAAGAGAAGGAGAGAAAGAGAGGAAGGAAGGGAGGGAGGGAGGGAAGAAGGAAGGAAGGAAGGAAGGGAGGAAGGAAGGAAGGAAAAGAAAAACATCAGCTGGCCATAGTGGCATGTGCCTGTAGTCCCAGCTAAAGCAGGAGGATCCCTTGAGCCCTGGAGTTTAAGGATAGAGTGAGCTAGGATCATGCTACTGCACTCCAGTCTGGGCAACAGAGTGAGACCCTGTCTTTCCAAAAAAGAAAGAAACAAAAGTAACTTCAACAAATCGACAAGCAAAAAGCAACCGCATTAAAATGTAGGCAAAGGACATGAACAGAGACTTCTTAAAAGAAGACATACATACAGCCAACAAACATGAAAAAATGCTCATCATCACTTAACATCAGAGAAATGTAAATCAAAACCACAATGAGATACCATCTCACACCAATCAGAATGGCTTTTTTTAAAAAGTCAAAGAATAATAGATGTTGGCTAGGCTGTGTAGAAAAGGGAACACTTACATACTGTTGGTGGAAATATAAATTAGTCCAGCTACTGTGGAGATTAGTTTTGAGATTTCTCAAAGAACTTAAAACAGAGCTAACATTCAACCCAGCAATCCCATTACTGGGTATATACCCAAAGGCAAATAAAATTTTCTACCAAAAAGACACATTCACCCATACATTCATCACAGCATTATTCACAATAGCAAAGAAATGGAATCAACTCAGGTGCCAATCGGTGGTGGATTGGATGAAGAAAATGTGGCACATATACACCATGGACTTCTATGCAACCATAGAAAAATGAAATCCTGTCCTTTGCAGCAACAAGTATGCAGCTAGAGGCCATTATCTGAAAGGAATTAATGCAGAAGCAGAAAACTAAATACTGCATGTTCTCACTTATAGGTGGGGGCTAAACACTAGCTACACATGAACATAAAGATAGTCACAATAGACACTGGGTACTACTAGAGTGGGAAGAGAGGGAAGGAGAAAAGGACTGAAAACTATTAGGAACTATGCTCACAACCTGAGCGACAATGCATTCATAGTCCAAACTTCAGCATCATGCAATATGCCTCTGTTACAAACCTGCACATGTACTCCTGATTCTAAAATAACAGTTGAAAGAAATAAAATTTAAAAATTAGAAAATAAAAATGTTTTTCCCCTCAAAAAATAGATAAGAAATTGGAGTTATGTAAAACTAGAAAAGTAATTTACTTCACTGAGAAATTAGTCACAGAAGGCAATATTCCAGATTTTGGAATACCATTAAGATGCTCTATGTTATTTTTTAGAGGCACTCATCAAGGAGAGGGGAGAAGATCAATTGCCTCAGGCTTAGCTAAGCTTCGTGTGGCACTGTGCTAGTGGATTCACATGAGCATTAGAGTGGATGGAAGAGATTTCTCTTTTATTAGGTGCTAAAGGAAAAAAAAAATGACTAGAGACTCATACTTAAAATCAGCCTGGATCACGTGTCATTAGCTAATTAGTCAATGCAAACTAATAGGTAATAATTTTCTTTGTGAAGCAGAAATTGTGAAAAAGACTTCTTGGTTTCAAATCAAGTTTGATGTTTGTAAGGCTAGGAGAAAAAACTTAGAGAAAAGTCCCATTTGAATTATCAACGCTCAGAATAGACTGATACATTATGCCAAATTATGGTATCTCGCCTTAAAAAGAACATCAACAGAAGCCCATTTATGGAGAAATTTGAGCAGAATAATGAAGGTAATAAAATATAACATATAAATAAGTAATTATGGGAAGAATTAAAGATACAGAAAGAAAAGTAAGCCTACGTGAACTCAGTAAAGCTGGGAGGAGTGCAACCAGCAGACAAGAAATGAGATGACCAAGAAAATGGGAGGTATAGAAGACTTAGGATAGGTTGACAGTGATACTCAACAGAGCTAGGCAAGAAGCAGTCCCCTGTGGGTGGGAGACAGGATGCATTGAACCAGAGCAGTCAACTCTATGGCCTAAGAAGATGAAATTCTTGAATGAAAAGACTTCCTCACCCAACTTATTTTAGCATAGAGATCATTGGATCCTAAAATTGAAAAAATCAAATAAAGAAAAAAACTCAGGTGAAATAAGAACCGGCTAACAAGAATTCTTTTCAAAGGTCAAAACAAACTCCTTCCTTTCTGTGTACTCTGTTGACTCATGCCAGTGGGAAATCAGTTCTCCCTTGCACTTCTGACCTATTCCTTGATTCTGCCTGTAGATTTTCTTTTCATATGTAAGACAACATAATATATTTCATTCAAAATATTAAACTTTACTAGGGTAGGCTATTGCTATTTACTACGGTAGGCTATTGCTATTATAAATAGTGCTTCAATAAACATACGTGTGCATGTGTCTTTATAGTAGAATGATTTATAATCCTTTGAGTATATATCCAGTAATGGGTTCGCTGGATCAAATGGTATTTCTGGTTCTAGATCCTTGAGGAATCACCACACTGTCTTCCACAATGGTTGAACTAATTTACACTCCCACCAACAGTGTAAAAGTGTTCCTATTTCTCTACATCCTCACCGGCGTCTGTTGTTTCCTGGCTTTTTAATAATCGCCATTCTAACTGGCATGAGATGGTATCTCGCTGTGGTTTTGATTTGCCTTTCTCTAATGACCAGTGATGACGAGCTTTTTTTCATATGTTTTTTGGTCACATACATGTCTTCTTTTGAGAAGTGTCCATATCTTTCTCCCACTTTTTGATGGGGTTGTTTGGTTTTTTTTCTTGTAAATTTGTTTAAGTTCCTTGTAGATTCTGGATATTAAACCTTTGACAGATGGATAGATTGCAGAAATTTTCTCCCATTCTGTAGGTTGCCTGTTGATTCTGATGATAGTTTCTTTTGCTGTGCAGAAGCTTTTTAGTTTTATTAGATCCCATTTGTCTATTTTGGCTTTTGTTGCAATTGCTTTTAGTGTTTTAGTCATGAAGACTTTGCCAATGCCTATGTCCTGAATGGTATTGCCTAAGTATTCTGCTAGAGGTTTTATGGTTTGGGGTTTTACATTTTAGTCTTTAATCCATCTTGAGTTAATTTTTGTATAAGGTATAAGGAAGGGATCCGGTTTCTGTTTTCTGCATATGGCTAGCTAGTTTTCCCAACACGATTTATTAAATAGGTAATTCTTTCCCCTTTTCATATTGCTTGTTTTTGTCAGCTTTGTCAAAAACCAGATGGTTGTAGATGTGTGGTGTTCTTTCTGAGGTCTCTGTTCTGTTCTATTGGTCTATATATCTGTTTTGGTACCAGTACCGTGCTGTTTTGGTTACTGTAGACTTGTAGCATAGTTTGAAGTCAAGTAGCATGATGCCTCCAGCTTCATTCATTTTGCTTAGGATTGTCTTGACTATACGGGCTCTTTTTTGGTTCTGTATGAAATTTAAAGTAGTTTTTTCTAATTCAGTAAAGAAAGTCACTGGTAACTTCATGGAATAGCATTGAATCTATAAATTACTTTGGGCACTATGGCCATTTTAATGATATTGATTCTTCCTATCCATGAACATGGAGTTTTTTTCTTTTTGTGTGTGTGTGCCCTCTCTTATTTCCTTGAGCAGTGGTTTGTAGTTCTCCTTGAAGAGATCCTTCACATCCCTTGTAAGTTGTATTCCTAGATATTTTATTCCCTTTGTAGCAATTGTGAATGGGAGTTCACTCATGCTTTGGCTCTCTGCTTGTCTATTGTTAGTATACAGGAATGCTTGTGATTTTTGCACATTGATTTTGTATCCTGAGACTTTGCTGAAGTTGCTTATCAGCTCAAGGAGTTTTGGGACTGAGACTATGGGGTTTTCTAAATATACAATCATGTCATCTGCAAATAGAGACAATTTGACTTCCTCTCTTCCTATTTGAATACTCTCTATTTCTTTCTCTTTCCTGATTGCTCTGGCCAGAACTTCCAATACTATATTGAATAGGAGTGGTAAGAGAGGCCATCCTTGTCTTGTGCCGGTTTTCAAAGGGAATGCTTCCAGGTTTCACCCATTCAGTATGATATTGGCTATGGGTTTGCTATAAATAGCTCTTATTATTTTGAGATATGTTCCATTAATACCTAGCTTATTGAGAGTTTTTAGCATGAAGGGATGTTGAATTTTATCAAAGGTCTTTTCTGCATCTATTGAGATAATCATGTGGTTTTTGTCATTGGTTCTGTTTATGTGATGGATTACGTTTATTGATTTGTGTATGTTGAACCAGCCTTGCATCCCAGGGATAAAGCCAACTTGATCGTAGTGGATAAGCTTTTTGATGGGCCGTTGGATTCAGTTTGCCAATATTTTATTGAAGATGTTTGCATGGATGTTCATCAGGGATATTGGCCTGAAAATTTCTTTTTTTGTTGTGTCTCTGTCAGGTTTTGATATCAGAATGATGCTGGCCTCATAAAATGAGTTTGGGAGTATTCCCTCTTTTTCTATTGTTTGGAATACTTTCAGAAGGAATGGTACCAGCTCTTCTTTGTACCTCTGGTAGAATTTGGCTGTGAATCCATGTGGTCATAGGCTTTTTTTGGTTAGTAGGCTATTAATTACTGCCTCAATTTCAGAATGTGTTATTGGTCTACTTCTTCCTGGTTTAGTCTTCGGAGGGTATATGTGTCCACACATTTATCCATTTCTTCTAGATTTCCTATTGTTTTGTGTGTAGAAGTGTTCATAGTATTCTCTGATGGTAGTTTGTATTTCTGTGGGATCAGTGGTGATATCCCCTTTATCATTTCATGTTATGTCTATTTGATTCTTCTCTCTTTTCTTCTTTATTAGTCTGGCTAGTCATCCACCTATTTTGTTGATCTTTACAAAAAAAAACAGCTCCTGGATTCATTGATTTTTTGAAGGGTTTTTTGGGTCCCTATCTACTTCATTTCTGCTCTGATCTTAGTTATTTCTTGTCTTCTGCTAGCTTTTGAATTTGTTTGCTCTTGCTTCTCTAGTTATTTTAATTGCGATGTTAGAGTGTCGATTTTAGATCTTTCCCACTTCCTGATGTGGGCATTTACTGCTATAAATTTCCCTCTCACCACTGTTTTAGCTGTGTCCCAGAGATTCTGGTATATTGTCTCCTTGTTCTCATTAGTTTCAAAGAACTTATTTATTTTTGCCTTAATTTTGTTATTTACCCAGTAGTCATTCAGGAGCAGGTTGTTCAATTTCCATGTAGTTGTGTGGTTTTGAGTGAGTTTCTTAATCCTGAGTTCTAATTTGATTGCACTGTGGCCTGAAAGACTGTTTGTTATGATTTCTGTTCTTTTGCACTTGCTGAGGAGTGGTTTACTTCCCATTATGTGGTTGATTTTAGAATACATGCTATGTGGTGCTGAGAAGAATGTTGATGTGGGGTGGAGAGTTCTGTAAATGTCTATTAGGTCCACTTGGTCTAGAGCTGAGTTCAAGTCCCTAATATACTTGTTAATTTTCTGTCTTCTTGGTCTGTCTAATATTGACAGTGGGGTGTTAAAGTCTGCCACTATTATTGTGTGGGAGTCTAAGTCTCTTTGTAGGTCTCTAAGAACTTGCTTTATGAATCTGGGTACTCCTGTATTGGTTGCATATATATTTAGGATACTTCGCTCTTCTTGTTGCATTGATCCCTTTACCATTATGTAATGCCCTTCTTTGTCTTTTTTGATCTTTGTTGGTTTAAAGTCTGTTTTATCAGAAACTAGGATTGCAACCCCTGCTTTTTAAAAAATATTTCCATTTGTTTGGTAAATATTCCTTCATCCCTTTATTTTGAGCCTATGTGTGTCTTTGCACATGAGATGGGTCTGCTGAATACAGCACACCGATGGGTCTTGACTCTATCCAATTTGCCAGTCTGTGACTCTTACTTGGGGCATTTAGCCCATTTACACTTAAGGTTAATATTGTTATGTGTGAATTTGATCCTGTCATCATGATGCTAGGTGGTTATTTTGCACATTAGTTGATGCAGTTTCTTCATAGTGTCATTGGTCTTTATATTTTGGTGTGTTTTTGCAGTGGTTGGTACCAGTTTTTCCTTTCCGTATTTAGTGCTTCCTCCAGAAGCTCTTGCAAGGCAGGCCTGGTGGAGACAAAATCCCTCAGCATTTACTTCTGTGTAAAGGATTTTATTTCTCCCTCACTTATGAAGCGTAGTTTGGCTGGATGTGAAATTCTGTGTCAAAAATTCTTTTCTTTATGAATGTCGAATATTGGCCCTCACTATCTTCTGGCTTGTAGGGTATCTGCAGAGAGATCCGCTGTTAGTCTGATGGGCTTCCCTTTGTAGGTTACCTGACCTTTCTGTTTCACTGCCCTTAACATTTTTTCCTTCATTTCAATCTTGGAGAACCTGACGATTATGTGTCTTGGGGTTGCTCTTCTTGAGGAGTGTCTTAATGGTGTTCTCTGTATTTCCTAAATTTGAATATTGGCCTGTCTTGCTAAGTTGGGGACGTTCTCCTGAATAATATCCTGAAGTGTGTTTTCCAACTTGGTTCTGTTCTTCCTGTCACTTTCAGGTACACCAATCAAACGTAGGTTTGGTCTTTTCACAGAGTCCCATATATCTTGGAGACATTGTTCGTTCCTTTTCATTCTTTTTTCTCTAATCTTGTCTTCACACCTTATTTCAGTAAGTTGATCTTCAATCTCTGATATCATTTATTCTGCTCAAAGTCTATTATTTCTCAAATGCTACCCACATACCAGGCAAGTTCCATGTTAATAATGAGCACTGCTGGTCCCCAAGCTAGATCCCCTTTCCTAGGACAGTGTAGCCATCCCCAGCTACTGTGAATGTTGGCTACTCTTGGCTCACAGTTGCCTCTTTCCCTAGAAAATTGACCTTAGCCAATGAGAGTCACCATTGTCCAGTAGCATATACCTCTACCCCAAGAAACACCACAACCAATGATGACTTTATTCTTACCCACAATAGGTCCGAGCAGTCTGGCCTCCTTGCCTCAGGGTGGGAGGAATCAACCCTGTGATACAGTTCAAGCTCCAGAGCTCCCCATGAGGTCAGGCTGGATCAAGACCTCTGCTGGACCATGTCCAGCATCTCAACCTTTCCCCCTCATGTCCAGCCTTTCCCCCATCTCAACCTGGTTTCCCAAATAAATTACAGACAGAGAATTCCAAATGCAGTCTCTGCTTTTAAGGAACTCATCCCAAGACAATATTTTGTCTCACGGAATCCTGAAACCAGTCCTGAAATATATATAATTGTAGAGCTTAATATGAAAAAGGCCATAAGTAATATAATCGATGTTCAAACCAGCACCACAGCCTGAGTTCTTTCCAGAGTGCCATGATGCCAGAAGGCAAATCATAAAAGTGGAATAAAAATTTAAGTACCTTGATTCCAGCACAACTGTTTGCTCTTCCTCCTTGCTTTTTAAATCTTTCTTCTATGACTGGGAAATATTTGTTCAGAGTCTTCACTTCTGCAGAGTAAGAAGTTGCAGCAAATTCTGACTTGGCTTCATCATTTTCATCAGTGACTGTCAATAAAACTGGACAGAAACATTTATTCTTCATTTCCAAGCTTTTCCCACCTTCTGGGCTACATAAATAATGTTATGCCTATCAGACCACAACTTCATTTTTACAGTAAATATGATTCTCAAATATTTTGCCTGTAATTCAAAGTAATGTCTACTAAAAGGCCTTATTTCGTCAGGCCACAAATGCTTTCCCCATACTTGACATACACTGCAGGGCAAATCTGTGGTGCCTTGTAGTCAGGGGATGGAGATATTCATATGATGTTTAGTGTTTCCAACTCTCCAGACAAACATTTCCTGAAGCATTCTCAATTCCATACGGTCTTTGGTATCTTATTCATACAGGTCTTTACTCATCATAACAAAGGACCTTGGTGTCTGGATCTCTTTAAGATACTTAGAGACCCTTCTCAAAAAAATTTTAAGTCCTTCTGTGCTGTCATGCCCTGCTGGGGAGATGAGGCACTCTACAACTACAGCCAATGCTCCTTCCCATCTCCAGGCCACACTCAAGTACATAGGAATCAAAAAACTATCCCATCAGGCTCAAGCTGGGAGTTTTGAATTTGATTAAAACTTTACCCCAAAATGGCAACATAGACCCTCTCTAATCTTTAGTTTGTGCAACTAATTAGGCTTTTTCTCAACCAGTTCTCACTCTCTCACTCTAGTTCTTCCAGCTGTCCATCAGGTGTACCCTTATATAACTCAGGAGTGATGTTGTAGTTGAGGCTGGAGATGGAGTTAGGGTTCTGTAACTTAAAAAATTTATGACTTACCGGATTTTCAAATTAGTCTGCTTATGATTTTTCTTCTCTTTGCATTTCTGCTTTGCTGTTTCATTCTTAAAGCAATGTCTATCAAATGCCTTGGGGAAAGAGCAAAATGTCTTAGGAACCATGAGAGCATATCTGTTATTGTATGGAAATATTTTCTTGTCTTTGATAAAAAGAATCATAAAACCAATCTCATAAAGTAAAGATGTGGCATAAAAGTAGACTGGGCATGGATTAAATAAATGTACCTTTTTGTATAGCAATAATAACTTAATAAAAAGAAACCAGGGAGGAAGCAAATTTTTAGAAATGGTACATATGTTTATGGCACGATTATATTGTCTGTATAAAGTGAATATGTGCACCTTTTTGTGTGTCAATAACACCTCAATAAAAATATTTTATTTGTGTTTTGTTGTTGTTTTGTGTTTTGTTTTTGCTTGTTTTTTGAGACAGGGTATCACTCCATTGTCCAGGCTGGAGTGCAGTCCTGTGATCACAGCTCATTGCAGCCTCCACCTCTCCGACTCAAGAAATCCTCCCACCTCTTCCCTCCCAAGTTGCTGGGACTACAGGTGCATGTCACCACTCTTGGCGATTTTTTTTCTTTTTTTGAGACAAGGTCTCCCTGTGTTGCCCAGGCTAGTCTCAAATTCTTGGGTTTAAGTGATCCTCTTCCCTATGCCTCCAAAAGTGTTGAGATTACAGACATGAGCCACAAAGTCAGCAAAAAAAAAATTTCAAAACTAAAGTGGAAAGAGAAGACTAGAAAATATTTCAAGTAGACCAAATGGTGTCTTTTATTTTCCTTTGGGGTCTCAATAATTTTCAGAATTATGAAAATATGTCCCAAATTAATCAAACCTTCAATACTACTGCTTTTAGTTTTCATTTGCATCTAGAGAACAAATAGAACTTCATTGCCTTGCAGTCTAAGCTCTACATCAGGCATTCCTGGGGCCCAGCAGGTTTGGGTACAGACTGCAAGTGTCTGGGGAGCACTGTGCGCTCATTGCACAGAGGTAGGTGGCTGAATCACTGGGCTGTGAGTCTCTGATGAACAAGGAGATATACTTGCTGGATTTATCGACCTGTGCTGTAAACCTTCCATCTTCTTTGTTACCACTGGAGTATGTGTACATCAGCAACTCAGGGCCTTTTCTGGAATACTGTCTGTACCACATGAAGTATTGAAAAGCACTGTTGCTGTAAGTGCAGTTGAGAGAAACAATGGCTCCCTCTGGAACACTGAGTGGTCCAGGATCCTGCTCCACCTCCTTCTGTTGGCTCCAAACCCCTGTGAAAAAAGACAGCAGTCAGACAGAGAAGACAGATTGGGTAGGGGACACTTCGTACCCAGAATTTAAATCATCTTTTCATGGGCCCCCCACTCTCCCCAGTCTCCCTTTGTTAGAGAAAAAACCACTCATGTTTCTACCCACAGGCCTAGAATACACAATAATTGCAAACAATATACATTATGTTTCTACAGAGATGCCCAAAACTCACAGCTTAACTGAAGCCACAGGATCACCAGTAAAACTCTCAAGGATTTCATCATTCTTTTCTGCCCTGGTTCACTGAGGATTCAAACCTTAAACACGAAAAAAAAATAATAACAAACGTTTCTCATTTTTCTGCTGTAGGAATCATAAAAGAAATCTGTCCTACCAATTAGAAAAAGGATGTTCTTTTTAACACCTCTGCTCCATCATTAAGCTCCTCCCTCATCTCTCCCTCTGTCTTGCTCTTATTCATGTGTGTGTGTGCACTTGCAAGTGCACATGCATCCCCTCCCCTCCCCACCGCAGGAGCACATGAGAGCTTGCCTCAAGGTCCCTGAGAAGACACTGCCATCTTGAGGACTCATGAAAGTGATCAAAGATGTATTCCAACTACAGACCTGTGTTATGTGAACTGCTAAAAGTGAAAATATGACACTTTAGTTAAATTCAGAATATACAAGGAACTCAAACAACTCAACAGCAAAAAAAAAAGTCAAACAATCCCATTTAAAAATGGGCAGAAGATCTAAATTGACATTTCTCAAAAGAAGACAAATAGCCAATAGGTATTTAAAACATGCTCAACATCACTAATCATCAAGGAAATGCGAATCAAAACCACAATGAGATATCATCCTATCCCAGTTAGAATCGCTATTATTAAAAATATAGAAAATAATAGATGTGATGAGGATTCATAGAAAATGGAACTCTCAAACATTGTTGGTAGGAATGTAAATTAGTACAGCCACTCTGGAAAACAGTAGGGAAATTTCTCAAAAATGTAGTAATAGAACTACCATACAATCCAGCAATCCAACTACTGAGTATTTATCCAAAGGAAAGAAGTGTTTTGAAGGCATACCTGCCTCCTCATGTTTATTGTAGCACTATTCTCAATAGTAAAGATATTAAATCAACAAAGTGTCTATCTACTGGTGAATGGATAAAGAAAATGTTGTATAGTTACACAATGGAATACTATTCAGGTATAAAAATAAATGAAATCGTGTCCTTTGCAGCAACATGGATGGAACTGGAAGTCATTATGTTAAATGAAATAAGCCAGGCACAAGAAGATAAATATTGCATGAATTCACTCATAGGTGGAAGCTAAAAAAAAAGAGTTGATCTCAGGGAGACAGAGACTAGAATGATGGTTATCAGAGACTGGGAAGGAAATGGATGTGGTTGGGGGAATAAAAGGAGGTTGGTTAGTGGGTAGAAACAGAAGGAATAAGTTCTAATTTTCAATAGCAGAGTAGAATGACTAAAGTTAACAACAACACATTGTACTTTCAAAATAGCTAGAAGTGAGGACTTGAAATATTCTCAATACAGAAATGATAAGTGCTCTTGGTAATAGATATTCTAAACACCCTGCCTTGATTATTGTATATTCTATGCACCTAACAAAATATCACATGGACCACATAAATATGTACAAATATTATGAATCAATTAAAAATAAAAACTTTTAATAAAGCTTTTAAGCTATATTAAAAGTCAAAGTCAATGTATGTGTGAGAAAGGCAGAGGGGTATATATGTGTGTATGAGTTTCCATCAAATGGCAACTCTTGGGTCAGTAAGACCACTTATTTCTAATAGCCACTTTCCTGAACTAAAAAATCAGACATAACAGATTCTATTATAGAAATCTGAGTGAGATTCTTGCAATTCAGGGAGAATTTCACACTGTATAGCTCTTCTTAATGTCAGGCCACATATTCCTATACTACTCTGTTATATACAACTTTTAAAGAAATTTCTTATAACTCAAAATAAGTCTTCCAAGATGAAATGGCCTAAAATCTAGCTGAACAAAACAAACATGGTTGCAGCCCATAGCCTAAGCAATATTTTTTAACAAGGCCAGGAACTGGAGGAGCTTGGACTTTGTCATTCCATTTTGCACCAATGATGCATCTGTGCCAAAACAGCTCTTGCTTGGGTTGGTGCAATTGAGATGAACCTGCCTTTAGTACCTAGACTGTCAATAAAACCCAATGTGCCTGTTCATTTGTCCTGTCCCTCTTATTGCCTTTCTTGTATAAAGCTGATACCTAGGAATCAATCTCTAAAAGTTATAGGTTTTGTTCATCCTGACATAACCAGCAAACCAAATCTATCAGGGAGCTATCTATGCAAGAAACTCAATTGAGTCTATAGATAAACAAGGACAGACAACTACTGTTCTCTTCTGTTCCACAACGTGTTTCATGTCCTTGAAGAGGCCAACAATGAAGCAGGCTTTTTTCCACTCAAGAGCCATGTAATCGGTATTCACCAAAGATGGCTGAGGCTAACCTTTCCCATTCCCACCAACAACTACCTAGGAAATAGAATGAGGGAATAGATGCTAATATTGAAATTCCTTTCTCCAAGGGTACATTGCACTTGACAGAAACCATGACCATTTCTCGGTAAATACAAAAACCAGAGGAAAAGTGAAAGTAACACAAGCTGGCAGCCACTACAGTCTTGGAAAATTTACTAAAACAAAATCTAATATCTGAAGCAAAGTCTGTAAGAAGCACCCCTCTTTTCAAGATTTGTAACAAAGCATAATATAAATGCATCAACAGATCTAATGCTGTGGTGGACCCAAGAACCATATCAGTGCTAGCAAAATGACAGACTTTGTACAGCATCAAACCTGCCCTATGGACCATTGTTTGTCTAATTATGTCTAAAGAATATATAAAACTCTTTCATATCCCCAAAGGACAGTGTTCTGATAATCAACCAATAAGAAAAACCACTGACCTCTCCCCCACTGGTTTTACACCGTCTTCACCTTCCGCAATAGTACATTTTCTAGATATGTCTTGTGAACCTCAGAGTATTGCAAAACAAGATTTCATTTAAAAGCAATTTATCTTAAAATAAACGCTTCTGAAAATGGTGCTAATTTTGAGTCTATTTTTAAATATTTTAGTTTATATTTTAGGTACAAGAGGTACATGTGCAGGTTTGTTACATGTGTATATTACACCCAGGTGGTGAGCATAGTACTCGATAGGTACTATTTAATGCACCCCCCAGTTCCTGCTCCCTTTGGTAATCCATAGTTGTTGCCATGTTTACGTAGGTTCTGTGTTTGGCTCCCACTTATAAGTAAGAACATGTGATATTTGGTTTAACATTTCTGCATTAATTCACTTAGTATAATGGCCTCCAGATCCATTCATGTTGCTGCAAAGAAATTATTTCATTCTTTTCTGTGGCAACATAGTATTCCATGGTATATATGTACCACATTTTCTTTATCCAATCCACCATCAATGGGCACAGAGTTTTATTCCACATATTTGCTATTGTGAATACCATGGCAATAATAATAAGAAGCCATGTATCCTTTTGGTACAACAATCTATTTTCCTTTGCATATATATCCAACAATGGGAATGCTGGGTAAAATGATAGCTTCGTTTTATGTTCTTTGGGGTATCTCCAAACTGCTATCCACAGGCACTGAACTAATTTACATTCCCATCAATAGCATATAAGTGTTCCCTTTTCTCTGCAGTCTCAACAGTATCTGTTGTTTTATAATTTTTTAATAATAGCCATTCTGACTGGTGTGAGATGATATCTCACTGTGGTTTTGATGGATATCTCTCTGATGATTAGTGATGATGAGCACATAGCAAGAGAAACTCTTAGACCCTGGCCAGTGGGGAGAAGTGAGGGTCTAATGCTCTCTTTGTATGCTAGAACAAGTATAGAAAAACAAACATATTGTCTTCTGGAGCCAAGCAGCAACTCTGTGTCCTGCTATTGGTTTGTTATCTCCTCCCACATCCCAAGAAAACAGGAAAACTCTTGTGAATGTGGCTCCCAGACTATTTTATCAGTGGCAGCTTTCCAATATAGATTCCCCATCTTCATAAGTATACAAACACAAGAATCAGCACAACCTTGTCTCAAATTGACTGACACAAATGTATATGCTTCCCCTGATATCTTGACAGTTGGGTTATGTCATGAATGGCTACAGAGGTTGCAAATATTGCAAATACTCACTGACACTGCTCACGTAGTTTAACCAAAGTGATGCAATGCTTATCCAAATCAAGTTTAATAATAAATCCCAAATTTGATTAACTTGTGCATTTTGGGTTATGCCCGGGGGAAAGGGGCCATATAACATCTCTATATTGGGAATGGTAGGGTTTTTTCTTTGTGGTAATTCAAAGAAAGACCAACATTTCAGTCTGAACTTTCATGTATGGGTTATAATAGATAAAATACTACATGCTAGCTGTCTGTACTTTGGAACTTACTCACATTTGGCTGGATCAAGCATAATTAAGGTTAATACTGCATGTTGGTCTCATTCTGCTTCTTAGAGTTCTGCTGATAGTAGCCTTAATTAAATGCTACTTGAGACAAATGTAATGCATTTAGTCATGACATCTCTCAGTTACACAAATCAGAATGACTGACAAAGTGGCATACTCATAAAATAAATTTCTAGCAACTAACCCAGTGTAAGACCATGGAGTGGATATTATTGAAAGGCAGTCCACCATGAGTCTCTTGTACTCAAACGTGACTTGATGAGTGTGCCAACAGTGTAATGACATGAGCATTCTACCTGGATCACTTCTCAGAGTTATGCCAGCAAGCAACCTTGGGAGATGAGGTAATGTCTCCCTCTGAGACAAAGAGCAAGCTGGCTGAGTGCTTGTTATAAAAGCAATGAACTTCCTAAGCTCAGAGTTCCTCACCTGTGACATAATACCACTTCATGGGTAGCATCCCTTACTACCCATTACATCATCTTTTGAGGACTTAAAGGAAGGAGAAACTGATGGAAATATATCAGTGTTCATGCTGTTTGTTGTGCCATAAGTAATAAAAATCCTTTGTCTCTTACTAAGGAGCCCTGTGTTTTTATTGACAGCCTCAATGAAACAAGCTTATTAGCTTGTAAGAAGGGACAAAATCCAAGACCTGACAAATCCTCACTAAAGGAGTTGTAAAGATTTGTAAAGTAAAGATTTAAATTACACATGAGAAAGGTAAGTTTCTCCAAACTGGTATGAAACAGGCCTTTTATGAAGGATATAACATACATAGCTGAGAAAGGTAAGTTTCTCCAAACTGGTATGAAGCAGGCATTTTTCGGAGGATATAATATACATAGCCCCATGTGGTAATTAACCATCACTTCTAATAAAACGCTTGAGCAATTTTCTAATATCCTTTAATGAAATAAAGATTCCTTCTGGGAAATTAGTGTTACAAACTCAAATGACCATTAATCTTGTGAGAAGCCTAATAGTCACTACACAGGCAGTCAAAAGCAGGGTAATTATGCAACCGTCATTTGAATGCAATAATGATCTTTAACCAGATTTTTAAAAATCTGGATTCCTGTAACAATATACCAAGGCTAATTATTTGAATTTGTTTCTTGAGGAGCTTTTTCTCTTGCAGTAATTTGAAATAAAACTTTGATATGTGCTCATAATTATTAGGCTTGAGAAGTTACTTTTATACTTTCCAAACATCTTTTAAGTATGTCGTTTTTCTTTTAGATATTTCGCTATGGGTTACTAGCCTTAAGAGTTGACTCAGTCCTTCACATCACATCTGATAAGGTGAGGTCAATTAAGTGAGGAAAGGTTGAGGCCCTGAGTGAATCTATTTGACAGAAGCCACTAAGTACAAAAAGACTGGGTTCTGAGTCTGGGGGTGAGGGCCAGAGAAAATTGAGCTGCCCCACATAGTGAAGTAGAGACAACATACACAAAGGTCAAAGTTGCTAGAGTGGGAATGAGAGGAAGGGAAAAGGGAGAAAGAGGGGAGGGCCAAACAAATTTCATTCTTCATTCACTCAGTAGAATTTTTGACCGATTACTATGGGCTAGTCATTATTCTAGACACTAAGAATAAAGCCAGGAAGAGGAGCTCCAAGATCGTCAATTAGACACAGCTAGAAAGAGCTTCTCCTACCAAGAGATCAGACCATCAGGAAGACTTGCATTCTCTGAGGGTATCGTCAGAAAGAATGCATTGAGAATGGATGGAGACAAGACTCAGACCCTGGACCAAAGTGAGAGGAACCCGGGAACCCTGCACAGGGCTGCCAAGCACTGGGACTCATTCATGACGCTCAATGTCTCCAGAGGAAAGGCTGAATTAGATAGGTGAGCATTTGCTAACTCCTCCCATGGACCTCTCGAATCCTAACTGCAGGAGACCCCATGATGCCCATAGAAATTTGAGCTGGCAGGGAGAGCTACTTGGAGTGCTGGCAGTGACAGGACTCTAGCCTGTGTGAAGCCCAGAGTGTTTAGCATGGGAATAGAGGCAGTGAGCCCAGTAGGGATGCCTATTCCCCAAGGTGCACCATGCTCCTCTACGTGGCTCTAGCCTTTGTTGACTGTCAGACCTGGACAGAGTAGAGGTGTCTTGCCCATGGGTCAGGACTAGTCTGATCTGAGCACCCCCTTGTCTGCCGACCTCTCCCAGGGTCCCTACCTGACCATGCCTACTTGCAACTCTGCGTTAGGTGTCCAACCAGGGCACTTCCTGGTGACTGGTGTCATAGCTACTTCACCAGCAAACTCTGCCTAACCATCAGAGAGCTTCTGCAGACAGGCCACTGCTGACACATATCCACACCCTCCCGCCATTGCCCCTGGCACAGGTGTACATGAGCCCTGATCCTGCTGCCACAAGTTCAATGAAGTGCTTTTGCCAGCACCCCCAAGTGGAGTGTTGATGTCAGCAAACCAGTAACACCTCAGCCCCTCCAGTTCAGTCGGTACTTAACCTAAAGGGGCCAGAGAACAAAGAAGTGGGCCTGGTCCCAACCCCATAGGGTTAGAGCATGCAGTGCAGGAATGCTCATCTGAACCCGGGACCCCTGAAATCATCCAGAAATGAAGCCAGTTGACTGAACGCAACTTATTCCACAGTCAAATCCCTCAAGGGCATAAAATAATATAAAAGTAAAAAAAAAATTCAAAGGACAAGAACTTCAAATATTAAAGGATCATCAGCCTACACAGATGATAAATAACCAACACGACAACTTTGGCACCTCAAGAAGCTAGAGTGTCTTCTTACTTCCAAACAACCACACTAGCTCCCAGGCAATGGTTGTTAACCAGGCTGAAATGGCTGAAATGACACACAGAGCAGTCACAATTTGGATGTAAGAACATTGAGATTCATAAGAAAATTGAAACCCAATCCAAGGAATCTAAACAATGTAAAGAAATAAAATAATATGAGATCTGAAAGACAAAATAGCCATTTTAAGAAAGAACCAAACTGTTCTGATAGAGCTGAAAAACTCATTACAAGAACTTTATAATACAATTGTTAAGTATTAACAGGAGAATACAACAAGCTGAGGAAAGAATCTCAGAGGTCAAAGAATAGTTCTTGGAATCAACTCAGTCAGACAAAAATAAAGAAAAAAGAATAAAAAATAATGAACAAAAATTTCTGAAAAATATGGGATTATGTAAAGACACCAAATTTATAATTCACTGGCATCCCTGAAAGAGAGAGAGAAAGAGAAAGGAACTTGGGAAACATATTTGAGAATATTGCCCATAAAAATTTTCCCAACCTCACTAGGAAGGTCAACATTCAAATTCAGGATACTCAGGGAGCCCCAGCAAGACATTGTACAAGACAACCATCTCCAAGACACATCGTCATTAGATTCTCCAAGGTTAACGGGAAAGAAAAAATATTAAAGGCCACTAGAGGGAAGGGGCTGGTCATCTACTAAGGAAACCCCATCAAGATAACAGTGAACTTTTCAGTAGAAACCTCATAAACCAGAGGAGATTAAGGGCTTATATTCAGCATCCTTAAAGAAAATAAATTCCAAACAAGAATTTCATAGCCAACCACACTAAGCTTTATCAGCAAAGGAAATACAAAATTCTTTTCAGACAAGCAAATGCTAAATAAATTTGTAACCTCCAGGCCTGCCTTATAAGAGGTCCCTAAAGGAATGCTTAAACATGGGGAAAAAAGACTGCTACAAGCCACCACAAAAACACAATTAAGACAGACCATTGACACTGTAAAACAGCTCCACCATCTATCTATCTTTCTTTCTTTCTTCCTTCTTTCTTTCTTTCTCTGTTTCTCTCCTTCTCTCCTTCTTTCTTTCTTTCTCTGTTTCTCTCCTTCTCTCCTTCTTTCTTTCTTTCTTCTTGAGTCAGGGTCTCATTCTGTCACCCAGGCTGGAGTGCAGTGGTACAATCATGGCTCACTGCAGCATTGACTGGTCAGGCTCAATCAATCTTCCTGCCTCAGCCTGCTGGGACTATAAGCACACAGCATCACACTCAGCTAAATTTTTTTATTTTTTTGTAGAGACAGGGTTTTGCCATATTACCCAGGCTGGTCTCAAACTACTGGGCTCATGCAATTTGCCCACCTTGTCCTGCCAAAGTGTTGGAATTACAGGCATCACCCACCACACCTGGTGAAACTGCACAATCAGGTCTACATAACAACCAGCTAACAACTCGAAGACAGGGTCAAATCCACACATATAAATATTAAACTTAAACATGAACAGAGTAAATGACCCACTTTAAAAGGCAGAGGGTAGCAATTTGGATAAAGAGGCAAGACCCAACTGTATGCTGTCTCCTAGAGACCCATTTCACAAGCAGTGACACACATAGGCTCAAAGTAAAGAGACAGTGAAAAATCTGCAAAGTAAATAGAAAACCAAAAAGAGCAGAGGTTACTTTTTCTAATTTCAGTTAGAACAGACTTTCTAAATACAATGATGAAAAAGCACAAGGAAGGGCATTAAATAATGAATAATGATAAGTGTTCAATTTAACAAGATGACCTAACTATCTTAAATAAGTATGTATCCAACACTGGAGCACCCAGATTCATAAAGCAAATTCTTAGAGACCTATGAAGAGACCTAGATAACCATGCAATAATACTGGTAGACTTAAACTCCCCACTGACAGTGTTAGACAGATTATTGAAGCAGAAACATAACAAAGATATTTGGGTTGTAAACTCGACACATGACCAAATGGACCTAACAGACATCTATAGGACACTCCACCCAACAACCTCAGAATACACACTCTTCTTATCTGCACTCTAAAATCAACCACATGCTTGACTATAAAGCAATTCTCAAAAAATTCAAAAAAACTCCAAATTATATCAACCACTCTCTTGGACTATACTGCAATAAAAATAGAAATCAATACCAAGAGGATCTCTCAAGGCCATACAATTATGTGGAAATTAAACAACCTGCTCTTCAATGACTTTTCAGTAAACAGTGAAACTAAGGAAAAAGCAAGGGATTCATTGAAACTAATGAAAAAAAAGATACAACATAACAGAATCACTGAGACACAGCTAAAATAGTGTTGAAAAGAAAGTTCATAGTGCTAAACATCCACATCAAAAAGTTAGAAAGATCCCAAATTACCAACCTAACATCACATCTAGAGTAACTAAAAAAACCCAAGAGTAAACCCACCCCAAAGCTGGCAGAAGAAGAGACATAACAAACTTAGAGCTGAACTGAATGAAATGGAGATGAAAAACCATACAAAAGATGAATAAAACCAAATGGTTTTTATTTGAGAGAATAAAAATGATTGCTAGACTGATAGCTAGACTAATAAAGAAAAAAACAGAGAAGATCCAAATAAATACAATCAGAAATGTCACAGGAGCAGTACAAAAAACCCTCAGAGACTATTTTGAACACCTCTATGCAGATAAACCAGAAAACCTAGAAGAAATGGATAAATTCCTGGAAAAATACAACCTCCCAAGATTGACTCAGGAAGAAATCAATATTCTGAACTGACCAATAAGGAGTTCTGAAATTGAGTTAGTAATAAAAACCTACAACAAGAAAAAAGCCCTGGACTAGAAAGATTCATAGCCAAAATCTACCAGACATATAAAGAAGAGCTGGTACTTTTTGAAACTATTCCAAAATATTGAGGAATAGGAGCTCCTCCTTACCTCATTCTATGAGGCCAGCATTATTCTGATACCAAAGCCTAGAAGAGACACAACAAAAGAAGAAAACTTTAGGCCAATATCCCTGATGAATACACATGCAAAAATCCTAATCAAAATACTACCAAACCAAATCCTGCAGCTAATCCAGCACAATCAAGTAGTCTTTATTTCTGAAATGCAAGGTTGTTTAAATATACAAATCAATAAATGTGATTCATTACATGAACTGAACTAAAAAAAAAAAACTACATTATCACCTCAATAGACATAAAAAACATTTGATGAAATTCAAAATCCTTTCAGGTTAAAACTCCTCAACAAAGTAGGCATTGAGGAAACATAACTCAAAATAATAAGAGCCGTCTATGACAAATCCACAGCCAATATTATAGTGAGCAAGCAAAAGCTGGAAGCATTCCCTTTGAGAACAAAAACATGACAAAGATGCTCACTCTCACCACTCCTATTCAACATAGTACTGGATATCCTAGCCAGAACATTCAAGCAAGAGAAAGAAATAAATGGCATCCAAATAGGAAGAGAGGAAGTCAAAATCTCTATCCTCACAGACTATATGACTTTTTACCTAGAAAACCCATGGCCTCTGCTAAAAGGCTCCTAATAAACAACTTCAGCAAAGTTTTAGGATATAAAATCAACGTACAAGAATAAGTAGCATTTCTATAAACTGAAAACCTCCAAACTGAGAGCAAAATCAAGAATACAATCCTGTTCGCTATAGCCACACAAAAAAAGTTATCTAGGAATACAGCTAACCAGGGAGGTGAAAGATACCTAAAATAGGAATTACAAAACACAGCTGAAAGAAATCATAGACCACAAAAACAAATGGAAACACATTTCATGCTCATAGATTGGAAGAATCAGTGTCATCAAAATGTCCATACAGCCCGGAGCAATCTACAGATTCAACACTATTCCTATCAAATTATCATTGTCATTTCTCACCGAATTAGTAGAAACCATTCTAAAATTCAAATGGAACCAAGAAAAGAGCCTGAACAGCCAAAGCAATCCTTAACAAAAGAAGGAACAAAACTGGAGACATCACATTACCCAACTTGAAATTCTAGTACAAAGCTAAGTAACCAAAACTTAGCCTTGGTAATAATCCAAAAATCGACACATAAACCAATGGAACAGAATAGAGAACCGATAAACAAAGCCACACACCTATGATCACCTGATCTTCGACACAGCCAACAAAGACAACCAATGAGTAAAGGACTCCTTATTCAATAAATGGTACTGGTGTAACTGTCTAGCCATATGCAGAAGACTGAAACTGGATCTCTTTGTTTTACCATATACAAAAATAAATTCAAGATGGACTAAATAAAGATTTAAATGTAAAACTTAAAACTATAAAAACCCTAGATGAAAACTTATGAAATTATATTCTGGAGGCCTTGCAAAGATTTCATGACAAAGACTCCAAAAGCAATTGCAAAAAGACCCAAACATTGACAAATGCGACCTAATTACACTAAAGAACTTTTACACAGCAAAGGAAACTATCAACAGAGTAAACAGGCAACCTACAGAATGTGAGAAAATATTTGCAAACTATGTATCAGACAAAGGTGTAATATCCAGAATCTATAAGAAACTTAAGCAAATTAACAAGCAAAAAACAAACAACATGAACAGACAAAATGGGAAAACGACATGAACAGATACTTCTCAAAAGAAGACATCAATACAACCACCAAGCATATAAAAAATGCTCAACATCATTAATCATTAGATAAATGCAAATCAAAACCACAATGAGATACCATCTCATACCAATCAGAAAGGCTATTACTAAAAAGTAAAAAAAATAACAGATGCTGGCAAGGTTGGGGAGAAAAGGGAATGCTTTTATACCACTGGTGAGAATGTAACTTAGTTCAGCCACTGTGGAAAGCCATTTGGAGATTTATCAAATAACATAAAACAAATACTATCAGACATATCAATCCTATTACTGGGTATATACTCAAAGAAATATAAATCATTCTACCATAAAGACACTCGCACACACATGTTCATTGCAGCACTATTCACAATAGCAAAGATATGGAAACAATCTAGATGCGTATCAGTGGTGTACTGGAAAAAAATGTGGTACATATATACCATGGAATGCTATGCAGCCATAAAAATGAATGAAATCATGTCCTATGCACCAACATCGATACAGTTAAAGGGCATTATCCTAAGCAAATTAATACAGGAACAGAAAATGAAACACTGCATGTTCTCACTTATAAGTGGGAGCTAAACGTTGATTATACATGAAGACAAAGAAGGAACCAACAGACACTGGGGCCTACTTGGAGGTGGAGAGTAGGAAGAGGGTGAAGATCCAAAAACTACCTATCAAGTACTATGCTCATTACCTGGGTGATGGAATAATCTCTCCACCAAGTCCCTGTGACATGCAATTTACCAATATAACAAACCTTTTCATGTACCCTCAGAACCTAAAATAAAAATTGGAAAAAAAAAAAGAAAAACAAACAAAAAGAATCAAGCCATGAACTAAACCAACAATACCCCTGATATCATAAAGATTGCATTCTAATAGAAGGTATGGCCAATGAACATACTGGCAAATAAACCAAAAATGTAACTGTAAGTTACGATAAATAACATAGGAGAAATAACTAGAGTGTTCTGACAGAGTTAGGGGGAGGATTACAGACAGATATATTAGTCAGGAAGAGTAGCAGAGGTCAGTAGGTTTTTCTTCTACAGTAGTAACATTTGAGCTGAGACCTGAAGGATGACTCTTGTTGAGTCAGGCTCAACAAGATTTAGGGAAAGAGCATTTCAGATGGATGAAAGAGAGCCTACATGTGGGAAAGAGAATCAGAAGTTTTGCTGCACAGAGAGCCAGGAAAAGAGAATTTAAAGCCAAAGGGCCAAGGGAGGTTCCAATTATATAGATCCTTTTATATCACAGCCTGAAAGCCACCACACTTTATTCCAGGAGCAGTAGAAAGCCATTGAAGCACGTTTGACAAGTGGAGAAAGCTCTTTATTTATACTTTAAAAAATCATTCTGGCAACTCATCAGATGGGTGCTTCTTAAACTTTGATGTGATAGAATCGCCTGGAAATCTTGATAAAATGCAGATTCAAATTCAATCAGCCTAGGGTAGAGCCTGAGAATCAGTACAAGTTCAGACAATGCTGGCTCACACTTCAAGTAGCAAGGACATAGAGAATTGATTGCCTTGAGAAAAGAGAGACCAGTTAGAAGGTAGCTTGGACCAAAGCAGTATTTTTCACACTTTCAAAAAACACATGTTACTGTATGAAAGGATACCTGTTCTGTGTGATGGCATCTGATGTTTTCTCATCTCATTTTATTTATTTATTTTAATAATCAAAGGTATAAAATCACAAATTAAAAGAAAAGAATAATAAAAAACAATATTTTACTTAACAAAATGGAAGCTAATCTAAAATAATAATGTTTACAATTGGTAAAATATTGGAAAATTAGCATCATCATGTGCTACTGTTGAAATTACAGTTTGGTGAGAAATAGCTCCATGGAAATAAGGGATTCAGTATCATGTGTTTTTCTTTATTCCAGCAACTTCACTTCCATTAAAACTACACCTTTAATGATGTTAATAAAAACATTATCTGTAATACTGTATAAGTAGAAACAATACCAAAAAAAAGAGTTTTTAAAAAAGCATATTTATGTAATGGAAACTAGGCAATAATTTAAAATTATTCTTCAATATTTGCTTCCTGAGTTGAAAATACCTAAATATAAAGTTGAAAGAAAAGTGTGCTAATAAATACTTGATGTATTATAAACCACATTTATACAAAAATATAGCTTTACATGTGCACCAAAAATTTTATTGCATGTGAATAGCTATCATTTCTAGGTTATGAAATTATAGGAGTGTTCTATGTTTTCTGGGTGTTTATATCTCCTAATTTATTCTAATGAACATATAATTAAGTAATAAAAGTATAATTTAGTTTAAAATTACAACATACCACTCCTTTTTTCAAACACTGAATCCTACTTTACATCCTTCATGGAAAAAGCAAGTGACAAGGGGCCACAATGTCTGTGTTCCATTCCTAGCTTCCATTTTGCTGTAATTCATGCTTTGAGTAAGTGATGCTGTCCCTGTTGATTCTACTTTTTTCATCTATTAAATGAGGGACATGAGCTGAATCAGTATTTTCTAAATTGTGGTTAACATAGGAGGTCATGTTAGGCAGTACACAGATGGTCTTTTTAATTGTTATACATGTAATGTTATTTTAGTTTGTATCAGGAACAAACATAGCCTGCACATCAGATGTATAGTTTATATAAAATATAATTTCACTGATAGTATCCATTAAAATAAGAACAATATTTTACACAGTTTTGAAGTCTACTCAACATAAAAGTTAATTTAACATTTAATTAAGTAAATAATAGTATAGATGATACAAATACAAGAAACATCATGAATTTACAAGCAAATGGGTAAAATACTGTTGGTGAGAGTATAGCACGGAGAAAACTTGCCTCTTGGCCTCAGAGCCTGTGCCACAGTGGTCTGCGACTTTAGAGTAAAGGACAGAGCTGTGGAAGGGATCGGTGGGCAAACAGGCCCAGAACCAGCACAGCACAATCTACATTGAAGAATGAAATTTCAATAATAACAAAATGCAATTTAATTTAATATAAATTCAGCTTCATCACATAAGAAAGATTCTGCACTACCCTTCGCTTCTGTTTGGAGACAGAGTTTATAAAGAAGTTCTCTCTACATATAAAGACAACACCTTCACTCCCACCTGCAAGGCAAGGCTGTGTCAAGGGTCCCGGATGCAGGTTGTGGTACAGGCTGCAGGTGCTTGGGGACCCTGTGCCTCAAAGCACAGAAGTAGGTGCCTGAATCTCCAGGATGAGAGACCAGCATATTCAAAACACTATAAAACTTCTCTTTTCCAAGCGCTTCTTTAAAATGTTTGTCTCCCTCCTCCATCTGGCTTGATTGAATTAAGGTCAAAGACACAAGTCCTTTTCCAGACCCTGCCAGAACCAGTAGAAGTTAAGAGAACGTTCTCTCCTCATAAGTGCAATTAAGAATGTTGTGCATTCCCTCCCGGATACTCAGGAATGAATGAAGGACTCTACTCCAGAATATGGAGGCTGTTCACCCCTGTTTAAACAGAGAACCACAGACAGAGGACATTCATTCATGGCTGACTACTTTTGGAAGATATACTCTCCTTTCAAGTCCCCACAGGTGAGCACAGAGGCCCTAACCACCCTTCTATAACTTCCAGACTTTTATTTTATTTATTTATTTATTTATTTATTTATTTATTTTTATTATACTTTACGTTCTAGGGTACATGTGCACAACGCGCAGGTTTGTTACATACGTATACATGCGCCATGTTGGTGTCTGCACCCATTAACTAGTCATTTACATTAGGTATATCTCCTAATGCTATCCCTACCCCGTCCCCCCACCCCACAACAGGCCCCGGTGTGTTATGCTCCCCTTCCTGTGTCCAAGTGCAGACTTTTAAAGAAGATACTACAAACTGCTCTTTTCAATGATATTTCCAGAGCCCCAAAACTCACAGCACAGCTGCCAAGAGAAAATCAAGAACAAAACTCCCAAGGGCTTCTCCACAAACTCCCAAGGGCTTCTCCACTTTATCCATGAGACTTACTGCGGACTCTGGTTGGGGTCTGGGAGCCCTCAAACACTACCAAGCCAATAGCTTGTTTCTCTGAGTGAATATTCATAGTTCTGTTATTACAGGAAGCTGAGAGTCCTCCCAGCCAACCACAAACAAGATCCATTCCCCCATGCACAGATAACACAGCTCCTCCTGATGTCTGAAGAGGTAACATGGAAAAGGACCTTGGTAGGACCAGGTGCTGATTTGTTGGAGAGTGATGCTTGTTTGTCTGCCAGATTGTTGTCCTTCCTTTTTTTCTTCTATAATCCTTCCTGAGCATCTACCATGTATGTACAAGTCATAAATTGAATATCCAAAAAGCATTCCTCCCCAAGGAAAGCCTAGAAAGGTTATTTTCTCTCCTTTCAATGCAGAAACCTGTTAAATGAGCCCCCAGATACGGATCTAATTATTGGCACCATAGCTCAATATAATAGTATTATATCTGACACCTGCTCCATAAGGCTCATGTGAATTCATCTTAGAATTTACATTAAGTTACACCAGGGGCAAGAATGTTTCATTCTGTGCATAAAACCTGTGAACTAAAGAAACCAAACAAGAAAGCCATTACAGTCAGTTCAAATAATTGGATGGAATAAGGTCAATATGAAATAAAGGGTGACTCAGCCTTAACCATAGTAAAATAATATAATCAATAGCAGGAGAGTGGAAAGCTAAACCTTAATCTATACTTAAATTTTTTAGTTATTTTATCTTATGTTCTGTTTTATCAACATTTCATCCACATTCCAGAATAACTATCATCAGCTGAAAAATTATTTTTGACTAAATTCAATCATGTAATTAAATTCATTTAATTTAATTCAATCTTTACAATCATGTGGTAAGTTGTATGTTATTAAAATTGATGATGTGTAGATGCTCTAAATTAAGTACTTGTCCATGGCCACATAATTTAGTAAGTGACAGATACAGCACTTAAATACTTAGACCTTGGCCAGGTGTGGTAGTGTGGGCCTATAGTCCCAGCTACTCAGTTGGCTGAGACAGGTGGATCGCTTGAGCCCAGGAGTTTGTGACCAGCCTTGGCAACGTAGTGATACCTGTTTCCAAAAACAAAACAAAAAAACCTTACCTTTTAATCATCACATAAAACAGGCCAATTATTATGGTAAGCAAGAGCAATATCTATGTTAGAACGAAAACTTCATAGGATATTTCTGTAAGAGAAAGTTGAACACTGTAGACAAAGCTAGACTCGAGCCTCATGAGGTAAGCTCTTCTGGTGTCTGACTTTGTCTATTTTGTTTATTATTCTATTCATCAAACCTACAAAAACCCCTGTTGCCTATTTAAGAAATAATTGTATAATGAACAAATTTGATGTGTGTCTGTCCTTTAAAGCCTGATTAAATTTTCTATTTCCCCATGATGCCTCTCCTTGACTTTTCTGTAACACAGTGATCTCCTCCTGAAAATACCTTTAAAACTTAATTGTCCACATACTTATAATTTTAACAATTGGTTAAGTTTTTATGTATTTTATCTTGTTCCTCAATTTATGGAATAAATTTTTTCTGATAAGTTCTTTCCAGGTAAAAGCAATAATTTATACTGCTATCAGTAGACAAATGTCCTGATACAGCACATTGTACATATAAGGGCTTCATTATTATTTTAGGTCAACATGTATTCTTCTTTTCTTGCTTATTTACTAAATAATTAACTACCGAAATGGTAATTTTTCTCTCCCTGAACACAAGTGACTTCTTAGTTTCTCAATATTATAGAAGATTTTATAGCAGCTTTTATAATCAGCTAACAATTACTGAGCACTTATCATGGGCCAGAATTTCAAATATATATATTCATTTAATCCCCACAACAAATGGTAGTCAGAAAGTTAAGCAACTTAGCCAAGATTTTACAGTTATAAGCATTCAAGATCAGATTCAAACCCAGGCAAACAGGCTCCTAAATTCTTACTCTTAACTGCTCACTTCACCACCTCTCCTTTTTGTTCCCTAATCAACAAATCACATGGTAAATGGTGACATTCCCAATGTGTGAATTGAAATGCTTCACTTGTTTACCAGTTTGTGAAAAGATGAACTATTTTTCATGGATTCAGCTGAGAAGGACTCAGCCCCATGGCATTATTTGGTTTCAAAGACGTGAAAGTGACTGAGCTGAGAGAGAACACAGGCAGGCCACACTTTGTCTTTGTCAACCCCTTCAAGAAAGGAGAGGATGAAATTTGGAGAGGAGGATACGAAAAACCTACTGCTAAAAATTCTATTCAGCTTTGATCATTTGATGCTTGACTTCTACTCTCATGAAACATAAATTATTCACTTATATGCTAGAACAAATACCATCTGTTTTTATCATAATAGCTTTCTTCTGTGACTAATTACTAGGAAATTGAAGGATTTTTTGTGGTAATTGAGGAATGTTCTAATAGTTTATATGAGTTTAGAGCAGAAGTGTTATGCCTAGATGGAAAAGGAAATGCTTTGGTAAAGGCTAAATTTTCAAGACTTTGATACGACTAAGGGAAAACTAAGACAGAGTATCATTTTCTGCACACTTACAAGACAATAATAAAATTGTATTATTTTATTTTCATGTACTATTTTTACAATGTTTTACCGAGTTCAGAGAGAGCAACCATCAGGCCTTTACTTGCCCCCTCATTGGAATCAAATAAGCATTAAAAAATCCAGAGTTCTCAGTGACCCCCTTTTCATCAAGCAGTAGCAGAATTCTTGTCGTAGATTCAGGAGAGAGATCATGGTCTACACAAGCTCACTTCGTCCCTGCAAAAGCAGGAATGAAATCCCTGGTCTCCAGCATCAGTTGCATATTCCTTACAATGACAGGCACCGAGTTTGGATTACTGATGGAGAAGCTTCTTACACCTGCTGTCATGTTCTCAGAAGCTGATAAATGTAAGAATAAGCAGAGTGTTTCTGAGAAGGAAGCTAATTAGGTTTTCAAATTTGCAAGTGGGTTCTCTGGTTATGGGACAGTCTCCACTAGTGTGCAAAAGACAAACAGGAATTGCACTTTTAGCTAAATATCTCATAAAAGCACTTTCTTATTTTTCTGTAGTTGAACTGAGACTTACTTGAGGTTTATCTTTATTTATACATTTATATTTTGAATGTATTCATATTTACACAACTCTGCCATAGAAGAAACCTGAACTTTTAATTTATCTTTAAAGAACTTTTAACATTTCTTGCAAGGCAGGGCTAGTTGGCAACACGTATCCCCAATTTTTGTCTGAAAATGTCTTTATTTCTCTTGCACTTTTGAGGGATAATTTCTCTGGGTACACAATTCTAGGTTGGTGGTTTGTTCTGTTAATACCTTAAATATTTCACTATACTTTCTCCTCCTTGCATGATTTCTGAAGAGAAGTTGGATGTAATTCTTGTGTTTGTTCCTGTATAGGTAAGGCACTTCCCCCACTCCACCCCTTGCCAGCTTCTTTCAGGATGTTTTCTTTGTCTATGATTTTCTAGTTTGAAAATGATATGCTTAGGATTTGGAGGGGGTTGGCATTTATGCTACCAAGTGTTCTCTGAGCTTCTTAGATCTGTGGTTTGGCATCTGGCATTATTTTGGGAGAAATTCTCCATCATTGTTTTAAATATGTTTTCTGTTAATTTCTCTCTTTCTTCTCCCTGTGACATTCCCATTACATGTATAGTATACTTCTATAGTTGTTCCACAGTTTTTGAATATTTTTAGATACTCTTTCCTGGGTGTTTTTTAGTCTTTGTTTTCTCTACTTTTTCAGTTTTGGATGTTTCTGCTGATATATCCTTAAGTTCAGAAATTCTTTCCTCAGCTACGTCCAGTTTATTAATAAGTCAGCCAACGACATTCTTCATTTCTGTTGCTGTATTTTGATCTCTAGCTTTTTTTTTCTCTTGGTTCTTTCTTAGAAGGTCGGTCTCTCTGTTACATTGCCCATCTGTTCTGGCATGCTCTCTACTTCATTACTAGAGCCGTTGGCATATTTGTTTCAAATTCCTGGGTCTGATAGTTCCAACAACCCTGATGTGTTTTTCTGATGATTTTTCTGTCTCTTTCAATTGTATTTTCCCTTTTAATACGCCCTGTAATTTTTTATTTGATAGCCAGACATGACATACTTGGTAAAAGGAACCGCTGTAAATAGGCTGTTAGTGCTATGGTGGTAAGGTGTGAGGGGAGAGGAAGTGTTCTATAGGCCCACAATTTGTTCTCAGTCTTTTAATGAGTCTGTGTCTATCGGCTATAAACTTCTCAACTTTTCAAGTCTCTAGAAAAATCACATGATTTTATCAATAAATGCAGAAAAAGCATTTAACAAAATTCATCACCCATTCATGATAAAAACTCTCGGTGAACTAGAAATAGAGTGGAATTCCTTCAACTTCATAAGTAATATGTTCCAAAATCTATAGCTAACATCATAATTATGAGAAACTGATGCTTTCCTACTAACATCAGGAACAAGGCAAAGATGGGCCTCTCTCCACTCCTTTTCAGCGTCATATTGCGAGTCCTAGCTAATGCAACAAGACAAGTAAAAAAAAAAAAAGTATACAGATTAGGAAAAAAAGAAGTATAACTTTGTTCCCAGATGACATGTGCATGAGTAGGAAGACTCAATATTGTCAAAATGTTCATTCCTCACAGTTTAATCTGTAGGTTCAATGCAATCTCAATTAAAATCCCAGCAATTTTTTGTGAATATTGATAAACTCATTCTAAAGGTTATATGGAGGTGCAAAGGACCCAGAATTATCAAAACAAAAAAAGGTTTTACAGGAGAATAAAGTCAGATGAATGACAATACCTGATTTTAAGACTTACTGTAAAGCTAGAATAATCAAGACACTGTGACATTGGCAAAAGAATAAACAAATAGATCAATGGAACAAAATAGAGAACCCAGAACTAGACGCACATAAATGTAGTTAACTAATCTTTGACAAAGGAGCACAGGCAATACAATGAAGTAAAGACAGTTTTGTCAATAAATGGTGCTGGAACAACTGGACATTCACAGGCAAAAAAAAAAAGAAAAAGAAAAAGAAAAGAAAATTAATCTAGACTCTAGACACAGACCTTATACTATTCACAAAAATTAACTCAAAAAGCAACCATAGATGTAAATGTAAAATGCAAAACAAAACTCAACTCCAAGAAGGCAATGTAGGAGAAAATCTAGATGACCTTGGGTTTGGCAACGACTTATACAAAGACAAAGGTATGTTCTCTGGAAAAAAAATTATTGATAAGCTGCACTTCACCAAAATTTAACAGTTATGCTCTTATGAAATGCAATGTCAAGAAAATGGGAGACAAAACACAGACGAGGAGAAAATATTTGCAAAAGGCATATCTGATCAAGAACTGTTATGCAAAACATCTTAAAATTCAACAATAAGAAAACAGTCTGACCAAAAAAAAATGGATAAAAGACTTTAACACATATTTCAGCAAAGAAAATATATAAATAGCAAATAAGCACATGAAAAGTTGTTCTATATCATATGGCATCAGGGAAATGAAAATTAAAACAACAATGAGATACCATGATACACCTATTTGAATGGCCAACATCCAGACCTCTGACAACACCAAATGCTAGCAAGGATATAAACAAAAAAGAACTCTCATTCATTGTTGGTGGGAATGCAAAATGGAACAGCCACTTTGAGCACAGTTTGGCAGCTTTTAAAAAAAAAAAAAATTCTTTCCATATGATCCAGCAGTTTTCCTCATTGGTATTTATCCAAGTAGTGGAAAACACGTCTACACAAAAACCTCCAAAGGGATATTTGTGGCAGCTTTATTCATAATTGCCAAAACTTCGAAGCAACCAAAATACCCTTCAGAAGAAGAATGGATAAATAAACTATGATGTATCCAGAAAATAGAATATTATTCAATACTAAAAAAAAATGAGCTATCAAGACATGAAAGAAACAGAAACCTTAAATCCATGTTACTAAGTGAAAGAAGTCAGTGTGGAAAGTCTACATACTGTATGATGCCAAGTATATGACATTCTGGAAAAGGCAAAATCATGGAAACACTAAAAGATCAGAGGTAGCCAGGGGTTATATTGGGAAATGAATGAATACCAGAGCACAAGGGACTTTTAGGACAGTGAAATTACTCTGTCTGATACTACAATGATAGATGTATGGCATTACACATTTGTCCACATCTATATATTATGCAACACTAAGCGTGAACCCTAATGTAAACTATGAACTTTGAGTGACTATGACATGTCAATGTAAGTGCATCATTTGTAACAAATGTACCACTCTGGTGGTGGATGTTGATAATGGGAGAGGATATATATCTGGGAAGGGATAGAGGGTGTGTGGCAAATCTCTGTACCCTTCTCTCAATCTTGCTGTAAACTAAAACTGCTCTTAAAAAATAAAGAATTTTTCAAAGGGTGAGGGTTTGCCAGTATCTCATAGTTGGAACAATGGTAGATGTGGAAAATAAAGACAATAAATGGTAAAAAAAAAAGGGGGGGCAGATATATAAATGGCAATATATCAAAAAATGTAAATAGCTTTTAAGTATATTAAATGACGCTCCATCTAATTCATAAATAAATGAAATATTCTTTAAATGAAATTCTAACTCATAAGCCAATGTCAAAAAGTTTAGTAATACATAAGGTTTAAGGAAAATAGGTATCCTGCCAAATCACCACTACTGATAGTATAAATTAGTGAAACTTATCTAGAAGACAATTGGGTTGAAACACATAGACTACTACGAGAATATTTCATAAACAATATTTTATATTTCTTATATTAAATAATTGACTATTATATTTTTACATTTTAATTTTATTCTGCTTTCTTGTGTTATTGTGTTCTGCACTTCAATTCATGAAATATTAAATTCCAGCTTTCTTCTGGGTTTGGGAAGTGAGCATTGCTTGTTATACATGCAGTGGTGGAGAGCATGGGTGGTCAATTAATTATACATTTTCTCACTTTCTCCTCCTCTTTTCATACCCTCTTTTCAAATACCCTCAAAATAGAAACACACACACAAAGCATTATCTTCACCAATTATTCAAAGGTCATTGGTACTTCTGATTTCTAAACCTTTCCACAAAGGCTCAACACACATTGGTGTTCCTTGTTGTCTTCTTTCACTGGGCCCAGGTTTCTTCTTTATCTGGTCTGCTATGCAAGTTTTCATTTCTCCATACACTCCTGCCTTCTAAAATTGTATTGGTATCACCATCTGCTGTCACCTCCTTTTCTATTCTTTTTGTGGTTTTATGCCCTTTTCAATTTCTTTACTGTGTCTTTAATAGGATTTCACAGGGATACAAATATAAATCTGTATGCTTAATCTTCCATTGGCACTGCAAAACTAACTCACTTAAGGACTTGTTGTTAGAAAGCCAATTGATCAATGTAACAAGCAAGGAATACTTATGATTTACAAATGAGTCATTTCTTCAATAATGATTTTGATCCTTCCCTTTCTTTTTGGAACATCAGCCTTTGTCTACCATCTGGCTTACCAAAAAAGAAAACTTCCCTCTCTCTGACAATTGTTGCTTTCTTCTCCGTATTATTTTTTTACATGTGACATTCTGTCCCTCCTCCTTTCTTCTCTTCCCTTCTTTCTCTATTAAGAATCCTGCATAGACATTTGAACTGAATTGAGGAGCTGTGGCTCTCACGTCATCTCTCCTGCTGTACTCTGTTACAGAGACATTGTACAGACGCCACCTTCTCTGGCATATTTGGCTCTGTAAAAATGTAATAGAACACATCCACCTCCAATATCTACCAGAGTGACCTGGAACAAGAGGTGGGGGTTGAACTTTGTCTGCAAGGATGATCACAGAGACAGCTTCATTGTTTCTGTGGTTTAACCTTGAAATTACTTTGGCACTGGATGAGGAACTATTTGGTGTCAATGTCTGTTTTTAATTTCACTAACCAAGAGCTGGGTTTGGGGATGTTCATTTCTTGTTTTTCTCCTCTGGCCATGTGTATGATTACTGCATCAATCAGAGAAACTGAGGCACAAACAACCACAGACTGTGCTAGAACCAGAGTGGATCACAGTGGCTGACACTCAGCAGCCGGGCCCCCCGTGCTGCTCAGAGTTTGTGCTCAGCTCCCCCTGCAGTCCCTGTCACTGTGTCACTCAGAGCACAGAAGTACACCGCTGAGTCTGACACTTGAACTGAGCCTTTCTCCAAGTGGAAAGAAGTGGTTTCTTTACGGTATGTGGCTTCAAAACCTTTGTTGCTTCCCTTGTCATCAGCCTTCGTGGCTTTCAGGAGGAGCTGTAGACCTTCTCCAGGATATTGGACATACCAGAAAAGGGAAGGGTATCCTGTGGCTGTGTACGTGCAGTTTATAGTCAGGAAGGCCTCTTCTGAGAGAGTCACTGGCCCTTCCATCTGGGTCACTGAATCTCCACGGGTTCTTCCTAGGGAAAAAAAAAAAAAGAGAGAGAGAGAGATCTGTTTAGCCTTGAGCATAATGCTCTTAGGTCAAATTATGGTTAAAGATTTTTTTGGCTTGATAGAAGACAGAGACCAAATTTTAAAAGGCATCTCACTAACCAAGCAGTAAGAGTATCAGAGATACTAAGCCTGGAGAATAGTTCATCTTTAGTGTGTTACCCAAATAATGGTCTTGATCCTTAACATGAAGAAATCACAGTGAAACCTACAGTGATAGCAGGAAATGAGTTTGTGTTAGGAAGCCACTCCCTCTGGTGGACAGGGGCTGAACTGGGATGAATGTTTTCCTGGACTCCTTCCAAAAGTCAGAAATAGGTCCTCAACCCTGACCTCATTTATAAGGCCCATGCCAGTCTCAGGTGGTCCTTGTAAATATGAAGGGCAGATGTTGTCATCTCTATGGTCTATTTTGTCAATTTTGTTCTTTGGACACTACCTGAAACAAAAGATCTTTAGCAAAGCATCCTAGAGTATTTCTGTAGGTGAGAGTTCCATTTTCTTGGATATTTTAATACAGGCCAATATTTTTACGTATCCATTGCAGGCCAGTGGTATAATTCAATGGGATGTCAGACAAGGGTTTTGAGTTGAAATCAGAGGGAATGTTAAGAAGTCTTGCTGTTACTGAGTCTATGTTTTTCAGCACTGTATCCTAACATGTAGAGCAGTGACTGACATTTACTGATAAGATATGACCTCAGATTAATAGCTTATTCCCTCACGATTTCAATGACTCCAAGACAAGTTGCTTGCTTATGACAATCAGGCAACAAGTGTTAACCCTATAATCTGGAGATCTGGCCTCAAGGACGCTTTCTACTGTGGTCATATGCCAACATTTTATTGCCAAAGTTTAATCAATTTCCTCTGATGATGTAGGGAATCCACATGTAGATTTGCATCAACAGACTGAAGCATGAGTTAGAACTTTCCTCTTCTCTTGCTTTACAAATTGATAAAGATACATCGGCTGATAATCGAGGTTCTAAAACCTGGTTGTGTGAGAACTGAATTAACTTGTGAGTCATTTAAAATTACAGATGTTGGGACAAGACTACTAACTTTAGGAATCACGATTTCCAACATTTCAAACCACAATTTCCAAGATTCAAAGGGTTTCATTTTTTAAAAACTTCCCTGATGGTTTTGTTGCTGCCAGCCTGATAGTTGTTTACAAGATTTTATTTGTGAACACTGTCCTATACCAAGACGGTTATCAACTATCAGAGATAACACTCTGAGGTCATCACAAAAAAATGTCCCCATGATTACACAGATTATTAAAGCTGGTCTTTTCCTATGAAGTGTCTGCAGTAAAAACAAACACTTCATTATGCTTACTTCCTGTGAGTTTTCATTTTATAACATAACAAAAGAAAACAAAAACCTGTTTTTGGTAAGATGGCAGACTAAATGCAGCTGAAATATGTCTCTTACATGGAGAGAAACTAAAATATCAAGAAAGATTTGTTCAAGTGCAATGGATTACTCAGTTTGCATTTTGTCTCCCATTTTCTTGACATTGCATTTCATAAGAGCGTAACTTTTAAATTTTAGTGAAGTGCAGCTTATCAGTAATAAAAAATGTACCAATAAAAAAGCCACATACCAGACGGATTCACAGCCGACTTCTACCAGACATACAAAGAACTGATACCAATCATGCTGAAACTATTCCAAAAAATCAAGAAGAGATTCTTCCCTAAATTGTTCTACAAATCCAGTATTATCCTGATACCAAAAATCTGTTAAAGACACAATGATAAAAGAAAACTAAAGATCAAATCCCTGATGCACATAGACACAAAAATTCTCAACAAAAACTAGCATCCTGAATCCAGCAGCACAGCAAAAAGCTAATCTTCATTCCTGGGATCAAGTAGGCTTCATTCCTGGGATCCAAAGTTGTTTCAACACACACAAATCAGTAAATGCGATTCACCACATAAGCAGAATTAAAACCAAAACCCATGTGATCATCTCAATAGATACAGAAAAAGCACTCCATAAAATCCAATAACTCTTCACGATAAAAACCCTCAACAAACTAAGTATTGAAGGAATATACCTCAAAATAATAAGAGTGGTCTATGACAAACCCATAGCCAATATCATACTTAATGGGCAAAAGCTGGAAGCGTTCACCTTGAGAACGGGAACAAGACAAGAATGCCTACTCTCTGTACTCCCATTCAGCATAGTACTAGAAGTCTTACCCAGAGCAAGCAGGCAAAAGAAAGAAGTAAAAGGCCTCCAAATAGGGAAAGAAGAAGTTACATTATCTCTCTTCACTGACAATATGATTCTATACCTAGAAAACACTAAAGACTCCACCAAAAGACTCCAGAACTAATGAATGACTTCAGCGAAGTTTCAAGGTACAAAATCAACATTAAAAAATCAGGAGCATTTCTATAAACCAATAGTGATCATACTGAGAGTCAGTTCAAGAATGCAATCCAATTTACAATAGCCACATGCCCCCAAATACCTAGGAATACAGCTAACCAAAGAGGTGAAAGAAGAACTGTAAAACACAGCTGAAAGAAATCATAGACCACACGAACAAATGGAAAAACATTCCATGCTTATGGATTGGAAGAATCAATGTCGTCAAAATGTCCATACTGCCCAAAGCAATCTACAAATTCAAAACTATTCCTATCAAATTGTCAAAGTCATTTTTCACAGAATTAGTAGAAACCATTCTAGAATTCATATGGAACCAAAAAAGAGCCTGAATAGCCAAAGCAATCCTTAACAAAAAGAAAGAACAAAACTAGAGACATCACATTACCCAAATTCAAATTGTAGTACAAGGCTAAGTAACTAAAACTTGGCCTTAGTAATGGTCCAGAAACGGACACAAAGACCCATGGAACAGAATAGAGAACCGAGAAATAAAGCCATACACTTATGATCATCTGATCTTTGACAAAGCCAACAAAAATAAGCAATGGGGAAAGGACTCATTCAACAAATGGTGCTGGGATAACTGCCTAGACATATGCAGATGAATAAAACTGGACCCCTATCTGTCACCATATACAAAAATTAATTCAAGAGGGATTGAAGGCTTAAATGTAACACCTCATAGAAATCCTAAAAGAAAACCTAGGAAACGCACTTCTGGATATCAGCCTAGGCAAAGAATTTTTGGCTAAGTTCTCAAAAGCAATTGCAACAAAAACAAAAATTGGCAAGTGGGACTTATTTAATCTAAAAGGCTTCTGCACAGCAAAAGAAACTATCAACATAGTTAAAAGACAACTTACAAAATGGGAGAAATTATTTGCAAACTATACGTCCTACATAGGACTAATATCCAGAATCTGTAGTGAACTTTAAGAAATCAACAGGAAATAAACAAATAATTCCATTAAACAACGGACAAAGAACTTGAACAGACACCCGTCAGCAGAAGACATACAAGTGGCCAACAAGCATATGAAAAAATCTTTCATATCACTAATCATCAAAGAAATGCAAATCAAAATCACAATGAGATACCATCTCATACCGGTCAGAATAGCTATTATTAAAATTCAAAAAATAACAGATGCTGGAGAGTTTGCAGGGAAAATGGAATGCTTATACACTGTTGCTGAGAATGCAAATTAGTTCAGCCCTGTGGAAAGCAGTGTGGAGATTTCTCAGAAAACTAAAAAAACATTTATGATTCAAGCCAGCAATCCCATACCTGGCTATATATCCAAAGGAATATAAATCATTCTACCAAAAGACACATGCACTCATATATTTATCACAGCACTATTTACAATAGCAAAGACATGGAAACAACCTAGGTGCCCATCAATTGTGATAGACTATGGAAAATTTGGTACATATACACCATGGAATTCTATGCAGCCATAAAACGAATGAAATTATATCCTTTGCAGAAACATGTATGCAGCTAGAGGCCATTATCTTAAGTGCAGAATTAGTGCAGAAACAGAAAACAAAATATCATATGTTCTCATTGTAAGTGGAAGCCAGACTGTGGGCACACACAGACATAAAGATGGGAATAATAGACATCGTGGACTCCAAAAGGAGGGAGAGATGGAGGGGGGAGGGGCTGAAAAACATCCTATTGGGTACCATGTTCACTATCCAGGTGACTGCCTGTTGCGTACTATGTTCACTATCTGGGTGACCAACTAGGAGCCCAAACCTCAGCATCACGCAGCATACTCTTGTTACAAACCTCCGCATGTAAATCTAAAAATAAAATGAAAAAGAAAAGAAAAAACCTCCAGAAGTGTTATCAGAGTAAAATTTGGGAGAAGGATCTAACTTTCTGCAAGGACCTGTAAACATTTATACCTAGACACATAGCTAAGAACAGACACTTAGTTCAGTCTGTTTCCTGGAGTTCACTCTCCCCAGATTCAGATAAAGAATGCGTCCAGAGTCAGCATATGAATAGTTTCTCAGATACAGACTTCATTAAGAAATTCAGGCCCAGATATTGTTTGGGTTTGCAAATCTCTTCTCCTTCTCCTCCACCTTCCAAATCACTTTGTCAGAAACAAGCCTAGAACTATGTTGAAAATGAATTCTGGAAAATCAGCTACAAATTTCTATTCTGATATACAAAGGGGAATGCAAAATAAGCTGGAATGATGCTGGGTTGAAAATAAACAGTAGAGCACATGGGTGTAGACTGTTGTCATCCATACTTAAGAAAAATAGTTTAAACCCAGTGAGAACAGTTTGCATCTTGGACCATATCAGAATACTTCTGTGATGTTGAAGACATGTACTTTTAAATTGGATTTTTAAATGGTTTTATTGATGTATAATTGACATAAAAATTAACTGCACCAAAGTAAAGTGAACATTTTTATAAGATTTGACATACATATAGGCTTGTGATGCTATTATGGCAATCAACATGATGAATATTTACATCACCCCAAAAGTTTCTCATATTTCTTTGTACTTTTTCTCTTAACCTTCCTATCTCCCATGCCCATTTCCAAGCAATTCTCTGTCACTATATATTAGTTTGTGTATTTTATAATTTATACAAATTAAATCATATACAATTTTTTTGGTTTATCTTCTTTCACTTAGCATAATTATTTTGAGATTCTTTCATGGTGTCATTTGAAACAATGGTTTATTTCTTTTTATTGCTGAGTAGTACTATTACATTATATAGATATAAAACAATGTGTTTGTTATTTATCTGTTGATGTACATTTCAGTTAGTCCCAGTTTGAGGCTGTTACAAATAAAGTTACTACAAACGTGTATTCAAGATTTTGTATAGGTGTATTCTGTCATTTCTCTTAGAGCAAATAACTTGGAGTAGAATGGCTGCATCTGATATCAGGTGTATATTTGACTTATTTAAAACCTGCCCAATTATTTTCCAAAGTTATTATATTACTTTGTATTTCCACCAGTAGTACCTGAGAGTTGCAGTTGCTCCACATCCTTGTCAACCCCACTCTAATAGGTATGCAGTAGTACCTAATTGTGATTTTAATTTGCATATCCCTAATGACTAATGATGCTAAGCATGTTTTCATATGCCTATTTGCCATTCATATAGTTTCTTTGCTGAAGTGTTTGTTCAAATCTTTTGCCCATTTTATTTACTTTTCTATTTTTTTTTGTTAATGGGTTCTGTGGGTTCTTTGCATAACTCAAATAAATGACTTTCTCAGATACCCAATTTGCAAGTATTTTTCCAGTCTATAGCTCATCTATTAATTCTGTTGACAGAATTGTTTCCAGAGGCAGTTTTAAGTTGTAATGAAAACCAATTTTTCAATTTATCAACTTTTTGTCTTTTATGGGTCATGTTTTGCTATCATATCTAAGAAATGTTTGCATAGGCCAAGGTCACAAAAATTTCCTCCTATTTTCTTCTTGAAGTGTTATGATTTGGGGTTTTACATTTATGTTTATGATCACTTTAAGTAACTTTTTGTATATGGTATGAGAGTGTCAAAGTTCATTTTTTTGTATATGGATATTCAATTATTTAAGCACTATTTGTTGAAAAGACTATCCTTTCCACATTGAATTGCCTTTGCACCTTTGTCAAAAAGTAGTTGTTCATGTATATATGGGTCTATTCCTGGGCTCTATTCTGTTCTATTAATCTGTTAGTCTATCTGTATACAAATGCCACACTGTTTTGATTACTGTGGAAAACAACTTGAAGTAAGATAATATTATCCCTCCAAATTTTTTCTTTTCCAACCCTGTTTTGGCTACTCTAGGTGCCTTATATTTCTGAGTAAATTTTATAATGAGCCTGCTAATTTTAACCAAAAAAATGACAGAACTTTTATTGTGGTTATATTGAATCTGTAGAATAATTGAAACAGAACTGACTTTTTAACAATATTGAGTCTATCAATCTATGAACATAGTTTATCTCTCCATTCCTTAGGTCTTAATTTCTCTCATGAGGTTTTGTGGCTTTAAGTTACCAAGTCTTCTATACTTTGTAAGATTTATCTGTAAGCATTTAATATTTTTGATGCTATTGTAAATGGTATTGTGTTTTTATTTTTAATTTCTGATTGTCGCATGTGAAAATATATAAATACAATTAATCTTTGCAAACTGATCATTTATCCTGCAACCTTTACAATCTTACTTATTTGTTCTGGTATATTTTCTGCAGATTCTTTGGATTTTCTACTTAAACAATTATGTTGTCTGCAAATAAAGCTTGATTTATTTCTTCCTTTCCAAACTGTATGCCTTTTGTTTCTGTCTCTTGCCTTATTGCACTGGATAGACATTCTAGTACAATATTAAACAGAAACAGTGAGAGCAATAACTTTTTTCTTATGTGTGATCTTAGGGAGAAGCCTTTAGTTTTTCACCAAGTATGACACTTGACATAGGTTGTTGTAAGTTTCCTATATTAAGTTGAGAAAGTTCCTTTTAATTTCTCATTTAGAGAGAGTTTTTAATCAGGAATGGATGCTGGATTTTGTCACATGCCTTTTCTGGGTCTATTGAGAATATTCTCATTGTTAGATCATCTGCTACTTGTTAATCTTCTTTGATACATTATTGATGAATTCTCACAACAAATACTAAAGAAGCTATCACTATCACACTTTACAAAAAAAATGTAACAAAACACAAAAGTATTCAGCAAGTAAGTACATGGCAAAGTTAATAGTTTTGAACATAAATCTCATTAATAGCAAAACATGTGTTCCCTATTTTTTCCAGTATAAATTGCTTTCAGAGAAATTTCAGAGAGAAGTTAGAAGACACCAACGTGACTTTTTCCCAAGCCCTTGAAATATTTTAAGACAGCAAGTTAATAGGTGCTCTATTTATCCAAATGAAATTTTTTAAAATAATTAAATAATTTCAGGTCTCATTCTTTGACTAAAAGAGGAAAGAAAACATATTTTAAAGGATGAATAAACTGCAGTTTAGGAGCTGACCACCAGGTAGTGGCATAAGCATTCCTTTCAGACCAATTATTAAACACCTGATGAGCAATGCATGGTAGCAAGGCTGAAAAAGTTCCTAAACTTCTGTGAACCACCAGAGTACTGGAACTTTATTCATGGCCAGTGACCACTCTCTTTCTGTTCCTGGAAACTTGCTTGTGATAAAGGAGTCTAAAGCATAGTTGTTCAAATTAACCAGTATGAAAATTTCTCACATACAGGATCATAGCTTAATTCTTCCTAATGACTAACATTATTTAAAGCATTGTTTAATCTGTGCACAGTCAGTCATTGTTATGAAGCATTATTTCACAAGATTATGCAAGGTTTAAGGACATAAATGGGAATAATTTTCAAGAACATTCCAAAAATCTGAAGTCTATACAACCCATCAACTTGAACAATATTTACTGGTCCAGCAATTTCTAAAATAAAACTTGGTACACTTCACAATAAAAGAAAAATACAAAAACAATAATATGGAAGCCAAAACTTTGTCATAAATATGATTGAATAAATTTATCATTTTCCCCTTTCTTCATAGAAATAATCTAAATGCAACAAGAAATTTAAGAACAATAACACTATATCTATAATTGGGGTCAAATTAAGAGAAAGAATCCGAATATTTTTAAGAGCCAACCAAATTAAATGAGCTTGCACAAATGCACAGGTACAGTGAATCATCCTAGATCCAAATGAAACAATCCACCAAACCAGGCATTAGAACATCTTTGGCCTTCTTAAAGTTTGTTAATTTCAAGCATTATATTAATAGATTTTCAAGTATTAAATCATCTTTACATTCCCAAAATAAATTCAACTTAATTATGTTGTTTTTTTTTGTGCATGCATTTGTCCCTTCTCACTTTTTTTTTCTGGATCATGTTAGTATTGTAATTATTTTCAAAATATCATGTTGTGGTTTTATCATTGATTTTGTTATTTTCCTTTGAGCCATTAATTTCTTGCTTTTATTTTTAATTCCTTCAATCTACTCTCAACCATTTTATTTTACTGTTAATTTTATAACTTCTGGAGTTGTATATTGAATTGGCTTACTTTTATATTTCATTGTTTGCTGAAAATTCATCAATTGGAGTCAAATGACCCAAGTTTAAGTGTTGGATGTTTATTTACTAGATCTGTGGACTGAGGTAAAACTTTCTGCTTCTATATCTCTCTAGTATGGAAACCAGAGTGCACATTATTTTCTCCTGGTTTAGTATTTTCAATTACTAACTAAACATTGCTTTAAAAATATGTATCCAAATACAAATTCTTCATCTTGTTCAGCACATCATCATGTGTTAGAATATTTATTCTTAGAAGGACATCATTCTTTGACTTCTCAACATTTAAACTAAATTTTGAAGGGCCTGATGTATTAAAGATATAAAATGATTACATTATGAAGTTGATGCTTCTATGTATGCTTGAAGTTTTGCAGCCTACATGAGTTATCCTGAGGGACATGAGACAAATGTCCTGTTCTCCAATCTGCTGTCACAACACCTGAAATTCCACCATTAAATATGCTTGTAGTTAGAACTAATAAATGAATTCAACAAACTTGAAGGATACAGAAACAGCACACAAAAATCAATTGCATTTCTATAAACTAACAATGAACACTTTGGAAATTAAGAAAATAATTCCATTTGCAATAGCATCAAAAAGAATAAAATACTTAGGAATAAACTTAAACAACAATGCTAAAGACTTGCACAATGAAAACAAAAATGTTGCTGAAATAAATTAAATAAGGCACAAATAAGTTGAAAGACATCTGATATTTATGGATTGGAGAATTTAACATCATTAAAATGTCGATGCTACCAAAAGCAATCTACAGATTCAATTCAATCCCTATCAAAATCCCAATAGTGTTTTTGCAGTAATAGAAAAATCCATCCAAAAGTTCATATGGCAGCTTGTGAAACCCCAAATAGCCAAAATAATCTTGAAAAGGAACAAGTTTGGAAGGTCTAACACTTCCTGATTTCAAAGCTGATTACAAAGCTACAGTAATATAGCAAAAGCTGTGTGGTGCTTGCATAATGACAGTCATATAGACCAATGCAATACAATAGAGAGCCCAAAATTAAACCTTCACATTTACAACCAAATTATTTTAGGAAAGGGTCCTAAGACTGTTTAAGGGTGAAAGGAAAGTCTTTTCAACAAACAGTGTTGGGAAAAACTGGATATCCACATGCAAAAGAGTGAAACTGCACTCTTATCTTACAGGAAAAGCATCGCGATTTAGATTTGGCAATAATTTCTTTTTCTTTTTTTCTTTTTTTTCAGCCTTCAGAAAGCATGGAATTGGCAATAATTTCTTGGCTATAATACCAAAAGCATAGGATGCAAAAGAAAACTTAGATAAACTTGACTACATCAAAATTAAAAACTACTGTGCATCAAAGGGCACAATTAATGGAGTGACAGAGTGGATAAACAACCCATGGAATGGAAAAAAAAATATCAAATCATATATCCGACAAAAGATCAATATCCAGAATATATAAAGAACTCTTACAACTCAGCAGAAAAAAAAGACAACCCAGGCCAGGCGCGGTGGCTCACATCTGTAATCCCAGGACTTTGGAGGCCGAGGTAGGTGAATTGCTTTAGCTCGGGAGTTCAAAACCAGCCTGGGCAACATGGTGAAACACCATCTTGAAAGAAAGAAAGAGAGAAAGAGAGAGAGAGAAAGACAGACACCCCATTTCAAAATGGGCAAAGTAGTTGAATAGGCATTTTTCCAAGGAAGATATACAATTGGCCAATAAGCACAGGAAAAGATACTCATCATCACGAATTATTAGGGAAATGCAAATAAAAATCATAATGACATACTACTTCATGCCCATTAGGATGGCTACTATTCATATCAAAAATAATGATAGTAAAAGAAGTGCTGATGAAATGTGGAGAAATCAAAACACCTGTGTCCTGTTGGTGAAAATGTAAAATGGTACAGCAGCCACTGTGGAAACCAGTTTGGCAGTTCTTTAAAAAATTAAAAATAGAATTATTATGTGATTCAGCAATTGCACTTCTGGGTATATCACTTCTAAAGTTGAAAGAATTGGGGGATATACCCCAAATATTGAGACGTTTGCATACTCTTGTTGAGAGCAGCTTATTCACAATAGCCAAAAGATAGAAACAGCTCAAATTTCCATTGATAGATAAATAGTTTAACAAAATAGGGTATGTACACACAATTGAATAATATGCAGCCTTATAAAGGAAGGAAATTCTGAAAGCCTGCTTCATACTATGACATGAATGAACTTTGAGGACATTACGCTAAGTGAAATAAGGCAGTCACAAAAAAAAATTGTATGACTCTAGTTATACAAAGTACCTAGAGTAGTCAAACTTATAAAGACAGAAAGGAAGGCTGGTTTCTAGGGATTAGGTGGAGAAGAAAATAGAGAGCTATTGTTTAGTAGTCACAGAGTTTCAGGTTTCCAAAATGAAAAGAGTTCTCAAGATGGATGGTAGTGATGGTTGCACAACAAAGGAATGTACTTAACACTACTGAAGTGTCCATTTGTAAATGGTTAACATGGCAAAATTTATGTTATATATATTTTTCCACAATTAAAAATAATTTTAAAAATTTTTAAACATATTTCTCTTTAAGATTTATACTATACACATCTACTTTTCAAATGCAAATACAAGAGGATGTTACAATACAAGATCACTTACCAACCAACCATTACCATTCAAAGCTTAGGGAAGGAGAAAATGGTGTTGGAGGTAGAAGGAGAAGATTGAAAAGAATGAGGATTTTGGATGGTGGAACAGGTCTGGGGGTGTGCAAAGTTGATCCACATGATGGCATTAAATGTTTTTGAAAGAGGGGTAAAATGAAGCACAAAAGCAGAGAAAAGAAAGACTTCAAATTCTGCCTCTCTACAATGTCCCTCTAAGAGCCACTAATTTATTAATCATTTTATGGATAAATCTGGTATGGGGCAGGTAAACCTACAGTATAGAAATTGAGCTATTACATGCTAGAGATTGCAATAAGATTGTTAAATGGACTGAGTTCTCAGCACAAAGTTTGTCACTCTGTAGGTGCTGAATGATTTTTTAAAAATAAATGGATATATAAGTGAATAAATAACTTTACAGGAAGGGGAATATCACACTCTAGGGACTGTGGTGGGGTGGGGGAAGGGGGGAGGGATAGCACTGGGAGATATACCTAATGCTAGATGACAAGTTAGTGGGTGCAGCGCACCAGCATGGCACATGTATACATATGTAACTAACCTGCACAATGTGCACATGTACCCTAAAACTTAAAGTATAATAATAAAAAAAATAATAATAATAATAACTTTTTAAAAATCAAGCTGCATTATTTTGTTAATACACTGCCTTCTGGGTTTTAATTACTTAATTTAAATATTTGCATCTCTATTCAAGAGTAAATTTTCTGTCACTAAAACAATTGAATACATTTATTAAACTAAGGTAGAGTGACCATTTCCATATTACATTTTACCTGTGGTTACAAAGGTTTTCCCAGATGTAGATGCCAAGAAATACAATGATAATGACTGAAGAGTTAGTGAAAGGCAATATTTCTCAATTAAAAAACTGATTTTTGGTGCATTCCAAAGTTATCTTTTAGTAGAGTCTTGTTTCTAAGATTCCAATTTTAGATGTCATTTCTATTAGATTTGAACTAATTACTTATTAGGCTGAATATGTGTGACTTCTTTACTGGTTCTCTCTAACTACCTCAAAGGTAAACCGCTATCTGTAAACTCTAACTTGTGGTGAGATGTGAGTGTGTGTGCGTGTGTGTGTATATGCTTGCAATATCCTTCACACCATCCCTTAGATATTATGTTAGAGTGAATAGATCTTGCCTGTTTAGACTGTACGTTGTAACAAGTGTGAGGATTATGAAACTCTTTCATAAAATGTCTATGAAAGACTCCATCTAATAGATGTGAAAGTAGCTGTAAAAATACATTTGGCGTATTTTAATTTGTTCTCTACTCTTTATTTGGTAGAAATATCTAGAGGTTCTATTATAGTAAGTGGTTCAAGAAATCCAATCACCTTGTTCATTCCATATTGAAAACAATAGCAGCTACATTAGAGGCAGCAGCATAAGCTATACAAGCTCATGGTACTCAGAGAATTCAAAGAGACATTTTCAACTAAATAAGATTCCAGACATCAGAAATAAAATGAGGTATTTTAAAAATTTGAAATTTAAAATTTAAATTAAAAATCTAAAATTATAAATTTTAAAACTAGAATTTTTAAATTAATACTATGTATCCAACTGCTATTTTTTATCAAGTTATATGAATATGAATATATGGATATTCATTCTGATTTAATAAGATGTATACATGCTTATTATAATGTGTTTTATATTGGCATGGGACACTTGCAAATATATGTTCAATTTCTTCAATGAATTTTAAATATGTTCTTTTAAGTTCTTGGATACATATTCAGAATATGCAGATTTGCTACATAGGTAAACGTGTACCATGGTGGTTTGCTGCACCTATCAACCCATTATCTAGGTATTAAGCCTCACACGCATTAGCTATTTATCTTGATGCTTTCCCTCCGCCTCCCTCCCCAACAGGCCCCAGTGTGTGTTGTTCCCCTTCCTGTGTCCGTGTGTTCTCACTGTTCAGCTCCCACTTATAAGTGAGAACATGAGGTGCTTGATTTTCTGTTCCTGTGTTAGTTGGCTGAGGATAATGGCTTCTACCCCCATCCATGTCCCTGCAAAGGACATGATCTCATTTATTTTTATTGCTGCATAGTATCCATGGTGTATATGAACCACATTTTCTTCATCCAGTCTATCATCGATGGGCTTTTGGGTTGATTGTACATCTTTGCTATTGTGAATAGTGCTCCAATGAACATGCAGGTACAGGTATCTTTATAATAGAATGATTTATATTCCTTTGGGTATATACCCAGTAATGAGATTGCTGGGTCAAATGGTATTTCTGGCTGTAGGTCTTTGAGGAATCTCCACATTGTCTTCCACAATGGTTGAACTAATTTGCGTTCCCACCAAGAGTGTAAAAGCATTCCTATTTCTCCGCAGCCTCGCCAGCATCTGTTGTTTCTTGACTTTTTAATAGGAGAGTAGGCTGGGCTTGGTGGCTCAAGCCTGTAATCCCAGAACTTTGGGAGGCTGAGGCGGGTAGATCACAAGGTCAGAAGTTTGAGACCAGCCTGACCAACAGGGTGAAACCCCATCTCTACTAAAAATACAAAAACTAGCCGGGTGTGGTGGTGGTGCACGCCTGTAATCCCAGCTACTCAGGAAGCTGAGGCAGGAGAATCGCTTGAACCCAGGAGGCAAAGGATGCAGTAAGCCGAGATAGTGGCACTGCACTCCAGTCTGAGCAACAGAGCGAGACTCTGTCTTAAAAAAAAAAATTGGAGAGTAAATATTTTTATCATGCTATTTTTTAGGTGTTGGGTTGAGGTTAGTCTAGGTTCATAAAATAAACTTTAATGGTTCAAGTAGTATGAATATATTGCAAATTATCTGTACTTTAAAGTTAGAAACTCTTAGCTATATAACCAAGATGATTTTTAAATAGCATTTGTTTGTACTGGGAATATCAGTAAAAATGAATATATAAAAGATAATTTCATTTAAAATGCATATATATAGATGGATGTGTGGGAACAGTTATATACAAATCCATATGAAGATAAAAGTAAGAAACTTCACAATGTAATAGAGAACATAAAAGATCCTTTACAATTAGAAAAAATATCATTTTACTGAATAAAAACATACGAAAACAAGTTGATATTTGTTAACATATTCATTAAATGCAATTTCAACTGTCTGGTTTTTAGACATTTTTGTTTTGTCAGTTTAATAGAAGGGTATTGAACATGAGGAAAATGTGACAGAACTTTTAACATACTGAAAAGTAAATGTGCAAGAATTATTTTTTAAAATCTTGAAAAAGATTTTTGGTGAAAAGTGATTTACCCTAAGAGATTATAAAATTTACTATAAAACTACATTCTGAGATTGTCATAGAGTGAAACAAATAGATCAGTGGAACGAAATAAACCATGTGGAAACATTATAGGGAAAGGGAAATTTCATATATTTCAAAAATGGTGATTCATTTTAGAAGAAAAGATGTCTTATTAATATATAAATGAAAAGGTTTGTGCCTCTGTGAGGAACATTCTCCACATGTCCTTCTGGAAGCCACTAAATAATGATCACTTCGTGGATAGGAATGTTGAGAGGCAGGTAAATCTGTAGTATGGAGACTGATTTCTTCCACATTCAAGGTGTTAATAAGATGAAAGGAGCTCTTAGCACATAGTAGACACCTTTAGAAAATAAATGTTTAAGTACCATTTACTCACAGCAAACAAACCTAAATCAAATTAATCCATTAAACAATATAAACAACATAATATATTTAGAAGGGAAATATAAAAGATTTCAATGCCTTTCCTATTTAAAATAATGTCTATAACACAATAAATACAAGGACATTTCAAAAGGTTCGTGTAAAGTAAAATCAAAATAAAAAATATAAACCTTATTCCTGAAATAAGCTCCATTGAGCTCAAAACACTTTTGTAAGCAGTGATACTAGCCATTTGGTCCATTGCTGCATAATTGAGGGTCCTGGGAATTTAATTATGTCAATGAGTTCATTTTTACATTACTAACTGAAGAAAATGGGTGCCTTTTAAAGATTTTTTTAACATTAAGAAACAAAAAGAGGTCCAAGGAGCCAAATCAAGGCTATGTAGATGCCTAACGATTTTCCATCAATACTCTTACAAAATTGCCCTTGTTTGATGAGAGGAGTGAGCAGGATCATTGTCATGGTGAAGAAGAAATCTCTGGTGGAGCTTTCCTAGGCATTTATCTCCTAAAGTTTTGGCTACATATCTCAAAACATGCTCATAATAAGCAAATGTTTTTGCTCTTTGGCCCTCCAGAAAGCTAACAAGCAAAATTCCTTGAGCATCCCAAAAAACTATTGCCATAATTTTTGCACTTTACTGGTCCACTTTTGCTTTGACTGGACCACTTCCACCTCTTGGTAGCCATTGTTTTGATTGTGCATTGCCTTCAGAATTATACTGGTAAAGCCATGCTTTATCTCTTGTTACAGCTCTTCAAAGAAATGCTTCAGGGGCTTGATCCCACTTGCTTAAAATTTTTATTGAAAGCTCTGATCTTGTCTGCAACTGATCTAGGTCCAATAGTTTTGGCACCCATGGAATGGAAAGTTTGCTCAACTTTAATTTTCAGTCAAAATTGTGTAAGCTGGGCCGATTGAGGTGTCTGTGGTGTTGGCTATTGTTTCTGCTGTTAATCATCAGTCCATTTCAATTAGGGCACAAATAAGGTTAACTTTTTCCAAACAAATTGGTGTGGATGGTCTACCACTGCAGGATTTACCTTCAACATTGTCTCATCCCTTCTTAAAATGAGTTATCCACTTGCTAACTGCTGATTTATTTGGAGCACTGACTTCGTAAAGTTTCATAGAGAATTGATGATTTCACCATTCTACTACCCAACCTTCACCATAAATGTGAAGCTTTCCTTTGCTTCATTTTAGCAGAATCTGTTGCTCTAATAGGGGTTCTTTTCAAATTGCTGTCCTATTTTTCTTAGTGCCTCAAAGTAGATCCTGTCTACATATGTTATAGCAATTTAAGTGTAAGTTTATTTTGGTGCAAAAAAAAATTGAAATCCAAAAATAGTTTTTATAATACGTATTTTTCATGAACTTTTTTTAGATCTCCAGTATTTACTGAACAAATTGATATGAAAATTCACAGATATTTTAAATGATTTTTCAGTCACATGTTTTTGAATCCAGTTCAATTTAGTAGCCAAATGGCAAATTGTTTATTGTGGCAGTTTTTTCTCTTCAATCTTCAGTCACAAATTTGGTATGTCTAAACTTTAAACCAAAGATTCAGGGATAAGAAAGTTTTTAGTTAATGATAACTTTGATCATGGTCTATGAACTTAAAGAGGTATTTTCTTAGAGTTAAGTGTATTTCCTACAACACTGCATCTGGGCTGCCACAGCTGTAGCCACTTCCTGTCTGTGATGTTGATTTCCCGCCTTGGTTCTCCAGCAGGTGGAGGTCTCAAGCAGGTCCCCAGGGCTTTTGTACACCTCCCTCCGACAGTTCTGTCACTGTGCCCTCTCTCATTGCACAGAAGTACATTGCTGAGTCCCCCAGTTGTGAAGCGGAGATGACAAGGTTGGCGGATTTTCTTGCCTTCTGGAAATTCAATGAGTAGCGACCTTCTGTTGCATTTTGCTGGTCATAAGACCCCTGATAAATAAGAAAAATCATTTCCCCACTGCTGGGCTGCTTGTACCAGAATAGACCATAACTTGGATCACTGGTGTCATATGTGCAGTCCAGAGTCACAGCCTCCTTTTCCTGCACGAACATTCCTGGTTGGGTTTGAGTTATCTTCTGGGCAATGCCAGGTCCTGAAGGAAAAAAGATAGAATTTGAAGGTTTAAGGATAAAGTGGATTGGGACAAAGAAATTCAATTTTTGTACCCCATTACCCCTCCTTCCCAAAGTTTCCATAAAGATACTTCCAAAGTCCTTAGTTCATACAGAAAGTCCATTCCCACTGGGCCACCCATACCTAGCCACAGTGAAGCTGTGACCACCTTCAGCAGGCTAGAAAGTGACATGTTTGGTTCTTTTTCTAGATAAAAAAAAATTTTCTTCTTTATTTTCAGGACTCTGTACTGTGAAGTGAACCTGGCATGGTGAGAGAAGAATTACTGGGCCATGTGCTGCTGCTACTGCTGCCCTAGAACAGGAAACAGAGGTTTCCTGGTATAGCAAACTAGTGTGTGTCATCTCACACTTCTCTATGTACTGGCTGAGAAGCTCACCCAATGCAGACTTTCTTTTGGATCAACCAACTCTTAATTTGTTAACAAATCTGAAAATAAACATGGTCACATTGAGAGGAAAAATGATCATTTGACCAACTACTGTATTTTATCATTGCACCTGTGATGGAACTGGGAGATTGACACATATTTGATACCTGTAATGAATTATACAGACAATGTAAGATACAATAATCCTCTAGCCTCACATCTATGTATGTTGTTGTTTCTCCTAAAGTACAAATACATCATGTTATGATAAGAAGGTTTGTACAAATCTCTGCAGATCTTTTGACTTATCTATTGATATAACAGTATTCCTCCTCAATTCCAATGCCTATCCAGTTGCCAATCTTGGGGCCAAACAGCAGAAAAACGAATCTCTCTTTGACGAAGAGTTTAGAATTAACCCCTCAGATATCAAGTTGTGTTTTAAAGGTCCCATTCTCTTTTCTATTCAGTTTCAACAGCCAGCTCTGTTCATACAGATCATATTAGATTACAGAGTTTGGTTATTAGGTTATCAAACCTTCGAATTTATATTTTTTCCATGACTTCAATTCAGACTCCAAATAAGCCCCAGCAAGCCACGCCGTTCTGTATGCCCCGCTCTGAAGAGAATGTGTTCTGGACGATCCCATATACAGGACAACTGATTACAGGATCACCGATTGTGACAAATTTTCTTTCTGTGTAAACATTAAAGACCATGCCCTAGTGATACTACTCAACAACACTGCAAACAACTCAGGTCATTGCCTTGCCTACCATAATTTATTTATTAATATAGTAGCCATAGCTTATCGCTCTTGTCTTAAAATAGCTTATCTTAGCCTTGTCAAAATTGGTTGAAGCGTCTTCAGATCTTTCTTGTCAAAATTGGTTGAAGCGTCTTCAGATATCTTATGATATCACGTACAGTACAAGTTATCTATTTTGTAAAAGCATCCATTATTTGTTCTACCAGTTGGTGGAGTAATTATGAAATATTACAAATTTATCTTCATAGTGTTCAACTCCATTACACTTCTCAATCAATAAATCTTTTAACTGTGCTTTTGTCATTTAAGAAGTGTCCACACTCAAACAGATATTTTGAACAGTCTCGTATCAACTTCTGAATTAATTGTTTTAATGTATTAAACTCAAAGTTGAAAAGGAATAACGCAAAACTTTTTATGTAATAACTACCCGACTCTATTATAAAATTCAATCTCTTAGAAGTAAAATTAATGCAAGTGGCTGAAATTGTGACTCTCATTTTTGCATGCCAAATTATGATAAATATAAACAGTGATAGTCAATGCTTTAACACAGGTCACAACTTCCAAATATAATGGAGCCGATGAGGTTCCTTAACCTCCTTTACCTCTTCTTAACCTTCTCATATATTTCATGTATCTTTATAAAAATGGACACCAAATACATAAATTATTTGATGTCTTGACGCTATTGAAATAAATTTCCTAATGAAGACAAAGTTCCATGTATGAAAGGCACTTTAGAAGCTAGAAAAAAATACGTGAGCAGGGGATCATGCTAAACATGGCTTTCTGACTAAAGTCCTTATGCAAGCACCTCTTATGGAACTTAAAGATGCAACCATGGAAAATGTCAATAACTCCACCTTAGATGAATTATTGATTTGTTTGATCAGTGAGGATAAGATATATCAAAGCCAGAAAGGCTGTTTGGTGGAACCAGATGATTGCCAATGAACACTTGTTAATACCCTCCAGGGACCACCCATCGCAGTAGGGACATGTTGACTGCAATATTAAACATTTGTGGGGAGACTTTTCTAGAATACTAGGGAATGCAGACAGTTCATGTCTTTTTTGGAAGCTCCAAAATTCCATGAAAACTGTAAAAGTGGAATATGAACTGGAATACTGTCCTAAGGGAACAGTTGAGTATGTTTCAGACAGTTCTACTCCCTAAGGGGTTGTGAGTATGCACTAGTAAGAGTTGTTTTATTTTCTACATGGGTTGAAGCACTCACCCGTCATAAAGATACAGCACTCACAATAGCTAAATCAATTGATTTCCATTTTTTATCTGTGCCAATCAAATTATCTATATGTAGAGGAACATGTTTTTCTAGGACAGTTATGTAAGGTTTTGCTCTCACTCAGAAACTGCTTTTCTTATCACCTCCTGGTCCTCTGAAAATGTTGAAACAATGTATGACTATTAAGAATAAAATTAGTTACCCTATCAGACATCTGTGAACTCCCGTGGCCTAAAGCATTATTACCCTTAGCTCTAGTGGCCCTGCATTCTTCCCCATCCCAAAGTCATGTGTCATCTCACTATGAACTGGTCACTAGTAGGCCCATATTACTCAGAATGTTCTGAACCACACATATTCCATTCTGACACACTTAACTATTAATAGATAAATAAACTCATTATATTCAGTCCTTTAACCAACAGGTACAGGTTTTCCTTCCTGGCCTTTCATTTAATCAGCTTTTACTTTACCTAAACCTGGGTGACTTGGTATTCAAAAAAATTTTCAAAGAAATATTGCCTTTGAACTTGTGGAAATGTGTTCTTGACAACATAAGAAGAAAAGCCAATGTGACCATAGCAACAGGGATTGGGGTGATGGCACCACAAGCCAAGAAATGCTGGCAAAGCTAGAAGAGGCAAGGAACAGATTCTTCTCTGCAGCCTCTGAAGCGGGCCTTACTGACTCCTTGATTTCAGCCCAGTGAAGATGATTTAAAAAAATATGTATCTATTGTTTTAAGACAGCAAGTTTGTACAGAGGCAACAAAAAAATACATAAACCTTGGTTTATTTGTTCAATGTGTTTTATTTAGCTCCTTTGATCTGTTTCATTGTATGCCAACCTCAGAAGGTAATTTTATAGTAAATTTTATTACCTGCTAATGTCTCTCCTCATCAGTACTCTTTTCCATTTAAAGTTTAATGCTTGAATGTGTCTGGATCTAAGCTGGGTACTGACTTTGCACACTCTAGCTGGATAATTTTTTTTCTTACATTGGAAAAATTGACAACCAAGTAAGATACAGCAATTAAGCCAATAGCAATTACACTCTTTCTTCTAAACAAGCAAAAAATAAATAGACTATAAGCCATGATTCCCAATCACTCCATTTCATTCTTGGAGGAAATGGACTGATCAAGAGTCAGCTTGCTTCTCCGGAGAGGAGCTAGTGGTATAGACAGGGAAATAACAAAAGCCAGTTGAGTTACTGGGCTACAATACTGACCTTCCTTGTTCAGTTGTTTTTAAACCCCAATTTAATCTAATGACTTTTCCTATAAGACCTAGCTAATAACTAACAGCCATAACTCAGCCAGAAGGGATCATTCTCACCCTACCAATCGCCGGTTATATCCATCCTTAGGAATAATATGAGGGATCTTGAAATTAGCCTACTCTTGACCACAGGTGGGAGAATTAGGGAATTAATTATTTATGCAACTTCTTTATTTCCATTATTTTTATCAACAACACGAAAAGATACAACTTTTGAAAAGGAAACTGCACTCGTAATGTTTAAAGCAGTCAAAACACGAAAGTGAGGCGGGGTATTTGGAACAACCTAGCATAAATTAACTATCCAAATGCCTCCTGCAATTTACTAATAAGAATTGAATAATGTAGCTGAAAAATATTTATTAAAAACATTGCCACATACCTCAGAAAGAAAGATAAAGGTAGCAATAAAAATGAAATGTCTAGAAAAAAATTTAATTATCTTAAAACGATAAAGTTTTATGGAAAAGAATGACATAGATAAATGGAAAGAAATATGCTCTCAAATATTCAACTTATTCAAATATACATTTTCAGGAGTTTAATTATTCACACATAAAATTATACGTTTAATTCAACCACAAAGCCTAAGTTAAAATTTTGAATATACAATAGTTTAATCCATTTTTTCTTTCTTTAACAAACATCTATTGATTATTAACAATGTGAAAAAGCTTATGCTAGGTTCTGCAGAAACAGAGTGATTAAAAAACATAACTCTTCTCAATTATGTGAGAGAGTAAATATGAAGAGATACCAATAAGATTTTGAAGAATATACTGATGACTCTAATCTGAAGCTCACATTTTAAAATCACTTCCTGTTTTAATTTCCCTCGCACACACAGAGTATATGTCCAAACTAGACTCTAAAGGAAAACTCATCACGTTTTCCCAACAAGAAACAGCAGGTAGAAGGGACTGCCAAATTTTACCACAGATACAGAGAGTAAGAAAATAAAAATAACTGTGACTGGTGAAAATTTCTCACGGAGCTATTAAAAAGCATGTGTTTGAGGAGAGGACGAAGTGAGAAAAGCTCAATTCGAGATATAAGAATAGGTGAAAAAATCATGATCCTAATTATAATAGGACTCTATCAAGAAACAAATCTAAATATTAGGTTGGTGCAAAAGTAATTGTTATTTTTGCCATGACTTTTAATGGCAAAAACAGCACTTACTTTTGCACCAACCTAATATTAGCAAAACCTATCTGGGTACAGAATTATCAATTTTGTATTTTTTATATTTTACACTATCTGGTTTTGGCATGTAATGTTTTACAATAAGAAAAAGATAACAAAAGCAATTTTTGAAAACTAAAAGTTAAAATTTATCCATAATAGGGATTGCAATATTGACACTAAGGGGTTATTCATAGGAGAGAAGTCTGAATAGCAAATGTAAAGTCACCTTTGAAGACTAGATTACAAAATCCAACATCACTAAATCTCTGTAAGGATCCCTTGAGCAGAACCTCCTGATTGCTGAACATGTGGTGGGTGGCAGAGCCAGAGAAGGCATGGAAGCTCAGGGCCATTTTTCCCATACCTTGCCCTATGCGTCTCTTTAGCTGACTCTTTACTTTACTATGTACATGTGTGTCAAAACTTCATGTTGTTAACTTAAATGCGTACCATATATTTTTTTGAAAAACGGAATCCATTAAGCATCAACTGGCCAACAAAATGCTCTAAACCTTTCTGGGTCACTTTGAATCTAACCTCATTACATGGTTTTAATATCTATATGTTAGTTTCCACTTATGAACAAACAAAATGACAAGTGCTATAACTAAAATTTATTGCAAAGGAAAGGGATGCTGCTTCACCTCCCATCTCAGGTTTGGGTGATGGTTACAGATGCCTGGAAAGCAATGTGTATTCTCTGCACAAAAGTAGACAGCTGAGTCTCCAGGTTGAGTAGCTGCAATTTGCAGAGAGAGATGTTTCACTGTCTTATTCAATAAAACGGTGACTCTTTGGCCTTGCCTTTTGTCCATATTTGAACGAATGTCTATAATGAATTGAGGACCTTTTCCAGATTCTTGCTTGTACCAAATGAAGTAGTCTGAGGCGCTGTTTGAATAAGCACAGTTGATAATAGAGTTGTCACCCTCCTGGACACTCAGGGTAGGAAGATGCAGCCCCACACTCTCTCCTCTGCTCACCCCTGTGCAGAAAGAAAAAGAGAAAGGTTTATCAAGTTATTATTCTCCAGAATTTTCTTTTTCTATAGTAACTAGAGGAAGCCTAAATAAAGCAAGACTTCCCCCTGGATGTCTCAAAATCATCAACTAATATACTGTGTTACCCAAAACTCTAAACTTACAGTCCAGCTGCAGCCACAAGTACATAAATAAAGCTCGAATGCCTGCCATCATTGTTCTTCCCAAATAGGATCAGTCATAAACCTGCAATCTCCAGCCATAAGAGCTACTTCCATCATCGGGTATTCCTTTCTTTCCTCTAACAATCATAGTGGTTTCTCACATTGTCTACTCAGCCAATAGAAAAAGGCTCTACTTCTGCCATAAACCTATTTAATCAGAATCCACTAAAATGAAACCTCTGTGTGTTCTGCATCAGCAGAGAAGCACTGCCATCTTGTGGTCACATTCGTAGCTACTAAACTTGCAGTTTGAATGTTTTTCTATAACCCTAGGAGGGACTCAGATGCACAAAAGGAGCAATAGGTCAAACAAATAAAGTCTTCACTCTGAGATGAAGTTCACAGTAAGAATGTAGATATCAAGATTGATATTTATGCAAACTAATGAGTCATTGTTAAAAAGTTAGAAAGAGGTAGATGTTGCAGGTGTTTATACAATGATGCACCAAGTTTACATGTTTGAAATCAGGAAAACACCATGATTCACTGTCCTGGACAAACAAAAGTAATACATTCCCTTGCAGTCAAATCGGTCATCATGATTTGTTTGTTATGGAGAAAGACTCTTTCTTAAAGGAATATGTAAGCCAAAGATAAGAGTAAGAGAGAGAGGACTACTCAATATTTCACGTGCATATTATCTCAGGCTCTGCTTCTCCAAGACTGGTCTTCCCCATGACTTTCTATTCCCAGAGACTTGACAGTACCAACAGTCGAAATGTGGAATCTTTCTTTGGTAAGGATGGCTTTAATAAAAGGTAAAGAATTAAAGTACAATGATAAAGGAGGAAGGGAACAAGTTCCATGAGTTATTAAATACTCCAACAATAGGAAAGTTTGACCCATAGATTGGGCTGGTTTGCAAGGAGAAATCTGGCATGTTTTAAGAAACCTTTTCCTATTGCTATGTGGCTTGTATTCTGCAAAGTGCAGAAAAAACAAGGAGAAATTCTCAGAAAACATCAGGCTGCAGGCTCCAAAAATGAAACCACATGTAAATTTCTATTAAGGTGCTTTTATTTTCTGATACCAAAATGAATGATATCAATATGGCATGTCCTTAAATACAATGATTGACTCATATCTTCAGTGGAACTTGCCTCTAAAATATGAGCCAACTCCTCTGGCATGGACTGCTCTTGCCTTAGCCATTGCTAGCTCAGGTTCCATATCTGCCGTTTTTCTCCCAAACTCCACTACAGTGTTCTTCCCTAAGATATTGATAAAGTCCTTCAGTCTTGTACATTTCTGGGTTTATCTCTTCTTGCAAAAAAAATTGCTTATCTACTTTAATTTTTGATACGTTCTGATTACTTCCATAAAACTAAATCTATGGAAGCCAAAATATTGCCTGTGTCTGCTAGGAGGGAGAGTGCAAAACTAAATAAGTGACCATGGGAAATGGTTCCTCAGATACCAAGACTATCTGGTTTCCAGAAGAAAAGTGCATTTCCTGTGACTTGTACTCACTAGGCCCCTGGAATTATAAAGACTGAATATAATTTCTTATTCACATCTTGCACCCTTAAGTATGTAAGGACAGTTATGATGAAAAATAGCAACTAAAACATATAAATATAGATATGTATACATAAAATGTGTGTTTTTACATATGTAAAACTTCTCCATTCTAAGGATTTTCTCTTTTCTCACTCATTCCTCATACAATATAATTCTCAAATCCTTTATTGGATGAGTTTCCCTCCTTTTGGTGACAGATAATTTAGGTCAATATTTGGCCTTTTGAGTATAGCATTAAGAACTGAATGTAATGGTCTAAATATGACCACTCATATGGATCATAGTATTCCACATATTAACTATGCCTTAGGTATGGCCATCCCCTGGACAAAATTCCCAACCCTATGATTATTTCATTGAATATTACCTAACTCATTGTCAATGTGTTGGTCCAGAAAAGATTTTCTCACACCTTTATGAACTATCAACCACTTGAGGACATGTTACCCTTAGCTTCCCTATTCTAATTATTATTTTTTGACAATGTAGAGTAATGCTCACTATGTCCACATCCTTCCTTCAAGGAATATCCACCCAGCATAATGAATATATCTTACTATTTTTAGGAAAGTCCTTAGAAATACCTCTGGGGGTTGAGGGTGGCACCACCATGTTTGGCTCACTCCTACAGCAGCCAGTGAGTCATGGACTGGATTTCCTGGTAGAATAACAGTGGCTCAGCCTGAATATCTTTCTTGCCCAAAGTGGTAAATGTTTACACAAACTGGAACTCTCCGTTCTCATGGTCAAAGTGATTGAACCAAGCCTTTCCCGGAACCAAAATGCAGAGGTCAACCTGGCAGGGCTGCCATTAGATAGTTTCTCTTTGTTCAACAATATGTGCCTGCAGGAATAGGCAAGAGCAAGAAGCTAAGGAGGAAGGGAGGAAATCCAGTTTCTTTCTACTGCTAGATCATTTACTATCTAATGGTTTCATACTGGCATCTTGGATATAGTTTCTGTGTTTATAAAATGAAGTTGAACTAAAAGGTTTCTAAATGCTTTTATAGGTCTAAAATTCTTTTATACTATTTAACAAGGCAAATATTTACTGAGGACTGATTGTGTACAGCATAGAGCATGGGAGTAGGCAGAAGTTATCCTGCATCAAGGAACTCCCAAGACCATTTTCACACCCACAGGCAATCTAGTGGGTCTGAGCTTACCCTAACCAATCCTTGGGCTCCTTCAGAAGCAGAGACAGGGTCTTCTGTGATCTCAGCACTTTGGGAGACCTAGACAGGAAGATCACTTGGGCCCAGGAGTTCAAGGCTAAAGCAAACTATAATTGTGCCACTGCACTTGAGCTTGGGCAACAGAGCAAGACCACTTCTCTTAAAAAAAAATTTGTTTAAAAAAGTAACAAAGTGGCTTCATGATATGTATATGATTCACTATGTTTGTTTGTGCATCCTACCATTGTATCTTCAATTATAAGAAAAATTGATTTGAAAATTAGCCTCTATGTCGATAACTGGGTCATTCAAAACTTTGCATGAAAATAATGTTCCTTTCTATCAAGCTGCTACACTTAGATTTAATTTCTATTTTGAAACCTGCAGATATTCAAATTGTAATGTATTAATTTTCAATACTAGAGTTTCTAAACTTTTTGAAGGATTCAGGTACTCTTCAACTTGCCTTATTGCAATGTTCATGATCAGTCTTTTATTTAAAAGTTTTTAAGTTTAAAAACATAAGTTTTAAAAATCATCTGAAGAGGAAACCACCCACAGTGGCCCAGTGAGACTGCACAGCAATCTCTCCAAATTCATGGGTGTGAATAGTTCACGAGAGGAAGAGGCAATATTTCTAATGTATGAAGATATAGGTTTTTTTTAAAAAAAAGAAGCACTTTATGTAAGACTAGTTTATGGATAGTATGTGAGGAAGGGGGATGATACCTCTCAGAAGAATCTGTGTCTCAGCTAGGTTAAATAGAGCTTTAAAGAGTCATGGGAAGAGAGATCCCATTTCCCAAATTACACAGTTTGACAGAAAATTGGAGAATTCAAATATATGAAAATTCTAATAAAGGAAAACTATTTGATAGCATGCATTGCAAATTTAGAAATAAATAGTTTCTTGAAATCAGGGCATTAGAAAATGTTTCCAACTAGAGGTTGGTTGGTTAGAGGAAAAATAGGATGTGCGTATGATATCCACTCTAATTGCATTTCTACCTCTCCCCTTCCTCTTCCCAGACCTTTCCCCACACACCCTGCAGGCCCTCACAGCTGTTCTCATCAGGCCACATATTGCTGGTCAAATTAAATATTGTCCCCTCCCTATTCTCTTTCTGTTCTTCATCCTTATTTTATTCCTATTTTCTTCTCTTCTGTTTATTCTTTTTCCTTCTAGTCTCAGAGAAGATATATGAAAAGATCAGATATCAGGGGTATTTAGAATAATTTCCAAGTCAGTGAATTTCATGAATTTTAATCATAAAAATTTAGAAACTGAAAACATGGAATGAAGATGTTTTCTAATGAACATCCATGCTCGCAATGCCCAGTAAAACTCCAATTCCCTTACCTCTGCTTACAGAATCATCCTCACAATGGATTTATAGACCTATGAACTCCAGCTTTCTGAGGTTTTATATAGAATGTCAGAGCTGAAAACCTAAGATGAACCTTACACACACATCACGCTCCACCCCGCCCCAGCTCCCTGTTATCTGTGATTTGACTGACTCACATGCCCTTTTGTATCCTGTTCCGTCCGCTGAGACCATCAGAAAAAGTCTTCATTTCGGAAGTCCTAGAGTGCCCCCTAGTGGACTGAAACCATCAACAAAGACCACTTTGCACCAACTTAACTCCTCAGTAGTCACACACACAGCCCCATTCACTTCATGTTTCCTATGAAGGAAATGGAGGCGGTCAGAAAACAATATAGCTGCCTAGACTGAATGGGGATTAACAGTGAACCAATTACCACTTTTAAAATGCCACTTCATGGAAATTAATATCTTAAAATAATTTGACAATTCCCATCTTGCGCTATTTATTTGAATTCTCTGATTTTGTTTTAGAAAATCCAAAAAGATTTTTTGAAGTATTACCATAAGTGATTAATTTATTAGGTTTTAAGAGTATGTAAAAAGTGATGAGACATTAGTTCATAATCTACTGAAGAGTACAAAACTACACATGTCTATAATAGAATCAAAGAGTGGGATCCTAAGCAGAATGTGAACTAAAAGCTATATGATCCCAGAGGTGGGAGAAATACTTAGGAAGGTTGGACAAGACCTTATAAAAAGGGTGGTCATTTCCCTCTTTCTCTCCTTTTTCATGAGGATAATAGAATAGAATATGGATAAACCTTTATGATGGCTTTTATGACTTTTTATTGGTTTAATATTATAAAGAATTCATGAACATTTGAAATTATTAAAAGTAATACAACATACCAGGTAGACGAAAATCCACTTTTACTACCACTCCCAGTTCTGATTCTTTCATCACTCGTTACCCTAATTCTCCCTTCATCTTATCAATTTGGAGTTGATACTTCCAAATGTTTTACTATAGCATTATATACATGTACTAAATACAAAAAATGCTGAAAATAAATAGTATTTCATTTATAATTTTAAAATTTAATACCAAATGATGCATCTCATGTATACCTTTTTGTAACTCACACTATAAATTCAATAATATATCTTGCAGAGCTTATTATATTAACACATACGGGAACTTCTGCTACATTGCACCCTATTAGAGATATACTTCAGTTTATATAGTCCTCTCCCTATTGATGAAGACTTAAGATGATGTGTGATATAGTTTGGATCTGTGTCCCTGCCCAAATCTCATGTTGAAATGTAATCCCCAATGTCCCAGGTGAGTGATGACTACCTGGGCTGGTGGTGTGGGGATAAAATAATTTACCAAGACTGTTGTAGATAAAGAAAGGCAGATCTATTAAAGAAAGTATGAAAGTAGTTGCCAGGGAGCAATCAGCCGAAGAGGAGCTGATGGCAAGGAAACAAAGGCCTGCTGGAGATTTTATAGGATGTTTTTGGGTTGCCGAGTGCTGCATGCAGTACTGGTAATGCCAAGGTAGCAAGGAACTAACTTGCATTCTTCTGTCAACTGAGGTTTTTGATGATAGATAGAGGTGTTTGATGATAAGCAGGAAGTCTGTGAGTTATGTACGTTATTTGCTCAGGAGAGCTATAGGTCCTGAGCCATAAAGAAAGACCTATAGCTTATCTGCTTCCTCTTTCTGTTTATATGTCCTGGACCATGAAAAAAAGGCAGACCTATAGCTTATTTTCTTTATCCCTTTGCTTTCCCCTGGTCCTGCTAGCCTGACTCCTTTTCCCTAATCAGGATTCCATACCCAATGCTGGAGGTCAGGCCTGGTAGGAGGTGATTGGGTCATGGGGGTGGATTTCCCACTTGCTACAGTCCTGAGTTCTCCTGAGATCTGGTTGTTTAAAAGTGTGTAGCACCTTCCCTTTCTCTCTAGGTTCTGCTTTTGCCATGTAAGACGGCCTCTCCCTCTTTACCTTCCATCTTGAGTAAAAGCTCCCTGAAGCCTCCCCAGAAACAGATGCTACTGTGCTTCCTGTATGGTCTGTGGAACTGTGAGCCACTTAAATCTCTTTTCTTTATAAATTATCATGTCTCAGCATTTTTATAACAGTGGGAGAATGGACTAATACAATGATTTTTCTTTAACTATGAAATACAATGCTGCAATAAACTTTTTGAGCATTCTACTTTATTCACATGTTCCCATGTTTCTCCAGGAGCAAAGACTATGAGCCAGTGAAGGGATCTATGTGGCTAATGGTGAAAAACACTCCAGGCAGAAGGAAGATCAGGGACAATGGCTCTGAGGATGAAGGGAGCAAATTCATGTTGCAATTATTGTGTCGGATGCTTTTCTTTTTTATTACTTTTCTTAATGTACATTGGAGCTATAGTTTATTGTTCATTTCATAATATCTTACTGAAATTATTGTCCTGATGTATATAGCTTATGTGTAGTTTCTTCCAATCAGCCACGAAGGTAATTCTAAAATTCATAAGTCAGCAGGAGGTAAAGGAGAAGGACTGGGATATACAAGCAAAATGTTACAGAATAACACTGAGGGAAAAAAAAGAATAACATTGGGCATAAAAATTAGATTTATATATGCATACACATATATACATACATTCATATGTATTTTATATTTCTATACATACATTTATATAACAAGGGTACTTATCATAACAGAAATACACATTACATTTTCAAAGCAGTATGAAGAAAAATCAAACTTTATCAATGCAAGAGAAGCCAGGCTAAAAAGAAATAAGAAAAAAATCAAGAGAATGCTGCATAAAACAAATATATTTAAAATGAATCCAAGCATGTCAGCAACCAAAGCATATATTTTTTAAAAAAGATTATCTGGTTGAATCAAAATTTAAAATATTGATACATACTACTTGAAAAAAAAAACAGAAAACAATCCTCAAGAAAGCTGAGCATATAGGATGGAATTCTTCCTGCTGCCCCTGTGTTTAAGGACTGTAGCCACCTTCCTCATCCACTTAACCCGCTTCACTTGCCCTAAACAACTTCAAAAGAATTTCAATTCTTTTTTCTTTTTTAAATGTCAGTTCTGCTGATGAGGTGGTAAAGGAGGAGTGCAGGAGAAAAACAGCAAGTTAGCTAAATTGGCTTCTGCACAGGTAGAATCTAATATTAGACAAACGATAAGACAGAGGTAAAAAAAAGTAACATGCAGACAGAAAACGGAATGGGGAAAGAAAGGAAAACTGTCAGAGATAAAATACCAAGGAGAAATTAAGATTTATCTTCAGAAAAGAACAAATCTAAACATGAGAGAATTCTGCACCCCAGTGGAGCAGAGGAAAAAGAAGGCAAGTCTGAAAAACAGCTTTTAATTTTTATCACTGGTCTTTTGCAATGTAGAATATCTTATAAGCTATCTGTATTTGTAATTGCACATTTCTCCTTCCTCTAGAAAGAAACTCAATACAGGAAAATCTCCATCAAAGTTATACACGATCATTGTGTGCACGAGAAGTTAGTAAAGCATTGCACAAAGAAAGGTTTCAACTGTCTTGTTTGTGAACGTAATATTTACTTGGAGAGTTGTTATGGACTGAGCTCTATCCAACCCAAAATTTACATGTTGAAGCCCTTACCCCCAGTACCTCAGAACGTAATGGTGCTTGAAAATAGGCTCTTTAAAGAAATAATTAATGTAAAATGACATCACATAAGTGGACTCTAATTCAATATGACTGCTCTTCTTATAAGAAAAGTAAATTTGGACACAGACATGCGTACCCTCAGGGGCAAGACCGTGTAAGGACACAATGAAAAGGCAACATGATCTGCAAACTTCAGAAGAAATTAACCCTGCTGACAACTTGATCTTGGGCTTCTAGCCTGTGGAACTGTGAGATAATAAATTATGTTGTTTATGTCACCTAGTCTGTGATATTTTGTTATGCCAGCCTTAGAATATTAATATAAAGGTCAATTTTATTTTCCTATTATATAAGACATATCACAAAAAACAATATGAAGTTATAAATATACATATAAACTATCTTCAACATTTTAACATTCTACCTTTTATTTTTATTTTTATTTATTTATTTTTTTGAGACAGGGTCTCACTCTGTTTCCCAGACTGGAGGGCAGTGGTGCAATTGCGGCTCACTGCAGCCTTGACCTCCCAGGCTTAAGCAATACTCCCTGCCTCAGCCTCCTATGTAACTGGGATCACAGACATGTGTCACCATGCCCAGCTGATGTTTTTTTACTTTTTGTAGAGATGGGATTTCATTCTGTTGCTCAGGCTGGTTTCAATCTCCTGGACTCAAGAGATTCTCTCGCTTCAGCCTCTCAAAGTGTTGGGATTACAGGCATAATCCACCGTGCCTGGCCACATTCTACTTTTATACCCATGTTTTGGCGCATTTGTGTCCTAAATAAAGGTATTCCCTTGTCTTAGATATTCCTGTAAAAAACTGTGTACAGAGATCCAACTATCCTGAGAACTTTGTTAATGTGCTTAAAAGATTGAAAATGTGTATTGTATATGCTGTATATTTGGTATTAAATAATAGATTAGTGAAATTTTCTTCATAAGTTACCTAACAAGCTTTAAAAGGTTTTAGTATGTACTGTAAAGGGCAAAGTGCCTCTAAATATTAAATAAGTTCTCTAGAATAACTGTTGAGCAAGGATTATAATTACATGACTTACAGATCTTCAGGACCTGCAGGAACAATGATCTAAATTTTGTTCATAATATCTATCAGTTACCAAGTAAAAATAAATATATCACAGTGTTAGGATGTATAATTTACATTAAATCTTTTCGACAAAAGCCAGAGAATATTGGATATGTACTAGTTAAGTCTCAACTCTAAGGAGAGTCAATTGACTTAGTCAGGAAAGCAAATTCCAGGGTGGTCAGCTACTGTTGTTATTAATACGTAAGGCCACAACAGAGGAAACTACAGTTCAGCTACCCACAGCTTGGATAATACCCAAAGCTTTGCTAAATAGCATAGGGAATATTAGATGTTGGGTTTTTATTTGCAAAACTAATGATACAGTAGGTACCATAATGAATGATAGAAATTGGTTTTTAAATAAAGGTATTTAAGATACATGTTTCAACTGAAGTATTTTAGAGACACGCCCTACCCTTGAAAGACAGGATAGAAAAATCTAGAACAACTGTACCTTGCACTCTTAAGAATGATACCAAAGATTTAATCCCTGAAAGATTCTATGTCCAGTCAGTGGTGTGCGCAGCTGAATGGATAAACAAATTGTGCTTTATTCATATAATAAGATACTACTCAGCAATAGCAATAATGAATGACTGATATACATGAGAACATGGGGGAATCTAAAAAACACGATGAATGAAAGAAACCAGGCACAAAAGAGTAACTACTGTATGATTCCATTGATTTGAAGTCTACAATGGGTAAAGTAAATCTAAGGTGATAGAAATAAGAACATCTATTGCCTCCAGAAGGTGAGTTGACTAGAAAGGCACACATAAAACCTTCTGGGGTGACAGAAATATTCTGTCTACAGATAGTTTTGCAATTATCATTGTCTTCTTCCTCCATCTGAAGGAAATAGAAAATCAAAAAATAATGATGTATTGAGAGAGTTACATGCAAGAAAAATGACTTAGAATTACGATCTCCAGACACATCCTCATAGGTGAATTAATGCCTATTTGTGCAGTATGCTAAACCTTTTAAAATTGATTTCAATTTGCACCAATGGTATAATAACATTCTGTGTATAATGTGCACAAAAATTTTAATAGTAAAATTAATTTTATTAATATATTAACAATATTTCCAAATTCTTAATAAAATTATTGTAAAATTTTCTCATAATTATATAACAACAATGTAAATAAAACAATAAGCAGGCAAAACAAATCAATAGAGAAATAAAACAAGAAAACTACTTTGATATCTCAGGCAGGAGTGGGCGGGGAGATGGAAGATGCTCTCCAGTTGCTTGAAGTCCTTGGTGCATGTCTAAGTCGAGTCCAATCAGGAAAGAGAAACCATAGAATTTCAACAGAAAAAATTTAAGGATTAATAAACAGAGTATTAGAGTAACAAGAGAATGAATAATATGAAGAAAAGAAATTCTGCTATTCCTATTCCTGTAGGAATAGCAGACATAAGGTGCAGCCTCTACTCCTAGGGCAGGGTAGGATAACCAGGGAAGAGGCCTGTAGCCCCACCCTCAGGGCTGAGACCCAGATCTTATTGAAAAGAAACAGCTGTGGCTCACTGGATGAAAGGGAAGTTGCTGTGGTGCTGTCCCAGCAGAACTTGCTAGAAATTCACCCTCTAGAACATGGCAGAAAATCATCCTCTAGGACACTGGGGAAAGCTGTTCACAGGGAGGTGTCTCACTGCAGGATCTCTTTCACAGAATCGCCCTAAAATGGGGGGGTTCTGGAGGAAACTGCAGGGCACTGTGCACTGCAGGTGCCTCCCATGGTGCAGGATCCTGATGAGTGAGCACATGGAAAGCAGAAAGCAAAACTTTTTCTTCCTGACTCTCTACTACAAAGCTTAACATTGTGTCAACTGGCAAAGAAAAATGGTCGAAGGTTCCAGATTCACCTTCACAGAAGAGGCAAGGAGTGAATTTGGAGCTGAGAGTCAATAAATCGATACCTTCAACTACTTCAAGCTTCCCTATGCAACACACACATTCTTCTACAAACATTTGAAACATGTACAACAACAAAATAATTCTATTCCTCTATCTCCTTCAAGATACAGAACTCCATCTTGCAACTGAAGAACTTTTCATCCTTTCTCCAAAATGAGAAGATGCACAATCCCAAAAGTCATTGACTTCATCACTGATTATATTAATAATTCTTCAAATTCAGTGACAGTCCTTCCTAAGTTTTTTTTAAAAGCAGGATCTTGCTCTGGCATCCAGGCTAGAGGGCAGTGTCATGATCACAGCTCAGTGTAACTTTGAACTCCTGGGCCCACGCAATCCTCCTGAGTAGCTAGGACTACAGGTGGGCACCACCATGCCTGGCTAATTTTTTTAATTGTTTGTAGAGATGTGGTCTTGCTATGTTGCCCAGGCTGGTCTTGAAATCCTTGCCTCAAGTGATCCTCCTACCTAAACCTCCCACCGTGCTGAAATTACAGCTGTGAGCCACCTCACCCAGCCTGAAAATTCTGTTACCTTTACACTAAATTATAAAGTTTGTTTCCAACAGCTTGTATATCAGATAAAAAATACGATGTAGGGAGAGAAGAAAATGTTTAGCATACATGCTGTTGTCTCCCAGTCAGGGCTCTAGCTTGGTCTTCAGTAAAGTGTTCCGCCTTTCAATTAGGGCAGCTGCTTCTCGGTGATGGAATATGTGGTAAGATCAGTTAATTTCATGAAAAGTCAGAATTCTTTCTGAAAAGTCAGAATGATTGATATCATTGATAAAATAACTCAGAATCTCCACTTTCTTAATATAATTCCTTATTTTGGAAAGTTTCTCCTACAAATCACGTACTCATATAAAAGCAACAAATTATTAATAGAAGGAAGGAAGATTACTTTGATTTTTCAGGCAGAGGTGAGGTAGGGGAGATGGGGAATGCTCTCCCAGCTGCTCAGGGTCCTTGGTATGGAATTTATTTTTCTTTAATATTCAGTTTGAGATCAGAATCAAAAGAAACGGGCAGTTCTTTCTCAAATCGATCTGCATGAAGTGCTCATGATACTATGACAAGTACCTTTGGGCAGTGTGGCTGAGCTGATGACAATGAGTCACTTGAAATTATTTGCCTTATCAGTGGTAGATGAGAGTGTGGTCCAAAAACAGAAAAGAAGGAAGGGACTGAGGCAGGAACATTAAATGAGCATACATTTCTTTTTCATAATTTTATATATCTGACACTCCATTCACCTTCCTCACAGCATTCCAGAAATCGCTTAAACATATTTATCACATGTACTCATAACACTACATCCTAAAAAATACTGTTGATATCTTGGTTCACTATTTGGCTAAGGAGTGCCATTGGCCACAATTTACTTATTCGATCTATATTTTCAGGGTCCCTATGCACCTACCCTCTTAGACATTTATAGTGTGAGCTAAATGGCAGCTAAAGAGCTCTCTCCTTCTCCTTCTACTTTTCCTCCGAAGCACTGGTTATCCTCCGAGGCAGCAAGCAGACAAGGAGTATAAAATCTTCTTATACAGTTCTTTCCATTCTAGACATAAGAAAGTCACATATTTATACTTTCCAGCAGCCGCCTGGAATCCAGTACCATTGTAACTCTTATCCGTATTTCTAGCAGAGCTTGGCATTGCAAAACTTACCACATGACAGATTATCAAAATGTTACTATATAAGAATCAATCTTTGGCCAGGTACAGTGGCTCATGCTTGTAATCCTAGTACTTTGGGGGGCTGAGGTTGCAGGATTGCTTGAGCTCAGGAGTTTGAAACCAGCCTGGGCAACATAGTGAGATCTTGTCTCCACTAAAAATAAAAATTAAAAAAAAAATTAGCCAGGCATGGTGGTGCACACCTGTAGTCTCAGCTACTCAGGAAGCTGACTGAGGTGGGAGAATTGCTTGAGCCTGGGGGCATGGGTCAAGGCTGCAGTGAGCTATGATCATGCCACTGCATTCCAGCCTAGGTGAAAGAGTAAAACTCTATCTCAAAAAAGAGAATCAATCTTTAATATTTCAATAGTGAAACCATGTAACAACAGAGTGAAAGCAACAAGTAAAAGTGTCAGTAGCTAGAAGAGATGAATGGAATTCCATAGACAAACTTACAATGTAGATTTGCATAATTAATATACCAATAGAATAGAAGCTATTTTTATAACTGAAAAAGTCTTTGGAGAAACACTGATGAATTCTAAATCTTCATTCTCCTTGTGTGCTATTCCTAGTTGCCAGAACTCACATCACTGTGACAATTTTCTAAGTCCTTCGTGATTCTAATGAAACTTTCACTGTTAGCTAACAATTTCTCATAATTCCTCCTAAATAGAGGTATGAGACAAAATATCCTGAAATCTGAATTGCGCAGTTAGAGCCAGAAAAATAAATTCTAAGAAAATATCCTGTGAATGACCAGCTCAAGGATGCAACTTGCAAGGTAAGAACATGAGAAACTTATGTTTTGTTTTCTGGGTTAGTTGAGAGATTAAATGATAAATGAAAACCAAGGTTCTCCTAGACCATATCAAAATTCCCATAGTCAACCACTTAATGCAGTCACAGTCAAGGAAAGGTCCTTGAGAACCTGATTGTTAGGTGATAAGAAGTATGTCTCCTCCATCATTCTAGAATACTATTTCCTATTATGCAGTTTCTTCAATTAACAAAAAGCTTCTAAAACAAAGTTTATCTGACATGGGACATAGCAGGAATTGCAGAATTATATAGAAATGGCTGGATGTGCTCAGCTCTCTTTGCCTCACTCACCATCATAAAAATAAGAGATCTTTGAAAATGCCACAGGAAGATACATTGAGTCTCTGAAAACTTCTCTAGCATAGGCAGTTTGTGTTCAGCTCCCCTGCAGACCCAGGCACTGTGGTACCTGCAGCACAGAAGTACTCAGCAGCATCACTCCAATGCACAGAGGGTCTCCTCAGGTTGAAGGAAGATTGACTCCTCTTAAATTCAGCTTCAAAGCCTTCAATGCCTTGAACCAGAGTGTCTCCTGAAAAGTACTTTAGGAGCAGCTGGAGGCCTTGGCCGGGGGACTGGACATGCCAGAAGAGAGAAGGTGTTGCCGTATTGGGGAACCTGCCCCGATAGTCACATAGGTTCTTTTCTATTTTCCCTAAGTTTTGGCTGGCTTGAGAAATAAAGGGACAGAGTACAAAAGAGAGAAATTTTAAAGCTGGGAGTCCGGGGGAGAAATCACATGTCGGTAGGTTCCGTGATGCCCCACAAGCCGCAAAACCAGCAAGTTTTTATTACTGATTTTCAAAAGGGGAGGGAGTGTATGAATAGGTGTGGGTCACAGAGATCATGTACTTCACAAGGTAATAGAATATCACAAGGCAAATGGAGGCAGGGCGAGATCACAGGACCACAGGACTGGGGCGAAATTAAAATTGCTAATGAAGTTTCGGGCACCATTGTCATTGATAACATCTTATCAGGAGACAGGGTTTTGAGAGCAGCCAGTCTGACCAAAATTTATTAGGTGGGAATTTCCTCTTCCTAATAAGCCTGGGAGTGCTATGGGAGACTGGGATTTATTTCACCCCTACAGTTTTGACTATAGAAGATGGCCACACCCAAGGGGGCCGTCTATAGACCCACCCCCAGGCACGTATTCTCTTCCCCAGGGATGTTCCTTGCTGAGAAAAAGAATTCAGCCATATTTCTCCCATTTGCTTTTGAAAGAAGAGAAATATGGCTCTGTTCCGCCTGGCTCACTGGCAGTCAGAGTTTAAGGTTATCTCTCTTATTCCCTGAACATTGCTGTTATCCTGTTCTTTTTTCAAGGTGCCCAGATTTCATATTGTTTGAACACACATGCTCTATAATTTGTGCAGTTAACACAATTATCACAGGGTCCTGAGGTGACATACATCCTCCTCAGCTGACAGGATTAAGAGATTAAAGTAAAGACAGGCATAGGAAATCACAGGGGTATTGATTGGGGAAGTGATAAGTGTCCATGAAATCTTTACAATTTATGTTTAGAGATTGCAGTAAAGAGAGGCATAAGAAATTATAAAAGTATTAATTTGGGGAACTAATAAATGTCCATGAAATCTTCACAATCCACATTCTTCTGCCATGGCTTCAGCCGGTCCCTCCGTTTGGGGTCCCTGACTTCCCACAACATCGCCCCATAGGAATAGTTACATCTCAACTCCAGTGAGGCTCCTTCAGAGACAGTGATGCGGATGTCAGGCTGGGTCACTGACTGGGCTCTGACAGTTCCTGAAAAAGTAATGTACTATCAGTGAAAGCAGTGCAGACTCAGTATAAAAAGCAAGCATTTCTAGTCAGAACCTGTGGAACTAGAGATGATAAAGAAATTTTACTCACTCAGGACAAAATGTATCCCCAGCAGTGGGATGAGCACCAGGAGCATGGCTGAGCAATGGAAACACTGCAGGCTCTTTTCTGCAAGATCTCCAGAGAACAGGAAGGAAAGCGGCTGAAGAGACCAAGAACAAGAAGTGTGGGGAAGGTTTGCTGGACAAGCTCTTTGTTTATATAAAACTACAAAAGCTGCAGAGATGAATCTGGTTGCTTTTAAAACTCTGATTCTTGTCACTTGTCTTTGTCTGGAAAGAACTCAACCAGCTGCAGGAAGAAGAAACTGAGCAGTGGACTGATCTTCAACAGAAACAAAAGCTCCAGTGTGTGCAGCATCGCTCTCTGGAGGCCAAGTGCAGAACCAGAGTTTAGCACAGACTGTTCATTAGTGTGTTCTTCCTGTTTTCTGAGATGTATCAAAACTTCCACAAGACGTGTTTCTTCCTGACCAAATCTATGATGGTGTTTTAGTCCTAGAGTCCATTAGCAATAAGATTTCATGTAAAGATGGAGTAATACATCAAGAGGAATCGTTATTGAAAAGCATATCAGAATTTAGATATGAGTCCATGAGAGTTTGGGTTCAGACCAATTGCCCTGGACTGAGTTTTGGATGGTTCAGTGTTGCCACAGTGCTGATGGAGGATGGTAGAGATATTTCCCTCGGATGATGCTTGTGCAGCCATAGAGGAAAAGATTTCACATAAGGAGAGTAGTGCCTCCATGCAACTAATGACAAGGCGTAACTCATGATGGGAAGGCTTTGCCTCTAGGGGTAAAGAAAATAAAACTACAGACACCTGTGGGGCTGAAGGAAATACAACCACACCAAGCGAGAAATAAAAGTTGAAATTTAAAAATAAAAACAAATAATAATAAATGTAGATAGTGCATGGGGAAAAAAATAAAACTCTGAAAACACGAGAATGCAGAAAGTCACTGCTTTCTCTGTGGCTAATGGGACCCTTGACAAAGTCAGAATACTTCTTTCCTTTGATTTGAAAGCATAAGCCCAGTTCTCTCCTTGGGTTCTTGATTCATTTGTTCCTGTTGGAAAAGATTTTCTTGAATGAAGAAAATTGAGTAATGCTGTCATTTTGTAAAAGTGTAGCCTTTGAGTGTGAACTTCTAATCCTAATGCTATATGCTCATTTCCCTTCTCTTGAATATTTCTTCCTAAATTAAAGAATAGAAATAAAATGGAAATAGACTAAAATTCACAAGAGTAAAAAAAAAATGAAGGTCATCTGGTGAGGAAAGGGTGACACATATTTCTAGGACACAGAAAGTAGGTGGGATCATATTGAAGATTAAAGTCAGAGCAGAAAAAAAATTGGAAAATAAGCTATAAGGAGCAACTCCTTCTGAATTTCAGAATGGTGGTCATTTTAACTTTTCTCAAAGTTGCTGAGCATTTGCAAAGCCCAGTATGTTCAAAGTCAAAGGCCATAGGATTGTGTGATGTCTTGGAACATTGCCTTTTGCTCTGCACTGGAAGAATGTAAAGGAATTCTTCAATCCTCTATAGTAGTAGAAGCAACACCTCTTAGTTAAATAAGAATAAGATCATAAATAGAATATTCTCACTTAAGGGTGTTGGCAGCATTCTAAGAAATACATGATTTCCCGGAAGATTTAAGGGTCTCCAAACACAGCCCCAAATACCAAAATACATGTTTCATTTAAAAGAAGCAAAAAGTCAGAAATGAAAAAAATAGAGAAAATTAAAAACTAATCAGCTCTGTTTTATGTACTAAAAAAAATAGTGTTTGAATAGTCCTACTATGCCTTAACATACTCTTAAATCCAGATATAATTCAGAATACAAAAATTTTTAGACTTTAGGAAAAAATATAGTACTTGAATTATTTATAAAAACAAGTATGCATTCTCAATTCTTTTGCACCAAAGAAAGACCTTCATAAATTTGGAAAATAAGAAATGAAATATCAAAAAAATTTAAGAGCTTAATTAAATGGTCTTATAATCTTGATGAGAAAAATTTGCAAATATAAAAAATGAATTAGATTAACTAAAAAGGGTAATACAACTAAAGATGGTGGTAAAAGCACACGCCAAATAGCCATTCTTGATTAATATTATCGAGAACCACAAATTAATGCAGGACCACAGTAGAATAGGAGATAACTTTAAGATACCTACGGCCAATCTCTGCCATGGATTGTAAGTAAAAACTGAACAAAATAAAAAATAAATAAACAATAAAAAAATTTAAAAAAAGAAACTACCTGTGGACTCTGAAATTACCCAAAAGCTAGCAGATTGTGTAGGGAAGTCAAAAATTGGAGAAACAACCTGCACAAGGGTGAATTTCATATTTTTTCTGTTTCTTTCTCTTGGCTTTGCCCTGAGGGAGGCCCCAATGCACACAGCAATATGATAATGGTGTAGGAAGTCAAAACTCTGCAAGAAACACAATTTTCTGCCTCTGTGGGTCAGGCTAGAAAAGGGAGACCCTAGGGAAGAGATGGAAAATAGTTTAAGTCTCAGGCTAATCCCAAGGCTCTACATACGTGAAACTGACTCAAACCAGAACAACAAATTTTAGGTTACTTAACTGATATTTGAACCACTATTCCAGTCTCAGACTACCCCCAAGTGGCACCCATGCAGGACAAACTAAAACCAATGTAGCAGAGAGTTCAGGAACTGACCTGAGATTTGAGCCATGCAAACTGGTTTCACTAATCCCTGAGCTACACACGACAGGTATAAACCCAAACCAACATGGCAAATGATTAGAGAACTGAACTGTGATTTTGAGCTACCAAATTCCACAAAAGGGGAGACACAACTAGTAGTATAAACCAAACTAGGTTGATTTTCTCCTCAAATAAAAACATTAACATTCTTTAGATGATTGTTTTTTAAAGAAGAAGAAGGAAGAGGAGGAGAAAACAGAGTGTACACACATAATATTTGAAATGTTTAAGATGTACTTCAAAATTATTTGACAAAGGGCCAGAAAAATGAACTAATATTTAAGTAAAAGATCAACAAATTCAAATACCAAGATGACTAAGATACTAAAACTCATAGAAAAAGATGTCAAAGTAGCTCTTTTGATTATGTTCCACAAAGTAAAGAAAAAAATAGAAATTGAACAGAAAAATACAATATCAAAAATAAAAATCTTACAGTAAGGGCTCAGTAGCAAAATGATAGAGGAAAGCATATGCAAAATTGAAAAAGATCAATACAGATTATTTAATCCAATTAATTTTGACTTTGTCTTCCCCCAGGAGACATTTGGCAAATCTGGACACAATTTTGGCCTTCACAACTTGGGGTATGTAGTGCTACAGGCATCTAGTGTGGAGAAGCCAGTGGTGTTGTTAAAAATTCTACAACACACAGGGCAGCCCCACACCCCAATAAAAAATTATGAGGACCAAAATGTCAGTAGTGCCAAGGTCAGGAAACACTGACAAACCTTAAAATCAATTTGAAAATTGAAAGAAAAAAAGGCAGAGCCCTGGAGACCTGTGGGAAAATATTCGAAAGTCTAAGTTATATCTAACTGGAGTCCTAGAGGGAGAGAAGAAAGATATTGGGTCAGAAAACATATTTGAAGAAAGAATGGCCAAAAGCTTGCCAAATTCAGTGAAAGACATACATTTATCTTTTTTTTATTATTATACTTTAAGTTTTAGGGTACATGTGCACATTGTGCAGGTTAGTCACATATGTATACACGTGCCATGCTGGTGTACTGCACCCACTAACTTGTCATCTAACATTAGGTATCTCTCCCAATGCTATCCCTCCCCCCTCCCCCCACCCCACCACAGTTCCCAGAGTGTGATATTCCCCTTCCTGTGACCATGTGATCTCATTGTTCAGTTCCCACCTATGAGTGAGAATATGTGGTGTTTGGTTTTTTGTTCTTGTGATAGTTTACTGAGAATGATGATTTCCAATTTCATCCATGTCCCTACAAAGGACATGAACTCATCCTTTTTTATGGCTGCATAGTATTCTATGGTGTATATGTGCCACATTTTCTTAATCCAGTCTATCATTGTTGGACATTTGGGTTGGTTCCAAGTCTTTGCTATTGTGAATAATGCCGCAATAAACATATGTGTGCATGTGTCTTTATAGCAGCATGATTTATAGTCCTTTGGATATATACCCAGTAATGGGATGGCTGGGTCAAATGGTATTTCTAGTTCTAGATCCCTGAGGAATCACCACACTGACTTCCACAACGGTTGAACTAGTTTACAGTCCCACCAACAGTGTAAAAGTGTTCCTATTTCTCCACATCCTCTCCAGCACCTGTTGTTTCCTGACTTTTTAATGATTGCCATTCTAACTGGTGTGAGATGGTATCTCATTGTGGTTTTGATTTGCATTTCTCTGATGGCCAGTGATGATGAGCATTTTTTCATGTGTTTTTTGGCTGCATAAATATCTTCTTTTGAGAAGTGTCTGTTCATGTCCTTCGCCCACTTTTTGATGGGGTTGTTTGTTTTTTTCCTGTAAATTTGTTTGAGTTCATTATAGATTCTGGATATTAGCCCTTTGTCAGACGAGTAGGTTGCGAAAATTTTCTCCCATTTTTTAGGTTGCCTGTTCACTCTGATGACAGTTTATTTTGCTGTGCAGAAGCTCTTTAGTTTCATTAGATCCCATTTGTCAATTCTGGCTTTTGTTGCCATTGCTTTTGGTGTTTTAGACATGAAGTCCTTGCCCATGCCTATGTCCTGAATGGTACTGCCTAGGTTTTCTTCTAGGGTTTTTATGGTTTTAGAACTAACGTTTAAGTCTTTAATCCATCTTGAATTGATTTTTGTATAAGGTGTAAGGAAGGGATCCAGTTTCAGCTTTCTACATATGGCTAGCCAGTTTTCCCAGCACCATTTATTAAATAGGGAATCCTTTCCCCATTGCTTGTTTTTCTCAGGTTTGTCAAAGATTAGATAGTTGTAGATATGCGGCATTATTTCTGAGGGCTCTGTTCTGTTCCATTGATCTATATCTCTGTTTTGGTACCAGTACCATGCTGTTTTGGTTACTGTAGCCTTGTAGTATAGTTTGAAGTCAGGTAGTGTGATGCCTCCAGCTTTGTTCTTTTGGCTTAGGATTGCCTTGGCGATGCGGGCTCTTTTTTGGTTCCATATGAACTTTAAAGTAGTTTTTTCCAATTCTGTGAAGAAAGTCATTGGTAGCTTGATGGGGATGGCATTGAATCTATAAATTACCTTGGGCAGTATGGCCATTTTCACAATATTGATTCTTCCTATCCATGAGCACGGAATGTTCTTCCATTTGTTTGTATCCTCTTTTATTTCCTTGAGCAGTGGTTTGTAGTTCTCCTTGAAGAGGTCCTTCACATCCCTTGTAAGTTGGAGTCCTAGGTATTTTATTCTCTTTGAAGCAATTGTGAATGGGAGTTCACTCATGATTTGGCTCTCTGTTTGTCTGTTATTGGTGTATAAGAATGCTTGTGATTTTTGTACATTGATTTTGTATCCTGAGACTTTGCTGAAGTAGCTTATCAGCTTAAGGAGATTTTGGGCTGAGACGATGGGGTTTTCTAGATATACAATCATGTCGTCTGCAAACAGGGACAATTTGACTTCCTCTTTTCCTAATTGAATACCCTTTATTTCCTTCTCCTGCCTGATTGCCCTGGCCAGAACTTCCAACACTATGTTGAATAGGAGTGGCGAGAGAGGGCATCCCTGTCTTGTGCCAGTTTTCAAAGGGAATGCTTCCAGTTTTTGCCCATTCAGTATGATATTGGCTGTGGGTTTGTCATAGATAGCTCTTATTATTTTGAAATACGTCCCATCAATACCTAATTTATTGAGAGTTTTTAGCATGAAGCGTTATTGAATTTTGTCAAAGGCTTTTTCTGCATCTATTGAGATAATCATGTGGTTTTTGTCTTTGGCTCTGTTTATATGCTGGATTACACTTATTGATTTGCGTATATTGAACCAGCCTTGCATCCCAGGGATGAAGCCCACTTGATCATGGTGGATAAGCTTTTTGATGTGCTGCTGGATTCGTTTTGCCAGTATTTTATCGAGGATTTTTGCATCAATGTTCATCAAGGATATTGGTCTAAAATTCTCTTTTTTGGTTGTGTCTCTGCCCGGCTTTGGTATCAGAATGATGCTGGCCTCATAAAATGATTTAGGGAGGATTCCCTCTTTTTCTATTGATTGGAATAGTTTCAGAAGGAATGGTACCAGTTCCTCCTTGTACCTCTGGTAGAATTCGGCTGTGAATCCATCTGGTCCTGGACTCTTTTTAGTTGGTAAACTATTGATTATTGCCACAATTTCAGCTCCTGTTATTGGTCTATTCAGAGATTCAACTTCTTCCTGGTTTAGTCTTGGGAGAGTGTATGTGTCGAGGAATTTATCCATTTCTTCTAGATTTTCTAGTTTATTTGCGTAGAGGTGTTTGTAGTATTCTCTGATGGTAGTTTGTATTTCTGTGGGATCGGTGGTGATATCCCCTTTATCATTTTTTATTGTGTCTATTTGATTCTTCTCTCGAAAGACATACATTTATCAATTCAAGCCCCAAACAAGGTAAAATCAAAGAGAACCACACCTAAACACATTATGATTAAACCACTGACAACAAAAGATTGTATAATTTTTCATGTGTTTGTGTGTGTGTGTGTGTGTGTATGTGTGTACATAGCTTATATATGAAGCAGCTAGAGAAAAACAATATATTACATCATTGAAGGACAATTACTTGAATGGCAATGGATTTCTATTAGAAAGCATGGAGGCCAAAAGACAATGAAATGGTATCTTTAAAGCGGGAGGGGTGGAAGGGTTGACACAGAATTACAGACCCAGTAAAAACTATCTTCCAGAAATAAAAGGCAAGTTAAAAATACATTTTCAGGTAATGAACAAATGAAAAATATGTTTCCCAGCAAATCTGCTCTAGAAGAAATGCTAAAGGGAGTTTTTAAGTTTGAAGGGAATTTCAGTTATATCCCCTGGTATCAGAGAAAATCCAGATCTTCAGGAACAAAGGAAGGATACCAGAAATGATAAATAGCTGTTAAGTATAAAATAGTTCTTATTCTTCCCCTTAAATTTTATAAAGTGCATATAATTGTTGAAAGCAAAAATTATAACATTATATGGTGAAGTTTTCTATATATTGTGATTTTTAAAAAAAAAAATTGAGACAAGGATCTCGCTCTATTGCTTAAGCTGGAATACAGTGGCATGATGGTAGCTAACTGCAGCCTCGAACTCCTGGGCTCAAGCTATCATAATGCTTCAACCTGCCGAGTAGTTGAGGCTACAGATGAGTGCCATCATACCCAGCTATTTTTTTTATATTTCATAGAGATGGGGGTCTCACTTTGTTTCAGGATGGTCTGAAACCCCTGAGTTCAAGCAATCCTCCCATCTCTGCCTCCCAAAGTGTTGGGATTACAAACATGAGCCACTGTGCCAGGCCTGGTGAAGTTTTCAATGTATGTGACTAATATATATGAACAACAATAACAAACTTTAGTGTTGGTAGATAAAGAGACGTTGTGTAAGATTTTGACATTTCACATAAGGAGGTACAGTATTTGCTCACATAAGACCCTGGATATTTAGGCATGTACATTGCCATCTTCAGAGCAACTACTCAAAAAGTACAGAGTTATAGCCAAAAAGTTCATAAATAAATTAAAATGTAAATTGAAAAGTATTTAAATAATCCAAAAGGAGTCAGAAAAAAAGAACAAAAAAAGGAACATGGGTGAAACACAATAATGAAGTATACTTAAATCCAACCTGATTGATATTTATATTCCATTTTAATTATCTAAACTTCACAATGCAAAAACAGAGATTAACAAAGTAGATAAAAAGAAAAGATGGTCTTTTATGCTACCTACAGGAAACACACTTTAAAGTCACAGATAGTTTAAAAATAAATAGATGAAAAAGATACAGCATACATCAATAAGCATCAGAAACTTGGAAATGCTATTTAATATTATAAAACAGACTTCAAGGTTGAGTTCTTGAGTCACAGAAAGTCTCAGCATCTCAGGAGGTTTATGTTCACCTCTCCTGCAGTCTCAAGCACTGTGTCACTCACAGCACAGAAGTACTCAGCCGCGTCGCTCATATGGGCTGAGGGTTTCGTCAGGTGGAAGGAGGTTTCACTCTTCTTAAATTCAGCCTCAAAACCGTTGATGCCTTTAACCAGGGTGGCCGCTGATGTGTACTTCAGGAGAAGCTGGAGTCCTTGGTTGGGGTATTGCACATACCAGAAGAGATATGGTGGAACAGACGATGAGTAGTTGCACCTCAGCAGAACCAGGGCTCCTTCAGAGACAGAGACGTGGCTGCCAAGCTGGGTCACCGACTGGGCTCTGGTTCCTCCTGCAACACCAATGCTGTGTAAGTAAAGGCAGCACAGACTTTGCTATGAAGAAAAGATGTCTCTATTCAGAAAAAATTACAACACAGTCACATTTACAAAAGGAAGAAAGGTAATGGAATGTTACTAACCCAGGGTAAAAATCACCTCGAGCACTGGGACGAGCAGCAGGAGCATGGCTGAGCAGTGGCCACGCTGGAGGGCCCTGAGCAGAGCGGACAGAAGCCAAGGGCCCTGAGCCTCAGGAGCTAGGAGCAGCAGGCAGGTTAGGCTGGACAAGTCTCTGCCTTTGAAGGGTTTCAAAAATGGTTAAAGAAAGGCTTTCTCTTAAGGAGCCTGGATGTGTTCTGACCTCTTGTTCTCATCACAGCTCCCTATCTACACAGACACCAGTGAGCTACATCAGCCAGCTGCAGGGAGGAGGCTCAGTGGATGAGGATGGTCGGCAATGAACACAGATGCCTCCTTAGTGCAACGTCGCCCCCTGAAGGCCACAGGCGAAACCACGGATCCAAGGAAGTGAACTGTTTGCTTCTCATTTGAGAAATGTGGTATCAAAACCAACAGAAAGTGTTTCTTTCTTCCCAAATCTGTGATGACGTCACCTTCTGTAGAGTACATGGTTTTAATCCTAAATACATGAGAAATGAGAGTAATGTAAAAATAGAAGACTAATTTACTTTACTGAGCAACTAGTCACAGAAGACAACATTCTAGACTTTGGAATACCATTGAGACACTCTATATTATTTTGTAAAACCATTCATCAAGGAGAAGGGAGGTGATCAGTTGCCTCAGTCTGGGCTGAGTTTCATATGGCCCTGTGTTTCTGAATGTCAGCATTACGGTGGGTGAAAGAGATTATTCCTTATTTGATTCTTAAAAAAATAAACAAACTAGACCTGAGTCTCATACTTAAAATCAGCATGGATCACATGTCACTAATTAATTAATCAAAGCAAACAAATAAAGCAAAATTTTTTTTGTTAAGCAAAAATGTTAAAGAGGCCCCTTGGTTTCAGGTCAATAACTTCGATATTTGTAACTCTAGGAAAAAACAACTTAGGTACTTCATGTTTAAAAAGAATCATGTTCCAATTGTCAAAGCTCCTACAGTCTGATACATCATGCCAAATTATATCTCACACTAAAAAGAACATTAACAGAGGCCCATCTATGGAAAAACTTGAGTGGAATGATGAGTGTAAGAAAATATAACAAATAAATAATCCTGGGAAGAGTTAGGAAAAGAAAAGTAAAATAAACCTGTGTTAACTCAGAAAATTGGGAGGAATGCAACCAGCAGACAAGAAATGAGAGGACCTTGTGGGAGGTATAGAAAATCTGGGAGAGATTGACAGTGATACTCAACAGAGCTAGGCAAGCAGTAGTCCCCTGTGAGTGGGAGATAGGCTGTATTGAACTGGAGCGGTCGCCTCTGGCCTAAAAAGATGAAACTCTTGAATAAGAAGCCATCTTCATCCAACTTATTTTAGCATAGAGATCATTGGACCCTAAAACTTAAAAAACCAAATGAGGAGAGAAATCTCAGGTGAAATGAGAACCTGGCCAACAAGGATTCTTTTCACAAGGTCAGAACAAAATCCCTCCTTTCTGTGTACTCTGTTCACTCACGCCAGCCTGAAATCAGTTCTCCCTTGCACTTCTGATCTATTCCTTGATTCTGCCTATAGATTTTTTATGTGTAAGACAAAATCATATAGCCAGTTTGAACATTTAAATGTTACTAGGATGTGCTTCTGATTCAAAATTCCTAAGAAGCATATGTATTCTCGTCTTATCTTTCCAATATTCCCACTGAAATAAAATTTAGAAGTATAAAAAGAATGACTTGAATCCATAATGGTAAAAGTAATAATGAAAAGATGAAAGCTATCACAATTCCCATGAAATGAAAAGTAGATGTGAGCACACTGATGGATGAAACAGAGAAGGGGGAGAAGTCCAGCCCAGAATGAACTATGAGAAGATTGCAGTGGAAATGCAAGTGAAGGGAACCTACTGGGTGAGACCCTGGAGAGGTTCCGGGTTGAGAAAGAAAGTAGGTGATGGAGAGTGGGAAGAACAGAACACAAGAGAACATACTGAAGGTCCACACATGGAATAGCTACACTAGCCTCCCTCCGTTCTCACCATCCTGCTTCTGTACTTGTGTGTGATAGGCATAGTAAGCCAACTTTTACTTGGGTATTTAATTTTCACAAGAGTTTAAATGAACCGCTGGGATTACTGCAGTTTTATTATGAGTGGTTGACAGAATTAGGCCATCTTCAATGATATTAGGTGCAAGGAACAAAGAGGAGCAACTTAATTACCACTTCCCTGTTCATTCATCCTAAAAAGAAGCCTGCCAAATCACATGATATGCCCACATACCCACACTACTGGCCAGGCACCCCATTCCAGAAGAAACCTTGTGGGGAACATGGGCACAGTGACATGAAGAGTCCATCCTGTTACCCAGTCCTCCATTCTTAAATACAAATTAATAACAAAATAGCATTAATCATGTATAAGTATAGATGGGATCTCTTTCTGTTGTTGTCTCTATACATGGAAGCCCAGAGTCATGAACTGTGAATCATCAGAGTCATTTCTACCTCAATACAAAGTGATGAACAGAATGTCATGTAATCATTCTCAAAAGGAAGTAAGATAACATAGTGGTTCCTTAGTCATTATTCTTAAAATATCTTGAGTTTTAGCTTTGAATAATATTTCTTTACCTTTATTTAGATGCTTTCTGTTAAGAAGTGCTTTAGCCTGAGGGAACATAGAAGACCGGTCAATAGGTGCAGGAAACCACCATGACACATGTATACATATGTAACAAACTGCATGTTCTGCACATGTATCCTGTTTTTTTTTAGAAGAAATAAAGAAAAAAATAAAAATATATAAAAAATAAAATCACTACATGTGATTAGTGCAAAAAAAAAAAAAAAAAAGAAGAAGAAGAAGTGCTTTAACCTAACATTATTTCAACTCTTCAAGATCGGGAAAGCCAGCTATATAAACTCCTTCAAATGGAGAATGAAATTAAAATTCAGAATATAATTACAAAGTCTATTATTTCTTGAATGCTGCCCATATGCCAGGTGAGTTCCATGTTAATAGTGAACACTGCTTGTGCCCAGCCAAGATCCCCTTTCCCAGGACAGTGTCGCCATCCCCAGCTACTGTCATGGCTTTTTTCTTCCTGTAGTTCGGAGAGCAGGAGGAAATGGCATCCAGAGGCTTTTCCACTCCCGTAGTTCAGCGAGTGGGAGAGGGTGTTACAGCTCTTTTCACTCCCACAGTTCGGTGGATTCCAGATTCTTGTCCCACTGGCCAAGAGGAATGAGGTACACAGACACCAAAGAGTGAGCAAGGCAGAGGAGAATTTTACTGAGTGACAGGAAACCTCTGGTAAGCAAGACGGGACCCAAAGTGTGTAGCCCTCTGTGAGGCTAAGGCCGAGTGTTTTTATGGGCTTAGAATGGGGGAGTGCATGCTGATTGGTCCATAGGTGGTCTTGGAAAAAGCACCATTTGATTGGTTAAAAGGCATCATCCAGAAGGAACCAATCGAGAGAGTGGGCAAGAGTGGGGATTCAAGTTCTCACTCTGGCTATGTATTCTATCCAGAACTGGCAGATCGGTTTTAAGGCTTTGAACTGTCCTTGGCTTGAAGGCCGGGTTTCACCGGGGATCTGTCCATGTCTGCGTAGGAATTTGTCTGTCTCCTGTCGCTATTACTGTTGGGAATGTTGGCTACTCTCAGCTCACAGTTGCCCCTTTCCCTAGAAAATCGACCTCTGCCAATGAGAGTCATCATTGTCCAGTAGAGTATACCTCTACCCCAAGAAACACCACAGCCAATGACGACTTTATTCTTACGTACAATAGGTCAGCATTCTGGCCCCCTTGCCTCAGTGTGGAAAGGATCAATCCTGTGATGCAATTCATGCTCCAGAGCTCCCATGAGGTCAGGGTGGATAAAGACTCCACTAGCTGGCACGTTTATGCTTAGCCTTTTCCCATCTCGACCCGGTTTTCTCAATCAATTATGGATAAAGAATTTCCAATTCAGGCTCTGCTTCTAATGAACTTATCCCAAGACAATATTTCATCTCATTTAATCCTAAATCCAAACCTGAAATATATATAATAGTACAGCTTAATATAAACGGCCTGTTAGCAACATAATTGATATTCAAACGAGCATGGCAGCCCAGGGTCTTTCCAGAGTGCCAGGGTGCCTGAAGGCATATGATAAAAGTGGCACTAAAATTTAAGTATTTTTATTTCAGTACAACTTTCTGATCATCCTCACTGCCTTACAAATCTTACATGACTTGGAAAAATTTCTTAAATCTTCAGTTCTGTAAATTAACAGTTTGAAGCAACTGTTGATTGGCTTGCATCTTTCATCAGTAACTACGTGAACTAACTGAATAGAAATCTTGATTCTTCATTTCCAAAATTTTTCCACCTCCTGTACTACCTAAACAATGTCATGACTAACAGTCCACAAATTCGGTTTTACAATAAATGTCACTTTTCAAGCTTTTTCCTATAACTCAATGTACTAAATATTAAATGGCATTATTTTCATTAGGAAGTAAATATTTTTCGTGGACTTGGCATACATTGCAGGACAAATCTATAATGCCAGGTAGTCAGCGGAGGGAGGCATTTATATGCTGTTCAGCATTTCCAACTCTCCTGACGAAAATTTGCTGAAACATTCTCAATACCATATAGTCTTTGGGAATTGATTCACACAGGTCTTTGCTCATTATACTAAAACCCCTTAGTGTCTGGACCTCTTTAAGATACTTACTCAGAGATCCTTCTCAATGAATTTTAGATTGTTCCATGCTCCCATGCCCTGACTGGAGATATGGCATGCTGTGGCTAGGGCTAATGCTCCCTATCATCTCCAAGCCACACTTAAGTACAAAGGTATTAATATATTCTTTTACAAGGCTCAAGCCAGGAGTTTTGAGTTCAGTTCAGACTTTACCCCAAAATGGCAACATAGACCTTTTCTAATATTTAGTCACTGCAACTATCTAGACTTCTAGTTTTAACCAGGTCTTACCCTCTGACTGTAGTTCTTCCATCTATCCATGAAATATACCCTTACATAAATCAGGAGTAGTGCTGTGGCTGAGGCTGGAGATGAGGTGAGGTTTCTATAATTAAAAGAATTTTTGGCTGGGGGTGGTGGCTCACACCTGTAATCCCAGCACTTTGGGAGGCTGAGGCGGGCAGATCACGAGGTCAAGAGATCGAGACCATCCTGGCTAACACGGTGAAACCACGTTTCTACTAAAAAAAAAAATACAAAACATTAGCCGGGCATGGTGGCCGGTGTGGTGGCAGGCGCCTGTATTCCCAGCTACTCGGGAGGCTGGGACAGGAGAATGGCGTGAACCTGGAAGGCGGAGCTTACAGTGAGCCCAGATCGCGCCACTGCACTCCAGCCTGGGCGACAGAGCCAGACTCCATCTCAAAAAAAAAAAAAAAAAGAATTTTTGACTTGTAGAATTTTTGAAGTCATTTGTTTGTGAGTTTTTCTCTGCTTTGCATTCCTGTTTTGCTGTTGCATTCCCAAATTAATGACTTTCAAACACTTTGAGTAACTAAAGAAGGAAAGACGAAGGTGTCCTGGGAACTATGAGAGAATATCTGTCATTGTGTGAAAATATTTTCTTGTTATGTAATTTAAAAACCATAAAACCAATCTCATAAAGAGGTGGCATAAAACTAGACTGAGCATCGGGATGTATACATTAAATATGTGTGCCTTTTTATATAGCAATCATACCTCAATTTTTAAAAAAGGAGGGAGGAAGTAAACTTTTAGAAATTATGGATATGTTATGGCATAGTTTGTGCTGTATGTATAAAGTAAATACACATACTTTTTTGTTTATCAGTCAGACCTCAATTAAAAAAATATTTAAAACTATAGTGGAAAAACAGGACTAAAAAATATGTCAACCAGACCAAGATTTTTGTTTTTATTTTTTTCAGGGTTTCAATTATTTTCAGAATTATGAAAATACTTCCCTAATTAATTAATCCTCCATACTGGTTCTTATAATTTCCACTTGAAACTAGAGAGCAAGGGGAGTTTCACTACCCTGCAGTCTAAGCTCTACATCAGGCATTCCTGGGGCATGGCAGGTTTGGGTACAGACTGCAGGTGTCTGGGGAGCACTGTGTGTTCACGGCACAGAGGTAGGTGGCTGAATCACTGGGCTGGGAGTCTCTGATGAGCAGAGAAACATACTGGCTGGCTTTATTGAGCTGTGCTGTAAACCTTCCATCTTCTTTGTCACCATTGGAGTATATGAACATTATCAACTCAGGGCTTTTCCCAGAATATTGTCTGTACCAGAAGAAGGACTGGGAACCTCGGTCACTGTAAGTGCAGTTGAGAGAGGCAATGGCTCCCTCTGGAACACTGAGGGGTCCAGAATTCTGCTCCACCTCCTTCTGTTGGCTCCAAACCCCTGTGAAAAAGACAGTGGTCAGACAGAGAAGACTGGCTGGGTAATAGATGCTTACTCCCCAGAATTTAAATCCTCTTTTCACTGGTGCCCCTACTTTCCCTTAGTTAGAAAAAAAATCATGCTTCTACCTATAGATCTAGAATAGACAGTAACTCCAGATACTGTACATTATTTTCCTATATAAAGATGCCCCAAACTCACAGCTCAACTGAAGCCACAGGATCACTAGTAAAACTCTCAAGGATTTCATCATTCTTCTCTGCCCTGGTTCACTGAGGATTCAAATTTTAAACCCTTAAAAAATGCACCTAGAATGGATATTTCTACTTTAAAAATCATAAAAAGAATCTGCTTTACCAGTTCAAAAAAATGATGCTCTTTTTAACACCCCTAATTCACCACTAAGCCCCTCCCCTCATCCTTCCTCCTCCTCCTCCTCCTCCTCTCTCTCTCTCTCTCACACACACACACACACACACACACACACACACACACACACGAGCACTTGAGAGCTGTCCTCAAGGTCCCTAAGAACACACTGCCATCTTGTGGAATCATGATAGTGATCAAACATATACTCAAAATGTAGAGCCTTATTATGTAAACAAGTCACTTTAAAAATCTGACACATCAGTTAAAAATTTGAGAAGCAAATGCTCCAAGTTAATGTCTGTGGGGATGTTTATGTGTGTATGTGTATGATATCAAATGGCAATTGTTGTATGAGTAAGAGCAGTTGTTTCTAATAGCCACTTTCCTACACTGAAATAACAGTCATGAAGTATTCTATTATAAAAATTTAGGTGAGATTCTTGCAATTCAAGGAGCATTTCACATTGCATAGCTCTTCATGTCAGGCCACACATCCCTATACCATTCTGTTATCTCCAATTTTTAAAGAAGTTTCTTGTAATTCAAAATAATTCTTTCAAAACAGAATGACCTAAAATCTAGCTTAACAAGCATGGTTCTAGCTCACAGCCTTAGCAACATTTTTTAACAAGACCAGGGAATAGAGGGGCTTGGGAATAGCCATTGCATCTTGCACCAATGACACATGCATGTCAAAACAGTACTTACATGGGTTGGTATAATAGAGATAAACCTGCCTTCAGTACATAGCCTTTCTTTTTTTTTTTTTTTCAGAGCAAGGGTGGAAATTTATTTTAAAAGGCTTTAGAATAGGAAAGAAAGGAAGGTACACTTGGAAGAGAGCCAAGCCCGGCACTGAGGTAAAGCGCAGTGTTTAACCTTGACCCTAGAGCTTTATAGGCTTTCCCCTTTCCCATGATCCTTCCCTTAGGGTGGGCTGCCTCTGTGTGCAGTACCCATCTTACCCTTGGGAAGTGAGTACACAAAGTATGTTTAGGAAGTAGTACATAGACTTTCAATGACATCTTGTGTGACTGTTTATTTTTCTAGTTTCTCTCGTTGCCTTTCTTGTAAAAAGCTCATATCTTCAAATTAATTTCCAAAAGTTATAAATTTGGTGTCTCTTTCTGCCTTTCCATCTCAACCTAAACAGAAAATCAGATCTATGAAGGGTTATCTATGCAAGAAACTTAATTGTGTCTACAGAGAAAGAAGCACAAACAACTACTGTTCCTCCTCTTGTTCATAACATGCTTTGTTTCCTTGCAGAAGCTTGTGGCTGGAGGCCATGAAGGATGCAGGCTCTTTTCTACTCAAGGACCATGTAGCCAGTATCCATCAATGATGGCTTGGGCAGGTCTTTTCTATTCCCACCAACAACTTCATAGGAAATAGAATGAAAGAGAATATACTAATATCGAAATCCCTTTCTCTAAGAGTACGTTGCAAGTGGCAGAAATCACAAAAGCCATTTCTCAGTAACTGTAAAAACCAAAGAAGGAGCAACCCAAGATGGCAGTCGCCACAGTCTTGGAAAATTTATTTAAAAAAATATATAACTTTTAAAATTGAATGTGGAGTTGAAGCACAGTCCTTGTAGAAAAAAATCACCTTTTGAATATTTGTAACAAAAATAGTATGGGTCAATAGATCTAATGTTGTACCCAAGAGCGATATCAGTGCTAGCAAGATGACACACTTTACATAACATCAAAGTTGTACTGAAAAAGCTTCTGTGCCTAATAATGTCTAGATGACATATAGAACTCTCCTTCATATGCCTTAAGGACAGTGTTATGGCAATCAATCAAAGAGAAATCACACTCCCCTTCTCCACTGGATTAAGTGGTCTTCATTTTCCATGGCATAAAATTTTCTAGAAATGTCTCGTGGACCTCAAAGTATTGGAAAGCAAGATTTTATTCAAAGGCAATTTATTTTAAGATACTACTGCAAATGCTACTAATTTTGTGTTCATTTGAAATACAGAAGTTGTACTATGAAAAACAACAAAGGAGATTTTTATACACCTGCAAAAACACAAGCATCTTTACCCATTGTGCTCCTATTAATATGTATCTATAATTATTATTTATCCACTAGTTTGTTAAATAATTTAGGGGAAAATGGGAGTTATAAACAAAAACTACAAAAATATTGGCATTTATTCTTATTTATGTAATTACCTTCATCATTGTTCATTATTTTGTATGGCTCCAAGTGTCTAGTGTCATTTCTTTTCTGTCTGAAAGATTCCCTTTAGATTTTCTCATAGAGCAGGTCTGCAAGTGATGAATACACTCAGTTTTTGTTTATCTGGGGCTGTTTTAATTTCTCCTTTGTTTTAGAACAATAGTTTTACCAGATATAAATTGGTGGTTGACAACTTTTTTCTTTAAACACTTTATACCATCCTACTGCCTTCTGGCTTCCATGGTTTCTGATGAACAATTGACTGCTAATCTTATTAAGGATCTCTTGCATGTGGCTACTCACTTCTCTCTTGCAGCTTTCAAGTTCTCAATTTGTCTTTTTCTTTAAACAATTTGATCATAATATGTCTCACTGTGAATTTTTTTGCCTTCATTCTACTTAGTCCTTTTTGAACTTCTTGGATGTGTAGATCCATGTCTTCTATCAAATTTGGGGAGTTTAGGGTCATCATATCACAAATATTTTTCCTGAATCTTTCTGTCACTCCTCCCATTCTGGGAATTCTGTTATACTTATGTCTGTGCTATTGTTAATGTCCCACAGGTCATTTAAGCTCTTAGGTATATATTTTTTCATTCTTTTTTCCTTCTGCTTCTTAGACTGAATAATTTTATTTGGCTTATCTTCACATTTGTAGATTCTTTCTCCTACCTGCTGTTAAGTCCCTTTAGCAAATTGTTTTTTAGAAAAAAACTTTTCTCTGTAGCCAATTCTCCACCCTGAGGGGATTTTGAGTTGTGTGAAACACAGGCAAGCCCTTTGAATTAGCCCTTCAATGAGCCACTGGAGAGGTCAAAGTAATCAAGCACTACTTTGATATAACAAGGTCCACTCTGCTTCTTCTAGCACCAGGAACCCATACTTGGAATGGAGGATGTAATTTAAAGACTGTCTTAAAGCCAGTGATGAGGAGATGGAGCAAAGGTAAGTTAAAAATAACACAAATTCTCCTACCAGGTTGCAACTACTTTTTTATTGACTAAAGATGTGCTTGGTAGCTGTAAATCTTTCTGTGGTATTTGGCTGGAGTAAACTGGTTATAGTCTTTCAGTTTTGTGTCTTGACAGTCTGTTATTCTCCTGGTTTTTTGGCTAAAGAAAGCAAAAGCCTGGTCTTTGGGCTTTTTTGTACATATTCACTAACATTTCCAGGTCAGTGGCTACTCCTGATTGTATGAGGCAAAAGGAAACTCATGGAACTCACTGCTTTAGCGTTTCTGAAATTTCTTAACCAGTTGGGCTTTTTCTCCCCACTTTTTAGAATCTTTTAATTTTTTTATCTTATGCACAGATTATGATGGTTTGAATTATAATTTTTCAGTGGTATGAAAGCAGTACACAATCAGTAGAAACTGAACTTTATGTACATATACAACTATTCTGTTTTTCCCTTTTGGTACAGTATTCAATAAATTACATGAGATATTCAACACTTCATTATAAAATAGGCTTTGTTAGGGATGATTTTGCCCAACCATAGGCTACTGTAAGTGTTCTGAGCACATCTAAGATAGGCTAGGCTAAGTTATGTTGTTCAGCATACTAGGTGTATTAAATGTACTTTTTACTTACAGTGTTTTCAACTTATAATGCATTTAGGGGGAAGCAATCCCATTGTAAGTCAAGGAACATCTGTAATATCCAGAATCATTAGCTGTATGTAACGAGATGAATGGAAAAAAAGTATACCTTCTCTAACTTTCTAGAAGTGGAAGGCATGATGCTTCTTTTTTTCTCCTAACAGCAACCTTAGAACAGCCTGGTAGGTTTACTGTCCTGGTAGCAACATGGTCAGAATGGTATTAAAACTGAATTCTGGTTCAGCCACCTGGATTCTTTTGTTGGACAAACATGGTCATATATTATGAGGTTAACTATCATTAATTTGAGTGTTCTGCTCTAGGAATTATTGTACAATGGTCCACGAGGGCCCAGGTAATAAATAAAATGGGTATATATAAATGTCATAAAATACCTTTTTCCTCTATTTATTGTTCTAGACAAAAAGTTTGAGTATGACTAGGAACCGACCACAATAAAGGCAAAGCTTTAGCTACTAGAATGGGATGAACAAATTTTGTGATTGTGGATAAAAAGAGCAACAACACTGACACCTAGGAAGGGAAAATCTTGGACCACTGGAGGTGAAGCGAGTGAGGATTAATGCTCTCTTTGTATGCTAGATGAAGCACACAGCCTGGCAAGGCAACCATATAGTTTGGTTGTGTGTTGGTTTGTCATCTCCTTCCACATTCCATGAAAACAGAAAAACTCCTGTGAATATGGCCTCTCCTGAACATTTCTACAACATGAATGGCAGCTTCCCAATACAGATTCCCCATCCTCTTAAGTGTGAAAACACAGGAATCAGCACAACATTTTCTCAATCTGATTCATACAAACGTGTATTTTTCCCCTGGTGTCTGGACTGTCTTGGGTTATACCATGAATGCCTACAGAAGTTTCAAATACTCACTGACCCTGCTCATATAGCCTAACCAAAGTGAACTAATGCTGACCCAAATAAAGTGTAGCAATAAATTTCAAACTGGATTAATTTCGGCACCTTTGGTTATGTTTATGTCTGGGGAATAGGGACCATAGGAGATCTCTATATTGGGAATAATAGTTAACTTTTTGGCAATTAAAACAAAGATCAGCATGTCAGTCTAAATTTCCATGTGTAGGTCATATTAAATAATACACTATATCCTAGCTGTCTGTACTTTGGGACTTATTCACAGCTGGGAGAATCTAGGATCCTATGAGGCATGATTGAGGTTGCTATTGCAGGTTGGTCTCCTCTTCATGCTTAGAGTTCTACTGACAGTAGCCTTAATTAAATCTTGTGTAAGACAAATTCTATGCGTTTACTCTCTACCTCTCTAGTCAAATTAATCAGAATGACTGATGGAGTGGAATACTCATAAGAAAAATTTCCAGCAGCTAACATGACATAAGACCATGGAGTGGATAGTGTTGAAAGACAGTCCACTATGAGTCTCTTGTACCCCTACATGACCTGCTGGGTATGCCAATAGTGTAAAGCCATGACCTCCCTACCAGGACCACTTTTCAGAGTTAGGCTTGCAGCAATCAACCTTAAGGGATGAGTTAATGACTCCCTGTACGACAAAGAGCAAGCTGGCTTACTGTTTACTGTTGCTATAAATTTCCCAGGCTCAGAGTTCCTCATCTATGACACAGCACCACTGCATGCAAACTACTCATCAGCACTCACTGTATCATCTTTTGGGGACTTAAGGAAAGAGTAACTGAAGTGAACTTACTAATGTTTAGGCTGTTTGCTGTGCCATAAGTAACAAAATCCTTTGTCTCTGACTAAGGAGTCTCATGTCTTTACTGAAAACCTGGATGAAACAACACACTTATTAGCTTGCAGGAAGAGGGAAAAAAAACCAAGAACTGATAACACCCTTCTCTACTATAGTAAAGGCTTGAACTACATGTGAGAAAGATAAGTTTCTCCAAACTAGTCTGGAAGAGACCTTTTTTTGAAGGATGTAATGTATATAGCCCCATAGGTAATTAACCATCACTTCCAATAAAATGCTTGAGCAATTTTATAATATACTTTAATGAAATAAAGACTCCTTCTGGGAAATTAGTGTTACCAACTCAAATGACTATTAATCTTTTGAGAAGCCTAATAGCCACTACACAGATGGTCAAAAGCAGGGTAATTATGAACCAGTCCTTTGAACGTAAATATCTTTAAACCAGATCTTTTAAAAATCTGATCTACAACACGTCTACCAAGGCTATTTATTTGAATTTGTTTCCTGAGGGGCATTTACTCTTACAGTAATTTGAATTATAACTTTGACTTCAGCTCATAATTATTGGACTTGAGAAGTTACTTTTATACTTTCTAAAATGTTTTAAGTGTTTTTTTCTTCATTTAGATATTTCATCATGTGTTACTAGCCTTTAGAGTTGACTAAGTGCTTCAGATCACATCTGATAAAGTGAGGTCACTTTAGTGAGGAAAGGCTGAGACCCTGAATGGATCTAACTATTTGACCAGAGTTCACTGAGCACAGAAAGGCTGGGTTTTGAGTCTGGGAGCAAGGGTGAGAAAGAACTGAGCTGCCCCACATAATGAAGCAGAGAGAACACAAAAAGAGGTCAAAGTTGCTAGGGTGAGACTGAGAGGAAGGAAAAAAGGAAAGAGGAGGGCCAAATAACATCCATCCATTTATCATTTAGTGAATATTTTTTTGACTGACTATTATAGGCCAGTCATTATTCTAAGCACTAAGAATAAAGCTGTCCACTAAACAAACAATACCTCTGACCTCGTAAAGCCTGTATCCTAGGTGGAGATATAGACAATAAACACATTGACAATAAACACGTAGACCAACAATATAACTGCACATTATGATTATTACCGTAATGAAATATAACAAGGGTGTTGTAATAGAGTTAGGGGAAAAGCCATGATGGCCACATTAGTCAGGATGATCAGCAGAAGTCAGCAGGTTTTCTCTATAGCAGTGGTATTTGAGCTGAGACCTGAGGAATGAAAATGAGTCAGGCTCACCAAGATTTAGGGTAAGAGCACTGCAGATGATTGAGAGAGTTAGACTAAATGTGGAAAGGACATGGCAAGTTCAGAAATCTGAAAGGAGGTCAGTGTTTTTGCTGCATAGAAAGCCAGGAAAAAAGAGTTTAAAGCTGAAGGGACAGGGGAGGTTTGAATGATACAGATCTTTGTATGCCACAGCCTAAATTTGCATTTTATTCCAGGAGCAATAGAAAGCCATTGAAGCATGTTTGCCAATTAGAGACATCTCTTTATTTATACTTTAAAAAATCGTTCTGGGAACCCATCAGATGGGTGCTTCTCAAACTTTGAAGTGATAGAATCACCTGGGAATGTTAACGAAATGCAGATTCAAATTCAGTCAGCCTTGGGTGGAGGCTGAGCATCTGCACAAGTCCAGACAGTGCTGGCCCCGACTCTGAGTAGCAAAAGCATGGAGAATAGATTGCCTTGAGGAAAAAGAGACCAGTTAGTAGGTTGGTGCAAAAATAATCGCGGTTTTTGCCATTGAAAGTAATGGCAAAGCCACAATTACATTTGCACCAGCCTAATAGAAGGTAATGTGGGCCAGAACAGTATTCTTCAAACCTTTTAAAAAATCTTATTGTATGAAAGAATATTCTATGTGATGGACTCTGTTTTTAAATCACATTTTTAATAATAAAATATATAAACTCACACTTTAAAAGAAAACTAAAACATTGCTAAAGTGTTTATTAATAAAATGGAAGCTACTTTAAGATAATAATGGTCATAATTGATAAAGTATTGAAAAATCAGCATCACCATGTGCTGCTGTTGAAATTACACTTTGGTGAAATATATCTTCAGGAACATTAGGCATTTAGTGTTATATGTTCTCCCTTATTCAAGCAACTCTATTTCCATTAAAATTACAAATTTAATTATGTTTTTAAGAAGCATTATCTATAACACTGTATAAGAGGAAATAATACCAAAAGTGATAAATTTTTTAAAATATATCTATATAATGGAAACTAGGCAATCACTTAAAATTATGCCCTCTGGGTGCACATCAAAAGTGGATTGGATAAAGAAAATGTGACACATAAATACCGTGGAATACTATGCAGCCATAAAAAGGAATGAAATCATATCCTTTGCAACAGCATGGATGCAGCTAGAGATCATTTTCCTAAGCAAATCAATGCAGAAACAGAAAGCCAAATACCATATATTCTCATTGATACGTGGGAGCTAAACATTGAGTGCACATGGACATAAAGACTACATGTAGATACTGAGCATTACTAGAGGGGGAAGGAGAAAAGGGGCAAGGACTGAGAAAATAACTGTTGGTATTATGCTCAGTACCTGGGTGATGGGATCATTTATACACCAAACCTCAGCATCATGCAATATGCTCAGGTAACAAATCTGCACATGTACTACCCCCTGAATCTAAAATAAAGGTTGAAAATAAAAGAAAATAAAATAAAACTGTGCCTTCAATATAAGCTTCCTGGGATGAAAACACCTAAACATAATGTTGAGAAAAACAAGCATGGTAATAAATACTGGATATATTGCAAACCACTTTTATAGAAAAAATAGCTACATATGTATACCAAAATTTTTTACAGGATAATAGTTATAATTTCTTGATTATGAAATTATAGGTGTGTTCTATTTTTCTGGGTGTTTTATGTCTTTATATATCATTTTATATCTTTATATATACATATAAGTAATAAAAATGTAATTTAGTTCAAAATTACAACACACAACTCCTTTTCTCAAACACCGAATCCCGCTTTTCATCTTTCATGGAAAAAGCAACTGACAAGGGGCCAGAATGCCTGGCTTCTACTCCAGGCTTCCATTTCACTGCAACACATGCTTTGAGTAAAGTGAAGCCATGCCTGTGGAGCCTGCTTTTTTTCATCTATCAAATGAGGGGCATGAGCTGGAAATGTATTTTCTAAAGTGCGATTGATACAGGAGGTCATATTAGGCAGAACACAGATGGTCTTTCTGACTGTTATATATGTAACATTATTTTAATTTGTATTAGGAAAAAATATCTTGCACATCAAATGCACATTTTATAACATATATGTGGTCCCACTGATAGTATCTATTAAAGTAAGGACAATATTTTACATATTTTTGGCATCTATTTAATAGAGAAATCAATTTAATGTTAAATTAAGTAAATTATGGAGTAGATGATACACAGATACAGCAAACATCATTTAAAGATTATGAAAATATAAGTTAAATGCTGCTAAGTGTACAACCAGGGGAAACTTTGCTCCATGGACTCAGAGACTGTGACCTCTCAGAGCAAACAGTAAAGGAGTGGAAGGACTCTGGGCAAGCAGGCCCAGGATCTGTATGGTCTACATTGAGGAATGAAATTTCAATAATGACAAAAGGAAACATAATTCCATATAAATTCAGCTTCTTCACATATGAGAGATGGTGCATTATTCTTCACTTCTGTTTGGAGACAGAGGTTATAAAGAAAGTTCCCCCTACACATAAACAGTTAAGAATGGCATGCATTCCCTCCTGGATACTCAGGAATGAAGGACTCTGCTCCGGCGTATGTAGTCTGTTCACCCCTGTTTAAACAGAGAAGCACAGACAGATGACATTCATTCATGGCTGACAGCTTTTAGAAGATATGCTCTCTTTTCACAGCCCCCACAGGTGAGCACTGAGGCCTTAACCACCCTTCTATAACTTCCAGACTTTTAAATAAGATACTACACTCGCTCTTTTTCATATTTCCAGAGCCCAGCAACTCACAGCACAGCTCCCAAGAGAAAATCAAGAATGAAACTCCCAAAGCCTTCTTCATTTTTATCCCTCAGACTCACGGAGGACTCTGGCTGGGGCCTGGGAGCCCTCAAACACTACCAAGCCAAATCTCTTGTTTCTCTGAGTGAATATTCATAGTTTTGTTGCAGGAAGCTGAGAGTCTCCCCATCCAGCCAGAAACAAGATTTACTCCCCCATGCACAGATCGCACAGCTGTCTCTGATCTCTGAAGAGGTAGCATGGGAAAGGACCCTGGCAGAACCAGGTGCTGATTCTCAGTCAGCTGCATCTAGCATTTGTCCCTTAGATTTTTCTCTTTCCTTTTTTCTTCTGTAATACTTCCTGGGCATCTACCATGTATGTACAAGTTGTAAATTGAATAACTAAAAAGGATTCCTCCCCCAAGGATGACCTAGAAAAGTTATTTTCTCCCAGAGCAGAGCTCTGTTAAATAAGCTCCCAGTTATGGATCTAGTTATTGGCACTGTAGCTCAGTATAAAATGGTGTATATCTGACTCCTGCTCCATAACGCTCATGTGAATCCATCATAGAATTTACACTAAGTTATACCTGAAGCAAGAAAGCTTCATTCTCTACCCGTAAGGCCTATGAGATAAAGAAATAGTTCAAATAATTGGATGGAATCAGGCCAGTGTGAAATAGTGACTCTCAGTCCTAAATATAGTAAAATATAATAATATAACCAATAGCAGGAGAGTAGAGGGTTAAGCCTTATCTATCCTTAAATTTTCTTGTTATTTTATTTCAAATTGTCTTTGTTGCAATATCTCATTTATATCCAAGTATAGCTACCATTGGTGAGAAATTGTTCCCTACCACTACAATTCAATCATTTAATTAAATTCATGAAATTTAATTCAATCCTTACAACTATGTGGAGAGGTGATTGTTATTGTTATTACAATTGATGATGTCTAGGTGGCCTGAGTTTAAGTAATTTTGTCAATGGTCAAATAATTTAGTAAATGACAGGTATATTAATAGTACTTCAGTGACTATGCCTTGTAATGGTCACATGGAACCTGCCAATCACTAGAATAGGCAAGACAAATGCCTATAGTGAAACAGATATATTGGAAATACCTATATTGGATATTCCTGTAAAAGAAGGGAACACTATAGACAATTGTAGATCTAAACCTCATGAGGGAAGGTCTTTGTTGTCTGCATGTGTCTGTTTTATTCATTATTCTACTCTTCATACCTACAAAAACAATTGTTGCTTATTGTGTGTTTCATAAGTAAGTGTATAATGAATGAATTCAATGTGTGTCTGTCGTTTAATGCCTAAGTTTTCTATCTCTCCATGATGCTTACTTGTGTCTTTTCGGTGCCACACTATTCTCCTAAAAATACCCCTAAAACTTAATTGCCCACATACTTGGAATTTTATCTATTGGTTAAGTTTTCATGCATTTCATCTTATTCCTCAATTGATTTGCAAGATTTTTCTGGTAAGTTCATTCTGCTTAAGAGTAACATTTTATACTACTGTCGGTATAGTCAAAGGTCCTAATACAGTACGTTGTACACATAGGGGATACATATTTATTCTCGGTGAATATGTATTCTTCTTGCTTACTTACTGGATGATTAGCCACCAATTTAACCAAGTCAATGCAGTCTTTTTTACATTATTAACTGAAGAAAAGTGGTGCCCTTTAAAGACGTTCTTAAGATTAAGAAACAAAAAGAAGTCAGAAGGAGCCAAATCAGCACTGTGAGGGGGATGCCTAATGATTTCCCACAGAAACCTAAATTCTCCTCGCTTGATGAGAGGAATAAGTTGGAGCATTGTCGTGGTGGAAAGGGATTCTCTGGTGAAGATTTCCCAGGCATTTTTCTGCTAAAGCTCTGGCTAACTTTCTCTAAACATTCTTATAATAAGCAGATGCTGTCATTCTTTGGCCCTCCAGAAACTCAATAAACAAAATGCCTTGAGCATCGCAAAAAACTGTTGCCATGACTTTTGCTCTTGACTGGGCCACTTTTGCTTTGACTGGACCTCCACCTCTTGCTAATCATTGCTTTGATTGTGCTTTATCTTCAGAATCAAAAGGATAAAGCCATGTTTCATCTCCTGTTCCAATTATTTGAAGAAATGGTTCAAGATCATTATCCCACTTATTCAAAATTTCATTGAAAGCTCTGCTCTTTTCTGGAGCTGATCTGAGCATAGTGGTTTTGGCACCCATCAAGTACAAAGTTTGCTCAACTTGAACTTTTCAGTCAGAATTGTGTGAGCTAAACCAGTTGAGACATTTATAGTGTTGGCTATTGTTTCCACTGTTAATCATCCGTCCTTTTTGATTAGGGCACTTATGGTTAATTTTTTCTTCACAAATTGTTATGGAATGTCTGCCACTGTGGGCTTCATCGGCATCCTCTTGTCTATTCTTAAACAAATTATCCATTTTGTTTAAGAACAGACAGACAAGAGGATGGCTGATTTTATTGGAGTGTTGAGCCTATAAATTTTTCATAAAGCATCAGTGATTTCACCATTCTTCCACCCAAGTTTCACCATAAATTTGATGTTTGTTCTTGCCTCAAGTTTAACAGAATTCATGTTGCTCTGATAGGGGCTCCTTTCAAACTGATGTCTTATCCTTCTTAGTGCCTCAAACTAAATCCTGTTCAGATATGTTATAACAACTTAGTATAAGTTTATTTTGGTGCCAGAAAATTTGAAATCCATGCACCGTTTTTCATAATACGCAATTTCTTTTTTCCATAAACTTTTTGAAGACACCTAGCATTTATTGAATAAACTGATCTGAAAATCCAACAATTCACAAAGAGTGTTGAATTTGTTTTTATTCATCTTTCAGTCATATGTTTCTGAATTACCTTAGCCAATTCTTCCAGCTCAATCTAGTGGCCAGATGGCAAATTGCTTATTGTGGCAGTTCTTTCTCTCAATCATTGGTCAAAATTTTGGTGTGTCTAACTTCAAACCAAAGACTCAGGGATTAGGATGTTTTTGATGAATGATAATTCTGGAAATGGTCTATAAGCCTAGAGAGGTATTTTCTTACAGTGTTTTCCCCCGATGCTACACCTGTGCTGTCACAACCATAGCCACTTCCTGTCTGTGATGGTGAATCCTTTCTTTGGTCTCTCCAGCAAGTGGATGTCTCAAGCAGACCCTTGGGGATTTTGTGTACCTCACTCCAACAGTTCTCTCACTGTAGCCTCTTTCAGTGCACAGAAACACATCACTGAGTTCTCCAGTTGTGAAGTGGAGATGACAAGTTGATGGATTTGCTTGCCTTCTGCAAATGCAATGAGTAGTGACCTATTGCTTATTGCTGATCGTGAGTCCTGATGAATAAGGAAAATCATCTCCCCACTCCTGGGCTACTTGTGCCAGAAAGGACTATAACTTCCAGCACTGGTGTCATAATTGCAGTCCAGAGTCACAGCCTCCTTCTCATGCACCAATACTGATGGTTTAATTTGAGTTACTTCTCAGCAAAACCAGATTCTGAAGGAGAAAACAAAGAACCAAAAGGTTTAGGGATGAGTGATGTGGAACAAAGAAATTCTATTTTTACACCCTGTTACTTCTTCTGTCCCAAAGTTTTGATGAGACATTTCCCAGTCCTTGGGTCTTAGAGGAAGACCATTCCCACCAGGGGCATCCCTACCTAGCCACATTGAAGCTGTGACCACCCTCAGGCAGCTGGAGAGCAACATGTTTGGTTCTTTCTCTAGAGAGAATATATTTTGTTCTTCTTAAAATTCAGGGCTCTGCATTGTGAGGTGAGTCTGATGAAGTAAGAGAAGAATTACTGGACTATGTGCTGCTGCTGCTGCTGCTGCCCTGGAATAGGAAACGGAGGTTTTCCGGTGTAGCAAGCTAGTTTGTGTTATCTAACACTTCTCTATGTACTGGCTAAGAACCTCACCCAATGCAAACTTCCTTTGCACTTACCCACCCTTAATTTGATAATAAATAACTTAAATATGAAAATAAACATGGTCAGGTTAGAAGGGAAATTGATAATTCGGCCAATTGCTATGTTCAGTCATTGCATCTGTGATGGAACTGAGCAATGAGGTTGAGAGGTTGGCACTTACTTTAAAATACTACATGTAATGAATAATGAAGGCAACGGAAGATGTAACAATTATGTATCCTCACATCTATGTATGTTGTTGTTTCTCCTAAGGTAGAAATTAATCACATTATGCTAAGAAGGAAAAGCTGTTTGCACTAATCACTGCAGATCATCGGACCTACATGTTAATATAGCAATATTTGTCCTATTCCCAAAGTCTGTCCAGTTGCTTATCTGGGGAACAAACGGTAGAAAAAAACTAATCTCTCTTTCTCTTTTCTACGCAGAAAAAAACTAATCTCTTTTTTCTGAGAGTTTAGAATGAAGCCCTCAGACATTGAGTCCTATCTTAAAAGTTTTCTTCTTTTTTCAAGTTAGTTTAGACAGCCCAGCTCTGTTTATACAGGCCATATTAGACACCAGACTCTGATCATTAAGTTATCAAACCTTTGAATTTATGCATTTTTATTATGTCATCTGGGACCCCAAATGAGCCATAACAAGCCATTACATTCTGTACATCCACTGCTGAAAGGTATGAATCCTAGGTGTCTCCATACGTCTCCCAAGGAAAAACTATTATAGGAAAATTGATTGTGATAAGGCTTTCGTTTTGTGAATATTAGCAGTAAGGCCATGTCCTAGGGATATTACTCAATTACATTAAAAACAACAAAGACCCATTGCCTATTATAGCCTATTTCTTAATATAATGATTACAACCTATCCTCCTTGTCTTAAAATGATTTCAGCTATGTCTAAATTTGTTGAAGCATCTCCAGATCTTTCACTGAAATCACCATTAAATCTTATGATGCCACATACAGCACAAATGATCTACTCTGTAAAAACAACCATTTTTTTACCAGTTGGTGGACTAACTATACAATATTATTAATTTCTCCTCATAGCGTCTAACTCCATTACACTTCTCAATCAATGAATCTTATGATTGCATTTCTGTAACTCAAGAAGTGTCCATCCCAGAACAGATATTTTGGACAGTCTCATACCTAATTCTGAATTAATTTTGTTTTTAATGTCTTATCTTCAAAACTGAAAAGAAATAACACAAGGTTTATAATGCATTTACTGCTCCAGACTCCATTATAAAATCTAATTCCTTAGAAGAAGCAAAACAAATTAAAGTAACTGAATTTGTGGCTCTCTCTTTGCTATGTCCAATTATGAAAAATATATACAGTGATAGCCTATATGTTTTAACATAGTTCACAACTCTCAAATACTATGGAGATGATGAGATTTCTTAACCTTCTTAACCTTTTCATACATCTCATGTATCGCTATAAAATAGACACCAAATACGAAAATTATTTGAATTATTGATACTACTCAAAGAAAGACAAAGTTCCAAAGTAGGAAAGACACTATAGAAGCCAGGAAGAAATACATGAGCAGAGAATCATGCTAAACATGCCTTTCTGACTAACGTCCTCATGCAAGTACCTCTTACAGAACATGCAGAAAAATCTATGGAAAATTTTAGTAACTACATCTTGGATCAATTATTGATTTGTTTGATCAGTGAGGATAAGATATATCAAGGCCAGAAAGGCTGCCTGGTGGGACCAAATGATCTCCAGTGAATACTTGTTTTAGCAACCTTCCAGAGACAGCCCATCACAGTAGGGATGTACTGGCTGCAATATTATACAAATAGTTGGGGAAAACTTTTCTAGGAGAACACAGAAAGTGGCAAGTTCATGCCTTTTTTGAAACCTATAAGATTCCATGAAAAGTGTAAAAATGGAATATGAACTGGAATACTGTCCTAAGGAAACAGTTGAATATGTGACACTTCAAATTATCTATATATAGGGGAACACAATTTTCCGGGAAGTTATATAATGCTTTGCCCTCACTCAGAACTTCTCTTTTCTTATCACCTCCTTATCCTCTATAAATGAAGACACAACACATGAGAAATATTAAAACTAAAATTAATTACGGTATCAGACATCCTTGAATTTCCATGATCTAATATATTATTACCCTTCACTTTCATGGCCCTGAGTTGTTCACTCTGCCATCATAGGTTGTCTTACTATCAACTGGTGACTTGTAGGTCCATATTACTCCTAGTATCTGGAATCCTATATAGTTCATTCTTTCACAAACTTATCTAGATAAATAAACCCATTATACTCAGTCCTTATACCAACAGGTACAGTTTTCTTTCCTGGCCTTTCATTTAATCAGCCTTTACATGACCTAAGCCTGGATGAGTTGGTATTTGGAAAAAAATTCCAGAGAAAGACTGCCTTTCAACCTTGTGAAAATGACCTTATTAGGTACTGTTTATTACCAGTTCAACAGTTAAAGTACGAGGAATTGATCTGTGGTTACTTTGTACCAATTAGTTTGACATTATCCATCCTTAAATGGCAAGAATTGAGAAGTTATTCATATTACAGATATTAAACTGAATTTCTTCAGAGACTATTTAGGGGCTTTTCAGAAAATGAGTGCAGACTCGAGGTCCTTGAAACACATGTATAAGTGGATAAAGTAGACAGCTCCATGCAAGTATAATCGAACAGTATTATCTAGATGACTGGAACCAGTGGTTGTTATACTATCTTTGCATTCTTTTCTTTTTCATCCATTTGGTGGTATTTTTCAACTCTAATGGTACAACGTTGCATATATTTGTAATTTTTTTCCACTTTGTTATTTTGTTAATAAAACAATTTGCTTAGGTACAGGCTTTACTTGAGGTAATAACCATCCTAACACTTTTCACCTCTACAAAGCCACAGCTAGTGCAAAAAATTTAAATAATTGTGAGATATGTCATTCTATGCTAACTCCTGGGAAAATCCAAGTATTAACCATACCCAATTAATATGACTAAAATACATTTCGGTCAATACACTTAGCCTTAAAATGTTAGAGAAATATCTATTGATAAAAATTTAGGGTAGTGTTGGTACAACTAAACTTGATGTGTTTAACTCTGATTCTAGGAGTTGGTTCAATCCTCAACTGAACCTCTCCATTATCAATTGCCATACCGTTTCCTTAAACACTATACTTGCCATAGTGTTTCTTTAAACTGTAAATCAAACCTCCAAAGAAATTCAAACATTTGAAATGTTGAGTTATTCCTGTAAAATGACAAAAGTTTAAAACATTCAGGTATAGAAAAAAAAGAGTGGTAGCAGAGATGATGATCATGTATGTGCCCAATGGTGTGTGCTTTCTGTAACCAAGATTCAGACTTTTCAAAAGATTATATATTGTATAATTCCACCCATGTGACCTCCAGAAAAAAATAAAAATATAAAAGAACAGACCAAGGTTTGCAAGGAGTTTGAGATGGAGGTGTGATTTCACACAGATCACACAAGGGAGTTTTTGGGATGAGCAATCTGTTTCGTATCATAGTTATGTAATGGTTACATCAAACTATGCAATATATCAAAATTCAAATTTCACACATTGAACTGCATATCAAAATGTGTTCCTTTTTAAGTGATAATTTAAAAACTGAAAATTGTAAAAACTGAGAAAATAAAATAAAGCAATTGATGTGGTTTCTATTTTTCTATCTGGAACTCTGATTTTCTTTCTCAACTTCTGAAAAAGATAGCACCAGGCATGCCAACTGTGGTAGGCAAAATAAGGGCTCCAAAAAAGTTAGGCCCCAGTCCCTGGAATCCATGAAAGTTATCTTATATAGCCAAGGGAAAAAAGACACTGCAGATATGATTAAGTTAAGGATCTTGGGATGAGAAGTTATCCTATGTTATATGGGCCTTAAATATAATCACGTGTGTGCTTATAATAGGGAGGCAGAGGGAGATGACAGAAGAAGAGAAGCAGTGCAACCATAGAGGCAGAGATCAGAGTGATGGAGCCACAAGCCAAGAAATGCAGGCAGCCCTCAGAGCCGGAAGAGACAAGGAACAGCTGACCTTTCTTGTCCAGCTGTTTTAACCCTAATTTAATCTAACTACTTTCCCTATAAGAACAAGCCATAACAGCCAAAACTCAGCCAGGAGGAATTGTTCTCCCATTCCAACTGCTGATTAGATCCATCCTTAGGAAGAATACAAGAGATCTTGAAATTAGCCTACTCTTGACCACAGGTGGGAGAAATAGGGAATTAATTATTTATGCACCTTCTTTATTTCCACTGATTTATCTACAACACTAAAAGATATAACTCTTTTAAAAGAAATTGTGGTAGTAATGTTTAATTCAGTCAAAACATGAAAATGAGGCAGGGAGATTTTTAGCAAGCTGTCTGTAAATTAACCATTGGTCCAAAGTCCTGTTGTAATCTACTAATAGAATGTGTAAGATAGGGCCGGTTGCGGTGGCTCGCGCCTGTAATCCCAGCATTTTGGGAGGCCGAGGCGGGTGGATCACTTGAGGTCAGGAGTTTGAGACCAGCCTGGCTAACATAGTGAAATCCCGTCTCTACTAAAAATACAAAAATTAGGCTGGGCGCAGTGGCTTAGGCCTGTAATCCCAGCACTTTCGGGGGCCGAGGCGGGAGGATCACGAGGTCAGGAGATCAAGACCATCCTAGCCAACATGGTGAAACCCCATCTCTACTAAAAATAGAAAAAATTAGCTGAGCATGTGAAACCCAGTCTCTACTAAAAATACAAAAACATTGAACCTAACCTTTTTATTATATGCTTTAAATGTCAATATGTTAGTTTCAACTTGCAAACAAACAATATGACAAATGCTATAATTGACGATCTATGACAAAGGAAAGGGGGTGCAGCTTCAGCTCCAGTCTCAGGTTTGTGTACGGGTAGCAGGTGCCTGGGAAGCAATGTGTACTTGCTGCACAGAAGTAGACAGCCGAGTCTTCAGGTTGGGTCTCTGTGATGTGCAGGGAGAAATGTTTGGCTGTCTTGTTCAATGTAACAGCAATTCGTTGGTCTTTCTTTTCGCCCACATTTGAACGAATGTCTATAATAAGCTGAGGTCCTTTTCCAAGTTCTTGCTTATACCAAGGGAAGTAGTTTGAGGCACTGTCTGAATAAGTACACTTGATAACAGCGCTGTCTCCCTCCTGGACACTCAGGGTTGAAGGATGCTGCTCCACATTCTCTCCATTCACCACTATGCAGAAAGAAAAAATCAGAGAAAGAAGAGGGATTGTTAGGTCATTACTCTCTAGAATTATTTTTCATAGTAACGAGAGGAAACCTGAATAAAGCAAGTCTCCTCTTTGAACTGCTGAAGAATATTCACTAATATACTCTGTTACCCAAATACCCTCAACTCACAGTCCAGCTGCAGCCACAGGAATATAAATACAGCTCGAATGGATGTCATCCTTGTTCTTCCCAATTAAGATCAGTCATTGACCTGCAACCTCCAGTTATAAGAGTTACTTCTATCATCAGGTTGTCTCTTCTCTCCTCTGGCAGCCATAGGGGTTTCTCACACTGTGTAGCCAACCAATAAGAAAAAGGCTCTGCTGCTACCATAAACCTATTCATTCAGGACACACTAAAGTGAACCCTGTATTCTGCCTCAGCAGAGGAGCACTGCCATCTTGTGGCCACATCCCTAACTACTGAACTTGCTGGTTGAATGTTTTTCTCTAACCCTATGAGGCACTCAGGTGCACAAAAGCAGCAATGAGTCAAACAGACTGGGTGTTCAATCAGAGATTAAATGCACAGTAAGAATGTAGAGATCTAACTCTATAATTATGCACACTACTGAGTCATTATTCATAAATTATAAAGAAGTAGATGCTGTTGATATTTATTCAATGATGGGCTGAGTTTATGTTTGAAATTAAGAAAATACCATAATTCGCTCTCATAAACAAGAAAAAATAATGCCTTCCTTTTAGGTTAAGTCTACTATCATGACTCGTTTGTTATGAAGAAAACTCTTTCTTTAGGCAATATGTAAGCCAAAGATCAGAGCAAGAGAGAGAGGACCACTCAATATTTCGAGTGCGTATTATCTCAGGTTCTGCTTCTCAAGCCTGGGCCATGACCTTGCTATTCCCAGAGAATTGACGGTACCGACAATCAAAATGTTGAATATTTCTTCAGTAAAGATGGCTTTAATAAAAGGTAAAGAATTAAAGTACAATGATAAAGGAGGAGGGGGACAAGTTCCATGAGTTATTAATACTCCAACAATAGGAATAGTTTGACCCATAGACTGGGCTGGTTTGCAAGGAGAAATCTGGCATGTTTTAAGAAGTCTTTTCCTATGGCTATGTGGCTTGCTTTCTGCAAAGTGTTGAAAAAACAAGAAGAAATTCTCAGAAAACATCAGGCTGCAGATTCAAAAAATGTAAGCATATGTAACTTTATTATTGAGATAATTTTATTTTTTGATATCAAAGTGGATGATATCAATATGATATGTGCTTAAACACAGTGACTGACTCATATCTTTAGTGGAATTTCCTCTAAAGTATGAGTCAACTCTTCTGTCATGAACTGCTGTTGTCTCAGCCATTGCTGGCACAGATTCCATATCTATCATTTTTCTCCCAAACTCCACCATAATGTTTTTCTCCAAGATATTGAGAAAGTCCTTCAGTCCTGTATGTTTCCAGGTTTATCTGTTTCTGCCAAAAAAAAAAAAAACTTTCTAATCTACTTTAACTTTTGAAATTTTAAAATTACTTCTGTAAGAATAAATTAATGGAAGGCTAAATATTTCCTGTGCCTGTTAGCAGAATAGTACAAATAGAAAACTGACAGTAAAATACTGATCATGAGAAATGGTACCTGGGAAACCAAGACTTTCTCATTTCCAGGAGGAAAGCCCCTTTCCTGTGATTTGTACTCACTAGTCTGCTGGAGTTATAGAGACTAAATCTAATTATTTATTCACATCTCACACCCTTAAATATTTACAGACAGCTATGATTAAGAATCTCAACTCAATACATAAATATATGTATATATATAATGTGTGCTTTTACATATATGAAATTTCTCCATTCTAAGGATCTTCAGTTATCTCACCCATTCCTCATACAATTATCAAATCCTTCATTGAGCAAATTACTTTCTTCTTGGAGACAGATACATAGGTTAATATTTGTCCTTTTGAGTTACGACATCCAGAACTGAATGTAATGGTCTGAATATGACCACTCACATGGAGCACAGCGTTCCGTATATTAACTGTACCTTGAATATAGCCGTGCCCTGGACAAAATTCCCAGCCTGGTGATTATTTCGTTTTTTGCCAGACTCATTATCAAAGGGTTGGCCCGGAAAAGCTTTTCCAGCACTTTCATGAACTGCCAGCTACACAGGGGCAATGTTCCCCTTAGCTTCCCAATTTCAGTGATCATTTTTAAACAATGTAGAGTGATGCTCCTTATGTTCACATCCTTCTTTCAAGGAATATCCACCCACCATAAGGTACACATCTTGCTATTTTTAGGAAAATTCTCAGAAATACATCCAGGGGTTGAGGATGGCACCATCACTTTTGGCTCACTCCTACAGAAGCCAGTGAGTCATGGACTGATTTGCTGGTAGAATAACAATGGCTCAGCCTCATGAGTATCTCTGTGGCCCAAAGTGGCAAATGTTTACTTACACAAGTTGGAACTCTCCATTCTCATGGTCAAACTGATTGGACCAAGTCTTTCCCAGACCCAAACTGCAGAGGTCAAAGTGGCTGGATTTTCCTCAGTTTCTCTTTGCTCAGCAATGTGGTCCTGCAGGAATGAGGCAGAGGAAACAATACGAAGGAGGAAGGGAGGAAATCCAGTTTCTTTCTACTCCCGGCTCATCTAATGGTTCCATACTGGCATCTTGGATATGGTTTCTCTCTTTGTAAAGTGAAATTGGACTAAAAGATTTCTAAGTGCTTTTCTAGCTGTAAAATTATTTTATTCTATTTAACAGAGCAAATATTTATTAAGGACTAGTTGTGTACAGTGTAAAGTATGGGAATGCAAGGAGAAATTGTCTTGCATCATGGAACCCCAAAACCATTTTCACATCAATATGCAATCTAGTGGGTCTGAGGTTACCCTAACCAATCCTTGGGCCCCTTCAGAAGAAAAGACAAGGTCCTCCAGATGAGTTCCTATGTGAGTTTTCATTCCTCCTACAACATTAGTGATAGATGGTAGATCAACGGAAGCCTAAATCCATAGTAAAATGAAATCAAATGAGACTTTACTCGCTAAGTATAAAGGCCATCACAAGCAGTGATATGAGGGTGGACACCATGGCTGGGCTATAGGGAGGCAGGATTCTCCCTTCTGGATATCGATTTCTTATCTTTATAGCGTATCATGTCTGTCTTAAAGGAAACACACACACACACACACACACCTCAGCAACTTGGAGAACATGGAAGAAGTATAGGAGTTTACTAATATGTAAAGCAAAAGGCACTTTCTCAAACATCCTGATTGCTTTCAGACTTCAAAATCTCTCCTTCAAAATTTAGTTTGGGGATTCAAGATTCCCAGCTGGGCTGGCTGTACAATTTGTGGGACTCAGTGCAAAACGAAAATTTAGGATTTCTTATTCAAAAGGCAGGAAAAATAGCCATTAGGTAATAAACTGTAAAGTTTTTTTCTTAAAATATTTTATTACTTATAAAATGCAATAGGGTTTATAATGATACATAAGAAAAAACATAAAATTGGTTTAAAAATTTGGTGTCATAAATTAATATAATAATACTTTAATATGATATCTTGATTAATAAAATTTTATGGATCACTTTGCTGCAAATTAATTTATGAGGTTAGCAAAATTCATGCCTGGAGCAACTTCATTTTCAAGCATATAAATGAAAGCAATATCAAGTGCTCTTATTAAATGCAAAATCTTAACTAGAATTTTTCATTTCTAACTGCGAGAAGGATATTTCTGCTGATGCAACTGATACTGGAGCTCTTAAAAGTATTTTATATACTGTGACAACATTAGCATACTTATCTGATGGATTAACTGAAATATAAATTTTAGTAAATCAGTGGTTGATGGTCCCTGTGAAACAATTTTTCTAAAACAATTTATTTCTTACCACAAATCAGTTTTATGTACGTCTGAACTCAGTTTTCAATGTAAATTTACACAGTGCTGTTTTAATGTTTCCTCTGAAATTTTTAGTAACTTGTGGAAGCTGTATAAGAAACTAGAAATGGCTTAATGATATAGATATAATTCAAAATCCTTGTTTATTAATTTTATCACTGTATCTTCAATTATTAAAAAATTAATTTCAGGCCAGGCACGGTGGGTCACGCCTGTAATCCCAGCACTTTGGGAGGCTGAAGCAGGCGGATCACGGGTCAGGAGTTCGAGACCAGCCTGGCCAACTTGGTGAAACCCCATCTCTACTAAAATTAGCCAGGCATGGTGGCAGGGGCCTGTAATCCCAGCTACTCAGGAGGCTGAGGCAGGAGAATCACTTGAACCCAGGAGGCGGAGGTTGCAGTCAGCTGAGATCGCACCACTGCACTCCAGCCTGGGCGACAGAGTGAGACTCCGTCTCAAAAAAAAAAAAAAAGTTAATTAATTTCAATATTATCCTCTATGTTAAAACGTGGCTGTTCAAAACTTCACATGAAAATAATGCTCTTCAGATACTTCTCAAAAAAAAAAAAAAAGCATACAAGTGGAAACATGAAAAAAAATGCTCATCACTAATCATCATAGAAATGCAAACCAAAACCACAATGTTTGGCTTTTGTTAAAAAGCCAAAAAAAATAGCAGATGTTGATGAAGCTGTGGAGAAAAGGCAACACTTATACACTGTTGCTGGGAATGTAAATCAGTTCAGCAACTATAGAGAGCAGTTTGGAGATTTCTCAAAGAACTGAGAGTTCAACTACCATTCCACCCAGCAATCCCACTACTGGCTACATACCCAAAGGATAATGAACCATCCTACCAAAAGACATGTGTGCCCATATGTTCATCACAGCACTATTCACAATAGCAAAGACATGGAATCAACCCAGGTGCCCATCAGCAGTGGATTTGATAAGGAAAACACGGTACATATACAACATGGACTACTATGCAGCCATGGATGTGGCTGGAAACCATTAGGATAACTTAGGATAACTAAGTGAACTAGCACTGAAACATAAAGCCAAATATGACATGCCCTCACTTATAAGTAGGGGCTAAACATTAGGCACACAAGGTCATAGAAATGAGAACAGTAGACCCTGGAGAATACAAGAGAGGGGACAGAGGGAGGGGGTTAAAGATTGAAAAAAATCACCTTTTCAGTACTATGCTCCCTACCTGGGTAATGGATTCATTATAACTCCAAACTCTAGCATCACATAATATACTATTGTAACAAACCTGCAAATGAACCCCCAATTCTAAAATAAAAGTTGAAAAAAAAGATGTTAAGGAAAAAAACAAAAGAAGATAGCATTAAAAGGTGAGAAAATGATGCTCTTTTCCATTAAGCTGCTATCCTTACATGTAATTTCTATTTCTAAACCAGCAGATATCCAAATTGTAATGTTATATCAACTTTCAAAACCACAGTCTCTAAACTTTTTGAAGGATTCTAATAACTCTCCAATATACCTTATTGCCTTGTCCATGTATATGCTTTTATTGTGTAATAATTTACTGAAAAGTTTACTGCCACTCACTTTGGAGAGCCGCAAAACACCAGAGAGCCCTGTGTGCTCATGCACTCAAAATAGCCCATCCAACTGCTCGGCTCACATGCTGCCCACTGTGCCCATGAACCTGAGCCTGCATATGATTCTGTCCTGTGTCCTGCTGTCCTGTGTATCTCCTCTGCTCACCTACATGCTCTGTCCTCTCATTGAACTTCATTTACTCACACAAGTTTAAAAACAAAACTATTAAAAATGTCAAGGCAGTGATAGCAGAGCATTAACTAGGGTCCTGTGGGCTGCAACAGATCACATACCCAGGAAGCTGGCCCTGCTCCCAGCTTCACCGGAGACTGCCAGCTTGTCTTCATCTTGGTTCTCAGGGCCCCAGTCCTTCCTAGTCCATTCTCTTACATTCATATAACAGACCTTGTAAGGCTGAAATTCTACATGTGTTGTAACTGATCCACATTTAGGTTTAAACTTTGGCTTTGCTTCTCAGAAGTCTTGGACTGCGGCTACAGCAGGTAAGTTTTGGGGGGCAACCCTAGAAGTTTCTGTTCTCTTTTCGAGACCTTGAATGATGTTACAAAATCATGAGTAATGCAAGGAAGACAAATGGATTTTAATGTAACAAAATGAAAAGTTTAATGAACTCTTTCTTACTAGATGCAATTTAGAAATTATCCCAACGGATATATTTGCCAGTGATGTATGTGAGCACATTGCACAAATTTATCAATTGAAATAATTGGTATTTTGTGATTCTCAAGGGTCTTCTATTGTGTGTAGCTTAGAGTACACACTCTGCTTTCAAACATCGAGAAGGAGAATCCCAGCCCAGCTTCATTGCTAGTTTCATAACCATCTGAGCTCAGGCAAGACATGTGTGCCCTATAATCCTCAGTTTATTCATGTGTAGAGTAAAGAGGTATTGTCAGCACCCAGATAATATATGTAAATTCAGAGAATGTCTGACATCCAATGACGTTACGTGCTTTAAAATTTTATCTTTTATGGGTTCCAGGAGTAAAAAATTATATATAATATACATCACACATGCTCTCTTCCCTTTTACTAGAAAAGTGAACAACATGCATTTGGATGAAACATTGAGTCATCTCTTTGCTATTTCTTGACCAGGATATATTTTTTCAAATCTTTTTTATCACAGTAATTTATATGTAATTTATATGCTCTTTGCTATTTCTTGACCAGGATATATTTTTTCAAATCTTTTTTATCACAGTAATTTATATGTAATTTATATGCTCTTTGCTAGAGGATCTGTTTTAACAGTACATTGGGTCCTGATATCTTTAAAAGTTGCTCCAGTGGTTCCATATCAAAGCTTTTTCCTGCAAAGAGATTTCTGAGAGCAAAAGGGTAGGATAAAAAAGTTAAATGGCAATCCTGAAGTGTCTAATTTTAGCAGAGATAAAAGCGCAACGTCAATCAGAAAACCCGAAGCTGTGCAAGTGATACTGTGGGGGCAACATGCCTCTCTCACGGAAGGGGTTGGGGCTGCAGGCCCAGCTGCAGTTCGGATCCAGGCTGCAGATTTCCTGGGAGAACTGTGCCTCAACTGCACAGAAGTACGTGCCTGAGTCTTTCAGTTGGGCGGCTGTGATGTGTAGGGTACCACAGAGCTCCTCAGAGTTTCTTTTTGACCATAACTTTCCACTGTGCTTCATCCATGAAGCCATGAAAAACAGATTGATGAGGCCAACCCAGGATTCTGTTGGAACCACTGCACGTTGTTCACAGAGGTAGAAAAACTGCATCTCAGAGTAGAGCTGGTTCTCTCCTGGAGACTCGGAACTGAAGGACTCTGCTCCACCTTCACTCGTCTCACCCCTGCTTGGAAAGAGAAAAGCAAATATGTATTATGTCACTAAGGAATCACTGATGCAGTTTCCAAGCCTGTAAAATATCCCTAGAAACACTTATGAGGCTGTAGGACAGTCCAGGAGATTTGTGTCAGCTCTCCCTTCCCTCCCTTCCCCTGTCAGCCCCCATCTAGGACGGCCCAACTCATAGCAAACCTGGACCCACAAAAGCCCCAAGAGAGCTCCCAGTCTCCTCTCCATGGCTCCTTGCCTGGTTGCTGGGGTGCCTTTGCCGCTGCTCTGGAAGGGGTCAAGTCTTGGGTCCAGACAAACTTGTTCTTACAGTCAATAGTTTGCACCAGACTCCCTGAGCACCAATCACACCTGAGCTCTGTCATTCATCTGAATAGGAAACTCCACCAGCAGTGGCCTTTGAGACCGCACAGTAATCTCTCCAAAACTCTGGGTGTGAATAGTGCAAGGGGGGAAGAGTCAATATTTCCAGTGTATGAAGTTACAGGGTTTTTTTTTCCTTAAAGTACTTTATATAAGAGAAATTGTAGAATAGTATGTGAAGAAAGAGGATGATACGTCTGAGAAGAATCCGTGTCTCAGCTGGGGAAAGTAGAGCCTTAAAGAATCATGGGAAGCCCAAATTACATAGCTGGACAGAAAATTGCAAAATTCAATTATATGAAAATTTTAATAAGGAAAACTTTCTGGTAGCATGTATGGTGGATTTAGAAATAAATACAATTTCTTGAAATCAGGAGATTGTCTGCATAGAAAATGTTTCCAACTAGAGTTTGTTTGGTTAAAAGAAAAATAGGATGTGTGTATGATATCCACCCTGATTTAATTTCTACCTCTCCCACTCTGTCCAACCCTTTCCCTACACACCCTGCAGGCCCACACAGCTGTTACGATCAGACCACATACTGCTGGCCAAATTAAATATTCTCCTCTCTATTCTCTTTCTGGTTTTGGTCCTTATTTCCTTCCTATTTTCTTCTTTTCTGCTTATTCTTGTTCCTTTTGGTCTCAGAGAAGATATATGAAGAAATCAGATATCAGGGGTATTTTGGAATAATTTCCATGCCAGTGAATTTCAGGAATTTTAGTCATAAAAATTTAAAAACTGAAAATATGTAATAGAGATGTTTTCTATTGAGTGTCCATCCTCCCAATTCCCAGTAAAACTCCAATTCCCTTACCTCTGCTTATAGAATCATCCTCACAATGGATTCGTAGACCTATGAACTCCAGCTTTCTGAGGTTCTATATAGAATGTCAGAGCTGAAAACCGAAGATGAACTTTACACACACACTGCCCCCCATTCCACTGCAATTCCTTGTTATCTGTGACTTGACTGACTCACATGCCCCCTTGTCTTCTCTTTTAATTGTTCCACCCTTTGGGACCATCAGAAAAAGTCTTCATTTCTGGAAATCCTAGAGTGCCCCCTAGTGGACTGAACCCATCAACAAAAACCACTACGGACCAACTAATTCCTCAGTAGTCACACACACAGCCCCATTTACTGTTTCCTATGAAGGAAATGGAGGTGGTCAGAAAACAATACAACTGCCTAGATTGGATGGGGATTAAGAATGAACCAATTACCACTTTAAAATGTCATTTCGTGGAAATCAGTATCTTAATTTGGCAATTCTCTTTTTGTACTCTTCACTTAATTCCTTTAATTTAGTTCAAAGTAAGTCCAAAAACATGTATTAAAGTTTTACTCTAAGTGAATAATTTATTAGGTTTTAAGAATACTTAAAAGCAGATGTAATATTAGTTTTATGGTCTACTGGAGTGGACAAAAATACATATCTATAATATAAATCACATAGTAGGAACCTAAGAGGAGTGTAAACTAGAAGCTGTATGATCCCAGAGGCAGAAAAAAAATACGTAGGAAGGCTGAACAAAAGCTAATGAAGAAGGTGATCGTTTTCTCCTCTCTCCCTTTTTCTATGAGTAGACAAGGAAAAAATGTAGATAAACCTTTGTGATGGCTTTTATGACTTTTTTTGGTTTAATACTAGAAAGAATTCACAAATATATGAAATAATTTAAAGTAATACAGCATTCCAGATAGACTAAAATCTCCTTCGACCACTACTCCCAGTTCTAGTCCGTTCATCCCTTATTACCTTTATTGTTTCATCTAATCAATTTGGAGTTGATGCTCTATCTACATCCATATACAAAATATATGAAACAGCTGAAATATACGGCATTTCATTTATAGGTTTAAAACGTAATAAAAATGATACATCTTGTGCATACCTTTTTGTAACTCACTTTATAAACTCAATAATAAATCTTTAGGTCTTATTGTATTAATTCATATGGGGCCTTCTGCTATACTGCATCATATTAGGGATATACTTCAGTTTATACAGCCTTTCTCCTATTGATCAACACTTAAAATGTTGTTTTTTAACCATAAAATGTAAAATGGCAATAAAGCTTTTAAAGAATTCCTCTTTTTATTCACATGTGCTCATGTTTCTTCAGGAGCAGAGACTAGGAACTAGTGAAAGAACCATCAGTGTGGCTAGTAGTGAAAAGCACTCCGGGCAGAGGGAAGATCGGGCAAAGGCTCTGAGGAAGAAGGGAATGAATTCATGTTCCCATTATTGTGTTGAATGGTTTTCTTTTTTATTACTTTTGTTAGTGTGCATTGGAGCTCTAGTTTATTGGCTAATTTGATAAACTCTAAAATTACTGTCTTCATATATATAGTATGTGTATAGTTTCTTCCAATTAGCTACAGAAGTAATTCTAAAGACAGTAAGTCAAAAGGAGAAAAAAATATACCCAAGGAGAAAGAGGGGGACATACAAGGAAAAAATGTTACGGAATAACTTCAGGAAAAAATAATAACAACTTTGGGTATTTAAAAATTATATATATGTATACATATATAATATAAGGATACTTTTAGGAACAAAAAATACAATTTACACTTTCTAAAACAATAGAAAGAAAAAAGAAAACTATCACTGCAACAGAAGACAGACTAAAACACGAAAGAACAAATCAAGAGCATGCTGAGCAGAGCCAAAACGTTAAAATGAATCCAAATGTATCAGTAATCGAAACATATTTTTAAAAAGACTATGATTCAATCAAAATTAAAAATCTTGCCACATACTGCTTGAAAAAACAGACAACAAGCCCCAAGAAAGCTGAGCATATAGGATGGGATTCTTCCTGCTGCCTCTGTATTCAAGGACTATAGCACCCCTCCCTCATCTACTTAACCCACTGCACCTGCCATAAACAACTTCCAAAAGAATTTCAATCCTTTTCGCTTCTTTTAAATGTCACTTCTGCTGATTAGGTAGTAAAAGAGTAGTGCAAGATAAGAATAGCAAGTTAGTCTGCTAAAATAGCTCTGGCAAAGTTGAGATCAGAGACAAGAGAGAGGAAAAAAAAGACAAGGTAAAAAACTCAACATTCATACAGAAAAGAGTAGAGAAAGAAAGGAAAACTATCTGAGATGGAAAACCAAAAAGAAATTAAGATTTAGCTGCAGAAAAGGACAAACCTAACATGAGAAAATTCCATATCCTAATGTAGCAGAGAGAAAGAAGGCAAGTCTAAATAATAGCTTTTACATTTTTATCATTGTACTCTCTACTTCCTTTACAATTTGAAATATTTAGGAAGTATCTGCATCTGTTATTGCACATTTCTAATTGCTCTAGAATCACAAAAGAAAGCAGGGAAAATTCATCATCAAAATTATATATGATCATTGTGTGCGCCAGCAATTAGCAAAGTGTTGTGTCAAGAGAGGCTTTAATTGTCTTCTTCATTAATTTGATATTTATTTCCCTGGAGGGTTGCCACAGAATAAACCGTGTCTCATCCAAAATTTACATGTTGAAGCCCTTATCCCCAGTACATCAGAATGAAACTGTATTTGAAAACAGGATCTTTAAAGAGGTCATTAAGGTAAAATGAGGTTATATAGCTGGGCTCTAACTCAACATAATTGGTGTTCTTGTAAGAAAGGAAATCCAGATACAGACATGTGCACCATGAGAGGAGAGACCACCTGAAGGCACGGTGAGAAGGCAACCATCTGCAAGCCTCAATAACAACCTGCCCTGCCAATGCCTTAATCTTGGATTTCTATCTCCAGAATTGAGAGAAAAACAGATTCTGTTGCTTATGCCACCCCGTCTGTGGTATTTGTCATGGCAGCTCTAGAAAATTAATGTGAAGGTAAATTTTTAATATCCAGTTATATGAAATATATCACACAGAGCAACTTGAAGTCATAAATATACATATAAAGTATCTTCAGCATCTTAACATTCTACCTTTTACACTCATGTTTTGGTGCACTTGTTTCCTGAATAAAAGTGCTCCCTTGTCTTAGATATCCCCATGAGAATTCTGTACAGACCTCTAATTATCTTGACAACTTTATTATTGTGCTTAAACGATTGGAAATTTGTATTGGATGTGCTGCATATGTGATATTAAATAACAGCGAAATTTCCTTTATAAGTTACCTAACAAGCTTTAAAATATTTTCATATGTACTGTATATAGCAAAATGCCTCTAAATATTAAATGAGTTCTCTGGAATGACTGTTGAGCAAGGATTATAATTACATGACTTATAGATCTTCAGGATTTGCAGGAACACTTATCAAAATATTGTTCATTTTATATATATATATATATATATGTTACCAAGTAAGAATAAATATACTAAAGTGCTAGGTTATATAATTTACATTAAATCTTTTCAACAGAAACCACAGAATATCAAGCATGAGCTGGTTAACTTAAGTCTCAACTCTAAGGAGAGTCAATTCACTTAGTCAAGAAAGCAAACTCCAAGGCGGTCAGCTACTGTTGTTATCAACACGTAAGGCCACAACAGAGGAAACTACAGTTCAGCTACCCACAGCTTGAATGATACCTGAAGCTTTTATAAGTAGCACAGGAAATATCAGATATTGGGTTTTTATTAGAAAAATTAGTGACATGTTAAATAGCATAATGAAATTTAGGAATTGGTTTTTAAATAAAAGTATTTAAGATATGGATTTCAACTATAGAACTTCAGAGACACACCCTACCATTGCCTGAACGGCATATAAAAATCTAGGACAGCCTATACCTTGCACCAAGAATGCTACCAAATTCCAACCAGTGGTGGACTGGATGAAGAAAATGTGGTAAATGTACACCACAAAATACTACACAGCCATAAAAAGCATGAGATCATGTCCTTTGCAGCAACATGGATGAAGCTGGAGGCCATTATCCTAAGGGAATTAACACAGAAACAGAAAACCAAATACACAATGTTCTCACTTATAAGTGGGAGTTAAACATTGAGTACACAAGGACACAAAGATGAGAACAATAAGCACTGGGGATTCCAAAAGGGAGGAGATGGGGGGAGGGTAAAGTGTTGCAAAACTATCTATAGGTTACTACGTTCACTACAAGATCATTAGAAGCCCAAACCTCAACATCACGCAGTGAACCCATGTAACAAACTTGCTCATGTAACCCCTGAATCTAATTAAAAAAAAAAGAATGCTACCAAAGCTTTAATCCCTAAAAGATTCTGTAATCAGCCAATGGTGTGCACAGCCAAATGAATAAATAAATTGTGCTTTATTCATATAATAGGAAACTTCTCAACAATTACGGTAATGAACACGGATTAACCTCCAGAACATGACGAGTGAAAGAAACCAGGCAGAAGAGAGTTCCTACTGAATAATCCCATTGATTCGAAGTTTTAAAACGGTTAAAGTCTCTGTAATACTAGAAATATGAACATCTGTTGCCTCCAGAAGGTGGGTTGACTGGAAAGGCACACACAAAAACTTTCTGGGTGTTAGAAGTATTCTGTCTTCAGATTGTTTTAAAGTTATCATGGTCTTTTCCCTCCATTTTAAAGAAATCAAAAATAAGGATAATTAACAGAGTTAGATGAATGAAAAATGACTTGGAATTTAAAATCTTCAGACACAGTCTCATTAGTGAATGAAAGACAATTTGTGTTGTAAGCTAAAATACATTTAAAAGGAATTATAATTTGCCTCAATGGTATAATAAAATTTTGTGTCAAACATGCACAAAATGTGAAAAATCAAAATTAATTTCATTAATATAAAAACATATTTCCAAATTCTTCTTAATGTAATTCTTTATTGCATAAAGTTTCTTGTAATCATATAAGTAAAACAATAAATAAGTAAAATAATAAACCATAAATAAATAAAACAAATGAGCAATAAATAAAACAAGCAAGCAACTAGATTTGTCAGGTGACTGGGTGGGGAGATGCTCTTCAGTGGCTTGAGATCCTTGGTGCATGTATAAATCTGGTCCAATCAGGAAAGATAGACCATATAATAATTTGAACAGAAAATGCTTTTTATAATTATAGGAAAATTTAATATTAATATAAAAAATTATTAATTATAACAGGATTTAGAGTAACAAGGAAATAGGTAATACAAAGAAAAGAAAACTCTGCTATTCCTATTCCTGTAGGAATAGCAGATATAAGGTGCAGTCCCTACTCCTAGGGCTGGGTACAACACCCCAAGAAGGGACCCCTAGACCCACCCCCCAGGGGTGAGACCCAGATCTTATTGGGAAAGGCACAACTGTGTCTCACTAGATGACACAGAAGTCACTGTTGTGCTGTGAATTTTCTACAGAGAAATTCACCCTCTCATACTTACCAGAAAACCATAATCTAGGGTGCCGATTCATGAATCTAGGGATGAATATGGGGAAAGCTGGATACAGGAAGGTGTCTCACTGCAGGCTCTGTTCTGCAGTACCACGCAAAAATGGAAGTGCTGGAGGACACTGCTGGCCACTGTACAGCGCAGGAACCTGGTGTGGGTGCACTGCAGGAGCCGGACGCTGGAGAAGCCTCTCATGCTGCAGGAACCTGTGGCATGTGCACACAGAAAGCAAAAATCAAAATCTTTTCTCCCTGATCCTCTACTGGCAAAGCATAACGTTATGCCAACTGGCAAGGAACATAGTTGAAGGGTACAGATCCACATTCACGGAAGAGGCAAGGGGTGAATTTGGAGCTGAGAGTCAATAAATCAATCCACCCCTTGGACTATTCGACTTCTATATACAACTTTCTACATACATTTGAAACACATACAACAACAAAACAATTCTATGTTCCTACCTCCTTTAAGATTCGCATAAAGTGCCCATCACAGTCCCTGTGGGCAATGTGGCTGAGCTGATAACAGTGAGTCACCTGAAGTTAGCCATCTTATCAAAGGTAGAAGACAGTGTGCTTTAGAAATAGAAAAGAATGGAGGGACTGAGGCAGGGGACATTACACGAGTACATATCTTATTCATAATTTTACATCTATAATGTTCCATTTACCTTCCTTATACCCATCCAGCAATCATTGAAATACATCTATCCCATATAATCATCTCACTAGGTCCTAAAAACTACTGCTGATCTGCTGGTTCACCATTTGGCTAACGTGTACCATTGGCCACAATTTTCTTATTCTCTCTATATTTGAGGGTTCCTACGTACCTACCCTCTAATACATTATAGCGTGAGCCAAGTAGCAGCTGGAAAGATTCATCCTCCTTCTCCTTTTTCTCCAGACTACTTGCTACCCTCCAAGGCTTCAAGCAAACAAGAAGTATAAAAGCTTCTTCAACAGTTCTTTCCATCCTAGACAAAAGAAAGTCATAAATTTATACTGGGTCCAGTGACTCTCTACCATGCATTGTAATTCTTATCAGTGTTTCCAGCACAGTTTGGCATTGCTAAACTTATCACATGATTGATTATCAAAATGTTATAAGAATCCATCTTTAATATTCCAATAGCTGAAATCATATAACAACAGGGCGAAAGCAATGAATAGAAATGCCAGTAGCTAGAAGAAAAATGAAAGGGATTATAGCCACAAATTTCTGATACAGATTTGCAGCATTTCTGAGACTAAAAGAATAGGAAACTACTTTTCTCACGGTGAAAAAGTATTTGGAGAAACACTGATGAATTTTTAATCTTCATTTTTCTTCTGCACTATTCTTAAATAGTTGTCGGAACTAACATCACCTGACATTTTTCTAAGTCCTTCATGATTCTAATGACTCTTTTATTGTTGACTAATAACTTCTCACAGTTCTTCCTAAATAGAGTTATTTAAACTCAGACAAAATATTTAGACACATAAATACCACAGTTAGAGGCAAAAAAAGAAACTCTAAAAAAAATAACCTATGAATGACCAACTTGAAAACAAATTTGCAAGGTAAAAACATGAGAAAATCATCTTCTATTTTCCAGATTAGATGACAGATGAAATTATAAATGAAAACCAATTTTCTCTGAGGCCATGTCACAGCTCACATGGTCAACCCCCTAATGCAGACAACATCAAGGTAAGTCATGGAGGACTTGATTGTTATAAGAATACTATCTCTTCCATCATTCAAGAATACTATTTCCTATTATATAGTTTCTACAATGAGCAAAAAGCTTCTGAAACAAAATTTATCAGGACATGGAGCATAACAGGAACTGCAGAATTACATAGAAATGCCTGGGTCGGCTTAGCCCTCTTTGCCTCATTCGCCATCATAAAAAAGGAGATCTTTGAAAACACCACAGGGAGATATACTGAAACTCTGAAAACTTCTCTAGCATAGGCAGTTTGTGTTCAGCTCCCCCTGCAGACCCAGGCACTGTGGCACCCACAGCACAGAAGTACTCAGCAGCATCACTCCAATGCACAGAGGGTTTCCTCAGATTGAAGGAAGATTGACTCCTCTTAAATTCAGCCTCAAAGCCTTTAATGCCTTGAACCAGAGTGTCTCCTGAAAAGTACTTCAGGAGCAGCTGGAGGCCTTGGCCGGGGGACTGGACATACCAGAAGAGATAAGGTGTTGCCCCATAGGAATAGTTACATCTCAACTCCAGTGAGGCTCCTTCAGAGACAGTGATGTGGATGTCAGGCTGGGTCACTGACTGGGCTCTGGCAGTTCCTGGAAAAACAATGTACTATCAGTGAAAGCAGTGCAGACTCAGTATAAAAAGCAAGCATTTCTAGTCAGAACCTGTGGAACTAGAGACCATAAAGAAATTTTACTCACTCAGGACAAAATGTATCCCCAGCAGTGGGATAAGCTCCAGGAGCATGGCTGAACAAGGGAAACACTGCAGGCTCTTTTCTGCAAGATCTCCAGAGAACAGGAAGGAAAGTGTCTGAAGAGACCAAGACCAAGAGGTGTGAGGAAGTTTCGCTGGAGAAACTCCTTGCTTATTTAAAACTACAAAAGCTGCTGAGATGAATCTGGTTGCTTTTTAAACCTCTAATTCTTGTCACTTGTCTTTGTCTGGAAAGAACTCAACCAGCTGCAGGAAGAAGAAACTGAGCAGTGGATTGATCTTCAACAGAAACAAAAGCTCCAGTGTGTGCAGCATCGCCCTCTGGAGGCCAAGTGCAGAACCAGTTTAGCAGAGAGAGCTCATTAGTGTGTTTCTCCTAATTTCTGAGATGTATCAAAACATCCACACCATGTGTTTCTTCCTGCCCAAGTCTATGACGGTGTTTTAGGCCTATAGTCCATTAGCAATAAGATGTCATGTAAAAATAGAGTAATACGTTACCTCATTGAGAAATCAGGTTTTAAAAATATATCAGAATTAAGCTGTGTTTCTGAGAATCGTTGGACGCAGACTAGCTGCTTCGGGATGAGTTTTTGATGGTTCAGAGTTGCCTTGTTGGTGGTGGAGGATGATAGAGATATTTCCCTTGGAAGATGCTTGTGCGGCCATAGAGTAAAAGACGGGACCCTTAAAATGGGAGTAGTGCCTCTATATGACTAATGACAAGGTGTAACACAGGATGGAAAGGCTTTGCCCCTAGAGCTAAGGTAAACGCAACTACAGAAACCTCTAGGGCTGAAGGAAATACACCAACACCAAACAAGCAATCTCTGAAAACAAGAGAAAGGAGAAATTCGACAGGTTCTCTGTGGCCAATGAGAATCTTTTACAGAGTCAGAATACTTATTTTCTTTGATTCCAGGAGCATGTGGCCAGTTCTCTCCTTGGGTTCTTGATTCATTTGTTACTGCCTGTACAGATTGTTTTTTGTGTAGAAAGAGTATGGCTGACATTTTGTAAATACATAGACTTTGAGTGTGGACTTTAGATTCCTAATGCTATATACTCACATCCCATATCTACCAAATTTCTTCCTAACTAAAAAAATAGAAATATAAATGAGAACAAACCAAAATCCAAAAGAGTAAAAACAAAGATCATCTGGAAAGAATAGATTTATCCATGTTTCCATAAGACAAAAGTAGATGGGATCACAGTGAAGTTTAAAGTCAGGGCAGGAAAAACATAGTCAAAATAAACTATGAGGAGCAATTTCTGCTGACTTTCAGGCTGGTGATGATTTTAATGTCTCTCAAAGTTGCTGGGTGTTTGCAAATCCCAGTGTGTTCAAAGTGAAAAAGACAGGATTGTATGATGCCTTGGAATACTGCCTTTTGCTCTGCACTAAAAGAATGCAAAGGAATTTCTCAATTCTCTATTGATTTAGAGGCAACATCTCATAGTTGAAGAGGAATAGGATCAGAAATAGAATGCTCTCATCGGAGGATGTTGACAGCATTTGAAGAAATACATTGATTGTCAGGGAGATTGAATAGTCTCCAAACACACCCCAAAATACCAAAATGCATGGTCCAGGCTGGACGCAGTGGCTCACACCTGTAATCCCAGCACTTTAGGAGGCCGAGGCAGGTGCATCACCCAAGGTCAGGAGTTCCAGACCAGCCTGACCAACTTGGCAAAATCCCATCTCTACTAAAAATACAAAAATTAGCTGGGCGTGGTAGTGCATGTCTGTAATCCCAGCTAGTATAGGGAGACTGAAGCAAGAGAATTGCTTGAACCTGGGGTGCAGAGGTTACAGTGAGCCGAGATCGCACCACTACACTCCAGCCCGAGCGACAGAGCAAGACTTCATCTCAAAAAAATAAATAAATAAATAAATAAATAAATAAATCACAAAATGCATGGTCCATTTAAAATAAGTGAAAATTCAGAAATGAAAAACACAGAGAGAGCAGAAAATTGAAAATAAAATAGCTCTGCTTTAGGTACTGGAAAAGCATAGTCTTTGGATAGTCGTATCACACCTTATTATGCTCTTGGGTTCAGATATTGTTCAGAATCCAGAAGATTTTATATTTTGGGGAAAATAGTTCTTTAAGCTCATATTAAAAACAAGTGCACAGGCTCATTTTCTAGCATCAAAGAAAGACTTTCGTGAGTTTGGAGAAAAAAGATCCAAAGAATCAAGACCGTAATTAGATGATTCTTATAATCCTAATGACAAAAAAAAAAGTACATATATAAAAAATGAATAAGATTGACTGAAAGAAGTAATAAAAAATAAAAGTGGGAAAAGAAAATATCAAATAGCAATTCTTGATGCATATTATGGTAGACCATAAGTTAATGCAGGAACATAGTAAAATAGGAGACAGCTTTAAGACGCCTACAGCCCATCTCTCCTACAGGTTACAAGTGAAAACTGAACAAAACACACAAAAAAATAACTATCTGTGGCCTCTGAAATTACTCAAAGCAGACAAAATCAAACGTTGGAGAAGCAACTTGTGCAAGCCTTTTATTTCATATTTTTTCCTGTTTTTCTCTCTTGTCTTTGCCCTTAGAAAGGCCCCTGGTGTATGGTAGGGTGGCAATAACAATGGTATAGGAGACCAAAAGAGGTGCGGAAGATTGTGCAGGAGACCAAAAGATTGTGCAGAAAGAGACACAATCTTTCTGCCTCTGTGGACCAGGCTAGAAAAGACAGACCCCAAGGAAGAAATGGAAAACAGCTCAAGTCTCAGGCTAATCCCAAAGCTCCATGTACCTGGGACTGACTCAAACCAGATCAACAAAGCTTGGGTTATTCAACTGATATTTGAACCACTATTTCAGTCTCAGACTACCTCCTGAGTGGCACCAATGCAGGACAAAAAAACCAATGTAGCAGAGAGCTCAGGGCTGACCTGATATTTGAGCCACCCAAACAGGTTTCACACTAATCCCTAAGCTACACATGACTTGGATAAATCCAAACCAACATTGCAAATGATTAGAGAACTGAACTGAGATTTTGAGCTACCAAATTCCACAAAAGGGAAGAGAAAATTTACAGTATGAACCAAACTAGGTTGATTTCCTGCTAAAGCAAAAGCATCAAAATTCTTCAGAGGAATGCTTTGTAAAGAAGAATAAGGATGAGAAGGAGAAGAAGAAAACAGAGTCTACACCCTTAATATTTAAAATGTTTAATATGCATTTCAAAATTATTGGACATACAAAGGATCAGAAAAGTGGACTAATATTTAAGTAAAAGATCAACAGATGAAAGGTCAAGATGACTAAAATGCTAGAAGTAATAGAAAAAGACGTTAAAGTAGCTCTTTGATTATGTACCACAAAGTTAAAAAAGGGAAAATTTAGCCCAGGCATGGTGGCTCATGGGTAATCCCAGCACTCTGGGAGGCCGAGGCAGGCGCATCACGAGGCCAAGAGTTCAAGACCAGCCTGGCCAACGCGTTGAAACCCCATCTGTACTAAAGATACCAAAAAAAAAAAAAAAAACCCAGGGGTGGTGGCACGCAACTGTAATCCCAGGTACTCAAGAGGCTGAGACAGGAAAATGGCTTGAACCCGGGAAGCGGAGGTTGCACTGAGCCGAGATCATGCCATTGCACTCCAGCCTGGGTGACAGGGCAAGACTCCGTCTCAAAAAAAAAAAAAAAAAAAAAAAAAAAGGAGATTTTAGAACTGAGAAATACAATATCCAAAATCAAAATGTCACAGTAAGGGCTCAATAGCAAAATGAAAGTGATAGAGAAAAGAATAACAAACTTGAAAATAGACCAGTATAGGTTATCTAACCTAACTAATTTTGACTTTGCTCCCCTCAGGAGACATTTGACAAATCTAGATAGAAATTTGGGTGTCACAACATGGGGTATGTAATGCTACAGGGATCTAGTGAGTAGAGGCAGACCTTAAAATCAAGAAAAAAATTGAAAGAAAACAAAATAGAGCTATGGAGAGCTAGTGGGAAAGTGTCCTAAAGTCTAAGTTGTAACTAATGGAGTCCTAGAAGGAGAAGAGAAAGAGATTGCGCCAGAAAACATATTTGAAAGAAGAATGGCCAAAAACTTACCAAATTCAAAGAAAGACAAACTTATGAATTTAAGCCCCAAACAGGAACAAATTAAAGGGAACCACATGTAAACATCATAATTATACTGAGGACAACAAAAGATGATATGATTTTACTTGCGTGTATGTGTGTGTACAAATAGCATATATATGAAGCAGCTAGAGAAAAACAACATATTAATATCATTGGGGAACAATTACTTGAATGACCATAGATTTCTAACCAGAACATGGAGACCAGCAGACAATGAAACAGTATCTTTAAAGTGAGGGGGGAAAATGGTTGGCACAGAATTACAGACCCAGTAAAAATATCTTCCACAAATAAAGGGCAAATTAAGAATAAAGACATCTTCAGATAACAAATGACTAAAAAATACCATTACCAGCAAACCTACTCTAGAAAAAATGTTAAAGGGAGTTTTTTAAGTTTGAAGGGAATGACATCAGTTCAAACACATCTCCTGGTGTCAGAGGAAAACTTACTTTAGAAACAAAGGAAGGATACCAGAGTTAGTAAATAGCTGTTAAATACGAAATATTATTATTCCTAGTGAGTTTTATACGGTCCATACAATTATTTAAAACAAAAATTGTACCATTATATGGTGAGCTTTCCAATATAGGTAGCTTTGATATACATGAACGACTACAACAAACTTCAGTGTTTGTTGAAGAGACAATTATTATTGTATAATAAAGAGACATATTATACAAAAATTTCTACATTTTACATAAAGAGGTACAACATCACAGAAGACCCTGGAGAGTTAGTCATATGTATTATAATCTCCAGAGCAACCACTCAAAAAATATGGAAATATAACCAAAGAAGTCCATAGATTAAAATAGTGTTAAAAATGTTCAAATAATCCAAAAAGTGTCAGCAAAAAAAAAGAACAACAAAAAATAAGGGAGGAACAGAAACACAATAATAACATAGTATACTAAAATCCAATTTCATCAATATACATTAAATTATAATTATCTAAACTAGCCAGTGCAAAACCAGAGATTGACATAGTGGATAGAAAGACCTTATATATAAAGCTACCTAAAGGAAACACACTTTAAATTTAAAGTCATAGATAGTTTAAAAATAAATAGATGAAAAAGATACAGCACACATCAATAAGCATCAGAAACTTGGAATTGCTATTTAATATTATAAAACAGACTTCAAGGTCGAGTTCTTGAGTCACAGAAAGTCTCAGCATCTCAGGAGGCTTGTGTTCAGCTCTCCTGCAGTCTCAAGCACTGTGTCACTCACAACACAGAAGTACTCAGCCGCGTCGCTCATATGGGCTGAGGGTTTCGTCAGGTGGAAGGAGGTTTCACTCTTCTTAAATTCAGCCTCAAAACCGTTGATGCCTTTAACCAGGGTGGCCGCTGATGTGTACTTCAGGAGAAGCTGGAGTCCTTTGTTGGGGTGTTGCACATACCAGAAGAGAGACGGTGAATAAGAAGATGAGTAGTTGCACCTCAGCAGCACCGGGGTTCCTTCAGAGACAGAGACGTGGCTGTCAAGCTGGGTCACCGACTGGGCTCTGGTTCCTCCTGCAACACCAATGCTGTGTAAGCAAAAGCAGCGCTGACTTCGCTAAGAAGTCTACTTAGAGGCAATTACAACACAGTCACATTTACAAAAGGAGGAAAAAGAATGGAATGTTACTCACCCAGGGTAAAAATCACCTCGAGCACTGGGACGAGCAGCAGGAGCATGGCTGAGCAGAGGCAACGCTGCAGGACCCTGAGCAGGGAGGACAGAAGCCAGGGGTCCTGAGCCTCGGGAGCTAGGAGCAATGGGGAGGTTGGGCTGGACAAGTCCCTGGCTTTGAAAAGTTTCCAAAACAGAAAGGCTTTCTCTTAAGGAGTCTGGATGTGTTCTGACCTCTTGCTCTCGTCACAGCTCCCTATCTACACAGACATCAGTGAGCTACATCAGCCAGCTGCAGGGAGGAGGCTCAGTGGATGAGGATGGTCGGCAATGAACACAGATGCCTCCTTAGTGCAACGTCGCCCCCTGGAGGGCACAGGTGGAACCACAGATCCAAGGAAGTGAACTGTTTCCTTCTCATTTGAGAGATGTGATATCAAAACCAACAGAAAGTGTTTCTTTCTTCCCGAATCTGTGATGACGTCATCTTCCGTAGAGTATATGGTTTTAATTTTAAATACATGAGAAATGAGAATTATGTAGAAATAGAAGAGTAATTTACTTCCCTGAGAAATTAGTCACAGAAGACAACGTTGTAGACTTTGGAAAACCATTGAGACACTCTATATTAGTAAAGTCGTTCATCAAGAAGAGGGGTGGTGATCAGTTGTCTCAGTCTGGGCTGAGCTTCATATGGCCCTGTGCAGCTGGATGTGAGCATTACAGTGGGTGAAAGAGATTATTCCTTTAGTTGACTCTTTAAAAAATAAATTAGATCAGAGACTCATACTTAAAGTCAGCCTGGATCACATATCATTAATTAATCAAAGCAAACGATTAAAGGCAAGAATTTTCTTTGTCAAGTGGAAAGTGTGGAAAAGACTTCCTAATTTCAGGTCAACAAGTTTAATATTTGTGAACCTAGGAGAAAATAATTTAGATAACTTATATTTAAAAAGAGAAAGTGAGAGTACTATTCCAACTGTCAGTGTTCAGAATAGACTGATATATTGTGCCAAATTATGAGAATCTGCCACTAAAAAAAATTAATGCAGTTTTTCTATCTCCACAATTAAGTTTCTCCATCTATAAAGAAACTTGAACAGAATGATAAATGGAAGAAAATATAACATATAAATAAGTGATTATCAAAATAGTTAAAGAGATTTTTAAAAAGTAAACCTACATGAACTCAATACAGGTGGAAGGAGTGCAAGCAGCAGACCAGAAATGAGAGGAACCTGTGAGAGGTGTAGAAATGGTGAGAGATATTGACGGTGACGCTCAACAGAGCAAAGCAAACAGCAGTGCCATGTGGGTGGGAGACAATAGCGAACAAGAACAGACTGCTCTGTGCCCCAATAATAAAATGAAGCTTTTGAGCAAAAAGCCTTCCCCACCCAATCTATTGTAGCATAGAGATCATTGGATCCTAAAAATGAAATAACCCAGTAAGGAGAAAAATCTCAGGTAAAATGGGATTTTACAAGGTCAGAACAAAAACTGCTTTCTGAATACTCCATTGAATTGTACCAGCCTGAAATCAGTTTTCCCTTGGGCTTCTGATCTAGTTCTTGATTCTGCCTATAAATTTTTTATCACATGTAAGACAAAATTATATAGTCAGCTTAAAAATTTAAATGTTACTAGGGTGGGGTTCTGAAACAAAACTTCAAACTAAACATATTTGCTGTCCTCTTAACTCTCTAAAATTCCCACTGAAATGAAATGTAAAATTATAAACAGAATGACCTGAATCCATCAATAATAAAACTAATAAAAAGATGAAAGTTATCACAATTCCCATGAGGTAGATAAAAAGTGGATGCAAATACACTGATGGAGAAAACAGAGAGGGAAAAAGTCCAGGCCAGAATGAACTGTGAGAAGATTACAGTGGAAACGTGAGTGAAGGGAACCTACTGGGTGGGACCCTGGAGAGGTTCTGGGCTGAGAAAGAGAGCAGGTGATGAAGGGTGAGAGGAACAGAACACAAGAGAACGTAGTGAAGGTCCACATGTGGAATGGCTGCACTAGCCTCTCTCTGTTCTCACCAACCTGCTTCTGTATTTGTGTGTGAGAAGCATATGAAGCCAACTTGGGGCATGTAATCTTCATGAGAGTTTACTTGAGCCATCTGGGATGGTTTCAGTTTTTATTATGAGTAATTAATATAATTAGGCCATTTCCAATGATATTAGGTTCAGGGAACAAAGAGAAGCACCTTAATTACCAGTTCCCTCCTCATTCATCCTAGAAAGAAGCCTGTCAATTCACATGACAGACCCACATACCCACACTACTGGCCAGGCACCCCATTCAAGAAGAAACTTTGTGGGGAACATGGACACAAAGACATAAGGAGTCCATCCTGCTACCCAGTCCTTCATTCTTAAATACAAATTAATAACAAAATAGCATTAATCATGTATAAATATAGATGGTATCTCTGTCTACACATAGAAGCCCAGAGTTATGAACTGTAAATCATCAGAATCATTGCTACCTGGATAGAAAGTGATGGATAGAATGTTATCTCATCATTCCCAAAAGCAACTAAGATAGTAGACTGGTTCTCTGGTCACTACTCTTTTAAAAATTTCTGAATTTTAGCTTTGAAAAAATTTTTCCTTTCATCTGCTTTTTATGTTTACTTAGATGGTTTCTGTTAACAAGTGCTTTAACTTACATTATTTCAACTCCTCAAAATTGGTAAGGCCAGCTGTATAAACACCTTCAAAAGGAGAGTGAAATTAAAATTCAGAATATGATTAAAGTTTATTATTTCTTGAATGCTGCCCACATACCAGGCAAGTTCCCTGGTAATAACGAACACTGCTGGCCCCCAGCCTAGATCTCCTTTCCCAGGACAGTGTAGCCATCCCCCGCTACTGTGAGTGTTGGCTACTCTTGGCTCACATTTGCCCCTTTCCCTAGAAAGTTGACCTCTGCCAATGAGAGCCACCATTGTCCAGTAGCATATACCTCTACCCCAAGAAACACTGCAGCCAATTATGACTTTATTCTTACCCACAATAGGTCAGAGCAGTCTGGCTCCCTTGCCTCAGCGTGGGAGGGATCACCCCTGTGATGTAGTTCACTCTCCAGAGCTCCCTATGAGGTCAGGTGGGATCAAGACTCCCACTGGACCAAGTCCATGCTTAGCCTTTCCCCCTGTCTCAACCTGGTTTCCTCAATCAATTACAGAGAAAGATTCCAACTGCAGTCTCTACTTTTAAGGAACTCATCCCAAAGCAGTATGTTATCTCATTTAATACTGAAACAAATCCTGAAATATATATAGTATGTAGCCTAATAAATGGACCATTAGTAACATAAATATTCAAACAGAAAACACAACCCAGGTTCTTTCCAGAATGCCAGGAAGCCAAAAGGTATAAAACAAATGTGGAAGTAAAATTTAAGGGTCTTGATTCTGGCGCAACTTTCTGCTCTTCCTTACTGCCTTTCAAATCTTTCTTCCAAGGCTTGGAAAGATTTATTCAGTCTTTCATTCTTCAGATTAAGAATTTGAAGCAAATTTGGATTGAGTTCATCCTTTTCATCAGTGACTATGGGAACAACCCTTGACAGAAATCTTAACTCTCCATTTCTAAACTTTCCCACTTTGAGGACTACATAAACTATATCATGTCCAACAGACTACAACTTCACTTTTATAATAAAGTGATGTTCAAAGTTTTTTCCTGTAATTCAACTTAATAGCTACTAAAAAGTATTCTTTTCATCAGGCACAAATATTTTGCCCGAACATAGTATATATTGCAGGGCAAATATGTATTGCTAGGTAGTCAGAGGAGGGAGGCATTTATATGCTCTTCAGTGTTTCCAACTCTCCTCCAACATTTGCTGAAATATGCTCAATACCATACGGTCTCTGGTCACTGATTTAAACAGGTCTTTGTTCATCACAACAAAGCCTCTTGGTGTCTAGACTTCTTTTAGATACTTAGAGATCCTTCTCAATAAATTTTAAGTCATTCCAGCAGGTGCTGTGGGTATATGACATGCTGTGACTAGAGCTAAGACTCCCTACCATCTCCAAGCCACACTCAGTTACATAGAAATCAATATACTCTTCCACAAGGTTTTGAGTTCAATTCAGACTTTACCCCAAAATGGCAATATAGACCCTCTCTAATCTTCAATCTCTGCAAATATCTAGGCTTTTTTTTAACGTGTTCTCACCCTCTCCCTCTAGTTCTGCCATCTACTCATCAAATGTGCCCTTATATAACTCAGGAGTGGAGCTGCAGCTAAGGCTGGAGATGGGGTGAGGGTTCTATAACTAAAAGAATTTATGACTTACAGGATTTTCACAGTAGTTTGCTGATCTTTTTTATTTTGCATTTGTGTTTTTCTGTTGCATTCCTAAAGCAACGTCTATCAAACTTCTTGGGTAACTAAATGGGGAAAGAATAAGATGTCCTACAGACAGAGACAGAATATCTGTTATTGTATGAAAATGTTTTCTTGATATAAATAAAAGGAATCATAAAACCGATCTAATAAAGCATAGATGTGGCATAAAACTAGAGTGAGCATTAAAATGTATACATTATGTGATATAGGCACCTTGCTGTATATCAATCATACCTAAATTTTTTAAAAAAGGAGGGAGGAAGTAAACTTTTAGAGATGATGGATATGCTTATGGCATAGATTGTGATGTATGTATGAAATGAATATGTAAACCTTCTGGTTTGTCAATGATCTCAAAAAAATTTATTTTTTTAATCTCTCCAGAAGAAATATAAAAAATATTTTAAAACTAAAGTAGAAAGAGAATACTGGAAAATATTTTAACCAGACCAAGACTGTATCTTTCATTTTTCTTCAGGGTCTCAATTATTTTCAGAATTATAATAATACTTCCCTAATCAATCAGTCCTCCATACTAGTACTCTTAATTTCCACTTGAATCTAGAGAGCAAAGAGGACTTTACTGCCCTGCAGTCTAAGCTCTACATCAGGCATTCCTGGGGCCCAGCAGGTTTGGGTACAGACTGCAGGTGTCTGGGGAGCACTGTGTGTTCACCACACAGAGGTAGGTGGCTGAATCACTGAGCTTGGAGTCTCTGATGAGCAGGGAAATATACTGGCTGGCTCTATTGAGCTGTGCTGTAAACCTTCCATCTTCATTACCACTGGAGTATACGGACATCAGCAACTTAGGTTCTTTCCTGCAATCCTGTCTGTACCAGAAGAAAGACTGAGAAGCACTGTTGCTGTAAGTACAGTTGAAAGCGACAGTGGCTCCCTCTGGAACATTGAAGGGTCCAGGATCCTGCTCCACCTCCTTCCGTTGGCTCCAAACCCCTGTGAAAAAGACAGTGGTCAGACAGAGAAGACAAATTGGGAGGTAAATGCTTACTCCCCAGAATTCAAATCATGTTTTTACAGGCTTTCTACTCTCTTAGTTAGAGAAAAAATTCAGGCTTCTAGCCCCCAGCCTAGGATAGACAATATCTCAAAATATTGTACATTATGTTCCTATAGAGATGCCCAACTCACAGCTTAACTGAAGCCACAGGATCACCAGTAAAACTCTCAAGGATATCATCATTCTTTTCTGCCCTGGTTCACTGAGGATTAAAATTTTCAATCCAAAAAGAAATGAACATAGCAGAGATACTTTATTTCTTCCACTTTAGGAATCGTAAAAAGAATCTGTCCTACCAATTAGAAAAAAGAGGTTATTTTCACAACCCCTGGTATATCACTAACCCCTCCTCTTATCGCCCTTCCCATTCTCTCTCTTTCTCTCCTTCTCTCTCTCTCAAGCACACACACACACACACAGACACACACACACACGAGCACTTGAGAGCTTTCCTCAGGGTCCCTAAGAACACACTGCCATCTTGTGGAATCATGATAGTAATCAAAGACGTACTCAAGATGTAGACCTGTATTATGTGAACAGGTAAATGTAAAAATCTGACATATTAGTTAAATTAAAAATTTGAGAAGCAAATGCTCCAAGTCAATGTCTGTGGGGGATGTTTATGCATGCATGTGTTTGATATCAAATGGCAACTCTTGTATGAGTAAGAGGAATTATTTCTAATAGCCACTTTCCTGCACACAACAATCAGTCATGAAGCATTCTATTCCAAAACTTTGAGTGAGATTCTTGCAATTTAAGGAGCATTTCACATTACGTAGCTCTTCTCCATGTCAGGCCATACATCCCCATAGCATTCTGTTATCTCCAATTTTTAAAGAAATTTCCTATAATTCAAAAGAATTCTTTCAAAATAGAATGACCTAAAATCTAGATAAAGAAATATGATTTGAGCTCACAGCCTGGCCAACATTTTTTAACAAAGCCAAGGACTGGAGCTTGGAATTCGTCATTCTGTCTTACACCAATGACATGTGCATGTCATGTCAAAACAGTATTTGTTTGGGCTGTTGCAAAAGAGATGGACCTACCTTCACTATCTAGACTTTTATATGTCTGTTCATTTGTCTAATTCCTCTTATTTCTTTTCTTGTTTTAAGTTTATATCTAGGAATAAATCTCCAAAATTTATGAATTTGGTCTTTCTCTTTGCCTTTTCATCCTAACCTAAAAAGCAAACCAGATCTATGGAGGGTTAACTATGCAAGAAACTTAACTGGGTCTACAGAGTAACAAGCACAACAACCACTGTTCCTCCTCTAGTCCATAATCTGCTCTGTGTCCTTGAAGAAGCTGGTGGCTGTAGGCCAGCAATGATGCAGGCTCTTTTCTACTCAAGAGCCTTGTAATCAGTATACATCAATGATGGCCTGGGCAGGCCCTTCCCATTCCCACCAACAACTGCATAGGAAATAGAATGAAGAATAACATGCTGATATTGAAATCCCTTTTTCCAGGAATACATTGCACATGACAGAAATTACAACAGCCACTTCTCAGTAAGTGTAAAAACCAAAGGAAGAGTGACAGCAACCCAAGAATGCAGCCACTACATTCTTGGAAAATTTATAAAAAACAAATATAACATCTAAAATTGAATGGGGACCTGAAGCACAGTCCTTTCAGGAAGAAATCACCTTTTTAACATTTGTAACAAAAATAGTATGGGTGAATAGATATAATGTTGTGGTGGACCTAAGAGCGTTATCAATGCTAGCAAAGTGACATTTAAAAAAAAAATTTATTTTAAAGTAAAAAAAAAATGACAGAATTTATATGTCAAAGTTGTACTGCAAAGCTTCTGTGCCTACTGATGTCTAAATAACATATAAAAGTCCTTCATATGCCTTAAGGACAGTGTTATGGCAACTAGTCAAAGAGAAATCATAGTCCCCTTCCCCGTTGGATTAAGCAGTCTTCATCTTCCAAAGCATAAAATTTTCTAGATATGCCTTGTGGACATCAAAGTATTGAAAGCAAGATCTCATTCAAAGGCAATTTATCTTAAGATACTACTGTAAATGCTACTAATTTTGTGTCTATTTGAAATACATAAGTTGTGCTGTTAAAAATTACAACGGCGACAAAGGAAATTTTTATACACATGGAAAAACACACTTTGACTCATTGTGTTCTCATTATACACAATGAGATTATTCTGTATAATTTTCCACAATATAATTATAATTATTGTTTATGTATTAGTTTGTTAAATAAGTTAGGGAAAAAATGGGAGTTACAAACAAAAACTACAAAAATATTGGCTTTATTCTTATCTATGTAACTACCTTTACCATTGTTCATTATTTTTGCATGGCTCCAAGTTGCTGTCTAGTGCCATTTCTTTTCTGCCTGAAAGATTCCCTTTAGATTTTCTTGTAGGGCAAATCTGCAAGTGATGAATACTCTGAGTTTTTGTTTATCTGGAACTGTCTTAATTTCTCCTTTGTTTTAGAACAATAGTTTTGCCTGATACAAAATAGTTGGTTGACATTTTTTTTTCTTTAAACACTTTAAATATGCCATCCCACTGCCTTCTGGCTTCTATGGTTTCTGATAAACAATAGACTGCTAATCTTTGGAAGATCTCTTCCATGTGATTAATCACTTATCTCTTGCAGCTTTCAAGATTCTCCATTTGTCTTTTTCTTTAAACAGTTTGATTATAATGTGTCCCAATGAGATTTTTTTTTTTTTGCCTTTTTTCTACTTGGTCTTTGTTGAACTTCTTGGATGTATAGGTTCATGTCTTCCAACAAATTTGGGAAGCTTGGAGTCATGATTTTTACAAATATTCTCCCTGCTTTTTCCTTTCCTCTCACTCTGGAAATCCTGTTATCCTTATGGCTGTACTTTTTATAATGTCCCGCAGGTCTATTAAGCTCTCTTCAATTTTTTTCCCTTCCGCTTCTTAGACTGAATAATTTCAATTGGCCTATCTTCACATTTGCAGATTCTTTCTCCTTCCTGCTACTGAGTCCCTTTATCAATTTTTTTTTAAAATTTCCTCTGCATAGCCACTTCTTCTCCACTCTGAGAGGGTTTTGAGTTATATGAATACAGGAAAGCCCTTTGAATTAGCCCTTCAGAAAACCACCTGACAGGTCAACATAGTCAGGCACTATTCTTTGATAACGGGTCTACTCTGCTTCCTCCAGCCCCAGACACCCACACTGGGAATGCCGGATGCCATTTAAAGACTATTTTCAAGCCAGTGATGGAAAGATGGAGCAAAAGAAAGTTACACTATCACAAATCTCTCCTGCTACGTTGCAGTTAACTTTTTGTTGATTAAATGTATGCTTGGTTGCTATAAAACTTTTTGTGGTCTTTGGCTAGAGTAGAATGGTTATGGTCTTATAGTTTCTGCCTTCATAGTCAATCCTTTCCCTGGTCCTTTGGCTACAGAAAACGGCATTTCTTTGGGATTTCTTTTCTGTACCCACCGGCATTACCAGGTTACTGGCTACTCCTGGATGCCACTGGTTTGTATGAGGCAAAAGGAAACTCATGAAACTCACTGTTCTAGCATTGTTCAGGTCCTAAATTTCTTAGACAATCTGGCTTTTTCTCTCTATCTTTTAGAAACTTTTTATCTTTTGATTTTATATACAAATGGTCCCTAACTTAATGATGACTTGACTTATGATTTTTTTCATGGTGCAAAAGCAATACCCAATCAGAACAAACTGCACTTTGTGTACCAATACAACCTTTCTATTATTCTCTTTGGGTACTTTATTCAATAAACTAGATGAGATACTCAACACTTTGTTATAAAATAGGCTTTGTGTTAGATGATTTTGCCCAACCATAGGCTAATGTAAGTGTTCTGAGCATGATTAACATAGGATAGGAAATCTTATGATGTCCAGTATATAAGATGTATTAAATGCATTTTATACCTATGGTATTTTAAACTACAATCAGTTTACTGGGAAGTAATCTCATTTCAATTCAAGGAACATCTATAATGTCCAGAATTTTTAGCTGTATCTAACAGTAATAGAAAAAAGTACACCTCCTCTAACATTCTAGAAGTGAAAGGCATGATGCTTCTTTCTTTCTCCGAACAGCGACCTTAGAACAGCCTGGTTGGTACACTCTCCAGGCAGCAACATTGTCAGAATGGTATTAATATTGAATTCCAGTTCAGCCACCTATATTCTTTTCTTGGTTAAACATGATTTTACATCATGAGGATAACCAGCATTTATTTGAGTGCACAGCTTTACAAGTTCCCGTTCAGTTTTCCAGGAAGGCCAAGGTGGTAATTATGATGAATCTCTGTAAATGTCATACAAATGCCTGTTCCTCTTTCTATTTGTTCTAGGCAAATGATTTTGGTGTGACTAGGAACTGACTACAAAAAAAAGGCAAAGTTATAGCTACTAGAATGGGATGAACCGATTTTGTGATGGTGGACAAAGAGCAATAACACTGGCACCTAGGAAGGGAAAATCTTAGACCGGGAGGTGGAGGAGCGGAGAATTAATTCACTCTTTGTATTCTAGGTCAAGCACCACAGCCTAGCAAGACAATTATATGGTCTGCTGGAGCCAAGCGGCAGCTGCAGCTGGCTATCCAATCTGCTCTTGGTTTGTCATCTTCTTCCACATTCCTTGAAATAGTAAAACTCCTGTGAATATGGCCTGTCCTGAAAATTTCTGCAATACATACATCAATAGCAGCTTCCCAACATAGATTCTTCATCCTTGTCTGTGTACAAACATAGAAATCAGTACAACTTTGTCTCAATCTGACTCATACAAATGTATATGCTTCTCCTGATGTCTGAAAAGTCTTGGGTTATGCCATGAATGGCTACAGAGGTTGCAAATACTCAATGGCACTGCTCATATAGCTTAACAAAAGTGATGGCAGCAGCGGGCCATCTGGAGTGGCCACTACTATCACAGCAGGGAGGCATGGCTGGGGCTGCATACTCCATGGAACCAGGGACAAGCAGGAGCCCTGCCCCTTCTGAGTTGGAGCAGGAGCTCCCCAGGTGCCCTGCAGCTGCCCAAGCCACAGCTTCAGGGGCATCACTGTCTTCTCTGCCCAGGAGCAGGAGGGAACCCTGCCCTTCCAGGCACAGCTGCAGCTTCCCAAGTCGTGACTGCAGACCTAGGCCTCCCTATGCTCTTGGGGAAACCAGGAGCAGGCAGGAGCCCCACCCTTCTCAGTGAAGCTGCAGCCACCCAAGTCAAGGCTGCAAACCCAGGACTTCTGCTCCATGGGGCAGGCAGGAGCATTGCCCCCTCAACCTCCCTCTGTGGGCAGCTACAGCTTCCCAAACTGCAGCTGTGGACCGAGGCTTCTCTGTACTCTTGAGGGCCTGGGAAGCCCTCCCTGCCTTCACAGGCTCAGAAGTACCCACTCTCACTGCCTGGCTTCTCCTTGTTGTCAGCATCCACTCTGATCTCAGAGCAAAGTTGAGGCCAAGCCCAGGCACTGTTGCAGCACAGTAGAGTGTGCACACACTAGGGGAAGTGTTCACACACCAGCCCTCTGCCACCTTGACACCCTCCAGATTTTGGGCACTGACAAGCATAAGAGGGAAGCCAAGGGGGCACTGGCCTGAAGGCACTCCTTGGCACCTACCATCTGGGCACTAAGAATGACAGTAGGAGGCAGACAGGTTTCTGGGTGGAAGTGGTGGGTCCCCAGTGAGGTCACACCTTCAGGCCAAGGAGGGCCTGAAGGCTGGGTGTCAGGCTGCCAGTCCCACAGACTGGAATGGGAACTTGTGGTGCCTTTTCTGGGCCTGCCCATGGCTGCCCATGGATAAATTGGGCATGCACTTCCTCCCTTCTGAGGCCCATAAAAGCCCCAGGCTCAGCCAGAGCTGAGCAGACCTCAGGATGACCAGCAGCAGAAAGGAGCTAACCACTACAAGCCTTCCTCTCTATTGAGAGCTGCAGACACTGGGACAACCAGCTGCAGAGAGGAGCTACCCACCCCAGGGCCTCCTCTGTGCTGAGAGCTACAGAGACAACAGGACAGCCTGCCTGCAGAGAGGAGTTTCCCACTCCAGGGTCTCCTCTCTGCTACGAGCTGAACACTCATTGGAACACCCTAGCTGTGGAAAGAAGCTACCCAATGCAGGTCTCCTCTGAGCTGTTCTATCACTTAATAAAGCTCTACTTCATCTTGCTCACCCTCCACTTGACTGTGTACCTCATTCTTCCTGGTTGCAGGACAAGAACTTGGAACCCATCAAATGGTGGGGCTAAAAGAGCTGTTCCACAAACAGGGCTGAAACATGTCCCGTGTTTGCCACATTGTGGGTAAAAAAAAGGAGAGAAGTGCTGTGGCCCTGTGGGAAGCCCAGACCTGAGAGCTCCCCAAGTCAGGGCTATGACCCCCCTCTTTGGGACCCTATGGTTCCTGGCATCTCCAAGCTTTTGAGTGCCACCGTGTTCCCCAGTGCCAGCAGTCAATGCTGCTTGCAGTGCAACTGGTCTAGCCTCAGTCTTGTAGACAGCTGGCACCCATGCCAGCACTGCCCACCTCACTGCAGCAGCCAGCATGTCTGACTGTGCAGTGGCAAGACCCCACACTTCCTCACACATCCCTTACTGCTCCATGCCTGACTCGCCCTTGGCAAGCATAAGATCCAGGCCGGTAGCATGAGCTGAGCATAGTCTTCCAGGCCAAGTAAGTGGAATGAGTCCAGGGGGCCCATGCAAAACTTGAGTAAAGGCACCACCAACCACAGAGGTTTCTGGTCAGAAAAGCAACACCCCAAGGATCCTACAACAAAAGTGATGTAATGCTGATCCAAATCAAGTTTAACAATAAATTCCAAACTGGATTAACCTGTTGGGTTATGCTTATGTCTGGGAATAGGTGGGACAGAACATCTTTCCATTAGGAATGGTGGCTACTTTTTGGACTCTTTTTGAGAATTAAAACAAAGATTAGCGTATCAATCTAAACTTCCATGTATAATGGATAAGAAATTATATCCTAGTTATCTATACTTTGGGACTTTGTCACAGCTGACTAAATGGGTGAAGTTAATGTTGCAGATTGGTCTGCTGATAGTAGCCTTATTTAAACATTGTTTGAGGCAAATTCAATGTATTTAGTCTCGGAATCTCTGTCTGTCAAATTGATCAGAACGGCTTCTGGAGTGGCACACTCATGAGAAAAGTTTCTAGAAAATAACACAATGTAAGAATATGGAGTGGATATTGTTGAAAACCAGACCATCCTTAATCTCTTATACTCATAAATGTCTTGCTAGGTATGCCAGTGGTTTACGACCATGACCACTCTACCTGACCAATTTCCAGAGTTATGCTTGCAGCAAGAAACCTTGAGGGGTGAGGTACTGTTTCCCTCTGAGACAAAGAGCAATTTGGTTTACTCCTTACTATAAAAGCAGTGAATTCTCCGAGCTCAAAGTTCCTCAGTTATGACACAGTACCACTTCAAACAAAGTATTCGTCAGCATACATATCATCTTTTTTAGATTTAAGGGAAAGAACGACTGAAGTGAATATAACAATGTTTATGCTGTTTGCTGTGTCATGAGTAACAAAATCCTTTGTCTCTAAGTAGTTTCATATATTTACTGTAGCCTCAATCAAACAAGATTAGTAACTTGTAGGAAGGGAAAACATCCAAAACCTGACAAATCCCTCCTCTCCATTATAGTAAAGACTAAAGACTTGAATTACCTTTTTTTTTTTTTTTAAGACAGAAGAGGTTTCACTATATTGCCCAGGTTGGACTTGAACTCCCGGGCTCAAGGGATCCTCCCACCTCAGCTTCCTGAGTACCTGGGACTGCAGGCACACATCACCACACTTGGTTTGAATTACTTTTGACAACAATAAATTTCCCAAAACTGGTCTTGAATGAAACTTTTTTGAAGGATAAAATGTATAGCCCCATATGGGAATTAACTATCATACCTGATCAAATATTTGATCAATTTTCTGATATTCTTTACTAAAATAAAGACTCATTCTGAGATATTAGTGTTATAATCTCAGATGACTATTAATCTCATGATGAGTCTAACAACCACTACACAGAGTACAGTCATTATGAACCAATAATAATTTGACCATAATAATTATCTTTAAATTGACTTTAAAAAAAAACCTAGTTTCTATAAAATGTCTCTACTTAGTCCAATTATTTGAATGTGTTTCCTGATGCAATTTTTCTCTTGCAATAATTTGAGATTAAACTTTGACATGTGCTTATCATTTATTTGATTTGGGAAGTTGATTTCATACTTTCCAACATCTTTTAAGTATACCTTTTTTTTCTTTCAGATGTTTTACTGTGGGATTATGTTTAGAGTTTGCTCGGTTCATTCAGATTACACCTGATGTCAATTGAGTGAGGACAGATTGAGACCCTGAGTTGATCTAGTTATTTGACAGAGTTCACTGAGCATAGGAAGGCCTGGTCCGGAGACAAGGGGTAAGTGCCAGCATTAAAGAACTCTACCAGATATCTGAGCAGGGAGCACATACACGAAGTTCAGATTTGCTAGGATGGGAGTGAGAAGAAAGCGAAAGGAAAAAAGAACGCAAGGCCAAGCAACATTCATTTATTCATTCTGTATATAGTTCTTTTTTATTTTATTTTATTTTATTTTTTAAGAGATGAGGTCTTGCTTTGTCACCCAGAGCTGAAGTGCAGTGGCACCATCATAGCTCACTGCAGCCTCCAACTCTTGGGCTCAAGATATCCTTCTGTCTGAACGTCTTGAGTAGCTAGGACTGCAGGCGCATGCCACCACACTCATTTAATATTTTATTTTTGTTTTTTGTAGAGATGAGGGTCTCACTATGTTGCCTAGGCTGGTCCTTAACTCCTGACCTCAACTGATCCTTCCACCTCGGCCTCCCAAAGTACTGGAATTACAAACATGAGCCACCACGCCCAGCCACATGCAGAAGATATTTTTTCACTGACTATTATGGGGCAGTCACTAAAGGTAGGCACTAAAGTTAAAGGTGTGATTAAACAAACAATATCCCTGACCTCATAGAAGTTGTATCCTAATTGGAAGTTTAGGCAATGAACACATTGGCATGTAAATCAACATTATAACTAGATGTTATGATTATTACCATAAGGGAAATAACTAGGGTTTTGTGATAAAGCTGTGGGGAGAGCCATGGATGGCTACGTTAGTCACGAAGATCAACAGAAGTCAGAAGTCTTTATCTATATAGTGTGTACTTGAGCTGAGATCTGAAATGTGAAAATGAATTGGGCTTGCCCATATTTGGAGGAAGAGCATTTCAAATGGACGAGTTTGACTAAATGTGGAAAAGAACATGGCAAGTTCAGAATACTGAAAGGAGAATAGTGTTATTGCTACATAGAGAGCTAGGAGAGTTAAAAGGGGAGATTGAAAAGGAGGTTCACATGATACATATCTTTGTGTAGCACAGCCTGAAATTTGCATTTTTATTCTAGAAGCAATAGAAAGCCATTGAAGCATTTTTGGGCTAGTAGAGACAGCTTTTACTTTATATTGTAAAAAATCATTCTGGCACCCCATGAAAGGGGTGCTTCTCAAACTTTGAAGGATAGAATGACACGGTTGGTCTGTTAAAATGCAGATTCAAATTCAGTCAGCCTGAGATTCCGCACAAGTTCAGATAGTGCTGGTCCACACTTACAGTAGGAACGACGTGGAGAATAGATAGCCTTGAAAGGAAAGAGAACATTGGAAGGTAAATGGGACCATGAGAGTGTTTTTCAAAGTTCTTCTTTAACATATCTTATTGTATGAAGATACTTATGTTGTGTGAAACACTCTTACTCTGTATGTTTTCTAATCCTGTTTCATTTATTTTTAATAACAAATGTATAACTTCATAGAGTAAAAGAGTCAAAACATTTAAAAATTTTACTTGGCAAAGTGGAAACTTCTTTCAAGTAATAATGTTCATAACAGGTAAAGAAAGTATGGAAAACAAAAAGCATTACATGCTATTGTTGGAATCACAATTTGGTGAAAAATTTCTTCCTGAAAATTAGATATGCAGTGTTATGTGTTTTCCCTTATTCACCCAACTCCATTCTGTGAAAGCTGTGACTTGAATGATGTTAATAAAAACATTGTCTATAATACTGGATAATTAGAAATATTATCAAAAGGTGATTCACTTTTTAAAAAATATATAATGAAAACTAGACAGTCATTTAAAATTATATCCTCAATATAAGATCCCTGGCATGGAAATATCTATAATGTTGAGAGAAGCAAGCACATTAATAAATACTGGGGACATTATCAGCCCCATTCATAGAGAAATGTAGTTGTATATGTATACAAGAAAATTTGAAAAATAAATACTTGTTATTTCTAGGCGATGAAGTTATGAGAATGCTCTACTTTGATAGGTAGTCGTATCTTCTAATTTACCTAGGTTGAACATACACAATTAAATAAAACTTTTAATTTAATTTAAATGTAAAACACGCAACTCTTTTCTTCAAACTTTAGATCCTGCTTTGCATCATTGGTGGAAGAAGCAACTGACAAGGGATCATAAAGCCTAGACTCTTTTTATAGCTTTCATTTTACTGTAAGTCGTGCTTGAGTAAATGATACCATACTTGTGGATCTCAATTCTTTCATTTATGAAATGAGGGGTATGGGCTGGATCAGTATTTCTTAAAGTGTGATTGATACAAGAGGTCCTATTAGGCAGTATACAGACAGCCTTTTCAATTGTTACATATATGATGCTATTTTAATTTATATTGGGAAAAATATAAGCAGCACTTTAAATATATTATTTATATCATATACATGGTTTCACAGATGGTATCTGGTAAAATGAAGACAATTTTACAGTTATTTTTAAAGTCTATTTAACATAAACATCAATTTAATATTAAATTAAGTAAATAATGGTATAGATGGTACAAAAACATCATGAAGATATGATCAAATGGGTAAAATGTTCCTGATGAGGGTATAGCCTGGAGAAAACTTGCTTCATGGACTCAGAGCCTGCACCACAAAGGGGTCTTTCCTCTTAAAGAGTAAAGCAGTGGAAGGAATCTGTGGGCAAACAGGCTCAGAATCTGTACAAACTGCATCAAGGAATGAAATTTAAATAATAACAAAAGGAAATTTAATTTAATATAAATTCAGTTTCATTACATAAGAAAGATACATTATCCTTCACTTCTATTTTGGAGATGCGGGTCATAAAGAAAGTTCCCTCTATACAAAAAAAAAAAAAAATCTTCACTCCCACCTGCAAGGCTAGCCTGTGTCAAGGGTCCCGGCTGCAGGTTATGGTACAGGCTGCAGGTGCTGGGGAGACACTACTGCAAAGCACAGAAGTAGGTGGCTGAATCTCCCAGATGAGAGGCTGCGATATTCCAAACACTATAAAATTTTTCTTTTCCAAGCAGTTCTTTAAAATATTTGTCTCCCTGCTCCTTCTGGCTTGATTGAATTAAGGTCAAAGACACAAGTCTTCTCCCCGGATCCTGCCGGAACCAGTGGAAATTGAAGAGTGTTCTCTCCTGATAAGTACAATTAAGAACGGCATGCATTCCCTCCTGAATATTCAGGAATGAAGGACTCTGCTCCAGTGTATGTAGTCTATTCACCCCTGTTTAAACAGAGAACCACAGACAGAGGACATTCATTCACGGAAATTCATTCATTTGGAAGATATACTCTCTTTTCACAGCCCCCACAGGTGAGCACTGAGACCCTAACCACCCTTCTATAACTTCCAGACTTATAAAGAAGAAACTACAATCTGCTCTTTTTTATGATATTTCCAGAGCCCAGCAACTCACAGCACAGCTGCCAGGAGGAAATCAAGAATGAAACTCCCAAGGGCTTCTCCGTTTTTATCACTTAGACTCAGTGAGGTCTCTGGCTGGGGTCTGGGAGCCCTCAAACACTATCAAGCCAAATCTCTGGTTTCTCTGAGTTAACATTCATAGTTCTTTGTTGCAGGAAGCTGAAAGTCTCCCCAACCAGCCAGAAACAAGATTTACTCCCCGGTGCACAGATCACACAGCTCCTCCTGATCTCTGAAGAGGTAGCATGGAAAAGGACCCTGGCAGAACCAGGTGCTGATTCTCAGTCAGCTGCATCTAGCATTTGTCCCTTAGATTTTTCTCTTTCCTTTTTTCTTCTGTAATACTTCCTGGGCATCTACCATGTATGTACAAGTTATAAATTGAATAACTAAAAAGGATTTCTCCCCCAAACCTAGAAAGGTTACTTTCTCTCCTTTCCAATGCAGAGCTCTGTTAAATGAGCTCCTGGGTATGGATCTAGTTATTGGCACTGTAGGTCAGTATAATGGTGTTATATCGGAGTCCTGCTCCATAAAGCTCATGTGGATTCATCATAGAATTTACATTAAATTACACCGGAAGCAAGAAAGCTTCATTTTCTGTGCAGAAAACCTATGAGATAAAAACAAACAAACAAACAAACAAACAAGAAAGCCAATACTGTCAGTTCAAATAATTGAATGGAATAAGGCCAATGTGAAATAAAGGGTGACTCTCGGCCATAACTGTAGTAAAAGAATATAATCAACAGAAGAAGAGTGGAAAGGCAAACCTTAATCTATACTTAAAGTTTCTTATTGTCTTATTTTAAATTACCTTTGTTTTATCATTTATGTCCAAGAATAACTACCATTAGTTGAAAAATTATTTTCTACCAATGCAATTCAATCATTTAATTAAATTCACTTAACTTAATTCAATCCTTATGACCATGTGATGTACGTGTAATTACCATTGATGGCGCGTAGGTGCTCTGAAGTTATGTAATTTTGTCCAGAGTAATGCAATTTAGTAAGTGATAGATAGAGCATTTCAATGCCTGTGCCTTTTACTCACCATATGAAACCTGCAAACTAAACTAAACTAAAGCAAGCAAGGAAATGCCTATATTGGAATGCAAACTTCCCAAGATATTCCTGTAAAAGAAAGTGAACGCAATAGACAAACATAGACTCAAGCCTCGTAATGGAAGGTCTTTTGTGTCTGCATTTATCTATTTTGTTTATTACCCTACTCCTTCTACCTACAAAAACACCTGTCACTTATTATTTGTTTTTTATTTCGTTTTGTTTTGTTTGAGACAGACTCTCATTCCATCGCCCAGGCTGGAGTGCAGATGTGCAATCACAGCTCACTGCAACCTCCGCCTCCTGGGTTCAAGATATTCTCCTGCCTCAGCCTCCCTAGTAGCTGGGATTACAGGTGCATGCCACCATGCCTGGCTAATTTTTGTATTTTTAGTAGAGACAGGGTTTCTTCATGTTGGCCAGGCTGGTCTCGAATGCCTGACTTCAAGTGATTCGCCCACCTTGGCCTCCCAAAGTGCTGGGATTACAAGCATGAGCCACGGCACCTGGCCTCATTATTTGTTTAATAAATAATTGTGTAATGAACAAATTCAATGTGTGTCTCTCCTTCAAGACCTAACTAAATTTGCTATTCCCCATGATACTTTCTCCTATCTTTTCTGTCCCACAGTAATCTCCTCCTGAGAATACCTTTAAAACTTATTTGTCCACGTACTTGGAATTTTACCTATTGATTCCATTTTCATGTATTTTATCTTTTTCCTCAATTAGTTTATGATTACTCACACAAGTCTGCTGTAGCAGCAATCTGAACTTTAATTTCTTCACTCTAAAGACTTGAAAGGAGATACAGGACAGGAAAAAATATCTGATTACTGAATATATCTAGGTTTACTTTTTGCTCCAGAAGTCAAGGCATTTTGATGTCTTGACACTTGAGCTATCTCCAGACTAGTTACAAAGAACAGTCCAGGTCCTGGCTTCATTTATTCACAAATTATCAATTCACTGAACTTGGAAATGAACTTACTTGCAGTGCTCATAAGCATAACAAATCAATCTTATTCAACAATATCCTGAAATGTGTGATCATCTTTAAATATCAATTCCTGTGAGTTGATAGTGACAGATGAGATGCATTCCTTTAAATTTTTTAAGACATTTGTTATTTTTTAATAATCTTTATTTTGACAGAAGAAAAATCCGAGAACTATAGAAAATTAAAAGTACAGAAGACAAGGAAAGATAAAAAGTAAAAACATTATATTCCCACAATACAAGGATTACCATTTTTAATATCTTAGTATATATTCTTCCCATTTTTTTACAGTTGATATCTGCCTTTTAAATAAGTACTTTTCTCATCTAATTCTCAAATTATATGTACATTTCTCTAATTGTCCCAAAAAGAACTTCACAGCTAAGTTGTGAAAACCAGAGTTCACAATTGCAGGTAGGCATTCTGTCCCTAAGTCTCTTTTCTAGAACACTGATGGTTGAAAAGCCTGGCACAGTTGTTCTGCTGCCTGAGAGTGACTGTGTCTGCCAGGATCCCCTGGCCTTCCAGTGTCCTCTAAAGGAGCAGTGATGGAAGATAATAAAGAGTTGATGCAGCACCTGGACAAAAGCCTTGATCTGGAGCATAGCTAAATGGGAAGAGCAGATTTATTCTCACAGGATGCTTTCTGAGAACTTGAATAGCCATGAAATGACAACTGAATGTCTTTCAGGGGAAGGAAACTTCTCAAGATATTTCCGGCCAGGAGCAGTGGCTCACGCCTGTAATCCCAGCACTTTGGGAGGCCAAGATGGGTGGATCACGAGGTCAGGAGATCGAGACCATCCTGGCTAACACGGTGAAACCCCATCTCTACTAAAAATACAAAAAAATTAGCCGGGCGTGGTGGTGGGCGCCTGTAGTCCCAGCTACTCAGGAGGCTGAAGCAGGAGAATGGCATGAACCCGGGAGGTGGAGCTTGCAGTGAGCCGAAATCACGCCACTGCACTCCAGCCTGGGCGACTGAGTGAGACTCCATCTCAAAAAAAAAAAAAAAAAAAAAAAAAAATTTCCATCAGCCACATAAACTTGTTGCTCTTTCACTTAGTTGACATTCTGCTGGTAGGTGTCCAGATCAAAAACCAAGCTAGTCTCTCCCTTCCAAACAACACTGTCATCTACTTCAGCAATAGTAACACAGCATGACAGACTGTCTTGCCCTTGGGAACACCCAGATGTAGCAATTAACTTTGTGTGTTGAGTGAGAATGTCTTTATCCTCGCTTGAGGACATGTATTCTACTTGAGCCTAAGTAGAACTTTAGGCTCAAGCTCAAATCAAATCATGTCGGAGAGATAAATATTCACTAGTGAAATCATATTCTGCATAAAAAATAACGGTCTACTCTAACTCCTATGCCTCCTTGATAACCTCCAGGTGCAGGTTTGCATACTGGCTTCAAGTGCCTGTGGAGCACAGTGCGCTCACCACACAGATGTAGGAGGCTGAATCGCTGAGCTGGGAGGCTGTGATGTGCAGAGAGCTTTGCTTTGTGTCTGCATCCAGAGTTGCTGTATATCTTCCGTTCGACTTTGTGTTCTCACTGAAAGTCATGATTGTCAGGGAAACAGGACCTCTCCCCGTATCTTGCTTATACCACCTTAAGTTGCTGAAGGGGCTCACTGTATAATTGCATTGAAGAGTGCAGTTCTTTCCCTCCAGGATGATCAGGGACTGAGGACTCTGCTCCACTTGGTTTTTGCCATTCCCCCCTATTCAGAAAGAAAAGTGAGATTCAAGAGATCCATCATCCAGTATTAATACTGTCTAATTTGCATCCCTTCCTTACTCCCCACAATGAATCCCAAGTGAAACAGAAAATGGTCCCATTTTCTCCCTTCCTCCTATCCCAGTGGACTACATCTTCACCCCAAATCCTAAGAAAATATTCCCTTGACTTACTATGTTAACTTTGCTAAAACTCTCCACTAACTTACTATAAAAATAAAGCCACAAAATCACCAAGAAGGTCGTCAGATGCTTTTTCATTTTTATTCTGCAGAGATCTGCTCCCAGAAGTTGACTTGTGTATTCAACATCTTCTCTTTTTTTTTAACACTAACCAAAGGGTTTCTCAGAGGGTATCCCTAGCCAATCAGAGACCAGGCTTCGCTATGTTACACATACTACACATTCAGACCTGCAGGCGGGGCGAATGCAAATACTGCCCTCTTGGGGTCAGAGCTACAATTGCTTAGAACTTTTGATCAAGCTTTTTTCCTCCTATTTGCAGCATGATATAGAGGATAAAGCCCTTCATGTCTATATCAGCACAGTAGATTAGTAATTTAGACATATATTTGAAGCTCTGCATTCTGGCTCTATGTGATATTAAATAGGAGAGTTGAGCCTTAGCTTTCTCATCTGAAAATAGGTATGATAACACTTACCTAACAATTTTTGAAAGATTGAAGAGATGATTCATGTAAAGGCTTATTGTAGTGGCTAACATGAACTTAGCCTTCAACTGAAATATAAGCTCCCTTAGGATAGGGACTTTTATCTGTTCTATTCTCTGCTACATTGTCAGTTGCTAGAATAAGGCCTGTCAATAAATAGGCATATAATAAATTTTTATTGAGGGAATGAATAAATGATAGTTTTGTTCTGGTAATGACAGAGTTATTTTTATTATTCATTTTTAATTCAACAATTATTTTTCAAATGCCTACATTTTCAGGTATGATGATAAGTGCTGAGAATAAGCAAAGTCCCTGCACACAGGGGATGACATTCTAATGAGAGGAAAGACAGAGTATTTGAGCATAGATGCAAGTGACTGGTAAGTGTTGAAGTTTTTGAAAATTCTCTTCTGATTGTTTCTATTTTCTCAGTGAAATAAGAAGCTTATGAACAGTTGAGAGTGTAGATATATGAGGATTTATTTTAAGTTTGAAATTTAAAGCTCAGAGAAGTTGAAAGAATGGAAATAGTTATACAAGAAACAATAAAAAGAAAGTTGGTATATTATAGTTGTATAAGCAAAGTAGGCTTTTGGAAAAGATTTGCTAGAGGTAAAGACCGTGTGATGGCTAATTTTATGCATCCACTGAGATAGGCCCCAGTACCCAGATATTTGGTCCAACATCAGTCTAGATGTCACTGTGAAGGTGTTTTTAGATGAGATTAATATTTGAATCAGTAGACTTTGAGTAATGCAGATTTTCTGCATAATGTGAATGGACCTCATTCAATCAGTTGAAGGTCTTAAGGGAAAAACACTTAGGCTCTCCAAAGAAGAAGAAATTATGCCTCCAGACTTGTCTTCAAACTCAAACTGCAAAATCAGTGATTCCCAGGTTGCCCAGCCTGACGACCTGCCCTGCAGAAGTTGGACTTCCCAGCCCCTAAAATTGTGTGAAACTATTCCTTAAAATAAATCTCTCTATATAGATAGATAGATACAGATATAGATATGTACATATCTCTATCAATACAGATAGATATATACAGAGAGTTGCATGTAGACATCACAGTCTTAAATCTGCGTGAACCTAAATAATATAGATCCATTGTTAGTTTTATATGCTCTTGTGAACAGCTGCTTTCCTTTACAATGAGATTACTTTTTTTTTTTTTAAGTTCTGGGATACTTGTGCAGAACGTGCAGGTTTGTTACATAGGTATACATGTGCCATGGTGGTTTGCCGTACTTATCAACCCATCATCCAGGTTTTAAGCCCCACATGCATTAGGTATTTGTCCTAATGCTCTCCCTCTGCTCTCCCCCTAACCCCCGACTGGCTCCGGTGTGTGATGTTCCCTCCCTGTGTTCATGTGTTCTCATTTTTTACCTCCCACTTGTGAATGAGAAAATGCGGTGTTCAGTTTTCTTTTCTTTTTTTCTTTTTTTAAACAGAGTTTTGCTCTTGCTGCCCAGGCTGGAGTGCAATGGCATGACCTCGGCTCACTGCAACCTCCACCTCCCAGGTTCAAGTGATTCTCCTACCTCAGCCTCCCAAGTAACCAGGATTACAGGCACCCACCACCACGCCCAGCTAATTTTTTGTATTTTTAGTAGAGATGGGGTTTCACCATGTTGGCCAGGCTGGTCTTGAACTCCTGACCTCAGGTGATCCACCCACCTTGGCCTCCCAAAGTGCTGGGATTATAGGCATGAGCCACTGTGACTGGCTGGTTTTTCATTTTCTATTCCTATGTTAGTTTGCTGAGAATGATAGCTTCCAGCTTCATCCATGTCCCTGCAAAGGACATGAACTCATTCTTTTTTATGGCTGCATAGTATTCCATGGTGTACATGTGCCACATTTTCTTTATCCAGTCTATCATTGATGGGCATTTGGGTTGGTTCCCAGTCTTTGCGATTGTAAATAGTGCTGCAATAAACATATGTTTGTGTGTCTTTATAGTAGAATGATTTCTAATCCTTTGGGTATATATCCAGTAATGGGGTTACTGGGTCAAATGGTATTTCTGGTTCTAGATCTTTGAGGAATCGCCACACCATCTTCCACGATGATTGAAATAATTTACACTCCCACCAACAGTGTAAAAGCATTCCTATTTCTCCACATCCTCAATGGCATCGGTTGTTTCCTGACTTTTTAATAATCACCATTCTATCTGGTGTGAGATGGTATCTTATGGTGAGATTACTTTTAAATATTGATGGCAATGGCATTGTAGTCCAAAGTAAGGGTTGATCCCCCAGAGATGCTTACTTCAGGAAAGGATCATGGAATCAGTCCAGCAAAGTCAAGGAAGAGAAAGAAAAGAGGACAGAGGACAGAGAGAGGAACAAGAGGGTGAAGGAGAGGGAGAGGCAGGAAGAAGAAATCTCAGCAAAAAAGACCTGTCCATACTCATTCGGCTTAAATTAGGGGCACTATATTTGAAATATAATCAATTTTCAACAACATTCTCAGAGAGCTATGATAGTTTCCACAGTGGATATAACTAAACATCATCAAGGAGCATATGTGGTAACAGAAAAAATTCAAAAATCTTCTTCCAGAACAATGACAGCATCCCAAACTTGAAGTAGCTGCAAATTCCAAGGCATTTCAACTAGTTGGAACTTGTCAGAACTCTAAAACCAAGTGTTGACTATTTAATTTCTCCTCTTCAAGAAGAACAAAGAAGATACCAAGTTGTCATTGTTTTCCAAAGCTGGTTGTCTACTTCTTACTCAGTGAACAATTTATGAGCATGATTTTCTACTGCTTTGTCTGAGTCCTCTCAACTGGAAACAACTGACAAGTTTGAGATTACAGGCATATAGTTTACATTGCCTTAGGTGACACCTCACTACACACTCTCACAGTTTATCTCTTTCTCCATTTCTAGTAACATTCCTTCTATTCACATCATAATCCCATACTTATTTCTAGCATGAGCTCAGTGATGACTGGCTGCATATTACTCTCATATTCAGTAAGCTATTGGTATTATGCACCATTAACAATAAACAATCCATTTTGGATTTTTTTAATGCTTAAGTTGAAAACCTTAATAGCGAAAAATAAGAAACGTGGAAAATGGACAAATATAACATTTTAAATCAATGAAGAAAAATGAGTTATTCAGAAAAGGATGTTGAGCATGAGTGGCAGCCTCAAAATGAACCAAAAAAATAAGAAAAATAAAAATCCCTGGACATCAACCTCATTTTTTACATACACACTCTTATTAAAAATTTAAATACAAAAAAGTCTGAAAAACTAAAGAAAATACAGTATAAAATTTTACCATTTTGGAGTGGTATGGATTTTTAAGCAGGGCTTATAACTCACAGTCCATGAAAAAAGTTTTGATAAATTTGACTATATAGTATTTTTTAAATTCTGCATGACAAACAAGATCATAAGTAAAGTCAAAATGATAATACACTTTTTAAGAAGATATAGGTATACATTATATGATGGTTATATGACAAGTTTTCTTAATATAGAGAATGTTCTTCAAAATTTATATTAAAAAGACAATAACAGATGATTTCTAGTTTCTGGTTCTGCATGTAAGGAGCTTTAAAGTTGCCACTCACTCCTAATAAGTAAAAAGCAGAACAGACTGAAAATTCAACAATTCATCTTGGATCCATAATAAAGGTGAGGACATCGGGCATACCACTGCCCCCAGGATTGGACAATTAGGTGAATGCAGGGAGTCGTGGCTTACTGGAACAAAGACTCAGAAGCAGAAGCATTTATGGGAACCATTGCTGAGGTAGGAAAACCTCAACTGTATTTTGAAAACTGTTTTAGGCTCAGAAAGGACAAGTCTGAGAGTCAAAAACTCCAGGAAGGCTGAGTCATGGGGTGGGGAGGCTGGGGCCACACTTTTATAAGTTTTATCTTCAGCAACTTGACCAGGCTTCCACAGTAAATATCACAGAAAAATCCCCTTGCACTTCCAGCATGGATAGAGGAAAAGGAATAATTCTGAAATACACTGCAGCACTCTGTCCTTAACAAAGTTCTGCCCTCAGGAGAAACCAGTTAACCAAAGCCTAACCTGTTGGGGTTTTATCAGAGGTTAACTGACCTGGTGGAAGAGAAATACCCAACTTCAGCCCACCCTTGAGTTCTTTCCCAGCTAAAGGGTGTGTGAGGAGTGAGGGAGACTAAGAAACACTGGAGAAGTTTACAGCCCAGAGGCTCACTCAAAGACTGAGAACAAATTGTAGGCCTATAGAACACTTCCCCTCCCCACACACCTTACCACCACAGCACTAACAGCATATTTACAGCAGTTCCTTTTACCCAGTACATCATGTCTGGCTATCAAGAAAAAAATTACAGGGCATATTAAAAGGCAAAAACAATCTGAAGAGACAGAGCAAGCATCAGAGAAACACATCGGGGGTGTTGGAATTATCAGACCAGGAATTTAAAACAAATATGCTAAGAGCTCTAATAATAAAGTAGACAGCATGCCAGAACAGATGGGCAATGTAACAGAGATGGAAATCCTAAGAAAGAACAAAAAATTTCTAGAGATCAAAATACTGTCACAGAAATGAAGAATATCATTGATCAGCTTATTAGTAGACGGGACACAGCCAAGGAAAGAATTTCTGAGATTAAGGACAGATCAGTAGAAACATCTAAAACTGAAAAGCAAAGAAAACAAAGACAAAAGAAAAAATGGAAAAAAATCTAAAAACTGTAGGGCAGTTGCAAAAAGTATCACATATACATACGGGGAATATCAGATAGAGAAGAAAGAGAGAAATTAATCAAAAAAGATTTTTTTTAGACAATGACTGAGAATTACCCCCCAGATAATGTCAGACACCAAACCACAGATCCAGGAAGCTCAGAGAACACACAGCAAGATATATACCAAAACAAAACAAAATACCTAAATATTTCCTATTCAAATTATAGAAAATCATAGATAGGCTGGGCACAGTGGTTCATGCCTGTAATTCCAGCACTTCAGGAGGCCAGGGTGGGTGAATCACTTGAGCTCAGGATTTGGAGACCAGCCAGGGCAACTTGGCAAAACCCCATCTCTACAAAAAAAAAAAAAAAAAATACAAAAATTAGCTGGACGTGGTGGTGCATGCCTGTGGTCCCAGCTACTCTGGAGACTGAGGCAGGAGGATCACTTGAGCCCAAGAGGTTGAGGCTGTAGTTAGCCAAGATCACATCACTATACTCCAGCCTGGGCACAGTGAGACTGTGTCCCCACCTCCACCACCACCAAAATAAAAGAAAAAAGAAAATCATAGATTAAAAAAAAAATCCTTAAAAAAACCAGAAAAGGAATTATTAAAAAAAAAAAAAGAGTGGAAGACAGAATAAGAACAAAGAACAAGGGCAACAAATAGCAAGACTGGTTCAGATTTGAAAGTCATTTAATGTAATTCATCACATTAACAGGCTAAAGAGGAAAAATCACATGATCTTATCAATGATGCAGAAAAAGCATTTAGGAAAATTCAACACCTAATCATAACAAAAAAAAAACTCAGTAAAACAAGAATAGAGAAGAACTTTCTCAATACAGTAAACAGTGTCTACCAAAACCTACAGCTAACATCATACCTGATAATGAGAAAACTGAAGTTTTCTCACTAAGATCAGGAAAGGGATGTCCCTTCTCTCTACTCCTTTTCAGCATCATATCAGGAGTCCTAGCTACTGCAATAAGACAAGACAAGAAAAGAAAAGCTATACAGATTGGGCAGGAAAAAATAAAACTTTCTTCCCAGATGACATGATCATCAACATAAAAAAATCCAAAAGAATTGACAAAAAGAAAACTCCTGGAACTAGTAAGCAATAGTATCAACGTTGCAGGATGCAAGGTTAACATATAAAATATGATATATTGTATATAAGTAATTATTTATTATTATATACATTATATACATATTCATTTTCTTATATACCAGCAATAAACAAGTGGAATTTGAGCTAAAAACAGAAAACAATTACATTGGCACCCAAAAGGTAAAATATGTAGGTATAAATCTAGCAAAATATTTACAAGATCTACATAAAGAAAACTATAAAACTCTGATGAAAGAAATCAAAGGACAACTACAGAAATGAAGAATTCCATGTTCATAAATAAGAAGACTCAATATAGTCAAAATGTTTATCCTTCCCAGCTTGATCTACAGGTTCGGTGTAATAACAATCAAAAGTCCAGCAAGATTTTTGGAGGGACTCTGATGAATTCTTTTTACAGCATATATGGAAAGGCAAAAAACCAGAATAACAAACACAATTCTGAAAGACATGAACAAATCAAAGGACTGACATTACCTAATTTCAAAGCCTAACATAAAGCTACATTAATTAAGAAAGTGTGTCATTTATGAAAGAAGAGACAAATAGATCAATGGAACAGAATAGAGAACCTATAAATATACCTGCATACACAAAGTCAACTGATTTTTGATAAAGAAACAAAGGGAATACAGTGGGGCAAAGATAGTCTTTTTAACAAATGATGCAGGAACAACTGGATATCCACAGGCAAAAAATATATATACATATGAAAATGAATATAGACACAGACATTACAGTCTTCAAAAATTAACTCAAAATGTATTATAAACCTAAATGTAAAATGCAAAACTGTAAAACTCCAAAAGATAATATAGAAGAAAACCTAGATGACTTTCAGCATGGGAATGAGTCATTAAATGCAACACAATATGCATGGTCCATGAAAGAAATCAATAATAAACTGAGCTTCATAAAAATTTAAATTTCTACCTTGTAAAAAACAATGTCAAGAAAATGAGAAGAAAAACCAGAGAGTGGGAGAAAGTATTTGCAAAAAAAAAAAAAAAAAAAGAATTGTTATCCAAAATATACAAGAAGACTTAAAATTCAATAATAAGAAAACAAACGACCTGATTAAAAAATGGGCCAAAGACCTTGACAGACACTTCACCAAGGAAGATACACAAATGACAAATGAACATATGAAAAGATGCTTTTTATCATATGCCATTGGGAAAACGTAAATTAAAACAATGAGATACCCTGACACTTCTATTCCAATGCCCAAGTTCCAGACCTCCAACAACATCAAATGCTGATGAGCATGTGGAACAACAGGAAATCTCATTTATTACTGGTGAGAATGCAAAATGGTACAGCCATTTTAAGAGACAGTTTGGCAGCTTCTTACAAAACTAAACATACCATTGCCATACAGTCCAGCAGTTGTGCTCCTTGGTAATTACCAAAAGTAGTTAAAACTTATGTCTACACCAAAACCTGCAAAGAGATATTTATACCAGCTATATTAATAATTGCCAAAACTTAGAACCAACCAAGATGCCCTTCAGGAGGTAAATGGATAAATAAAATATGGTATATCCAGACAATGGAATATTATTCACTACTAAAAAGAAATGAGCTATCAAGACATGAAAAGCACTTAGAAACCTTAAATGCATATTAGTAAGTAAAGAAGTTGATATGGTTTGGTTGTGTCCCCACCAAAATCTCATCTTGAATTCTCACATGTTGTGGGAGGGCCCAGTGGAAAGTAATTGAATTATGGGGGCAAGTCTTTCCCATGCTGTTCTCATGATAGTAAGTCTCAAGAGATCTGATGGCTATTATAAGGGGAAGTTTTCCTGCACAAGTTCTCTTTGCGTGCTGCCGTCCATGTAAGACATAACTTGCCCTTCCTTGCCTTCTGCCATGATTGTGAGGCTTTTCCAGCCACATGGAACTGTAAGTCCAATTAAACCTCTTTCTTTTGTAAATTTCCCAGTCTTGGGTATGTCTTTATCAGCAGCATGAAAACAGACTAATACAGTAAATTGGTACCAGGAGTGAGGTGTTGCTGAAAGGATAACCAAAAATGTGGAAGCGACTTTGGAACTGTGTAACAGTTGGAGGTTGGAACAGTTTGGAGGGGTCAGAAGAAGACAGGAAGATGGGGGAAAGTTTGGAACTTCCTAGATACTTGTCTAATGGTTGTGACCAAAATGCTGATAGTTACATGGACTGCAAAGTCCAGGCAGATGAGATGTCAGATGGAAGTGAAGAACTTATTGAGAACTGGAGCAAAGGTCACTTTTGTTTTGCTTTAGCAAAGAGCTTGGCCACATTGTGTCTCTGCCCTAGGGATATGTGGAACTTTGAACTTGAGAGTGATGATTTAGGGTATCTGGCAGAAGAGATTTCTAAGCAGCAAAGTGTTTAAGATGTGGCCTGGCTGCTTGTAACAGCCTATGCTTATATCTGTGAGCAAAGAAAGGATCTGAAATTGGAACTTATATGTAAAAGGAAAGCAGGCCAAAAAAGTTTGGAAAATTTGTAACCTGGCCATGTGGTAGCCAAAAGTCAGAGATATTTTGCATAGTCATTTGAACCATCTAAAGTTATTTTTCCCATGTACATAAATTATTTATTTTGTATAGGTAGTTATTAGCTCAACTAACTAATAAGATCTAAATTGAGGCCTTTGGAATAAAATTAAAAGCTAAGAGAGAAACTAAAGCAGGGTGATCATGAAAAATGAAAGAGTCAAAGTCAAGGCATCTTCAGTGTCAATTATTATATCACTAATCTGAATAGTTCCATTCCTTTGTAGCCTGTGAAACAGGGGATCTTGCATACCATCCTCTTACTCTCACTTTTTGTGCTTAAGGACCCTTATAATGAGCAAAAATGCACTCCTTATGGGTCAATAAACTGATTGATATGAGTTAAGCACCTTCAATAGACAAGCAAAAGAAAATCTCCAATGTTAGCAAAGATGCCAAGATATCTGCAATTAAATCCAAAAATTCTTCTTTTTGCCATTCTTTATCTTCTCATAGCCCTGGCCGCCATCTACCACTTCATCTGTTACTCCCCTTCTGTAGAAGAAATGGCTTGAAAGACATTGGGGAAGCTATAAGATTCCTTTCTCACACCAATCTACATAGAAAAAGTTTCATCTCAATAGTTTGCATCTTCCAGACTCTGAACACTACCTATATATCTTAAGTAATGTCTTAGTGAGAGAAAGCCATCTTGCTGAGATATCATGCAAACTAAAATTCTCTACTGTCATAATATCTCAGCAAGGTATCTTTTAGGCATGAGTCATTTTTTTTTTTTTTTTTGAGACAGAGTATCTCTCTATTGCCCAGGCTGGAGTGCAGTGGCACAGTCTTGGCTCACTGCAATCTCTGTCTCCCAAGTTCAAGTGATTCTCTTGCCTCAACCTCCCAGGTAGCTGGGATTACAGGCAACCACCACCACACCTAGCTAATTTTTGTATTTGTAGTAGAGATGGGGTTTACCACCCTGGTCTCAAACTCCTGACCTCAGGTAATCCACCCACCTCAGCCTGCCAAAATGCTGGGATTACAGGCATGAGCCATCATGCCTGGCCATGAGTCATATTTTTTAGGGATTAGTTTCATCTTTTGGGCAAAACCAGTCTATGCATGTCATGTAATTTCCCAAAATAGAAACTAAGAAATGTTCCATCTTCTTTTTCCATATATGTGATCACATGTTCTACTCTCTCCTTCTCCATTATTTCTTATATTTCTTTTTTAATTAATGATTTTTAAATTTTTACTTATTTTTATTTTTACTTTTTGGAGGTGCATGCTAGGTGTATATATCATGGAGTACATGAGATGTTTTGATACAGGCATGCAATGTGAACTAGTCACGTCATGGAGAATAGGGTGTCCTTCTCCTCAAGCATTTATCCTTTGTGTTGCAAATAATTCAATTACACTCTTTTAGTTATTTTTAAATGTACAATTATTGTTGACTATAGTCACCCTGTTGTGCTATCAAATGGTGGGTCTTATTCTTTCTAATTTTTGGTACCCATTAACCATCCCCATCTCCCTCTCCCACCCCACTACTTTGCAGCCTCAGACCATCCTCCTACTCTCTATGTTCCTGATTTCAATTGTTTTGATTTTTAGATCCCCCAAATAAGTAAGAACATGTGATATTTGTCTTTCTGTGCCTGGCTTATTTTACTTAGCATAATGATCTCCAGTTTCATCCACGTAGTTGCAAATGACAGAATCTCATTCTTTTTTATGGCTGAATGGTACTATTGCATATATGTACCACATTTTCTTTATCCATTCATCTGTTGATGAACACTTAGGTTGCTTCCAAATCTTAGCTATTGTGAACAGTGCTGCAACAAACGGGGGGTACAGATATCTCCTTGATATACTAATTTCCTTTCTTTGGGTATATACCCAGCTGGATCACATAGTAGCTCTATTTTTAGTTTTTTGAGGAAACTAAAACTGTTCTCCATAGTGATTGTACTATTTTATATTCCAATCGATAGTGTACGAGGGTTCCCTTTTCCTCACATCTTGGCCAGCATTTGTTATTGCCTGTCTTTTGGATATAAGACATTTTATTTTTTAATTTTATTTTATTATTATTATACTTTAAGTTTTAGGGTACATGTGCACAACGTGCAGGTTTGTTACATATGTATACATGTGCCATGTTGGTGTGCTGCACCCATTAACTCGTCATTTAGCATTAGATATATCTCCTAATGCTATCCCTCCCCCCTTCCCCCACCCACAACAGTCTCCGGTGTGTGATGTTCCCCTTCCTGTGTCCATGTGTTCTCATTGTTCAATTCCCACCTATGAGTGAGAACATGCAGTGTTTGGCTTTTTGTCTTTGCGATAGTTTGCTGAGAATTATGGTTTCCAGCTTCATCCATGTCCCAACAAAGGACATGAACTCATCATTTTTTATGGCTGCAAAATATTCCATGGTGTATATGTGCCACATTTTCTTAATCCAGTCTATCATTGTTGGACATTTGGCTTAGTTCCAAGTCTTTGCTATTGTGAATAGTGCCACAATAAACACGTGTGTGTGTGTCTTTATAGCAGTATGATTTATAGTCCTTTGGATATATAGCCAGTAATGGGATGGCTGGGTCAAATGGTATTTCTAGTTCTAGATCCCTGAGGAATCACCACACTGACTTCCCCAATGGTTGAACTAGTTTACAATCCCACCAACAGTGTAAAAGTGTTCCTATTTCTCCACATCCTCTCCAGCACCTGTTGTTTCCTGACTTTTTAATGATTGCCATTCTAACTGGTGTGAGATGGTATCTCATTGTAGTTTTGATTTGCATTTCTCTGATGGCCAGTGATGATGAGCATTTTTTCATGTGTTTTTGGCTGCATAAATGTCTTCTTTTGAGAAGCGTCTGTTCATATCCTTCACCCACTTTTTGATGGGGTTGTTTGTTTTTTTCTTGTAAATCATTTTAACTGGGATGAGATGCTATCTCGTTTTAGTTTTGATTTGCATTTCTCTGATGGTCAATGATGTCAAAAACCCTTTCATATGCCCATTTACAATTTGTACATCTTCTTTTGAGAAATGTCTATGTAAATCTTTACCTGTTTTTTTAATCAGATTATTTCATCTTTTCCTATAGAGTTGTTTGAGCTCCTCATATATTCTGGTTATTAATCCCTTGTAAGATGGGTAGTTTGCAAATATTTTTCACCACTCTGTGTATTGTCTTTTCACGTTGTTGATTGTATCTTTCGCTGTGTAGGGTATTTTAACTTGATGTGATAACATTTGCCCCTTTTTACTTTGGTTGCCTGTGCTTGTGGGATATTGCTCAAGAAATGTTTGCCCAGACCAATGTCCTGGAGATTTCCCCCAGTGTTTTCTTGTAGTAGTTCCAGAGTTTGTGATCTAAATTTAAGTCTTTAATCCATTTTGATTTTATTTTTGCATATGGTGAAAGACAGGGGTCTAGTTTCATCCTTCTGCACATGGATATACAGTTTTCCCAGCACCATTTATGGAAGAGACTGTCATTTCCCCAGTGTATGTTCTTGGCACCTTTGTCAAAAATGAGTTCACTGTAGATATGTGAATTTGTTTCTGGGTTCTCTATTCTGTTCCATTGGTCTATGTATCTGATTTTATGACAGTACCATGCTGTTTTCATGTACCATAGCTCTGTAGTACAATTTAAAGTCAGGTAAAGTTATTCTTCCAGTTTTGTTCTTTTTGTTTAGGATAACTTTGGCTATTCTGGGTCTTTTGTGGTTCCATATAAATTTTAGGATTTTTTTTCTATTTCTGTGAAGAATGTCATTGGTATTTTTTTAGGGATTGTACTGAATCTGTAGACTGTTTGGGGTAGTATGGACATTTTATCAATATTAATTCTTACAATCCATGAACACGGAGTATTTTTTTTGGTGTTTTCTTCGATTTCTTTCATCAATGTTTTATACTTTTCATTATAGAGATCTTCACTTCTTCGGTTAAGTTAATCCCTAGTTATTTAATTTTATTCATGGCTATCATAAATGCGATTACTTTTTTATTTCTTTTTCGGGTTGTTTATTGTTGACATATAGAAATGCTACTGATTTTTATAGGTTGATTCTGTATTTTGCAACTTTACTGAATTTTTAGTTCTAAGGTTTTTTTGTGGAGTCTCTATGTTTTTCCAAATATAAAATCATATCATCTGCAAACAAGGAAAATTTGACTTCTTCCATTTATAATTCTTTTTTTCTTTAAGAACCTATTATTTCTTGGGCAGAAGCTTTCCTAAGAAATCACCCCATCTTGCCCCAGCTGAATGTATACCCCACTCAGGTATGCATTAAGCATTTGCAACCTCATCTGTCACAGCTGTGTCTGTAAGCATACTATTTCCTTGGATGGCCTGAGACAAGGTCAGGAGGCTACATTTTATACAGGGATGAGCAGCTAGACCATTTCATTTATCTCAAGGTTTTATACTTTTAAAATCACAAATTTCAAACAAGGTTGAGGAACTATGGTGACATTCTGTTTTCACTCTCATTGTTAAAGCATCTGGTGTGAGGTATTTTTACTTTTAGTTATTCTATAGTGTTTTAGAGTTTATTTGGATGGCTTTCACACTAGGAGTGCCTAGGGTGGGTGGTGGGCAACAATAGTAGAGTAGTTCCTGGTCCCTAACCAGAGGGGATCACAGTGGCTTACACTCAGCAGCCAGGCCCCTCGTGCTGCTCAGAGTTTGTGCTCAGCTTCCCCTGCAGTCCCTGTCACTGTGTCACTCAGAGCACAGAAGTACACAGCGGAGTCTGACTCTTGAACTGAGTCTTTCTCCAAGTGGAAAGAAGTGGTTTCTTTACGGTACATGGCTTCAAAACCTTTGTTCCTTCCCTTGTCATTGGCCTTCATGGCTTTCAGGTGGAGCTGTGGACCTTCTCCAGGATATTGGACATACCAAAAAAGGGAAGGGTACTGTGTGGTTTCATAGGAGCAGTTCACAATCAGGGAATCCCCTTCAGAGGGGAGCACTTGGCCTTCTGTCTGGACCACTGAATCTCCATTGATTCCCCCTGAAAAAAAAATAAACAAATTATACCAAGTTACCTTAGACGTGATCTTAGCTGTACCCGTTAGAGAAAACTGTGGTTACAGATTACATCAACATAATGGAACAAAAGATTCTAAGTTTTAAGTGCCATTTTACTTACCAAACATTAAGAATAGTGCAATCGCTGGTCCTGGAGAAGAATTCATTTTTAGACCCTCTGGTGCCCTTGGGTCTTGTCTTCTTAGTGTGAGGAAAAGTTAAGGTCACACTGAAGAAATGAGCGTGAGCAGGAAATGTGAATGTGTTAGGAAGATGCACCCCTTTGTGGGCAAGATCCTAAACTCAAAGGATTGTTGACTGTTCTTTCAAAAGTCAATCCTGTATCTTCACTTCTGGCTTTTTTTTTTTTTCTAAGACACCTATTAGCTGTCTGATAGTTCTTTGTATATCTAAAGAATAGTTGGTCTTTTTTATAACTCTGTTTTTTTTAACAGCACACTGTCTGACTTGCAAGTTCTTTTCATACCATGGCATTTCTGAGAATAATTCATTTTACCTTTTCTTATTTAGCCATCTTTGCCCAACCCATGATCCACTAAAATACCGTATTAGCACTTTTTTAGGATAAAACCAGAGGAATGTCAGTAGCACATGTTTAAACATTAGTAGATTATTTGAGATGAGAGAGACTTAAGCTTTTTTTCACTGCTGTATTCCCATACCTAGTACAATGTCAAACACTCAGCAGGTGGTTAGGAAACACTTCTTAAATACACAAATGCATGAATAAATGAATGGTCTTTGGTTGAGGAATTGTTACTACTTGAAATATCATATTGCTTCACATTTAAGGCATCAATTACAGAAATAAATTAATTGTAATTTCCAATTAATAAATTCTTTTCAAAGAAAAAAGGAAATTATATCTTGTGTATATATTGATTAAAAAGTAAAGAATATATAACTCTTATAATGAAAAAATATAGTAACTAAAGTCATTAAATCCCTACAAAATTATCTGGCATCACTTTCTTCTCCTGTAGGAGAAGAAATGATTCCCAGATAATGTGACTGGCCTATGTGCATGAGGCAAAGTGTTGTGATACTAACCTTTTAATGGAAATTTAGCCTTGATTATATACCCCCTACATATGTCCATCCACCAATACTATTGACCAATAGTTATTTTTACCACGGGATAAGATACTTAAATAATTTGGATTTGCCTCAAAAGACCAAAGAAAAAGCCCATCTCAGCTTCTAGGATTGGTAGAGACATGTCTGCTGATGTATAGAATCATAGCAAGGATGACACTTCTCTTCATGTAAGAGTTAGTTGGTGATCATCTTTAAAATACAGATTTGGAGATCTCCTCACTTACAAAATCAAAATGTTCAGAATCAAGATCCTGGAAGTTAAAAATCTCCTCAGGTGTTTGTCATACAGCCAGTGTTATACACATTCACAAAATAATCTTTGAGAACACTGACCTAAGCAGACAGACAAGGTATCAGTGAAGCACTTGTGGGATGAGCATGAGGAAAAAACTCCAATCCTCACAGATTCTCCTTTCATGGTAGTACTGAAGTCACAGTAGCTAAAACAATTGCTGTTAACTCTCACTATTCTTGTTTAGTCGACTTATAATAAAAATCTCTGGATGTTCCCAGGACAAACTTGGTAAGAAGGATGCTGTTTTTCTGTCAGCCCCACTACCATTTATCTTTGAACCTGGACGCCTTCCATTGTGCTTCCTGGAATATTCACTCTCCATGAATTCAGAGACAGCAGCTACATGGTTCTGCAGCAAGGTGTAAATGTTAACAAACTCTAAACTTGGGAAGAAAATTTAGATCTGGATATTATTTGGCTCTATACAAAGGCTCTCCTCCTTTTCCCTCTTACCCTGTGTCAGATCTCTGTGATCAAGCTGCATCTTCCTCCTTTTCCTGGTTCTTTTGGCCCATTCATCTAACTGACTCTACCTGAAGTCTAAACAGAAATATAGAGCAAGCAGTTTCACTGTTCCTAACTTTCTTTACTTTTTCCACGGAAACCTTGTCCTTAGTATTGTAACAACCCTCCATTCTTTTGAGGGAATCTATTTTCCACACCAGGTGTATTGGTCTATTCTTGCATTGCTATAGATACCTGAGACTCAGTAATTTATAAAGAAAAGAGGTTTAATTGGCTCATGATTCTGCAGACTGTGCAGGAAGCATAGAGGCTTCTGCTTCTGGGAGCCTCGGGAAGCTTCCAATCATGGTGAAAGGCAAAGCTGAAGCACGGCATCTTAAATGGCAGAAACAGGAGCAAGAGAGAGAGGGCAGGAAGGTGCCACACACTTTTAAACAACCAGATCTCACAAGAACTCACTCACTATTTCAAGAACAGAACCAAGGGAATGGTGTTAAACCATTCATGAATGGCCCACCCCAGTAATCCAACCGCCTCCCACCAGGCCCCACCTGCAACACTGGGAATTACAATTGAACATGAGATTTGGGTGGGGACACAGGTCCAAGCCATATCACCATGATTTCAAAAGGAGATGAATACCATAGAAGAACTGTAGCAGTAGATTTGAGTGAAATACGGTAGAACTGTGTAATCAATGAAAAAATGCTTAAGCAAATTCCCAGCTGATACTAGATTTATCCAAATGGTCTGACTGCAAGCCTCAGAAGCTCCGCTTCAAGGACTTGAATTTATACAGATCTGTTGTCAGTCGAGAGGCAGTCCGGCAAACAGAAATGCTGGGCGAGGTGTCAGCGCCACAGCAACGGAAAGTGATTGGCTCATGGTAATAAGAATTTACCCACAACAGTGTGGGTTTGAAAAGGAAAGCTTTATTAGAACCAGTGCTGCAGAGGAGTGCAGCAGGGCGCTTCAGCAAGAGCGGACTGAGCAAGCCACCGTGGATTTTTCCTTAGGAGCATTTATGAACCTTAAAGCAGGAGCTTAAGGGTAATTTGGACCATATTAGCCACCTAGGTCAGGATAAATGATTACATTTGTAGACATTTTGGTGCTTTGATGTCAGCAAGGGCTGCACAATAAGTTTCAACATACATGCATTCCAGAGATGTATAGAAATTCTAGTTACTTATACATTTTTGGGAAAGAAGCCCGGTACTAGATGCCTGCTTTTGATAATAGGGACGTCGATTAATAATTACTTCTGAATTCCTCAGACAAGGAGTTTTGCCTCTGGATGATCTGCTTGATGGCCACGAGGTGGTCCTCGGTCTCCTCATAAAACAATCCAAATATTTTCAGTAGAAAGACATTTAGAGTTCAGGCAGACAATGTGGTGAGAAGCAGCGCACTGAGAGGCAGGTGAGCTGGGGCCCTGCAAACCTCCTTCTCTCCCCACTTCAGTGAGCTGATGGCGGCAGCCTCTCTGGGCCCAGACCTCGCTGGGCTATAAAGCACTTTAGAACATCTAGAAATCCTGCTGCGCCTTGGCGAAGCCCTCACCGAGCTGCGGAGGACACCGTGCCTTTGGGAGGAAATGGATGTCGCAGAGGAAGAAGAATGGCGGCCGCCAGAAGGCGCTGAGGGCTGCAGTAGTTTGCAGAACCCAAGAAGGTGGGCCTAGAGACACAAGCTCAGGAACTTCATTATGCCATGGAGTTGCACAGATGCGGGTCCCGGGCTGACCACTTTGTCCCAGTTAGACAAGACCTTACCTCCTCCCAAAAATGCCAGAAATGATGGACAAAGGCCTAAAAGGGCCTAGAAGGTGAGCAGAGCCCCCACAAGGACAGGTGGAGTGGTTAGCAGGCCATTGCGTGGTTGCCGTTTGTTCTACCAGACCTTGATACCCAAAGAGAGAAATCACATGCCACATTTGGTGGACTGGAAATGCCCCCCACCATTTGGGAGGATTTACTGGCCTTTATAGAAGGCCCAGGTAAATAATATGAAAAAGCTGCTCTCAACTTTTCCCTCAACCTTTTAAAAGAAAATTTTTGCTCTACCTAGCCATTCTAGATTTTAAAAGGTTGCTGACGTATAATAGTTAGAAAATCACACGTCAGCCGAGCGCGGTGGCTCACACCTGTAATCCCAGCCCTTTGGGAGGCAGAGGCGGGTAGATCACCTGAGGTCCAGAGTTCGAGACCAGCCTGACCAACATGGGGAAACCCCATCTCTACTAAAAATACAAAATTAGCCGAGCGAGGTGGCACATGCTTGTAATCCCAGGAGAATCGCTTGAACCCGGGAGGCGGAGGTTGCAGTGAACCGAGATGGCGCCATTGCACTTCAGCCTGAGCAACAAGAGTGAAAGCCCATCTCAAAAAAATAAAATAAAATAAAGAAAAAAGAAAATCACGTCTTGTAAATGCCCATTTGTTCTTTTAAAAAATGGTAGAAAGCAAACGCCTTCTGGAAATGACTCTTTGAAACGAAAGTTGTTAGACGAGCTGTAGAAGTGACTCCAGGAGCAACACACCACCACGTTCATTCAGTGGGTTAGAGGCCATGGAGCAGAAGGCAGTGAGAATGAAGAGAAGGTTCTTTTCCAGACTGGTCATGCTTAGGAGACATTTTCATATTATAACCACTGCTTTATGTGCGCATTTTATTCCTCACTACTGTATATATTGTTGACAATGCTAAGAATTTTTTTGAAATATCTTGTCTTTCTTTTTATTTTTATTTATGTATTTTTTACTGTAAGTTCTGGGATACATGTGCAGAATGTACAGGTTTGTTACATAGGTATACATGTGCCATGGTGGTTTGCTGCACCTATCAACCCGTCATCTACATTAGGTATTTCTCCTAATGCTATCCCTCCCCCACTCCCCCTCCCCCGACAGGCCCTGGTGTATGATATTCCCCTCCCTGTGTCCATGTGTTCTCATTGTTCAACTCCCACTTATGAGTGAGAACATGCAGTGTTTGGATTTCTATTCCTGTGTTAGTTTGCTGAGAATGATGGTTTCCAGCTTCATCCATGTCCCTGCAAAGGACATGAACTTATCCTTTTTTCTGGCTGCATGGTATTCCATGGTGTATATGTGCCACATTTTCTTCATCCAGTCTATCATTGATGGGCATTTGGGTTGGTTCCAAGTCATTGCTATTGTGAACAGTGCTGCAATAAACATATGTGTGCATGTGTCTTTATAGCAGAATGATTTCTAATCCTTTGGGTATATACCCAGTAATGGGATTGCTGGATCAAATGGTATTGGTGGTTCTAGATCGAATCACCACACCATCTTCCACAATGGTTGAACTAATTTACACTCCCACCAACAGTGTAAAAGCGTTCCTATTTCTCCACATCCTCTCCAGCATCTGTTGTTTCCTGACTTTTTAATGATGGCCATTCTACCTTGCGTGAGATGGTATCTCATTGTGGTTTTGATTTGCATTTCTCTAATGACCAGTGATGATTAGCTTTTTTTTTCATGTTTGTTGGCTGCATAAATGTCTTCTTTTGAGATATGCCTGTTCATACCCTTCGCCCACTTTTTGATGAGGTTGTTTGCCTTTTTCTTGTAAATTTGTTTAAGTTCTTTGTAGATTCTGGATATTAGCCCTTTGTCAGATGGGTAGATTGCAAAGGTTTTCTCCCATTCTGTAGGTTGCCTGTTCACTCTGGTGATAGTTTCTTTTGCTATGCAGAAGCTCTTTAGTTTAATTAGATCCCATTTGTCAATTTTGGCTTTTGTTGCCATTGCGTTTTGTGTTTTAATTGTGAAGTCTTTGTCCATGCCTATGTCCTGAATGGTATTGCCTAGGTCTTCTTCTAGGGTTTTTATGGTTTTAGGTATTATGTTTAAGTCTTTAATCCATCTTGAGTTAATTTTTGTATAAGGTGTAAGGAAGGGGTTCAGTTTCAGTTTTCTGCATGTGGCCAGCCAGTTTTCCCAACACCATTTATTAAATCAGGAATCCTTTCCCCATTTCTTGTTTTTCTCAGGTTTGTCAAAGATCAGATGGTTGTAGATGTGTGGCGTTATTTCTGAGGCCTCTGCTCTGTATAGATCTAGTTTTTTTTGTTTTTTGGTGTGTTTTTTTTGGGGGGGTTGTTTGTTTGTTTTTGTTTTGAGACAGAGTCTCGCTCTTGTAGCCCAGGCTAGAGTGCAATGGAATGATTTCAGCTCACTGCAACCACCACCTCCTGGGTTCAAGCGATTCTCCTGCCTGAGCTTCCCAAGCAGCTGGGATTACAGGCACCCACCACCATGCCCGGCTAATTGTTTTGGTTTTTTTGTAGTTGTTTGTTTGTTTGTTTAGAAGGAGTCTCTCTCTGTCACCTAGACTGGAGTGCAGTGGTGTGCTGGGATTACAGGCGTGAGCCACCACGCCTGCCCTATCTTGCCTTTCTTGATGTTCTAAAGTGCTTCATAGCTGTCAAAAGTAGAGGTAGAAAATAACAAATTTTTTAAATATCTGTTTCTTAAAATTCATATGAAATGTTGACTGGGGGCTGGAGAGGGGAATGGCCAAACCACCTCTTGAGTAATACACATTATGTTTGTGTGCTGGCTCCTGGGAGGAGAAGGAAGTGTAAAGAGTTCTGTGGCAATGTGCTTACAATGAGGCAACATTAGCCATTGTCTCTTACGTCTGTGCATTTTGTTTTCCTTATCTGTGTATATAGTGTATATAAAGGACAAATTAATCCTAATTTATATCTAGTCTTTCTAGATGCTAAAGAGGTTACCAGTGTATGACAAAGGTATAGAGTTAGTAAACTAACTCTATCACATTATAGCATTAGTAGTTAATTCAATGCTACTCTGTGTATAACGGAAAACTTAAGTTCTTATATGAAAATCTAGTCTTTCTAGATATTTCAAAGTGTACATAACATATGTTAAAGTATGTACATTAAGACAGCTAAAGTGACACTCTTTGAGTATTTTTTGTGATTTCACAGGACTAGCTGCATTTGGGGAATGGAACTGTTAAACTTGATGTCTTAGAGAGGTTGCTGACTGTTCATTGTATGCTGGGAGATAGGGAGAAAAGGAAGTATGCAGAGAGAAGCTTTGTGCCTGTAAGTTAGATTAGTTCAGATCGTCTAACCATTGTTCTGTATGTGGTTTTTGTTTTTTGTTTGTTTGTTTGTTTGTTTTTTGTTTTTTGAGACGGAGTCTTGCTCTATCGCCCAGGCTGGAGTGCACTGGAGCGATCTCGGCTCACTGCAATCTCCGCCTCCCGGGTTCACGCCATTCTCCTGCCTCAGCCTCTCTGAGTAGCTGGGACTACAGGCGCCCACCACTACGCCTCGCTAATTTTTGTATTTTTAGTGGAGACGGGGTTTCACCGTGTTAGCCAGGATGGTCTCAATCTCCTGACCTTGTGATCCGCCTGCCTCGGCCTCCCAAAGTGCTGGGATTACAGGCGTGAGCCACCGCACCCGGCCCTGTATGTGTTTTTGTTAATATTGCTGTGTATTAAAAGATAAACAAGTCCTAATGCCCAAAGTATGTTAAAGGTAGAGGTAGTAAAATAACGCCTTTCTAAAAGTCCTTTTGTTCATTTTTAAGAAGGCCTATCTACTGGCAGTGACCTTTGTTAATCCTTCTTTTGGAGCTGGATGTAATCAGGTACTTAGTCACTAGAATGGTGAAAGAAGAGGAAGGATGGAGGGAAGGCCTCTTTGCTAATATCTCCATACTTAGGTGACTTTTTTGGATTTAACCATAGATTTATATATGCATTTTCTGTAACCTGCCTGTGTTTATTGTGGATAAAGTTCAGTCTTTATTTTGCAACATCTAAGCTTTATAGATGCCCTGAGGTGACAACGTATGAGAAAAAGTAGAGCTGGTGGATTAGCTACTTTGTAAATGTATTTTTTATGCTTGATAGAAAAGCTGCACCTTGGACATGGAATTGTTGTTAAACCACCTCTGAGCAGTGTATGTATCAGGATGTGTTCAGTAGATTGGCAGCTGAAGGGCAGAAGGAAGTATAAAGGGACAGGTGTAAGCAGATATGTTTATATTTACATTTTGATAATAGCTATTGATGTATGTGCATCTCTTTTGGCTGTACTATAGGAATACACTAAGTAATGCAATGAAAACATACCTTCTTGCTAATATTTAATAGTACAGATCAGAAAAAGAATTCTCTTAGAAACATTATACTTAGTATACTCTGTTGCTTTACATCTCTTTTTAAATTGACCATTAAAGGGAATGTGGTATTTTAATTGTAACTCTGACGGTACTTTTAACCTAGAGGCCTGTTTCCATTTTTGTCTTCTTTGAAATTTTTGTCCCCAAGAAAGGCAGGATTACTTTTTTTCTAACAGATTGAGTTGATGTGGTATATTCCTTGTTATCAAAATGCTCATATAGCCTTGGGATTTTGAACTGGTAAATATTCATGATGTGTGAAAAAACATCATATATACTGTATGATCTCAATCACACATAAAATTGGATGTTGTCTATATACATACACAGGACCCAGAAGGACACATCAAACTATAAAGTGCTTGTGATGGTGAATGACTTTGTTCTTTGCTTATTGTGTTTCTCAGCTTTCTATAATGCACATATTAACTTTCTAAAGTAAAAGTTATTTTTAAAACTCTTTTAAAAAGTAAGATTTAATACACAAAATTAGACATACAACCATTGGAGGGGCTAATGAACAAAGATGAGAAAGACTGATTACAGGAAATTTTGAGGTGTGATGCATCATCCAGCTGCCTGTGACACCAAAATGAGTGATTCTTAGGAAGAAACGCAGAAGTCAAACAAAGTCCTCACAGCTGGTAATCTGAGCTGCCTGCATACAGTCCCTACAGAAGAATAATGGTTTCTCTTTCTTTTCTACTTGCCTGATATTATTCCCAAATGCCTCTCATTTGTAGAATTAAAACTAAGTGAATGAAAGGGATTGTGTGAATTGTAGTTTGGGTTTCTTCCCTAGCAAAGCAAGGGAATATATTAAAGGGGACGAGAAAGAAGCCCAGTTGACAATGTGCAACATAGCACACTGGTGAACTAAGTAGCACACCAGTGAACTTGGCTCTTGGCTTTCTATGTTGGATTGTTCTATTGTTGATGTAGCTGCACTGGAAAATACAGTGCCCAGAATCCCCTTCTGAATACAAAAGAGCATTTACACAAGATTTGAAAGGCAGATGGGAAGCAGCAGCCATTGTCTTCCAAAGATCACCATTGAATACAGATGTTGAAATATGCAGTGGTCTTAGCTGGTTCCATTTTGTTATTGCTCTTCCCTGATGGCACTTGACAATAAATAGCCAGCTCCATAGCACATAAAATTACCATTATCACAATACTTCTCAAATGCTAAGTATATCACATAAGCTACTGCAACAACTTACACATGAATCCCATGCCAATTCACCACAATTAATAATTGTGATGCTATGATCTTTTAGCATCTCTATTACCACTGCACCTACTGCTAATAATGGGATCCTTGTTCCCTTCTGGCCATGAATAATTTAATTCCAAAATCTCATTCTATGTATTTGTTCTCTATGACCACTTCTGTACCAGATCTCTTATATTGGGTTCTTCCAGAAGCAAATCTTGAAAAAATGACTATACGTACTTTACTTGAGAAATGCAGGAAACACAGATAGAGAGGGCAGGATGTTATATAAGAAATAATAAGTGTTTGCAAGGGTGTAAAGAGACAGGAATTCTTCTGTGCTACTAATGAGGGAAAAATAGGTAAGAATATTTCAAGAGCAATTCGGCAATTGCAAGTACGTTGTTAAAGATGTGAATCATATAACCCAGCAAATGCCACTTCCAGGTGTATAACATAAAACATTCTATATCTATGTATAAGGAAACATAATTGTATTCCTTGTAGAATTTTTATAATAAAAGATCAGAAACACTCATTGAATAAAGGATTAACAAAATCTTTTCTCCTTCCACATGAAAAAAATTAGATTAACTTTCTAATCTCTATTTTTCTGGAAATCCAATAAAGGTAGAACGTCAGCTGGATTACCAAGTAAGATGGTTATGGTAAAAATGATCCTGACTGATAAACTGCATCTGAACTGTGAATGGACTGTGAATACTTTTTAAGATGTCATAGTTCTGGAGCAGTGACTTTTATAACTGTTACAGGAGATACCGGTTTCTATTTGGGGTATGGGGTTTCTAAGTCTGGATGGCCTGTTCGGTCTTATTCCCTCGCACCTTAGCACTTGACGTGGGAGGAGGGGAGGGAGGCATTGCAAAAAGAGTAATCTGTGAACTGTATAGACAGCTGAAAGGACTCCTCTTGAAAACACTCAGGGTATGAGGGAAACCAATACTTACGTGGCCTATTGAGCTTTGTAAATGTACAATCCAATGTGCATCAAAAGGGACATATAGTATATCCATAAAATGGAATAGTATGTATCAGCTAAAAGAAATGAAATATACTACATATATAAATTTTTCTATATCTGAAAAATATTTGAGGGAAGAAATCAAGTTTCACAATTACACATACAATTGGATTACATTCATGTAAATTTTAAAAACACAAAACACAGCACCACAGATTGTTTAAAAAATCTATGTTTGGAAATATGAAAACATGGAGTTGAGAAAAAAGTTCATAATAGGTTTATTTTGAGAGAGGGATGAAGGCATTAAAACTGAGGAAAAAAATAAAAGAGATGGCAATTTTGTCTGTAATGTTTTATTTATTTTTTAAAATTTGAAACTTTACATTTATGTATTTATTGATATCAAGAGATAGAAATAATATAATATTGTTTAAAATGTTACAGTCTCCTCATATGGCAAATATAATTGTGTTAGAAGTTAAATATTTCTACCTTCTCCTTAATATCTATATTATATAAAGTTATTTACATTTATAAAACAATCATATCAATAGAACTACTCTGACATCTCAAACAAGGTTGTTGGTGTGAGAGCAGAAAATGCATTTCCAGGTGCTTGAGGTTCTTGGTGCCAGCAGTTATATTTCCTCGGTACTGAGCTTCAGTTTGGAATTGAAAGAAATTGCCATTTGTCCTTCTCATATGTAGTGTATAAAGTACCTGCTTGCAGTCATTCTGGAACACAGGACTTAGCTGTGTTTTTAAGTCTTATGAAGATCATCAGTCTCTTGGGGACAGTAGAGAATATAATCTGAAGAACAAGACTTTAAATAAGTATATATTTCTTATCAATAATTTTATATATCTTACTTCATTTCCAGAAATCCCCCAAAGGTATATACCACAAATAGCCATAACACTATGACCTGAAAAATAATGCTGATCCCTACTGGTGTCCCCTTTGGCTTAGGTAAATCACTGGAAACAATCCACTATTATTATCTATATCTTCAAATTCCTATTCCTCTTACTCATGACAGCATCAGGAGGTACACAACAAAAAAGCCCAACCCTCCTCCTCCTCTTTCTCTTTACGTTTCTTCAAGTCATTATTAACCTTAAAGGCTTCAAGTAAGAAGCTTAAAAAGTGTTTGTACATTTTTTTTCTTCCTAACCAGGAGAAGTCATATATCTATCACATGCCCTTCGACCTTTTTATTCCCATTACAATACTTAATTAGAATGTCTTCAGGGGCCAGACATTGCTAAATTTTGCACACACTTAATTATGGCAGTGTTAAACAGATAAGAATTCGTTTCTAATATTCCAACTGTACAACCATATGAAACTGGAATAAGAGTAAAAACTAAAATAACATCATTTGGAAGAATTGGCAAAAGTTACTATTTCATCAATTTTGAAGATTTATAATGTGGATTTGCAGAATTTAAGAATCAAAAGAATAAGAATTGGTCTTTATAAGTGGGAAAAACAAAAAATAAATAGGACTTTCCAAGTAGACCTAGCATTTTGTTCCTCCTTAATAGTTCTTTACGGCCAGGCGCGGTGGCTTATGCCTGTAATCCCAACACTTTGGGAAGCCAAGGCGGGTGGATCACCTGAGGTCAGGAATTTGAGACCATCCTGACCAACATGGAGAAACCCCTTCTCTATTAAAAATACAAAAAAATAGCCAGGCAAGGTGGCACATGACTGTAATTGCAGCTACTTGGGAGGCTGAGGCAGGAGAATCGCTTGAACCTGGGAGGCGGAGGTTGCAGTGAGCCACGATCGCACCATTGCACTCCAGCCTCAGCAACGAGAGCAAAACTCTGTCTCAAAAAAAAAATAGTTCTGTAAAAACTACTAAGGAATTTGAGTTATTCACTCTCCTTTCTTCAGTTTTCCTGACAAGGTTACTAGACTGTACATGAGCATGCCATTGTTCTAAGCCATCCAGCATCCTAATAAATCTCCTCCTTCCTAAATGAAGCACTTAAAAAGGAGAGAAAATAATCAGCACAGAGTGCTGACTCCAGGGAAACTACTTTAAAATTACCAAGTTGAAAGAACAGTAAGTATGCAAGAAGATATGCTTACAAAAGGAAGTTCACCTTTTGTTCTGGATATTGAAAGATAAAATGGTGAATGAAAAGCAAAACTCTGTGCCATGTCACAATTTCCATACTCAACCATTTAAAATATAGCAACTTCACACTCACCTGGCAAGTCCCTGAGCATCTCTGTACTGTGGAATAAGAACATCATGGCTTCAAAAAAGAATGAGATCCTGTCATTTGTAATATAAACCAAAAACAAAATTCTCAGGCCTCCAACCATCTGAATGGACCCCTTCTCTCAGCCAAGGGCATTCCGAAGTTAACCTGAAAAAATAGTTCGGGCCACAATGGGAAGGGGTGATTGGACATGCCTCATTTATACCCCCCTCCCTTTTGGATTTCCCTTTTGGAATTTAAGGGCTGACTGGCATTAACATCAACACATATTTTCAGTCTGATAAAAACATTTACAATCTATTCTCTCTGAAGCCTGCTATGTGGAGGCTTCATCTGTATGATAAAACTTTGGCCTCCACAACCCCTTATTATACCCCAGATATTGCTTTCTATTGATAAACAATTGCCAATCAGAAAATTTTTTAATCTACCTATGATCTGGAAGCTCCCCTTCAAGTTGTACTGCCATTCCAGATCAAACCACTGTAAATCTTACATGTATTGATTGATGTATTATGTTTCCCTAAACTGTATATAAGCAACCTGTTCCCCAGCTACCTTGGGCACATGTTGTCAGGACCTCCTGAGGCTGTGTCACAGATATGTTGTTAACCTTGGGAAATAAACTTTCTAAATTGATTGAGACCCGTCTCACATGCTTTTGGGTTAGAGCAACAGCATGGATGGAACTGGAGATCATTACACTAAGTGAAATAAGCCAGGCAAGAAAGACAAACATTGCATGTTCTCACTTATCTGTGGGATTTAAAAATCAAAACAATCGAACTCATAGTGATAGAGAGTAGAAGATAAGGATGGTTTCCAGAGGCTGGGAACGATAGTGGGAGGGTCGGGGAGAGGAGGGATGTTTAACAGGTACAAAAAAATAGAAAGAATAAATAAGACCTAGTATTTGATAGCACAACAGGGTAGCTACAGTCAATAATAATTTAATTGTACATTTTTAAATAACTAAAAGTGTATAATTGGGTTGTTTGTAACACAAAGGATAAATGTTTCAGGGGATGGATACCCCATTTTACGTGATGTCATTGTTATGCATTGAATGCCTGTATCAAAATATCTCATGTACTCCATAAACATATTCACCTACTATGTATCCATAAAAATTAAAAATAAATTTTTTTAAAAATACTAACATCATGGTTTCTACTGTGACAGAATCCAAAATCTTTCAGAGGCAGTTATTCTCCCTAGCACCTTAGGAAGTTTGTGTTCAGCTCCCTTTGCAGTCCCAGACACTGTGGCATTCACGGCACAGAAGTACTCAGCTGTGTCACTCCACTGCACAGAGGGTTTCCTCAGATTAAAGGAGAATTTACTCTTTATAAATTCAGCCTCAAAGCCCTTGATGCCTTTAACCAGTGGATCCCCTGAAAAGTACTTGAGGAGAAGCTGAAGGTGTTGACCAGGGTACTGGACATACCAGAAGAGATTAACAGTTCCACCATAGGAATAGTTGCATCCCAACTCCAGTGAGGCTGCTTCAGAGAGAATTACGTGGTGGTTATGCTGGCTCACAGACTGGGCTCTGGCATCTCCTGAAAAAATCAATGTTGTATCAGTGAAAATAGTGCAGACTTGTCTATGAAAAGTATTTCTACTAAGATTTGAATCAGAAAACAGTTACTTCTGTGGAACTAGAGACCATAATAGAATGTTACTCACTCAGGGCAAAAATCATCCCCAGCACTGGTATGAGCAACAGGAGCATGGCTGAGCTGTGGAAACACTGCAGGCGTCTCTTTGGAAATTCTCCTCGGGGCCAGTAGGAAAGTGGCTGGAACCCAGGTCTTGAGAATAGCGAGCGTGAGGAAGGTTGGGCTAGGCAAGTCTCTTGTTTTGGTAAGAATACAAAATCTGCTGAGATAATCTTAAGTGCTTTTCAATCTTTGATTCTCTCCATTTGTCCCATCTTCAAAGAACTCCAGTGACGGTGCTTCAGTAAGCCAGCTGCAGGAAGAAGGGGCTGAGCAGAAAGTGTTTGTTGATCATCATTGGAAACAGCCATCTGTCCCTTGTGCAACGTCACCCTCTGGAGGCCAGATTCAGGACTGAGGATACAGACTCCCCACAAGAAGTGAACCTGTGCTTTCCTTGTTTGGAGACATGTCAAAAACTTCCAGTGAACATTTCTTTCTTCCCTAATCTGTACTGTGTTGCCCTCTGTAGTATATTACATTAATCCTAGCCTCAATGAAAAATGAGGACTGTAAAAGAGAGGAGGAATTTACAGAGAAAAAGATCTCACAATGAATCTAGCAGATTTTGGAGTCCCTCAGTATCTTTGTATAAAAGCTGTGGAGACATCCTTTAAGCAAAAATAGTTAGATCAACTCTTCTGACTGAGCTTTAAATGGTCTTGTTGCAGTGAGCATCAGGTTGAGAGGAGGTTGCGGTAGGATGTGGAGATACCTACTTTGGTAAAATTAAAAATAAGATCAGATGTACAAAATAAAAGTCTAGTGTTATGCGCATCTGTGAAGAGACCACCAAACAGGTTTTGTGTGAGCAATAAAGCTTTTTAATCACCTGGGTGCAGGCAGACTAAGTCCTAAAAAGGAGTCAGCAAAGGGAGATGGGGTGGGGCAGTTTTATAGGATTTGGGTAGGTAGTGGAAAATTACAGTTAAAGGGGGTTTTCTCTTGCGGGCAGGGGCGGGGGTCACAAGGTGTTCTGGTGGGGAACTCCTGAGACTCATTGTCCAGGAGAAGGAATGTCACAAGTTCAATTGATCAGTTAGGGTGGGGCAGGAACAAATCACTATAGTGGAATGTCATCAGTTAAGGCAGGAACTGACTATTTCACTTCTTTTGTGGTGCTTCAGTTGCTCCAGGCCATCTGGATGTATACGTGCAGGTCACAGGGGTTATGATGGCTTAGCTTAGGCTCAGAGGCCTGACACCTAGAACATGAGCCCTCATCTAGGAAAAGAAAGTAGGATTATCTTTGTCTTCTTCAAGCAGAATTACAAAGATACAGTGGCTTTAGATCAACAAAAATTATAATATGATATTCAGATAAGAGAGTAAAATAACATTGCTATTTGCTGGGAACATAACCAGAGTATTACACCCAATTCTGGGTACTACATCATCAAGACATCATTGATAGACTTTAGTATCTACAGAAAAAACTGAGAGGATTGATGAAGGCATTGCAAAGTAAAATATAAATAATTTCTGAAGGAACTAGGGACAGAGTAAAAATACATTTGCATTTACCCTGGAATCCAAGAAGGAGTACCACCAGCAGACCAGAGCTAAGAAAAACATCTAAAAGAAAAAAAGATATGTGAGCTGTTTGATCATGAAATCTGACATAGATAGGCAACCAGTAGTTTTACATAAATGAGTCAAGTCTTGTAAAACAAGATAGTGTTGATTGTGGCAATAGCAAGGCTGTCCTTCTGAAAGAAGCCTGTTCTTCTGAAAGAGGCCTTTTCTTCCCTCCCACTTCAGCCTGTAGACCCTGGGGCTAAACGAGTAACTGTCACACCAGGAGATCAATTTTAGGGAAAATGAGAAGAGAGAAACACGCTGCCTTTCCTCAGGGCAATAGGGACCTTTTTCTAAAGTTAGAAAGCATCTTTTCTGGGACTGTGATTGTTTCTAGCAACAGGAAATCAAATCTGTCCTTGGGATTCTCATTGCCTTGCTTCTTTTTGCCTGTAGATTGTCTCTCACTTATAAGAAGTCCATGAATAATGCTTCTAATTCCAGATATCAGATGACCATACCTGCTCACTGCCTATCTTTCCAAAATTCCCACTGATAAAAGAATAAAAATGTAAAGGAGATGATGACTTAACTACAGAAGTGGAAGTCATGGGGAAAAAACACAAATATGAGAGACTACAATATAAATTGTAATGAGTAACCCTTCAATCTGGCATTGGTGCACTGGTGGAGAGTGGGGAGGAGTTTGAGGGGTTCAAGAGTGAGGAGGTTGAAAGCAGCATCAAACCCTTGTTCACATATTCTAAATAAAAAGCTGCAAATTGACATACGGTTGCTATAACAAGTTATCACAAACTTGATGTCTTAACAAGACAAAGTTATTTTTACAGCTCTGTGGGTTAGAAGTTCAACATGAGTCTCTTTTGAGTTAAAATCAAGTTATCAGCATTATAACTTTCTGAAGCCTCTAGGAGTGAGTCTGTTTTCCAACTTCTAGAGGCTGCACATATTTCTTGGTCTGCAACCCCTCCCTCCATCTTCAAAGCCAGCAATGTTTCATCTCTTTGATCATTCAACCATAGTCACGTCTCCCTCTGACCACAGCAGGGAATGTTTCTCCAATTTTAAAAACCCATGTGATTAGACTGAGTCCACCTGGATGATCCAGGCTAATTTTCCTATCTCAAGGTCCTTAGCTAAATCACATCTTCAAGGAAACCTATTGGAAAACAGACCTACATAAACAATGACACAGGAAATACCTGTAGCTGTATAGTCCTTCCTTCTTATAATATGAAGGGACAGCAGGGAGGACTAGGCCTCAGTATAAAGCAAAAAATATAAATATCAAGAAAAGAATCAGAAACCCTGATGCAAAGGGAAACAAAATTCTAAGAATAAAAGAGAACGTTCAAAAATATCTAGTTACATGTAACCTAAAAGAATCAACAACAAAAATTCAACAACCACAAAGAGCTCTTTAAAAACTAAACTATTGTTGCCAAAACTTTATAAAAATCAGCAGATGGTCTGAAAAACAAAATTGAGAAAATCTCTCAGGACACAGAAGAAAAAGAGTCAAAAATGCACTGAAATATACTACTACATAGAAAATCAATCTTGGAGATAAAACAAGCAAATAATATTTGTCCTAGAAAAAAGAACCAGAAGAGAGAGATTTACTAAAGAAGTGATAGAACAAATTTTCCCACAACTGAAGGACATTGCATATTCAGATGAAAATAGCCCGCAAAGTGTGATTATCACTGAATTAAAAAGACTTACACTTAAACGTATTCTAGCAAAACTAGAACACCAAGGATAAGTTGGGAAAAAATTCCAGATGTGTATGGAGATAAAAGTAAAAAAATCTCCAATTGGGGTAACCCACTGGAATTAGATTTCTCATCAGCATCAACAAATATTAGATTCTGATGAAAAATTATTTGGAAAACTAGAATTTTAAACTGAATTGGGCACAGGAGCTGATGGACTTAACACTAGAAATATAGAATTTCACTTAATCCCCCTGTTTTGCCTATGGCACCTCATTTCATCCTCAGATATCTCTAGTATTCTCTAATCCAGAGACTGTCTAGTTCAAAATAATCAGATTCAACCTTTAATCTTCCACCAGATTTGAGGTAGCTTGCAGCCTGTGGTACAGTGTGGCAAAGGACATAGGAGGGTTACACTGGGTTCCAACTGCTCCTTCTTGAGGCTAGTCTTTCCATTAATCTTCCTATTTCTTTCCCATCTACCCTCCACACCTGATGCCTTTTTCCCCATCAAAATTGATGCTTCTAATTCTTGAGCATTTCCAGAATGCTGCAGAATGCACAGGACTGCTGTCTCTCAGCTTTCCCCTCTACAGGCACAGGTTTTCTCTCTTGGTTAAACCAGTTTGTCACCTCTCCATTTGCTTTCAACGCCTTCAACGTTATGTTGATCTCTCTTGTGCTGTCACCATCTTTTCAGTTCACTTTGTGTTTGTATGTTCATACAGGCTTTGAACTTCTTTATTAGCATTTCACTAGGGCCTCAGGAGGGAGCAGAGAATAAACATGAATATTTAATCAACCATGTTCAACCAAAAATCTGGAACTTTTTAAAATTGTACAGTTTTTCTCTCTTTCAAGTTTTGCATTTACCCATGCACATGTAATATTTTATTAAAAGAGAATTTTAAAAATGTAAACTAAGAAGGCAGAACTGGTAAAAAAAAAAAAAAGGTAGAAAATAAAATTAGAGAGGGGTTATTACTTCAGCTCATTCATAAGACTCAGAGAGAGGGTCAGTGATAAAAGAAAATGTTAGAAAAAACTTAGGAAGGGAAACAGAGAAAAGGGGAAGATTGAGGATAAGGACCCTTCGCTGATAATAACATTTTTAGGGACTTTTACAGTTGCTTCACTTCAGTCCCTGAGCTATTGAGACACCATGAATGGCTCTATCATCCTCCTGTCTTAACAAGCACCATTCTCCTTGAAAATAAAATTCATTTTTATGGATCAAAATGAATATTCATTAAATGCCTGTACTAGACAAGAAAAGTTACTCCAATATTTACAGAGACCTCAGGTATATCTGCAATGCAATTCAGAGAGTCGTACTCTTTCTCCTCCATTTTCTTCCCCTACCCACATGGCTACCTTAAACTTCTTTCTCCTTGAGGAGAAGGAAAGGCTCACAAGGAGTTGAGGAAGCTATAGCATTTCCCCCATCCACCATTCCTGAGCTATACTGCCATGAAGAATTTGAGCTTGAGTGTTCTCCTTCATCAGGCTCTACGGCACCACCCATCTGTCTCAATTTAGGATTTGCTTTACTAAGCCAGCTAACCAATATATAGTGAGAAGGAGAGAAGGGGGAAAGGAATGTGTGTAGGATTTGGACGTGAGCCACTTCTTCATGTCTTCTTGAGCCACAAACAAATTATGTGCTTGTTTTCACTTTTCTGAGGGCACCATTTCATGTCTGCTATTTGATTTGTAACAAAACAAACTATGACAAATGTCACTCTCAGTCCATTCTTTGTTTACATGTGGTACTCTCTTTTTCCTCCTTCTTCCCTTCTATTTTCTCCTTTTTTAACAACTAGTTGCGTTGGGGTTCTTCCTTATGTGCTCTAGGAAATAACCCTCCCTCTTCCAGGGAGACATTATGCAGATGCAACCTTACATATTTCATGTTGCATCTCTAAAGAGAAAACAATATACTATACATCACTATTTCTTTAGGTGCCCTTGGTCAAAGCCACAGGGCTGAACTTAGTAAGAAGAAGACAGAGCTTACTTCACTGATCTCTGGAAAAGGATGTCAGACCCTGTTTCTTCTTTCTACAAGGAGAGTTATGCTCAGGCCATATTCACTTCCCGTTCTTCTGCTGTGTCCTTAGAGTCGATGTAGGTGATCTTTACATCTGCTAGAGTGTCTGAAGGTCAAACCACAGTACGTTTTCCTTAAACCAGCAAGAGTCATGCAGCAGCTCCTCAGCAGCAAGGTCCTGCCTGGGCCACTGAACCTTGTCTCAGCTCGCCTGCAGCCCCACTCGGTGTGTTTGGCTCACAGCACAGCATGAAGCAGCCACATCTGACACTTAAGCTCAAAGTTTCTCCCACTGAAAGGTGTTTTTTTTTTCTTCGTGATATGTGACTTCAAAGTCTTTGTTGCTTCCATTCTCATTTTCCTTTGCAGTTCTCAAGAGGAGCTGCAGACTTTCACCAGGATATTGAACATAACCAGAAAAGGGTAGGTTCACCATGGTGGCATAGGAAGAGTTTACAATAGGGAGAGCTCCTTCTGAGAAGGCCACTAACTTTCTATCCAGGTCCCTGAGTCTCTACTGCTTCCTCCTCAGAAATAAAAAGCTGCATATCACCCTGAGTTTGAATTGGACAAAATTGTGGTTATTATACTGACATAACAAATTTTAAAAATCCAAATTTTAACAGGCATATTATTTTCCCCAAACTTACCAAACATTACGAGTGTTGTAATCGCTGGACCTGGTGAAAATTCCATCTTTAAAACCTCTGGCATCCTCAATTCTTAACTGCATAGCATAAAAAATATTGTCATCTCAATAAAATGCTGAACATGAACCTAAGATTTTAGCAGGAGATGTATTTGTTTTCAGAAGCTGTGCCCCCTCACAGGCAAGGGACTACACTGCAAGGAACGTTTTCTCCTGAAAGATAGTGCCACATGCTTACCTTGGACCTCATTTTCAAGTCACATTCAGCTGCCAGGTGACCATTTTCAAATCTGAAGAACACCTGTTGCTATTTATTCAGAGGCTTATTTTATTCCCAGGACACTGTCTGTATTAGTCAGGGTTCTCCAGAGAAACAGAACCAATAGGATGGATAGATAGGTGATAGATAGATAGATAGATAGATAGATAGATAGATAGATAGATAGACAGACAGACAGATAGATAGATAGGTGATAGATAGATAGATAATAGATAGATAGATGATTGGTAGATAAATAGATGATTGGTAGATAGCATTTAGTATAGATGGCATATAAAAACATGTACATACATAAATTATTTTCACATAGGGGATTAAACATATGGGTGATGTTGATTTGCTTCCAAAGACTGGAAAGCAAGTTCAAACACTCTTCTACCACATGGAGACATGGTAGCTGATGTTCAGAAGCATCTTACAGCATGGGTTCTTGAACCTAGCTTTGCATCACAATCAGCAAGGGAGCATAGTAAAAATGCAGATTCTGTGATCCACCTTATTCATACTGACATAACCTCTATGAGACTGTCCTGGGGAAGCTGTGTTTTTAAAAAGTTCCCTCAGGTGATTTATGTTGTAGTCATGACTTTTTAAAACTTTTATTTGAGTTTCAGGGGTATATGTGCAGATTTGCTATATAGGTAAACTGCATGTCTCAGAATTTGGTGTGCAGATTGTTTCGTCACCAAGGTGATGAGCTATATTAGTCCGTTTTCGTGCTGCTAATAAAGACATACTCAAGACTGAGTGATTTATAAAGAAAAAGAGGTTTAATGAACTCACAGTACCACGTGACTAGGGAGCCCTCACAACCATGGCAGAAGGCAAAGGAGGAGCAAAGTCCCATCTTACGTGGTGGCAGGCAAAAGAGTCTGTGCAGGGGAATTCTCCTTTATGAAGCCATCAGATCTCGTGAGACTTATTCGCTACTGAGATGGGATAGTTCCCTTGACCCTTTGGTGGGCAGGAACTGGAGTGCACCAGCTCTGGGTCCAGCCAGCCACTTCAGCGCCTGCAGGGATGAACTTCGCTTGCTCAAACCTGCTGTGCTGAACCCCTCACAGAAATGAGCACGTAGGCAAGTGGGTGCCAGGGCTGAGGTGAGTGCTTTTGGGCTCTGGCCCCACGGCAGCATTTAGGGGTTTGTTACAGTTAATGCTCTTTTAGCTTTGCCATCTTCGGACAGCTTAAGTGTTAAACATCTCAGTGAAGAGTCAGAGTGACAGCCTTTTTGGGTTCCTGCACCTAGTGCATCTCGAATTCTCGTCCGGCGTCGAGGAAGAATCAGGTCACTCTAATGGTTTGAAAGGTGATGAATGTGGAGGATTTTATTAAGCAATGGAAGTGGCGCTCAGTGGAAGGGGAGCTGGAAAGGAGATGGGTGTGGGAAGAAGGTGATCTTTTTCCCTGAAGCCCAGCCATCTCTGGCCAGGCTCCCCTCTGAAGTCATGCCGTCTGAAGTTAAGCCATGTCTATCCATAGTCTCCGACACTCAGTTGCTTCTTCTCCTCTCAATGTTCAGCTGCTTGTCCCTTTGCCAGCTGACGTCTGAGGTTTATATGGGGCACAGGATAGGGGGGCAGGTTGGGCCCAAAAGGCAACATTTCGGTGAAAAAACTGAGATAACTGTTCTCATTTAGGGCCACGGTTTCCAGTCTAGAGGGTGGGGCCTTTACCAGGGAAGCACCTTCTTCTACCCAGTATTTCCCTGCCTCCTGTTCGTATCACTGTTACAAGAATAGCACAGGAAAAACCCACACTTTTCATTAGTCAATTACCTCCCACCAAGTTCCTCCCATGACACAGTGGGAATTATGGGAGCTAAAATCAAGATGAGATTTGGTTGGGGACACAGCCAAACCATATCATAGGCATAGTACCCAAAAGATAGTTTTTTGATCCTCTCCCTTCTCCCACCATCCAGCCTCAAGTAATTCCTAGTGTCTGTTGTCCACCTCTTATTTGTCTGTGTTTTCTTGTTGTTTAGCTCCAACTTGTAAGTGAGAGCATGTGGTATTTATTTTTTCTGTTCCTGCCTTAGTTTGCTTAGGATAATGGCCTCCAGCTCCACCCACATTGCTGCAAAAGACACGATCTCATTCTTTTTTATGGCTACATAGTATTCCATAGTGGATATGTACCACATTTTCTTTATCCAGTCTATCATTGATGGACATTTAGGTTGATTCCATGTCTTTGCTATTATGAATAGTAATGCAATTAACATATTCATGCATGTGTTTTTATGATAGAACAATTTATATTCCTTTGGGCATATACCCAATAACAAAATTGCTGACTCAAATGGTAATTCTGTTTTAAGTTCTTTGAGGAATCATCACATCACTTTTCACGATGGCTGAACCAATATACATTCCCACCAGCAGGGCATAATCTTTTCTCCACAACCTCACCAGCATCTGTCATTTTTTTACTTTTTCATAGTTGCCATTCTGACTGGTGTGAGATGGCATCTCACTGTGGTTTTGATTTGCATTTCTCTAATGATTAGTGATGTTGAACATTTTTTCATATCCTTGTTGGCCACTTGTATGTATGTCTTCTTTTGAGAAGTGTCTGTTTGTACCCTTTGCCCACCTTTTAATGGGGTTTCTTGTTTTTTGCTTATAAATTTGTTTAAGTTCCTTATAGGTTCTGGATATTAGACATTTGTTGGATGCCTAGTTTGCAAAAATTTTATTCCATTTTGTAAGTTGTCTGTTTATTCTGTTGATAGTTTCTTTTGCTGTGAAGAGGCTCTTTAGTTTAATTAGATCCATTTTGTCAATTTTTTGTTTTTGTTGCAAATGCTTTTGGTGTCTTTGTGATGAAATATTTGCCAGGTCCTATGTCCAGAATGGTATTTTCTAGGTTATCTTTCAGAGTTTTTATAGTTTTAAATTTTGCATTTAAGTCTTTAATCCATCTTGAGTTGATTTTTGTGCATGGCATAAGGAAGGGGTCTAGTTTCAATCTTCTTCATATGGCTAATCAGTTATCCCAACACCATTTATTGAACAGGCAGTACTTTCCCCATTGCTTATTTTTGTCGATTTTGTCAAAGATCAGATGATTGTAGATATGTGGCATTATTTTGGGGCTTAGGACTGCCTTGGCTATTTGGGCTCTATTTTTGGTTCCATATGAGTTTTTTTTTTTTAATGGAGTTTCACTTTGTCACCCAGGCAGGAGTGCAATGGCATGACCTCGGCTCACTGCAACCTCCGCCTCCTGGGTTCAAGCGATTCTCCTGCCTCAGCCTCCCGAGTAGCTGGGATTACAGGACCCCACTGGCACACCTGGCTAATTTTTGTAATTTTAGTAGCAATGGGGTTTCACCATGTTGGCCAGGCTGGTCTCGAACTCCTGACCTCAGGTGATCTGCCAGCCTCAGCCTCCCAAAGTGCTGGGATTACAGGCATAAGCCACCATGCCCAGCACCGTATGAGTTTTAAAATTGTTTTTTCTAATTCTCTGAGGAATGTCTTTGGTAGATTGAGAGGAGTAGCATTGAATCTGTAAATTGCTTTAGGCAGTATCAGCAATGGTTTTTAAAATGCCATTTTGGAACAGTGAGCTAGAGGAGCATCAAAGATTCAAAGACAAGGTTCTGGCATTGTGGAAAAATGCTCCCAAGCTGCTAAACTCTCAGCTCATGGTAAAATAAATAAACACTATTTAGTTCCTTCTTCTTGCCTTTTGTGCTTATGAAAAAAATGGAATACTATGCAGCCATAAAAAATGATAAGTTCATATCCTTTGTAGGGACATGGATGAAACTGGAAACCATCATTCTCAGCAAACTATCGCAAGGGCAAAAAACCAAACACTGCATGTTCTCACTCATAGGTGGGAATTGAACAATGAGAACACATGGACACAGGAAGGGGAACATCACACTCCAGGGACTGTTGTGGAGTGGGGGGAGGAGGGAGGGATAGCATTAGGAGATATACCTAATGCTAAATGACGAGTTAATGGGTGCAGCACACCAACATGGCACATGTATACATACATAACAAACCTGCACAATGTGCACATGTACCCTAAAACTTAAAGTATCATAATAATAAAATAAAATTTTTAAAAAATGGTAAATGCTGAAGAGAGAGAGAGAGAGATCATTGCTCTGAAAAGCCATGTAAAGTTTTATCCTTAGACAAGAAAGTAGTATATTTCCTGCAGAATCCACTCTCCTGGATTTGTTTAGGTCGAAGCATCGAGACTCTTTTCCTTCTCCCTCCTCCTTTGTGCCTTATCTTCATGAAGGTCAGAACCAGTGTGTCCCTCTTCCCCTGTTCCTTGGACCTTTGTCTGTAATCCGTTTAGCTTATATGAACAGCACACCTATAAGGTGAAGAGACTCTATTTTCATAATGGCTTCACCTTTTTGAGTTAACATAGTTTCCTTTGATGTCCACACTGTCTCTTTCTGTGGGGGAAATCCTGTTCTTCTCTATGAGTTTATGTAGAGAATATATCTTAGGAATTATACCAGTAGGTTTGAGTGAAATATGTCAGAACCATATGATCAAGGACACAAATTGCTTATTTTCCCAAGTAACAGTGGGCTTTATTAGGAACATCTGATTTCTAGCACCCAACAATTGTAATCCAAGGATTTAGATTAAATAGGGTAAAGTCAGGGAAACTGAATTCTCTCTTGGCATTTAACATACAGCATCAGAAGCTTCTCAACCATTGGAAGGGCAGGGAAACACAGATCAAAACAGGTGCTCATGGGAAATCTACCTACCACAAGAAACCTGCCACCAGTGACCCCAGTTTTCTGCAGCATCAAAGAGATGGAGTCTCTGAAGGATCCCAGGAATCAAAAAGAAAAGCCACTGTCAGTGACTTTGCTGTCTATCCAAAACAGTTATTGAATGAGTGTGTGCCTCTCATTGCTAATTTTTTACTTATTCATTGCTAATGTAAGGATACAATTTATTGATTGTTTTAAATCCTTGCAAAATAAGGTTTTTTAGTTAAATAATTTTTATTGAGGTAGAGTTTACACACAGGGAAATGCACTGATCTCAAATGTACACTGAAGTTTTGACAAATGTATATACTCTTGAAATCAACACCCCAATAGAGTAATAGAACACTTTCATTACCCCCCAGAAAATGCTACACCACCTTCTACTGGATCTCCACCCTGCACAGACAAGCACTTTTTAAAATTTCTATTCACATATATTAGTTTTACATGTTCTTGAACTTTATATTTAAAGAACCATACACTTTTTATTGTTCCATGTTTGTCTTATTTCAATCAACTAAAATTTTTAAATTCGTTTACAATGTGGTATATGTCAGTAGTCTATTTTTTACTGCTGAGTATGAATAAATTACAATTTGGTGCTCCATTTTCTTATTGATGAACATTCGAGTTGTTTCCAACTTGGAACTATTATGAATAAAGCTTCTATAAATATTCCTGTACAGGAAAGTGGATTTTTTTTTTTTTTACATTTCCCTTGGGTAAATGCCTCAAAAGATACTTGCTGGATCATAGGGTGAGTATTTTCCAATGTGGCTGTATCCATTTAAACCTATATGAGTAAGGCATGTTCTAGGGACTCTACATTCTCACCAAAATTTGGTGTTGTCAGTCTTTTTAATTTTAGCCATGAGTATGAAGTGATATCTCATTTAATTTACTTTTTTTTTTTTTTTGAGATGGAGTCTCACTCTATCACCAGGCTGGAGTGCAGTGGCGCAATCTCGGCTCACTGCAACCTCCGCCTCCCAGGTTCAAGTGATTCTCCTGCCTTAGCCTCCTGAGTAGCTGGGACTACAGGTGTGCGCCACCACACCTAACTGATTGTTGTATTTTCAGTAGAGACAGGGTTTCACCATGTTGGCCAGGATGGTCTCAATCTCTTGACCACATGATCTGCCCGCCTTGGCCTCCCAAAGTGCTGGGATTACAGGCATGAGCCACCGTGCGTGGCCACATTTCTTTTATGACTTAAGACATAGAACAAACTTCCATTTGTTTATTGACTGTTCCTTTGTCTTCCTTGTAAAATGCGTATTCAAGTCTTTTGCATGTTTTTTATCGTTACTATAAAGTTGTAGTCGTTCTTTCTATATTCTGGATATATTGCAACTCTCCTGGAGATCACAAAAGAATTAAAAACCTACCACACTTTTGGATAGGAAGACTTGCCATAATACTGCCGTCATTTTATCTAAGTTAATTCATATATTTTACCCTAAGTTAATGTATACTTTTAACAAGATCCCAGAATCATATTCATTTCAATTTATGGCAATGGCTATTCCTCCTGGATATTCAGGGCCTGTAGACTTCCCCAGCTCTGGGCTGTTTGCACCTGTTCAGGACAGCAAGGCCACTGGAAACCTAGGGTTTGATGTTGTCAGTCTTTTTAATTTTAGACATAGGTATAAAGTAATATTTCATCGTGGTTTTAATTTACATTTCTTTTATGACTTAAGACATAGAACAAATTTCCATGTGTTTATTGGCTATTCCTTTATCTTCCTTGTAAAATGCCTGTTCAAGTCTTTTACATATTTTTAATTGGCACTATAAAGTTGGAGCCATTCGTTATGTATTCTGGATATAAAGAACTCCTACAGCATTGGCTCAGTGGACTGAGCTTCTCCTTTCTCCTTTCTGATGGTTTCACAAATTCCACTTAGCCTGTCCTGAGCTGGGTCCCCAAAAGAGCATCTAGAATCTACAGTAACAGAAAGCTACTCTACAAATTATTTAAAATAATGTCCAATGTTTAGTGCTATTCATCAATAGCATCGTATTTGATATTTTATTTGAACTCCACAATTCCATTAAATAAAGGGTCAGGCTTTATAGATTTGTTTTATTTATGACAGCCTGTAGCACTTCACTTTCCAGACTTGTTTGGAAATGGCCAGATGATACCGAAAACCACCTGGCATTTCTCCTCAACTCTGGCAGACAATACCTCAACATGTGAAGCCAATTCTTGACCCACAGATTCAAGCAGCATTCAGCTGTCCCCAATCTTTAACCATGTTTCCATGAGAAAAATGATTGATGAAGATGAAACTAAACTCTTGCTGCAATTTCTCGGGAACCTCTAAATCCTAGGCAGACTTGGTTTCCCCTTTGTGTATCCCAGAAACTTAGGAAACATGAGCTCTATGATGGCTTATCTGCTATGTTCAATACCAATGCATCCCAATGACTAAAGAGTACCTGGCACATATCAGGAGCTGAGAGATACTTGTTCAGTGGGTGAGTAAATGAAAACCACTGCTACAGCATTTTTCACATATGATTCCAACCATTGTAGTTCCTTTGTCAGATTTTACAGTAGAAAAACAACAGTCTTCAAATTTCTTTGACATGTGTTTCCACCAGGCCTGAGAAGAGAACAAGTGCTCTCTATGCTAGAAGACTGACCTGGGCACTAAAGGATTCTGCTGAAGATAGGAAGGGTCAGGATTGATCAATTCAAATAAGGCACAAAGACGGTCTTTGTGAAGGGTGGCCTGATAAAAGATACATGAGTCAAATGAACAGCACCCTTTATCTCCTCCCCTCTCTGGTCATACTCATGCCTTAGTTCTTCACGTCTACTCAGGCTCAGGGCCCCTATTGCTGATGCTTCTGTTATGGTACTTCTACCCAGCTGCATGTTTGGATACAGGTTGCAGGTGCCTAGGGAGTACTGTGCATCTACAGCACAGAAATAGGTGGCTGAATCTTCAGGCTGCACGGCTGTAATGTACAAGCTGCTTCCATTCTTCAGTAATGTAGCATTTAGTCTTCCTTTCTGCTTCTCATATCCAGCTGAATACATGGATAATAGGTGTTTGGGACCCATCCCTGTATTTTGCCTGTACCACTGCAAATTGTTAAAACGACTGACAGAGTACGTGCAGCTCATGGAGGCAACGTCTCCCTGCTGGGGTCCCAGAAAATGAGGGCTGTGCTCCACCTGGTTTTCTCCATTTGCCCCTATTCAGAAAGACATCAGGTACAATATGTACATTTTAATTTAGACCTTTCATAATTTTATTTCTTAATCTCAAACAAGCAATGACAAGTAAGTCCAGACTACATCCCCATCTCCCCAAAAGGACTTGAATAAATGTCTCCTGGGGTCCCCAGTTCTTAGAACCCTCAACTTACAGCCAAGACATAGACAAAATATAATTAGGACAGGTCTCCGCATCTTCTCCATCCTGATACTTTGTCTTGATACCAAAAATGCTGCATAAAATTATGTAGCCAAACAAAGCTTTTATTGTTTGTTTCTTTTAATCTAATAAATGAAACAGCCTGTCTGTCTGTCAACCAATCAGCAATATGCTCTTCTAACGTAAACATACTTCCTAGGTATAAGAAAGACATAGTTTACAAATGAAAGAGAACCCCTGTCACCTTGTGGCTATAAGCAAAATTATTAAAGAAATGTTAACGCTGTGCACATCTGCTAACACCACGTGCAAAAATTCCTCCAACTTCTAAATTGGAGGAATTGTTCTTATTTTATAAGCCTCTATAATGTGATCATCATGACTTTCTCCTGTGTTTTTCTTTTACTAATCTGTTCATTGAGGCCTGATCTATCTCAGAGCAAAACTATCACCAGTGATTATGGAGCAGATGGGCAAAACAGAAGAACTGGATATATGTTCTCTTCAAAATGCAACAATCTCAACTGATAAAGCCAAGGAAAGCTAACATAGGTACACGGAGGTTCCAAATAACACACAGTGGCCAGACGTGGTGGCTCACGCCTGTAATCCCAGCACTTTGGGAGGCCGAGGCAGGTGGATCATGAGGTCAGAAGTTCAAGACAAGCCAGGCCAACATAGCGAAACCCCGTCTCTACTAAAAATACAACACTTAGCTGGGTATGGCAGCATGCACCTGTAGTCCCAGCTACTCAGGAGGCTGAGGCAGGAGAATTGCTTGAACCCGGGAGGCGAAGGTTGCAGTAAGCTGAGATCGTGCCACTGCACTCCATCCTGGATGACAGAGCGAAACTCCATCTTAAAAAAAAAAAAAAAAGAAAAAGAAAATAACACACAATGCAAGGCCTCCCGTAGCCATATCAAAGTGAATGTTAGGAATACGTATTTGGAAATGTACTCTAGAAAGCAATACAACTTTTCTGTAGGATTGTCACAGGACACTTAGGGTGTCACTTTTCCAGCTCGAAACCTCTGTGTCCAGTGGCATCTTTGCCCAAGTTTTGCTTGGGCCCACTGGGCTCGTTCCACCTACTCAGCCCAGCAGGCTACATTCAGCTCATGCTACTGGCCCAGATACCACAGCTGCCAAGGGTAAGCCAGGCACGGAGTGGAAAGGGGTATGTGAGTTAGTGAAGGGTCCGGCCATTGCGCACAGCCAGGTATGCCGGCTGTGGTGGGGTGGGCAGCTCCAGGTGCCAGCACAGGCCCTGGCTCCCTGCCAGGCTGAAGCTGGACCAGGCATACCACAAGCAGCTTCCACAATGGGCACCAGGGAATGCAGTGGCACCCAGAAGCTTGGAGATGCCTGGAACTGCAGAGCCCCAAACTGGGTGTCACAGCCCTGGCTCAGGGAGCTCCCAGGTCTGGGCTCCTTAAAGGGCCACAGCTCTCTCCTCATTTCCCACAACGTGGTGAGCATAGGGGGTGCGATGTTGGGGTTGGGGTGGTGTTCAGCCCTGTTTGCGTTACAGTTCTTTCAGTCCCATCATTCAGCAGGTCCCGAGGTCTTATCCCACGTCCAGGAAGAATGAGATACGTGGACAAATGGAGGGTGAGTAAGGCAGAGAGGAGCTTCATTGAGTGACAGAACAGCGCTCAGGAGACCTGAAATGGGTAGCTCCTTTCCACAGGCAGGTTGTCCTGACAAGTCAGGGAGACCCAAAGTGGGTAGCTCCTTTCTGCAGTTGATAGTCCCGACATCTGTGTGAATCTGGCCGAGTTCAAGATTTTTATGGGTTCAAAAGACATTTTTTATGGGTTCAAAAGACATTTTTCAAAAGACATTTTATGGGTTCGAAACCTATTTTTATGGGTTCAAAAGTGTGTGCTGATTGGTCCATGTGTGGACCCAGAAAAAGCACGGTAAGTTCCCACTCTGGGCGGTGGACTCCACCCAGAACTGGCAGCCCAGCCCCCAGGCTTCAGGCCATCGCAGAGGTGTGCCTGTAGGCCCACACCAAGCTTCCCTTGGCCCCTACTCCAAGCCTCCTTCCCATGTTCAACAGTACCCAAAGTCCAGAGGGGGCCAAGGCAGCAGTAAGGGGCTGGTGTGACAGTACTTCTCCAAGCACGTGTACAACCGGCCGGGTTGCGACAGCACCCAGACTCGGCCACAACTTTGCTCCAAACTCGGAGTGGGTGCCAGGAGTGAGGAGAGGCCAGGGAATGGGAGCAGGCACTTCTGAGCCTGTGGGGGCAGGGAGGCTTCCCAGGCCCCCAAAAGCACAAGGATTCCTGGGTCTGGAGCCACAGCTGGGCAGCTGCAGTTGCACCCAGGAGCACAGCGCTCCCCGTCTACCAACTCGGTAGGAGGCAGGGAATTCCTGCCTGTTCCCGGCTCCCTTCAGCTCTGTAGAGTGCAAAGCCCTGGCCGCACCTCCCCCACTGCAGCGGGCATCCCCGCAACAGCTGCTCCAGACAGGCCACCACTGCCATCAGGATCAGATACATGGGTGCTGGGAGCAAATATGGCAGAATCCTTAGAGAGAGGTAAGAGAATGTGATGACAAACCTTAGTCACTCAGTCAAGAATGCAGTGTGAGAAAGAAATATCTTGGAGGAAAACTTACATTTAAGATGTCAGTATTATATTTTTAGGCAACAGCATATGATTGTATCATAGAGCTGTAAACTTCGAATTAATCAAAAGATAAGTGGCTTCATATCCCCAGCCTCAACCGTATCTTGATTTCAAGCACAAATTTTTTTTAACTATAACAAATTATATTATAGAGAGTAACCCAGATCATACCACTATTGACAAAATCAAAATCCATTTGATTTTATCCAGATCTTTTTTTTTTTTTTTTTTTTTTTGGAGACAGAGTCTCACTGTGTCACTCCACCAGGCTGGAGTCCAGGGGTGCAATCTCAGCTCACAGCAATCTCCACCTCCAGGGTTTAAGCAATTGTTGTGCCTCAGCCTCCCAAGAACCTGGAATTATAGGCGTGTGCCAGTACTCCTGGCTAATTTTTGTATTTTTAGTAGAGACAGGGTTGACGGAGTTTCACTATGTTGCCCAGGCTGGTCTTGAACTCCTGGCCTCAAGTGATCTGCCCACTTCGGCCTCCCAAAATTCTGGGATTACAGGCATGGGCTCACCACACCCAGCCTATCCACATCATTTTAAATAATATTATGTGAATGACATCAATGGCATGCTTTGAAAAAACATCAATTAAAATTAAAACTAGAAGTCCCCTTTGACTCTTGCCAACTCAACTTTGCACCCATGATAGCCACAACCTCCCTACTCCATCCCCCAAAAACATCATGCAGATTTGATGCTTCCAGCTTTCCTCTTTAATTTCTTCTAAATAGCAGAAAGATAAGCATGTGTAGCTGTGTTTATAGTAACAGTACAGATCTGTGAATAGTACCGTGTACTAAGAATATAAATCCTTTTGCATACCATTTATCCACTAAGAATCAAATAATTTTCCTTTTGCCTATAATTCATTTAATCTACTTTATGTGTAATTATAAAATAGTTACATTTGATTTAGATTAGCAACACTGTAGCTTTTACAAATCTCCCCAAAAGGCAGTTCTTTAGATATGGCTTTTGGATAGTCTTTCTCCAGAAAATAATGGAGAACGTAAATACAAAGCTAAGAGCAGACTGGAAGGAAACCAGCAGCACTGATTGGACAGGGCCAATCAGATCCATTACGTCCTGGGAAGACTAGAGAATCTACTTTTATTCAGATGCAGTAGCTCACACCTCTAATTCCAGCAGTTTGGGAGGGCAAGGCAGGCGGATCACTTGAGGCCAGGAGTTCAAGACCAGCCTGGGCAACATGATGAAACCCATCTCTACTAAAAATACAAAAATCAGCTGGGCGTGGTGGCACATGCATGTAATCCCAGCCACTTGGGAAGCTGAGGCACAAGAATCACCAGAACCCAGGAGGTGGAGGTTGCAGTGAGCAAAAATCCTGCCACTGCACTCGAGCCTGGGTGACAGAGTGAGAGTCTGTCTCAAAAAAATTAATAAAATAAAATAATTTTTTTGAAAAGAGAACCTAATTTTGATGCAAAATTAGAAGTGAAAAAATTGTGTCTTAACCAGTTTGTTTATCTGGAAATTTGCCTAAAATATAACTTTTAAAATGCTAATTTAACATTCGCTTTGAAATGTTTCTATGAAAAATTCCTGTCTTTCATAATAAATGGGGAAGGGGCTCGGGTTAACTTCTTTTTCAGTTCTGTGAGTTGAAACAGAGTTCAGATCTGGGAGATCAAGGCAGATAGAATTCACATCATAGGGCACCCAATGGAAAAGAGATGCACCGAGAAAAAACTGCAGAGATCTGCGTAGGGTCTCCCTTGAGTACCCAGCAGAATACTGGCCAGCACATGCATGGGAGACAACTACCTGAGGCCAGCGGAAAAAAACATCCAAGAGGATTACAAGGAGCACTGCCCACTTGGTGCTCCCTTGGGAACAAGAATCCTGCCTGTTCCCAGCAGTCAAACTGGAAAAACTCCTAATTCACGGATTATTAGGTAGAGTTCTCAGGAAGATCTTGTTTCAGTAGTGGAAGATAATTAGCTGGGAAACAGACGGAAGAACCAATATGGGAGAAAGATTAAACTGTTGAATACCTAGTATTATTTATTGGTGTGGGGAGAGATAAAATATAACTTTTCCTCAAGCTTTGTTCAAAAACAACATTACTATACCCAAATGAGAAAAATTAAATTTAAAATAATTAGAAGAAAACATTGGAAAACACTGTATTAAGGCCTCATAGTAAGAAAGATTGTTATCTTTGATACTAAACACTAAACTATAAAAGAAAAGACTAGTAATTTGACTACATTAAAATTTTAACTATCTGCATACAAAATAACCATAGGTAAAACGAAGAAGCAAGCCATATATGGAAGACATTTATCAAGACAGGTTACACTAGATTATTTTCAAGAACCTATAATAAATGCCCATAAATCATGTAGAGAATAGTGAAAGCTCCATAGAAGAGCAGCGAATTCAGAAAAGAAGGAACTCATTTGACTAATAAGTATATAAAAAGATGATACCCTTCACTAGTAATCAAATGCAAATTAAAGCATTTACACTTATCAGGTTGACGAACAAAATTTAAGTTTGACAATACCAAGGCTGTCAAGGAAGTGGTGAAACGGACTCTCAGAAACCACTCTCGAGAGTCAAATCACAAAGTTATAACACTTCAAAAACCAGTTTGGAGGCCAGGGGCGGTGGGTCACGCCTGAAATCCCAGCACTTTGGGAGGCCGAGGTGGGTGGATCACGAGGTCAGGAAATCGAGACCATCCTGGCTAACACGGTGAAACCCCATCTCTACTAAAAAATAAAAAATAAAATAGCCGGGCGTTGTGGCCCCTGTAGTCCCAGCTACTAGGGAGCCTGAGGCTGGAGAATGGCGTGAACCTGGGAGGCGGAGTTTGCAGTGAGCCGAGATCGCCCCACTGCACATGCACTCCAGCCTGGGCGACACAGCGAGACTCAGTCGCAAAAAAAAAAAAAAAACAACACAGTTTGAGAGTCTTTAGTAAAATTTAAACTCTGCATACAACATAGCCCACATATTCCAATCCTCATTCTAACCTGATGCACACTCGGATTTTAGTGCAGATGTGCTACCAGAAAGGGGTCCCGATCCAGACCCCTAAGAGAGGGTTCTTGGATCTTGCACAAGAAAGAATTCAGGGTGAGTCCATAGAATAAAGTGAAAGCAAGTTTATCAAGAAAGTAAAGAAATAAAAGAACGGCTACTCCATAGACAGAGCAGCCCTGAGGACTGCTGGTGGCCCATTTTTATGGTTATTTCTTGAGTATATGCTAAACAAGGAGTGGATTATTCATGCCTCCCCTTTTTAGACCGTATAGGGTAACTTCCTGATGTTGTCATGGCATTTCTAACCTGTCATGGTTCGGTGGGAGCACAGCAGTGAGGATGACCAGAGGTCACTCTCTTAGCTATCTTGGTTTTGGTGGGTTTTGGCCAGCTTCTTTATTTCAAACTGTTTTATCAGCAAGGTCTTTATGACCTGTATCTTGTGCTGACCTCCTGTGACTTAGAATGCCTAACTGTCTGAGAATGCAGCCCAGTAAGTCTCAGCCTCATTTTACCCAGCCCCCATTCAAGATGGAGTTGCTCTGGTTCAAACACCTCTGATAGATGGGGTCACCATCACAAGCCATTAACACAAGTCATCTGCACACTCCAGGGAACTAGATCATTTGGAAAGTATTGTTCTGACACAAATGCAGACATTTAGGTCTCCATGGGGGAAAGCCCTGTGACTTAACACACTGGCCTATAACCAAATTATTTGTGAAACAGTATTTATTTTTAAGAAACAAAGAGATGCATTAATATTTAGAACAATTTCTGGAACATGGTAGACACTCAAAATATTTGTTGAATGAGTGAATTTGAACATCCAACAATTCACAGCTATTTTACTTATTTTCAGACACGTATTTCTGAGTCTCATTAGCCAATTCATTAGCCAGTTTAGTTTAATTAAGACACAGCCAATTGTTGTAATTGTTAACCTTAATTGTTAATTGATAGTGATTTTAAACTCACCTTCAAGTCAAGATTCACAGGTAAAGATGTTTCTGGTAAATGATACATCTGGTAGATGCGCTCTTTGGGCTCAGACAGGAGGTGTTTTTCTTACAATGAATGTTTTCTCTGTAACCTCCACATCTGTGTTGCCACACCCCTAGCCACTTCTTGTCTGTGTAGTGATTTTCCTGTTGGCTCCAGAAGCAGCTGGGCATTTCAAGCAGAGTCCTGGGGTTAGACATGCCTCTCCTAGACCCATCTTCATCATTTCTCTCTCAGTGGCTTCAATAAGTGCAGAGAAATACACTGCTGTGTCCCCCAACCATCACAGAGAAGTATGAGAGTTCGTTACCCCACATCCCAGCCAATACTTAGAATTATAGGTTTTTTTAATTTTCACCATTTGGGTGAGTATGTAGTGTATCTCATGCTTTTGATTTGCATTCATCTGATAACCAGTGATGTGAGCATCTTTTCATGTACTCATTTGCCATTTACATATCTTCTTTTGTGAACTGTTTATTCAGATCTTTTGACTACTTATATCTTTTTTTCTTTTTATTATTAAGGTGTAGGGCTTCTTTAGATATCTGAAAACAAGTCCTTTGTCAGATATGGGCATCAAGAGCATGAGAATATTTCTCCCAGTCTAAAGCTTGTCTTTTCATTTTATTAATGAAAGAGCAGAAGTTTTTAATTTTGATGAAGTCCAAGACATGATTTTTCCTCATTGTGGTTTATGATTTTGGTGTCATACCTATGAAATTTTTATTACCCAAAAGTTGTGAATAACTTCTCCAATGTTTTCTTCTAGGTCTACAGCTTTTCCTTTACCTTTAGATCTATGACCCATTTTGACTTTATTTTGGTGTACAATGTAAGATAAGGATAATGGTTTATTTTTCTATATGTAAGCATACCAAATTGTTTGAGTGCCATTTGTCAAAACTTTTTTTTACTAACTCTTCCTTATTTGAGTAACAATGACACTTGGAAATACAAATAGGTAAAGTTTAATTTTTAGCAAGATCAATAATTCAACCAGTAACTGTATTCAGCTACAGCACATTATAATGTATGGGAGGATTTGATGACAAATGCTATTTATGATGGGCTTTGAAGACTGCCTGAGAACTAATAGTTACGTACCTTCAGGCTTCTGAATGTTGTACATTCTCTAGTCAGTTCCTAAGGTGAAAATTTTTCAGCTCATGATAAGAAAGCAAAGTTGTTTACACTAACTAGTGCATTCATTTCTAATAACCAACTAAGAAGAATCTGGTAAACTTACCCTTCTCCCCCTCACTGCCAACATCTGCCCAGTTGCCTATATTGATGCCAAGCAGCAGCAACAAAACATTGTTTGTTAAAAATACAAATACATGCTGGGAAATACCTATCTGTATATAGTGTCCTGCATATGTCTATTGTGTTTACTTACAATTATCACATCATATGTTCCATTTTCTAATTTGGAAAATATGCTTATTAAGTACATAACAGGTGTCTCCATGATCTATTGTTGCAGGTATCTCCAGGATCTACTAAAATCCAGGCTATGGCTGGAGCGCCTACACAGCAACATCTGTTTAAGCAGGACTCTTCAGTAATTATATAACTCAATATCAAAGAACACTTTCACTGATTGACTGGCTTCTGTGTGCTGAGGTACAGGCAGCTGCAAATAATTGGCTTACTTACTATTGAGCTTCCACTTTGTTTCTTTTCCTCAAATGAATACAGGAATGATACATGTCCAAGCTGCATCATCAGAAAACAGAGATCTCTAGGCTAGTAGCAGTAAATAGTGCTTAAATATTGGCGTTGGGCATCTGGTAGACACGGTTCAAATCTAACTTTTGTGCTGGCTAAGTCAGTGGCTCTTATTATGAATATTTTATATAGTGCCAGTAATAGTTTCATCATCATGATAAAGAAATCTTCTCAGATATTGCTATGAAAGTTAAGTAACAATGTTTTGTAAAAATTTTAACCCCATACTTTACATGTAGTCAGTACTAAACAAATGTTAATAATTACTAGTTTCAGATAGAAACCAATTTTCATTCTTTGAAACAAATACATAGCAATGTGAAGACAGAAATACAAAAAAGAGGTTTGTTTTATTCTTGTTTGTTTGATTTGTCATTTTAGGAACAAGAAGAGTTTCTGATGTGTGACCAGTAAGGGCTTCAAGGCAGGAGCTGTATTTTAACAGCATGTAGTAAGATGCCTGGAGCACAGAATATGCCTAACAATTATTTATTGATAGATGCATGTAGTCCAGAATAACATTATATACTATAATAAAGTTTCATACGTTTTTATTGTAATACAATACATGATAAACAACATCCAACTGAAGCAGAATGTCTTATCTCCTAACAGATTTAGAAAACAGCAACATAGTGAGACACATTCCAGTTAATAAAAATAAAAGTTGCTGGGTAGGAAGCATACAGCAGAGAAGAGAGATTTCTACATCAAGACACTCACATCTGTAATAAAAAGATAGACCAGCTGGGACAGGAACCTGTAAAATCATGAGAAGCACAGGATGGACCTGTAAAATCATCAGAGTACAGGCTCATCAAATTTCATGATGGTTAGACACAGCCTCCCTATAGAACTTCAGGAAGACCAGGTTAGAATAAAGGGAAAGAAACCCATTTCACAGGGGAGCTAATTCGACATGGAAACCGTCTCCTCAAAAAGTAGTACAGCCTGGCAATATGAAGAGCTATGAAAACAAAACTGGAAAAGTCCAAGGGTGGAGATCAAAAACAGGTCTTTATTTAGAAAAAGAACATTCATGACCTTCCACCATCTTTATCTTAGTATTAGTTTTAGACACAGTGACTCCATTGTCTAGATGAGCCATAGGTCATAGTTTTCTAGTAATAGAATGCTAAGAAAACGATAAACATAGTTCCTGCTTTCATGGAACACAAACTCATCTAATAATAGCTAATAGGAAGGTGTTTTGAGAACTTACATAAAGAAATTTTATCTATTTGAAAACTGGGTGAAGTGTCAAAGAAGGTTTTTCCAAAAGACAATTGAATTGGGATCTCACGGAAAGAATGAGGGAAAATTCCAGGCAGGGAAAATGGTATCTTGGAAGACTCCAAGGTAAGGGATATCTGGCACTTTCAAGGAAATAAAAACTGACCTATGGGATGGGAGCATAAAAGAATGAAAAGGGCATTGCAGTAAAAATTAACTAGAGAAGAAGTAGGGAGCAAACCATGGAGGGGTTTTGGTAAGGATTTCGGCCTTTGATAAACACAACAGGAAGGCTTAAGAGTATTTTAAGCAGGGAGATGATAGGATTAAATTCACATTTTTTAAAATATCTTGGCAGGCTAATGTATTAAATAGATCAGAAATGCAAAAGCTAAAGTAAATACAGACATAACAATTAGGAGGCTACTGCATTCCTCCAGGTGGTGGTGACGGTGGAAAATAGACAAATATGAGATATTTAAGAGGTTAAAAAGATCAACAAAACTTTTTCTCTTTTTTCTTCTCACACTTGTCAACCTAACTTAATTCTCGTCTTTCTCTTTTGCTCAAGTGGTGACTTAACTAGTTTCCTGTTTCTTGGGTTGGTTCAACTTAAATCAACTAAATAGTTCAATTTAAATAACTAGAAAATCTTATTAAAACCAGAAGAGTTGGGAGGAAAATAAGGAAAGCAAATAGTTGCTCGATATTTACTTAAATGTAGTTATTCTTTCTATTTTACCACAGCATACTCAAGATTCTTAGCTTAAATTTTAGACTCTGAGGTAGAAGCAAATTTCCACGCATAGGATAGTTTTCAGTTGGAACAACTGGCAAGACATGCCAGAATTTTCATAAATCCTTGTGGTTCCATGTGGATAATGGTGTCACCTGTGCAAACAAATAAAATGAAAGATTGTTTTGCCTTAAAAAATATTTTGTATGGTAATCCTATTTTAATCATAGACCTCCAATAAACTCATAATCTCTAAATTTTGGATCAGCTTTCCTAAAAAACAAAAATCTCTGTTTCCTCTGCAATGATGCTTATGAAAACAATGAATAAATTATGGTGTACTAAAGAAAGAAATCTTTCCAGTAAGAAGGACCCACGGTTGAGTTAAAACAGTACCCTAAAGAGATCAGACTTCTTTTCCATACAGAGAAGTACACTAATAATAATCTATGCATTAATAATATGTATTATTAATTAATAATTAATCTTTGCATTAATAATAATGCGTGGATTATTTTATTAAACCATGTAAAAGAGCTGGCTCTAAATCAAGACTTTTTACCAAGCCAAAAGTCATCAGGAATAGACTCAAAGCCCAAAATCAAGAATCCAGACCCCCACCCACAGCACTCAAAAATTTGGAGACCCAAAAATTTGGGTTTTTATGGATAATTTGGTGGGCAGGGGGCTAGTGATTGACAAATGCTGGTTGGTTGGGTTGGGGATGACATCACAGGGAGTTGAAGATATCTTCTTGTGCTGAGTCAGTTCCTGGATGGGATCACAAAACCAGTTGAGCCAGTTTACCAGTCCAGGTGGCACCAGCTGGTCCAGCAGGATTTAGAATCTGAAAAATACCTTGAACACCAATCTTAGGTCCTATGATAGAGTTGATATCCATAGGAGCAAGTGGGGAGGTTACTAATGTTTTGACCTCTGCCTGCATAACTCCTGAGTCATAATTTCTAATCTTACGGCTAATTTGTTAGTTTTACAAAGGCAGTTTTGGTCCCCCAACCAAGGAAGGGGTTGTTTGGGGAAGGACTATTATCATCTTTGCTTTAAGGTTAAACTATAAACTAAATTTCTCCCAAAGTCAGCTTGGCCTACACCCAGGAATGAACAGGACAGCTTGGAGGTTAGAAGCAAAATGGAGTCAGCTATGTCAGATTTCTCTTACCGTCACAATTTTGCCAAGGTGGTTCATGCTCTCCTAGATAACTGTATTACTTCCTCCCCCACTTTCTTCACATACTTATTCAATAAGAACTACCATGACTCCCTCCCCACATTTAAAATTCCAACTGCAGACAGCTCCACCTCCACATTTCCCATCCCCATTACCCTGGTCTACTTTTCCCATAGTACTTACTGTCTTCTAACATACTATATTACTTATCACATTTTTTGTTCACTCTGTTTTTTCAATAAAATATAAGCTCCAGGAGAGCCAAAACTTCTGTCTATTTTATTCATTGATGCATCCCTGCTGTATATAGCAGTGTCTGGCACATAGCAGGTACTCAATAATATTTGTTAATGTCTCTGGTTTGTGAAACACAGATCATTTATATATTTACATACCAAATCATTTCAAATAGATTTTGAGGTGATTAGTAAAAAGATTACAGAAATAGAACATGAAAAAGATATATTTAATGCTTAGAGCAGAAAATTTGAGTTTTAACTTCCTGAAAGAAATGAACTATAAACAAGTGTCTGTTGAATTTCTAGTGCACTGGTGTACCTGCCACCACAATAGTTGCCTTATATATATTTTTATACTTTTATGTATAAACATATACATATGTTTATGTTAATATGTATAAACATATTAACAATAATCCTATGAGGTAATTCTATTACTAGCATTTCACAGGAGAGGAATTTGGTACTCAGAGATCTAGAAACACTTCCCCAAGACAACACAGCCCAGTCATTGACTGGGTCAGAATTTTCCACCGATATGTTGCACTCCCACGCCCATACTTTTGAATGCTGTACTGCCAGTTGTAATTTATACCCTCCATTTATTACAAAGGGAAAGACATTCCAATTCCTGTTGGAGAAAATTATTTACTCCCTTCTAAATTCTCCTACATTCAATCATTTCTTAGGTCTGTCCTCATCTCTGGCCTGAGCTGTTGAACAATCCCTCATCCTTCTCTCAGCCCCCTGTTCTGACATAACTCTTATCCATATTCAAATTATATGAATCTTTTCTTGTTCATTGCCAGAAATGGGAGGAAAACTCCTCCCAAACAATAATTATGTCATAATAATATTTCATCTATTCTCAATTTCAGGGAGTTTATGAACCTTCAAGATGTCCAACTATGGTTAACAATCTCTGCATTGAACTCTCCTTCTCTCTGACTATCAAATCCCAGATGCCAGTGACTCAGAGCCCATTATTTTCTTATTCCTAGCTGCCTCTATTTTATTAATGGTGATTAAAAGAAGGGACTTCTTGTCCTCAAATTCTGTTTTTCTAGGTGTATTGTTTTCTTCCCCTATTATCCTACATATATTCTCTCTGCACCTCTTCCTACACTCAAACACAAACAGCTTCATGATCATATCATTTTGGCAGTGACTGTATGTGGCCCAAAGCAGACAGAAATATCAGCCCTAGCCTAAAACAGAGTTAGTCAAAACCCACAGATTCTGCCATGTTAGTAACTGAACATGCATGACCTATGGGATCTGTCTGTTTTGGCAATAATCTAAAAATAGATCAAGAAATAAGGTAATACATAGATGACAGAAATTGATAGAAATGGCAATGCAGGCAATAATAACGGAGAAGTCCTCAACTCAGAACCCATGCCTAACATGAGAAGGTGTAAGTTCTCTTTCTTAAAAGAGTTGTACAACCCAGGCATGGTGGTGTGTGCTTGTAATTCCAGCTACTCAGGAGGCTGAGGCAGGAGGATCACTTAAGCCCAGGAGTTGTGGTCTGCAGTGAGCTGTGATTGTGCTATTGCACTCCAGCCTCCAGCCTGGGTGACAGAGTGTGACCCTGTCTCTTAAGAAACAAATGAAAAAGAAGACTTGTATATTGACCTACTCACTGATACCACATACATAGTAAACAACGGCTCTAAATTTATCTCTGCAATGCCATGACTTATGGCATGTTTTCCAATATAGCATGGTTATCCATTCATAAGATGAACAATTTTTAAAAAGGTCAATTTTTTATCATTATCATCATCATCATCATTATTCAGTGTTCAGTTTGGGAAGGGACTCAAAAATGTTTGGATTATTTTTTCATCTAGAAGAATCCATGTTTTAATGCTTAAGTGTAATGTGTTTAACTCCATAAATTTATCACGCTGCTCTAGGCTAGTCACAAAAACTAAGCAGAATTTATGCATTTTTTAAAAGCAAGTCCTCCCTCCTTTCTCTGAGGAATTCTTCAGAGCATTTGTTTGTTTGTTTTGAAAATTGCCCTTTCAACTAACACCCCCCCATTCTGTCAGGAGCTGTGATTAGCCTTTGGGAGACAGCACAGCCATGAGCTCTGATTGTGAGAGTTAGCAGAGTTTGGGTGCAGGAAGCAGCTGCCAGGGCACTACTGTGTGTCTAGAGCACAGAGGTAGGTAGCTGAGTCTGCAGGCTGGGAGGCTGTGATATGAAACAAACTCTGTTTAAGGGTGGTATCAAAGGTGACCTTCAGTCTTTCTTTCCTTTTTTCTTTCTCATTTTCACGTATGAGTAGCAAGAAAACAGGGCCTCTTCCTGGATCTTGTCGGTACCACTGTAAGTATGCTGGAGAATAGTTTGTATAGTTGCAGGTCAGGGTGGCCGTTTTACCCTCCTGAATGTTCAGAGCCTCGGAATTCTGTTCTATCTTTTGGCTCTTCACCCCTAGGCAGAAACACAACACCAAAAGTAGGAGGGTTAGTCACTACACTGACACTGTTGAGTCTATTTTCCTCCCACAACCCCAGATATAACCAAAGATGGGGAAGAATGGATCCTAGCCCCTCCCCTTCATCCTGTGCACTGCAGCCCTGGATCTCTCTGTCTCCATCAACAGGAAATCTCCAACTCACAGTCCACTTGAAGCCACAAAATCAGCAAAACACCTCCCAGGAATGACTCCATTCGTCTCCCCAAATGTGGCCTGAAATGTAGACCCAGGCTTCTCAGCCAAAAAGCCATTCTGTTTAGTTTGATAGGTGTTACTGGGGTTCTTCTACCCCTAGAAGGAAGTTCTGGCCTTCCTATCCAGCCAATCAATGGCAAGCCTGTTCAGCCCCTTACACATACTGGCCTAATCCAGCTATGCAGTGAACTTCGGTTCACATCTGAGACAGGCTCTGAGGGGGTAGGAAATACTGCCCTCTTGTGTTCAGAAAGTTGTTATAATAATGGAACGTGCTCCCAGGTCAGGGCTTCTAAAACTTAATTATGTATGCAAATCACCTGGGGATTTTGTTAAGCTGTGAATTCTGTTTCATTAGGTCTGAGGTGGGGCTGGATATTCCACATTTTAACAAGTTTACTGGTGATGCTGATACAGTTGGTTCTCAGACCACACTTGTAAGTAACAAGTCCAGAAGAATGCTAATTGAGTCTCAGTACATAACATGGAATTGACAATATTAATTCTGGATACAGGTCAAATGATCAAGTTTTCCAAGTTCTCCATTTCATTGCCCAGTTGAACTACTCTGTCCTTCTTGCCACAGTTGCAGATGTCATGTGCTCTAGATAATGTAAAACACAGAAAATGTATGGCTGAATTCTAGGAAACTTTCCCAGATCTAGGGAATAGGCCTTCCCACAGGTGAAAAAAAAGTATTGCTTTGACTTCAAAAGGCCTTTTTTCTTTATCTTGTTGGGCTATAATAAGTAGACATTCAGTTTAAATTCAGCGAGAATTCAAACGAGTGAAGGGTTTTTTACCCCTAGAATACCCTCTGAGAGGGTGTTTAAAATTATTTTTAAAATACAGCAGCCCTCTGATTATATATATCAGAAATCCTTTCTTTTCTACTTTTTAATGCCAGGATGGATGTATTGTAGTCACTTCCTTAGATGCATTTATGCCATTCCATGGAGAGATCAATGACAGCTGAACAGATGGATGGACAGATAGAAGAAAGAGAGAATGGGCTAGAATGTAGCAGAAAATCAAGTTGGAAGGAGAATTCAGGTCTAGAAAACAAAAGATTTTGAATGCCAGGATTCATTTGTAGGTTATTTGTTAGCAAACAAGGAACTTTTGAGGCTTTAGAGGAGGTAATATTATGAAAATGGAAGTCCATATACTGGACATTCTATTCTGTTAACATTCTATTAATTAGGCTGCTTATCTACAAGAATAATTTGGAGAAGTATGTTGATAGACATCATGAAAGAATAGTTAAGAGTTTGTATTCCAGCCTCAAACAAACCTGGCTTTGAAACTCCTCCATTTAATCTCTGAGTGAGCTAGAGCAAGCTACTTAATGTCTCTAAGTATGAATTTCCTTATCTGTAAAATGGGGGATATCACTAGAATGCATTGGCTAATGTATATAAAATGCTTTATATAATGCATCAGACACAGTAAGAACTGAATAAATATGAACTATTAATATAAGAAAAGGAATCCAATAGTGGCTGCAAAACCAGTCAGGAGGTTATTGCTGCTTTCTCATTGTGAGGTATAGGTGACTGAACCAGGGTCATTGAACTTCAGAGCTAAGAGTAATTTTACAAAATTTACAGAAAATGGTGGATTGGAAAGACTTTTAATCAACTAAGGCATATTTTGGAAAACTGATAAAAATAGGATGAAAGAGAAAATCACTACTTACCTTATCAAGCAAAGATATGCATTATCAATATCTCAGTGCGTTTTTCCCAACATTTGCACTATTCAGATTTTTATTAAGTGGCAACGATATCTTGATTCTTTTTAATTATTACTATTCAATAATCATTACTATTCAATAATCATTGTAGATTATCTTTGTAAACACCATTTATTTGGTGCATAATATTCCATTTGTGTCATTAAGCCTTTCCCTTAAAGATGAGACATTTTGGTTTTCCATTTTGGGGTAGTGTACATAACTTTCCAAATACCTTTGTAAATAATTATTATATGCATTTAGAGTTTTCCTGAAGACAGATTCTCTAGAGAAAATCATTACAATGAAGAAAATGAATATTTTTTAGATTATTGTCATGTTTTTAAATTACTTTTTAAAATGGCTTACAAGTTTACTCTCCCACCAGAGCAGTATGTTTCACTGCATTTTTTCCAAATTATCTCCCTTTCGATTTGCTATTTCTATAATTTCCTAATTTTTTTTGTTTTTTTTTTAACACTGCATACAAATACAAGTATTTCTTTCTTTTTTTAAAAAAGCTTTTGATCCTTTTTTTAATTATACTTTAGGTTCTAGGGTACATGTGCACAACGTGCAGGTTTGTTACATAGGTATATATGTGCCATGTTGGTTTGCTGCACCCATCAACTCGTCATTTACATTAGGTATTTCTCCTAATGCTATCCCTCCCCCAGACCCCCACCCCACAACAGGCCCCAGTGTCTGATGTTCCCTGCCCTGTGTTCACGTATTCTCGTTGTTCAACTCCCACCTATGAGTGAGAACACGCGGTGTTTGGTTTTCTGTCCTTGTGGTAGTTTGCTGAGAATGATGGTTTCCAGCTTCATCCATGTCCTTGCAAAGGACATGAACTCATCCTTTTTTATGGCTCCATAGTATTCCATGGTGTATATGTGCCACATTTTCTTAATCCAGTCTATCATTGATGGGCATTTAGGTTGGTTCCAAATCTTTGCCATTGTGAACAGTGCCGCAATAAACATACGTGTGCATGTGTCTTTATAGCAGCATGATTTACAATCCTTTGGGTATATACCCAGTAATGGGATCGCTGGGTCAAATGGTATTTCTAGTTTTAGATCCTTGAGGAATCGCCACACTGTCTTCCACAATGGTTGAACTAATTTACACTCCCACCAATAGTGTAAAAACGTACCTATTCCTCCACATCCTCTCCAGCATCTGATGTTTCCTGACTTTTTAATGATCACCATTCTAACTGGCGTGAGATGGTATCTCATTATGGTTTTGATTTGCATTGCTGTGATGGCCAGTGATGATGTGCATTTTTTCATGCATCTGTTGGCTGCATAAACGTCTTCTTTTGAGAAGTGTCTGTTCATATCCCTTGCCCACTTTTTGATGGGGTTGTTTGTTTTCTTCTTGTAAACTTCTTTAAGTTCCTTGTAGATTCTGGATATTAGTCCTTTGTCAGATGGATAGATTGCAAAGTTTTTCTCCTATTCTGTAGTTTGCCTATTCACTCTGATGATAGCTTCTTTTGCTGTGCAGAAGCTCTTTAGTTTAATTAGATCCCATTTGTCAATTTTGGCTTTTGTTGCCATTGCTTTTGGTGTTTTAGTCATGAAGTCTTGTCCTATGTCAACACGTACAACATGCTATGTCCTGAATGGTATTGCCTAGGTTTTCTTCTAGGGCTTTTTTGGTGTTAGGTCTTACATTTAAGTCTTTAATCCATCTTGAGTTAATTTTTATATCTGGTGTAAGGAAGGGATTCAGTTTCAGCTTTCTACATGTGGCTAGCCAGTTTTCCCAGTGCCATTTATTAAATAAGGAATCCTTTCCCCATTGCTTGGTTTTCTCAGGTTTGTCTAAGATCAGATGGTTGTAGATGTATAGTGTTATTTCTGAGGCCTCTGTTGTGTTCCATTGCTCTATATATCTGTTTTGGTACCAGTACCATGCTGTTTTAGTTACTTGTACTAACTGTTTAGTTACTAAACTGTAGTTTAGTACTACTGTTTTAGTAGGCTTGTAATATAGTTTGAAGTCAGGTAGCATGATGCCTCCAGTTTTGTTCTTTTTGCTTAGGATTGTCTTGGCTATGAGGGCCCTTATTTGGTTCCATATGAAATTTAAAGTAGCTTTTTCCAATTCTGTGAAAAAAGTCAGTAGTAGCCTGATGGGGATAGCACTGAATCTATAAATTACTTTGGGCAGTATAGCAATTTTCACGATATTGATCCTTCCTATCCATGAGCATGGAATGTTTTTCCATTTGTTTGAGTCCTCCTTTATTTCCTTGAGCAGTGGTTTGTAGTTCTCCTTGAAGAGGTCCTTCACATCCCTCATAAGTTGGATTCCTAGGTATTTTATTCTCTTTGTAGTAATTGTGAATGGGGGTTCACTCATGATTTGACTCTCTGTTTGTCTATTATTGGTGTATAGGAGTGCTTGTGATTTTTGAACATTGATTTTGTATCCTGAGACTTTGCTGAAGTAGCTTATCAGCTTAAGGAGATTTTGGGCTGAGATGATGGGGTTTTCTAAATATACAATCATGTCATCTGCAAACAGAGACAATTTGACTTCCTCTTTTCCTGTTTGAATATCCTTTATTTCTTTCTCTTGCCTGATTGCCCTAGCCAGAACTTCCAACATAGTGTTCTACGTTGAATAGGAGTGGTAATAGAGGGCATCCTTGTCTTCTGCTGGTTTTCAAAGTGTACGCTTCCAGTTTTTGCCCATTCAGTGTGATACTGGCTGTGGGTTTGTCATAAATAGCTCTTATTATTTTGAGGTACATTCCATCAATACCTAGTTATTGAGAGTTTTTAGCATGAAGGGCTGTTGAATTTTGTTGAAGGCCCTTTCTGCATCTATTGAGATAATCATGTGGTTTTTGTCTTTGGTTCTGTTTATCTGATGGATTGTGTTTATTGATTTATGTATGTTGAACCAGTCTTGCATCCCTGGGATGAAGCTGACTTGGTCGTGGTGGATACGCTTTTCGATGTGCTGCTGGATTTGGTTTGCCAGTATTTTTTTGAGGATCTTTGCACAATGTTCATCAGGGATATTGGCCTAAAATTCTCTTTTTTGTTATGTCTCTACCAGGCTTTGGTGTCAGGTTGATGCTGGCCTCATAAAATGAGCTGGGGAGGATTCCCTCTTTTTCTATTGATTGAAATAGTTTCAGAAGGAATGGTACCAGCTCCACCTTGTACCTCTGGTAGAATTTGGATATGAATCCATCTGGTCCTGGACTTTTTTTGGTTTGTAGGCTATTAATTATTACCTCAATTTCAGAACCTCTTATTGGTCTATTCAGAGATTCAACTTCTTCTTGGTTTAGTCTTGGGAGGGTGTATGTGTCCAGGAATTTATCCATTTCTTCTAGATTTTCTAATTTATTTGCGTAGAGGTGTTTGTAGTATTCTCTGATGGTAGTTTGTATTTCTGTGGGATCAGTGGTGACATCCCCTTTATCATTTTTATTGGGTCTGTTTGATTTCTCTCTCTCTTCTTCTTTATTAGTCTTGCTAACAGTCTATCAATTTTGTTGTTCTTTTCAAAAAACCAGCTCCTGGATTCATTGACTTTTTCAAGGGTTTTTTGTGTCTCTATCTCCTTCAGTTTTGCTCTGATCTTAGTTATTTCTTGCCTTCCGCTAGCTTTTGAATGTGTTTGCTCTTGCTTCTCTAGTTCTTTTAGTTGTGATGTTAGGGTGTCAATTTTAGATCTTTCCTGTTTTCTCTTATGGGCATTTAGTGCTATAAATTTCCCTCTACACACTGCTTTAAATGTGTCCCAGAGATTCTGGTATGTTGTGTCTTTGTTCTCGTTGGTTTCAAAGAACATCTTTATTTCTGCCTTCATTTCGTTATATACCCAGTAGTCACTCAGGAGCAGGTTGTTCAGTTTCCTTGTAGTTGAGCAGTTTTGAGTGAGTTTCTTAATCCTGAGTTCTAATTTGATTGCGTTGTGGTCTGAGAGACAGTTTGTTATAATTTCTGTTCTTTTACATTTGCTGAGGAGTGTTTTACTACCAATTATGTGGTCAATTTTAGAATAAGTGTGATGTGGTGCTGAGAGGAATGTCTATTCTGTTGATTTGGGGTGTAGAGTTCTGTAGATGTCTATGAGGTCCACTTGGTCCAGAGCTGAGATCAAGTCCTGGATATCTTTGTTAACTTTCTGTCTCATTGATCTGTCTAATATTGACGGTGAGGTGTTAAAGTCTCCCACTATTACTGTGTGGGAGTCTACGTCTCTTGGTAGACTCTAAGAATTTGTTTTATGAATCTGGGTGCTCCTGTGTTGGGTGCATATATATTTAGGATAGTTAGCTCTTCTTGTTGCATGGATCCCTTTACCGTTATGTAATGGCCTCCTTTGTCTCTTTTGATCTTTGTTGGTTTAAGTCTGTTTTATCAGAGACTAGGATTGCAACCCCTGCTTTTTTTTGCCTTCCATTTTCTTGGTAGATCTTCCTCCATTCCTTTATTTTGAGCCTATGTGCATCTTTGCATGTGAGATGGGTCTCCTGAATACAGCACACTGATTGGAATTGACTCTATCCAATTTGCCAGTCTGTGTCTGTTAACTGGGGTATTTAGCCCATTTACATTTAAGGTTATTATTGTTATGTTTGAATTTGATCCTGTCATTATGATGTTAGCTGGTTATTTTGCCCGTTAATTGATGGAGTTTCTTCATAGTGTCGATGATCTGTACCATTTAGTATGTTTCTGCAGTGGCTTGTACTGCTTGTTCCTTTCCATGTTTATTGCTTCCTTCAGGAGCTCTTGTAAGGCAGGCCTGGTGGTAATAAAATCTCTCAGAATTTGCTTGTCTGTAAAGGATTTTATTTCTCCTTCACTTATGAAGATTAGGTTGGCTGGATATGAGATTCTGGGTTGAAAATTCTTTTCTTTAAGAATGCTGAATATTGGCCCCCACTCTCTTCTGGCTTGTAGGGTTTCTGCAGAGAGATCCACTGTTAGTTTGATGGGCTTCCCTTTTTGGGTAACCCAGACTTTCTCTCTGGCTGCCCTTAACACTTTTTCCTTCATTTCAACCTTGGTGAATCTGACAATTATGTGTCTTGGCGTTGCTCTTCTCGAGGAGTATCTTTGTGGTGTTCTCTGTATTTCTTGACTTTGAATGTTGGCCTGCCTTGCTAGGTTGGGGAAGTTCTGCCGGATAATACCCTGAAGAGTGTTTTCTAACTTGGTTCCATTCTCCCTGTCACTTTCCGGTACCCCAGTCAAACATATATTTGGTCTTTTCACAGAGTCCATATTTTTTGAAGCCTTTTTTCATTTCTTTTCACTCTTTTTTCTCTAACCTTATCTTCTTGCTTTATTTCATTAATTTGATCTTCAATCACTGATATCCTTTCTTCCACTTGATTGAATTGGCTATTGAAGCTTGTGCGTGCATCATGAAGTTCTTGTGCCATGGTTTTGAGCTCCGTCAGGTCATTTAAGGTCCTCTCTACACTGTGTATTCTAGTTAGCCATTCATCAAACCTTTTTTCAAGGTTTTTAGCTTCCTTGTGATGGACTAGGACATGCTCCTTTCACTCAAAGAAGTTTGTTATTACAGATCTTCTGAAGCCTGCTTCTGTCATCTAGTCAAACTCATTCTCTGTCCAGTTTTGCTCCCTTGCTGGCGAGGAGCTACAATCCTTTGGAGGAGAAGAGGTGCTCTGTTTTTTAGAATTTTCAGCTTTTCTGCTCTGGTTTCTCCCCATCTTTGTGGTTTTATCTACCTTTGGTCTTTGATGTTGGTGACCTACAGATGGGGTTTTGGTGTGGATGTCCTTTTTGTTGATGTTGATGCTATTCCTTTCTGTTTGTTAGTTTTCCTTCTAACAGTCAGACCCTTCAGCTTCAGGTCTTTTGGAGTTTGCTGGAGGTCCACTCCAGATCCTGTTTTCCTGGGTATCACCAGCAGAGGCTGCAGAACAACAAATATTGCTGCCTGATCCTTCCTCTGGAAGCTTCGTCCCAGAGGGGTATTAGCCTGTTTGAGGACTCTCTCAGCCCCTACTGTGAGGGGTTTCCCAGTCAGGCTACATGGAGGTCAGGGGCCTGCTTGAAGAGGCCATATGTCCATTCTTGGAGCACAAATGCCATGCTGAGAGAACCACTGCTCTCTTCAGAGCTGTCAGACAGGGACGTTTAAGTCTGCAGAAGCTGTCTGCTGCCTTTTGTTCTACTATGCCCCGCCCCTAGAGGTAGAATCTGTAGAGGTAGTAGGCCTTGCTGAGCTGTGGTGGGCTCTGCCCAGTTCATGCTTCCCGGCAGCTTGGTTTACACTGTGAGCTACTCAAGCCTCAGCAAGGGCAGACTCCCGTCCCCCCATCAAGCCGCAGCATCGCAGGTCAATCTCAGACTGCTATGCTAGCAGTAAGCAAGGCTCTGTGGTCATGGGACCCACTGAGCCAGGCATGGGAGGGTATCTCCTGGTCTGCTGGTTGCTAAGACTGTGGGAAAAGAGCAGTATTTGGTCAGGAGTGTACCATTTCTCCAGGTACAGTCTGTCATAGCTTACCTTGGCTAGGAAAGGGAAATCTCCCATGACCCCTTGCACTTCCCAGGTGAGGCGATGCCTCATCCAGCTTTGGCTCACTCTCCATGGGCTGTACCCACTGTCCAACCAGTCCCAGTGAGATGAACCAGGTACCTCAGTTGGAAATGCAAAAATCACCCACCTTCTGCATCAATCTCGCTGGGAGCTGTAGACCAGAGCTGTTCCTATTTGGTCCTCTTCCTTGATAGGTTTTTTAAGTTATTTGCTTTCACTTTTGTGAATACCAGTAGGTTTAAACATTTCCCATATGTTTGTGAACCATGTGGCTTTTCCTCGTGCAAGTTGTCTCCTTGTATCTTCTGTATATGTATCTATTTATTTATTACTGTTTTACTTTTTTTTTTTTTTGAGACAGGGTCTGGCTCTGTTGCCAGATCATCAAGGCTAGGAAGAAGCTACATCAACTAACGAGCAAAATAACCAGCTAACATCATAATGACAGGATCAAATTCACACATAACAATATTAACCTTAAATGTAAATGTGCTAAATGCTCCAATTAAAAGACACAGACTAGCAAATTGGATAAAGAGTCAAGACCCATCAGTGTGCTGTACTCAGGAAACCCATCTCACATGCAGAGACACACATAGGCTCAAAATAAAGAGATGGAGGAAGATCTACCAAGCAAATGGAAAACAAGAAAATGCAGGGATTGCAATCCTAGACTCTGATAAAACAGACTTTAAACCAACAAAGATCAAAAGAGACAAAGAAGGCCATTACATAATGGTAAAGGGATCAATTCCACAGGAAGAGCTAACTATCCTAAAAATATATGCAGCCAATACAGGAGCACCCAGATTCATAAAGCAAGTCCTTGAGACCTACAAAGAGACTTAGACTCCCACACCATAATAATGGGAGACTTTAACACCCCACTGTCAACATTAGACAGATCAACGAGACAGAAAGTTAACAAGGATATCCAGGAATTGAACTCAGCTCTGCACCAAGTGGACCTAATAGACATCTACAGAACTCTCCACCCCAAATCAACAGGAGACATTCTTCTCAGCACCACACCACACCTATTCCAAAATTGACCACATAGTTGGAAGTAAAGCACTCCTCAGTAAATGTAAAAGAACAGAAATTATAACAAACTGTCTCTCAGACCACAGTGCAATCAAACTAGAACTCAGGATTAAGAAACTCACTCAAAACCACTCAACTACATGGAAACTGAACAACCTGCTCCTGAATGACTACTGGTTATATAACGAAATGAAGGCAGAAATAAAGATGTTCTTTGAAACCAACGAGAACAAATACACAACATACCAGAATCTCTGGGACACATTTAAAGCAGTGTGTAGAGGGAAATTTATAGCACTAAATGCCCATAAGAGAAAGCAGGAAAGATCTAAAATTGACACCCTAACATCAAAATTAAAAGAACCAGAGAAGCAAGAGCAAACACATTCAAAAGCTAGCAGAAGGCAAGAAATAACTAAGATCAGAGCAAAACTGAAGGAGATAGAGACACAAAAAACCCTTCAAAAAGTCAATGAATCCAGGAGCTGTTTTTTTGAAAAGATCAACACAACTGATAGACCGCTAGCAAGACTAATAAAGAAGAAAAGAGAGAAGAATCAAATAGAGGCAATAAAAAAGGATAAAGGGGATATCACCTTCCATCCCACAGAGATACAAACTACCATCAGAGAATACTATAAACACCTCTACGCAAATAAACTAGAAAATCTAGAAGAAATGGATAAATTCCTCGACATATACACCCTCCCAAGACTAAACCAGGAAGAAGTTGAATCCCTGAATAGACCAATAACAGGCTCTCAAATTGAGGCAATAATTAAGAGCCTACCAACCAAAGAAGTCCAGGACCAGATGGATTCACAGCCAAATTCTACCAGAGGTACAAACAGGAGCTGGTACCATTCCTTCTGAAACTATTCCAATCAATAGAAAAAGAGGGAATCCTCCCTAACTCATTTTATGAGGCTAGTATCATCCTGATACCAGAGCCTGGCAGAGACACAACAAAAAAAAGAGAATTTTAGACCAATATCCCTGATGAACATCGATGCAAAAATCCTCAATAAAATACTGGCAAACTGAATCCAGCAGCACATTAAAAAGCTTATCCACCATGATCAAGTGGGCTTCATCCCTGGGATGCAAGGCTGGTTCAACATATGCAAGTCAATAAACGTAATCCAGCATATAAACAGAACCAATGACAAAAACCACATGATTAACTCAATAGATGCAGAAAAGGCCTTCGACAAAATTCAACAACACTTCACGCTAAAAACTCTCAACAAATTAGGTATTGATGGGATGGATCTCAAAATAATAAAAGCTATCTATGACAAACCCACAGCCAATATCATACTGAATGGGCAAACACTGGAAGCATTCCCTTTGAAAACTGGCACAAGACAGGGATGCCCTCTCTCACCACTCCTATTCAACATAGTGTTGGAAGTTCTGGCCAGGGCAATCAGGCAGGAGAAGGAAATAAAGGGTATTCAATTAGGAAAAGAGGAAGTCAAATTGTCCCTGTTTGCAGATGACATGATTGTATATTTAGAAAACCCCATCATCTCAGCCCAAGATCTCCTTAAGCTGATAAGCTACTTCAGCAAAGTCTCAGGATACAAAATCAATGTACAAAAAACACAACCATTCTTATACACCAATAACAGACAAACAGAGAGCCAAATCATGAGTGAACTCCCATTCACAATTGCTTCAAAGAGAATAAAATACCTCGGAATCCAACTTACAAGGGATGTGAAGGACCTCTGCAAGGAGAACTACAAACCACTGCTCAATGAAATAAAAGAGGATACAAACAAATGGAAGAACATTCCATGCTCATGGGTAGGAAGAATCAATATCATGAAAATGGCCATACTGCCCAAGGTAATTTATAGATTCAATGCCATCCCCATCAAGCTACCAATGATTTTCTTCACAGAATTGGAAAAAACTACTTTAAAGTTCATATGGAACCAAAAAAGAGCCTGCATTGCCAAGTCAATCCTAAGCCAAAAGAACAAAACTGGAGGCATCAGGCTACCTGACTTCAAACTATACTACAAGGTTACAGTAACCAAAACAGCACAGTACTGGCACCAAAACAGAGATATAGACCAATGGAACAGAACAGAGCCCTCAGAAATAATGCCACATATCTACAACTATCTGATCTTTGACAAACCTGACAAAAACAAGAAATGGGGAAAGGATTCCCTGTTTAATAAATGGGGCTGGGAAAACTGGCTAGCTGTAGAAAGCTATGTAGAAAGCTGAAACTGGATCCCTTCCTTACACCTTATACAAAAATTAATTCAAGATGGATTAAAGACTTAAATGTTAGACCTAAAACCATAAAAACCCTAGAAGAAAACCTAGGCAATACCATTCAGGCCATAGGCATGGGCAAGGACTTCATGTCTAAAACACCAAAAGCAATGGCAACAAAAGCTAAAATTGACAAATGGGATTCTAATTAAACTAAAGAGCTTCTGTACAGCAAAAGAAACTACCATCAGAGTGAACCGGCAACCTACAGAATGGGAGAAAATTTTTGCAATCTACTCATCTGACAAAGGGCTAATATCCAGAATCTACAATGAACTCCAACAAATTTACAAGAAAAAAACAAACAACTCCATCAAAAAGTGGGCAAAGGATATGAACAGACACTTCTCAAAAGAAGACATTTATGCAGCCAAAAGACACATGAAAAAGTGCTCATCATCACTGGCCATCAGAGAAATGCAAATCAAAACCACAATGAGATACCATCTCACACCAGTTAGAATGGTGATCATTAAAAAGCCATAAAAAATGATGAGTTCATGTCCTTTGTAGGGACATGGATGAAGCTGGAAACCATCATTCTCAGCAAACTATCGCAAGGACAAAAAACCAAACACTGCATGTTCTCACTCATAGGTGGGAATTGAACAATGAGAACACATGGACACAGGAAGGGGAACATCACACACCGGGGACTGTTGTGGGGTGGGGGGAGGGGGGAGGGATAGCATTAGGAGATATACCTAATGCTAAATGATGAGTTAATGGGTGCAGCACACCAACATGGCACATGTATACATATGTAACAAACCTGCACGTTGTGCACATGTGCCCTAAAACTTAAAGCATAATAAAAAATAATAATAATAAAATAAAAAAAAATCATAAAACACATGTAGAATATGCCTATGGAGAAGACACTATAGGCAACAAGGGTAATTTTTTGAAAGCGAATGTTTTATGGTCTCCATAAAGTTTCAAAAACATAATTTTGATGTAATATAAAATAAAGCTGAAATGATGAAAAAAAAAAAGAATGTTGAATATTGGCCCCACTCTCTTCTGGCTTGTAGGGTTTCTGCAGAGAGATCTGCTGTTTGTCTGATGGGCTTCCCTTTGTGGGTAACCCGACCTTTCTCTCTGGCTGCCCTTAACATTTTTTCCTTCATTTTGACCTTGGTGAATCTCATGATTATGTGTCTTGGGGTTGCTCTTCTCGAGGAGTATGTTTGTGGTGTTCTCTGTATTTCCTTAATTTGAATGTTGGCCTGTCTTTCTAGGTTGTGGAAGTTCTCCTGGATAATATCCTGAAGAGTTTTCCAACTTGGTTCCATTCTTCCCATCACTTTCAGGTATTCCAATCAAACGTAAATTTGGTCTTTTCACATAGTCCCATATTTCTTGGAGGCTTTGTTTGTTCCTTTTCATTCTTTTTTCTCTAATTTTGTCTTCTCACTTTATTTCATTAAGTTTATCTTCAATCTCTGATATCCTTTCTTCTCCTTGATTGATTTGGCTATTGATACTTGTGTTTGCTTCACGAAGTTCTCATTCTGTGTTTTTCATCTCCATCAGGTCATTTATGTTCTTCTCTAAACTGGTTATTCTATTTAGCAATTCACCTAACGTGTTTTCAACATTCTTAGCTTCTTTGTATTGGGTTATAACATACCCCTTTAGCTCAGAGGAGTTTGTTTTTACCCACCTTTTGAAGCCTACTTCTGTCAATTTGTAAAACTCATTGTCCAGCTTTGTTGCCTTGCTGGCAAGGAGTTGGGATCCTTTGGAAGACAAGAGGCGTTCTGGTTTTTTGAATTTCAGACTTTTTATGCCAGTTTCTCCCCATCTTTGTGTATTTATCTACCTTTGGTCTTTGATGTTGGTGACCTTCAGATAGGGGTCTGTAAGTGGACTTCCTTTTTGTTGATGTTGATGCTATTCCCTTCTGTTCATTAGTTTTCCTTCTAACACTCAGGCTTCTCTGCTCCGGGTCTGCTGGAGTTTGCTGGAGGTCCACTCCTGACCCTGTTTGCCTGGGTATCACCAGCAGAGGCTGCAGAACAGCAAAGATTGCTGCCTGTTCCTTCCTCTGGAAGCTTTGTCCCAGAGGGCACCTGCCATATGCCAGCCAGAGCTCTCCTGTATGAGGTGTCTGTTGGCCCCAACTGGGAGGTTTTCCCAGTCAGGAGACACGGGGTCAGGGACCCATTTGAGGAGACAGCCTGACCCTTTGCAGAGCTCGAACACTGTGCTGGGAGATCCACTGCTCTCTTCAGAGCTATCAGACAGGGACATTTAAGTCTGCTGAAGCTGCCCCCACATCCACCCCTTCCCCAGGTGCTCTGTCCCAGGGAGATGGGGGTTTTATCTATAAGCCCCTGACTGGGGCTGCTGCTTTTTTTTTCAGAGATGGTCTGCCAGAGAGGAGGAATCTAGAGAGGCAGTCTGGCCACAGCAGCCTTTCTGGGCTGTGGTGGGCTCTGCCAAGTTTGAACTTCCCAGTGGCTTTCTTTACACTGTAAGGGTAAAACCGCCTACTCAAGCCTCAGCAATGGCAGACGCCCGTCTCCCCACCAAGCTCGAGTGTCCCAGGTCGAACTCAGATTGCTGTGCTAGCAGCGAGAATTTCAAGCCAGTGAATCTTAGCTTGCTGGGCTCTGTGGGGTTGGGACCCGCTAAGCCAGACCACTTGGCTCCCTGGCTTCAGCCCCCTTTCCAGGGGAGTGAATGGTTCTGTCTTGCTGGCGTTTCAGGCACCACTAGCGTATGAAAAAAAATTCTGAAGCTAGCTCAGTGTCTGCCCAAACAGCCACCCAGTTTTGTGCTTGAAACCCAGGGCTCTGGTGGCATAGGCACCGGAGGAAATCTCCTGTGGGTCTGTGGGTTGTGAATACCATGGGAAAAGTGCAGTATCTGGGCTGGAGTGCACCATTCCTCACGGCACAGTCCCTCATGGCTATCTTGGCTAAGGAAAGGAGTTCCCTGACCCCTTCTGCTTCCCAGATGAGGCAACACCCCACCCTGCTTTGGCTCGCCCTCTGTGGGCTGCACCCACTGTCTGACCAGTCCCAGTGAGATGAACCAGGTACCTCAGTTGGAAATGCAGAAATCACCCACCTTCTGTGTCAATCTTGCTAGGAGCTACAGACCACAGCTGTTCCTATTCAGCCATCTTGCCAAGTCTATATCAAAAAACTTATTTTTAAAAAGACAGATATTGGCCAGGCAAAGTGGCTCACAACTGTAATCCCAATACTTTGGGAAGCCGAGGCAGGTGAATCACTTGAGGTCAGGAGTTCAAGACCAGCCTGGCCAACATGGAGAAACCCTGTCTCTACCAAAAATACAAAATTAGCCAGGCATGGTGGCAGGCACCTGCAATCCCAGCTACTCAGAAGACTGAGGAAGGAGAATCGCTTGAACCCAGGAGGCGGAGGTTGCAGTGAGCCAAGATCACACCATTACACTGCAGCCTGGGCAACAGAGCAAAACTCCATCTCAAAATAAATAAGTAAATAAATAAATAAAATTTAAAAGACATATTCTAGTTTTGGACATGTTCAATTTAGTGGGCATCATGATACCAGAAAAAGTGAAACACCGAGCCAGAAATAAGAGAAAGCTACATTCTGTTGGTTTTTATCTAGCTACATCCATATTGAGGATGAAGTCTGCTGATATGTCAGTACCCATTTGGTATTAAATAATGATGAGTACATGCCAGGATCATGCTAGGTGCTTCACATGCATTATTTCAAACATATTGATGGATCTGTGTATTCAGTGCATTTTACCTAGCCCCTTTCCTTAAATGTCCATTGGTAAAACATTAAAAACGGTGAAATACACACAAGTGCCAGATGCAAGGAGTGGCACAAGTCATAGCCCTAAAAACTGAGCAACTTTTTAAACATATTATAAAGAAGATAGACTTGAAGGATAGTCCAATCAACCCATGTGTTACTGCCTACATGATAAAAGCTCACCTGAGACAGCTCTAAGGACAAATGAGCAATTAGACTAACACTTATAAAGCAGTGGCAGGGGTCCTGGGGAGTAGAAAGAGATCAAAGAGTAAAATAATAAAGGGTAATTCTGATCATGAATTATATGAGGAAGAATTAGCTTCCACTTGATGATGATGGTGATGATGATGATGATAACGAGTACAAAGTGAAAAACTAAACACCAACTATCTCTATAAGGCATTTCAGAAAGTAAACATCTGTTTTTAAACAAAATTTTTAATCTTAGAAACAAACGGCCAGGCGCGGTGGCTCACGCCTGTAATCCCAGCACTTTGGGAGGCCGAGGCGGGTGGATCATGAGGTCAGGAGATCGCGACCATCCTGGCTAACACGGTGAAACCCCGTCTCTACCAAAAAATAGAAAAAATTAGCCGGGCCTGATGGTGGGCGCCTGTAGTCCCAGCTACTCAGAAGGCTGAGGCAGGAGAATGGCATAAACCCAAGAGTCAGAGCTTGCAGTGAGCCAAGATTGTGCCACTGAGCGACAGAGCGAGACTCCATCTCAAAAAAAAAAAAAACAAAAACAAAAAGAAACTATGGTTTGTTTGCATGCCATTAGAGGAATACCAAATAGCATCGTTGTCATTTTTAAGGAACCAAACCACTGAACATAGGTCACCAAACTACTCTCCCTGTTAGAATGATACAATCATACAAAGAGATGGTAATATAAAAGCAATTCAGGCACAGAAGTGGATATCACTATGGACCTCTCCAGCAAGTTCTCCAACTGGCATCTAAATATAAGTGATGTACCATTCGTACTAGCAAAAGACATCCTGACTTCTGGCTTGGCAAATAATTCTAAATCAACCCTGACCTCCTTATCTGCTCCTGGAAGATTTAATAAATCCCAGTATCATCAGTGCTGAAAGAAACCTTAACATACAATGTTAGAAACATATAACTTTCCCTTTAAAATGCTGTGAAAAATAGAAAAAAAATGGGACAAATGAAAACATTCAGCACTTCAAGGAGGAAGAAAGAACAAGAGGAAAAGAGCATAAGTGATTGAAGAAACAAATTATTTCTAGAACAGAAGAAAAAATAAATTTCTAGAAAATTTAAAACTTCCTACATGTAAGAAACTATTTAAAGGGTAACACCTGAGTTCAGAAAAATACTGTCTTTCACCACAGATATATGGGACGATTATAGTGGAAATAAAATGCTGGCTTATAAAATCACTCACAAAATCATTTAAAAATTTATTTTTATAAGATTGGGGAAATGTGAAACATTAAGGTTAGAATATACTATTAAATTAAAATACAAGTCTGAGTGATCCTAATTTTTTTTCCTCACTGCCTCTTTGATTAGGTCTTTATTCAAAAGAAGCTGTTCAAAATGATTTGACTTTTATGGAATAATCAAATTTAAGAGTTTATGCAGCAGGCTCCTTTTCCTCCGTAGTAGATTTCTTTTTTGCCGGCTTCTTTTCAGCTGCTGGTTTCTTGGTAGCTGCTGCCTTTTCTCCCACCAGAGGCTTCTTCTGCTTCTTAACATCAACAATGGCCTTCTTTCCTTTCTTACATACCACAGGCTTCTTGCCTACAACCCCCTTCTCATCTGATCTGGCTTCTAGTGCTGCTGCTGCCGGCTGCTGCCTTATCCACCCAGAGTTTGTGATTCCTGGCCTAGCGAAGAATGGTGTTCCGGCGCATGATCTGTGTGTATGGGTTTAGCTTCAACATCATTCTCAGATTTTTCAGTGGGTTCTTTAGGACTCTGCGATGAATCTTCTTGCAAGGTGCTCGAAGGGCTCACTGGATCTCTGGGCTTTTTAAGATGCTGCTAAGGTCTGTATTGATCATCTTGTGCATGGGAAGATTGTAGTTACTCTTGAGGGAAGCAGCTTTATGCCAAGTGCCAGAAAATTCATCTAACTTCCAGAAAGCACTTTGAGTCCAAATGCAGAAATGTCCCACATGCCCACCAGGAGCAAGTTTCAAAATGTTCAGTTTGCTTATATTAAGCATAGTAATTCCAGGGATGTTTCTGAAGGCCTTGACGATACCATTATCCTCATTACAGATGATGCGGCGCCCCTGCGCCGGATACGGTGATGGTTTCTCGTTTTGCTCTTGCTGGATCTCATTTGCTGAGAGACATAGACCTTCTCGATATCATTCCAGGCTTTAAGTTTCTTAAGAAGCAAAACAGCCTCCTTGGTCTTCTTGTAGCCTTCAACTTTATCTTCGACTACCAAAGGAAGTTCAGGAGCTTCCTCAATACGATGACCCTTAGACATAACCAGTGCTGGTAAGGCTGAGGCAGCCAGGGCAGAAGAGATGACATATCGTTTTGGGGTTGTATTCACTCTACTATGCCAATGGAGCCAGGTTTTGGTTGGTGCAAACATTCAGCCTCCACGACACATGTTTCCAAAAGCTCCCTGGCCAGAATGGTGAGTCCCACCACTTCGAACTCTGGGAATTCAAGCTGCAGCTCTGCCAGTACTCCAAGACTCAACACTGGTTTGATGACCTGCTGATTCACTGACAGCATAGGGCTGTCTGTTGTTTTTGCACAAGTTGGCGTGAACAAAGTTCACAATATCTGGTCGAATAGGAGCCTTGAATATGGCAGACAAAGTGACATTTTTGCCAGATGACTCTCCCTTCTCAGAGTACGCTGACATCAGTGGGCAAGCACATGCCATGGCAGAGAGAGGAGAGAGCCACTGCTCTTCTCACCCCAGCTGCTGCCACAGGAAAAGCGATCCTAATTTTTTTTTTAATGAAGAAGGAATACTAAATGTTAGCTATGAATTATGTGTATGATAGGATTATAAGACATTTTGATTTTCTATTTTATAATTTCCTGTTTTTTCCTATACCGTGCACTTAATATATTTATAGTTAGAAAAAGTTAATAAATACTAATGTTAAAAGATAAAAGACTCCATCAAGGAGAGGATTCTCTGACACCAAGATGTCCTTGGTAGGGGAGAAATCATTCAGATGACTTTATGGCACCCATAAAGTCAACCCTAAGACCAGGATATCAACTAAGAAATCATTAACTCCCAAAAAGAGTTTAATCAAAATGTTCTGAAAATCATTAAGTCATTTTGAAACTGACCTTTTAGGATGTTTTGTAATGTCCGTACATTAAAAATACCTTACAGCAAAATCCCTGACTTAAAGGTAAAGGAAATAGAGTGTGGCTTTAGTCCCAGGTGCAGGTTTGGGTACAGGATACAGGTGCCTGAGAAGCAATGTGTACTCTCTGCACAGAAGTAGATAGCTGAGTCCCCAGTCTGGGTGTCTGCAATGCGCAGAGACAGATGTTTATCCTTTTTATTCAATAGAACAGTGAGTCTTTGGTCTTGTTTCATGTCCATATTTGAAAAAATATACGTCAGCAACTGGAGACCTGCTCCAGGTTCTTGCTTATACCAGTATAAGTAGGTGGAGGAGCTGTCTGTGTAAGTGCAGTTTATAACGGAGCTGTCTCCCTCTCGGACACTCAGGAAAAGACTCTGCTCCACATCCTCTCCTCTACTCATACCTGTGCAAAAGGAAAAGTCAGACAAGATCATCAGGCCATCATTCTCTGGAGTTTGCTTTTTTATTTTTTTCACTGTAGTAACTTCAGACATTCTGGAAAAGACCAGATGAGTCTCCTCCTCAGACTTCTAATGAGTATTTACTAAACCCTCTGTTCCCCAAAAGCTCTCGACTCACAGTCCAGCTGCAGCCACAAAAACAGGAACGAAAATCCAGCAAATGTCTTCATTGTTCTCCCCACTGGGACCTGCAATCTCCAGCCAAGAGAGCTATATTATCAAGTATCTCTTCCTTTCCTCCAAAGCACTGTGGTTTCTTAAACTGTCCACAGAGGCATCTGCTTCTGCCGTCAGCCTACTCACAGAAGTCAACCAAAAGGATCCTTTCGTACATTCTACATGAGCAGAGAAGCTCTGCCACCTTGTGGCCAGATCCCCAAACGCTAAACCAATTATCCTGTATCTGTGGGAGATTCTGGCACATCAAACAGCAGAAGGCCAAATAAAGTAAATTCCAAGTGTACCTCCAGTCAGAAATTATGTGGATTAGCAGACAGAAAAAGTGCAAACGTAGGTTTTAGAATTCCATTGCATCTTCTCGGCACACTACTGAGTCACGTTAAATATATTTGAAGAAGTTAGAGGTTTTTCGTGTTTATTAATGACAGTCTTCTTGAAATTAAGAAAATGCCATGATTCAGTCTACAAAGCTACTGAGGTATAAAACGTTTCCTCCTTATCCCTCTACTATTTTTTGAATTGGCCAGAAAATCAATCAGCCAAATTAGCCATCCTGTTTCAGCACTCACAGAGGAAAACTCTTTCTGAAGCTAGCATTTAAGCACAAAAATTGGAGTAAGACAGGTTCACTAAATATATCAGATGCATGCTATCTCAGGCTCTGCTCCTCCAAGCCTGGCCTTGTTCCTGTTCTTGCCATTCCCAGGAAATTGACAGTGCCAGAGGTCAAAACATGAGTGTTGTTTTCTTCAAAATGACTAAATTATACAATAAAAGATAAAAGGAGGGAGAAAGGCTTCCATGAGTTAATAATATTGGTCTAATGAAAGGAAAGAGTTTAGCCTATAGATTGTGATGAAAAATCTGACATGCACTCTGAAATATTTTCCTCTGGAAGAACAGATCATCTGAAATTACGGATATGTGGCTTACTTATTGCAAAGTATTGACATAAAAGAGGAAACATCTCAGGAAACATCAGACTACAGATTGAGATAATGTAAACAAATGTACACCTTTTCCAAGTGTATTCTTATTCCTATTGTCAGAATGAGTGGCTTGTCCTCAAATGTGATCACTGAATAATGAATGATCTGTAGTGGAATTTCCCCTCCTGTTACCCTGGGCACTGCTAACTCAGATTTCAGACCCAAAAACTTTTCCCTCGATTTTATTGTCTATTGCTAAAATCATTGTTTGGATATTCCCCTGTGATAAAGTCCTTCAGTATTTTAAATTTTCTATCCAAACCCTACATCATCTATTTTAATTTCTTTAGTCTTTCTGATTCATTCCTGTAATAATAAATATAAGTAAGCATAAAACCAATGCCTGTTAGTAGCATAATATATGTAGGAAACTGACAATGGCAAATTTACTCTCCGTCCAGGGAAACTTGGTCTGACTGTTTTTCACAAGTTGGAGTCCCTTCCCTGTGCTTTGACTTAGTAGATCTCCAAGCAATGTAGAAAATTAATCTAATTCCTCATCTGCATGGCATAACTAATATATCTCAAGTGTGATTATACAGAATCACTTTCCTAAAATACAAAGATATGTACATATTACAAAATGTATTTAGATTTATATACATCAAATGTATTTATTTAAAGTTTTCATTTAAATTGTTTTATCCTTTTACTCATTCATCATATCATATAATTCCCAGATCCTTTATCATATTTCTTAGTTGCATTTTCCTTGAACTTTTCTTAACAGTTTAGGTCAATATCTGTCCTTCGGATATATAGCATGCAGAGTTGAAAATACTAGTCGTTAGGTGGTCTGCTTCTGTTCCACCTATTTACTATAACTCTACTCACAATTATGGTCTGGAAAAATTTCTACCCCTATGATTTTTTCATAAAATGTTGCCTTATTGTCAAAAACAATGGCATGGAATAGCTTTATTTTCTAGTACTGACATGGATTTCAATATGCATAAGCAATGTTCATTTTGCTCCCAATTTATCTACTTTTTCTTTCCCTTGGTCATTTTTTCTTTCACTCTGTATGTGATGCACATTATATTTATAAATACAGGATAATGAGTATAATTTGTTATTAATAATATGAAATAGAAAGTACACCTGAGTGATGAGGTTAGTTATAAACAGTCCTTGGCCTACTCTTACTTATGTCAGAGAGTGAATTACTGATTTCCTTGTAGTATGAGAGTGGCTGACCCTAGCTTTCCTATTCTTTTCAAAATTCTGAACATGTATTGTCTGGTTGGCATAGATCAATGGTCTTATACATGGTTAGGGGCCAGATAGTGTATGCCCATGCTATGGGACAGTGTCTCCCCGCTGGCACACCAATGTAAGACCATAATAACTTGGCACACAGTATTCAGTGAATGTTTTTTCAGTTAAATTGGATCCCAGAGTTTCAGAGCTATTAGGACCCTTAGGATTCTGTAGTCCACAGTTTGTCAATATTAGCACTAACATTTGTACAAAATAATTCTTGGTTGGAAGCTCTCCTGTCCATTTTAGGATGTTTAGAGCATCTCTGACCTCTCTCCACTAAATGCCAGTTTCAACTCTCTGTACGACAATAAAAAATATCTCCAGATATTCCAAAATATCCCCTGAAGGATAAAATTGCTCCCACAGGGGAACCACTGTTCTAGCCCAATCTCACTCACAAATTTAAAAAAATTGAATCTAAGGTAAGTTTAGAGTCTCAACAAAATAAAACAATTAACTAGTTTTTAAAAAAAAACTAGAACTTGAAAAAAATATTTTTCCCACCTCCCTTCATCATTCTGTTTACTTCCTCACTTCAGGACCACATTGCTTAACAAAATGTACAAATTCAGGAACTGTGCTACAATGAGAATCCTGAATCACCAGAACTGGAGTTTGGCCTAAGACTCTGCATTTCTAACAAATTCCAAGGTGATGCTGATGCTGATGATTCAATGTGGATGACTACAGATGGGGCCGGACTGCCCTCCTTCTATTTTCTGTTTTGTGTTGGGTTAGAATTAATTCTTCATTAAATGTTCTATTCAACTCACCTTTGAAGCTACCTGAGCCTAGAATTTTTCTGTGAAATTTTAAGGGGTTTTTTGTTTGTTTTGATTGGTTGTTTGTTTTTGAGACAGTTTCACTCTTGTTGCCCAGGCTGGAGTGCAATGGTACAATCTCGGCTCACCTGCAACCTTCACCTCCCAGATTCAAGCGATTCTCCTGCCTCAGCCTCCCGAGTAGTTGGGATTACAGGCATGTGCCACCACACCCGGCTAATTTTGCATTTTTAGTAGAAACGGGGTTTCTCCATGTTGGTCAGGCTGGTCTCAAACTCCCAACCTCAGGTGATCCGCCCAACTCAGCCTCCCAAAGTGCCAGGATTACAAGCATGAGCCACCGCGCCCGGGCTATATTTTATCATTTTTTACTTCAAAATATCTTCTAACTTTCCTTGCAATTTCTTCTTTTCTCAATGGGTGACTTAGAAGTATATTGCTTAATTTGCAAATATTTGGGGATTTTCTACTGTATACCTTGTTACTGACTTCTAAATTAATTATATTGTGGTGAGAAAACTGTAGGATTCTAATCCTTTCAAATCTATTGAGACTGTTTTACATCTAAAAATATGGTCTGTTTGATGAACGTTCTGTGTGTACTTGAAAAGAATGTATATAGTGCACTTGGTGGGTATAGTGCTCTATAAATGTCAATTAGATCTAGTTGATTGTTCCAGCCTTGTATATTTTTACTGACTTTCTGTCTTCTTGTTCTATCAATTACTAGAGAGGAGCCTTACAGTCTCCAACTCTGATTACAGATTTGCCTATTTCTCCTTTAATTCTGTTAATTTGGTTTCATATATTTTATAACTCTACTATCAGTACATAAACATTTAGAGAATATTATCTCTTCTTGATCAAGTGACCCTCTGTTTATTATTAAATAACGCTTTTATCTCATAACACCCCTCATTTTCAAATATTATTTAATATTAATAAAGACACATAGCTTTCTTATGGTTGCTATTTGCATGGCATAGGTTGCCTCTTACTTTCAACTCATCTTTGTCTTTAAAGTACATTTTTTGTGAATGACATACAATTGTGTCTTTTTGTCTAGTTTGAGAAAATCTCCCTTTTATTTGGAATGTTTATGCTATTTACATTTAATGTAATTATTTTTATTTGGTTTGAATCTACAATGATAATCCATTTTCTATGTTTTTCCTCTAGTCTTTGTTAATATGCCCTTTATTCTCCCTTCTTTTGATTTATTTGAGAAGTTTCTATACTCGTTCATTCTATTTCCCCCATTGGCTATTAGCTAAACCTTTTTGCTTTGGTTTTTTAATTGTTTATCTACAGATTATCATATGCATCCTCAGTTCATCAGATTCTCTCTTGAATTAATATTATACAGCTTCATACATAATGCAAGAATCTTACAACAGTTTAATCCTATGCCCCTTCAGTTTTTTGTGTTATTGCTGTTGATTTTATTTATATATGTTATTAACGGTGTAATACATTGTTATTATTTTTGCATTTGTCAACTGTATTTTGAAAAACTTAGAAAAGTAATCTCTTTTTAATGTTTCCACATAGTTACTATTTTTAATGTTCTTTATTACTTCCTTGGGTCATAAATTCCATCTGATATCATTTCCCTTCAGTCAACAAACCACCTAACAAAAATACTTTATAATTTTTGAAGTATGACTCTGCTGATAACATACACTCACAGCATTAATTTATTGTTAAATGTCCTTGTTCTAGGGTATAGACCTATTTGTAGGGTATACCCTTTAGTCCCAGAGTATTGTTCTTATTTTTAGGGCGTGGTCCTTCTGGGTTTTCATTAGAAAGCCTAAGTTTTTACCCAACCTCTTTCACTTGGCAGCACTTGCATTTAAAATTCTATTGCCCTAGTTGAGGGTAACTGCTAAAATCTTTTCTCTCAGCCATCTGGCTGCTGTTTTCTACTTACTTTCTTAGAGTCTTGTCTTATGCCTGCACAGCTCAAGAATCAACCAAGGGATAGTTTTATTTTTTTTAACTTGTATAAATTTAGGAGCTACAAGTGCATTTCTTATACATGAATATAAAGTCTAGGCTTTTAGTATAGCCATCACCTGAATAATGTACATTGTACCTATTAAGTAATTTCTCATCTCTTACCCCCCTCCCACTCTCCCACCCTTCAGACTCTCCAGTGTCTATTATGCACTCTCTGTGTCCATGTGTAAACGTTATTTAGTTCCCACTTATAAGTAAGAACATACAGTATTTTCTGTTTCTGAGTTGTTTCACTTAAGATAATGGCTTCCAGTTCTATCTATGTTGCTGCAAAAGACATGATTTCATTCTTTGTATGGCTGAATAGTATTCCATTGTGTCTATATACTATATTTTCTTTATCCCACAATTAGGTTGATTCCATATCTTTGCTATTGTGAATACTTCTGTGATAAACATATGAATGTATGTATCTTTTTGATATGATTTCCTTTTCTTTGAATAACACTCAGTAGTGAGATTGCTGGATCAAATAGTAGCTATATTCTTATTGCTTTGAGATATCTCCATACTGTTTTCCACAGAGGTCATCCTAATTTACATTCCCACCAACATTATATAAGCATTCCCTTTTCTCTGCATCCTTGCCAATGTCTGTTATTTTTTTGACTTTTTAATAATAGCCATTCTGACTGGTGTAAGATGGTATCTCATTACTTTTAATTTGCATTTCTCTAACGATTATTGATGCTGTGCCTTTTTTCATATGCTTGTTGCCATTTCTATGTCTTCTTTTAAACAATTATTCATGTCCTTTACTCACTTTTTTTATGGGGTTTAAAAAGTGAGTAAAGGACATGAATAATTTATTTATATATAAAATATATATAATGTGAATAAATTTTATATATATATATATTTGGTTTTTGTTTTTTTTTTTTTTTGGAGACAGGGTTTCTTATATCACCAGGCTGAAATGCAATGGCACCATCATGGCTCACTGCAGCCTGGACCTCCCAGGCTCAGTTGTACTTTCTGCCTCAGCCTCCTGAGTAGCTGGGAATACAGGCACACACCACCATGCCTGGCTAATTTTTGTATGTTTAGTAGAGGCAGGGTGTTACCATGTTGCCCAGACTGGTCTCGAACTCCTGGGCTCAACCAATCCACCTGCCTGGTTCTCCCGAAGTGCTGGGATTGCAGGCATGAGCCACTGCACCCAGCCGGGTTATTTGTTTTTTGTTATTTTTGCCGAGTTCCTAACTAAGTGTGGCTTTGTAAGATTTTGTAACTCCTCACACTGTGAATCCTTCTTTTCCTGGATCCCCCCTTGAATTTCAGCTACTCTGTCAGCACCGAACTCCAAACTCTGACTCCTAAATCCAATAAGACAGCTGCTTTCTGCTTGAGCTTCATTTCCATGTGCCATACACCATACAGGGACTTCACTCAGTGTGTTTCTGTCCAAGTGACATATCTCCCGCAGTATATTCTTATATTTTGTCACTGTTTGGAACCTTCAAACAGCATTTTTAAATTTTTTTCTCATTTGTGTATTTCCCAAATATTCACAGTGTTATTTTATACATATTACCGACAAATCATAACATTTTTTCTTCTTGTTACTTAAAAAACATCCCTCACATAACTTACTTTACCACTCTTTATGCCGTTTACTTGCAAACATCGGTGCCTATTTACATATATTAAATTTCCATTTGATCAAAGACAGATAATAGGTTGTTTAAAAATCCTAAATTTAAGAGAAATTTGTTTTCAAATGAAAGATGAAAATTTAGGGTAATTATGTGTTTCCATAGTCATCTCTTTTTACAAGCTCCTTAAAACACCTATTAACATATGAATTTTAACATACGCAGAAAGACTCTCTCATTACAAACATCAACAAGTATAAGTGAAATCAAATTTGGAATTTTTATCCGAATGTATTACTATTGTCTATACAAATTAAATCTGTTGGAAGAAAGAATTCAGAGTATATTGAGACTGTTTATGACAGTTTATTACTTGTTTATTTATATTAGGGCATTAGTCATACTTCACAACACCTATGATCTCAATTCTATCAAATTATGAGGGTTAAACTATATAGATTAAACTATATAGCTACAGTTTTTAATTAAAATAGCTTCTACTACCGTTCAGACAAATTAGCATAATTCTAAGAGCTTATCAAATGGTTTTCAGTTTTACTAATAGCAAATTAAGCTAACTTTGCCACACTGCTAATAAATTCAAAATGGCAAAACAATGTATATATTCAACCTCTTAAATAAAATGCAATGTTTATAAATAACTTTTCCAAGGCTGTTAAATTTTGTTTAATATTTTTCTGATCATAAAACCTACCTGAGCTCTGCCTCCTGTCAGAGCAGCAATGGCATTAGATTCTCATAGAAGCGCAAACCCTACGGTGAACTGTGCATGAGAGGGATCTAGGTTGCCTAGTTCTTATGAGAACCTAACTAATTCCTGATGAGCTAATGGTTTCATCCCGAAATCATCCTCACTCCCTTGGTCTGTGGAAAAATTGTCTCCCATGAAACTAGTCCCTGGTGCGAAAAAGGTTGGGAACTGCAGCATTACAGGACCTCCCACTAAAGAAATTTTGGAAAATGCCTCTGAAATGAGGAGTTTCATGGTAAATTCTCCTTTGCCTGCAAGTAACATGAGAGATCAGGAGAGCCACTTCAGTGGTCCCTGCCCCTCAGCAAACGCAACTATGACTTGAGGCAACTTTTTCCTACAGAAGTTTAACTTTCTCTCTCCAGATTAGAGAATGCAGTTTGTACTAGGCAGTTTTCCCGGAGGATTAGCGGTAACACTGAGCAGAAAACAATGGCCAAATTAAAGCAGGAAAGTACATAAACTGGGTCCAATACTACTGAAATAATTTATCAAATAATTTGTCAAGTAATTAAATGAGTATGGAATATGTGCACAAATAGCAATGAGAGGACAGATAGAGGCAAGACAGAGACCCAAATTCTTAGAGAAATACGCAATTTCAGATTAGTGAAGACAGGATGCGTCGCTCAATAAATATTGGGGAAAAATAAAACTGGGTCGCTGCTCCACTCCATATTCTAAAAATAAGTTTATGATTGTCCACAAAGTTTCCATGTATGAAAACAAAGCTACTAACATAATTATAGAAGAAATATAAATTGAAGGTTATTTATAATAGCAAGGCAACAAAGGCCTTTTTAAGTGATACCAACGCCAGAAGCCATTAAGAAAAAAAGTCAATATATAAAATTTCATGAAAATTTTAAATGCAGGAATAAGAACACTAATGGATTATATCATTAATCCTTTCCAGTTGAAGTTATTTTCCATCTGTCTCTTCTGACTAATTCTTCTTTTCACACTATAAGCTCCCACCCAAACCCAGAAGTAGTATAGTAGACACAATTGACCACTCCTTGAAACATTTTCTTGTTTTGCCTTCTGTGACAGCACATTCTATTGGCTTCCCTTCCAATTCACTAATAGACTTCGATCTCCTTTGCTGATTTTTCCTTCGCTATTAAACCTCAACTGACAGTCCAAGTGCTCAGGTTAAGAACCTCTTCTCCATCCACACTCTTTCCCTAAGTGATCTCATTCAATGCGTGGCTTGAACACTATCCCATAGGCCAGCTATGTCCTCTGTTAGCTCCAGGCTCAATATGGAACTCCCTGGTCAACAACTACAGTTGAATGCCTTATAGACATCTCTAACTTAACATATCTGAAATGACACTTTTACCTGCCTACTATAATCAAAAATATTTCCTCTCTCAGAATTCCCTATCTCATCTTCCATGTAACTACATAAGCCAAAAACTTAAAAGTCATCATCGACTCTCTTTTTTTCCCCATCTGCCATATACAAATCATCATTAAGATCTATTTTTTACCTCCAAAATATAAGTTAATTCATCCATGTTTCTTCATTCCCACTTCTACCACCTAGTCTATACCTCCATCAGGTCTCACTGGGTCCCCTGCAAATTCTAACTGTCTTTGTGCCCTAGTCTCTCCCCATGCCAACCCTATGAGCCATTCCCCAGAGCACGAAGAGTGATCCTTCTAAAATATAAATTAGGTAGTCAAATACTTCCCAATACATGTAGAATAAAATCTGAATCTAACCATGATTTACAAGGCTTTGTATTTTCAAGTCCATAACTACCTTTTTGACATTATTTCCTACCACTCTCCTTCTCACTATATTCAGGGAACACCAGCTTCTGTCATAAATGCAGCAAACATGCTCTGCCTAAGGACCATTGTTGCATTTGAAAACTCTTTCTTACCCCAGGTCTTAAATGGTTTTGTCATTTTTCTGTCATTCAAGATTCAGCTCAAATGTCACCACTAAATGACCTCCATAACCACCATGATTCTCCTTCACATTACCCTATTTTGTTTTCCAAATGTCACTTATATTTGGAAATCATTTTTTTCTTTGTTTGTGTTGTCTGCCCACAGAAGAATAAAACCTCCGTTTGTGCAGAAAACTTATCTATATTGGAGAATAAGGTACTTCCTCCATTACATCATTGCCTATCACATCATAATACAAAATAAACATTTGCTGAGTAAATGTACTAATGAGTTCCAAATGAAATAATTTTGGCTGTTTCTCTCTCAGAGAAAAAAATAATGGTATGACCCTGGCCTCATTTTTAAAATTTTTTTCTATTTCACAGCTTTAGGGGTAAACGTGGTTTTTGGTTACATAGATGAATTCTATAGTGGTGAGTTCAAGGATTTTAGTGCACCCATCACCCAAGTAGTGTACATTGTACCCAACAAGTAATTTTGCATCTCCCTTTCCCCTCCCAACATCTCCCCTTCTGAGGGGACATCATTTTGTTTAAAAAAATCATGTGATCTTTCTACAGAGAAATAGCAGATCAATTTATTGATCAATTTATTGATCTTTTTGTCACAGACCAAGAGTTTTAACTCCCAAAAAAATGTTCTTGTATTGGCTCAGGTCTTTTTCAGTTTCTGAAGAGTCTGAACACCCAGTATGTGATGTCATCCTCCAAACAGCTTTTTGGGTTGGCAGGTGAGGTTTAATAGCAATGATAATGCAGGATATAGATAGCATTAATCTGATGAGTGCTGATTAAACCAGGACATTCTTAGTGATAGTCTTTTAACCACAGAAGAACCCTGGAAAAATAGTATTATGACCCTCATTTTATAGACAAAGTATTAAAGCTCAAATGCCAAAAGTATTTGACTAAGGTCAAACTCTTTACAGCAGGAGATCTCAGATTCAAACCCAGGAATGCCTGGCTTTAGAGCTGATTATTTTTCCAGTCTGTTTTGCTGCCCAGAGCATGTAGTAAAAATAAAGTACAACTAGAATTAGAGTGCCCCTTCTACCATCCCTCAGTGGCTGTTCAACTCTTTCTTCCAAAATGGCTAACATACAGATACCTGTTCATAAAAGCAGACCTTGAAACAAAAGCTAGTTGTGTTGTTTCCTCACAGTCAGTTCCTCCTTGAAACAACCTGGACCGTAACCCGGCTCCCCATCTCCACAGCACAGCTCTTTTCCTCTGGACTACCCCAAAGGCATCATCCAACCAAGATCCCAAGAGCAGGCATGGGATGAACTCCAAGTGGGTAGAAAACATTTTGAAATTTTCCAATCCAATATTCCACCTTTTCCAGATCAATTATCTACAGAATAGTATAGTATCTTCTTTAGATAATCCCACACAGCCTCTCATACGTGGGTATTGATTTTCATAAGTAGGCAGGAACATTACAGAGATGTCCCTCTATCCCACTCTCTCAACTCTTATGACTGGAGTGCGGCTTTGGGCAGAGGCTCTCCAGGGACTTTGGAATCACTCTGAGCTTCTCACAAAGATGTAGGTGTCAGAGTCGCCAGCCTTTGGGTCTGTTTTGTGCAAAGGGGTGTATTCATTGTCTTTATTCAAATGAACTGTAAATATTCCTTCCTCATTTTCTCCATTGAGAATATGAAAATCAGAAACCCTAGGCTTTTTTGAGGATATTGTCTGTGCCACATGAAGTACTGGAAATAGTGGAGCACTTCAGAGAAGAGTTGGCTGCATCCTGGACATTTGGGGACCAGGACTCCCACTTTCTGCCAGCTCCTCGTCACTGTGTAGAGAAGTCAGACAAAGGAGATGAGTGTATAGGCTCGAATACTCTACAAATGTTTGTTTTCTTTCCACAATACTACTCCCCCACCAAACCCTCAGATGAACTAGATGGAAACCTCCTCCTGCCACATAGCCTGATCCTCTCATTCTCAATAAAAAAATTATCAAATATTGCTTTCCTTGTGATCAAAATCAGAGACAACATCCCACAAAAAACAAACAAACAAAAACATACCCCATGATCCTAATGAAGCCTCAGGAGCCCAAGCAGGATTTTCAGCAAATTTTCTGTTATTCTTCTCTCTTTGGAGCCTCAAAGAACCCAACTTTAAAAACTAATAATGATCCAGAATCCATTTCTGATTTAAATGTTTCAAAAATAGTCTACAATGCAAATCAGAAACAAATTCTCTCCCATCTCCTCCTCTACCATCACCTCCATTTTCCATTACATACCATCCACAATAGGGAAGTGGGACAAAAGAAAAGAGAAAGACAGGCAACAGAGAGAGTGAGAGATCTAATCTCAGGGGACGCATGGAAACCAGCATGTAGATACTTGGAAATGGCCACAGAAATGTTCAAAATGTGTGCAGCTATAAATAATAACCTGATACTTAGGCTAAATGTTTCAAAAGCTAAGAAGCATATTGCCCATGTTGACTGTGCGTGGTATGCATATAAAGTATATGTAGTGTGTGTCTATCTATACACACAAACTGAGGAGTACCAGTGAACTTAGCAACAATAGTATAAATACCACAGATACCTCACTTTGATAATTGAGTACTCAGGGACCATGGTGGAAGGAAGACATCATGCTGTATGCCCTTTTATACTTTTTTAATTTTAGATCACATAAGTGAAATACCTATTTAAAAAATAAATAAGATTGATTTTGCAAATAGTAGAAGAATACATAAATTTGCTAATACCTTTTGAAAATAAAAATTTTAGAAAGCACTTTTGGACTTCTTTCTAGGCTGTGACTCCCACCCCACAGAGGAAAACGGCACAGGTGCAGGCCCATCTGTCTCACTGTGTGTCACCCACGAGGCAGTAGTACACAGCAGTGTCGCTCAGGGAAACCCGGGGCAGGCTCAGAGTGCTGGACTTTCTGTCGGCAGGGATAAACAGGGAGGCCACTTCGTTTGTAACTTTTGTCTTGTATCCTTGAATAATAAATCGTGGTCCTTGGCTGGGAAACTGTTGGTACCACGTGATATAATCATTTGTAGCAATGTTGTTGTGGCTACAGGTTATGTTCACTTCTTGTCCTTCATATGAGTCCATGGAGATGGGCTGGGTGGTCTTAGCAAGGCTCAAAGTACCTATGGGAGTAAAACACAATCCTAGCCCCTATCCTGAAAGCAAGGTAAGTTAGACGGTCCCACTCAGTAGCCCCACGGTTCCCTCTCACAGTCAAATCCATCCCCACGCTCTACTTCCCTGCCATATACATGTACATACAATTTACTTCTCATTTATGTTTCAGTACAAAAATATTTATCCCAGGCATACACAGAAGTGTCAGGTTTACTATCTCCCTCCCATGGATAGACCCTAGGGATTAGAAACCCCGAAAATCTTTGCTGCCCTGAGACACATCTCACATAAATGCTCAGGAGCTGCCTGGAGAAAAATGGAACCCTGAAGCTATCCCTCTACATCTTGGATAAAGAGCAACTGCTAGCAGGCAAAGTTCCAGATTCCTTTCCAGCATCATCAGGCCCAGATCCCATTCCTCTTCATCCCAAAATAACTCACTCAGGGTCAGGAACACGATCACTCTCGCCACTTGCCTCATATTCTAGGTGCAAACTAGGACCCAGGTTCTAGGCTCTTTTGCTGTGTCTGAGCTGCAATGAGCCCAGCAGCAACTGCCAGGGCCCACACCAGCAGCTGTCACTCAGGCTGCCCCAGTACAGCAGCCAATAGCAGGGCAGCAGCTCCTCAGAGCAGGGCTCCCCTCAAAGTTCAGCTAAAGCCCCAAGAAGAGTAGGGAGTGAAAACTGCTGGTACTGAAGCACAGCAGCCTGAATTTCATTTTAGATCTTTGCAGAGGTCTAATCCCTTAAAGATTTGGTCCAAATGAGGCAAAGCTATGAGAAGGTAGATTACATTGGGCTCCTATTCCCCATTACATTACTTTCCACAGCCCGAGAGGGTGGTCATGTACTGTAGTCGGTCTGACACTCATGGACTCATTGACAGTCATGGTCTAAGTGTAACCTGCCTGACTTGTTACTTTATGCCCTGCAGTGCTCCACTGACCCCTATTTAGCCAAGAAGAAACAGGGATTCCTAATCCTATTCCAAGAAAGAGCAAATGAGGCAGTCTGGACTGGACATTCCATCTCCTGATTCCCTGGGATCATTTATAATCCCACTAAGTCCACAACTAATACCTTCTTCTCAGACCCTGTGTAACAGATATTAAACAGAGGAACAAACCTCTCATTAGTCCCTGCTGACCAGCTAGGATAGGACATTTGGTCTGGAATCACTCACTTAACCAAGGAGGAGGTAAGGTGAACAAGAAGAAAAGGCACAGGCTGTGTCAGACAGATCTAAATCTAAATCTCAACTCTGCCACCTTGTGACCTCAGGCAGCTCACTCCTCTGAGTCTTGGTTTCTTCATCTGTAAAATGGGAACAATAATATGTATTTCAGGGTTTCAATCTGTGGCACGTAGTCAACAGTAAATTATAGTTCCTTTCCCTTTCTTCTCATCTGATTCAGAGCGCAGAGTACCATGGCTAGTAGAAGGCAGTCGTGTAGGATTATATATCTAATTTTTTGTAGTTACTGTACACACTTCCTTCAGGAAATAATTAGTATAAATCCTATAACAGAAGCACAAAAACTGAAAAGAAAAATAAAGCCATTCAGGAAAAGAGCCGAAAGACACAGTAGTATTCATTGAATCCAAAAGACACAGTAGTACTCATTGAATCAGCCAAATGCTAGAAACAAAACCTGTTACATACTCACATTAATATGGAAAAGATAGTGGTATGTTGTTTGAGTTCTTTTCTCTTATAATATAGGAATGAAAAAAATCACTGGAAAATATTTGGGAGGTGCCTCTTCTAGGTCTAGAATTGCCGAAAGCATTCTGAATCAGCAATTTTTCCATTTTCCCATGCAAAAAAAAATCAGTGAGTGTTGATGGCTTCTAGTAACATTTTGACAGAGGAGCTATCACAGGTCATGAAATAAATAACCAGGCTTTCCTCAGTAACAAGTGAAGGAGCAAAGATGTTTTTATGAGGGACCTGAAGATACTAGAACACCTTGTACAGAAATGAAAATAAATGGGTTACCCTTTAAACGCAACTCGTTGCAACAGCGACCTCTTGTGGTAACTATACTCAGAAAAAATGTTTCACACAAGTCAGTAGGTCTCAGATCGGCACAATTTATGGAACGTCACATTTCTTTGTAAACGCAATAGCAGAGAGCTTGGTTTGGACTATGAAGTCTATTTTCAGTTATGGAAGAAAACACTGAGTGATAAGTTAGACACACTGAATTGAAACAATCCTTTGGATTTGATAGCTGTGAGATTTTGTTCAAATCACCATTTGAGAGGCACAATTTCTTCATCTCGGCAACAGAGATTATAAGGATTAAATGAACATAAGTAAGTTATTTCTAAACGAGAGTGTTCTATAAAAATACAAACTATGGGCCGGGCGCTGTGGCTCACGCCTGTAATCCCGGCACTTTGGGAGGCCGAGGCGGGCAGATCACGAGATCAGGAGATCGAGACCATCCTGGCTAACACGGTGAAACCCCGTCTCTACTAAAAATACAAAATTAGCTGGTCGTGGTGGTGGCACGCGCCTGTAGTCCCAGCTACTCGGGAGGCTGAGGCAGGAGAACCGCTTGAACCCGAGAGGCGGAGGTTGCAGTGAGCTGAGATGGCGCCACTGCACTCCAGGCTGGTTAACAGAGCCAGACTTTGTCTCAAAAAAAAAAAAAGAAATACAAACTATGTTTAATGCAGGAAATATCACCAAGCCAAAATGGTCTTCCTTTTTCAGGCCAAAAAACGGAACTTGAAGTTTCCGTGTTGCCACCTGTTACCTCACTTTGGAGAATATTACTGGATACCAGGCAACTGGAGGTAGAAACACTGGAAGTTTTTCTATCCCTCAGCCTATGGAATGAAAGTAATTACTGATGGTAGTGGTGTGTTGTGGGTTGAATTGTGTTTTCCTCCCACCCAAAAAATATATATGCATATTGGAGTTCAAATCCCTAGTACTTCAGAAGGTGACCTTATTTGGAAACAGTTTTTACAGGAAATCAAGTTAAAATGTGGTATTTGGGTGGGCTCGAATCCAAACTGGTGAACGATGACTGGTGTCCTTACAAAAAGGGGGAATATGGACACCGAAATGGACAAAAACAGAAGAAAAATTTGAAGAGGTACAGGGAGAAGATGGCCATCTACAAGCCAAGAACAGAGGCGTAGAACAGGTCCTTCCATCACAGCCCTCAGAAGGAAACAACCATGCCAACACCTTGATTTTGAACTCCTGTCCTCCAGAACTGTGAAACAATACATTTCTGTTGCTTAAGCCACCCAGTTTGTGGCCTCTTGTTACCACGGCCTTAGCAAACTAATATATGGTGCTAATAATTATATTATATATTATATGTTAAGTAGGTTGTGATGGTTGACTTTATGTGTCAACCTGGCTAGGCTAAAGGATACCCAGGTGGCTGGTAAAATGTTATTGTGGGGTGTGTCTGTGAGGGTGTTTTCAGAAAAGATTCACGTTTCAACTGGTAGACTGAGTAAAGACTACCCTAATCAATGCAGGTGGGCATCATCCGATTCACTGAGGGCCTGAATAGAACAAAAAGGCAGAGGAAGGACAACTTTTCTCTCTCTCCTTGAGCTGGGACATCCATCTTCCCTGCCCTCTAACATCAGTGCTTCTGATTCTTGAGCCTTTAGACTTGGACCAAGATTTATATATAACCAATAATTACACGTATATTCCAATAAATATACATATTCCAATAAATATTTATGTATAGATAGATAGATAGATAGATAGATAGATAGATAGATAGATAGATGATAGATAGATAGATAGACATCCTATTAGTTCTGCTTCTCTGGAGAACCTTAACTAATATATATATACTCCTTTGCAAAACATTTTTTGGTGTTCAAAAGTGTTTGGGTGAACACATAGGAGCATATCACATACATTAATGTTGTTTTTTATGTATATTGTAATAAAAAATTTAGACCATTGTTAAAGCAAATTTTAGAAAGTTCCTAAGGTTATGGAAGAAAACCACGCCCTATAGCAATAGCCAACTACAAGAGGGATATTTTAAATTCTTTTTAAGTGGGATTTTTTTTCTGGTTAGAAGAATAATGAATTCTAAATACAGAATTTGGAAAATATAGGAAAGTGTTTTAAAATCACGTGTAATACCATATCCCAGAAAAAAATCATTGATAATATTGAGGCATACCGCTTTTTAATCCTTTGTTTTTGCATGACTATTGTTAGCACAATTGAATTGTGTGCACATGAACACACACACATTTGCACATGCTGGAGGTTTTTTCAACTTAATATTCTTTTCCAAACTTTTTTTTTGTCAACAAGTATACATAAAAATCCAATTTTAATAGCCTCAACATAGTCCATGGTACAAATGTGCTATAACTTATTTACCAATTTCTTTAGTATTAGACATTTGGATTTTAGAAAGAATACTATCATAAAAACCTTTGTACATAAATCTTTGTCTAAACTTCCAATTATTTATTTAGACTAGCTTCTGCAAAGAGGATTTCCTGGATTCGTGTAAGAACATTTTAAGAGTCTTGGGAAGTATCCATTTATTCAATAAACAAATATTTGTGGAGCCCCTTTTACAGTCAGGCACTGAGGTAGACACTGGCCATTCAATGACAAGAAAGACCCAGTGGTCTAGTGAGAAGGAAGAGGATTTTAAAAGCAATGATAGTCCTCATGATAACAGCCATAGTAGGGAAAGCATAGAGTACTATAGCAACACAAGGAAGTGAAATGGTTTTGGTTGTAGGACTGCAGGAAGACTTCCCAGAAGGAGTGACACTCACCTAAACTAAAACCTAAGAGAAGAGGAAGAATGAGCATGATGAAGACTGAGCTGAATAGAAAGAGGCAGAAGGCACAGCATCTGGACAGGCTTGGAGCAAGAGAGTGGATGGCACTTGGGTAGATGATGGTCCTGTTGTTTGATATGAAAAACACAAAAGAAGGAGCAAATTTATCTTGTTTTGTTTTGTTTCATATGGTGAAGTGGGGGAGAAAGGAAGAAAGATAAAGAGCTAAGCTTTGCACCATTTGATTTAAGGTGCTTCTGGAAAATTCACACAGGTCAAAAACCCAGTTTGATATATTAAACTGAAGCTCAGAAGAGATATATGAGCTGAAAATAATCAGCAAATAATAGTGGAAGCATGAGCATGGATAATATTACCCAGAAAGAATTTTTGACTGAGAAAATAAATAGGTCAAGGGAAGAATCCTAAAGAACACCAACTGGCGGACCCCTGAGGCCAGGAGTTCGAGACCAGCCTGGCCAACATGGCGAAACCCCATCTCTACTAAAAGTACAAAAATTAGCTGGGTGTGGTGGTGGCAGGCACCCGTAATCCCAGCTACTCAGGAGGCTGAGGAAGGAAAATCGCTTGAACCTGGGAGGCAGAGGTTGCAGTGAGCCGAGATCGCACCACTGCACTCCAGCCTGGGCGACAAGAGCGAGACTGTCTCAAAAAAAAAAAAAAAAAAAAAAGAACACCAACTTTAAAGAGTGTTGCGGGAAGTCAGGGACCCCAAACGGAGGGACTGGCTGAAGCCATGGCAGAAGAATGTGGATTGTGAAGATTTCATGGACATTTACTCATTCCCCAAATTAATACTTGTATAATTTCTTATGCCTGTCTTTACTGCAATCTCTAAACATAAATTGTAAAGATTTCATGGACGCTTATCACTTCCCCAATCAATACCCCTGTGCTTTCCTATGCCTGTCTTTACTTTAATCTCTTAATCCTGTCAGCTGAGGAGGATGTATGTCACCTCAGGACCCTGTAAGTATTGCATTAACTGCACAAATTGTACAGCATGTGTGTTTGAGCAATATGAAATGTGGGCACCTTGAAAAAAGAACAGGATAACAGCAATTGTTCAGGGAATAAGAGAGATAACCTTAAACTGACCGCGGTGAGCCGGGGGGAACTGAGCCATATTTCTCTTCTTTCAAAAGCAAATGGGAGAAATATCACTGAATTCTTTTTCTCAGCATGGAACATCCCTGAGAAAGAGAATACGCGCCTGGAGGTATAGGCTTATAAACAGCCCCCTAAGTGCACCTGTCTTTTATGGTCGAGACTGCAGAGGTGAAATAGACTCCAGTCTCCCATAGCGCTCCCAGGCTTATTAGGAAGAGGAAATTCCCGCCTAATAAATTTTGGTCAGACCGGTTGATCTCAAAACCCTGTCTCCTGATAAGATGTTATCAATGACAATGGTGCCCGAAACTTCATCAGCAATTTTAATTTCACCTCGGTCCTGTGGTCCTGTGATCTCACCCTGCCTCCACTTGCCTTGTGATATTCTATTACCTTGTAAAGTACTTGATGTCTGTGACCCACACCTATTCGCACACTCCCTCCCCTTTTGAAACTCCCTAATAAAAACTTCCTGGTTTCTGTGGCTTGTGGGGCATCACGGAACCTACTGACACGTGATGTCTCCCCCAGACACCCAGTTTTAAAATTTCTCTCTTTTGTATTCTGTCCCTTTATTTCTCAAGCCGGCTGACGCTTGGGAAAAATAGAAAGGAACCTACGTGAATATCAGGGCAGGTTCCCGATAAAAGAGTGAGCAGAAGAAAAGCCCATGAAAAAAGACAGTGCAGGTTCAGCCAAAGATATAAGAACATCAAAAAGAAAGAGGTAGGCTGGGGTTTCACACATAGCAGAGCAGCTCCCTCACTGTGATCTATTGAAAATCAGCTCTCAAATTTTTTTTTTAAAGGGAAAGTGGTATACCAGAAACCGAAAGAGGACCAGGTTTCAAAGAGGGAATAATCAATCATTCATTGGATGTAACCCAAGAAACTGTTGTTAACCCTGGCAAGAATAGTTTGGGCCAATGGTGGAAGTTAAAACCACACTTCAGTGGGTAAAAGAGCAAGTAAAAAGTGAGAAAAGAGACACAGTGAAGATTGCCAGATTGCCTCCCAAAAGCATCATATGAGTTTATGCCATCAATAGTACACTTCAGTACCCATTTACTCTTTGTCAATATTGTTTATACAGTTTACAATTGCTAATTTAATAGTTAAATGAAATATCACTTTACTTAATACTTGTTCATTACTTATACTGCAGAAGGAGGCATTTTGCAGGATATGTGTGGGATCCCTGCAGTGCTGATGACAGCAAGTGACCACAGCTTACCTATGGCCTCTCCTGGAATTCATGGTGGAACCCCACCAACTCTTGCATATCACAGAAGCACAATTTTTGAGAATTAGAATGGAATTCAAAGATTCTTTCAGAGAACCCAGTGAAACTCACTACACAATCAGGGAAAGATGAGAGGAGGGAGGACTGAATGTAGCATGGGAAGACTGCAGGGAGAGGTGTCTCCCTTGTATCCAGGCAGAGACAGATTCTCACATGGATGAGAAGATGACTGTCTACATAGTGTTCTCAGCAAAACCAGGACAACTTTTCTTCCCCAAAACGTGTTTCCCTACCTTTACTTTCTCTAAAATGCTTAAAAGTGTATTTCAAGGACAAAAGCTGTGATTCCACAAATAGCTTTTTTAAGTTGGTGCTTAAACGCAACTTAACTACAATGTACACAGATAATATTAGCTCCTTTTCTGAAAGCAGTTTTCAGGTATCGAAGATTAAATTAGAATACAGGGCCAACTGATGTAACAAAGGCCAAAATAAAGTAATTTATCATGATACAGTTCAAATGTCAGCAGTTCAGGGCAGTTATAAGGGCTCCACAGTGTTGGTGTCTTAGGTATCTGATTGCTCTGCCCACCTAAATACCCACTCTTATTTGGGGTCCAAGACATATGTCACACATAAAGCAATCCTCACAACAATCCTTCCAGTTATCTCAATTTCATTAATTAAGAGATGAGGCACATAGAGTAGAAATGGCATGTCCAATGTCACATAGTTACTTAGAGGAAGAATCAGAAACAACCTATGCTCCCTAATTCTTAATTCAGTTCTCTTTCCACAAAGTTCTTGAAGTGATATAAAAGGGGGGAGAAAAATAAACCTTATGAAGATAAGTTTTCCAGAATTTCTCATTTTTCCTGAAGTTTATCTGTTTATAAGGAGTATTTCCCAACAAACAGGAAAAAGGAATGCTAGACTAACTTTTCTTTAAGTCAAAACAGAACTTCTAAAAAGACATAGTTGTTCCCTCTGAGCCACCTTAAAAAAGGGGGAAAATATAGATTCTCATTTCCCTACATAACTCCCCTCCCATCACCACCACCACCAATCACTACCACATGACAAAAGATTAATATCTAAGGCTTAGCTTAACCTTGGAGAATTTTCCTGAGAAGGAAATCATCTTGAGAGTTGTATCTCTTTGACTAAGAAGTAGTTCTGTTTGGGTAGGGAAGTGATATGAACACGTGTGCAGCCTGGGGAATGACTGGAGGGAAAGATTTGTTCACCACTGCATCTGCAGGGATGATAACAATGCCAAGCACATAGTCAAAACTCCACAAATAATCATTGAGTGAATAAGTGAATAGCTAAATGAATAAATACATCATAATTGTATAGAAAGACTTCTTTCCTTTGCAGGACTTGCATAAATTGTATTTATAAGTATCAAAGGCAGAAACAGGCCACACAGCCAGGTCAATGGTGTAATGTGATAAAAATATCCCTGTGGACATGAACTTCCTTTGGAGTGAAAACAGTGATGGTGGCTGAGAGCTTACCTAGAGTTATGGCAACTGTATACTTAAATCTAAAACAGATACCATGGTTTCATGAATACAAATGTATTCTGGCAGTAATGGTACAGAACACTGCCACCCTTAGACCTGAGCAAGTGACGTCCCTGCTCAGAGTTCTGTGCCTCCACCCCAGCTATTATTCAGCTATTCTTATCCCTTTCCCTGTGAGAAAATCACAGGACAAAGGAGACATAGCCCTTTAGAGTCTAAATACCTCTTCTTGACCATATTCTGGGTACTAGGATTTCAGAATTCCCTGCACAAACATCCCCAAACACACTTTTAAGATCTGCATGGGCCTATCTCAAGGATTATCTTCCCAGAAGCAGATATCCCACCTGTGTACACAACTCTAGGCCCAATGGGTGGCCAAAAGATCACTGTTTGCCTGGACTGTAGACATGTGGGCTAAGGTGTCCACATCCTTGTGTATAAGGCTTCTCAAGGTATGTGATGGATTGAAGGATAGGAAAAGAAGGCTGGTAAATCACAAGGTACAAACCAAAGGCTGCAGGGTGAATCTCCCTAAAGCAGCACATTCTAGCACAAAACTATAAAAATCAAGAGTTCAAAAGTAGATCTGAGTATATCTAGGAATTTAATGTACTATAAATATGGTATTTCAAATCTATGGGGCAAAAGTGAATTTTTCAGGAGGTGGTGTAAGAACTACTGGCTATCCATTTGGGGGAAAAAATAAACAGATGTAGATCCCTGTGTAAAAATTAACTTATTTGGGGACATACTCCTTTTAACCAGGCAGTTCAAAATAGAGCTGCTAACTTGCAGAATCCTCACTCCCACCCCCAGCCACCAAAGGTGGAAGCCAAGCTGGGCTAATCCAAGCAGCCTGTACCCATGGCCACCACTGATTAGTCCAAGGAAAAGCCACCTAACTCACACTGAGTCAAACAGAGCCCTTCCCACGACACTCAAATTTGGGAAAAGATAAAGAGAGAAAAGTGCATTAAGTCCAGTTCCTCTCAAGAGCATAAGGAAGATGTGAACATAGGAACCGTAAGCAACTATCCTTATAAGAACTACACGTTTATACCCTTCCTTGATTCAAACTCTCCTCCCATTACAGACTGCTTCTGTCTTCTTTCACAGCTAAGCTATTCCTATATCCTCATCTCATAGAGCATTTTTTGAATTCTCTATCTTGGCACACACCAAACTGTTTAGAGTGTCAGTGTATTGTTCATTCATATAACCAACACTTTTCCGACAGCGACCCTTTCTGGAGTTAGGGCTACACCATCACCAAAATCAGTCTCTTGCCCCAAGAAGCCTATAGACTGGCAGAGGAGTGGAGTAGTTGGACCATGTGCCCTACAGACACACTGCCTGGGTTGCAATTTACCAGTTATTAACTTTGTGACTTGAGCAAGATACTTAAATTCTCTGTGACTTTGCTTCTTCATCTGTAAAGTGAAGCTGATGATAATACTTGTGAGAATTAAATGCGTTCATTAATGTTTGGAAACACACCTGGCACATAGAGATCAAAGATAGCTTCTTTCAATTCTTTTTTAAACTGACAAATAAAATTGTATATATGTATGGTATACAACATAATGTTTTGAAATATGTGTACATTGTGGAATGGCTAAATCAAGCTAATTAACGTCTGCATTACCTCACATACATATCCTTTTTGTGGTAAGAACACTTAAAATCTACTTTCAGCAATTTTTAGAAATTTCTGTTGCAGCTGGGCGCGGTGGCTCACGCCTGTAATCCCAGCACTTTGGGAGGCTGAGGCAGGCGAATCACAAGGTTAGGAGTTCGAGACCAGCCTGGCCAACATGGTAAAACCCCGTCTTTACTAAAAATACAAAAAAATAGCCAGGGTTAGTGACGGGCTCCTGTAATCTCAGCTACTTGGGAGGCTGAGGCAGGAGAATAGCTTGAACCTGGGATGTGGAGGTTGCAGTGAGCCGAGATCACTCCACTGCACTCCAGCCTGGGCAACAGAGTGAGACTCTGTCTCAAAAAAAAAAAAAAAATTCTGTTGCAAATACATTATTATTAGCTATAGTCACCATTGCAGTAGATATCTTGAACTTATTCTTCCTATCTAATTAAAATTTTGTGTCCTTTAACCAACATCTCTCCAATCCCTTTCCATTCCCCTCACAAGCCTCTGGTAACCACAATTCTATTCTGCTTCGATAAATTCAACCTTTTTATTACACAAATAAGTGAGATTATGTGGTATTTGTCTTTCTGTGCCTGGCTTATTTCACTTGACATAATGTCCTCCAGGCTCAATTGTGTTGTCACAAATGGCAGGATTTCTTCCTTTTATAAGACTGAATAGTATTTTATTGTGTTTATATGCCATGTTTTCTTTATCCATTCATCTAAGTATAGATACTTAGATTGATTCCATATCTTGGTTATTGTGAATAGTGCTGCAATAAACATGAGAGTGCAGATATCTCTTTAACATACTGATTTCATTTTCTTTGGATATATGCCCAATAGTGAGACTGCTGGATCATACAGTAGTTCTATTTTTGGTGTTTTGAGAAACCTCCCTACTGTTTTCCATAATGGTTGCACATTATGGAATTTACGTTCTTGCCAGCAGTGTGGAAGAGTTCCCTTCTCTTCACCTTCTCAACAATGGTTGTTATCTTTTGTCTTTTTGATAATAGCCAACCTAATAGGTTGTGAGGTGATATCTAATGGTGGTCTTAATTGCACGTTCCTGATAATTAATGATGTTGAGCATTTTTTATATACCTCTTGGCCATTTTTATGCCTTCATTTGAGAAACGACTATTCAGTTCCTTGGCCTATTTTTTAATCAGGTTATTTGGATGTTTTTGGTATGTGAGCTTCTTAAACATTTTGAATATTAACCCCTTATCAGATGTAGAGTTTGCAAATATTTCCTCCCATTCCATAGGCTTTCCCTTCACTCTATTTATTGTTTCTTTTGCTGTGCAGAAGCTTTTTAGTTTAATATAGCCCCATTTGTCTATTTTTGCTTTTGTTGCCTGTGCTTTTGGGGTCATATCCAAAAATTCCTTGCTCACAAGAGATGAAAAGCTTTCTCCTGGGTACTATGTTCACTCTTCGGGTGGCAGGATCAATAGATGCCCAAACCACAGCATCACACAATATGCTTTTGTAACAAACTTGGACGTGTATACCATGAACCTAATTTTTTAATGGTCTCAACAGGGTATGTAACATTGCAAAATTATTATGATGATGACATTTCACCTCGGTATAAAAAGAAATGTCTGTTGAAAATAAACCCCTTTTCAGAAAGAAAGAAAGAGAGAGAGGCAGGGAGGGAAGGAGGGAGGAAGGAAGGAAGGAAGGAAGGAAGGAAGGAAGGAAGGAAGGAAGGAAGGAACTTCTTGCCCAGACCAATGTCATGGTAATTTTCCCCTATGTTTTTTTCTATTTGTTTTACACTTCTTTCACCTTTTTATGACCGGTGCTTTGCCCAGTACCTGGCACATCAGGACTCAATAAACACTTGCTGAATGAGCAAATTCTATGGTTTTAAATTGTAGTTTAACATAATAAGTGACATATCCTGGAAGCACACCGTTCTCATGTGAAGGAACAAAGACTTCAAGAAAATGGGCTTTACCAGACTCAAGAGTTTGTGTTCTGCTCCCCCTGCAGCCCCTATCAGTGTGTGTCTCTCACAGCACAGAAGTACAAAGCGGAGTCGCTCACAAGGGCAGATGGTTTCTTCAGGTGGAAGGAGGTTTGGCTCTTGTTAAATTCAGCTTCAAAGCCATAGCTGCCTTTAACCAGGTTATCCCCTGTGATGTATTTCAGAAGGAACTGGAGGCCTCGGTTGGGGTATTGAACATACCAAAAAAGATAAGGGTTTCCAGAGACTGAATAGGTGCATTTCACAGTCAGAGGATTCCCTTCAGCAACGTTGACCTGATCTTCCGGCTGAGCCACTGACTGAGCTCTCAGCCCACCTGTAAATTAATCATGCTGCATCAGTGAAGCTGCTGGAGAGCATGTAAGTGGATCATGCGAGTGGAAAATGGGAAGGGGATATTACTCACTCAATGTGAAGAGCATCGCAAGCATCGAGATGGGTGCAGAGGCCATGGCTCCAGCTAAGCTCACGGCGGGCGGGATTGGGGGGGTCCTTTCCAGCCCACCTCTGCTGGAGATATGGCCCCACCCCAGAGAGTGGGCTCTTGAAGAGGAACCAGCAACCCTGTGTCAGCACAGGGCTTTTGGAAATGGCCCTTCCTCAGGGCACTGGTGCTTCCCGACACCGGTATCTTCTCTCTGTGGAGCACAATTTTGATCCAGCTCCTCAAAGCTCTGTGAGGAGCAAGACTGCCGCTCCGCCTATGCCCAGGACAGACCTTACACTGCATCGCCCCCTAGAGCCCACACGTAGGACCAGCGACTTTACTGTCAAGCAGCTGGTGCTTCCTGGCCTTATCCCTGGGCCAACCTTTGGATGGTTACACGCTCCATGAGGGACATAGGGAGCAAATTAGGGGTTCAAAGGAGAAGAAATAGAAGTTTGTGAATCAAAGTGGAAAAGATTCAGGCTGAGTGGATCAAGCTGTAAATGATTTGTGCTCTCTTAAGATAATGTAGAGACAGAAAGAAGGGAAATAGGATGGGAAAATGCACAGAAAAAGAAAGGAAAATATAGCTTTGCATCAAGAGGGAGAGAAAAATTTAAAGTGAGAGATAAGAAAAAGCAAAATAGGAGAAAAGAGTAAGGCAAGAGAAGATAAATGACAGGCGAAAACAGGAGCCTTGCTCTTCTCGTTAGAAGTAATTCAGAGCTGGCTTCTGTGTAAACCTCTTTGACCAAAAATAACTCAGAATTTTCTCCACGTTGGGCCTATTAGGAGCCCATCCCATAATGATCTTTAGGGCAAAAAGAAACTTGAATCTTCTCTTTAAACATTTTTAGAGTGAGAAAAGTACGAATAGGTGTTATAAATATTTTTGGAGCATTTGTCATATTAAACAGTACATATAAAACAAAAAAATGAAACTCTGAGAAGGGGTTGCAAAACAGGTACTTTCCACATGCAGAGCCTACTTAAAACAGACTTCAAATGAAGTACGTATTCAGCAAAAAATGTATGGTTAACGAAACTTGATGTATTATGATGGGGAAAAGGGGTTCATTGGAAAGGGATGGCATGCTAAAGTTTTATACTAAAAAAAGGCAACAATAGCAACTGAGTGATTCTTTGATAGATTTTAATTTTAATGTAAAAAGCATGTATCAATATAAAGAAGTTGTTCCTCTGATTTGCCTTCTGTTTCTTTTGAATAGTGTCCAAATAATGTTCACTATATATTCTGAGGAAAGGATGAAAAATCTCTTTGCTTTGAATCAGAAAAAAAGTGGAACATAATTCTTTCTAAAAGCTTTGCTAAAGATCTCATATTTAATCATTGAAAACTTAGCCATATAATAATGTTTTTCTTTGGAATTGGTAAACTGTCTTTAAACAATAATCTTCAAGTTCCAGAGAGACTTGTCATAAATGGAAACATATAGTGAATTTCTTCTCTTTCTTCTCTCTCTGCCTCAAGCCTAAAATGAGTGTTAGTGTTGTCTTTTTGAGGGTCCTGGCAATCGCCTCGAGAAAATCATTGAAAAAAAGCTTAACAAAAAGAATATTTTTAAGTGTATGTGCAAAATTTAGGGAAAACTACAAGGGAAGGTGAAGCACCTGGGGCTAATAACAGCCAGAAGATTTCACCACTCCTAGGCCCAAAGGGACGGGAGAAGATGAAATTACCCTAATCTCAGGACACCTGTAACTAATCACAGGCCAAAGGCGACATGACCCTTTACAGTCTAAATACCTCTTCTTGACCATATTCTGGGTAGACCCAACAGGAGCTGTAAACTTCAGTAGAGGAAAGAAAGGATCCTAAAATGCAAATATCTTGACCACTCTCTCCTGCTAATACCTCCCACTGGGGTAAACCCAACCAGATGCCAATGGACATGGGAGACCAGTCCACATAACGTATAGAAGTCAGCCTCCTGGGGTACAGAGCAGGATATAATAGACCTGAAGAGGAAAATGGAGAAATGTCCAGCCCTCTGATGCTGGAGTTTATTGCTGCCCTACAAATGCATATACGGGCATAGCTATACTGCATTTTGACAAACATAAAAAGACAAATAAAATAAGTTTAAAACAATAGTCTAATATAGACTTTAGTACAGAGCAGGATAGAATAGACCTGAAGAGGAAAACAGAGACTGTCCAGCCTCCTGACACTGGAGTTTATTGCTGCCCTATAAACGCATATATGGGCATATATCAACATATGATATGATCAACATAAAAAAGCAAATAAAATAAGTTTAACTAAAACAGTAGTCTAGTGTAGACTTCAGTGCCTTGATTATTTTTCCAATCCCTACTTCCTCTGACCTCTACAGATACAGCACACAAGATTATGCCTAGATCGTGCAAGTGGCTGAGATATTGTTTGCCTTCATCCATTTAATAATTAATGCCAAGAGCCTCAAGTGAACTAAATATTTAGGAGACTGATATTTTTAATTTTGTGCTAGAAATGGTTGATTGTTTAGTGGTCTCCCCCTAAAGGATACTTATGGAAGGAACTAACCATATTTATTAATTAAGCATGTTCAGCTATAGAAAGAGGAAAGTTTTCCTCTGAATTTATGTCGTGGTTAGAAATGGGTAGTCATTTGCAATGACAGAACTGTTGCAGAATCCTTAATCATCTTCTTCTTAATCTTCTTCTTCTTCTCGTCTTCTTCATCTTCATTTTCTCCTTCTCCTCCTCCTCCTCCTCCTTCTTATTCTTCCTCAAAACTAGGACAGTTTAGTCTTCGTGTTTGCTTCCAGTTAAAGAACTGCCTTTTAACTGCTCAGCAGATAGAGAAGGATTCAGGGACCTCCACATAATGCACTGCACACAAAGTAACCAGCAGCACCCAAAGAATTCCATGGGCCTAGACTGAAATTTCAAAATTGAACAACATAGCCTCAGTAGCTATTCAGCTTATCTGCTTTGATTTCTGAGATTAATTAAGAAATTATTCATCAAATGTCGCCGTGAGCATAACATTAAACCCTTTACATTCTTTGTCACATTTACTCTTCCTAAGATGCCCCATTTTAGAGATGAGGGGACCACAGTTGAGGAAAATTGAATAATTTGCTCATCATCCTTAAGAAAAAGAACAAAGATTTTTAACCCATATTTTACCGACTTCAAAGGCATATTCCTTTAAATCATATAGGGGGAATATCAATTTTGGTAATTTGCTTTCTATTAAAGACAATATAATATTGGAAAGCAGCTTCCTTATCATAATAAAATTACAGAATCAAGCTTGAATAAGTTAAATAGAACTTTAGAGGTCATATTGTCCATTGAGTGCATTATACCAAATGCCGATCCCACATGTATGTGCCACTGAACCAAAACAACTCCTGGATAATTAATTCTAAATCACCAGCACTCAAAGGTCATCCACCTTCTCCTGCACCTCTTGCTCACTGCTATGCTGGTACAGGTTTATGTACAGAAAGTTTGATGAAAACTTGACTCTTTCTTATCAATTTGCCATATGCACCCAGTCTGGACCACCTTTTAGCTATTCTGTCCAACTCTCCGATTTCTATTGAAAGAACCATGACATTCACAGAAAGTTGACATGAACTGTTTCTCCAAACCATAGTAAACTGGGTGTAGTGCTATCCATTTAGAGGTCAGTCAAATATGAGATGGGTGGGCCAATGGGGAATGTGCCCAAAATGCTGCAGGTAGATGTCTGTGCTCCCCTCAGGGTAGTTTCCTTTACTCCTTAATTTAACTACCACTGAAACATGCACATCACAACACAAGGGCAATTAGAGTAGCACAGAGCAGTGTCAAGGAGTATCAGTCTGAGACTCCAGATGCCTCACCAAGGCTGCCAATGCCTTTCTCAAGAAACTACTTGCAAACATCAGAACTCTTAGCTTGTCACGGTGGCACATGACTATAGTCACAGCCACTTGGGAGGCTGAGACAGGGCGGGGGTGGGGGCGGGATCCCTTGAGACCAGGAGTTCAAGGCAAGCCTGAGCAACATAACAAGACCTTGTTTCTTTAAAAAAAAAAAAAAAAAAAAATCAGAACTCTGTAAATATCATTGATTTCACAAGAGACAAGAAATGGCTCATGTAAACTAATGACAAATCCCTTTGCAAATATTAGACTCTGAAATGTACATTACATTTATTTTAGAAGTATCAAAGAAAAATCAGCACAAAATAAAGTTGTTAGAACAAAGAAATCAGTGCTTTTTCCATGAAACTGACAAAATATACAGTCCAACTAAGCAAATCATACTTCACATAAGTTAGGGAACTCTCAAAAGAAAGGTGGGGGCAAATCTGTAATTTGAACTTCTGCCCTCCTACCTCCAAACAAAGGAGATCAAGAATCAGTGGCCATCCATGTCTCAGTGGAATGAAAAGATTTGTGTAGTGTCTCTGGGTTTAATATATTTACCTTGCCTCACCTTCATCCAGTTTCCTCCTTCTTTCCTTGTAGTTTAAAATAGGTCAAGCCACATCTGAAGTGTTTTATTAAGTTCTAAGAATTCTATATTAAAAGAAATACAAGCCAACTGGAAACGGTTTAAAATGTACAACAAAGAGGGAAATCAAAATTGTAGCGCATATGTATGTGTGTGTATATATATATATATATAATGGTTAGGAAACTTACAAATATTTAATATGGAAAAAAACTGCTCTGTGGAAATGTTGTATCTGGTTCAAAATGTGTAAAGGAGAGATGTGAACTCTTTTAGATTCCCAAAGGTGTAGAAGCCACAGGAACACAGATGTTTCCTCAACATAAAGAATAATAGATTTTCAACTCACAGCCGCCTGGAGTTTGAATGGACAGTATGGGAGCAGCAAGAACCCTCCTGCAAGAAGCTGTTGTGAAAATATTGGCAATTCCCTTGATGTGATGCTGTTGAGAAAATCAAGCATCCCATGGGCAGATGGTCTAGATTGTTTTTTAGAACTTCTCTTCCTGAGATTCATGCATTTTTATTTTTAGTTTGGTGTGTGTCTATTGTAGAGAAGCTCTGAGGATGGGTGTTTTGTTTTGTTTTGTTTTGTTTTGTTTTGTTTTATGGGACAGATATAAAGAAAAAAAACATGTGATTGGCAAATTATGGGCACCCAATAAATAACTGTCAGATGATTGAAACTTTAAATAAGTACACAGAGCTAGCAGAAATCCATGTAATGAGAGGCCATCTTATACGCAATGATCTAAGAGCTCTGTTTCCGTTCATTCATCACAAATGGTTGTCCTTTGCAGAGAGGGTTCCTCATCCAGGAATCTACTTAAGAACTGCCTTGGCATTCTGACAATTCCAGGAGAAAACCCTGTGAATCCATTGATCCTCACAAATCACTTTTCAGTACCTGTTAAATGTAAGATACCATTTGCATTGAGAAATAAACAGAGGAACAAGACATAATCCTTGCCCTCCAGAAACTTACCATCCATTTTGGTAGATGAACACTTAGGGGAAGAACAGTTAACTATCTGAAGTAAAATGTGCAAGAATTATATCAATAGAAAAATCATTACAGATATTTCTTGCAAATGAGAGAAGAAAGAGTTTCACAAAGTTTAAGAAATTTAGCCAACTAGTTAAAGACCAAGTTAGTCTAGTTAGTTCATCTTGTAGAAGGGACACGGATGTGCTACACAAGATGATCCCCCTGCGTGCGAGAAGAAAATCACAACATTTAGTATTAAATTTATCTCAAACTTTCCTAATTTCTATTTTTGTTTGTTGCACACACGATCATAATCTATGAGCATATAAATATGCATATGTTGGAGGAGTAACATACTTTACTGATAATAGCACACAGTCAAACACTTTGGGGATCATTATACTATAGCAGCACAAACAAGGGAGAGAGTCCTCAGCTGAAGAAGTTATAGAGGTTGGGCTACAATCTGAATAAAGGGAGAAAGAGGGCATTTCAGGCAGAGAAAATAATCTGATACAACTCATACAGGAGATAATGCCAACAGGTCTTAAAGGCTAGAGAATAAACTTATTTGGTGACCCAAGGGGATAGGGGATGTAGCAGCAGAAAGTAAAGCAGCAAAGTTTCATTGGGTTCATAATATGACAGCTTTACTAAGCAGAGGGTACTTCTATTTAGATTTGCTGTTTTTCTTTTTGTTTCTTTCTTATATATAAAATTAAAAAGCCTGAAGGATTTTATTTATGGAATAACAAAATCAAGGATACATTTTGAGATAATCTGGTAAAAGAATGTAGAACAGCAGGACAGAAAATGGCTATAGAAGATTATGGAAAAATTCAGTTAAATACTAGAACAAAGATCATGCAAAAGATGTCACAGATGAATTTGTGAGAGTTTATGTGTAGCTTTTAAATCTTCTATTTTATTGTTCAGGTTTTCAAAAATGAGTCCAAAGGGAATACTATTCATCCATGAGAGTCCTATTGACAGTGTCTTCCCCTTATGTGGTTTAAGACAGTATTATCCCTTTTACCAAAATCATCATCATTTCATACATTTCCAAGAAAGCAAAGTTTTAAATCATCTGTAAGTATAATTTCAATACACAAAAGTAGATGCTGAAGGAGGGAAAAAAACTTTTTTCATAACTATATTTAATTTCTATTTAAAGCTATAGTCTACCAGGTATCAGAAACCAAATCTCAGTCAAATCAGAGTTTTCCTACCTTTTCCTGAGATTACGCCTAATTTCTAGGCAATTTATGTAGTTCCAAGGTATCACAGGGAAAATAAATGTAAACTGGACCTTGAGATCATTATCTATCTACACAAGCATCTGCAAAATATTTTAATTCACATCTGACTTTCAATCTCCCCACACAGTTTATTGCTGTGTTCTGGTCCCAGCTATATCCATGCTATCTCAAACCTCTGAAAAATACTACATTTTTTATATCTTCTCCCTGTGCCTCTTCACATTGTCTGCCCTCTGTGCATGTCTGTCTCTGTGTTCAGATCTCCCTTTTTTATAAGGACGCCAGTCATTATTGGCTTAAGGTTCATCCTTTTGACTTCACTTTAATTTTATCACCACTATAAAGATTCTATTTCCAAATAAGTTTGCATTCTGAGGTGCTGACGGCTAGGACTTACCCGTGTCACCTACTCAAAAAAAAATCCTTTTGCGGGGCAAGGGGTAGGGAACATAATTCAACCCATAACACTAATCCTAGGAAGAAAATGAAAGCAACACAGCCTTCCAAATACCCCCCATTCTCTGTGGCGCCATGATTTTCAGAAGGTACAGAAGATTACCGTAGGTGGTTTTCATGGCCCCGTCAAAAAAAAAAAAAAGAAAAGAAAACTAGCAGTGAAGTCAGAGGACGTAGGATACAGTAGCAAGGCATGGCAAGTCTTTCAGATTTCTCATGGAGCCAGTGACAGACACAGTTACCTTTCGATTCATATATATGAACTCCCAGGATTGGGAGTAAAAAAAAAAAATTTATTCTCCTGTGGATGTTTCTGTCCTTGTCACCACTGAACTGGGAGCTTCATAATGTTATAACTTTAAGAGTGGGACTTCATGGCTGCTCTCTTCGTTGTAAGAAAAATGCATCAACTGCATTTTCCTCTTATTTCACTCTCTTTTTCCATTTTCCCCTTTGGATAATAATGCCTTTAGTGTTCTTCATGTAAGCTGGAAAAAATCTGGTAGAAGACTAGTTGTTGACAGTTTGAATTATAGAATCAAAACACCAGGGTAAAAGGTAGGGTTTTCAGTATACCACATGTACAGACTCCTCTGTGAACTGGAAAGAACTTCCTAATGTAACCAAAGGGAATTTTCTGTCTCTGGTCTCTCTTGCCAAAGCAATGAGGTCACACCTGTGTTCATGATTTATTGAGCCACTACAGTGCACACAGAACTATGCAGGACAACCTGAAAGAAGGATCACATATGCTTCCTCTTCTCAAGAATTTCATTTGATTAAAAAGTAAGATTAGGCCAGGCGTGGTGGCTCACGCCTGTAATCCCAACACTGTGGGAGGCTGAGGCGGGCAGATCACTTGAGATCAGGAATTCGAGACCAGCCTGGCCAACGTGGTTAAACCCTGTCTCTACTAAAAATACAAATTAGCTGGGCATGGTGGCATGTGCCTGTAATCCCAGCTACTTGGGAGGCTGATGCAGGAGAATCGCTTGAAGCCGGGAGGCGGAGGTTGCAGTGAGCCCAGATTGCGCCACTGCCCTCCAGCCTGGGTGACAAGAGCGAGACTCCATCTTAGAAAAAATAAATAAATAAAATTTAAAAAATAAGATTAACACACTTTTAAGCAAGCAACAACCCAAAATATAATATGCCTAAAGAAGTAATACAAGCACAAACATACCAATTTACACTTATATCCAATGGAAATATTTGGGTGTTATTAAAAATTTGCATTTAAGAATCAATCTTATGACATTTTGGCAAAGTTTCATGACAATTGATATTACTAAAATACCTTTTTTCTTCTGTCATCAGCAATCTGCTCTTCACTTTTTTTCTTTTTTTTTTTTTAACAGGGTCTCACTCTGATGCCCTGGCTGGAGTGCAGTGGTGCCATCTTGGCTCACTACAACCTCTGCCACCCGGGCTCAAGCCATCCTCCTGCCTCAGCCTCCCAAGTAGCTGGGACTGCAGGTGCACACCACTCCTAGGTAATTTTTGGTATTTTGAGTACCGACCAGGCTGGTGTCAAACTCATGAGCTCAAGCGATCCACCTGCCTTAGCCTCTCAAAGTGCTGGGATTATAGGCATGATCCACCACACCTGGCCACTTTTATTTTTAATTGAGACAGGGTTTTGCTGTTACCCAGGCTGGAGTGCAATGGTGCCCTCATGGCTCACTGCAGCCTTAACCTCCCTGGCTCAATCAATCCTCCCACCTTAGCCTCCCAAGTAGCTGAGACTACAGGCACATGCCAACACACCAGGCTAATTTTTCCTATTTTTTGTAAAGACAGGGTCTCACTATGTTGACTAGGCTGGTCTCGAACTCCTGGGCTCAAGGGATCCTCTCACCTCCGCCTCCCAAATGTTGGGATTACAGGTATAACCCATCGTGCCCATCTTGCCCTTCACTTTTTATTCCAAATGTCAGCATTTGCTGAAAGTCTACTGTGTAAGCAAGCAATAGCACTGTACAGTTCACTTCCTGAAGCCCTTCTCTGTTACTAAAATTCTACCTAAAAGGAAGTAGAGAATAGTGGTTAAAGCCTCAAGACCTGGTAATATGGTTTGGCTGTGTGTCCCCATCCACATCTCACCTTGAATTGTAATAATCCCCACATGTTGTGGGAGGGACCCGGTGGGAGGTAATTGAATCATGGAGATGGCATCCCCCATGCTGTTCTCATGATAGTGAATGAGTTCTTGCGAGATCTGATGGTTTTATACGTGTCTGGCACTTCCCCTGCTGGCACTTCTCCTTCCTGCTGCCCTGTGAAGAAGGTGCCTTTCTTCCCCTTTGCCTTCCATCATGATTGTAAGTATCCTGAGACCTTCCCAGCCATGCAGAACTGTAAGTCAATTAAACCTCTTTTCTTTATAAATTACCCAGTCTTGGGTATTTCTTTATTGCAGCGTGAGAATGGAGTAATACACCTGGGGTCCAAAATCTGAAATTCACAGATCAACCCTGGCTGAGCAAAACAATCACCAGCAGAGCTTTATGGAAAATATAGACTTCTGGGTCCCACCCCTGCAAACTCTGATTGAGTTTATCTAGAATATGGCCCCCCAAGAAAACAAATCCAATTTTCACAAAACTTCCGATCTAGGAGGATAAAATATATTAAGAACCACTGGGCTACCCTAAGGCATTGGTCTCTAAAGTGGGAGGGACACATCTGGGGTGGGAGGACCAAGCTAATTAACAGGAGTGTGGGAAGAATGCATTGCAATGAGTACAAATACTTCCATTTGCATTTGTTTTTAGTTTAAATATTATGAAGGAGATTCAGTTTGACTAATATTTCATATACTCATTGACTGGCACCCTCAACAGGACTGTATGCTAGATTATAAGCAAAGTATACTGAGGCATGGATTGAGATTTCAAATGCAGGGCTGTAGGTATCAGCCACTCATTTATTCCTTCCTTTCTCACTTCTTATTACATTACCCAATGTTAACTAAACCATCCTTTACAAATTGACATGTTTTGAAAATATTGCTGCAAAAAGACTGAAGTTAGCAGATAGTATTTAAAAGGTAAGCACAGACAGCAATAAGAAAATGAAAGAGTTGACTGGCCTTGGTGGCTCACACCTATAATCCCAGTGCTTTGGGAGGTCAAGGCAGGAGGATCACTGGAGGCCAGAAGTTCAAGGCCGCAGTGAGCTATGATCATGCCACTGCACTCCAGCCTGTCTGAATTTTTAAAAAAGAGAAGAAAATGGAAGAGTGGACATGCCTCTTACTACTATCACAAGTTCATCATCAGCCATTTTATGAGGGAAAAACAAAAATAATCTAATCAGATCTCAAGAAAATGAGTCAAAAGTGTTTCAGATATCAGGAAGACTATTTGAAATAATCACCCTTTAAAAACATATTTTCTGGTCCAGGTGCATTGGCTCACACCTGTAATCCCAACACTTTTGGAGGCCAAAGCAGGAGAATCACTTGAAGCCAGGAGTTTGAGACCAGTCTGGATGACACAGAGAGAACTCGTGTCTACAAAAAGGAGGAAAATTCACTAGGCATGGTGGTACATGCCTATAGTCTCACCTAGTCAGAAGGCTGAGTCCCAGCTACCCTTGAGCCCTGGAGTTTGAGGTTACAATGAGCTATGCTCATGCCACCGCACTCCAACTTGTATGACAGAGCAAGACTGTGTCTCAAAAAAAAATTAAAAGCATATTTTTATAGACATTTGTTAATATATAGTATGTCTGGACTCAATTTTTTTTCCTAATAGCAGTACCAAATGAAAAAGCTTGGGTAATACTGAATTAAGGAGGAAAAAGTTATTGCTCATCTCTGTTTTGCCTCCTGCAAAGGCTGTGATCTCTGTTTCTGTTCAGCTCTTCATGGGTTCCCTGCCTCTGTGTCCTCCACAGCACAGTAGTAAACAGCAGCATCTGCCTCCCGCACCTGGAGGATGAGCAGCGATGAAGAGAACCGTTCATAGGTCATGTTGTATCGTCCCTGCTGAGAAGGCTTTGAGCCTTTAACAAGGAGTCTTGGTGCACATCCCGGGAAGTGAAGGTACCAGAAGAAGTTGTAAGCATTGGACACAGAGTGATTACAGAAGATTTCCACCACAGCTCCCTCTGAAGATGCCACTGTGGAAGGCTGAAACACTTGGTCCTTGCTTTCTGCAACTACAGAAAACAAAAAGGGCTGTCACTTTAATAGTACTATTTGGCTTGTTGATTGCCCCTTAGGTACAGTGAATGTTAGATCTGACTTCTCTTGTTTTTGTATTAAAAATGAGTCCAAATTTTAAAACAATTTCATACACTTTTACAAAACCAAATAGTGAAGGAGGCTACTCACCCTTCCAGAGAGAGTTGAGGAGAAGCCCTAGCCACACCGCCCCCAGAGTGCTCTGCAAAGCCATGGCCAAAATGCAGTTGGTCTCACCAGAATGCTTATTTAAGACTACCTGTTTTGCATTTTTTCCTTTGTGTCAGTGACATCATCAGCCAGAATCTACAACCTTTAGAAGGGTTGCTACAGTTGTGAGGCTGCTTAGTAATGACGTCACTGTGCTTTGTTCTGAGAAATTAATCTTAAAAGGGAATGCATCCTTTATAAGGTCACTGTGGTTGTGCAAATTTAGTATTCAAGGAGCTTCCTTTCTTCTCTAAGGGTATTAGAAGGAGTCACATAATTAATGGGGCACTGCTTCATCACACAAATTAAAGTGATATAGTCACACAAAAAGTATGCTAAGTCCCGTCACATATGACATGATGACCTGCTAATGTGTTTAAAATAATTAGCGTGAGATATTAGTAGCTGCAGTAGATAAGAAATGAATTTTTTAAGGTACAAAAGTTACTGTGTAAATATACTGATCAAAATTTGATTCCTTGCATTCAAGGTGATCTTTGGAACAAATATGGAAAAAAAAATCAGTTGTAATTTTTCTGTAAACAAAAGAAACAAAAACTGCATTTGGAGATCATCTCTTTTGGTATGGTACCTATCCTCATTTTGCAACCTGACACTGTTATTGTTATTAATATAGGGCTTACTACAAAGTTCTATCTCCAGCTTTTATTATACTCTACAGGTTTCCTTGGGATTTTACTTGAAAAAGAAGAGGAAACACAAGTGTGTAGCAATTCAGTGTTTATACAGTAGGGTTTTTATGTAACCTCCGCCACCTAGCGGACTACATGGGAACTCATGAAAAATAATTTCTCCATGCACCCTCTAAGACAAGTGTTCACAGCTTCTCATATCTTCAAGAGATTTCATGTCCTTTGCTTTTGTTCAAATTTTTCATCCTTATTCAATTTCCATAGGAATATGAAGGCTATCCAGAGGAAATAACTGCCTTTTGGAAAAGCCTTCTGAATACTAAAAGATGTTCTTCATTCAGGTGAGTGGCTATTAAACACATACTTTCATGGAGTAACACACTTCTTTTTCCATCTTCAGATGGTTGCTTTATGCATCCCCTTTCCTTTCTTTAATAGTCTTCTAGGTGAGAGGAAATCCATTTCTTTCCTAATCTTTTCTCTTTTCTTAATGACAGAGTCCTTAATAATGATAAGATGAGCCGGGAGCAGTGGGTCAAGCCTGTAATCCCAGCATTTTGGGGGGCCAAGGTAAGTGGATTGCCTGAGGTCAGGATTTCGAGACCAGCCTGGCCAACATGGTGAAACCCTGTCTCTACTAAAAATATATAAATTACCTGGGCATGGTGGCAGTCTCCTGTGATCCCAGCTACTCGGGAGGCTGAGGCAGGAGAATCACTTGAACCCGGGAGGCAGAGGTTGCAGTGAGCCGAGATTGCGCCACTTCACTCCAACCTGGACAACAGAGCAAGACTCCATCTAAAAATAAAAATAATAATAATGATAAGATGATCATTTAGGTCCAACAGAAACCTTTTATTTATATATACGACCTCAAAAAGCTTCCAAATAAAATACAGAATTCAAAAATGCCTCTAAAATGAGGATAGAAAAATCAAAGGGAAGTGGACAGATATATTTAGTGGAAGGACTAAGATCGCTACTATGATTAATTTGAGCTCTGAAATTTCTGACAACCAAAACACAGAGGGGAACACAAAAGGAATACAATTTGACAAGTAAGCTGATTAAGGCTTTAAGCAGCTTCTTACTGAAGCCAATTAGTACAGAGCTACAGATAACTTAAAACTCTTTTTAGATACTGGTTATGTACTTTTGGTTCAAAGTAACTACTGCACAGTATTTCAGCATGCACCACACTTACTTAGGCAATCCCCTAGTGATGGAATTATAGGCTGCCTGTAACTCCTGCAAACACAGCAATTAACATTTTTTTTTTACATTTCACCTATTAACTATGTGAGAATTTCTCTAGGATATGTCCCCAGCAAGGATTGTTCAATCATAGTACATACACATACTCAATTTCACGACGGTAATGATTGAAAGTAGCTACAGCCACTTACACTTCTACGAGCAGTGCATGAGCATTCCAGTCTTTCCATAACCTCAACAACACTTAGTATTATAAAACTGTCTACTTTTACCAATCTACTGAGTATGGAATGTCAACTTGCATTACCCTGATTATTAGTCTATTGAGCCATTTGTATTTCCCTTTCCCATGTTATCCATATACATGATTTCTCACTTTAAAATTAGACCTCTAGTTTTTCTCAGTAAATCATAAGAGTTTCTCATATATTAATTTTTTGCTGTATCCAAAATCACAAGTATCTTTTTCTAATATGGTCCCAGTCTATTAGCTTTGTCTATGGTGTCCTTTTTTTTTAATGGAAATCCTTAATTTTGAAGGAATCAACATTATCATTTTTTTCACCTTATTGGGCTTTAGGGATTTTGATTTAGAAATCATTCTTCACCCCAAAGCCACAAATACATTTTCCCACACTGTGTTTATTATCTTTATAGATTTGTTTTTTACATTTAGGTTTTAATTCATCTAAAATTTACATCTGTAGAAGACCCAACTACTTTATTTTTCTCCATAGAGCAGGACAGTTTTAATAGCACAATCTACTAAATAATCCACCATTCCCTAAAGATTTGTGGCATCATCGTTATCATATTAGACTCACCTATGAACTTGATTCACAAATGTACCTATTGAACTTCCTGAGTTTTATATTCATCTTGTTGTTTCTCTGCAATACTACTATACTATTTTTACTATCTTAGCTTTAGCAAGATCCTCTTTTTGTCAGTCAAATATTCAGATGTAACTTAATAAAATCTACTAAGCTAATTTAAGTAGAAAAGAAAGATATTAAGATATATTAAATAGATCACAGACTCTCCAGCAGAGATAGGCAGTGAGAATTCAATGCTATACAGCCAAAAACAATGTTTAAACACAGCACAGGGAATTCTCTAATCAATCAAATCTCACACTACTCACCCTAACACTACAAATTCACTCAACCAACAACAAGAACACTCACTACTGAATATACAAAGCCCTTCCATTGCTGCCTAGAAAGTGCTAGGCATAGTCCCTACTGTATTAGCTATTCATTCATTGCTATAAAGAAATACCTGAGACTGGATAACTTATAAAGAAAAGAGGTTTGACTGGCTCACAGTTCTGCAGGCTTTACAGGAAGTATGGTGTTGGCATCTGATCAGCTTCTGGGGAGGCCTCAAGAAGCTTACAGTCATGGTAGAAGGCAAAGAAGCAGCATGCATGTAACATGGCGAAAGAAGGAGCAAATTGGGGTTGGAAAGTGTCACACACTTTTAAATAACCAGACCTCACAAGAGCTCATTATCACAAAGACAGCACTAAGCCATGAGGGATCTGCTGCCATGATCCAAACACATCCCATCAGGCCCCACCTCCAGCACTGGGGATTAAATTTCAACATTTGAGTGGGGAGAAATATCCAAACGATATCATCTGATGTATACACTAAAGAATATTTCTGCAAACATACTACTGGAGGAAAATAACAAAGAGTAGCACTGATAGTGGTTATCCCTGTCTTGCTTCTGACCAAAAAGAGAATGCAGCTACAATGTCTCCATTATTGAAGCTTCCTTTGTAGCCTAATACATGCCCAATTTTTTAGAATGTCCATTAGTGCTGGAAAAGAGAGTGTATTTTCTGTACATCTCACAAAGCTCCTTTTGAACATATTTCAATCCACTTCTATCTCTAAAATTCTGTCTCTACAGGGGGCTCAAAATCAGTATGAGGAGACAAGTGGAGAACAGATGGTATGCCTTCCTCCTCCAATATTTTCTCATCTCTTCACCTTAGCCTTTTTACTGATCCAAATTTTCTCACCTCTCTCCAAGTTACAAAAAAAAATAGGTCTCATCTATGAAAGGACAAAAATTAATTCAGGTGGAGAGAGACAAAGAAAGAAAGAAGGAGGATGGAGATCTTGGTGGTTTCACAAGCAGCAGCCAGCCAAAATGTCATTGGATAGCTTGAAAAGACATTTTGAAATGATCTATATGCAACTTACCTGGGACTTTAATATTTATAACAAAATATAATTCTAATTCATTTGAATTCTTCCAAAGTTCTAAGAGAACTTCATTGGTTTTGGACAATGATTAGAGAAGAAAATAACACCAAGTAGGATCAAAGAAGAAAGAATAGGTTTAATATTACAGGGAGAGGCATCTGGGGATAGGGTGGGAGATAAGTAAAGGAAAAAATGGTAAAACCCTCCAAGATGGCAAAAAGTAACATACAACAAAAATGGGACTTTATCTGCCAATTATTCAAATAGACTCCAATAAAGTCTATTGAAAAATAATTACTTGCTGTAACTGGATTTTGTGGGAAATGATGAAGAGACTGTGCTCTGTGATGAAGATTGATTGAGGCATGACAGAATAGCATGAGTGAAGTCAGTGAGAATAGCAGCATAACAATCAAAAACCACCTCTTCACAAAGGCAATGAAAACACTGGCCAAAAAAATTGTCAAAATAACTTATTCTGGCCGAGCACAGTGGCTCATGCCTATAAACCCTGCACTTTGGGAGGCTGAGGCAGGCAGATCACTTAAGGTCAGGAATTTGGGACCAGCCTCGCAACATGGTGAAACCCTGTCTCTACTAAAAATACAAAATTTAGCCGGGCGTGGTGGCACACGCCTGTAATTTCAGCTACTCAGGAGGCTGAGGCATGAGAATCACCTGAACCCAGGAGATAGAGTTTGCAGTGAGCTGAGATCGTGCCACTGCACTCCAGCCTGGGTGACAGAGTGAGACTCTATCTCAAAAACAATGAATAAATAAATAAATATTTTTTTTCTGAACTCTGGAAATTAACAAAAGACTTGCAATAATTCAAGAAGCATTTACTCATGAAAACTGGCTGTATCTAGATAAGAACAGTGAGCAGCAACTTTGTGGTGTTTTAATTTGTCCTGTTCTCGTCTTCTTCTCCCCAGCTCTCCAATAGCCTTGAAAACCAACAGCACTGCCATAATGGTGAGAAACAGCAGCCTTGAAGCTACTAGACAGGGCAAAGCTGGTTTGGAGCTCCCCAAAAACACTATTCTCAGAGCACTGTCATTATTTGACCTGTCTGGCATATTCCTGCAACCTCCATTGGCAAGACTTGCCTGTATTTGATCTTATTCAGAACTTGCTCATTGCAAACAACCTTTTTGGAGGGGAGGAGGTGGAAAACAATAAGCACCAATTATTTAACATTGCCACTGCCTGAGGAGATGATAATGGTGGAACAAACAAGAAACTGACCAATACACTTAAAGGAAAAGCTGAATAACGAAATGTCAATAGGGGGCTCTGAAAAACTCCAACATATTCCTGAAACTCTAGAAAGCCATGCAGAAGCACACAGAAGGCTGTATACACGCCAAAGGCCACTTGAAGACCTAGGAAAGATCTAAGAAGTACCTAATATCTCACCTAAGACTGACCTTGAAGCTCTGTGAGAGCAAGAAGTGAAGGCTAAGGCAGAGTTGCAAACTGCCAGGCTAAATATTGAAGGTCTGGTGAAACACATGCACAAAGCCCATCAGTGAAGGATAAGAGACCTACTGATTCCAGACATTTAAGGAAATCTCTATCCAATCATTAGCTGACCATTAAGCTAAACAAGCAGAGATTTTAATGGCCACACATGACAAAGAATACAGGTTTTACAAATGCATTCAGGAAAGTCAGTAAACAAACTGATAGCAAACACAATAACAAGCAGCAGCAACAAACCCCGAGGGGGTGAGTGACATTTCCAGAGTTGCCATATTATTTAAAATGTTAAATATCTCCCAAAAAATGATAAAATTTTAAAGATAAATAAATAAAATGTTTCAAGGCAAAAGTAAAATAAAATGTCCATAACAAGTTTTCCATGAAAAAAAAAGACAAAACATGCAAAGAAACAAGAAGATATGGTCTACAGAAAAGTCAAACAAAGAAAAGGAAAGTTTGAGGAAGCTAGATATTGAAATTATGAGGCAAAGACTTTAAATCAGCTATTTCAAACATGTTCAAAGAACTTTAAAAAATCACAAATAAGGAACTAAGAGACTATAAGAATTATGGCTCACTAACTATAGAATATCAATGAAGAGATAGAAATTAGAACAAAAGAACCAAAAGGAAAAAATAATAAATTTAAAAGGATTAAAACTATATAATTTTCTTCTACCATAATGAAATTAAACTAAAAGTTAAAAAGGAAATTTGGGAAATTCACAAATATGTGAAAATTAAACAACACACTCCTAAATAAACAATGAATCAAAGAAGAAATCATAAGGGAAATATGAAAATAATTTGAGATTAAAGGAAACAAAAACACACCCAAAAAATCCATAACAAAACTTATGATATGCAGCTAAAGCAGTGCTTAAAGGGAAATTTATAAACACCAAATTATAAAAAGAAAAAATATTAAATTAATCATCTGTTTACCTTAAACTAGAAATAAAGGAACAAACTAAACCTAAAGCAAGAAGAAGGAAGGAAATAATAAAGACTAGAGTGGAAATAAATGAAATAGAGATTATAAAAGCAATAGAGAAAAACAAATTAAACCAAAAATGTCTTCTTTGAAAAGATCAAGAAAATTGACAAACTTTTTGTTATGCTAAATTGACCAAGAAAAAAAAAAAGAGAAAACACTGAAATGACTAAAATCAGGAATAGAAACATTACAAATTTTACAGAAATAAAAATGATTATAAGGGAATGCTATGAACAACAATGGCATATGCCAACAAATTGGATAACCTAGATGAGAAAGACAAATGCCTAGAAAGACGTAAACTACCAGAACTGACTCAAGAAGAAATAGAAAATCCGAACAGATCTATAACAAGATCAATTAAGTAAACAAAAAGTATTCCACAAAGTTAAATCCAGGCCCAGGAAGCTTCACTAGTGAATTGCATCAAATGTTTAAAGAATTAGCCCCAATCCTTCACAAACTCTTCCAAAAAATGAAAGAGGTGACAATACTTCCCATTTTGCAATTATAAGGGAACAATGCTGAAAACTTTCATAATATTGCTCAAGCCTAATTTGCCTAATACTTCCCAGACTACATCTTTTTATTCTTCTTTCTTGACTTTTCTCTCTTTTCAGACCTTCAATTTCTGCCTTTTCTCAATCAGTCCTACCTGTATCTTTGGTAGTCATTTCAAAGAAAAATTTTAGGGAAGTAGGTGAGCCATTTATTTTTAAATAAACATCTCATCTGACATGGTTTTGCCTATAGTCATGCAGGTGTGCACTGTCCAACCCCAGGAGAACTATTCACATCACAGACCCATAGATTTTAATTTCCATTACAATTTGTAGGCAAATGGTAGTAAAGCAACTTTATCTCATAAAAATCAGTAAATGCAAACAGGCTACAACTAACTGTAACTCACAAAGAATGCTATAATGACCCTAACTCTGACATCCCTAGTGAGTTAGGACTGCAAAGGAAACTGATGAACTCCTAAGAGAAATTTTGTTTTATTTACTCAAGAGATCTTATTATTACACAAGTCAAAATCTAACTGCTTTTCACACAAAACCTGCCTCTCTTTCTGACTTTCAATTTCAGTATTTGTTTCTAACATTCACCTAGAGTTTAAATCAGCTAGCTCTCTCCACCCTCTAATCTATTCTATACAGTTGAGTAAGATTAACTTGCCTCTGAGATATAACAAGTGTCACATTTAAGGGAGGTGATGATGTTTGCAGACTGCAAATAGGATGTGGTGCCACCAGGTGTGCAAAAGTAGCTTAGTATAGCCTCTTGAGCTAACCTGCTTGCTCTAATGGTAAGCCATTTCTACTTTTGCTCCAGGAATCTATTCTAAAGCAACATGTACAAACTCTACAAAAATCTTCTAATCTTCTGTCATTTCATGTTTAGTGTTTCTGAAATTAAAGCAGTAATTCTGAGTTCCTTTTTCATCTTTCTTCCAGAATTCACCTCTGAATGCTAAACAGTTTCCTCCTGAGTATGACTAGACTGTATGATTCTCTGCCTCCTAGATATGCTCTGTGTGCATAGCTTGGTTCATTGACCACATTAATTCATTTACATGTTAATCACTTCAAAACCACAACAGTTTTAATAAGGTCCTCTGGGGAAACCCAGCTTCCTTTGTTAACTACTCTTCTTACCACAGAGAAGCATTTAGAGACCAAAGAGTAATCAGTGAGCCTAAGAGTTCTAATGAATCACCAGAGGCATCCCTTGGTCTTATCTATGATAATGGCATGAGCCAGAGAAACACAGGAGATTAATTAAAAAGTTGCATTTTCCTCTAGGTCTTCTTAAGAGGCAGTCTCTATTGACCTGTAACTTGTCAAAAGTAACAAAACTCTAGTCTTCTTGCCTCCAGAACTTGTGTGTGTTTCATTACAAACACTCAACCTCTTGAGTGCCATTCAACCCAGCAGAGCAGAAGCGAATTAGTACCCTGTAACCCTATTCCTGCCTGCACAGCTTCCTTCATCATTAAGAGAAAACACCGTGTGGAAAGACTTTTAATCTAGATTATAGTCACCTTCTTCACTAAGGCCCTGTGAGTGGTAGTTAGCCCATACAATTCATTTATTATTTTCATTTCCCACTGAATTGGTCTGTTGTCTTAGGCCCAATTGGAGATGCAGTTCAAGATAATAAATTATTATCCAAGAAATCTGAAGTTGTAAGAAGTCTTAGAGTTGACCTTTACAGGAGAGAAAGCAAACAGTCCAGAAGGTTACACAACTAATCTAAACTCATAAAGTTTGTGATTAACCAAGATTTACAGCTTGAATCCTAGTCACCTAGTAAAATGTTTTTCCAAGAGAAATTACAAGTCTCTATCACCTGAAGACAAGCCTGGAAAAAAGTTAAGGGATTGCTTCTATTAAATTGCAGTTAGAAAAATATGATTCCCCCTATCATTTCTTCCTCTGAAATTTTGAAATCTCTGATAGTTTCCCTTTCCTCTCCATTCTCATTGCCTTGTTTTTATTAACTCATGATCCTAATGCTACCATAACCTCCTTACTTTGGCATCCATAATTCAGTGATTACTATTTCTAGTTTATCCTTCGCACCACGACTAAATAATCTTTCTAAAAGGAGATCATGTCACAACTGATTTAATAAATGTAAACTATATAATCTTAATAATGTCATTGTTCTTCTTAATTACCCCTGCTATATTGAGTGAAGTGAGGGGCCTATTTAGATTTTTTGCCTCATTTATCCATTTAATAACTTCAAAATACTTGGTTTAAATTTGCCTACTTTATTGATTTATACTCTCCTTTTTATCACATATTAGATTCTTAGGCATAGCAGCATTTATTTCTGTGCTATTGTTGTTGTTCCATGCACCTTTAAGTTAGTTCCCTATGCTTTACTTTGTTTTGACAACCATGTGCTTATACATTGGAAAAACAAACTGTGATATAGCCATGCAATGGAATGCTACTCAGGAATAAAGGTGAGTGAACCATTGGTAAAAGACATGACATAAAAGAATCTCAAAATGATTATGCTGAGTAAAAAAAAATAAAAAATAGACCAAAAGAAGTATATATTGTTCATTTACATAAAATTCTAGAAATTCTGGAAATTTTAAACTAATCTACAGTGACAGAAAGTGCATTCATGTTTGCTTGGGAAAGGAAGACGGGGGCAAAAAGAGAAAAACAGGATCATGAGAGGGCACAAAAAAACTTTTGTGATTGATGGTTATGTTAATCAATTTGATTGTGGTGATGGCGTCATGGGTGTATACATATGTCACAATTTATCAAACTGTGTACTTTAAATATATTCAATTTATTGCATGATAGCTATACCCTAAAAAGGCCATTATGGGGGGGGAAAGGCTTTCTAAAATAACCATTATGAGGTCACTGGTGACCTTCAAGGGAACAGGTTCCATAAGATAGTAAGTGTGGAAACCCAAGACATAAAATTACATAAAATTATGTAATTATTACATAAAAAATACTTCATATAATTTCAGTTTTCTTAAATTTATTGAGACTTGTTTTTGAGGCCTATCATATGGCCTCTCCTGGACAATGCTCCATGTACTGATAAATAGAATGTATATTCTGCAGTTGTTGGGTAGAATATTCTGTAAATACCTGTTAAGCCCATTTATTCTAGGACATAGCTTAAATGCATTTTTCTTTGTTGATTTTCTGTCTTGATAACCTGTCTAGTGCTGTCAGTGAAGGATTGAAGTCCCCTGCTGTTACTGTGTTGTTGTCTGTCTCATCTTTTAGGTCTAGTAGTAACTGTTTCATAAATTTGGGAGCTCCAGTGTTAGGTGCATATATATTTAGGATTGTGATATTTTCCTATTGGACAATTCTTTCATCTTTATATAATGTCCCTCTTTGTCTTTTTTAACTGCTGTTGCTTTAAAGTTTTTTATTTGATATAAGAATAGCTACTCCTGCTTTAGCATCATTTGCATGGAATATCTTTTTCCACCCCTTTACCTTAAGCTTATGTGAGTCTTTTTGTGTCACGTGAGTGTCTTGAAGACAGTAGATACTTGGCTGGTGAATTTTTATCCATTCTGCCATTCTGCATCTTTTAAGCGGAACACTTAGGCCATTTACATTCAATGTTAGTATTGAGATATAAGGTACTATTCTACTCATCATGCCATTTGTTGCATGAATACCTTGGTTTTTTATTGTGTTTTTGTTTTATAGGTCCTGTAAGATTTATGCTTTAAAGAGGTTCTATTTTGGTGTATTTCAAGGATTCGTTTCAAGATTTAGAGGTCCTTTTAGCAGTTCTTGTAGTGCTGGCTTGGTAGTGGTAAACTCTTTCAGCATTTATTTGTCTGAAAAAGACTGTATCTTTCCTTTATTTATGAAAGTTAGTTTCACTGGATACAAAAATCCTTTGCTGATAATTGTTTTGTTTAAGGACCCTGAAGATAGGGCCCCAATCTCTTCTAGCTTGTAGGGTTTCTGCGAGAAATCTATTATTAATCTGATAGGTTTTCCTTTATAGGTTACCTGGTGCTTTTGCCTCACAACTCTTAAGATTCTTTCCTTCATCTTAACTTTACATAATGTGATGCCTATGTGCCTGGAGATAATCTTTTTTGCAATAAATTTAGCAGGTGTTCTTTGAGCTTCTTGTATTTGGATGTCTAGATCTCTAGGAAGGCTGTAGAAGTTTTTCTTGATTATTCACTCAAATATGTTTTCCAAACTTTTGATTTCTCTTCTTCCTCACGAACACCAATTATTCTTAGGTTTGGTCATGTAATATAATCCCAGACTTCTTGGAGGCTTTGTTAAATTTTTTTTATTCTTTTTTCTTTGTCTTTGTTGGATTGTGTTAATTTGAAAGCCTTGTCTTTGAGTTCCAAAGCTTTTTCCTCTGCCTGTTCAACTCCATTGCTGAGACTTTCCAGTGCATTTTGCATTTCTCTAAGTGTGCCTTTTCGTTTCCAGAAGTTGTGATTGTTCTTTATTTATGTTATCTATTTCACTGAATATTTTCTCTTTCATATCTTATATCTTTTTTTCATTTCACTAAGTTGGACCTCACCTTTCTCTGGCGCCTCCTTGATTAGCTTAATAATCAACCTTCTGAATTATTTTTCTGGCAATTCAGGGATTTCATCTTGGTTTGGATCCATTGCTAGTGATCCAGTGTGATCTTTTGGGGGTGTTAACCTTGTTTTTGTCGTATTACCAGAATTGTTTTTCTGGTTCCTTCTCATTTGGGTAGACTATGTCAGAGAGAAAATCTGGAGCTCAAGGGCTGATATTCAGATTTATTTGTCCCATGGTATGCTCCCTTGATGTGTGCTATCTCCCTTCCCATGGGGATGTCACTTCCTGGGAACCAAACTGTAGTGATCATTATTTCTCTTCTGGGTCTAACCACCCAGTAGTGCCACTGGGCTCTGGGCTGGTACTTGGGGCAGGGGCAGGGGAGTGTCTGCACAGAGTCTTGTGATGTGAACCATTGTCTGGAGTCTCAGCCATGGATAGCAGCACCTGCTCCGGTGGAGGTAGCAGTAGGGGGGTGAAATGGACTCTGTGAGGGTCAGGCAATGAGCAGGGTCCTAGAGCTCCTGAGAGAATATGTCCTTTGTCTACAGCTACCAGGGCATGTAGAGAAAGACCATCAGGTGGGGGCAGGGTTAGGCAAGTCTGAACTCAGACTGTCCTTGCGCGAGGCTTGCTAAGGCTGCTGTGGGAGATGGGAGTGTGGTTCTGAGGGCAATGAAGTTGTGTTCCCAGGGGGATTATGGCTGCCTCTACTGGGTCATACAGGTCACCAGGGAAGTGGGGGAAAGCCAGCAGTTACTGGCCTAACCCAGCTCCCACAAAGCCCAAAAGGCTGGTCTAACTCCCAGCCTTTTGGTGCCCCCACCAACAGCACCAACTGCTTTTGGTGCCCCGCTAGCAGGACCAAGTTTATTTCCAGGCAGAGGGTGAGCAGAGCTGAGAACTTGCCCCAGGCTACCAGCCTCCTGGCTGAGAAAGCAAGCGGGGCTTTCAGGTTTCATACCTTCCCACCTGCTTAGGCTTCTGTGCTGTGTCTGTGCTCTCAATTTCTCCCTCCCCTGAGTTCTGTCTAGGAAACTTTGAGTTCAGTCAAAACTGTTACAAAGTTCAGCTGGATGTTTCCTCCTCCCTGTGGTCTTTTCCCAGTTCCTCTGGCAGCCCTCCCCAAGGACCTCTGTGGAAAAAAGTCACAAATGGCTTCCCTGGGGACTGAGATTACCCACAGGGCTCTTCCCACTGCTTCTTCCACCCCTGTATTTCGCTCGGCTCTTTAAATTTGTCTCAGCTCCAGGTAAGGTTAAACATACTATCTTTGCAACAACACTAACTGTGAGAAAATTCTATACCTATTAAACAGTCGTTCTCCACTTCTCCTCATCCCCTCGTAAACACTAGTCTACTTTCTGACTACAAATTTACCTATTCTGGATGTTCAATATAAAAAGAATCATACAACAGGTGGTATTTTATGTCTGGTTTCTTTAACTTAGCATAAAGCTTTTTTTTTTATTTATTTAGAAAGTTTTTATTTTTGAAACTTTAATGTTTGTCTAAGATTGTGCTTATCTTTTGTTTTTGAAGGTGCCCAGTTGTTGTTTAGACCATTGTTAAATAAATATGAACAAGAAACACTAGAAAATCAGAACTTATATCTTGTTGGTGCCTCCAAGATTAGAATGTTACTGGGGACAGAAGCAGTGGGATTGGTAAAAGAGTGCAATGATAACACCATGAGAGCCTCCACATACAGAACCAGGCAGAACTTCAAAGGTTTTGATGGTAAGCCCTAAGTTCTTTGTCTCTGTTAGAATCCATTTATCAAAAAGAAGTTTATGATGAATAGATCAGGGGTCAGCAAACTTTTTTCAGTAAAAGGTCAAATAGTAAATATTTTAGGTTTTGCAGTCCGTGTGGTCTCTGCTGCAGTTACTCAACACTGCCATTGTGAAGCAAAAAAGCAGCCATAGACCATAAGTAAATGAATGGGCGAGGCTGTGTTCAATAAAACTGTATTTATAAAACCATGTGGCAGGCTGGATTTGGCCTGTTGCCATCCTTTGCCTCCCCTGGATGAACACAAATTAGAGGAACACATGTAACTTACTTATATTATTCTATTCTATTTCTTCTTTTTTTTTTTTTTTTTTTTTTTTAGTATTTATTGATCATTCTTGGGTGTTTCTCGGAGAGGGGGATTTGGCAGGGTCATAGGACAATAGTGGAGGGAAGGTCAGCAGATAAACATGTGAACAAAGGTCTCTGGTTTTCCTAGGCAGAGGGCCCTGCCGCCTTCCGCAGTGTTTGTGCCCCTGGGTACTTGAGATTAGGGAGTGGTGATGACTCTTAACCAGCATGCTGCCTTCAAGCATCTGTTTAACAAAGCACATCTTGCACCGCCCTTAATCCATTTAACCCTGAGTGGACACAGCACCTGTTTCAGAGAGCACGGGGTTGGGGGCAAGGTTATAGATTAACAGCATCCCAAGGCAGAAGAATTTTTCTTAGTACAGAACAAAATGGAGTCTCCTATGTCTACTTCTTTCCACACAGACACAGGAACAATCCAATCTCTCTTTCTTTTCCCCACACTTCCCCCCTTTCTATTCGACAAAACCGCCATCGTCATCATGGCCCGTTCTCGATGAGCTGTTGGGTACACCTCCCAGACGGGGTGGCGGCCGGGCAGAGGGGCTCCTCACTTCCCAGACGGGGCGCCGGGCAGAGGCGCCCCCGCAACTCCCAGACGGGGCGGCGGCTGGGCGGGGGCTGCCCCCCACCTCCCTGACGGGGCAGCTGCCAGGCGGAGACGCTCCTCACTTCCCAGACGGGGCGGCCGGTCAGAGATGCTCCTCACCTCCCAGACGGGGTGGCGGCAGGGCAGAGACACTCCTCAGTTCCCAGACGGGGTCGCTGCACGGCAGAGGCGCTCCTCACATCCCAGACTGGGCGGCCGGGCAGAGGGGCTCCTCACATCCCAGACGATGGGCGGCCGGGCAGAGACGCTCCTCACTTCCTAGACGGGGTGGCGGCGGGGCAGAGGCTGCAATCTCGGCACTTTGGGAGGCCAAGGCAGGCGGCTGGGAGGTGGAGATTGTAGCGAGCCAAGATCACGCCACTGCACTCCAGCCTGGGCAACATTGAGCACTGAGTGAGCGAGACTCCGTCTGCAATCCCGGCACCTCGGGAGGCCGAGGCTGGCAGATCACTCGCGGTCAGGAGCTGGAGACCAGCCCGGCCAACACTGCAAAACCCCGTCTCCACGAAAAAATACAAAAACCAGTCAGGCGTGGTGGCGTGCACCTGCAATCCCAGGCACTGGGCAGGCTAAGGCAGGAGAATCAGGCAGGGAGGTTGCAGTGAGCCGAGATGGCGGCAGTACAGTCCAGCCTCCGCTCGGCATCAGAGGGAGACCGTGCAAAGGGGAGAGGGAGAGGGAGAGGGCAGCATAAAGCTTTTGAAGGTCAATCAGAACTTCATTTGTTTTTATGGCTGAATAATAACAATTTGTAGCTATATCACATTTTGTTTATTCATTCACTGATGGACATTTGGCTTGTTTCCATCTTTTGGCTGTTGTGAATAATGCTACTATAAACATTCATATATAATAATTTATTAGAATACCTTTCTTCAATTCTTTAGGTTATATATCTAGGATTGGAATTTTTAGATCATATTATAATTCTATATTTAACTTTTGAGGAATAGCCAAACTGTTTTCTACAATGGCCGCACCATTTTACATTCCCACCAGCAATTGATGAGGTTTCCAATTTCTCCACATTCTCACCAGCACTTATTTTAATTTTTTCTAAATTACAGCCATCCTAGTTGAGTGTGAAGTGGTATAATTTGTAATTTCCTGATGACTAAAAATGTTGAGTATATTTTTATATGTTTGTCAGCCATTTGTACATCTTCTTTGTAAAAATGTCTATTCAAGTCTTTTGCCAATTTTTAATCAGGTTGTTTGTCTATTTGGGGTTGGGCTGTAAGAGTGCTTTATTCTAGATACTAGACCCTTATCAGATAAATTATTCATAAATATTTTCTCCCATCCTTTAGATTTGCTTCTTACTTTCTTGATATGTCCTTTTACAAACAAATGTTATTAATTTTGAAGAAGTCCAATGTATCTACTTTACCTTGTATTGCTTGTGTTTTGGGTGCCATTTCTAGGAATCTAGTGCCAAGTCCAAGGTCATAAAGATTTACTCTTGTGTTTTCTTCTAAGAGTTTTATAGTTTAGTTTCTAATTTAGATATTTGATCCACTTTGAGTTAATTTTTTCATATGGTATGAGATAGAGGTCTAACTTCATTCTTTTGCATATGGATATCCAGTTGCCCCAGCACCATTTGTCAAGTAGATCATTCTGTCCTCCATTGAAATGTCTTGGCACCTTTGTTGAAAATTAACTGGACTCTCAATCTATTCTATTGAGCTTGTTTCTTGGGCTTATCATTATTGGGTTTATTTCTGGGCTCTCAGTCTATTTTATTGATCTGTATGTCTATCCTTATGCCATTAGCATAATGCCTTTGTTACCACAGCTTGTAGTAAGTTTTGAAATATAAAAATGTGAGTCTTCCCACCTTATTTTTCTTTTTCAAGATTATTTTGGCCATTCTGGATCCCTTGCAATTCCATGTGAATTTTAAAATCAGCTTTTCAGTTTCTGCAAAACAAACAAACAAAAAAAAAAAACAGGGTATTAGGATTTTGGTAGAAATTGCATTGAGTCTGTCAACCATTTGGAGTAGTTTGCTATTTTAACAATATTAAGTCTTCCAATGCATGAACACAGAATGTCTTTACAGTTATTAAGGCCTTCTTTAATTTCTTTCAGCAATGTTTTATAGTTTGTGGTGTACAAATTTTATACCTCCTTGATTAAATATACTCCTAAGTATTTTGTATTCTATTGTAAATAAAATTGTTTTCTTATTTCATTTTCAGATTGTAGTGTTTTATATAAATCCTCTGTTGCTTTTTAAATAATATTTCTCTTTAAATTAAGTGATTTCTTCTTGGTTAAGTTATTTTTAGGAAGATAGTGTGCATAAGGCTTCAGAAGAATGTTCTAGGCCAATAAGGATACCCTCTAGCTCACAGTGAAGCCCTACATAGTACATATTTTGTGTCTGTGAGATTGCAAGGTGATTTGACCTTCTCTCTTCATTGGTTAACAAAGGTAAATAGCTGTAGAGTTGCTTGTCATACACAGATTCTTCTTCATAATTAGCGTTGTTCCAAAGATAGTATGTTTAAGGTTTCCTCATTCAACCTTGCCTCTTCTGTTACACTGTAACAGCAAGGAGGTTACAGAGACTTACAGCCTTTCATGATTATGTTCCAAAGTACAGCTACCCATTGGCCCCTATGGAGAAATCTATGCTGTGCTGACTCTGTCCAAACTCTATAATGTAGTCATCCTCTCCTGGCATCTTCCTTTACCCTGATCTAATTTCAGATACACTCATTAGCTCTTCTAATTAGTGTATTTTCACACTTAAAGTGTTGCCTTTTAATTTAAAAAGATGATGTTTCTCCCTTTCTCATTCATTTTCCTTATTGTCTTCAGTTTATTTTAGAGATAGGGCAATAATGGGCAGTTAAGTCTTTATTCTGCATCTTCCATTTCTAGTTTTTCAAACCTAATCCCTGTTGAATCCTTAATATGTGCTATGGCATATTTTATGTGCGTTATCTATTAATTATCTATTAATCCTAATTACCACTCCGATGATATAGACATTATTATTACACCCAACTTATAGATGAGGAAACTAAAGCTGAAAGGCATTAAGTTATTTGCTTAAAGTAACACTGATAACAAATGCTGGAATGAGGGCTTAGACCCAAATATATTTGACTCCAAAGCTACTTTCATTTAACCTACCATACATGTCATTAACAAGTTCTTTCCTATCAATCAGAATTAAATCCAGAGTAACAGTATTCTTCCTGGTCTCCATTACATTCTTTTCCATAAAACTGTCAGTGAGTCAAAATTTATTAAATGTTTCATCAATCAAGATTGTTTCAATTGCAAGAAACAAAAATTTCAACTCAAGCTGAAGGGGATTTATTGGCTCATAAAACTAGAATGCCCAGAGAGAAAATAGGGCTTCAGGCATGGCTTAATGCAATATATCTCAATGACTCTATTGAGATATGGGTTACAGTCCAATGACTTTATTGAGATATGGGTTAGGGAATGGGACCAATCAATCAATCCATTCCTCTCAAGCTTCATGATGCAACACAATAGAGAGGAGTGACTGGAATCTGGGGAGGCAGACATTGTTGCCCATGCATATCCATGACTAGCAGAATAAGACTCTTACTGGATAACTTCATTGTTACCAAAACAAACACTTCATAGTGTCTTACACCTTACAAAGGCTTTTCACATACATTTCATTACTTTGAATAATTAAAATAAGTTTGATTAATTCTCATTTTGTCAGTAATGAAAAGGATAAAATGCAAATACTAGAACTCAAGCTCAGGTATGCTAAGACTGGGGCCCATGCCTCCAAAGCAACAGATAGCTTTATGAAATTAATACCACACCATCATGACCACCTTGCCTCTTTACCTGTTTTGTCATTCTGATTAAGCAACCTGTAGTATTTATTAAGAAAAAATGTTTATTTTGCTCTAAAGAAATCTCATCCAAATTCACTCCCATACACTTCAACTCTTAACTTTATGGGTTTCCATACACTTACATACTTCTTAACATGCAGTTCTAGCCCTCCCCTCCCACACCTTCATTTAGATGTATCTTATGAACAAGGTAAACCTTCTGTTCTAATCCTGAATCTCATCCTGCCAAGACTTGGTGGAAAATAAAGCAGGTTTAACAATAACCATTACTTTTTCAAATTGTCTTTCTTTGCTATTGATAAACTATATACTGCTGTATAGAAATTGGGAATTTAAAAAAAAAAATTCCAGCATCTCCCTTTTATTTTACTGGCACATTGTAAACATGCGATAAATATTAGTTCCCTCTTTTCCTCTTAACCCTATTGGAAAGCCACCAACCACTTTTGTTCATCTCTTTCTCTTGAGTTTATAACAAAACAAAACCATAAATATACATGATTGGCTTTTGAAGCACAGGAATTGCCCTTCTTTTCAGAATATTCACCTGTTCCTTACAACTGGAGCCTTTTGTGCACTCATATAATGGTTTGGTCTAAATAGCCTGAATAATTTATTCTAGCCATCCAAATAATATTTGAATTCTTATTTCAAACAAATGATAGTCCAGGCTTTGATTGAAATTTTTACTAGTCTTCCTTATTTCTTTTTTTTTTTTTTTTTTGAGACAGAATCTGCCTCTTGTTGTCCAGGCCGGAGTGCAATGGCACGATATCGGCTCACTGCAACCTCCGCCTCCCAGGTTCAAGCGATTCTCCTGCCTCAGCCTCCCGACTAGTTAGGATTACAGGCATGCGCCACCATGCCCGGCTAATTTTGTATTTTTAGTAGGGATGGGGTTTCTCCATGTTGGTCAGGCTGGTCTCGAACTCCTGACCTCAGGTGATCCGCTCACCTCGGCTTCCCAAAGTGCTAGGATTACAGGCGTGAGCCACCATGCCCGACCCTATTCTTCCTCATTTCTAATGAAGAAATTGTTCCATCCTTGAATACCTCTAACTAGTAAAAAAAAAAAAAAAAATTATATTGTTTTAAAACTTTAGCTTCTAGTCCCATTATCTTTTCTTATTGGAGATTATTATAGTCTTATTCCTGTTTCACATAAGAGACTCCTTATAGGAGGCAGCTAATTGGTTCTTCTCCATCTAAAACTCTTCTTTTCCAGTTAAAGGCAGAATATTTTTATTTAGGCCCAAAGAGTGATACAACTATCTGAAAACAAAAAAAAAAACAACCTTGCTTCCAGTTTTCTAAATCCACAAACCCCTTTTTCCTTTTGTTTATGAGAGGGCTGGACAAGCACTAGGAATACTGACTCAAATATAGAGGAATCCTCAGAAGTTTATTGCTAATTTCAGTCTTTTTTATGGTACAATAGTCAAGATACATCACCTTGCCTAAAACCTATATCAGCAATGAGAGTCTTCAGTTAATTTAGTTCTAGGATTTACACCGACCTTAATGATTCCTTACACTTTACAGACCCTGCAAATGACAAAAATCCCTCAAGCTTCTTAGCTATTAGCCAAACTTCTTATGAATTATTGTTTCTTTGCCCTTACACGTCACTGTCCATTACTTTAACACTTACACATCACTGTCTATTACTTTAACGCTCTAACCCCAGTCACCTTCCTTACATGACCCAAAGGAAAAGCCCATGACTGCTTACTTAAATTAGACAACAGCTCATACCTTGCACAGACCTAGAGACTCCCTTAAATATTCTTGATTCAATATTACATAATAGTTTATTATTTTTTAAAAACTGAAAATTGCAAAGAAGGTTATGCTATCTCAAGAGCTTTAATTCAAGAGCTTGAATTTACTCTTGAAAATTAAGCTTCTCCCAGAAACTAAATCAGCTTGGAGAGTTAAATTCATTGCCCTTGCCTGGACCTGCCAGAGGAAAAACAGTAAAGAAACAAACATTTATATTGATAGTAGATATAATTTTGAGTTAGTCTATTATTTTAAAATGCTTTGAAAACAAGCAAATTTCCTCATCTCTTTAGGAATCCCTATAAAATGAAAGGAGAATTAATAAACTTTTAGACAATTTGATATTACCTAAGGATATAGCCATAATAAAAGTGCATTTAACAAAAATGCTTCACAATATTATCCAAAATAATAAAGATGCATTGACAATAATATTTAACCAACATGGTGGAACAATTTTAGGAATATTGCCAAAGACATTTTCTATGCATGCCCTACTTTCTGATGAGATTATTCTGGGAGGATTGCAAAAGTAGGATATTGATAGGAACCAAAGGCTCAAGGCCACTTTGATCACCTCTGAATGGATTTTATATAAATGCCCCAGCAATGGACTATAAATATGTTCTGGTTATTATTTACTCTTGTGATGAGTTGATGCTTGTCCTTGACAAAGAGCTATGGCCCAGTTGTGACCAGAATGTTTAATTTCTTTTTCTCCAATATGGGAAATTTTAACTTATCTTTCTAGTAATAGGGGCATATAATTCACTTATACTATTACCAAATAACTCTGTAAACCTGTATCTTTTACTTAAGACTTCACTATCTTTACCGTCTACAAACATCAAGAAAAGTAAAAAGAACTAATGAAATTCTAAAACTAAAATTGGCATAGTTCTCAAAAGTACTCAGACTTCTATTAGCCTTCATGACAATGAGATCTACCTTCTCTGGGACCCACAGGTGATCTCCGTATGAGCTAATAATAAGCTACCCAGTTCATTTGAAAATTTTACTTCTAAACCTAGATTATGCCATACTACAGGTTAATGTGACCAAATATCACATGAGACACATATGATGCTGCCAGCTTTAACACAAACAGGTTCAAACTACATTTTTAAAACACCCACTGTCTGATCTGAAATAGGGAGATCTAGTCTTCTAGAAAATACGTCAGAGAGAAACAGCCCTTCAGCCCCAGTGAAAAGAACCTTGGCAGGGATTATTAACAACTGACACAACAGTAAAACTTCAAGGTGTTGGTCGTTGGAGTCACGCTTTTTTATTTTTTACTTTTATTTTAGATTCAGGGGTGCATGTGCAGCTTTATTACAAGGGCATATTCCACGATGCTGGGGTTTGGGCTTCTATTGATGTCATCATTCAGATAGTGAACATAGTATCCAACAGGAAGTTTTTTTTTCAGCCCTTTCCCCCTTTCCTCCCTCCTGACTTTTGGATTCCCCAGTATTTGTTGTTCTCATCTTCTGTGAGTACTCAAGGTTTAACTCCCACTTATAAGTGAGAACATGCAGTATTTGGTTTTTTGTTTCTGTGTTAATTCGCTTAAAATAATGGCCTCCATCTTCATCCTTCGTTGCTGCAAAGGATATAATTTTATGCTATTTTATGGCTATGTAGTATTCCATTGTATCTATGTACCACATTTTCTCTATCCAGCACACAATTGTTGGACACCTAGGTTGATTCCATGTCTTTGCTATTTTGAATATGCTGCGATAAACACGCAAGTGCAGGTGTCCTTTGGTAAAATGATTTATTTTTCTTTGGGTGTGTATATACCCAGTAATGGGAGTTAGGCTTTCTAACTAAAAAGATACATCTATTTCTTACAAAGCCTGGAAATCCATGCACTTGGAAGACCCCGAGTTAAGGATTCTTAAAAATTCTCTACAAGCTGATGACTACAGAAGTGGATAGCTTTCACCCAAGACCACAAAACAAGATTAATTTTCTGATTTCTCAGCCCTCTTTCTTTCATTTTGATCTGCCACTAATCTAACCTCCTTTATTACCTAACTAAAAGATGCATCAAGATAATCTTCCCTATCTTCATCCTGCTGGTTTTGGAAAAAGCCTAGTATCTGGGCACCGTTCCTAACTGCACGGTCCCTCACGGCTTCCCTTGGCTAGGGGAGGGAGTTCCCCGACCCCTTACGCTTCCCGGGTGACACACCCCACCCTGCTTCAGCTTGCCCTCTGTGGGCTGCCCCCACTGTCTAACCAGTCCCAAGGAGATGAGCTGGGTACCTCAGCTGGAAATGCAGAAATCACTCGCCTTCTGCGTTGATCTCGCTAGGTATTGATGGAACGTACCTCAAAATAATAAGAGCTCTTTATGACAAACCCACAGCCAATATCATACTGAATAGGCAAAAACTGGAAACATTCCCTTTGAAAACCGGCACAAGACAGGGATGCCCTCTCTCACCACTCCTGTTCAACATAGTATTGGAAGTTCTGGCCAGGGAAATCAGGCAAGAGAAAGAAATAAAGGGTATTCAAATAGGAAGAGAGGAAGTCAAATTGTCTCTGTTTGCAGATGACATGATTTTATATTTAGAAAACCCCATCGTCTCAGCCCAAAATCTCCTTAAGCTGAGAAGCAACTTCAGCAAAGTCTCAGGATACAAAATCAAGGTGCAAAAATCACAAGCATTCCTATACACTAATAATAGCCAAATCATGAGTGAACTCCTATTCACAACTGCTACAAAGAGAATGAAATACCTAAGAACACAACTTACAAGGGACGTGAAGGACCTCTTCAAGGAGAACTACAAACCACTGCTCAAGGAAATAAGAGAGGACACAAACAAATGGAAAAACATTTCATGTTCATGGATAGGAAGAATCAATATAGTGAAAATGGCCATACTGCCCAAAGTAATTTATAGATTCAATGCTATCCTCATCAAGCTATCACTGACTTTCTTCACAGAATTAGAAAAAACTACTTTAAATTTCATATGGAACCAAAAAAAGAACCTCTATAGCCAAGACAATCCTAAGCAAAAAGAACAAAGCTGGAGGCATCATGCTACCTGATTTCAAATTATACTACAAGGCTACAGTAACCAAAACAGCATGGTACTGGCACCAAAACAGATATATAGACCAATGGAACAGAACAGAGGCCTCAGAAATAACACCACACATCTACAACCATCTGATCTTTAACAAATCTGACAAAAAACAAGCAATGGAGAAAGGACTCCCTGTTTAATAAATGATGTTGGGAAAACTGGCTAGCTATATACGGAAAAGTAAAACTGGACCCCTTCCTTACATCTTATACAAAAATTAACTCAAGATGGATTAAAGACTTAAACGTAAGACCTAAAAACATAAAAACCCTAGAAGAAAACCTGGGCAATACCATTCAAGACATAGGCATGGACAAAGACTTCATGACTAAAACACCAAAAGCAATGGCAACAAAAGGCAAAATTGACAAATAGGATTTAATTAAACTAAAGAGCTTCTGCGCCACTAAAGAAACTATCATCAGAGTGAACAGGCAACCTACAGAATGGGAGAAAATTTTTGCAATCTATCCGTCTGACAAAGGGCTAATAAATCTACAAAGAACTTCAACAAATTTACAAGAAAAAAAAACAATCCCATCAAAAAGCAGGCAAAGAATATGAACAGACACTTCTCAAAAGAAGACATTTATGTAGCCAAGAAACATATGAAAAAAACCTCATCATCACTGGTCATTAGGGTAATGCAAATCAAAACTAAAATGAGATACCATCTCACGCCAGTTAGAATGACAACCATTAAAAAGTCAGGAAACAACAGATGCTGGAGAGGATGTGGAGAAACAGAAATGCTTTTACACTGTTGGTGGGAGCGTAAATTAGTTCAACCATTGTGGAAGACAGTGTGGCAATTCATCAAGGATCTAGCACCAGAAATACCATTTGACCCAGCAATCCCATTACTGGGTATATACCCAAAGGATTATAAATCATTCTACTATAAAGACACATGCACACATATGTTTATTGCAGCACTGGTCAATAGCAAAGACTTGGAACCAACCCAAATGCCCATCAGTGATAAACTGGATAAGGAAAATGTGGTACATATACACCATGGAATACTATGCAGCCATAAAAAAGGACGAGTTAATGTGCTTTGCAGGGACATGGATGAAGCTGGAAACCATCATTCTCAGCAAACTAACACAGGAACAGAAACCAAACACTGCATGTTCTCACTCATAAGTGGGAGGTGAACAATGAAAACACATGGACACAGCGGGGGGAACATCACACACTGGGGCCTCTCAGGGGTTGGCGGTTTAGGGAAGGGATAGCATTAGGGGAAATACCTAATGTAGATGACGGGTTGATGGGTGCAGCAAATCACCATGGCACGTGTACACCTATGTAACAAACCTGCACGTTCTGCACATGTATCCCAGAACTTAAAGCATAATAAAAAAAAAAAAAGAAGAACTAATAACCATTGTGTTACTGGTAATTGCCTGCACTGCAGTTAATATAGCTAATGTACACTTTCCATATTCTTAAATGCTACCTCAAATTTATTGTCATGTCAAAGGGATTCAACAATTTGTTTTGCAGCAAAAAGAACAGAGAGACCAATCCTAGTCCCACTACAGACAACATTCTCTAGACAACCTCCTAACCGACATAGTTTTGACAATGATGAAAACACTGTATGGATATTATAGATTAATGTCCTGTGGCCTGTCCTAGTCTGCTTTCAGCCAAAAGAGAGGACTATGAAGGAGAAAAGCTACCCCTGATAACTAGAAAATGGCCTGGCACTATCACATAGGCCTTGGTGTGGCTAGGAGCTAGTCCAGCACTCATAGTTAGGACTTGATGATCTCCTACTAAACAGCTTCTCTGAACACCAATATCTGACAAGACTACTCAGTACCATAATGGAGCAAGACTATTCCATTTTCAAAAATAAGACTATTCCATATTCATGTCTTAACACAGACAAAAAGAAGACCATGTCCAAACCATAAAAATAACCAAATAGTTCCCTATCCCGGTTATATGAGTGATCGTTGCTTTTTTAACCCATTAAAATTTTCATTTTCTGCATTCTTACTGCCTTCTAGAGGAGAATTATCAAGATATCCAACTATAGAATTACTCTTACTTCCTAACAATAGTCATTTGAAAGAAAAGCCTGCTTCCTTGAACCTTTCCCATTATCACCTAACAAAAACCCAAACCCTATATGTTCTTTCTAAAATCCTCTTACTTACTGGAACTTCCATGGTCTCCCTCATTACAAGGAGTCAACAAACCCAACTTAGTTTGACTACAGGTTTGCTTCTAATTGTGATTGGTTGGAGGTCATTGACAGCAGAATTAGATTTGGAGTGTTCTTTTTGGCAACCTCTCTCAAAGAAGTCCTCTCTCAAGTGGTGACATTGCACCAAAGACCTGAAGAAAATGAAGCAGAGAACCAGGTACTATAAGGTGAAAAACTATTCTAGACAAAGGGAATAGTTAGTTCAAAGGTCATGCGAGGAGAGGATGTTTAGTGTGCTCAAGAAACACAAGGAATTCAGTGTGGTTAGAGTTTAATGAACAAGAAAGGATAGAGGGAAGTGATTACTTTTGAGTACAAACAGACACATGATTCATTCTGAAGAATGAATCAGATTGCTGATTGGAGAGCAGGATCTAAGAGGAAGGCAAGAGTTGAAATAGAGAAATAGATAAGAAGCTGTTGCAGTAGTCAAAGTGCGATAATGGTGCCTTTGATTATGGCTGAGAAGTGGTGAGGTTCAGAATATACTTTAAGTGCAGAGCTATTTGTATTTGCTGATGAATGGCTGACTGTGGGATACCAGAGAGAAGATAAAGATGAATTCAGAATGTCTTGTTTAGTAGTTGGATGAATGGTAATGCTGTTACAAAAATGGGGAGGACAATGGAGTTATCACTTTCAGATAGCATGCAAAGAAGAGTTTTGTTTTAGATTGCTTTTAAACTTTGGATACTCTTTAGAAATCCAAGTAGAGACGTTAAGTAGGCCACAAAAGAATATACAAAACTATGGCTCAGAGAAGTTAGGGCTATAGATAAAAATTCCGGCGATCAGCACAAAGATGGCATTAAAATAATTAGCTTGGATGGGTTCACTTAGAAAGCATAAACAGAGAAAAGAAAAATCTGAGGACTGATCCTTGAGGCATTTCATTTAGAGGTCATGAAGAGAAAGAGGGTACTATAAAGGAGAGTTTAAGGGAGCAACCAGGAAATTGGGGCAGGGGGAATAGGAGAGTGAAGTGTCCTCTTTCAAAAAAGAGAAAGAGCCAGGCATGGTGGCTATCTCCAGTAGTCCCTAGTGCGACCCTTATCTCTACAAAAAAAAAATTAATCAGCTGGGCGTGGTCATGCACAACTATAGTCCTACCTTCTAGAGAGGCAAAGGCAGCACACCACTCCAGCTTAGGCAATAGAGCAAGACCCTGACTCTAAAAAAAATCTGTTCTCTTTTTTTTTGAGACAGAGTCTCACTCTGTCACCCCAGCTGGAGTGCAATGGCACTAGCTCGGCTCACTGCAACCTCTGCCTCCCGGGTTCAAGCGATTCTCCTGCCTCAGCCTCCCAAGTAGCTAGGACTACAGGCATGCACCACTATGCCTGGCTAATTTTTGTATTTTTAGTAGATACAGGGTTTTGCCATGTTGGCCAGGCTGTTCTCGAACTCCTGACCTCAGGTGATCCACCTGCCTCTGCCTCCCAAAGTGCTGGGATTACAGGCATGAGCCACCACACCCAGCCTAAAAAAAAAAAAAATTTTTTTAATTTAATTTAAAAAATAAAAATTTAAACAAAAAAAAAGTTGACCATGTTAAATGATGCTGAAAGGTCAAATGAGACAAGGACCAAGAACTGCCCATTGAATTTGGAAGTATGGATGTCACTGGTGATCTAGGTGAGAACTATTCTAGCGGAGTCATTGAGACACAAAGTCAGATCAGAGTAGGTTCAATAAACAAATGGTAGCAGATGAAGTGGAAACTATTAGTATAGGTAATTCTGTCAAGGAATGCAGCTATAAAGAAAAGCAGAGAAAATAGGTGGCCCGTTGAAGAAAAATGTGATGTCAAGGAATTTTTTTTAATATTGAAATTATTACAGCATATTTGTGTGCTGATGGGAATGCTTCAACAGTGACCGAAATGTGATGATGCTAGAGACACAGTTGCTCGAGCAAAGTCCTTGAGAGGCAAGAAAGGCTGGGATCCCGGGTACAAATGGAGGGGTTGGCCTTAGATAGAGCAGAATGCCCATTATAAGAATAGGCAGAGTTTGCAGTTTCAGATGCAGACTGGTGGATGTAGTTAGCAGTGGGATGGGGTAAAACTTCTCTTCTGATTACTTTTTTTATTAAAATAGTAAGCGGTTCTTTAGCTGAATCTAAAAGTTAGAAGGATTTGCTAAAGATTTGAGTAAACTCTGTATAAAACAATTACCACGGAGAGTAAAAATGTAAATTGACTACAGAAAATGCAGAACTGCCTATTTGAGGTTGTGGTCACAATTGTAAGACCTTCTATCTTGTTGTGTGTTTTCCTTCATCAGCTCAGGCATACCCCAAAAATGGGCATTGCATTGAACATAATTCCTGGAAAAACCTCCAGTGGATGGGGCAGATGAACAAATGAGTAGAAGGTGTATGCAAAGGTATTATTATAAACTTACACCTTGGAGTTTAAGTTGGATAAGGAAGGAGTAACAATCTGAGAGGAATAAAGGATAGTGAGAGGATGATAGGATCAATGGATTGGTGTTTCTGGCAGGTTTGAAAAAATGTATAATTGGGAGTACTAGAAGGAATGAACAGGAAAGGTTAAAAGTTGGTGATCAGAAAGTAGAATACTTGAAACAGCATGGATGGGTTGCTGTTATTGATACTGAAAATTCAGGAGCATGTTCATGGGAATGGCTGAGTTAGGGTTGGAGGGTGAAATTACTGTAGAAGAGGCTAAATAACTGAGGCCAAAGTATTGAATGGTCATCTGTGCAGATGATTATAATTGGCAAAATATTTGAGGAGGGAGGGTGAGTGGCTGAGAGGATCATTGAAGATAAAACAAGAAAGGGTTGCAGTTGGAACAGTCTGTTAAAATTTTCTTCGAAGCATAGAAATTTCTACAAAGGAAGAAAGAGAAATTATCTGAATCAGCATGGTTTTGAAAAAACAAAAATGGCACTTACCAAAACTTGAGACCCAGCATAGCAGAAAAACCCTGCACTGCTTAACAGGACTGCAGTAATATAAAGGTAATGTGCAAAAAAAAAAAAAAAACAGTGGAGGTCATAAGGGATTCTGCTTGCAAAATGCTAGCCAGAGTACATAATGAAGAGTGTGTGCAGGGTCTGAAAAGGATAAAAGTTAGACTACAGAAAGTACCAAGCTTTATGGACATAAGAGTCCATAAGGGTGATCTGAAGGTTCAAAGATGTTGTGAACACTGGAATAAACAGGCATACATAGCTTGAGGGAATTAACCTGATTGGTCTCTTTTGAAAGCAGGTGGGTAGGTGATGAGATCTAATTGTAGCTTCCTCTTAAGGTCTGGTTTCAGCAGTTTATTGTGAAAAACAGAATGATGGTCCCACCAGGGGCATGCAAGCTCTGTTGATTTCTTACCTTCTTCTGTGGGGGATGGAAGGGCTCAGACGGAAGGTCACAACACATTTAATTCATATTGCGTTTACAGATATCACCCCAAAGTTTTTTTCAAGGGGTTTCCTTCAACTCCTAAAATAAATGTCATCTTAATTCACTGTGTTATAAATTCCTCATAGGAAAGGATCATTACTCTTATGAGCCTTTTTATCTCATACTACAGTAAGTATGATATTGTACACATCCTAGGTTATTGGCTGCTGATTGATTACTTTTAGTAGTGAGTCAGTGACCTTTCAGCAGTGAAGACCATATCACTGATCTTTTGGAATGGAAAGAGTAGAATGGGAAGAAGGAAAATGTCAGTTAATAATTAAAAAACTGCTCTCTCTCCTACACCAATGAAAAATTTCTATATGATTTAACAAGCAATTCTTTTAAGTGTGCATCTTCCATAGAAGGTGAGGTTAACCAATCATTCATATCTTGAAGCTATTTCTCCTTTATAATATGCAGCATCCAAGTGAAGTAATGGAGTAAACACTGGACTTGGCACCAGAAGACTGAGTTTAAGCCCTGGTTCGGGAGCTAACCTGGCATGTAAACTCTGTGAAAATCACTTAACACCAATCCAATTTTTCCATAGTGCTCCCTACCTCACAGGAGTGTTATAAAAAGCAAATAAAATAATGAGTGAGAAGGAGCTTTGTAAACTCTAAAGTGCTATGCAAGTGTAAACCACTGTTTTCATTTATTCTGTGGAATACATTTTGGAATAAGAGGGACATACTTTCAGGGAGGAAAAGCCTTAGTGGGACACCTCAGAGGCCATCTGTGTATAGTCAGAAAAAAGTCATGGGCCAAGGAGAAAGGCCACCAAGGGCTTGGGGGAAAGCAGGGAACTGTGATATAAGACAGTCAAAGATTAATTCTCAATCTTGCATTTTACTAAAAAAGTGGTGAGAGTAATTGCCTTACGATCAACTGAATATCATTTTCTGTATTGCCCTTGATATATCATGCCTATGATAAAGTACTTCTATTCCAAAAGTACAGAGGTGTTAAAAGAAAAATTTCAGCCAAAGGAGTTTAATTGAGAAATGAGTGATTCACAAATTGGGCAGCCCCCAGAATCACAGCAGATTCAGACAGACTCCAGTGCAGCCTTGTGGTGGAAGAAGATTTATAGATGAAAAAAAAAAAGAAAATGAAGTACATAAGTCAGGAGTGAGGTATAGAAACAGTTAGATTGGTTACAGGTTGGCATTTGCCTTATTTGAACAGAGTTTGAACACTTTGCAGTCTTTGAGTGGTTGAAGTATGGCCACTGGGATTGGCCAAGACTCAGCTATTGTTACAGGCACATACTCCTAAGCAAGGTTTTCAATTAAGCTAGGTTACAGTTCATCCACAAAACTCAAATATAGAAGTATGTAGTCTTTCTCAGGCTATATTTAGCTTGCTTTAACAATTCCCCACTTTTGGTCATTTTCTCAATTTTGAGAGATTGACCAAAACTTTAGTCATTAATGTCATGATCACCATCATAAATGTACTTATTTGGTCTTCAAACCCGCTGGGAAACAGTAGAAGAATGAGTTTTCCAAGGAGAGAATAAGGACTGAGTGGGTACCTCCCTATGCTGAAATATTCTGTTTTCAGGAGAAAAACAAAACCTGGTCTGTTCTAGAATTTATGTGTTTCCTTAAAGTCTTAGTTTCATTACGTCAAATTTAGCATAAGCAACTCCGTTTTGGTTTGGTTTGGTCTGTTGGGGTCTAGTGCATGATCTTAGTCCAATACAATGGCCTCCCATAATTTTGTTCTAAAAAATTCCCCCTTTTTGGCCAGGTTCTCACTTAGGTGAGAGCGTAACCAAACTTAAGGCCTTAGTGCCACTCTCAGTTACCATCATTTTGGGTTTCTGGTATCAGCATGTCCTTCATAGTTTACGGTGTCCTCATGGTCACATGTTTACTTCAGCTTTTGTCATTCCAGTTGAAGAGAGACCATTTGACATTCTAGAGATGGCTGCATGCAAACATTTAAAACCTTCAAGAGAATATAGTGCACCAGAGAGACTACTGTGGTAACTATTGGGAGGATAATACCAAGAGTTTGGAGTATGCTCCTTACCCAGGTTCCCCATAAACCAAACCACCTAAAATCAAATAGATCAAAGAATGAGCTAGATAAAGAGTCCACTTGCTTAACTAAGTGATCTTTTTGTTAATCCCCTACAACTGAATCTCTATAATACCCAATGTATTTCTTCCTAGGCCACAAGTGCTAGCACTGCACAGATTCTTCTCTGTTTAGCCAATTCTACTGTTTAGCATAACTGTCACAAGAGACTTTAAAGTCTGTTGTGTAAGCATAGTCTTTGCAGTAGAATCTGCTATAGTGCCTATCATGAGGGATACATTTCTAATCATTGCCTCTTTTACTTCAAACCACAGAAAAATGACCTAACAAATGATGCCTTTGGGAAGAGTGAAGACCTCCTAGCAACATTCTCTTTAGCCCACGATGTGGGTTAAGAGGAGTGAATCCATGTTCTGTTTCTGACTGATTACATGGCAATATTTCTACCTTTAAAGTTTCTCAACTACAATGGGCTTTCATTTTTTTATCTGTAAAGGTATAAGGTTATTCATGTGTAAGGCTGGCTGCAAAATCATTTATGAATAAAAGTATACCATATAAGTGCACACAACAGACCCCCTTTCCATTTCTATTGTTCACAGAGGCATAAACAAGGAAAAAGTATTCAAAGATAAGAGTCTCATAATAGTAGAAGTCTTGATCTGTGATCTTGGGAAAAGCTGTTTATATCAAGGATGGCATCTTCTTCTGGGGAGAAATTTCCCTGGTTAGCTTTACCTTAAGGGTTCCAATGGATGTACAGTTCCAAGAGTGTGGAGGGACCCTTCTCAGTTGTGAGATTACGAACCCAAAGTTCAAAGTTCCAAAGTTTTGCTATAGTGTGGATGTCAAGGACAGTCTTTCTCTGATGTTCTCAGAAGATCCAATCTTTGGGTTCTAGATTGTGTAGGGGCTGATTGTCCTCAGGGAATCATAAAAACCTTTCTTTACCAGGTGAAAATACACTGTAGCGTAATAATCTACTGTTATAACATCAGCCCTCTTGCATGGGAAAGCTTTTATACAAACAGAAAACATGCGTTGAAAATGGCAATTGAATGAAATCCCTTTATAAATGTTTAAATGGCCCATCGGGTAGCCAAGTGTACCTGAAGCTTTGGTTGTCTTCCCAAGAATATGGATTTAACAAACCAAATACTGGTTACAAACTAATTTAGCAATGTATAAGTCACCACACCAGTATGCATGTAATGTGGATAATTTTATCTTTTCCATGATGAGTCATGAAATGCAGAACCTTTAATAACAAAAGCTTTAAGGACTCAGGAAGGACAAGGCAGCCTTCCTGGTTCTCCATGAGTCCATGCTTAACACTAGACTTATGTCCTCTTGAATACCAGTTGTTTCTCTGACTTAGGTGCATAACACTGATAACTGACGGGTTGTCATAGGTAATTTCAGTTAGAGCATGGAGTTCATTCAAATTGTATGTCTCAACAATTTTAATATTGGCTGAGTTAGCATGAAAACCTGGCAAAGTATTTTCTCGGTATTTAATTAATTTTTGTTCTACTGGGGTAAGCAGTTTTATAAACCAATCAGTCTTTTTATTAAAGTTTCAGGAATTCTTACCCGGTCCAATTCTGGGGAAATTGGGGAATTTTACCCACGATGTGATTTTAAAGTTATTAGAAACCTATATTCAAGAGCACTTTTCAGGGTCCTTTCCATCCTTTCATGAATCTCCTAAAAGACATCATATTTTAGGATTTTATGTGCTTGTGAAATTTTTAGAAATTGCATCAGCATTATGCAATTACCTGTGGAAGTGACTTTAAATAGCTGTAAAGACAGAACAGACAAGGAAATGTGGTTATTTCTGTGATCTATAATAACAATAACCATAATTATGATTGATAGCATATACTCAGACATATCAGAATTTTAGAAATGCATAAAATTTTGGAATATATTATTATTATTCATGAAAATATAACCTGAAGAAGATTAAACATTGTTTTTATTTTGACGATCCCATGTAACTAAACATGTCAAATAATCCTGTTTATCTCTCTTTTAGATGCTTCAAGAGCCCTCTGTATCATCTCAAAATTAGAGGTCAGAAAAGACAATTTTGAAGCTGAAATTTGATTTTGAGAAGCCTATTAAATATGTTAAAGGTTTAAAACACTTAATATTATGAACTAGTATTCCAGATTACCATAAGTCATTCATTTAGCCAAAATGATGACTCGAAGTTTTCAAAAGACAAAAACCTTTACTCATTGATAAAGGACAGACTTAGCTTTCCAATTGGTCTGTTGTCTTTCCGTTTTTTCAGTAGTTTACTCAAAAGGCAAAGAAAAATCTTTCATTATCCTTTAATATTACATGAAAATCTTGTTCAAGAGAGAAAGCCAAATTTTACCCTTGCATTAGTATATTATTAATGTCAAACCCAATTCTTAATAAAACAAATTATATATAATTTGGATAGATTATAATCTATCTATTGTCTATTTGTCTATAGACAAATCTAACCAGTCTTCATCAGTTTGACCATAAGGTGAGATTCCGATAAACCTTTTATAACCCTTTACAAATTTTTGTTAAAGAGCAGATGAGTGCTTTAAGAAACCCCTGTTTGTGCTTTTATTTTGATGTTCAATTTACAGAAAAAACAAATAATCCCCTTTTAAATTTAGTCAATATGTTCACACACAGAATTTCTTTTACAAGATTAATTTTTACAACCCTTCTACACCTTGTTCAAGCTTTTAGCTTATTCTAACATAATTTAAAACAATCCTTTAACCCTCTAAACTAGGCAAAAATTTACATTCCCATGCCTTCTTATAATCTTTTGCCAAAAACACATTTTACTATCCTCACATACCCTGCACGTAAAACTATTTTTTTCAGTAATCTCAATCACATCTTATAATGGTAACTCAGCAACTTTTGCTTTTGGTGCACAGATTTCCTTTCACGAATCCTTTCATGACTTACACAGACTTTCATCTACAGTGTGCTTGGACTTTCTGACTTGTCCTAAACATCTCTCTTTTTAAATAACCATTATTTTACTTTAGGATAAGAATTTAACATACAGTATTCTTTCTTATATAAAAATATCTTTTCTTTATAACCTTCTTTGCATGGCTAAGGGGCATTGCTAATTCCACATGTCCCCAGGGCTTATCTAGAATCTAGTGTCTTCAAGGTAGGTAAATTGAACAATTTTCAAAAGTCAAAACAGTTCATGACCTTAAAGCATTTAATAAACCTAATATCTGACCTGCCTAATTTAGACCAAATGTCTTTATTTTACCAATAATCTTTAAAGCTGTTTTTATTTCCCAAAGATTACTAAAGTTACATGAGCTAAAAGACATTAGGATTTTTATCTTTCTTTCAAAATATTTGATTTAAGAGCTTATTTTTATGCCAATTAATTAGAGATCTTTTATATAAACATCATACACACAACACATACATAAATACACAGACAGAAGAAGATCCAGTAGTTATTAGATGTTTTATTTGCCAGTTTCTTAATTCTGGCCTTAGGGCAGAGCCCTTCAAGAAACAGGGCTAGGAAAACATGCAGTTTTTACAAAATCTAGAATCTTCAAAGGTAGCTCAAAGAAAGGAAAATTCAAGAAGGGAAGTCAGAAGTTGTTCATGGAGAGGAAGAGAATTAACAAATGATAAAGGTCACACAGATATCAACCAGAAAGTATGCATTTCCTAAGCCAGGATTGAATCCAAGCCACCACTGTGAAAGAACAAAATCTTAGCTACTGAGCTACAGCACTGGGAAGTCTCCACTGCCCATCCCAGAAGGAGTCTAGAGTAGTTAATTTTGAGCTTGCAAAGGCTTTTAACTACTCAAGATAATTTTTAGAGGTAACTATGACATGAACCCTAAAATTCCTTTTCCCTGGAAGGCAGAGAGCAAGAGAAAGTACCACCATATGGTCACAAGGTCAAGCTCCCAAAGACATAAAACAATATGGAGACCTTATCCAGTTTTTTTGTTTGTTTCAGGATCCTGCAGCAAAGTTTGTTACTGACCAGCTTGCTGGGCCATCTTGAGCAGTGGGCTTATGGGGTTTAAAGCCCATGTTCAATCCTATGGTACCCCTCTTTATGAAAGAATGATACAGAAGATGCATAAACATACCAGATTCGCTACAGCTTAAGACTAACCTCATAAATACTTTTTTCCATTAATCAAAACTTTGCAGAAGATAAACAGTGATTTTTTACCATTCATTTAACCAGTTTACACAGGGAAAGAGAGGCCAGAACTTTCCCAGTTTGCACAAGGAAAGAGAAGCACAGGGAAAGAGAGGCCAGAAACCTGACTGGTAAGAAATTCTTACACTTTTGCCAGCGTGTTAGGTTCCTGGGTTCCCCTTCCCTGAAACATACTATAGTGCCAGGGAGCCAACCACATACACAAAAAATCATGGAACCACAGGCAAAATTTTCTCACTGTTGCAGGATGCCACCCAAGGGGTTGCATAGGGTAATGAAATTAACATTTGGCATTCTGGACAGAGCAAAATACATGTGACAAAACATAGACATTAGCCACTCTGCTTAGCATGCAGTATTGAACTGGCAAGGCTCAAACTTGCCCCTGGTTGAGCCCTGTCATCTTTAATCCATTTTTAACCAAGAGGGACTTTACTGAGGGGAGGGCCTCCAATGCAATCCCATCCTTTACTCAGGTAAAATGTACCCCACTACTTACCCAAAGTCAGCCAATTGGTGCTGCAGTCTGTTTCCTTTGGATCAGGATAGTAACTAAACTAAACAGTTAGCAGATTTAATTTTGAGGAGCCCTTTTTTTGTTTTTTTTTTGTTTTTTTTTGAGACAGAGTCTTACTCTGTCGCCTGGGCTGGAGTGCAGTGGTGCGATCTCGGCTGAGGGCAAGCTCCGCCTCCCGGGTTCATGCGATTCTCCTGCCTCAGCCTCCCGAGTAGCTGGGACTACATGCGCCCGCCACTGCGCCCGGCTAATTTTTTGTATTTTTAGTAGAGACGGGGTTTCACCCTGGTCTTGATCTCCTGACCTCGTGATCCGCCCGCCTGGGCCTCCCAAAGTGCTGGGATTACAGGCCTGAGCCACGTGGAGGAGCCCTTATTTTTAAATACACTTCTATGTTGTTGTTTATTCAGAACATTCCACTGTAAATTATCTTTAGTAAGATTTCACCATTTCTCTAAGACTTTGCTGCTTCCCAGGCCTAATGTATAAGTTGGAAGGAATGTATATGTATGTATAATGTATGTATAATGTATAAGCTAGAAGGAACTCAGTTTTTCAGAAACTGAGAATCCCATTTTTACCTAAAATATTGGCGTGGCTCTAGGTTCCATTGATTAACTTAGCCAATGATCTTTCCTACCTAAGTGTGCAAGAAAAATGAAACAAAGGAGTAGAACACAAAAATCCTTGTGAATTTTTAAAAGCAAAATTTTATAACCCCTGCAATATTACCTCTTACTACCAGTTTCTTTCTGACCCAGTCAGAGGTAAGAGGCTTCTAACTGGATCCAAGCTAGTTAATTACCAGATCAAATTTGATCCTCAACCCGTCCAGTTTCTGTCATGACTTTCAAACCCAGTTTGGATCAGAAATTTGCTCAAAGAAACCTGGAGAGCTCAAAACATAAATCTGTGGAGCTCCGAAATCTGAGAGAGAACTTACCACAATCCCCAGCCATTCTGAGACATCAAAGGACACAAATACGTTCATCAGGTAACTTGCTTGTTGACTCAGCAATTTTGGAGGTTGTTAGAAGGTCTACTTCAGATCCCACTTCTGACACCATTTGTTAAAAGAAAAGCTTCAGCCAAATTAAATTTAAAGAAGTTTAATTGAGCAAAGTATCATTCGCAAATCAGGCAGCCCCCAGAATCAAAGCAAGATTCAGAGAGACTCCAGCACAGCCACATGGTGGAAGAAGATTTACAGACAAAAGAAAAGGGGAAATGAAGTACAGAAATCAGAAGTGAGGTATAGAAACAGCTGGATTGGTGCACCAGGTTGACATTTGCCTTATTTGAACACAGTTTGAACACTTAGCAGACTATGAGTGGTTGAAGTATGGCTGCTGGGATTGGCCAAAACTCAGCTACTGTTACAGGTGCATACTCCTAAGTTAGGTTTTCAATCTTGTCTGCCTATTAAGCTAGGTTACAGGTCATCCACAAGGACTCAAGTACAGAGTCCTTCTCAGGCCATATTTCATTTGTTTTAACAGATAATTAGTATGGCCAGCATATCCCTGTTCTTAATGTGTCCCCTGATTTCCAAGGCTATTACAATGACAATAGAAGTCCCACAGTGACCAAGTGGCAATATCTGTAAAGTTCTGGAAGCTACACCTTCTTCATTACAGCCAAGTCTGGACTTTGATCAGTGATAATGAATCAAACAAGAAAACTAGGGAAAAGAAGCCCAAGCCACAAGGCCTTAGGAGAAAGCATTTTCTGTAACTTCTGATATGTTCACTCTTATTACCATCTTCTCTTCTACTCACTGTCACATGGAGAGTTGGCTATAAGATTTATTTTATGCTCCATACCCTTTATTTAAGATATCCTAACCATCCCACAAAACTATTCAGTCTTGAAATTCAAACTGAAAGTATAATCTTCATACCTCTCCTTTGGAGTCTTGTTTCACCAATTTAAACCACCAAGCTCATCTATCTAAAGAGAGAAAGCAAAAAGAAAATTGGAACAAGAGGTTCTAAATTTTCACTGTTATCCAAAATAATGAAAAAATGAAGCCAAAAATGTTGACTGGTAGTGATGGTCGGCTGTTTTTTTGTTTGTTTGAATTGCATTTAACATAATTATATTAATATGCTAAGAGCTACATGCTTTACAAATATTTCAAGAGTTCTAAAAAGTTTTACTATTACTATTCAAGCTTACGGATGGGAAATCTAAGGACCAGAGAAGCTAAATAACTTGCTCCAATTAGCACGTGTAGGACATTGGAATTTGCACCCAATCTGCTCTAGAGTCAAAGCACTTAATCTCTCTGTCAGAAAGCTGACTAAAATCTTAACCTCGGCTGGGCGCAGTAGCTCATGCCTGTAATTCCAGCACTTTGGAAGGCCGAGGCAGGCGGATCACGAGGTCAGGAGATCAAGACCATCCTGGCTAACACGGTGAAACCCCGTCTCTACTAAAAATACAAAAAAAATTAGCCGGGCAAGGTAGCAGGCACCCGTAGTCCCAGCTACACAGGAGGCTGAGGCAGGAGAATGGCGTAAACCTGGGGAACGGCGCCTGCAGTGAGCAGAGATCGCGCCACTGTACTCTAGCCTGGGTGACAGAGTGAGACTCCATCTCAAAAAAAAAAAAAAATCTTAACTTCATTACCCTTCTCTCATCTCTGTATTTTTATATGAGTTAAATAAGAAAACATGAAAGCCTATTACCTAATACTTAGCACATAGTAGGCAATCACTAAATAGTAGTTAATCTAACCATATATAAATACATCCTAAAGATTTAGGTATTTAAGTACTGCTTTTCTCATTTAATTCTCTTGGTGATTATTGCAAAGTCTGTAACTTCATTCCCCACAGAATTAACTTTTCTTAACTAGTGAGTAGGGCAAGCTGATGTCATTGCTTAAAAGTTCCCAAGGACATAAAGCCTATATAATGTAGGTAGAACAACACCAACACTACAGCTGCCAGCGCTTCTTTCTCTACAGATTCCCCTTCAGTACTTGAAGGTGGAATAATCCACCTGAAACTGGCAATACAAAACTTGCACCTAAACAGTGTGCTGCAAAGGAAATAGGATGCTTCTGCCGCACTGGTTTTCTGAATAATTAGATCAAGTTTTGTGTTAGAAGTGTCCTAATAAACCTGAAGGGCCTGCAAAAGTGGCTGACTCTTTTTTTTTTTTTTTTTTTTTGGACAGGGTCGTTGTGTTGCTCAGGATGGAGTGCAGTGGTAAAATCACGGCTCACTGCAGCCTTGACCTCCTGGGTTCAAGAAATCCTCCTGCCTCAGCCTCCTGAGCAGCTGGAACCACAGGTATAAGCCAACATGCCCAGCTAATTTTTTGTATTTTTTGTAGAGACGGGGTTTCGCCATGTTGCCCGGGCTTGACTGTGGCTTTTAATCTCCTCTACTCACCACTACAATCTGGAAAAGTGAAAACATATATATTATTTCTGTACTACATTTTCTGTTAACTGGAAACCAATCCTAGAAAATCTTGGTGCAGAATTACATATTTTGACATATTGAAAAATATGATAATAATATAGCTACAAAGGTGTGATTTTTACAGACAGCCTGAAATAGTACCTTTTACCAGAAAATATCGCCAAATACATCTACTGTGACATCACCAAAACTGTGAACAAGACCTAAGGAGGGAACTTCAAGGGCTCTCACCTTTCTTATTGGAGAAAGCAAGGTAAATGGGGTTATCTGACTAGTCCAACTTCAAATAAGTTGTTATTTCTACTGGAAGATAAAAGTCTTGATATTGAAAGTGCAGGACTGACACTTCTGTTACTTTTGGAGGTACTAAGAGCATCAGAAACAACCCAGGTGACTTTTATAGATATTTTAGTTGGATTTTATATCTGTTCTTAATCATCTTTCCCCATTTCCTTGAAATGTATGCAAAAAACACTAGGTTTTCTTCTTGTGCACCATATTCTTTCTACTGCAGTTGAACACATCTCCATTTTGCAAAGCATTTTTTTCCTGTGGCTCCACAGAAATAGAAAAAAATGATAATTATGGAAAAAGTTTAGTTTAAAATGTATATCCATATTCTATGAGGGGAGAACAGAAGCCTTCATTTCAGACCTAGTTCTTGGTCTGCACACCCTCTTCAGTCTGTGCAGGTGAAATTTCCCATACTGAATAAAATCCTAGCCCCATTCTTGGTCAGCTCTTCGGCTTTGAATTTTGCGACCATGAAAACAAGTGTAAATCAGTAACACTTAAAATCACTTCTTGGAGCAAAAGCTTCAAACGAATACTCGAAGAAAAATTTCTAAACAGTAAAATCAATCAATAGCTACATTTAGATGCTGCTGTAAATATTAATCCAAACACTGGACACAGTGAGTTTAATTTTTAAGTGTTAACTGAAGGACTTCTCTGGCCCCAAAAATATCTTCTTTGCCACATTTCACAAGCAGTGTGGGGTTGACTCATTAGTCTGCCAGGGAGCCTGATCTTGAGGGATGATATAAATCTCCAGTAGTCACTTGTGATAGGAAGGAAGTAGCAAGGATCATGGGGCCCAAGCAACCAAGAGAGACAGCTTCCTTGGGTGGGCCACCCCTGGAAGGCTGTGTGTGTCAGGGCAGCAGCATGAAGGAGGAAAGCTAGAAAAGAGAGATTCCTCATAGTCCCCCTAACCCTGCCCCACAATCTGACTCAGGACACCAAGGAGAGGAAGAGAGAGGCCACTAAGACATATTCTGCTTCACTCCCTGATTCTACCAACTACCACAAAAATTCAGATGAGAGTGGTGGTAGAGCGGACGAAGCCTGAACCAAGAGTCGGGAGACCTGAGCTCTAGACCCAGCTGTGACTCCAGTTCCGTGTAACCTTGGACCAGTTGATTTGACTCTCTGTGCCTCATTTTCTCTATTTGTAAAATGAAAAAAAAATAGATTATGTCAACTCTCAAGTCCCTTTAAGGGCTAAAATCCTGTGACTATAATGCATATGCTCGTTATTTTAAAAAATAGTGGTGCTTGAGTCATAGGCTAATTTAAAAGAAAATAACTATTTTTATTTCACTTGTGGGCCAGTAAGACAACAGAACGGGACTTTGAAAAGAGCTAGAGTGATCTAATCAAGACAGTAATGTTATTAGGCTTGGATCTTGACTCCCAGTTTAAGAATAAGTCTGCCCTCAGCTGAGGGGTGGAGGAGAGGTCAACTTCCACATTTTCCAAGGCTTCCAGGGTTTTATCCTGCCTTCTCTAAACAATTGTTCAAGAACATCACAGCCACGTTGCCAATTGTCCAGTAGCTTGGTACAAAGCTTCTGCCCTCTGAAAGTTATGTCATGGAAATTACAGTCTCAGAGCCCCATGGCAAAGCCAACAGCTGAGCAAGTGGTTTGGGTTGATGAAAAGTGCAGTCTGCAGGACTATTAAAAAAAAAAGCTATGTTCAGGGACCATATTTGTGTAGCCTTGAACAAATTATGTATTTGAGTTAAAGAGAATCTTAACTTCTTCTCCTGTAAAAATCCATAACCTAAATCTAAACATTGATATCCTACTACATTAATGGAGAAATAACTTGTTTGGTCTTTCCCTCTCTCTCTCCCTCTTCAAGATTGTTTTATATCTCTTAATGAATGAAGATTCTCTATTTTATTATTCCAAAAGTGTATGTTAAGTACCTACTATGGGTGTATCATCATGTAAGATGTTAATGGGGATTTTTAAAAGAAATGCAAGATATTTTACCATAAATTCTAGATGGAGAGAAAAGGCATAAACACACAAGAAATTAAATGACCAAATGATTGATGCAGATACTGTGTTATATTAGACTTTTTTTCTAATTCTTTACAGGTTGTCTAACAAAGAGAATGGAAGAGGCCATCCTACTCAATCAAACTTCTTTAGTGACATATTTTCGGCTTAGAGGTTTATCTGTAAATCATAAGGCACGGATAGCTATGTTTTCCATGTTCCTCATTTTTTATGTCCTGACACTGATTGGGAATGTTCTCATTGTCATAACTATTATCTATGACCACCGGCTCCATACTCCCATGTATTTCTTCCTCAGCAACCTGTCCTTTATTGATGTCTGCCACTCCACTGTCACTGTCCCCAAGATGCTGAGAGACGTGTGGTCAGAGGAAAAGCTCATCTCTTTTGATGCCTGTGTGACCCAGATGTTCTTCCTGCACCTCTTTGCCTGCACAGAGATCTTCCTCCTCACCGTCATGGCCTATGATCGGTATGTGGCCATCTGTAAACCCCTGCAGTACATGATAGTGATGAACTGGAAGGTATGTGTGCTGCTGGCTGTGGCCCTCTGGACAGGAGGGACCATCCACTCCATAGCCCTCACCTCCCTTACCATCAAGCTGCCCTACTGTGGTCCTGATGAGATTGACAACTTCTTCTGTGATGTACCTCAGGTGATCAAGCTGGCCTGCATTGACACCCACGTCATTGAGATCCTCATTGTCTCCAACAGTGGATTGATCTCCGTGGTCTGTTTTGTGGTCCTGGTGGTGTCCTACGCAGTCATCCTGGTGAGTCTGAGGCAGCAGATCTCCAAGGGCAAGCGGAAGGCCCTGTCCACCTGTGCAGCCCATCTCACTGTAGTTACACTGTTCCTGGGACACTGCATCTTCATCTATTCCCGCCCATCCACCAGCCTCCCAGAGGACAAGGTAGTATCTGTGTTTTTCACTGCAGTCACCCCCCTGCTGAACCCCATTATCTATACCCTTAGGAATGAAGAAATGAAGAGTGCCTTAAACAAGTTAGTGGGGAGAAAAGAGAGAAAAGAAGAAAAATGAAAATGTCTACGTCCTTAGGATACGTGGTGCTCCAAATTAAAGAAGCGCCTTGCAAAGAATAAGTTACATACCATATTTATCAGACTATGTGACTTATAAAACTATCCTTGGTCCAATATCTGACAGTCATAGCAATCGTTATGGTTATTAATATCTTCTCTGTGCTGGAAATTATTCTAGGCACTGTGCATTTACTTAATTCTCACAACTTTGAAAGGTAGATATTATGATGCTTGTTTGTACATGAAGAAACTAAAGCTCGAGGAGAGTAAATAACATGCCCAAAGTCACTCAGCTAGAAAACAATGAAGGCAGCATGTGAATCCAAGTGGATCAACAGAAACTCAAGCTCTTTTCACAACATATGCTGCCTCTTTCTGCTTTTCTGTTGGAGTGATAACCAAGGTCTAAACAAACCTTCAGATTTCTGGGCAGCCCTTGCCTGCATCATTCACTCAGATGCTTATGTAAACAGCTTAGCAAACACTAGTGAAGCAGATAAAGTGAGTTTCCACATGACTTTGGTGACAGAGAAAGAAGACTTTGAACAGGTGAAGTTACTGACACTCTCAAGTATCCAGGCAAAATCTGCCATCAGAGCAATGAAATGGGGATATCTTACTATTCATTCATTTGACAAATATTTACTGAGCACTTATTATGTACCAGATACTAGGTTTATAGCCATAAATAAGACATACATGTAGTCCTTCCTTCATGGAGTTTAGGGTCTAGTGAAAATAGAAAACAAAAATATGAACAAATAAATTTTAACTACAGATTGTGATAAATGCTATAAAACAGCAGGGTGCTGTTAGAGAGTATGGAAGAGACTTGCTTTAGTGGTCAAGGATGGCCTCTCTGAGGAAGTTACATTTAAGATTAAAAGGAGCCAGCCATAAGAGAGGTGATGGACATTCTAGACAGGGGAAATGGCCGGTGCAAAGATCTATGCTGGGAAAGACCTTGGCTTGTTCAAGGAAGTAAATGATCAGTGTGATTACAGCTTAGACTATAAGGCAGAGAGTGGCAAGAGAGTGATATCAGAGAGCTAAAAAGAATCTTTCCATATTCTCTCAAGAAGTTTAGAATCTTTTCCAGTACAATAAGAAGCCACCAGAATGATTTAAGCACAGGTGTGGCATGAAATAATTTATGTTTTAATAAAATTATTTTAGTTATTATGTAGAGAATTCACTCAACTAAGCAACAGCATCCAATATTGTTCTTAGAGCAATGGATGACTGTTAAGTACTTAGTCATAAATACTTAGAAAACAACTTGGTAGAAACTTGGTAGAAAACACCAAGTTGGATAAACCATTGTCTATAAACCAACATCTTAAATCTCACTGTGGCGGCACATAGTGTAGCAGAATGGAATGTGGTGAATCAACTGGGATATGAAGAGGATATCCCAGATAACGGCATCTCATATTCATGTTTACAAAAGAGCATGACACATTGGAAATCATCAGTTTGTTCTCACATCATCGCTAAAAAAGGCATGCTTAAATGCAGCTGGGATTTCCTAGGCACTCAGTGAGTGTATGATCAATAAACCTGTGAGCCACAAGGTCTACATCATGATTTTTAGGAGGAAAATTTTTATTTGCTAGGAAATGTGTTAGGAAGGATATTCAAGTGACACAAGAATTATAAAATTTATGTAAAATAAATGCCCTTTTATTATAGGCAATGGCAGACAATAAGGAGAAATATCTAAATATCTTTCCAATGAGCCCAAATGGAACTGCTTGTGCAGGAATCAGCCATACAGAGGAACACGTGCAAAATTGTCATATTGTCTGTCAACAACACAATGCTTCAACGTAGCCATTAAGATTGTAGCTGGTAAAACTATAACGGAACAACGTTGTGATGTTTGCTTATTTTTTTCATAGCAGCAAGCAAAATTTCTGACACTACCCGTTTTTAGTCACACTAATTTTTCAACTCTCTGGGGACGTAAAAATAAAACATTTTGTCTCCGTTTTACAGAAAAAAGCTTTTCAGACTCAGAGACAAGATAAAAATGTATTTAATTACTCACTAAATAAATAGAGAGTCTTAAAGAACAAAAATAAAAGATCTTGATGCTTGGCTCTGTGGTTTACTTACTTTAACAGGAGAGAGGAATCATTATTTATTAATATAGAAATCTGCTCAGCAACTTTGTATTCAACAATTGAATTCTTCAGGTTACAACCATGTTCTATACGGTAAAATAATGAATAGTGCCATAATACAAATAAACAAATAAGACAGTGGGAATTTATTTCTGCATAAAAGATATTAATGAGTATGAATACTTATGCACATAAAAGTCCAGAAACTAGAGGCATAATTAGATCATTTTTCTAAGTTTTTAACATGTACATAGTAGTGATATCTGGACTTCATTTCATCATAGATATCTAAAACTCTTACTATGACTCAAGTTTTATATGAGAATTATAGGGGACTGACCATTTTCTACCCTTGTTTGTCAACTTGAAGTAATGATATTTAGATATTTTCATGAGCATCTCTCAGTTTAATGAATAGACTGCTTCTGATTCTTTGTCCTTTTGATTACTAAAAGGTAATCATGTATTACTCTTTAGTTAGAGTTAGTGGGTCACTCACTCTGTATTGTGTATGTCTGTAATGTGTGGATGGCTATGTTGTCTGCTCTCCAGTTCTCCAGAATACTCAAGTATTATTTCTATAAGTTGACAGACCATGTGGAAAATAGTGACAAAGACCCCAATCAATTATAAATTTTTTTCAGAATAAGCAAAGAAACATATTTATACTTAATATTTTTATTATTAACCATATTTCATTTCATTCCATCAGCTCCATTAAAGTTGATATTGTATGGTAGCTCTCTGACCATCTATAGGATCTTCATTTACAGCTAATCCTACTTATTTCAGTCACAGAATATCATCATCATTACCTAAGAAATTTGTCATGGATCCCTCTTCATATGGACTTGCCCATTCCACAATAAACTGATATACTTCAGCCCAATGAGTGATAGTAGTTAATGATTAGCTGAGAGGGGCAGGTGGCTTGAACTCAGGAGTTTTGAGACCAGCCTGGCCAACGTGGTAAAACCTCATCTCTACTAAACATATAAAAATTAGCCAGGCATGATGGCATGCACCTATAGTCCCAGCTATTCAGGAGGCTGAGGCAGGAGAATCACTTAAACCTGGAGGTGGAAGTTGCAGTGAGCTAAGATGGCGCCACTGCACTCCAGCCTGGGCGACAGAGTAATTAGGAAAAAAAAAAAAAAAACCACTTGGTATTTTCTACCTTTTTAATTTTTACTATTCTTGTGGGTGTATAGTTTTGTTTTGTTTTAACTTTTTATTTTGACAATAATTTCAGACTTACAGGAAGTTGCAGGAATAGTACAAAAAATTCCTGTCTCAAAAAAAAAGTACAAAATAGATCTAGACATGAGAGAATTACATTCAAAAGCAACAAAAGTTTAATTCAATATAAATAAGTAAAGGCTTATTTATACACTTGAAAATATATTGGAAAACAAGATTGAAACTACTATAATGTATAAATCACAGGAGTGATGTATAGCTTCCCAGAGGCAATAGCCCACAGAACAGTATAAATCAAGAGAGTCAATTCTCACTCTACCTGCTCCTGAAACTGAGACTGAACTGAGTTCCCCAAATTGTATTCTTTTACTGATGAAATCAAAAGCTGTCTTTAAACTTTCCCACGTTATTTTTCCTTATAACTTCCACTATGATCTTTTGCTTTATTTAAATAATAGTTAATAAGTTCTTATCTTTAATGAACAGAATAAGTTCTTATCTTTAATGAGCAGAAATCTGACCTGCTCTATGCCATTTTACCTAATTTACCAAGTTATATAAGTTGATTTTGACTCTTTACTTTTGCTCTTTCATTAAGGATGTGGCTGCAATTATGTCTGCAATCCCAGTGCCCATTATGTATATGATTTCGTGAAAAAAACTTGTCTCTGCCTGAGCTGCTTCATGGCACTTTTTACCTCCTCATTCCTCAAGGTGTAAATGAAGGGATTCAGCAAAGGGGTGACCACTGTGTAGAAGACAGACACCACCTTGTCAATGGAGAAGCTGGTGTCTGGCCGAGTATAGATGAAGATACATGGCCCAAAGAAGAGGGCAACCACCATGAAGTGGGCCGAGCAGGTAGACAGGGCTTTCCGGCGCCCTTCAGCTGAGTGTTTTCGAAGAGAAACCAGGATGACCATATAGGAGGTGACCACGGCCAAGAAACAGGAGAGGGAGATGGTTCCACTATTGGTCACAATCAGTATTCCTGTGAGGTATGTATCTGTGCAGGCCAGCTTGATAACAAGAGGCACATCACAGAAGTAGCTGTCAATAATGTTGGGGCCACAGTAAGGTAGACGAATAGTCAAGAAGGTCTGCCCTAGTGAGTGAACAGTACCCCCCAACCAGAGAGCAAAGACAAGCTGTATACAGACTCTCATGTTCATCACATTGGGGTAGTGGAGTGGAGTGCAGATAGCCACGTAACGATCATACGCCATAATGATCAGCAGAAAGATCTCGGCACAGGCAAAGAGATGTAGGAAGAAGAGCTGTGTGATGCAGTTGTCAAAGGAAATGGTCTTTCTTTCTAAAAGCAAACCCTCCAACATCTTAGGCACAGTGACAGATGAGTGGCAGATGTCAATAAAGGACAGATTGCTCAGGAAGAAATACATGGGGGTATGGAGACTTGGAGTAAAGACTGTGGCAATGATGATGAGAATGTTCCCCGAAAGCGTTAGCATATAAATGGCTGAGAATGCCATGAAAAACAGCATTTCCAGCACCCGGTTATCAGTGAGTCCCAAGAAGACAAATTCAGTCACTCTTGTTTGGTTTAGACTGTCCATTCAATGAGCTTAGGGGGGAAAAAATGAAAGCTAATTTAGTTTTATTATTATAGGAATAGAACTAATTGAAATGACTTTGTATTCTTATCTGAATTGCTTATTTATCATCAGAGCATATAGCTTATGAAATCAATTTAACAGTAGTTGTTACAGTATACCCACTACTTACCAGGAGCCATGCCAGGCACTTCTATTTAAACACAACCACCCTATGGCACATGAATCAATTGTTTCTGCCTTGCAGATGAGATCAGTGAGCCTTTACAAGAATAAATAAATGCCCGAAACCTTACACATTAGTTATTTGGCTCTTTTCACTTCAAACTAAAGCACTGATAACATTAAGCTAATATTCCAATACAACTCCCAACTAAATAATTTGACTCTTCTATCAAATTAGATATACATTCAAAGCCTGCAACAGTCTGCTGCACATTTTCATTTTTTCAATGTGAGTGTCCTTTTATTCTCCCTATTAATTCTTCTCTCTGACCAAGCAAGTCACTGTCCTCCAGGCATCCTACCTCCACCTACTTACCTTCCAAAATCTTTGTCTTTACTTTTTCTTTTCCCTCTGCTCAGAAAACATACACTCTATTCAAGTGTACTCTCCTCACCTCATTGTTTACTATTAATATACAAACAACTCCATTAAAAATGGGCAAAGAACATGAACAGACACTTCTCAAAAGAAGACATTTATGTGGCCAACAAACAGGAAAAAAAGCTCAACATCACTGATCATTAGAGAAACGCAAATCAAAACCACAATGAGATACCATTGGCTATTATGAAAAAGCCAAAAAACAACAGAAGAACAGATGTTGGTGAGGTTGTGGAGGAAAAGGGACATTTTTACACTGTTGATGGGACTGTAAATTAGTTCAACCATTGTGGAAGACAGTGTGGTGATTCCTCAAAGATCTAGAACCAGAAATACCATTTGACCCAGCAATCCCATTACTGGGTATATAACCAAAGGAAAATAAATTATTCAATTATAAAGATACATGTACATGTATGCTCATTGCAGCACTGTTTACAATAGCAAAGTCATGGAATCAGCCTAAATGCCCATCAATGATAGAATGAATAAAGAAAATGTGGTACATAACACCATGAAATATTATGCAGCCATAAAAAGGAACAAGATCATGTCCTTTGCAGGGACATGGATAGACTTGGAAGCCATTATCCTCAGCAAACTAATGCAGGAACAGAAAACCAAACATCACATGTTCCCATTTATAAGTGGGAGCTGAATAATGAGAACACGTGGACCCACTCTACACCTGTGGAGGTCTGGGCTTAATACCTGACGATCTGTGCTGTAAACCACCATGCCACACGTTTACCTATGTAACAAAACTGCACATCCTGCACACTTATCCATGAACTTAAAGGTGAAGAAAAAAATACTATTCATCCTTCACTTTGTCTTTGACTATTTCAAAGAACACTACCTTTAAGAAAACTTTCCTGACCCAGTCAAAGCCTATCTATTCCCTCTCAGGCTTCTTTTATGGTCCTTGACCTGTAAAATAAAGTAAAATAAGATGTTCATTTTTGCTCTCCACTAAATCAAAAAAAAAAAATTTTTTTCGAGACGGAGTCTTGCTCTGTTGCCCAGGCTGGAGTGCAGTGGCATGGTCTCGGCTCACTGCAAGCTCCGCCTTCCAGGTTCACACCATTCTCCTATCTCAGCCTCCCAAGTAGCTGGGACTACAGGCTCCCACCACCACACCCAGCTAATTTTTTTGTATTTTTAGTAGAGACGGGGTTTCACCATGTTAGCCAGGGTGGTCTCAATCTCCTGACCTCGTGATCCACCCACCTCGGCCTCCCAAAGTGCTGGGATTACAGGCGTGAGCCACCGCGCCCAGACTAAAATTTTTTTAAGAGTAGTAACCACACAGGACTTATCCTTTGCAGCACTTAGTAGGTGCCTTGTACACAATGGGTATGCAAAAACAATTTTTACTTGAACTGAACCTAACTTCTTAGGCAGCCTGAAAAAGAACTCAAGCCTTCCTTCACAATGGAGCTAAGAAAATACTTAAGAAACTTACTTCTTTAAATTACGTAATATGATATTATTGTATAAATACTAAAGTTATATTACCCTAACTTTTTATACTGATGGCTGGCCAAAAACTATAACCGTTGGGAAATAATTATCACAAGCCACAAAAATAATTTATATTCTTGATCCAATTATTTCACTTGTAAGCATTCAAACTATGAAAAAAGCTAAATGCAAGGAAATATTAACTATAGTATTATTTAAAATAACGTGAGGCTTACATTAGGGGTTTACATTAGGAACAGTAGTTCACAGGGCTTACATCAGGAACAATGTCATGGGGCTTACATTAGGAACAATAGTGACAAAGGCCTACCAACGTGAAAAAATATTAAACATAATGAATAAAAATGAGATAAAGCGTGTTAAACTTTCTCAATAATTTAAAATATATAATGCCAGCCAGGCGTGGTGGCTCATGCCTGTAATCCTAGCACTTTGGGAGGCCGAGGCAGGTGGATCACGAGGTCAGGAGTTCAAGACCAGCCAGACCAATATGGTGAAACCTCATCTTTACTAAAAATACAAAAATTAGCCAGGTGTAGTGGTGCATGCCTGTAATCCCAGCTACTCAGGAGGCTGAGGCAGGAGAATTGCTTGAACTGAACCAGGGAGGCAGAGGCTGCAGTGAGCCAAGATTGCACCAGTGCACTCAAGCCTGGGCAACAGAGCAAGACTCCGTCTGAAAAAAATAATAATAATAACAAAATATATAGTGCCATATAAATTATCAAAAAAAAGGTAGACGTGAAGAAAATATTGTAACATAGATAACCAAAAAAGAATACTCCTGTTATCCAAGATCTCTTAAAACTTGATAAGAAAAGACAAACGACTCAATTAAAAATGAGCAAAGATATACTTAAGTCACAGAAAAAGAACTTCAAATGACAAATAAGTATGAATAAAAATATGCTTAATTAGTAATAGATTAAAAAGAAAATCAAATACTTTTTGTCATTCATCGGATTAACAAAGATATAAGGAAAGGAGTACTCTTAACACTGCTACTAGAAGTAGGTATTATTGAGATCTTTTTGGAAAATAATCTAGCAGTGCCAATTAAAATTTTAAACACTCATACCTCTGAACCCAGCAACTTTACTTATAGGACTGTATTTTGTAGAAATAAAGAAACTGGTAACTAAAGAACTAAAGATACATGTTTAAAGACTTTTTAGTAGAATAACATACTGGAAACAAACTGAATGTTTCTCAATAGAGGACTAGATAAACACATTTTAGTACAGCCACAGTATGGAATATTATGAGCTATTAAGAATAATAATAATAATGAGTTGGATCTATATGTATAACCTAAGGCAGTGGTTCTCAATGTGGCTGCACATTAGAACCACTTAAAGAAGTTTTATAAATTTTGATACCCAGGCCTCATGCCAAACCATCAATTCAGAATTTCTGACAATTGGACCCATCAGCACTATTAATACTCCTTGGAGAGTCCAGTGTGCAGCCAAGATTACAAACTACTAATTCATGGAATGTCAATAACATATTGTTAAGCAAAAGAACCTATTATGAGTATATTACGAACCTTGAAGGAAAGAAGGCAGGGAGTGAGGAAGGGAGGGACAAAGGAATGAATGAACAAAGGAAGAAAGAAATCGAAAAAGATTTGTGTGTGTATGCATATATATTTACGCATATATGTACATGCATATGCTTCAACATATTAATATTTATACATATTCAAACATATATACATATTCATGAATTATGTTTGTATATATTTATTCCTAGAAGGACACAAGATAGTTGTTGACGAACACACATCAATTTTAACATTAGTTAATTCTAGAAGTATGGAATTGAAGGAAATGATAGGATTTTATTAATTTTTACATTATAATTCATAATTGTTCAAGTTTGTATAATAAGCATGGGTTACTTTGTTTTAAAACAAAGTATTAAAAGCATGCACAGGGAAAAGCAAGTGAGAAGAATACCCATAGCTTGTTCTTATCCTACTGCTGTTATCTTTAATTTGTTCCAATTGTATTATAAACATATAATTTTATATTCTATTTTTCACTCAGTATTATATCATAAGTGTATAACCAAGTGACATTTCATCACATATATGTATTCAAATGTGTGCACCCAGTCCATCCTTTGTGGCCATTTATGATGTTTCTAATTTCTCACTATTAAAAATAATGGTACAATCTTTCTCAACATTACAGTGAGAAATCCTATTAAAACATAGGTCAAGCTGGGTGCAGTGACACGTGCCTGTAGTCCCAAATACTCAAGAGGCTGAGGTGGAGGATCTATCGCTTAAGTCCAGAAGTTCAAGGTCTGCCTAGGCAGCACAGCGAGATGCCATCTTTAAAAAAAAAAAAAAAAATAGATCAGATTAAATCATTTCACTAATTCGAAGACTTTCGATGGCTCCCTGTTCACACATTGTAAGTGAAGTCTTTACTTTGGCCTGTAAAGCCCTCAATGACACAACTTCCCATTTCCTCTCTGACCTCGTCTCCTACCACTCTTCCTTTCAGCTCCAATCACGTTGTCCTCCTTGGTATTCCTCAAATACTCAAAACACAGTCCCACTCTGGGGCCACTGCACTGGCTGCTTCCTCTGTTTGGAATCTCTTCCCCCAGATATCCCATAATTCTGGGGTCCCCAGCACCTGGGCCACAGATGGGTACCAGGCTGCACAGCAGGAGGTGAGTGCTTCAGCATCACCACCTGAGCTCTGCCTCCTGTCAGATCAGCCTTGGCATTAAATCCTCAATCGCAAACCCTATTGTGAACTGCACATGTGAGGGATCTAGATTGTGCACTCCTTGTGAGAATCTAATGCCTGATGATGTAGGTGAAACAGTTTTATCCTGAAACCAATCGCCCCCACCCCCAGTCCATGGAAAAATTTGTCTTCCATGAAACTGGTCCCTGGTGCCAAAAAGGTTGGGGACCACTGGCATAATTAACTCCCTCACCCCCTTGATGTCTTTGCTCAAACATCACCTTCTCAACAAGGTTTATGCTGATGAACATAATATAAAACTAAAACTCACCGAGAATTCCAGCACTCCTGATCCCCTTTATCCTGATCTACCTTTTTTATTTTTTGAAAGCACTGATCACCTTCTAATATACTGTATAATTCACTTATTTAGTCTATTGTTTATTATTTTCTTTCTCCTGCTGCTAGAATATAAATTCTAAAAGGACAGGGATCTTTGTTTCGCTCTATGAATCATCCAAATTATCTAGGAAAGTATATAGAACATAGCAGTTGCTCAATACATATTTTTGAACGATTATAACTTCTCTAATATATTATTCCGTTAGGAATAGATTACTAGAAATGAGTTTACTAGCTTAAAGATTATACCTCAAAATATATTATTATCAAATTGCTTCCCAAAATATTTGCAAGATTAAATAATTCACTCATGGTCACTCAGCAACTGGCTAAAATGGAATTTGAATTTTTCAGAGCCTACGTTCTTAACCAAAGAACTAAAAGAAAAAAACATAAAATGGGATTTAAGTAGCAATAAGATCCAACTATGCACTCCCTGAAGGAAGGGAAATATCTCATTCATTTTTCTATCCACAGAGCAAAGTAACTGGCATAAAGGAAGAACTCACTGAATACTTATTGAATTAATTTTTTTAATGTTTTAAAAGTAGGACAAAGCAATCTTCCTGCCTCAGCCTCCCAGCACTTTGGAAGGCTGAGGCAAGAGGATTGCTTGAGGCCAGGAGTTCATGACCAGCCTGGGCAACATAGTGACACTGCATCTCTACAAAAATTTTAAAATTAGCTGAGTGTGGTGGCACATGTCTATAGTCCTAGCTACTCCAGAGACTGAAGCAGGAGAAACATTTAAGCTCAGGAGTTTGAGGCTGCAGTGAGCTATGATCATGCCACTGCAAGCCAGCCTGGGCAACAGATCAAGACCCTGTCTAAAAATAAAATAAATAAAATTTTTAAAGATATTTTCAAAGTAGCACTGCAAGGAAGAATTATGAAAAATCCAAAAATTTGGGGGTAAGTTGATCTGTACATCAAAATAATTACCCATTTTAAGGCAATCAGCAGAAATCTTATTTACAAAGGGGCAATTGAGCTAAAAGCACCAGAATCCCCACTAGACATCAGTATTGTGTATTGTATACTGCGTATATTAGAATTCTTCATTTAAAAAAAAAAACTGAAGGTCAATGAAATCTATCTCTTCCTGCTCTTTGTCTACCTTTTTTACCTTTCTTCCAAGAGCTCTAGAGTTCCCACAGCAGCTCCACAATGTAGACAGCAACAACTTTCCCCTTTTTGAAATCATACCTCTGAAGAGTATCGTGACTTTCCAGAGATCAGTGACCTCTACTCCCTGACCCCAGTTTCAGCCTACTCATCTTTACTTTTCATCAATGATACCTCCAACCCTATCTTTCTCTGCCTCTTGTCTCTGTTTCTACCTGATCTCTCTTTCAGCACTAAAGGCTCAATCCTTGGCAAGGACCCACTTAGAGAAGTGTTACTTAGAGAAGGCTCCTTTTGCCAAGAGGAACATGATTTTCCATCACAGTAGACCATTATCGTGTTAGCCTCAAATGGATTTGTAAAATCCAGAGCTTCCAAGGTCTTGCTTAGATGGATCTGATATAAGAGAACTGCCTATACTGATTGAATGCCAGGGCTTAAACCCTCAAGAAGAGACAAGGCAGAAGTTCATAGGAACACGCTCTAACCTTTGACAGGTTCATCTCCCTAATAAAATGGGATGCAGGTAAGCTTCAGAGGTGTTTTGTGGCTTTCCCAGCTTTTGCATGGCAAGATTGGAATTCTGTCCCAATTCTCCTGTCCCTAGGCCTTTCTATTACTCAATAGTTGGCTGCAGAGAGCTGAGTTGGATTAACTCCTAAATCCCTTTCAGCATATTAAATTTAGTTTATTTTTTAAAGATTTGATTCTTCTCTGTATATGAGGAGACCATCTACTCAGTTACCAACTAAAACTGGGAAAGAAATCTCTGAGAAAAAAAAAACTGCTGTGAAAGTTTTAGAGCTGAAGGTTGTGTAGGGTAAGAACAAAATGATGTCCTTGCTTCTGCATACATAGAAAGCATTTAGAGGCTGGGTGCAGTGGCTTATGCCTGTAATCCCAGCACTTTAGGAGGCCGAGGGGGTGGATCACCTGAGGTCGGGAGTTTGAGACCAGCCTGGCCAACATGGAGAAACCCCGTTTCTACTAAAAATACAAAATTAGCTGGGCGTGGTGGCGCATGCCTATAATCCCAGCTACTTGGGAGGCTGAGGCAGGAGAATGGCTTGAACCTGGGAGGTAGGGGTTGCAGTGAGCTGGGATCGTGCCACCGAGCTCCAGCCTGGGCAACAAGAGCAAAACTCCGTTAAAAAAAGAAAGGAAGGGAAGGGAAGGGAAGGGGGAGAGAGAGAGAGAGAGAGAGACAGACAGAAAAAGAAAGAAAGAAAGAAAGAAAGAAAAACAAAGAAAGAAGGAAGGAAGGAAGGAAGGAAGGAAGGAAGGAAGGAAGGAAGGAAGGAAGGAAGGAAGGAAGGAAAGAAAGAAGAAAGAAAGAGAAAGAAAGAAAGAAAGGAAGGAAGGAAGAAAGAAAGGAAGGAAGGAAGGAAGGAAGGAAGGAAGGAAGGAAGGAAGGAAGGAAGCATTTAACATCACAACTCCATACATTACAATGATGTAGTCATGGTGAGTTATGTCCCAAAGAGTGACCCAGGGTAAGAAATCCCAGAGGAGCAGAGCTACCAGGCCTCAACTGTAGTCCTCCAAATCTTCTCCAGAACAGCCCAAAACTAATCTGTACACTGACTTTCAGAGCACAGGTTTGCTGCGTAAGGACTTCCTTGCTCTTAGAAACAAAGACTGAATGGCCATCTGCCAGTAAAAAAGACTTCATCTTTTCAACATTCAACATTCATCCTATAATTATGTGTGAGTGTCTGCTATATTCCAGGCACTGTTCTAGGTATTCAAATCCAAAAAGCAAACAGAAGTGATGGTCTTGATCCCTTACAACCTCAAGACTCCATAACCTACGGAGTGTTCGATAACTAGGAAAAAGAAATCAGTGCTGTGGCAAACTCTAAAGGTGACAAGTCGTAACCCCAGACATCTTGAGGAATCCTGGAGGGTGTGCGTATGTGTGTTTTGTCTGTGTGTGCAGGTGCCTTCATAGGCAGCAACATGTTAAAAAAGTATTCTGATTCCTTAGACAGAAAAGAGGTTAAAACAACTCTCATAAATTAAAAGGTCTTCTATTAAACTTCTAAACACACACTTAAGTGACATATCAGACAAGTCTTGCTCAATACCAAGTACGTAATGTACATATGAGCATACATGTGCAGACCCACAAAAAGCATGACAAGCAGCGCAGGTAGTGGTAAAACTTACCAGTTTTCTCCAGTTGTGCAGGGATGCTTTAGCTAATTGTTATAAAGTTACTATAATGTTATTTCATTCACTTTTCTCATAATTGTTTCTAGAAATGAAACAGAAAAAGCAAAATCCTAAAAAACATGAAATAAAATACACTCTGATTTGGATATTAGTAACTGGCTTTCTGTTTGAACAGTTTCACCTTTTTAAGTTGTGTGTATGTGTACATGTGTGTGAGTGAGAGAGAGAGAGAGTCTCACTCTGTCACCTAGGCTGGAGTGCAGTGGCATGATCACAGCTCATTGCAGCCTCAACTTCCTGGGCTTATGCGATTCTCCCATCTCAACCTCCCAAGTAGCTGGGACTACAGGCACACACCAACCATGTCCAGCTAATTTTTTGTTTTTTTGTTCATTGCTTTTTTTTTTTTGGTTGTTTGTTTTGTTGTGTTTCTTGTTTTTTGTTTTTGGTTGGTTGGTTGGTTTTTTTGTAGAGACAGGGGCTTCGCTATGTTGCTCTGGTTGGTCTCAAATTCCTGGGCTCAAGTGATTCTCTTGCCTCAGCCTCCCAAAGTGCTGAGTTTACAGGCATGAGCCATCACGCCCAGCGGTTTCGCCTTTTTAATATTGGTCCTTGGTTTTTTTTAATCCTTTTTCTTTTCTGCAAATTTTACATTTTTCCTTTACAATACTTTGACTTTTGTCAGGCCAACTAAGACAGAACTACGTCTACTTGCCATTACCACTTTAATCAGTAACTACCATGGGCACCATTGGAACTGCATTTTAAGACGCATTCAACAAATTTTTTTATAGAAAAAAAGTATTCATTTTTAGTTCATATTAATAGAAAGCACACTTTTAGGGGATATAACTTGATACTAACATTAAGCTTAAAGTTTTGTATTAAGAAAATTTTTAAAACTTTTTTTAGGGACAGAGTCTTGCTCTGTCACCCAGGCTGTAATACAATGGTGCAATCATAGTTCCCTGTAGCTTCAAACTCCTGGACTCAAGCAATCCTCCCACTTCAGCGTTCCCAGTGGCTGGGACTACAAGCACATGCCACCATACCTGGCTAGTTTGTTGGTGTTTTGAATTTTTTTAGAGACAAGTTCTCACTATGTTTCCCAGGTTGGTCTCGAGTTCTTGGTGTCAAGCTATCCTCCCACTTCAGCCTCCTGAGTAGCCAGGATTATAGGCTGGAGCCATGGGGCCCGGTAAGAAAATACAAAAATTTTTAAGGGGTCTGTGGCAAATCAAAGCCAATTTGTCTTAGTCTATTCTTGTGCATCAGAACTAATAAATATTGTCAAATGAAAGCATATTTCCTGTCAATATACATATATAAATTTGGATTCTGCTTCTTTTTGCTCCTTTAGCCAACTCATATATTACTCTGCGTATACTTGAGCAAGTCTCTTTATTTTCATTATGGAATGCAGGTAATAATTTTATCCCTTTAATTACTATAATAGTTAATTTTCTGTGTCATCGTGGCTAGGCCATGGTACCCAGTTATTTGGTCAAACTATGATCTAGCTGTTGCTTTGAAGGTATTTTTTAGATGTGATTAATATTTATATCAGTAGACTTCAAGTAAAGCAAATTGCCCTCCATAATGTGGCGAGGCTTCATGTAATCAGTAGAAGGCCTTAAGAAAAATGACTGAGGTCCTAAGAAGAAGAAAGAATTCTATTTCCAGACTGCCTCTAGATTCAAGACTGCAACAGTAACTCCTGCTGGAATTTCCAGCCTGCAGCCCTGCTGTGAATACTTTAAACTTTCCAAACCCACAATCCACAGTCTCATAATAAATCAAGCTATCTCTGACTCTCTCTCTCTCTCTCTCTCTCTCATTTTATATATATAATGTATATACACACAGTTGACTCTTGAACAACACGGATTTGAACTGAGTCCACTTATACGCAGATTTTTTTTCAACCAAACGCAGATTGAAAATGCAGCACTCACAGGATGCAAAACCCATGTATATGGAGGGTCAACTTAGTATATACCAGTTCTGCAGGGATGACTACAGATTTGGCTATTGGTAGGGGCATCCTGGAAACCAATCCTCCCATGTATACCAAAGGACTAATTTATGTATGTGTGTGTGCATGCGTGTGTGTGTGTGTGCATCTGTGTGTGTGTGCATGCATGTGTGTGCATGCAGCGTGTGTGTGCATGTGTGTGTGTGCATGCGTGTGTGTGTGTGCATGCGTGTGTGTGTGTGCGTGCATGTGTGTAAAACCTTTGGTTCTGCTTCTCTGGAGAACTCTGACTAATATAATTACCTTCTTTGCAATGATCATCAAGATGGGACTGTGGTGAAGTTTAGGAAGACCACTGTACATTTATCACTCTCAGGAGATAAGCTTTTCTTAAAGAGCCTATTATCTCCTTTCTCCTCACCTCAGCACCCACCTTAAATAAGTAACAATAATCATGATCACATTATAAAGGTGAGGCAGGAAGAGGATAGCAAAACTCAGCATCATAAAATCAAATCAATCAACCCAGGAGCTCTATTAAGCTTAGGCTGTCTTCTAAAGTCCAAAGCAATATTCTTCAATGTATAATCAGTAACATTTGTTTATACATAAAAACTATCTATCTTATTTGTTTAAAATAAATGTTCTCAATATATATCACACACTTACCATCTACTCTGTATCTCCTCTAATGATTCCATTCGCCTCTGATACCCTATTATAGAAGCCTAGGATATAAAATCATGAAACTCAAAATTCTGCACAGGGTAAATTTTAGGCTTGAAAGCTTTGGAATTTTTACCTATCTGACACAGGATTTTGAAGTGATCATCACATGACATAACTGAACTTGCCATCAATGAATACTCGGAGGTATTATTAAAAGTTTTCCATTCCAATGCCCTTCCTGTTATTAGTCTCATTCATTTAGCCATTTAATAAGTGGACAAAAAATCCAGAAGCCTTCAAATATGGAAGAGTTCCAAACCTTTGGCAATTAGCATGACATTAGTTTGTAGAGCCACTGTAATAACCACTGCATACACACCAGGGATTCAAAGTCCATGGACAAGTGAAACCTCACCCATGAACACTAAGTAAATTGGTACCAGTCAGTGGGTACCCAGGATGCCTGATATACAGCCTCGAACTAACTTAGCTTCCAGAAGCATCTTGCTAAACACTTCCTAATTTGCCTCTTCTACTGCTTGGGCAGATGTTCAAAGCAATATCTATAAATCTATATTCTCCACACTTTACAGGTTGTCTGGGTAAGGTAATCTTTATAAGTAAGGCAAAAATATCAAAGTGTTTTATAATCAGTTTTTAAATCGCTTTTTAAATATTTTGACTATATAAAGCAAAAATATATTGTGAAATTTATAACATGTAGAAGTAAAATATATTAAAGTAATAACAAAAAGCCTGGGAGGAGAAAAACAGAAGTTTGAAAGTTTCTTATATCATACAGGAAATGATATAATATCACTTGAAGTTATACTATATTAAAGATGTATAATCTAAATTCTAGAGCAACAGCTAACATAAAGTAATATAACTAATAAGATTATAGTGAAGATGAAATAAAATTAAATACTAAAATAAAACCCAAAAACAAACATACAAAAAAACTCAATCTAGACCAAAAAGGAAAGAAAATGAACACAGAAGAAATGGGGAAAATAGAAAACAAATCACAAAATGGTAGATTTAAACCAATCATATCAATAACTACATTAGAATTTTTAAAAAAGGAAAAATAATATACCACCCTAATATTTATCAAAAAAATTTCTGGACAGGATGTTACAGAAACCTCCAACCTGGAGACACCAATATGCATAGATAACAAAAGCTCCAAGGAAAGCCCATTCCTTCTAGCCAAAGGACAAGGAAAAAGGCGGTGGCCTAACAGCAGGAAATCTTTCTGGCAATACCCTTCCTGCTCCAGCTAAACACCAACAAATAAACCACACCCCCAGGTCTCAGTCAGTGAGCAAGGAAGTTGATCTTCCACCCCACCTTCCTTCCCAATAGAAGCCACTGTGCACTCTGGTTTCCCCCTTGGTAGTGTCAGCAGGCCAAACAGGGAGCTGATCTTCCATTCCCCAGATGGCAGAAGCAGGTGGTGCTCCAGTCTCCCAGCAAGATACTGTCAGTGAGGTCCAACAATGAGCTGAGCCTCCATCTCTACCTAGCAACAATGAGGTAGAATGAGGTGCTATGAGGTGAGACAGTAAACACTCAGCTTCCCCCACCCCAATGTCAGCAATGCCCAGTGAGGAGCTGAACCTCCACACCCATCCAGTGGCCATGTAATTGAACAAAGCAATGGAAAGTAGGGCTAATCAGAGTTCCTGTTCCCACTCCCTTGTCAACAAGGACCACTGGTGAGCTAAGCCTCCACTCCTGCCATACCAACCAGGCAGGAGGTAAGTCTAGTTGGCCCTCTCCTTTCCCCTCTCCCAGCTGGCCCAGCAGAAAGCTGATCATCTCCATTCAGAGGCAATAAGGCAATGTGACTTAATGGTCCCCTTTTGGTGGGGTGGTGCCAGTGGCACCCAGCAGGAAACTGAACATATATATTCACCAAACTTTACACTACATCTCAACAGGAGAACTACCTGCTAAAAAGAAGATTAAATAAGATCCAGGTTTCCTAATAAAAAACCCATAATGTCCAGGCTACAATCAAAAATTACTTTTCATTCCAAGAATTAGGAAATCAGAACATAAATGAGAAAAGACAATCAACTGATTCAATACGAAGACGAATCAGATGCTCAAATTATTGGAAAAGGACTTTAAAACAGCTCTCACAAAAATGCTTCAATAAGTGAGTCCAGGCATGGTGGCTCATGCCTATAATCCCATCACTTTGGGAGGCTGAGGTAGGAGGATCACTTGAGCCCAGGAGTTTGAGACCAGCCTGGGCAATATAGTGAGATCCCATCTCTACAAAAAATTGAAAATCAGCTGGGCGTGGTGGTGAGTGCCTGTAGTTCCAACTACTCGGGAGGCTGAGGAAGGAGGATTTCTTAAGCCCAGGAATTTGAGGCAGCAGCTGAGTCCAGAGAACTGAAAAATACAATAACTGAAATTAAAAAGCTCTCTGGATAGATTTAATATAAAGGGGAGATGCCAGAGAACTGAATCTGTAAACTTTAAACAGATCAATAGAATTTACTCAGTTTGAAAAACAGGGAGAAAATAGACTGAAAGAAAAATGAGCAGAGTTTCAGAGACCTATGGGATAATAACAAGAGATCTAAGTTCATATCATTGGAGTTTAAGAGGAAAGAAGTGGGACTGAAAAAGTATTCAAAGAAATAATGCCTGAAAACTCCCCAAATTTGGCAAAACTATAGTGGCAGAGGTAATTGACTACTATCATGAGGATATAGAGTTGCTACTATGTAACGGGGATAGAGAGAAGTACCAATGGAACTCAGAGATGTATTGGAACATGTCTTGGTGTTTCCATGCTTGGTGATAGCAGTGAAGAGGTAATTGCATCAACCAAGGTCTGAAAAGGGTACAGTAACCAGGGGCTTGGGCCCTTCAGGGATGAAGGTCTGAGTCACCAAAGAGCAAGAAACTGAGACCAGCAGGAATGCTGAATGAGGGAGCCTAGAATGAGTGATAGAAGAGGGAGACAATAGATAACAGTGATGGTCTTGGGACCAACTGCAGCAACAACTCTACTTATCTGGCTAAATCCTCTGTTTTAGGTCTTTTTTTTTTTTTTTTTTAAGAAACTGTAATCAGCCACCACCTTGAGGAATCAATGACAGTACAAAGCAAATATAATGTTGGGTAAGAGGGTATCAAAGCAGTGGAAGGGTTGACTGACACTATCAATACCCTCCTCTGCATAACCCGTTTACATTTTCCATGGACGGCCCAACTTTCAACTGTCAGCACCTCTGTGCCTGAGGGGATCTTTCTGGCAACTGGCGCTTTCTTTGCCCATGTACATAGTAAACCCTGAATACTAGAAAATTAATATCCCTGGTAATTAATAAAATTAATATCCTTCAACCAATGGCTGACAGGAGTTGGTAAATGGAAGCCAGTCAACAAGATGACCTCAATGATCTCCATCATCTCTGGTATTCACACCACTGTGCAATCGCCTTCTACACTGTATAAGGGTGGGTCTGTGTGACCAACAGAATACAGCAGAAGTGGCCAGAATCGCCCTGTGGATCTCAGGAGGAAGGCTGAGTTGGAGGGTGGTTTGTGCTTGCTGAGACAGCACTTCAGGGATGATGGCAGAGGGAGGTAACCACGGCACCAATTTGCTGGCTGCAGAGACTGCAAGTTTAGAACAATAGCTGCAAGAATGGGGAAAAGTGATGTTGATGGTGGATAAAGTCTTATTATGGGAAAGAGCTTGGTTTTCACCTGCCATCATGGACTTGGTTTCTTTGGTGCTTCAATTATCTACTATCTAGATCCATCTGTTCTGTCTGCTGTTTCCTCTTTTGTTGTGTTTTGGTGCTTGGCTGACTACCTTGTTCCCATTCTAGCACCTAACATTTTTGGCTCCAATAAATGCACCAGCAATCAACAGCAAAAATTCCATGAAATTTGCAGCAATCTACTAAAAACTCAATGCAGAGCTATGGACTGGTGGAAACAAATCTTCGCACTGAAGGAAGAAAAGCCTGAAATGTGTTTCATGGCCATGATCATTTATCTCGCTGCAGTTGTTTGGATGGGACAGCAAGTCCACAACCTGCTTCTCAGCTACCTGACAGTGACTTTCTTACTGTTGCTTCCTCAACTAAACCAACACGGAATCATTTCAAACCACACTGGAAAGGCCAAAGGGAGATAAACAAGCTTCTCGAACAAAAAGAAAAGAAAAATGAATAATTCATCCACTTTATTCAATGTGATTAATGGCATATACATTGTCCCTAGGAACAGTTTCTGCTATACTATCCAGATACTAAAATGTTAAAGAAGTAGCTCTTTGTTCTCCCTCACTCTACCCTTAATTATTCAATAGTCTAAATCCAATGGGATAAAAGAAAAAAAAAAGAAAGAAATTCACACTTACCAAGTAAGTGTCTTCGAGTCAAATACAGTTAAAAGCATTTTTATTGGTGGTCTTACATGGATAACTCATTAGAGAGTATGACTTGTTTTGATTTTTCTCACCCAGGGTTAATGGAATTCTTACATTAAACAACTTCCTTTAAAATAATACAGTGGTGAACTTTACCCTTTAGTACAGTTAAAATGACTTTGGATAATTGTTTAAGTTGATCCTTGCTTTAGTTTGATACCAGGTAGTGGTCTGTGGCTACAGGAATCTTGTTCTACTGTCTGCTTCCACTGCCTGCTTAAAAAACTGTCTAGCTTCATGAATACAGAGACCAAGTTTACCTCTTCTGATGAAGAGGCCAATTAAGATTTATTCCTCGGCCGGGCGCAGTGGTTCATGGCTGTAATCCCAGCACTTTGGGAGGCCGAGGCGGGCGGATCACAGGTTAGGAGATCGAGACCATCCTGGCTAACACTGTGAAACCCCGTCTCTACTAAAAATACAAAAAAAATTAGCTGGACGTGGTGGCGGGCACCTGTAGTCCCAGCTACTCGGGAGGCTGAGGCAGGAGAATGGCGTGAACCCGGGAGGCGGAGCTTACAGTGAGCCCTGATCGCGCCACTGCACTCCAGCCTGGGCGACAGAGCGAGACTCCGTCTCAAAAAAAAAAAAAAAAAAAAGATTCATTCCTTCATTCCTCATTCTGCTTTTTTACCATGGAAAAAGGATCCTGATGGAACAAAATTAAATTAATTCTATACCCTAGTATATGTAGGTTTCACCTTTATGCAAAACTTAGCGTTTTGTAGGGAACATTGATCCTTTCTCCCAAACGAGGAAGATCTAACAGCGTTAGAGCTCTTATGACCTTGCACTTAGACTTCAAGTTAGTACATCCTTAAAGGCTTTTTCACAGCAGACTTCCAAAAGATTGTACTTAGGATTTTTGGCATACTTTTAATTTTGGATTTTCAGCTGACTTTAGCTATGACAGAGAGTAGGTTAAGACTCATGTGTACGACCTTTACCCTAAGACCAGCTAGTAAAGGACTAGTCTTTTATGTTAGCTAAAATTCATTTCAATAGAAAATAATCGTATCTAATTAATTTCTGAGACCAGAATAAGCCTTGAAAGGTAAGCCTCAATGTTCTCATTTATGGTAATACTGCTTGTTTCATTCCCAATAGGTTTGGCATAGGAGATAGTGATCACACTGGTGTCTGACTATTTTTTTAGATAGTTCTCTGAAAAATGCAAGGCTGTTGGTGAGAGCAGACATGAGGTGATGATAGTTGGCCTCTGGTCTCCATAGATTTTGTAACTCCTTGGTGAGTTTGTGTGTGTGTGTGTGTGTGTGTGTGTGTGTGTGTTTCTAATAATCATTATAATCATGATAATAACCATTTTCTACCTCTCAGTAGCTAGAAATTTACAGTAGTTGAAATCTGTAGGAATGAACCTCTGAGGGCCAAATATATGATATATTTGGAACAATTCTTAAATGGATTAACAAGCTGTAATATAGTTTTGTGAATTTATTCCACTGATGCTGTACCTTTACATTTAATGCTCACCATTAAATGAGTGTTGTTTTCTCCCCTTTAATATTGCTGTAAACAGTGGTGCCCATTGTGGGATATGTTTTATTTTTTAAATGTTTTATATGAGAACTATCTTAAATGTACATGTGTTTCTTCATTGTAAATAAGCCTGTCTTCTTATGGGGATATTTTGTGTGTGTATACATTCTACTGATTAACTACTTTTGCAGTTTGAATCCTATATTATTTCTTCTACTTTGTTATATGTAAAAGGAGAAAAATGTTAGAAGCTGGGGGAAAAAAAACAGCAGAAGTGATGGTATAACACTTCTGAGACTGGACAATAAAAGATGGCTCTCTCTCTCTCTCTCTCTCTCTCTCTCTCTCTGTCTCTCTCTCTGTCAACACACTACAGCCATGTGATAAGAATCTGGGGACTTTTGCCAACAACAGCTATGTGAGCAAGCCATCTTGGAAGTGCACCCTCCAATCCTAGCCAAGAGACTAGAGGGAGAGAGAGAGAAGAAAATCTACCCATACTAAGACTTTGAGTAAGGGAAATGCAGTAAAGAGGGAAGATTGTAATTCCTTTCCCTGTTTTTCTATGCCCAAAAGTTTTTACACAGCTGTGATTATTCCGCATATTCAATTATGCACACTGGTTTTCTTGATTCATTGTTATATCATAAGCAGTTCACCATTTTTATGCAGTCTTAATGGACATCCTTTATTTGCTATGTGGTAGGTAAAATTTCAGTGAATAGACCCAAGATTCCCTGCCCTAATCCTCAGAATCTTGAATGTTATGCAATATTACTCTGGTGATTGTGTTGGGTTCTATGGCACAGTTGACTTTTTGTTTGTTTTGTTTTGTTTTATTTTATTTTATTTTATTTTTTGAGACAGAATCACCTCTGTCCCCCAGACTGGAGTGCAGTGGTGCAATCTCGGCTCACTGCAACCTCAGCCTCCTGGGTTCAAGCAATTCTCCTGCCTCAGCCTCCCTAGTAGCTGGGATTACAGGTGCCCACCACCATGCTCAGCTAACTTTTTTGTATTTTTAGTAGAGATGGGGTTTCACCATGTTGGCCAGGCTGGTTTTGATCCTGACCTCAAGTGATCCGCCCAACTCGGCATCCCAAAGAGTTAGGATTACAGGCGTGAGGCACCGCGCTGAACAAACAGTTGACTTTTTTTTTTTTTTTTTTTTTTGAGATGGAGTCTCGTTCTGTTGCCCAGACTGGACTGCAATGGCAAGATCTCGGCTCACTGAAACCTCCGCCTTCCGGGTTCAAGCAATTCTCCTGCCTCAGCCTCCCAAGTAGTTGGGATTACAGGCGCCCACCACCACGCCCAGCTAATTTTTGTATTTTTAGTAGAAAGACAGGGTTTCACGTTGGTCAGGCTGGTCTCAAACTCCTGACCTCAGGTGATCCACCCGCCTCGGCCTCTCAAAGTGCTGGGATTACAGGTGTGAGCCACCACACCAGGCCCACAGTTGACTTTTCAAAAGGGAGATATCTATGTACCGGTTGACATGAGACCTTAAAAACACATGAACTTTGGAAGATTAAGCCAGAAAGATTCCAAGCATGAGATGAACTTCACATGCTATTGCTCGTTTGAAGATGGTGGGACTCACATGAGAAAGAGTGCAGGTTGCCTTAAGGAGCTCAGAAATGCCCCCAGCCCACAAACATTAAGAATATGGGAACTTTAGTCCCACATCTACATGGACTAGAATTCTGACAATAATAAGAACTGGCCGGGCATGGTGGCTCACACTAGTAATCCCAGCACTTTGGGAGGCCGAGGCGAGCGGATCACTTGAGGTCAGGAGTTCGAGACCAGCCTGGCCAACAAGATGAAACTTTGTCTCTACTAAAAATAGGAAAATTAGCCAGGCATGGTGGCAGGTACCTGTAATCCCAGCTACTTGGGAGGCCGAGGCAGAAGAATCGCTTGAACCCAGGAGGCAGAGGTTACAGTGAGCTGAAATCCTACCACTGCACTCCAGCCTCAGCAACAGAGCAAGACTCCATCTCCGAAAAAAAAAAAAGAAAAAAAAAAAGCACCTGTAATCACAACTCAGGAGGCTGAGTCCAGAGGACTGCTTGAGCTCAAGAGTTCAAAACCAGCCTAGGCAACAGAGCAGGACCCTGTCTCTACAAAAATATATATATTAATTAGCCAGGTATGGTAGTATGTGCCTATAGCCCTAGCTACTTGGGAGGCTGAGGTGAGAGAATTTCCTGAGCCCAGGAATTTGATCCCACAGTGACCTATGATCATGCCACTGCCCTCTACCCCAGGCAACAGAGAAACACCTTGTCTCTAAATTTTAAAAAATATATAAAAAATAGGCCGGGCACGGTGGCTCACACCTGTAATCTCAGCACTTTGGGAGGCCAAGGCAAGCAGATCCCAAGGTCAGGGAAATCAAGACCCTCCTGGCTAACATGGTGAAACCCTGTCTCTACTAAAAATACAAAAAATTAGCCAAGCATGGTGGCGGGTACCTGTATTCCCAGCTACTCGGGAGGCTGAGGCAGAAGAATGGCATGAACCAGGGAGGCAGAGCTTGCAGTGAACCGAGATCACGCCACTGCACTCCAGCCTGTGTGACAGAGCGAGACACCGTCTAAAAATATATATATATATATATATATATAAAATAGAAAAAAATTTAAAGAATTAACTTGGAAGAGGACTCTGAACTCTGTGTGAGCACTTGAGTACTCACCCAGCCAATGCCTCGACTTTACTATGGTTATGCCCTAAGCATGGAACTCAGCTGAACTTGCTTGGACTTATGACCTACAGAACTACAAGCTAATATATGGGTATTGTGGTAATTTGTTATGCAGCAATAGAAACTAATACAACTTTAAAATATTCCATTGATCATAGCATTCACCATATCATTTGCATAGTATTGTTTTCCCTAATTGATAACTATATGAACAATTCATACTCACCAAGTCCAAAGCCCTTAAATATCATTTCTATGGCTTCTTTGGTTGTCTTGTAAACTGGAAAAAAACAAAGCCTCATTTCTAGCCTGCATTTATTTAAATGAGAGCTCAAAAAAATGAATTATTAGACAAAAGGAACATGAACATTTCAGTGGCCTGGATTCATGTTGTCAAGATTACTTTCCAGTGTGACTATGTCTGTTCAAATTCCACCTCAAATGTTCATTTTATAAATTAGAATGAAAAAGCACTCCTATCTCACCCAAAGAGAATTTTGCTTAATCTTTGACTCAAAAAATATATATATATGTAACATATGACTGGCCATATAACTATGTTAACTTGGAGCAGCCCTCACTTTTGATGTCCCAATAACCTGCAATCTGAGCTTCTGCACTCTGATCGGCTTTATCTCATGTGGAGGTAGCCACACAGCAATCGTGTACTCTCTAAACCTAGCTGACAGCAAGTTGTAGCATTTAACAGACTTCATTAAAAGATTTGAAGAGAACATAAGGGAATTATAAAGCAGGAAATGAAAATCTTAACATTTACTGTAAATTTTTATTGTGCTTAATGCCTACTGACTGCATCTTGTCATAGGAATCTCCTACTGGCTCTCCTGCCTCACCCAGATTTGCCACCAAATTGTTTATGTTCATTCTTTTTCCCATCTTCTATAGACTCCCCTGATTATGTTCATGCTCCCCAAGTCTGAAGCCCCTAAACTTCACTTCTAGTCTGAGTTATAAACCTCCAAAATATGTTAAGATTACATTTATTTATAGAGGATGCACATAATGAAGATAGCCTTTCGTAATTAATCAGGCTACTTAACATCTCACTCTGAAGCATTTGCATTTGGATTTCCAAAGTTCGGAGTCCCCCCAAAGAAAATGAGTATCACCACAGTGATCCTTCCAAAGCAACAATCCACCTGAACGACAAACTCCATCATTAGGTGGAGCTTTAGATCCACAAGATACAAATAGTGGTCAGGATTTCACCTTCCACAAACCAAGGGTAGAGAAATACTGAGTTCCAGTCTCAGAGGTCCTACCACGTAATACTTAGTGAAAATTCAAGACTAGAATTGAAATAACTAAACTTAAATAAAGTTTACTGTGTGCCACTACTTCTCTGAGTAACACTAGATATAGCTATAGATAGAGATATAGATGATACAGAGAGTCATAACTCACAACAGGCTTGTGAAGTAGATACTCATTATTCTCACTTTCTGGATAAGGAAATAAACCAAAAGAAAAAAAAATAGTGACTGACTTAAGACCACCCAACTAGAGAGTAGCAAACTCAAATCCAGGCAGTCTGGTTCCAAAGTCCCCAGTCTTAACTCACAGCAGGCATACACTCAGGAAATACAGCTTCTCGCTGCTGTGGTTGCCTTTTGAATTTTGGTGCAGCTAAAGAGGCCTCATAGTCACCGTGTCTCTCACAGCACAGAGGTAAGAGGCAGAGTCTTTCATCTGGAGCTCCTTCAAAAGGAGGTAACTGTACCCTTTAGACCGACTAAGGAATGAAGAAAAACGACCTTTCTCCTCCAAACCATCCAGAACATTGTAAGACAGAAATGTAGGTGCTTCGCCAGCATGTTGCTGGTACCAGAACAGCCCGTTGAACCCAGATGTCTGGTACGTGCAGTTGATCTGGACAATGGCACCTTCCGTAGCTGTCATCTCAGTGGGCTGGTCAATGTTTTGTCCTGTAGTGCCTAAGACAAGATACATGACTGTTACTAGGGCAGCGCTCCTGGAAACCCATTATCATTAAAAACGATGTCTCCATGTGGTCACAAAAGAATTGCCATTAAGGAGAGATTCTTAGAAATAAATGGCAGCAAAGTCGTTATTATTTGATATCCAATAACAATTAGCACCGCATAAAGAAAATATCTATTAAGAAACACTTTTGTTACGAGTGTCAGAAATGGCAATCATTTAGCTGAAAGAAAATCGTTTTGAAAACTCCCAGCAGCATTTGCTATTAGATTGAGACTTACCTCCCATCTTCATGGAAACATAAAGAAGGAAAACTCCCCACATCTGCTGCAGGATACCACGAGCCTGGCACTGCATTCCCAGTTCCTGAGCCATTGGAGTCTGCAGAAGGTAGACACTTCATGTGGGTGAGGGAAGGAAACTCAGTCTGGATGCAAAACCCAGTAGAATTACAAGGGGAGGAGCCCCTTTCTTGAAGGGATGACTTTCAACTTCCTTCTACAGGAGCAGCTGTAGGTTCTGTTACTACAGAAGTGTCTTCACATGAACATTTCCTACTGAGAAATCCACGGGTTTTAATCCAAGTGATTCTGGTAAAGTTGAAAAAGCATAATGTATAAGGAACAGAGACGGCAAATGGGAATAACATAAGACAAAGTAGGCCGGGCGCGGTGGCTCACGCCTTTAATCCCAGCGCTTTGGGAGGCCGAGGTGGGCGGATCACGAGGTCAGGAGATCGAGACCATCCTGGCTAACACGGTGAAACCCCGTCTCTACCAAAAAATACAAAAAAATTAGCTGGGCGCTGTGGCGGGCGCCTGTAGTCCCAGCTACTCGAGAGGCTGAGGCAGGAGAATGGCGGGAACCCGGGAGGCGGAGTTTGCAGTGAGCAGAGATCGCGCCACTGCACTCCAGCCTGGGCGACAAAGTGAGACTCCGTCTCAAAAAAAAAAAAAAAAAAAAAAAAAAAGACAAAGTATTCAATTTCCCCATAAGTGTTTCTCTTCTCAAGACAGGAAGAAATGGAAACAAGGTTGCAATTAGAGGTGGGGTGTGTGTGTGTGTGTGTGTGTGTGTGTGTGTGTGTGTGTGTGTTGGTGGTAGTGGTGGTGGTGGTGTTTGTGACAATAAGGAAGAAACAGAGAGTTTTCAACCATCTAAATTTGTCTCCCAACAGATGATCAGATATTAATTTAAAGTTCAAAAGAAACATAATTTGTATGTCTGTAGGTGTATGTACATGTACGAATATACAGGAAGAAATGAGAAAAAAGCTATTAACATTAGTTACTGCCGGGCACAGTGGCTTACGCCTGTAATCCCAACATTTTGGGAAGCTGAGGCAGGTGGATCACCTAAGGTCAGGCGTTTGAGGCCAGCCTGACCAACACGGTGAAACCCCATCTCTATTAAGAATACAAAATTAGCCGGGCATGGTGGCGCATGCCTGTAATCCCAGCTCCTCGGGAGTCTGAGGCAGGAGAATCACTTGAACCTGGGAGGTGGAGATTGCAGTGAGCTGACATCACACCATTGCACTCCAGCCTGGGTGACAAGAGCAAAACTCCCTCAAAAAAAAAAAAAAATTAGTTTCTTCAGATGAGTGAAATTAAAAGAAATGGTGAAAATGTTAACTTTTTCTTATATATCTCTGTTTCCTTTGACTTGAAATTTGTTACATAATAAACTGAGAATGTGGAAGAAAGAAAAAGAAAGAATAAAAAAGGAAGGAGGAAGACTAGGTGTAAAACAGGAAGGAAAAGACGGAGGGAGGAAGAAAACTATATTTCAAACTATTTCCCATGTGTTACAAAAGGAAGTTAACTCTTTTTGATACATAGTTTTCCCAAACTAATTAATGCCTCACATATAATATCTTTACCAAAGTAATTTATATCCCTCATGAACTCTCTGGATTTATTTCTATTTACTCCATATAGCAACTGTACTTTGTTTCAATAAAGATGATACTGTCATCTTGTGGCAACAGGTAGCAGTGCAACTTCACACACACACACACACACACACACACACACACACACACACGCCTAACATTTTCTTACTTTAGAATTAAAAGAAACTTAGAAATCATCCAGTCTTTGTCGAGCTCCATCATCTTACAGGGGAAGTTCTTGAAACTCTTGAAGCTTTTATCACACTCCAGGCTTCATATCTTCATTTGTAGTCAATTTCCCACTGTTATTTAGATTAACATGAATTTTTTTTTTTTTTTTTTTGAGAGAGGGTCTCTCTCAGTCGCCCATGCTGGAGTGCAGTGGCGGGATCATGGTTCACTGCAGGCTCAACCTTCTGGGCTCAAGCGCTCCTTCTGCCTCTGCCTCTCATGTAGCTAGGACTACAGGCACCCAGCTAATTTTTTGTATTTTATTGTTGAGATGAGGTCTCGCTATATTGTACAGGCTGCTCTTGAACTCCAGGCTGCAAGCGATCCTCCTGCCTCAGCCTCCCAAACTGTTGGGATTACAGGCATGAGCCACTGTGCCCTGCCCAACATTAAATATGAAAAAATGAATAAATAGATTTCCGAAGCTACTTGCCCTGGTATATGCAGGTCACTCGAGGATCAATTTGATGTCAGATCTACTCCAGGTAATTTTAAACATTAGATTTATATTTGAAACCACAGCTTTTTTTTTCTGCCCACAGCATTTAACATGTGTGGCAGTTTCAACTATTAATTTATTCAGAAGTACATATTGAGAAATTATTACATGCCAGGCACTATGCTAGTAGTGCTGGGGATTCAAAGCTAAGCAAAACCCACATTCTAGTGAAGGGAGACAAGCAGTAAACAAACAAGTAAATACAGTATGTCAAATGGTGGCAAGTGCCGAGAGAAAAATAAAATAGGGAAGGGAAAGGAGAGAGTCAACAGAAACCTCTCTGATTAGGTGATGCCTGAACAGAAACCTGAAGATGATGGTGGAATCCTGATGAGTATTTGGGGAGGGAAGGGGATCAGTTGAGACTTCATAACACCTCTAAGAAATTAGAGGTCATTCAAATAACATGCAAACAAGGTTATTCCCCACAGTTCCTTATCCAGGGATCCTACTGGAAACATTTCCAGCTCTCTCTCTCAAAACAAAATAATGAGGATTTGGTGAGGAAAGATCTCATTAGGGACATACTTCAGAGTAGTAGGGTTTCCCTCGAGGTTAGAATTTTTCTTTAAATCTCTTGGCAGTGTCTTTTTTTCTTTTAATCCAAAAAAGCAACAGCTGATGGAAACTGATATAAAATATGACTGAATATATACAGAAGTCACACTTGTCCAAGAACCCCAAAGACAGGCGTTCTCAAAGATTCTGAACACTTATTTGCTGGGCCAAACTCCTTAAAAAAAAATTATAAAGGCTTTCCGAAACAGATGTGGGAGCCCTTTATAGTAGGCTAGACTGAATCTCTGAAGACCATCTCTCCATCCGCTGGACCGTTGCACTCAAGGGCAGCCAGCCTCCTCCACAATTGTGCAGCTCTATACAAGTGAGTCTAAAAGGATGGAAAAAGCAGGCCTGACACCAGCTATGTTCAAAATAAGGCTGCAGACTAATTTTGGAACTTTAAGACTTTCTGTTATTTTGTCCGAGTGTTAATTTAATCCGTCTCTTTTCTCCATGCGTTTCCTCAACTCTTTCCCAAACGGGCTAGAATTAAGTTCCTTCTTTTCAAACTTGGGGAAACTCTTTTTGTGTTGAGAAAATGACTCAAAAAAAAGCATTACAACACTATTTTCTTTTCATATTCTCTTTTTATTAGGGCAGTGATAAAGGGCAGAGTTGGGCAGTGATAAAGTCATAGGGGTCTTGAAGAATATTCTTCAGTGATTGTGCAAACACAAAGAAAGGCTGGATTCATAACCTTCCCCTTCTCCAATGAAGAGGGCACTAAGTACTTTTTCTAAAGCAAGTTCGTTTTTTTTAACCCCCGGTAATAGGAAAGAATGTACTCTTGTGAATTCGATAAAATATGTCTAGGCCACCTCAAATTCTATCCATTTCCTCTACTCTGCCCTAGCTCTACCAGGATGTCTAACTCTGAATAAAGGATGACAGAAGGTGAAACTTCTTTTTGGAAGCAGATTGGGTTGAGTTTTGTCACAAGGGTAAACAGGAGTCCTTTGATCATAATGTGTCCAACGCAATGCTGGACCAGCCTTCACTCCTCATCTTCAAGATTTCATAACCGTTGCATAGTAGTCCAGATCCCAAAGGTCACTGTAGAAATCTAGGTTCAAATTGCTGGATAGAGGCTTGCCCTCCTCGGCACCTCTCTAAATACACTGCAAGAAATGTGTTCACATATCAAACTAGCTTGATTTGGGGCAGAGTAGGGGCATAGAAAGCAGCTTATCCTGTGATCCCATAATGCCATAGAGGTCCCTTGAAGGTGTTCTTGACCCTCCCTGTCCTTACCTTCTCAGTGCTACTCTTTCACCCCATTCCCAAAGTCTCTTCTTAGAGTTTCCAGGATAATTGCTTTGTAAAAATATGCTGTTTATTCTCTGATGTCACTGGGCTCTTATTTTCAGATGCTTTTTATATTGAACTTTAACTTTTTGTTATTTTCATGTGTTTTGATTATTTAAATTCTGACCTATCTAATTGGAGAATATCCAATACAGTCTAAAACTTGGGGAATTTTAGAATATTTTGGTTATCTAATTAGCTAGGGTAGATATACTAAAATTGTATTTAACTTTCCTTATCTTAAATATCATAAGTTTCAAAAGCTAAAAAAGAGGAACAGACCTAAAATAAAATGACACAAATCTGGAAGATAAGGGAGGGGGAAAAGAGGATACACAAATACGGCCTCTACATTTGTCTTTTTTTTTTTTTTTTTTTTAGACAAGGTCTCAACCTGTCACCCAGGAAGGAGTACAGTGGCACCATCATGGCTCACTGCAGCCTTGACCTTCCAGGCTCCAGTGATCCTCCTGTCTCAGCCTCCTGAGAAATTAGGACTACAGGTGCCCACCATTATACCTGGCTAATTTTTAAAATTTTTTTTACAGACAGGGTCCCACTATGTTGCCTAGGCTGGTCTCAAACTTCTGGGCCCAAGCGATTCTCCAGCCTCATCCTCCCAAAGTGCTGGGATTACAGGCATGAGCCACCATGCCCGGCCTTTCTTTTGTCTCCTCTAAGGTGGTCCCAGACTGTTCACCTCTCTTGCCAAGAAAGCCAATCCTTCTGTAAACACACTCTTTGTTTCTCCAAAAATCTACCTTCTGGAAGTCTAAGCTATCTTCCTCTGCAGCCTCTGAATACCAAACACCAAGCTAAAACCACTGTTCTTTACCAAGTCTGCCTGGAAAGGTATCCTGTCCTCAAACCGACCAGCTATAACCCATCTCAGTTTCCTGCCTCCTCCCAGGCAGGGAACCCAGAACCTAGAGGGGTAAAAAGAGCTTTCTTTCAACAGGGAGCCTGGGAGAAATGAAACCAGACTTAGGCACAACAAAAGGGGGAAAATCAGACCGGCAAAGTAGATAAATTAGGGATAAACTTTTCACTATACGAAAGTATGCATCATGGAAGTCCTTCAAATAATTGCCCCAGTGGTACAGTTCTATCTGATTTTAAATATAAAAATGGATTTTCATAAAACATTTCATGAATATATTATTTGCCTAAGTAGAAGCCTACTAGTTTATATTCCTGTATTGGCAAAGAAAATTACTTTAGCTCAGCTGGGCGCGGTGGCTCACGCCTATAATCCCAGCACTTTGGGAGGCCAAGGTGGGTGGATCATGAGGTCAGGAGTTCAAGACCAGCCTGGCCAATATGGTGAAACTCCCTCTCTACCAAAAATACAAAAATTAGCTGGGCGTGGTGGCGCGCACCTGTAGTCGCAGCTACTTGGGAGGCTGAGGCAGGAGAATCACTTGAATCTGGGAGGCAGAGGTTGCAGTGAGCCGAGATCAGGCCACTGTACTCCAGCCTGGGCAACAGAGCAAGACTCAATCACACAAAAAAAAAGAAAGAAAAGAAAATTACTTTTAGCTCATAATAAGTATATATATATATATATATGTATATGTATATATATTTTTTTAAGAGATGGAGTCTCGCTCTGTGACCCAGGCTGGAGTGCAGTGGCGCAATCTTGGCTCACTGCAACCTCCGCCTCCCGGGTTCACGCCATTCTCCTGCCTCAGCATCCCGAGTAGCTGGGACTACAGGCGCCCACCACCACACCCAGCTAATTTTTGTATTTTTAGTAGAGACGGGGTTTCACCGTGTTAGCCAGGATGGTCTCAATCTCCTGACCTCGTGATCCACCCACCTTGGCCTCCCAAAGTGCTGGGATTACAGGCATGAGCCACCGCGCCTGGCCATAATTAGTATTTTATGCACCATTTTAATCTCAACTCTTTCTATCTTTGCTCTATATTCATTTTTTTTTTTTCTTTTTGAGACAGAGTCTCTCTCTGTCACCAGGCTGGAGTGCAGTGGTGCGATCTCCACTCACTGCAACTTCCGCCTCCCGGGTTCAAGAGATTCTCCTGCCTCAGCCTCCCGAGTAGCTGGGACTACAGGCGCCCGACACCACACCCAGCTAATTTTTTTGTATTTTTAGTAGAGACAGGGTTTCACCATGTTGGTCAGGGTGGTCTCCATCTCTTGACCTCATGATCTGCCTGCCTCGGCCTCCCAAAGTGCTGGGATTACAGACGTGAGCCACCACGCCCAGCCTCTTTTCTCTATATTCTAACCACAAAAATAAGATTTAGTTTTCCCATCCATTTTCAAATAAATCAAAGTGTCCTCCTGAAACTCAGGCAATAAAAATCTGATATTTCTTCGTTCTTGGTGGGCAAAGGACAAGTTTAACATTTTCCAGACTTCGAAGAGCCAGATATATTCAGTATTATTATTATTACTACTAATAACTCTTGAATGTTAACATATGAATTAAGTTATTTCACAGAATACTTAAGATAAAATCTCTTTGGAGAATTTCCGATAGAGATTAAACTTATTAATATTCACATGTTATTTATAATAATCTATTGTCATTTTAATTGCTTTATGAAAGTAGTCATTTGCATTACAAAGATATTTTGTAGTTAAATGAAAGATAAATGCATCTCAAACCATATATAGAGCGAAAAGTCTTTATCAAGCAACCTATTTAACAAAAAGAGTGAAACAAACACATTCCATCCCTCTATTTTATCATCTTGTTCAGATACTTGAAAATCTGTAAATGTCTTTAGAGAGAGTTGCTGTTTGATAGACTGCAATACATAGATATTACACACAAGCACACTAAAGATCAAGTCCTGCATTAATCAATGATTTTATAACAAACAATAAAAATTCCTCTGTGACCTCATACCAAAAAAAAAACCCAATCCCAAACCAATGAACCATATAAATCAACAAATAAATCTAAATGATATCCTGGAGCAAAAACAGGCATAAATGTTTCTTGGAGTTTTTTATAATGAAATTATACCCATATTACATGGTGAATGAGGTGGTCCCTTGACCTAAAAGTCCCAGCCATGTGAGCACAGGGGTCAGACAAAAAAGATCAAGAGAAACAATGTATTCAGTCAGGGGGATTTGGCAACATCCATTCTATCTATCTCAGTCATTCAGAAAATAATTACGGTATTTATCACTTTTAGCATGCTAGACGGGATGATTATTAAGAGAGAAAAACAGAAATTAGACAATGCAACATAATGTACGTGCTCAGAAAAGTATAAGCATTGTCCTCAGGGATCCGGAAAGCCTTCTTGAAGGTGAAGACACTCAAACTGAATCCTGAAGGAAAAGTGGGCACTACCTATGTGAAGGGAGCAGAAAAGATAGTGTGTGCGTAAGTCCCAAGTTAGAGCACACTACTGTGAGAAGCTTGAAGAGTGTCATGCCTCCCAACAATAAGAAGGAATTACAAGTGGTACAATAGCGATATAAATAAGGGCCAGATGAGGAATATTTTTGCATGATATGTTAAGGAGATGAGATTTTAGCTGAGGAAAAAGGGGACAATGATAGTAGGTGAAGAAAAAGTAGATGTGGTCATTATAGGGTGTTTGTTCCACACTGCTCTGCATCAACTTTAGCCCCTCCTTGGCGAACTCACTTTTTGGTTGGAATTTTCGGTACTTCTCTATCACTCTCATGTGTCCCTCTTCCTTCATCTGGCAAATCCTGGCTTTCAGTATCTCTCAATGGACAAGAGTTTCCTCCCATCTAGGAAACTAACCAGCCTCTGGAGGACTTCTCCTTTTAAGTAAACCTAAATAACTAATGGTGACACCACCTCCTCTTTTAAAAAACAATTTGACTCTATCTTGTTTATCTCATAATTCCTAGGCATCAATCATCCGACAAAAGCATTCACTTACAACATCATTGTGCTGTGTTTCTCTTGTCAAACGTCACCATTCATCTTAGCAGACTACAAAAAGACATGGGAAAGACCAAAAACACATCGCTGGATGCCGTGGTGACAGATTTCATTCTTCTGGGTTTGTCTCACCCCCCAAATCTAAGAAGCCTCCTCTTCCTGGTCTTCTTCATCATTTACATCCTCACTCAGCTGGGGAACCTGCTCATTCTGCTCACCATGTGGGCTGACCCGAAGCTCTGTGCTCGCCCCATGTACATTCTTCTGGGAGTGCTCTCATTCCTGGACATGTGGCTCTCCTCAGTCACCGTTCCTCTGCTTATTTTGGATTTTACTCCTTCCATCAAGGCTATCCCGTTTGGTGGCTGTGTGGCTCAACTGTATTTCTTTCACTTCCTGGGCAGCACCCAGTGCTTCCTCTACACCTTGATGGCCTATGACAGGTACCTGGCAATATGTCAGCCCCTGCGCTACCCAGTGCTCATGAATGGGAGGTTATGCACAGTCCTTGTGGCTGGAGCTTGGGTCGCCGGCTCCATGCATGGGTCTATCCAGGCCACCTTGACCTTCCGCCTGCCCTACTGTGGGCCCAATCAGGTGGATTACTTTATCTGTGACATCCCCGCAGTATTGAGACTGGCCTGTGCTGACACAACTGTCAATGAGCTTGTGACCTTTGTGGACGTCGGGGTAGTGGCCGCCAGTTGCTTCATGTTAATTCTGCTCTCGTATGCCAACATAGTAAATGCCATCCTGAAGATACGCACCACTGATGGGAGGCGCCGGGCCTTCTCCACCTGTGGCTCCCACCTAATCGTGGTCACAGTCTACTATGTCCCCTGTATTTTCATCTACCTTAGGGCTGGCTCCAAAGACCCCCTGGATGGGGCAGCGGCTGTGTTTTACACTGTTGTCACTCCATTACTGAACCCCCTCATCTATACACTGAGGAACCAGGAAGTGAAGTCTGCCCTGAAGAGGATAACAGCAGGTTGAAGGACTGAATGAAAATAAGTAACTACATCTGCATCATTATCACTGCCACTCTCTTCAGCTACTGCTGCATGTGACAAATGCCCAATAAACTGCTAAGGATTTAAAGTGAATTTATTTTCATTTTCTTTGGCAGAAAATTCTGAATTATTTCGACCCAAAATCTTTTCCCCTAATTAAACTGGTTCAGGTTGTTTTACATAATCTTTTAGAAATAAATGGATACATTATTTCTATCACCTCTATCTTGTGAGATGAGAAAATGCCTTACCAAAGGTTGAATAAGATGAGAATGTGTCAATGTCTTAGAAAGTATATCATGCCAGAAAATTTGAAAAGAGTAAAAAGGGGGCTCCATAACCCCTTGTTTCATTGTCTTTGCTCCTAATCCTAGACCCCTCTAAATTCCATTTCTTTGCTTGTGCATGGCATGAATATTTCCAAGCACTTGAACTTGAAAATTCTGGATTATTTGTGTTTTCTTCCTGTCCCTCGCCCTCGTGATGTGCTAACACATCAGATTCTGTCTCCTCAAAACTATGAAACCAGCTCAAACTGATTCAGTGTAGACTGTCTCTCTTAATTCTTGACTAGTTCTTCCTCATCTAGACCACAATCAAAATTACCCTCTGAAACACAGAATCTGTAGGACTCTTCGGCGAAGGTAGAATGAATAAGGCCAGGCTCCTTAATCTGGAATTCAAAATCCAATGCAATCTTGGCTTCACATACATGTTCTCTTAAGCCATTTCCTCTGCTTCCCTCTCCCACCCTCACTGATTTATTGCCGTTCCGTGAGCATGCTCTATACTTGCCTGTACTCTTTTGCTCAAGCTCTCTTCTCTGCCTGGAATATAAGTCCTCCCTCTCCATATTGACCAAGTGACAATTTATGCTTCCTTCAGATCCATATTAAATACTTCCTCATCTGTTTTTCCCAGGCAGGACTTAACTCCTCTTCCCTGGTATTGCCATGGCTTCTTTAGTATAGACCTTGCCCCAGTCTGTCACGTATTACAGTCAAGAATTTATCTCCTACCGGGCGCAGTGGCTCACGCCTGTAATCCCAGCACTTTGAGAGGCCGAGGTGGGCAGATCACGAAGTCAGGAGTTCAAGACCAGCCTGGCCAACATAGTGAAACCCCCATCTCTACTAAAAATATAAAAAGTTAGCCAGGCATAGTGGCATGCACCTGTAATCCCAACTACTTGGGAGGCTGAGGCAGGATAATTGCTTGAACCCAGGAGGTAGAGGTTGCAGTGAGCGGAGATTGCACCACTGCACTCCAGCCTAGGTGACAGTACCAGACTTCATCTAAAAAAAAAAAAAAAAAAAAGTCTAAAAAAAAAAGGAATTTATCTCTCTTTCCACTTCAAATGGATTGTGAGCCCTCAAAGGACATAAAGCATTCATTTGTGTTTGTCTGCCTCTATTGCCTAATAACTACGAGCAGACACAGAAATCAATATTTGCTGCTGAATTTTTTTTTTTTTTTTTTTTTTGAGATGGAGTGTCGCCCTGCCGCCCAGGCTGGAGTGCCGTGGCGCGATCTCGGCTCACTGCAAGCTCCGCCTCCCGGGTTCACGCCATTCTCCTGCCTCAGCCTCCCGAGTAGCTGGGACTACAGGCACCCGCCACCACGCCCGGCTAATTTTTTGTATTTTTAGTAGAGATGGGGTTTCACCGTTTTAGCCAGGATGGTCTCGATCTCCTGACCTCGTGATCCACCCGCCTCCATCTCCCAAAGTACTGGGATTACAGGCGTGAGCCACCGCGCCCGGCCATTTGTTGCTGAATTTAAACCGCACTGCAAAAGTCTCTTGAAATGTATCTTAAACTGAAGAAATTATTGTCAGTTCTGCCGATTACCTGTCCTGGTCTCACCTGAAAAAAGAAAAAAAAAAGAGAACATTTAAGGGAAACTGAAGACAGAAGATTCAACTACATGGCAACCTAAAAGCAAGCATGGACAGTTCCTTGGTGAATAACCAAAAACAAGGTAAATGTATTCTTTCATTCGCTGGCATATTTTTCACTTCTTTGGATGTGTGGTATCATGTTGGCCCATTTTAACAGTAAAATTTAAACAAATGCATGGAAAGATTCAAAATTCGTAAAGGTAAAAATATATTAATGTGGATATAAGAATCACACTGTGCTATACAGAAACACCATAATATCAGGAAGGATATTATATGTTATGCATACATATAATACATGTTACACATAGTATGAGACGACAAGCAAGGCAGTACAGAGTCCACAATAATTTGTTAATCTTGAAACAAGCCATTGAAAATTTCCAACTGGACATTTAAAAAATAGCATTTCTAATAGAATCTAGAAGACACTGATTGGTCTAGCAAGTCTTCTATGCGGCACTTAAGCCAATGTGCCATATTGCTCTTGTCAGAAGACATGAGATCTTAAGGTCATATGTGAGTTGATCCACAAACTATAACTACTCTTAGGATTACATGTATGAATGCTAAGTTCATCATTAAAACAGAACTAATCTTGAGTGATACTGAGTGATTTGTGTGTGTGTGGTACAGAGTCGTTAGCAGGAACTCACCTAGCCTCAACAAAGAAAACTGTGAGTCAAACCGGTGAAACCAGCTCAAACTCTGAATCAATGTAAACAAACATGAGGCTGCACCTGTGCTTGCTTCTGTTTGCTGTATGAAACCTGGATCCCACATGAACAGACACTTTTCAAAAGAAGACACACATGCATCCAACAAGCAAACAAAAAAAAGCTCAGTATCACTGATCGTTAAAGAAATGCAAATCAAAACCAAAATGAGATACCATCTCACTTGAGCCAGTATGGCTATTATGAAAAAGGCAAAAAATAATAGATGTTGGTGAGGTTATGGAGAAAAGGGAACACATACACTGTTCGTGGGAGTGTAAATTAATTCAACCATTGTGGAAAGCAGTATGGCGATCCTTCAAAGAGCTAAAAGAAGAATTACCATTTACATTTAATAGCAATCCCATTACTGGGCATATACCCAGAGGAATACAAATCATTCTACCATAAAGACACATGCAAGCAAATGTGCATTGATTGCAGCACTATTCACAATAGCAAAGACATAGAATCAACCAAAATGCCTATCAATGACAGATTGGATAAAGAAAATGTGGGACATAAACACCATGGAATACTATGCAGCCATAAAAAAGAATGAGATGTATGTTTCTGTTCCTGGGTTAGTTTGCTAAGGATAATAGCCTCCAGCTCCATCCATGCTGGAGGAACCAGGAACGGAAAACCAAATATCATATGTTCTTACTTATAAGTGGGAGCTAAATGATGAGAACTCATGAACACAAAGAAGGGAACAACAGACACTAGACACTAGGGTCTACTTGAGGGTGGAGAGTGGAGGGAGGGAGAGGAGCAGAAAAGATAACTATTGGGTACTGGCCTTAACCTGGGTGATGAAATAATGTGTACAACAAACCCCTGTTATACGAGTTTACCTATGTAACAAACCTGCACATGTACCCCCAAACCTAAAATAAAAGGTTAAAGAAAGCAAATATAAAGTGAGCTTTTAAATCTCTGGAAAAAATAGGCTAGTTTTAAATAAAGGCTAAATAAAGACATTCAAGATAAACAAAAGCAGGGAAAAATTTGTTAGTAGAAGATTGCTTTACAAGAAATAATAAAGGAAGTTCTTCAGGCAGAAAGCAAGTGACACCACACAATACCGTTTGAATCTATGCACACACACAAAAAAAGTGCTGGTAAAGGTAATTATGTAGGTAAGTATAAAAGAAAATATAACTGCATATTTCATCTCTTTTATTCTCTTAACTGAATTAAAAAGCAATTTCATTTAAAAAAAAGTGGGCCCCTTCATTTCAACAGCATCCTTTCTGAGACCTATTTCCACCTCCTTTTGCACAACTGCTTCTTTCTTCCTTTATTCCATCCCCTTTAAGATAACTTCCATTTGTCTGAAGAAACTAAAGGAACTAATTAAATTGATTCATGCTAAATATTAAGGGTGGCGGGTCACTTAACTTCCCAGGATAGTTGACTATCAATTTACAGATAGTTAGTGAAAGATAGCTTTACTTCAGTGACCCCAGGTTTTAATGATAAAACCTGATAAACTTTCAGCATATCTACCCATTTTTAAAAATATATTGGTATGAAAAGGAAAGAGTACAACTTTTAGAGTCTGTTAGAAGAATCTTGGTTCCGCCATCAACCAGCTATGTGTCCTTGGGAAAATTAACTATCCTTTCTAAACCTTGATTACTTTACGTATATAATAAGGGCAATAAGACTTACTTCAAAGGAGACATAATATGGTTTGCATTTGCGTCTCTGGCCAAATCTCATGTCAAACTGGAGGAGGGGCCTGGTGGGAGGCGAGTGAATCATGAAGGCAGATTTCCCCCTTGCTGTTCTTGTGATAGTGTGTGAGTTCTCATGAGATCTGATGGTTTAAAAGCTTGTGGCATTCCCTCTTGGCTCTCTCTCTCCTGCTCCACCATGGTAAGATGTGTTGCTTCCCCTTCACCTTCCGCCATGATTGTAAGTTTCTTGAGGCCTCCCAGTCATGCTTCTTGTTAAGCTTGTGGAACTGTGAGTCAGTTACACCTCTTTTCTTCATAAATTGCACAGTCTTAGGTAGTAAGTGTAGCAGTGTGAAAACTGACTGATACTAACTGATACTAATGAGATCTGATGGTTTAAAAGTGTGTGGCACTTCCCCCTTCACTGTCTCTCTCTCCTGCTCCACCATGGTAAGACATGTGTCATTCCCCTTCACCTTCCACCATGATTGTAAGTTTCCTGAGGCCTCCCAGTCATGCTTCCTGTTAAGCCTGTGGAACTATGAATTAATTAAACCTCTTTTCTTCATAAATTATACAGTCTCAGCTAGTTCCTTATAGCACTATGAAAATGGACCAATACAAGGTATTAAGAGCATTGAATAAGATAACTAATGTGAAGTTTCTGAAACATGGTAGACACTTAATAAATACAGAGTGCTGCAATCATCACTCTTGTTATCATCCGGGACTTAAAGAAGGGTTTGTCTTAAGGGATGAGCAGGGAATCATAGAAGAGTGCAAATACAGAAAACATTTTGTGATGAAGGGATCCATCATTCCCTCCAGAGGATGGAGTGTAATACTGGAGAGTGAATTATCAATAAACCAGACAAGTGGAGAGTACGTCAGCAACAGCAACAGAAGCACAGACAAAGAGAGTTTTCATTTTCACATTCACAGAGCACTAGGAGGACCAAGTTATGCTGCTTCATGAGAGCAATGACCAAGCTATAACAAACTTTTAGTTTCTGAAATTTTTAATCTCCACAAGGACTGGTCTTGATTGTCTGAAGAGCTTGGACAGGTAATTAAGAGCCTTCTGTTCTTTTTTTTTTTTTTTTTTAGTAGAGATAGGAATCTCACTATTGGCCCAGGCTGATCTTGAACCCATAGCAATCCTCCTGCCTCAGCCTCCCAAAGCGCTGGGATTACAGGTATGAGCCACCGCACCTGGCCAAGAGTCCTCTATTCCTCATGTTGATATTTATCCCTCAAAAAATGTATATTTAAGTTATCTTTAATGTGTCATTACTAAAATGTGTACTAAACCTTAGATGACCATGATGGCCCTGAGGAAGGGCTTGCTCTTTTGAAGTTCTTCTCCAAGGAACACAAAGGCAAAGAGTGTAAGAAAGAAAAGTCTTTAATGGTCCCTGGGTGCCCACTGATCTGAGCACAGGTGTCACATGCCTCAGTTTAACATTGGACCTCAGGCTCATGTTGCTAGAGAGCAGCAGGTGCAAGTTATAAGAGCAACTCACAATGAAAGGAAGGAATGCCAATATTAGTAACCAGCAACCCCTCATCTGCCTCACCATCCCAGATGGGGCACTCAGCCACTTTTTGACCCTTGTACAATAAATTTGGGTGAGTTTTCAACTCTAGAGGTTTAGTCCAATTTATCTTTTGAGACTGTAGTTTTCCAACTTTGTTTCATTTAGAATCACTTGGGAGACTTTTATTTAAATAGTTCTGGCTCCATCACCAGAAATTCTGATTAAATTGACCTGGGATGGGACCTAAGCATAGGGAATTTTAAAATGTGATTCTAATGCAGACTGAAAAGTATTGCCCAAGTAGATCTGACAGTCCTCGGGGAGATCTTACTTTCCAGATCAAGACTTGGTTAGCAAGCCGAAAAGTATGGTTAGTTTGCAAGTCAGTCCACAGACTTGGAAGGTCAAGTCCCCAAACCTAGGTTGCAATTCCCAAGGTAAGTTGTCTAGACCAGTAAGTGTAAATCTTATTTATTCTAGTTCTGCCTACTTATTAGCCACAAAACATGCACAGGCCTCTCTTAATCAGTAGTATTATTTAAAGGTATGCCTACCTGGCCAGGTGCAGTGGCTCACCCCTGTAATCCCAGCACTTTGGGAGGCCAAGGTGGGCATATCACGAGGTCAGGAGATTGAGAGCATCCTGGCTAACACGGTGAAACCCCGTCTCTACTAAAAATACAAAAAATTAGCCAGGCATGGTGGCAGGTGCCTGTAGTCCCAGCTACTCAGGAGGCTGAGGTAGGAGAATGGCGGGAACCCAGGAGGCAGAGCTTGCAGTGAGCCGAGATCGCACCACTGCACTCCAGTCTGGGCAACAGAGCAAGACTCCATCTCAAAAAAAAAAAAAAAAAAGAAACATATGCCTACTAGGAAAGGAAGTTCTGAAGTACTTCCTAATCCCCTCAGAAGTTCATAAGGAAATGTAACAACAGAGACCAGGAGATTCTGAAGTACCAGGATTACATAATTTAATTATGAGATGTAGCACCTGCTTTTCAAGTCACCTCCCTCCCCACACTCAGTGACTAAGTGCATTCACAGAAATCAAGTTTCAGCTGAGGGGATAACTGAGGAATGGCTGGGTCAAAATGGGAAGGTGAGTTTAAAAGTCCATGCCCAGAATTGGCCCAGGAGAACAGAGCCAAGGGAAAGCTCATGTATGACCAATGGCTGGATATGGGTCAGTTGAAAAGTACAAATGCATATAAAACTCAATAATAAATAATGGATAAGCATGTGGTAACCACTGTAGAGGCAGAGTCAAAATACACTTAAAATTCAGAGTATACGTGAGTCAAATATGTGAACTAATGTCTTCCAGGCAGGAAGCACTTGCTTGAGATTCAGAAAGATGACAAATAGGAAAATTATGTGCTTGCACTTGCTCAAAAGCCACACAGAACACTGCCTGGCAGAACATTCAACCAAGGCTGTGTTTCGTCCTCATTTTCTTTTTTTTTTTTTTTTAGATAGAGTCTCACTCTGTTGCCCAGGCTGGAGTGTAGTGGCACCATCTCAGCTCACTGCAACCTCCACCTCCCAGGTTCAAGCGATTCTCCAGCCTCAACCTCCCAAGTACGTGGGATTACAGGTGCACGCCACCACGCCCAGCTAATTTCTGTGTTTTTAGTAGAAACGGGGTTTCACCATATTGGCCAGGCTGGTCTCAAACTCCTGACCTTGTTATCTGCCCATCTCGGCCTCCCAAAGTGCTGGGATTACAGGCGTGAGCCATTCGTCCTCATTTTCTATCTGGAATTGAGATTCCTCATTTAGGAAAAAAGACAGGGTTTCAAAAGGGTACTGGCAGAGTCCAGCTTAGAGTTTTACTCCACCTCATAAACTGATCCCTCAAAATGTCAGCTTTTGTCTGTGCCTTTACCCTTGGTTCAGTATCCAAACCACAGCCTCAAGGGTTGCCTGAGAAGGGTTATGTGTGCATTCTGGGCCTCCAGCGCTCATGTCCTAAATCCAGTGGTACACAGCACACTCCTTATTTCCCATCCAAATTCATATTATCAAATCTCTTAAGGATTTTTCTTAGAAAAAGATCCAACTATTCCTTCAAAATTTTTAAACTCTTCTTAATGAAGATCTTGGTTTTTGTATTTCTTCCAACTGACCTCCTTCACTTCCCTGTACCCCTGAGTACATGTGCAAATCACTCTTAAGGCACATGGATGGTGCTGATTTTCCAAAAAGCAATAGATAGCCTACTCAAAACATGATAATTTGCGGAGAGTTTTCTCTGCATAGGAACTATGTACAAAGATATGGGAGTAGAGAAACCACAAGAAACAATTGAATAACCTAGGGCTCAGTAACACCTAAATTATTTACCACCATTAAGCCAAAAGAAACAAGAGAGGTATCTAAGTTTTCCTGAGTTATGTATGTAATAGTGAACAGTTCACCTCCAAGATAGAGTGTAGTCTTCTTGATGCAAGCTTCTTCCACCTGTGTTCTCTTGGTTATCTTCCTTAGGAACTAGAACTAAAGCGAGGTTAATTTCCACAGTGAGAACATGCTCCAGACATCCGAGCACCAGTGTGGCTCTGGAAACTCCACAGATACCACAGGACTAGAAAATAACTGGACAATGGGATGTTCTATCTTGCCCGAACTGAGGGATATAAAAAGCTCCAAAGGTAAGATCTCAAGGCAAGAGACATTGAAGCTGGACTCATCCCCAACTACTCAAGAAAACAAGGTCAAAGAGATGCTCAAAAATCAGAGCTTTACTCAAACATTGTAGAAGATAGTTAGATTTGATACATGTCAAATTCCTTCCAATCCTTCCTATGTTTCTTTCATTCTGTGAGATTTTATCTGAACACCCTGTGAAGCTTGGATTTGAACTTAGAAATATCTAACTCCGAAGTCCAAACACAGCTACTGCTCTTTGAACATGACAAGAGAGCTGGGTTCCCAGTTTGATCTACAATAATTCGAAAAACCTTGTCTCCTATCCTCTGGTAATGGCTTGCTCCAACATCTAGCATTCAACCACCTTCTAGGTGGAAATGAAAGAAGTTGCTGGGTTAAAGAGAAACTCTACTAGCAGAGAGAGAAAGTAACAAAGAATGGTACTCTTTCTTCTTGAAAATCTCTGTGGCAGAAAAACATGTTATCTAAAAACTTAAGGCTTGGCTGGGCATGGTGGCTCATGCCTATAGTTCCAACACTTTGGGAGGCCAAGGTGGGTGGATCACTTGAGGTCAGGAGTTCGAGATCAGCCTGGCCAACATGGTGAAACCCCATCTCTACTAAAAATACAAAAGTTAGCCAGGCATGGTGGCATACCTGTAATCCCAGCTACTTGGGAGGCTGAGGCATGAGAATCACTTGAACCTGGGAGGCAGAGGTTGCAGTGAGCCAAGATAGCACCTCTGCACTCCAGCCTAGGCGACAGAGTGAGACTCCATCTCAAAAAAAAAAATTAAGACTTTAGGAGAAAATAGATATGAAAACAAGGTCAAAATGAACCTATAAAAGTTCTTACGGATACTCTTCATGGTCACTAAATTAAAAAGATAAAAAGATAGCATACTGATTAAGGAGAATATCAGTAACTTACACGTCTTCAAATTTAAGATAATTGATTTTGTATAGTTCATTTCCATTGACCATTCACTCCTTGCTGAAAGTTTTTTAGACTTTATCTCCTTCTTGATTTCAATGAAGCACTCGAAATTTTTTTCATTTTTACAAATAACTCACATGTTAAAGGTCATTTGCCTCAGTGTTAGATTCTCCATTCAAACGTTCAGTATCTTTCTGATTTTATATAGAGTCCCACTATAGACACAGCTACATTTGAATAATTTGAAAGACTGAGATTCTTTGGATAACTTGACTTGCAGTCTTATAACTATCCAATGTTATACAGCCCTTATTCAGCTGATGATTAATTTATATTATAAAATTATAACAAGCACAGGACATCAGCATTGCTTACATACATCTCAGCTCTCTTCCTATTAAAGAAAATGAAGCTGAGTTCTGAGGGTCAAATGTATTTTCCCTGTGCTTTCAAAGTCTGCTAAAACATCTACTTACTCTCTCTCTTCACAAGAACATAAGCAACCTCAGTGCAGGTATGTTTTATTTAGTGATGCACCATAGCAATTGAAAGAGTGCCTAGCACATATAAGTATTCAGTAAAATATTTGTTGAGTGAAAACCATCCACTCTACCTTTCTACTCCCTACCACCAAGTCCCTCTTATTCTGTTTACCCCAAAATAAGTCATTAAAAATTAGCTAATAGAGGTCGGCGCAGTGGCTCACGCCTGTAATCCCAGCACTTTGGGAGGCCGAGGCTGGTGGATCATGAGGTCAGGAGACCAAGACCATCCTGGCTAATACGGTAAAACTCCCTTTCTACTAAAAATAGAAAAAATTAGCCAGGCGTGGTGGCCGATGCCTGTAGGCCCAGCTACTCAGGAGGCTGAGGCAGGAGAATGGCGTGAATCCAGGAGGCGGAGCTTGCAGTGAGCCGAGATTGGGCCACTGCACTCCAGCCTGGGTGACAGAGCGAGACTCCATCATACATACATACATACATACATACATACATACATACATACATACATAAATGTACTAAGCCAAAAAATAATTCACCTATGGGGAAGAAATTCTGCATTGCCCTCTAAGGACAAACTATGTAGGCTGTAATGTTTAACAAACTTCAAAAACATTTAGGATAGCACACAAAAATTACAATTCAGTAAAAGAAAATCTTTAAACTGAATATTTTATATTACTGTTCTGTCCATTATCCAGTGCTTTTACAGGAATTCCCTACTGACCAATTCCTTCCACACTTGACCCCCACCTCATCGCATGACCTCACTCTTCTGTTTCACAGAGAAGAGCTCTCCATGATCTTCTCTTCACCCTCTAAGTCCACAGCCCCCACACTCTCCAATATGTTGGATAAATCCACCAAAAAATGCTAAATAATATCAACATTATCACTCAGGTAAATACAAAAATGAGGATATATTTGACATAATTAAATGAAATCATACTATCTCAAGCTGAGGAATTTGCATTTACTTCACAAATTTCAGAGCCTCCCAAGGATACATGAATATTAATGTAACTTACTACTGCATAAACTAAAGCACTCACCAAGGGATCCTTCCCTTGTATAAAAAGCTTCCTCCAAAAGTAAATTCCATCTTCCATACGTGGAACCACAGGATACTGGAGGCATAAATAAGCAGGAGGAAGAGGAAAAGAAGAAACTAAAGAAGAAAGAGAGAGAGAAAATAGTTTATCCTTCTCTTTAGCAATCAATGGTTCAGAAAATAATGGGGTTCCGTCTCAGAGCCCTATGCTACATATTCTAAACAAGTTTAAAATTAGACGGTAAGCAAAGATACACTCAGGAAGTTCTAGAACTTCTCAAGCCCACCTGTACTCCACTGATTGTCTTTTGAATTTTGGCACAGTTAAGGAGGCCTCATAGTCACTGTGTCTCTCACAGCGCAGAAGTAAGAGGCAGAGTCTTTCATCTGGAGCTCCTGTAGAAGGAGGTAACCATAACTATCAGAGCGACTAAGGAATGAAGAAAAACGACCTGTCTCCTCCAAACCATCCAGAGCATTGTAAGAAAGAAATGTGGGTGCTCCGCCATCATGTTGCTGGTACCAGGACAGCCCATAAAACCCAGATGTCTGGTACGTGCAGTTTATCTGGACAATGGCTCCTTCCACAGCTGTCACTTCAGAGGGCTGCTCAAGGCTTTGTCCTGCAGTGCCTATGACAAGATACATGATTGTTACTAGGGCAGCACCCCCAGAAGCCCCATCATTATTAAAAATGATGTTTCCTCCAAAAACTATTGGAATAATTTTTTAAATGATGCTTCCATGTGGTCACAAAAGAACTGCCATTGATGGGAGAATTTCTTAGACTGAAATAAATGGTTGCAGTAACAGCAGCAGCAATAGTAACAGGAGGACAATTAGCACCACGTTAGGAAAATGCATATTCAGGAAATACTCTCATTACAAATGTCAAAATTTGCAATAATTTAGCTGAAAGGAAATTGTTTTGAAAATTCCTAGCAGCATTTACTATTAGATTGAGACTCACCTCCCATCTTCATGGAAACATAGAGAAGGAAAGCTCCCCACATCTGCTGCAGGATACCATGAGCCTGGCACTGCATCCCCGGTTCCTGAGCCACTGTAGTCTGCAGAAGGTAGACACTTCATGTGGGTGAGGGAAGGAAGATCAGTCCGGATGCAAAACCCAGTAGAAATACAAAGGGAGGAGCTTCTTTCTTGAAGGGATGAGTTTAAGCTTCCTTCCACTGGAGCAGCTATGGTTTCTCTTACAGGAGTATCTTTACATGAACATTTTCTACTGATAAATCCACAGGTTTTAAGCTGGGCACAGTGGCTTATGCCTGTAATCCCAGCTACTCAAGACGCTGAGGTAGAAGAATCCCTTGAGGCCAGGAACTGGAGACCAGCCTAAGCAACATGGTGAGGTCCCTATCTCCAAAAACTAATCCACACATTTTAATCCAAGTGATTATGGTGAACATCGAACATGTAAAGAACAGAGAAAACAAATGGGAACATAAGGCAAAGTCAAAACTAATCAATTTGACCATACTAACAGTTTTCTTTCTCATGATACAACAAAATGAAATCCAGGATCAATTAGAGATGCAGTGTGTGTGTGCATATACTAAATATTGTTTGTTTGTGTGTCATATATATTTTGGAAGCTAGAAAGACAAGGAAATTTACCTACCATTTAAGTGTGCTTACAACAGCTAATATAGAAATAATCTTTAATATATTCAAAAGTAAGTTGCAGAGTGATGAGTATTGAATGATATTTTTATCATAAACTTATGTACATATGCATACATTTTTAAAAGTGTGAGGATATACTCAATAAACTACTAACATTGGTTATGTCAGGGGTTGCAGTGGGTTGCAGTGAGTTGAGTTAATTTTTTTTGGTACATCCCTCTATTGGTTAATGTTAAAATAGACATGTTTGATTATGTAATTTTTTAAAAAACTAAAGGAAAGAAAAGAGGTATAACAGGAAAAAAGAGCTGGGAGCAGTGGCTCACACCTGTAATCCCACCACTTTGGGAGGCCAAGGCAGGCAGATCACTTGAGGTCAGGAGTTTGAGACCAGCCTGGTCAACATGGTAAGACCCCATCTCTACTAAAAATACAAAAATTAGCCAGGTGTGGTGGCATACACCTGCAATCCCAGCTACTCAGGAGGCTGAGGCAGGAGAATCACTTGAACATAGGAGGCAGAGGTTGCAGTGAGCTGAGATCAGGCCACTGCACTCCAGCATGGGCAACAGAGTGAGACTCCATTTCAAAAAAAAAAAAAAATAGAGGAAGAAAGATCTGAGAAAAAAGGAGGAAAACAGAGAGGAAAAAATGGAAACTTCAACAATATGTTAAACTATTTATCAGATGTCTCAGAAAGAAATTTCTTATGTCTACAAAATTGTTTCATACCTATTTTTCATACCTATTGGCCTCTCATTAATACTATTTAATATCAAAGATGGCTACAATTAAAGAAAGACCTACAATAACAAGTGTTGGCAAGAATGTGGAGAAGTTAGAAACTTCATACATTGCTGGTGGAAATTTAAAATGGTGCAACCACTTGGAAAACAGTTTGCTAGGTCCTCAAAACATTAAACATAGATTTACCATACGACCCAGGAATTCTAGGTATTTATCCAAAAGAAATAAAAACATATGTTCACACAAAAACTTGTACATAAATGCTAATAGCAGCATTATTCCCACTAGCCAAAAAGTGTAAACAACTGAAATGTCCCATCACCTGATAAACTGATAAAATATGGTATATCCATAAAATGAAATATTATTCAGCCATTACAAGGAATGAAGTATTAATTACATGCTACAACATGGATGGCCCTTGAAAACATTTTGCTTTGTGAAAGAAGTCAGACTCAAAAGATCATGTATTGTATGATTCCATTTGTGTGAAATGTTCAGAATAGGCAAATCCATACAAATAAAAAGTTAATTAACAGTTGCCAGGAATTGGGGGCTGGGAGAGCCAGGGTAAGTACAGGGAGGGGCTACTAATGAGTATGGGATTTCTTTTTGAAGTGATAAAAATGTTCAGGAATTAGCTAGTAATCAATTCACAACTTTGCAAATATACTAAAAATTCCTAAGTAATATACCTTAAAAGAATAAATTGTATGTTACGTGAACCAATGTTCATAGATGTTGGAGAATCTCACTATGCTTGAAATCAATGTACTATATTTTTTAAAAAGGTATTTACTGAGTCCTGCCATGAGCACAGTTCAACTTTTGTAACCTGCTGTCTGACTGGCATTTTAAATCTTTGCTGCTCCTTTTTGCCACAGAGTCAAAATCATCTTCCCACAAAGAAAGCTATGGAATCAAGAATGTTAAAATTGGCCAGGACTAGGAATAGTGGCTCACGCCTTTAATCCCAGCACTTTCAGAGGCTGAGACAGGAGGATCACTTGAGCCCAGGAGTTGGAGACCAGCCTGGCCAACATAAGGAGACCCCATCTCTACAAAAAATAAAAATAAAAAACTAGCCAGGCATGGTGTTATGCACCTGTGGTCCCAGCTACAAAGGAGGCTGAGGTGGGAGGATCACCTGAGCCCAAAAGGTCAAGGCTGCAGTGAGCCATGATTGCACCACTTTGGGAGGCTGAGGCAGGAAGATCACTTGAACCCTGGGCAATATAAGGAGATCAGCCTGGGCAACATAGAAAAAACCCTTGTCTCCACAAAAAAATTTAAAAATTATCCAAGCATGTTGGCAGGCACCTGTAGTTTCAGCTATTCAAGAGGCCAACAAGGGAGGATCACTTGAGCCCAGGAGTTCGAGGCTGCAATGAACTATAATCATGCCACTGTACTCCAATCTGGGCAACAAAGCAAGACCCTGTCTCAAAAAAAAAAACTGATGCTACTGTTGCACCATGGGGAAAAAAAGTGTTAAAACTACTGCTGGGTCCATTCTGACTTAAGTTTCTCCTTGATTTTCGTAAGTATATAGTATAACTTGTATATGCTGAATTCAGTCGCTTGTACAACAGCAGACTTTGGTGCAGCAGTAGGTGGATTGAGAATGCGGTGGAGAGGGGGTATTGCCTGCCTCCTCACCTTAAACAGCATTATTTGTGCATTTTGCCCATGTTTCATAAAAATTAGTAGAAAACGAGAAACTTAAATTTTTAGTGCCAGGGATGAAAAAAATTGAAATAAACTGCATGCAACTAGGATAAAGATAGAAATAAACACGCTGTAAGAAAAAAAATTTCAAAGGCAATTTATATCCTTATGAACCCACTAAAAGCATTATTTTCTATTTACTGCACATAGTAGGCTCATAGCACCTGGATATAATAAATATAATGTTGCCATCTTGTGACACCACATATCATTGCCATTTTATACACACACCCCCAAGGATTAAAATGTTCTTTCCCTATCAAAAATATAAAAAAGAGCTCAAGGTGGCCCTTAAAGCCAGGCTGGAGAGTTTGGACTTAGTCCTTAGGGCAGTGAGAAGGCACTGAAGAATTCAGACCAGAGAACTTCAGAAAAATGGCAGATAGGAGACAGGACTAACTTGCAGCTCCCACTTGGACGCACAGAGCAGCGTGTGGAGACTCACATCATAAACTTTTGCTCCAAGGACTACCACAAAAACATACCAGGAAAGCTGAGATAATCCACAGACCTTTTGGAGGAAGTGGGTTGCTGCTGCAGGCCCCCGGAGACAGCTGAAAAACTGTGAGTGCCCAAAGTGTGAAAGTGTGAAAGAAGGATCATCTGCCCCCAAACACACACCCTCATTGGGGAATCTGAAGGCCCAAATCACAGGAGAAGAATTTGACCTCATATACAGCTGAGACAAATTTAGAGAGCTGAGCAAAATACAGGGGTAGAAGAAGAGGTGGGAAGAGCCCTTTGGGTACCCTCAGTCCCCAGAGAAGCCATTTCTAACTTTGTCTCACAGGAGCTTTGGGAAGGGCTGCCAGAAGAACTAGGAAAAGACCATAGGGAGAAGAAAACTTCCAGCTGAACCTTGTAACAATTTCCACCAAACGCAAAGTTTCCTGGACAGAACCTAGGGGAGGGGGTGAATCGGAGCGCAGACACAGCACAGAAGCCATGGCAGGCAGGGGGTGTGAAACCTGAAAGCCCTGCTTGCTTTCTCAGCCAGGAGGCTGGTAGCCCCGGGCAAGTTCTCAGCTCTGCTCACCCTCTGCCTGGAAATAAACTCAGTGTTGTTGCGAGTGGGAAAGGAGGGTCATGGTGGGAGCGAGACCAGCCTTTTGGGCTGCATGGGAGCTGAGTGAGGCCTGTAACTGCCGACTTTCCCCCACTTCCCTGGAGACCTGCGTGACACAGCAGAGGGAGCCATGATCCCCCTGGGAACATAACTCCATTGGCCTGAGAACCACACCTCCACCCCCCGCAGCAGTGGCAGCAAGCCCCATCCAAGGAGAGTCTGAGCTCAGACATGCCTAGCCCTGCCCCCACCTGATGGTCTTTCTCTACCTGCCTAGGCACGGATGGGTAGAATGGGTAGAATGGGTAGAATCAATATTGTGAAAATGATCATACTGCCAAAAGCAGTCTACACATTCAATGCAATTTTCATGAAAATATCATCATCATTCTTCACAGAACTAGGAAAAACAATCCTAAAATTCATGTGGAACCAAAAACAATCCCATACAGCCAAAGCAGTACTAAGCAAAAACAACAAATCTGGAGGCATCGCATTACCCAACTTCAAACTATACTGTAAGGCCATAGTCACCCAAACAAAACAGCATGGTACTGGTATAAAAATAAGCATGTAGACCAATGGAACAGAAGAGAGAACCCAGAAATAAATCCAAATATTTACAGCCAACTGATCTTCCACAAAGCAAGCAAAATCATAAAGTGGGGAAAGGACTCCCTATTCAACAAATAGTGCTGGGATAATAGGCTGGCCACATGTAGAAGAATGAAACTGGATCCTCATCTCTCACCTTATACAAAAATCAACTCAAGATGGATCAAAGACTTAAGTCTAATACCTGAAGCCATAAAGATTCTAAAAGATAACATCAGAAAAACTCTTCTAGACATTGGTTTAGGCAAAGAATTTATGACCAAGAACCCAAAAGCAAATGCATCAGAAACAAAGATAAATAGATGGAACTTAATTTTTTTTTTTTTTTTTTGAGATGGAGTCTTGCTCTGTCACCCATGCTGGAGTGCAGTGGCATGATCTCATCTCACTGCAACATCCGCCTCCCGGGTTCAAGCAATTCTCTGCCTCAGCCTCTCAAGTAGCTGGGATTACAGGTGCCTGCCACCAAATCTGGATAATTTTTTTGTATTTTTAGTAGAGAAGGGGTTTCACCATCTTGGTCAGGCTGGTCTTGAACCCCTGACCTCGTAATCCACCCGCCTCGGCCTCCCAAAGTGCTGGGATTACAGGCTTGAGCCACCGCGCCTGGCTGGAACTTAATTAAACCAAAAAGCTTCTGCACAGCAAAAGAAATAACCAGCAGAGTAAATGGACAACCCACAGAGTGGGAGAAAATATTCACAGTCAATACATCTGACAAAATACTAATATCCAGGATCTACAAGGAACTCAAACAAATCAGCAAGAAAAAAACAAACAATCCCATCAGAAAGTCTGCTAAGGCCGGGTGCGGTGGCTCACGCCTGTAATCCCAGCACTTTAGGAGGCCAAGGTAGGTGGATCACCTGAGGTCAGGAGTTCGAGACCAGCCTGGCCGACATGGCAAAACCCCATCTCTACTAAAAAATACAAAAATTAGGTGGGGTGTGGTGGCTCATGCCTGTAATCCCAGCACTTTGGGAAGCCAAGGCAGGTGGATCCCTGAGGTCGGGAGTTCAAGACCAGCCTGACCACCATGGAGAAACTCCATCTCTACTAAAAATACAAAAAATTAGCCAGGTGTGGTGGCACATGCCTGTAATCCCAGCTACTCGGGAGGCTGAGGCAGGAGAATCGCTTGAACCCAGGAGGCGGAGGTTGCAGTGAGCCGAGATCATGCCATTACACTCTAGCCTGGGCAACAAGAGTGAACTCCGTCTCAAAAAAAAAAAAATACAAAAATTAGCTGGGTGCAGTGGCAGTCACCTGTAATCCCAGCTATTTGGGAGGCTGAGGCAGGAGAATCGCTTGAACCCAGAGGCAGAGTTTACAGTGAGCCGACGTTGCGCCATTGCACGCCAGCCTGAGAGACAGAGCAAGACACCATCTCAAAAAAAAGAAAAAAAAAAGTGGGCTAAGGACATGAATAGAAAATTCTCAAAAGAAGATATACAAGTGGCCAACAAACTCATGAAAAAATGCTCAACATCACTAATGATCAGGGAAATGCAAATCAAAACCACAATGCGATACCACCTTACTCCTGCAAGAATGGCCATAATAAAAAAACAAAAAATAATAGAGGTTGGCATGGACGTGATGAAAAGGGAACACTTTTACACTGCTATTGGGAATGTAAACTAGTACAACCACTATGGAAAACAGTGTGGAGATTCCTTAAAGAACTAAAAGTAGAACTACCATTTGATCCAGAAATCCCACTACTGGGTATCTACCCAGAGGAAAAGAAGTCATTATACGAAAAAAATACTTGCACACACATGTTTATAGCAGCACAATTTGCAATTGCAAAATAGGAAACCAGCCCAAATGCCCACCAATCAAGGAGTAGATAAAGAAATTGTGATATATGTATATACACACACACACATACACCGTGGAATACCACTCAGACATAAAAACAAGTGAAATAATGGCATTCGCAGCAACCTGGATGGAGTTGGAGACCACTATTCTAAGTGAGGTAACTCAGGAATGGAAAATCAAACATCGTATGTTCTCACTCATAAGTGGGAGCTAAACTATGAGGATGCAAAGGCATAAGAATGACACAATGGACTTTGGGGGCTCAGGGGAAAAGGCTGGGAGGGTGGTGAGGGATAAAAGACTACAAATTGGGTGCAGTATACACTGCTTGGGTGATGGGTGCACCAAAATCTCGGAAATTACCACTAAAGAACTTGTTCATGTAACCAAACATCACCTGTCCCCCCAAAACCAATTGAAATAATAAATATAAAAATTTAGAATCAAGGCCAGGTGCAGTGGCTCACGCCTCTAATCCCAGCAGTTTGGGAGGCCAAGGCAGGCAGATCACCTGAGGTCAGGAGTTCAAGACCAGCCTGTTCAACATGGTGAAACCCCGTCTCAAGTAAAACTACAAAAATTAGCCAGATGTGGTGGCACATGCCTGTAACCCCAGCTACTCGGGAGGCTGAGGCAGGAGAATCCCTTGAACCTGGGAGATTGGGCCACTGCACTTCAGCCTGCACGACAGAGTGAAACTCCATCTCAAAAAAAAAAAAAAAAAAGGAATCCTTCTTATTCTTATCTCTTACCACTATTTATATGAGCCCCCTTCCTTGGGTGTGCTTCCAGTGATTAGCACTTGTTAATTCTTCTTGAGGGGTTGGAGGAACCTGTTTGTCAAGTCACATGTACCTGAGTCTCACTGAGAGGCTCTAGTCAGTGCCAGTGGAGAGAGAAACATCTTGGATGTCTGTGGACAGAGAAAACACACAGTGATTCAAATATATGAGCTTCAAATTGGGAGCCACCAGGACAAATGCTCTAAATTGCAGGGGTAGATTTGTAATCACACTGCTTCTCATCTAGACCACTTGATTCTGCATTAGCCTAAATTAATAGTAGTGGGGCTTTATTTGTTTAACAATGGTTACTCTTATTTTGAACAACTTTTGGGAAAAAAACCTGGTTTTGGATATAGGAACACAGCCTTATAAGGAATTTTGCTACCTACTGTAGATTTACATATCAATTGTAGAATGAGACAACTAAAGGACTATATGGTTTTTAAGCTTTGTTTTGATTCTAAATTTTTTTTTTTTTTTTGAGACAGAGTCTCCCTCTGTCATCCAGGCTGGAGTGCAATGGCCCAATCTTGGCTCACTGCAACCTCCGCCTCCCAGGTTCAAGTGATTCTCCTGCCTCAGCTTCCCAAGTAGCTGGGACTACAGGTGCCCACCTCCATGCCCAGCTAATTTTTGTATTTTTTTAGTAGAGACAGGGTTTCACCAACGTTGGCCAGGCTGGTCTCCAACTCCTGACCTCAAGGGATCCACCCACCTCGGCCTCCCAAAGTGCTGGGATTACAGGCGTGAGCCACTGCGCCCGGCCAGGGATCTTATACTAGCAGAGTATCAGTGTTGTTCACCATAGTCTATCTCTATTCCAAACTACCTTTTAAACAGATACACGAGTGATCAATGTACGATTTCAACTTGACTGTGACATTCTCCTACTTAAAGCCTTCAGTGGCTCCCCAGCCCCTACAAAGTAAGGGCAGATTATTATTCCATCATATAAAATTCCAACTATGTATCACTTAAATCCACTTAACCTATACTGCAGATACTCTGAGTTGCAGATTGGTGTGAATGGCCTTTCCCCATTCACACAGGGCGGCTTCAAGCACCCCACCTATTGCTCCCTTTTTCCTCTGCTGAAGTGTCCCTCCCTGTCTACTTATCTTTCAAGAGGAGCACAGGGCTACCTACTCCGTGAAATTTCTCTAGTCTCTGCCTCTAATTCCACTAAAACCATCAGCAAACATAACTTCACTCTTCTTTGTGGTCCCACTCTAACCTGTAGTTAATATATTCTTCCCACTATACTATAAACTTATTGAAGATGAGGTAGGACTAAACCATTTCTTCCCCAAATAAATACCTGTGTGTATATGTATAGTCACTGATGATCTTGAAAATGAAAGTTTTGTGCAAGTGGAAGACGAGGAAAATCCTACTGCACTAAACTTAAGAGATAAAGTCAAAACAGTGAATATTAAGTAATATTTGAAGGATTCTGGCATAGAAGGAATCACGGAAATAGAAAAGATGTGGGTAAAATGTATAAGATATATTATGAGTAATATACAATTTTTTTATGTAAGTGAGGTTTTGCTCTCCCAAAAGAGATAGTGGTGATGCTAGAATGGGAAATGAGAATAAATATTAGATGAGGGAGAAAGGAACAGCCTGGATTCAGAGAGGGGGAAACGTATGCTTCCAGGAACAATGTCGGGGGGTGAGATGGCAGGCCTCCAAACTCAGCTCTGTTGGAAGAGGGTTACACTTACCTGAGCTAAACCGAAGAGCCAGGTCACTGAGGAGCTGTGGCAATGGCAGCCCAGGCTGTGGTGGCTGTGGGAAAACAGCATGGCCATGGCAGTGAGGGGAGAAAGACATCCTGCCTACATTTGAACAATAAGAGGTCGTGACTAGGTTGATGGAGGGAACTTGCCCATGGCACTGAGGCAGAGATGGCAAAAAATCTTCTGTACCACCAGTGACATCATGTGGCCAAAGATCACCAGACTTCTCTACTAAAAATAGGTTGCTGGATTTTCCCTTCTATAGAATGTTGCAATTATACTGACCTCTAGAAATGAATAAGCCAGCCCAGGACTTCCACTCCTGCCTGAGGGGAGTGGAGCCGGAGACGGGACCAGAGGTCGAACTCGGGTTCTGACAAGATGGCTGGGCTGCCCCGTAGAATCATCAAGGACACCCAGCATTTGCTGGCAGAAGGAGTTCCTGGCATCCAAGCAGAATCACGTGAGAGCAACACCTGTTATTTTCATGTGGTCATTGCTGGCCCTCAGGATTCCCCCTTTGAGGGAAGGACTTTTAAACTTGAACTGTTCCTTCCAGAAGAATAAGCAATGGCAGCCCCTAAAGTACGTTTCATGACCAAAATTTATCATCCTAATGTAGACAAGTTGGGAAGAATATGTTTAGATATTTTGAAAGATGAGTGGTCCCCAGCACTGCAGATCTGACAGTTCTGCTATCGATCCAGGCCTTGTTAAGTGCTCCCAATCCAGATGATCCATTAGCAAATGATGTAGTGGAGACATGGAAGACCCACGAAGCCCAAGCCATAGAAACAGCTAGAGCAGCGACTAGGCTATATGCCATGAATAATATTTAAATTGATCCAATCGCCAAGTGTGCATCGCTTCTCCTGTTCTGCCAAGACTTCCTTATTTTTGTTTGCATTTAATGGACACAGTCTTAGAAACATTACAGAACAAAAAAAGCCCAGATATCTTCAGCCTTAGGTGATTAAATGCAAAAGAAAAAAAAAAAGTAATGGATAAGCCCCGGGGTCCTTGAATTTATCACAGAAAGAAAGTAGTGGTGGCAGGCCGGCGTGGTGGCTCACGCCTGTAATCCCAGCACTTTGGGAGGCCAAGGCGGGTGGATCACCTGAGATCAGGAGTTCGAGACCAGCCTGGCCAACATGGCAAAACCCTGTCTCTACTAAAAATACAAAAATTAGCTGGGTGTGGTGGCTCATGCCTGTAATCCCAGCACTTTAGGAGGCCAAGGCGGGTGGATCACCTGAGATCAGGAGTTCAAGACCAGCCTGGCCAACATGGCAAAACCCCGTCTCTACTAAAAATACAAAAATTAGCTGGGTGTGGTGGTGCGCACCTGTAGCCCCAGCTACTTGGGAGGCTGAGGCAGGAGAATCGCTTGAACCCGGGAGGCAGAGGTGCAGTGAGCCGAGATCGCACCACTGCACTCAAGCCTGGGTGACAGGGCGAGAGTCTGCCTCAAAAAAAAAAACGACAAAGAAGGTAGTGGCAATAAGAATATTTCCACAATAGCTACATGGAGACTCCTGAAATTTAACTCAAATATTCAAAGCTGCCACTTTATTTTATATCACAAGGTGAAGTGAGACATACCAGCTCCTTATATTCATTCCTCCCAGCTATAGGAAGAATCAGTCTTACATCCCTCTGTCCTTTATACCTCTGCAAAGAAGCAATACTTTTACATATCTTGATGTGCTCTTCTATTTGCAAGTCTATGAATAGCACCTTATTCCTAGCCACTTAAAGCATCAATATGCTGGGAAGGGGGAAAAGGGAGGAAGTGTGGCAAAGAAGATTAGGATAGCAGCGTTGCAGTAGAAATAAGCAAGATAAAAAGAATCATTATTCAGCCTCCCATAGCCAAAATAGGTTTTCATGTCGGCAACAAGCCAATCAGCTTGAAAGGCAGGACTTGTCATGAGAGAAACAAGTTTTCTAAATTAATTTATCTCCCTCTGTAATACATCAAGCCAGGCTTGGTAGACTTGGTCACAGAATTTATATGTTGAAGGCTCCACATAGAATTAAGTGAAAGCAGGAAAACCTCGCCCCTGCAAATTTGGGAGAATCATGAAGGGAAACAGAGGTAGACCAAGGAGGTTAGATGCCAGGGTTCTTTTTTCTTTTCCTTGACTTGAAACCAACCCTTAAGATAAATGGGAGCTTATGGAGTATAAGAAAACCTAAGGTCACCAAAGATAGTAGCATGTTTCTGTGGGCATGACACAGAGAGGCTGCAGATCCTTAAAACAACTCTGGCTCATTGTATAAGGGGACATGACTATACGAATCTAGTTTTCCAGTGCCTGGAAATAAGGAAATCAAAGATGCCTGTATGTTTTGCCAGGGAAGATAGAGAAGCATGCAGAACAATAGTGCAACAGCACAAGGCTAGAGTCAAAGCAAAGTTGCTACAGCATGCAATGACTTCCAGGAAGAACAGGAGCTAGAGATTCCAGCCATGAGTATGCTGTTAAATATTTAAAAACTCGCTATCAGAACAAAAAAAAAACCTGATAGGTAGTATTTGCCCATTTTTATGGTGTAAATCATCCCACTATAGTCAATTTCAAGCTCCAACATGACATCACTACTTATGAGTTTAGTAAGAGATGTGTAGTAGCACACTATTTTATGGTATTTCTACCATAAAGATATGATAGATGTGAACGATCTCATAGATATTAGTAAAACACAGTAAAATACTCAGGAAATGATGAGTTTTTAGTATTGTATTTGATATAATTTATTTAAGTGAAAATGTCTATTAAGTACAAATTTATATAAGTTATATATATATATATATTTTTTTTTTTTGAAACAGGGTCTTGCTTTGTCACTCAGGCTGAGTGCAATGGCATGAACATGGCTCACTGCAGCCTCAATTTCCTGGGCTCAAAGGATCCTCCTGCCCCAATCTCCCATGTAGCTGGGACTACAGGCATGCGTCACCACAACTGGTTAATTTTTTAATTTTTGTAGAGAAAAGGTCTTGATATTTTGGCCAGGCTAGTCTCAAATTTCTGGGCTCAAGCGATCCTTCCACCTCAGACTCCCAAAGAGCTGCGATTGCAGACATGAGCCACCGTGCTAGGCCTACAAATGTGTATTTTAATTGCAGGTTTAGCAAAGAGCTCACAAAACTTCTGAAATTTTAACAATCAGCTATTGCAAGCCAGTACAAACCAACTCCAGCACACGATTGATTCCAACTATGGATAAGAGCAAGCACCCCAAATGTCTAGGCATCACTATCCTTACCTATATGATTCAAGAAGTCTACCAGACCTACCTGCCACACCCCAGCAAAAAAGAACAAAAGTCAGGCTGAGCACGGTGGCTCGCATCTGTAATCCCACCATTTGGGGAGGCTGAGGTGGGAGGACTGCTTGAGGCCAGGAGTTTGAGACCAGCCTGGGCAACAGAGCTAGACGCTGTCTCCATTTTTTTTTTTTTTTTTTTTTTTTTGAGACAGAGACTTGCTCTGTCACCCAGGCTGGAGTGCAATGGCGCGATCTTGGCTCACTGCAACCTCCGCCTACCAGGTTCAAGCAATTCTCCTACCTCCGCCTCCCAAGTAGCTGGGGTTACAGGCACTCGCCACCATGCCTGGCTAATTTTTGTATTTTTAGTAGAGATGAGGTTTCACCATGTTGGCCAGGCTGGTCTCGAACTCCTGATCTCAGGTGATCCACCTGCCTTGGCCTCCCAAAGTACTGGGATTACAGGCATGAGCCACCATGCCCGGCCTTTTTTTTTTTTTAATTAAAATAATTTCCAAAACAAGAAGAAGTATCTAAGGAATGCTCCAACAATCTGAAGCCATCTTTTTCCCCACTGTTATAGAAACAATGGAGTCATCCAAGACTTTTTAGAATCTCTGGCAAATTTGTTTGGCGTTTGTTTGTTTGTGAGACAGGGTCTTGTCATGTTGCTCAGGCTGGTCTCAAATTCCTGGGCTCAAATGATTCTCCCAACTCAGCCTCCTGAATAGCTGGAATTACAGGTGTGAGCCATTGCTGCCCAACCCAATATTTTATAAACTGGAAGTAACCAAATTTAGTCAATTGACCTACATTTAGGGGATTTTTTATTTCTCTCAGTGTCCAGAGAAGTGGGAATATATAAGAAAGATTAGCTTAATTATTAAAAATTCGATACATTTTCTTTTTTTCTTTTTCCATTTTTTTAAACGGAGACACTCTTAAAAATTCAATACATTATCAATTCACTTCTGAGTATAATGTGGGTAAATGTGTGACCCTCGCAACAACTTAAATAAAGAAATCACAGAAATTTGAGGTCATTCAAACAGCTCATGTTGTTCTTCACAGCTCACTTTCTAGATATGCAGAAATGATTCCTGCTTGCCGTCAAAACAAAAAATAACAAGGATCTTGGGAATGTAGTTCTCATCTGGGAAATGTTTCAAGGTAGGATTCCAAGGAGGTGGACAGTTTTCTTCAAATCTCTTGACAGTGTTTTTAAAAACTGGATCAAAGGAGATCCAGCTAATAAGGGTAATCAATTCAAGATCATAAGTAGAAGAGTCACACTCCATAAATAACCAAGTCTCATCGATTCTTAAATCAGTCAATGAGCTGATCCCTTGGAAGATTTTAATTCCATTACAAAACAGAGATTCAGTAATCCATCACCACAAGCCAAAGCGATGTTCTGAAGGATGCTTTCCTTACCTGCTCCACATTCCACCTGAGAATACACCAACTTTCCCCAAGATTTTGCTCCTGTGTCCATGTGAGTCCAAGAAGAAAAGCATTCCTAAGGTTGGGGCAATTCAAAATGGAACAAATACTTAATTCCCAGACTTTAAACATTTTCACAATTTTGTCAAAAACGGTATTTAATCTGTCTCTTTCCCCCATCTTCTTTCTCAACTCACCCTCTACACCCAGAGTTAATTTGGTAGGCAGATAAATTTTGAATTAAATTATTATTTCTCCCAATTAAAGAACATTCTTCTTTGAATTGAGGAAAATAATTTTAAAGAGCTATCGTTTATTTTCTCTCTTTTGGGAGAGATGATAAACAATATAGATGATGTATCAGATTAAGTGTTACTGTGTAAACACAGTAAGAGATGGATTATTTAAACCTGTGTTTCCCAGAACACAGTTAGTTCAACCTACTTGAAAATTGGAAGGTCTTTGTTTCAAGTATCTTTTCTTAAGTAAGCTCTTTTTGTTTTAACTAAGAATACAAGAACACTGGCAGAATAATCAGAGCAAGAAAATATGAGCTCTGCCTCCCCACTGTACCCAAACTCTATTCATTCTCCTTGCTTCAACTCTTTGCTCAGGCTGCCTAATGGCCTAAAAGGGCTGTGGTCAAGTCTGGCCCTAAAAGCAAACAAGAGTGAACAACTCAACGCTGGGTCAGTCCTCATCTCTCAGCCTCAGCGATTCACATCTGCTCTAAATGGGGATGGCACCAACTCAAAAGTGCCCTGTAGGAACCCCAGTTCGGTGCAGACATGCCAGAAAGAAACCAATTTTTCTCTGGGATAATCTGACTTTTTACAAAGTGAAAAATGCTACTGCCTGCAAAGCGTTCAACATGAATTGGCCTCCTAGTAAAGAAGAGCACAATACTTAGCCCATCCTATGGTTTCCTACCTAACCCTATCTCATCCCTTCCTTACCATGCTCTCTCAATGCTAACCTCCTTCATTCCATCCCTAGGACCCCCTCCCTTGAATTTCTGGACCAAAGCCCCTGCCCCTAATTATTTGCTGTTTTAAATGCTGAATCTATCAGTGGTAGATTCTTATTTTCTTTAATCATATATTTTGATATTAAATTACAACCATTTAATAAGATGACCTTAACAATACTAAATACTATTTAAAATAAGAAATTTTAGAATATGTAACAAATTAGCCAAGATGTAGATACTTCAACTTTTTTTTAATTGATACATCTAAGTTTCCTTCACTCCTCAATATAAGAAGCCTAAGACTCTACAGCTTCAAAAGATTAGTAGGCTCATAATAAAATATCACATTTACGTTAGGAAGGAAAACATTTGATCAGTTTTCTTCTTTTGTATTTTTCTAGGCTGGCCCATTTTTCTCCAGAACAAAAAAAAAAAAAAAAAGACTTCTCTCTTCTAAAACCACACTCTCTCTCTTAGAATGACTTGGTCCTTCTGCAAACATGCTCCCTGCCCTACAGAGATTCCTCCTTCTGAAATTCTCCTCTACCCACCTTCCCACAGTCTGCCTTCCTCTGCAACCCCATTACACCACATCAAAATCACCATCTTCTGCTGCCTCTGCCTGGAAAAGGAGCCTTGCCCTTATACTCACCTACTGTGAGCACCACCAGAGTCCCTGTCCTGCCAACCAGGATGCCCAGGGCCAGATAGGAAAGCAGGGTGAGGGTAGAAGGAACCTTCTCTCAGCAGAGGATTTGGGAAAGTGTACCCATATTTATGCACCACAGCCAGGGAAAAACTCAGATTGGTGAAGAAAGATAACATTTTCCTTTTTTTTTTTTTTTCCTGAGACAGAGTCTCTCTCTGTTGCCCAAGCTGCAGTGCAGTGGCACGATCTCGGCTCACTGCAACCTCCACCTCCCACGTTAAAGAGATTCTCCTGCCTCAGCCTCCCAAGTAGCTGGGACTACAGGCACACACCACCATGCCCAGCTAATTTTTTTTTTTTTTTTTTTTTTAGTAGAGATGGGTTTTCACCATGTTAGCCAGGGTGGTATCGATCTCCTGACCTCGTGATCCGCCCACCTCGGCCTTCAAAGTGCTGGGATTACAGGCGTGAGCCACCGTGCCTGGCCGAAGAAAGATAACATTTTTCATTATGCATAAGGATTTATTATGTTCGTTATGTATGAACATCCAAATGGTTGACATTTTAGTATAATTCTAATATGATTTAATTTGTGAAATTTTGATTTTTATAAAAAGTTTTCAAAAATAATTTGGCCAGGCACGGTGGTTCACACCTGTAATCCCAGCACTTTGGGAGGCTGAGGCGGGTGGATCACTTAAGGACAGGAATTCAAAACCAGCCTGGCCAATATGGTGAAACCCCATCTCTACTGAAAATACAAAAATTAGCCAGGTGTGGTGGCACCTGCTTGTAGTCCCAGCTACTGGGGAGGCTGAGGCAGGAGAATCACTTGAACCCAGGAGGCAGAGGTTGCAGTGAGCTGAGATGGTGCCACTGCACTCCAGCCTGGGGGACAGAGGGAGACTCCATTTAAAAAAAAAAATTATTTGTCTAAAGTAGACTCACATTTATAGTATATATCTCCTCTAGTATGTATCTCCTCTCACTGGTAGAATATAAATTTTGCTCATAATTAGTATCATATACAAGTGCTCAAACTTTGCCATTTCTTTCCATTCTAGACAAAGAAAGTACCATCCACCCATCCCAAAAGAAATTATCCTTCCTTCTGAAAATAAGGTAATAAAAATCTAATATACTCTAATAAAGAGATTTGTGGACAAAGTCTGTACTTATTTCTATGGACTGTATAATTAGTATAAATGCATTATTATTAATAATTAGTACAAATGCAGTATTATTAATAATTATATGCACTTAATTCCTTTTAAATAATAATGAAGATAAAATATGTTTGAGTCTGACATTTATAAAAGGGAATTTTTCTAATGGCATCCCTGTGGTTATAACTGTTAATGCTCAGATCTTTGTATAATTAATTTCTTACTAGTTTAATTTTTGTTTCTTAAAGGACACAAAGTAGCAAGTACACAGAATGAACAAGTCTAAAGCTCTAATGTACAACATGAGGACTATAGTTAATAATATTGTATATTTAGGATTTTTTGCTAAATGACTAAATTTTAGCTGCTCTTGCCACCCAATAAAATGGGTAACTACGTGAGATGATGAATATGTTAACTTACTTCACTGTAGTAATCATTTTACTATCTATATATTTCATAACACCATGTTGCATACTTTGAATATATATAATAAAATTTATTTTAAAAAAACAACAAACAACAACAAAAAAGAACTGTAAGATATTTTAGTTTAAGCAATGGGTAAAAATACCTAAAACATTCTTTTTTGAACAAACCATTTATCAAAGACAGTTTTTCTGTTTTGTTTTGTTTCAAGACCTAGTCTCTCTCTGTGGCCCAGGCTGGAGTGCAGTGGCCTGATCTTGGCTCACTGCAACCTCCACCTTTCAGGCTCAGGTGAGTCTCGATTCTCGTGCTTCAGCCTCCTGAGTAGCTGGGATTACAGACATGCACCACCATACCGGGCTAATTTTTGTATTTTTAATAGAGACAAGGTTTTGCCATGTTGGCCAGGGCTGGTCTTGAACTCCTGGCCTCAAGTGATTCGCCTGCCTCAGCCTCCAACAGTGCTGGGATTACAGGTGTGAGCCACTGCGCCCAGCCAAAGGGAGTTTTTAAATAACATCTGGCTTAGATGTTTAATACCTTTGAAGGCTTTTTGAAATCCTTTTTGTTGGAAGACAAACAAAAACTATTAAAATAACAATGTACTAAAAGACAAATCCTATAATAATCAATGCTGTGGCCGGGCTCAGTGGCTCATGCCTGTAATCCCAGTACTCTGGGAGGCTGAGGCAGGTGGATCACCTGAGGTGGGGAGTTCAAGACCAGCCTAACCAACATGGAGAAACCCCGCTTCTACTAAAAATACAAAAATTAGCCAGGCATCGTGGCACATGCCTGTAATCCCAGCTACTCGGGAGGCTGAGGCAGGAGAATTGCTTGAACGTGGGAGGTGGAGGTTGCAGTGAGCTGAGATTGCGCCATTGCGCTCCAGCCTGGGCAACAGGAGCGAAACTTCATCTCAAAAAATAAATAATAATAATAATAATAATCAATGCTGTTATCATCCAAATGAACAAAACTACTAAACTACTTAGGTCAATTAATAAATGTAAATAACATTCCAGAGCAAACAGAAGGTACAAATGGTACCTTAGACTTTGTTTACACTGAGCATAGGCTCACATTGCTTGAAGTGCAGGCCCTGTCCTACAGTCTTGACTATATGGAAAAAGCATGAGAGATGTGATCATGGAGGGAAACATGATACAGGATTAGTAGGAGTTGACACTATCCACTTAGCCAGTCAACCAACAAATATTTATTAACTTATTATTGCCAAGCACCAGAGTAGTTGCTGCAAATACATCAAAGAACAAAATAGAGTGCTCTTTGCTCTGAAGGATCTTAAAATCTAGTAGAAGGAAACGGTAAGTACTTAAGCAAATAGCTCTTATAATAATGTACTGTAATCACCCTTTAATATAAGTTCTTATTTCCCAGAAAATTGTCTTCTAGTGGAGGATAATTCTTTCCAAGGAGGTGACAGAGGAATGAAGACATATTAGATCAATCAGCATACTCCTAAGTCCAGAGGAAGGAGGGTATGGTGATCTGAGAGAACTAAAACAAAGATTATTGAAATATGCAAGAACCAGATCACAAAGTTTCTTGTAGATCTCAGGAGGAGACATTTCAAGGATATTAAGTCATAAACCAACAATAGGAATGATAATTGTGGGGTAATAGTTCCACACTGCTTCATATCACCAAAATCTATTTCTCTGTGGTCCCCTTTGGGGGCGTAGACCTATCATATGCACTTACACTATTATTCAGACACAATCCTGTGCTTGGTTTCTAATACCTGTATGTCGTATCCCCTATTAAAGAGGCATTTCAGGGCACCTAGAGACTAAACAGCTCTGAAGGTTGTTTTGCCAAGCAAACCCAGGTGACTGATGGCAAATGCTTTCTATTTAAAATATAGAAGACTTCTGTTTACCTCTCAAATTCTGATCATTAGACAAAAGCATTCTGTTATCACTCCACACCTGCATTTTCCTTATCAGACTTCACCATTCATCTTAGCAGACTGCAAAAAGACATGGGAAAGACCAAAAACACATCGCTGGACACCGTGGTGAGAGATTTCATTCTTCTGGGTTTGTCTCACCCCCCGAATCTAAGAAGCCTCCTCTTCCTGGTCTTCTTCGTCATTTACATCCTCACTCAGCTGGGGAACCTGCTCATTCTGCTCACCGTGTGGGCTGACCCGAAGCTCCGTGCTCGCCCCATGTACATTCTTCTGGGAGTGCTCTCATTCCTGGACATGTGGCTCTCCTCAGTCATCGTTCCTTGAATTATTTTAAACTTCACTCCTGCCAACAAGGCTATCCCGTTTGGTGGCTGTGTGGCTCAACTGTATTTCTTTCACTTCCTGGGCAGCACCCAGTGCTTCCTCTACACCTTGATGGCCTATGACAGTACCTGGCAATATGTCAGCCCCTGCGCTACCCAGTGCTCATGAATGGGAGGTTATGCACAGTCCTTGTGGCTGGAGCTTGGGTCGCTGGCTCCATGCATGGGTCTATCCAGGCCACCCTGACCTTCCGCCTGCCCTACTGTGGGCCCAATCAGGTAGATTACTTTATCTGTGACATCCCCGCAGTATTGAGACTGGCCTGTGCTGACACAACTGTCAATGAGCTTGTGACCTTTGTGGACATCGGGGTAGTGGCCGCCAGTTGCTTCATGTTAATTCTGCTCTCGTATGCCAACATAGTAAATGCCATCCTGAAGATACGCACCACTGATGGGAGGCGCCGGGCCTTCTCCACCTGTGGCTCCCACCTAATCGTGGTCACAGTCTACTATGTCCCCTGTATTTTCATCTACCTTAGGGCTGGCTCCAAAGGCCCCCTGGATGGGGCAGCAGCTGTGTTTTACACTGTTGTCACTCCATTACTGAACCCCCTCATCTATACACTGAGGAACCAGGAAGTGAAGTCTGCCCTGAAGAGGATAACAGCAGGTCAAGGGACTGAATGAAAATAAGTAACTATCTACGGCCATACCACCCTGAACACGCCCGATCTCGTCTGATCTCAGAACCTAAGCAGGGTCGGGCCTGGTTATTACTTGGGTGGGAAAATAAGTAACTACAGCCACATAACCATCGCTACCACTCTCTTCAGCTACTGCTGCACGTGACAAATGTTCAATAAATAGATGTTAGTTTCAGCGGAAATGAACATAATTCTACTAGAAAGAGGCTTCTGGTGCTATATTCAACCTCAAGAAGTTATCCATAGCTGTTTTACCCTTTTCTGACCCAGCTCTCAAGAGAAAGCACATATGTTGACTCTGAGAAATTGATGTTTTCTTCTAGAAGGAGGGGAAATTATTCCAAGCAAATTTGGGGAAAGCCAACATAATACTGTCCTACATTCATTTGCTTTGCTCCTAACTTCCCAAGCCTCTAGGCATCAGAATTGCTTTGCTCACATCAAGGCAAATCCATCCTTCCAGGTACTTAGTTAGAATCTCTGTGTGGCTCATCTGTGTTTCCTTTCAGCCCCTCACTTTTCTCCATGTAGTAATTCATCAAATCCTGTTCACCCTGCCTCAGAAATGTCTCTCTGGCTTCTTAAGTGGTCTCCTTGTCACCTCCACTTTCCTCCATACAACTACCGGAGTTTTCTTTCTGAAACATACAACTAAATATTTTATTTCCTGTCCCTATAAATATTTACTGGCTTTCCACTGCATATAAATAAAGCCCATACCTATTAGCTTGGAATTCAAAGTTCCCCACAATCTGGTACCAACATACCTCATCTCCCAACATATCTCTACCTCCCTTTTCTCTTCCGGCCCCATTAATTTACCTGTCATTCCTTAAACATTATACTTCCCCGCCTCTGAGCCTTTGCTTGAGTTATTCTCATATCTGAAATAGCCTTCCTCCTCCATATTGGTAAACTGATGTTTTATGCTAACTTTGAGGTCCAAGAAAAATCTTTATTCCTACAAGAAGTTTTCTTATTCTTCCACTCATAAGTTATATCCTCCTCCTTGTATTCCAGTGGGCCTTCAAATTTTATAATAGTACTTTTCTTTGGCTGGACTATATTATAGCTTAGATTGGAGTTTCTAGAGAAAGGAAAGCATTTTTTTTTTCTTTGAGATGGAGTCTTGCTCTGTTTATCACTTTGCATCTCAAAGCGCTGGGATTACAGGTGTGAGCCACCGTGCTCGGCCAGGAAAGTATGTTTTATTGATGTTTATGTTGTAGCCTCCTTTTCCCCAATATCTACTAGTATCCACTTATAGAGGAGATGGCTGGGTGTCCACAAAAATCCATTCTCTCCTTCCCTAGTTAGAAGGCTGTAGCTAGAATGTGGCTGCTCTTCTGTGGATATTTCTCAGTGTCTGTTGCAGCCAGATCTAGTCATATATCTAAGTTTTCCCAAATTGAATATGAGAAGGCTGTACATGTGAGATACTTCCACTTACATATACACATAAGGCCCTCAAAACTGGCACATGACCAGGCACAGTGGCTCACATCTGTAATCCCAGCACTTTGGAAGGTCAAGGCAGGTGGATCACCAGAGGTCAGGAGTTCAAGACCAGCCTGGCCAAAATGGTGAAACCCCATCTCTACTAAAAATATGAAAATTAGCCGGGCGTCGTGGCGCATGCCTGTAATCCCAGCTACTCGGGAGGCTGAGGCAAGAGAATCGTTTGAACCCTGGAGGCAGAAGTTGCAGTGAGCCAAGATCATGCCACTGCTCTCCAGCCTGGGCAACAGAACAAGACTCCATCTCAAAAAAAAAAAAAAAAAAAAACTGGCACATGAATTTTTCCACATTCTTTTTCTGCTCTAAGCTGGAAAAGGCACATGATGGGGACCCACAAGGAGCAACTTCTGAGCAAGTAGAGAACCAACCTGGATCACTCACCTCAGAATTTTAAGTTAGAGGGAAATAAAACTTTAGCTTCTTTAATCCAGTGATTTATTGTTGGGTTACTTTGTTAGAGCAGTTTTTAATCCACTGATTTATTGTCGAGTTACTTTGTTACCTCATCCTAATACTTTACCCAATCAACAATTTTTTAAATTAAAACAGCACCAGGGCTGAGCACGGTGGCTCATGTCTGTAATCCCAACTACTTGAGGCTGGGAGGAGAGCTTGAGGCCAGGAATTCAGGACCAGCCTAGGCAACCAAGCAAGATCCCATCTCTAGAATATGAACAAACAAACAAACAAAAACAGCACCAGGAAAGTCTTTTGAACTGCATCTAAATTGTCCAAAGCATCCAGAAAAACTTTTGGTTAGTTATCACAAGCCAAGTAGACAAAGATCTAGAAGCCAGCTGGTCAGTCATTCAGTAGGTCACTGAGTAAATCATGCAATGTCTTCTGACCAGGCCAGGCGGATGTAAATAACCCTTGTGTTTTCCTCTGTGACCTATCCTGGTCTTACCTGGAGGAAAAAGAAAACATTTCAGAAGACTCAAGTATGGAACAATATAAGAGCAGGGTCAATCGCTCCTTCCAGAAAAATGAAGGACAAGGTAAATGTGTTATTTCATTTGCCAACAGTTTTTTATTCATCTGTATGTGAGAGATCATGTTGGCCTAATTTTAAATAATAGATCAAGTCAAAGACTCAGAAAAAAAAAAAAAAAAAAAAAAAAATATATATATATATATATATATGTATATATCTCTGAGACAACTGGAATAAATATGAACATCAATTTTGTTAAATGCCTTTATGACCAGCCTGGACAATATAGCAAGACCTCATCTCTACTAATTAAAAAGTAAAATAAAATAAAATAGGCCGGGTGCAGTGGCTCACGCCTGTAATCCCAGCACTTTGGGAGGCCGAGGTGGGTGGATCACAAGGTCAGTAGATCGAAACCATCCTGGCTAACACAGTGAAACCCTGTCTCTACTAAAAATACAAAAAAAATAATTAGCCAGGCATGGTGGCAGGTGCCTCTAGTCCCAGTTACTTGGGAGGCTGAGGCAGGAGAATGGCGTGAACCCTGGAGGTGGAGCTTGCAGTGAGCAGAGATTGCACCACTGCACTCCAGCCTGGGTGACAGAGTGAGACCCCCTCTCAAAAAAAAAAAAAAATAGCCAGACATAGTGGTGTACACCTGTAGTCCCTGCAGCTTGAGAGGCCGAGGCAGGAGAATCACTTGAGCCTAGAAGGTGAAGGCTTCCGTGAAACATAATCGTGTCACTACACTCCAGCCTGGGCAACAGAGAGACCCTGTCTTAAAAGAAAAAAAATTATTTATGAGAAAAAACTGTTACGGTGAGATTACAAGATATATCTATATCTTCTCCTATAAGAGAAGCCACTTAAGACAACTTCTGAGTCTACAGTAATTTATTTTTTCTCAAAGCCAATATTTTTCACCAATACATAATAGATATATTTTTTTTCAGGGTTCATGTGGTAGTTTAATACATTCACATAATTTGTAAATATCAAATCAGTGTAATTGAGATGTCCATCAACTTAAATGTTTGTATTTTCTTTATGCCAGAAACATTTGAATTATTATTTTATAGTGACTTTGAAATATACAATAGTTTATGATAAACTATAGTCACACTACTAATCTATCAAACATTAGGTGTTACTTTGTCTACCAAATAGTATATTTGTACCCATTAATCAACCTCTCTTCATCCCCACCTACTTCTTGCCTTCCACCAATCCACTCCCTATATTTATGGGATCCACTTTTTCAGCTCCCACATATGAGTGAGAACATGCAATATTTGTCTTTCTGTGCTTGGCTTATTTCACTTAACATAATGGCCTCCAGTTCCATCCATGCTGCAAATGACAGGATTTGTGTGGGGGGCGGAGGGGAGGCTGAATATTATGTTGTTGTGTATATATGCCACATTTTCATTACCCATTCATCTATTGATGAGCACTTAGGTTGATTCCATATTTTGGCTATTATAAATAGTGCTACAACAAACATGGGAGTGTAGATATTACTTCAATATATTGATTTCCTTTCTTTTGGGTATATATCCAATTAGTGGAACTGCTGGATCATATGAGAATTCTTTTTTTAGTTTTTTGAGGAACCTCCATGCAGTTTTCCATAATGCTTCTACCAATTTACCTTCTCACTAACAATGTACAAGGGTTTCCCTCTCTCCACATTCTTGCCAATATTCATTACTCCCTGTCTTTTTGATAAAAGCATTGTAACTAGGGTGAGATGATATTTCGTTGTAGTTTTGGTTTGCATTTTTCTGAAGATTAAAGTTGTTGCACATTTTTTATATAACTATTGGCCATTTGTGTGTCTTCTTTTGGAAAATATCCATTCAGATCTTTTGCCCACTTTTTAATTGGATTATATGGGGTTTTTTGTTATTGAGTTGTTTGAGCTCCCTATGTATTCTGATTATTTACCCGTTTTCAGATGGATAGATTGCAAATATTTTCTCCCATTCTGTGAATTGTCTCTTCACTTTGTTTATTGTTCCCTTTGCTATCCAGAAGCTTTTCAACTGCTACCATCCCATTTGTGCATTTTTGCTCTGGTTGCCTGTATTATTGAAGTCCTACACAAAAAGTCTTTGTCCAGATCAATGTCCTGGAGCATCACTCAATAACTTCTTGTAGGAGTTTCATAGTTTCAGATCTTACATTTAAGTCTTTTGTCCATTTTTATTTGATTTTTGTACGTGGTGAGAGATAGTGATCCAGCTTCATTCTCCTGCATTTGGTTATCTAGTTTTCCCAGCACCATTTATTAAAGGACTATCCTTTTCCCATCATATGTTCTTGGTGCCTTTGTTGAAAGTGACTTGGCTGTATGCTTGGATTGATATCTGAGTTCCTTATTATGTTCCACTGATCTATATGTCTGTTTTTATGCCAACACTATGATTTGGTTATTATAGCTTTGTAGTATGCTTTGAAGTCTGGTAGTGTGATACCTCCACCTTTGCTCTGTTTCCTCAGGATTACTTTGGCTATTCAGGGTCTTTTGTGGTTCCATATTAATTTTAGAGTTGTTTTTCTATTTCTGTGAAGAATGTCATTGATATTTTGATAGATATTGTATGATATCTGTACATTGCTTTGGGTAATATTGACATTTTAAAAAGTATTAATTCTTGGCCTGGTGCAGTGGCTCACCCCTGTAATCCCAGCACTCTGGAAGGCCAAGGCAGTCGGATCACCTGAGGTCAGAAGTTCAAGACCAGCCTGGCCATAGTGAAACGCTGTCTCTACTAAAAATACAAAAAATTAGCCAGGCGTGGTGGTGCGCACCTGTAATCCCAGCTACTCGGGAGGCTGAGGCAGGAGAATCGCTTGAACCCGAGAAGCAGAGGTTGCAGTGAGCCGAGATCGCACCATTGCACTCCAGCCTGGGCAACAAGAGTGAAACTCCATCTCAAAAAAAAAAAAAATTAATTCTTCTGATCCATGAGCATGGAACATCTTTCCATTTTTGTGTCCTCTTCAATTTCTTTCATCAGTGTTTTATAGTTTTCCTTGTGTAGATCTTTCATTTCTTTGGTTAAATTAATTCCTAAGTATTTTATATTATTTGTAGCTACCATAAATGGGATTGCTTTCTTGATGTCTTTTTCAGATTGTTCACTATTGGTGTAAATAAGTGCTACTAATTTTTGCATGTTGATTTTATATCCTGCAACTTTTCTGAATTTGTTTATCCGTGCTAACAGTTTTTGGTGGAATCTTCAGATTTTTCTAAGTACAAGATCATGTCATCTGCGAACAAGGCTAATTTGCCCTCTTTCTTTCCAATTTGGATGCTCTTTATTTCTCTCTCTTGCCTAATTGCTCCAGCCAGGACTTCCAGTATTACACTGAATAAAAGTGGTGAAAATGGTTGTCCTTATCTTGTTCCAGATCTTAGAGGAAAGACTTTCAATCTTTCCCCATTCAGTAGGTTGTTGACTGTGGGTTTGTCATATACGGCCTTTATTATTTTAAGGTATCTTTTTTCTATACCTAGTTAGTTGAGGGTTTTTATCATAGAGTGATGTTAAATTTTATCTAATTTTTTTAGCATCTATTGAAGTGATCATATGGATGCTGGTTTTGGTTCTGCTAATGGCATACATCGCATTTATTGATTTGTGAGGGAATTGTTTTTGGGTTTTCGTGTCTTTTAGTTTTTGTTTTTTTGTTTTGTTTTGTTTTGTTTTTTTGAGACAGATTCTCCCTCTGTCACACAGGCTGGGGTGCAGTGGTGCGATCTCAGCTCACTGCAACCTCCGCCTCCTGGGATCAAGTGATTCTCCTGCCTCAGCCTCCTAAGTAGCTGGGATTACAGGTGTGTGCCGCCACACCTAGCTAATTTTTGTATTCTTAGTAGAGATAAGGTTTCACCATGGTGGCCAGGCTGGTCTCAAACTCCTGACCTCAAGTGATCCACCCACCCTTGGCCTCCCAAAGGGTTGGGATTACAGGCGTGAGCCACCGCACCCAGCCTAATTTGTGTATTTTGAACCATTCTTGCATCCCTAGATGAATCCCACTTGCTCATGATGAATGATCTCTTTAATTAATTTTTGCATCTATGTCCTTCAGTAATATTAGCCTATAGTTTTCTTCATTTGTTGTATCTTTATCTGGTTTTGGTATCAGGTTAATGCTGGCATTGTAAAATGAGTTGGGGACCGGACACAGTGGCTCACACCTGTGATCCTAGCACTTTGGGAGGCCAAGGTGGGTGCATCACTTGAGGTCAGGAGTTCGAGACCAGCCTGACCAAAATGGTGAAACCCTGCCTCTACTAAAAATACAAAAATTATCCCGGTATGGTGGTGCATGCCTCTAGTCCCAGCTACTCAGGAGGCTGAGACAGGAGAATCACTTGAACCTGAGAGGTAGAGGTTGCAGTGAGCCAATATGGCACCACTGCACTCCAGCCTAGGTGACAGAGCAAAAGATTCCACCTCAAAAAAAAAATTAGTTGGGAAATATTTCTTCCTCTTAAATTTTTTTGAAGAGTTTGAGTACAGGTGGTATTAGTTCTTCTTTAAATGTTTGGTAGAATTCAGCAGTGAAGCATCAGATCCTGGACTTTTCTCTGATGATAAACTTTTTATTATGGTTTCAATCTCATCACTTGTCATTGCTTTGTTGGGGTTTTCTATTTCTATTTTTTTTTTTTTTTTTTGAGACAGAGTTTCGCTCTTGTCACCTAGGCTGGAGTGCAATGGCGTGATCTTGGCTCACTGCAACCTCTGCCTCCCGAGTTCAAGAGATAAGAGATTCTCTTGCCTCAGCCTCCTGAATAGCTGGGATTACAGGCACGCACCACCATGCCCAGCTAATTTTTGTATTTTTAGTAAAGGTGGGGTTTCACCATGTTGGCCAGGATGGTCTCGAACTCCTGACCTCAGGTGATCCGCTTGCCTCAGCCTCCCAAAGCGCTGGGATCACAGGCATGAGCCATCACTCCTGGTCTGAGGTTTTCTTTCTTCATGGTTCAATCTTGGTACGTTGTATGTGTCCAGGAATGTATCCATTTCTTCTAGCTTTTCCAATTTGTCTGCATATAATTATTCATAATAGTCTTTAATGATACTTTGTAGTTCTGTGGTCTCAGTTGTTACATCTCCTTTTTCATTTCTGATTTTATTTACTTGGGTTTTCTCTCCTTTTTTTTCTTAGTTGGTCTAGCTAAAGGTTTGTTAATTTTGTTTATGTTTTCAAAAAAACAAACTTTTATTTTGTTGATCATCTGTGTTGTTGTTTTTCATTTTTTTCTTTTTTTTCTTTTTTTTTTCTTTTTTTTGAGACGGAGTCTCGCTCTGTCGCCCAGGCTGGAGTGCAGTGGCACAATCTCGGCTCACTGCAAGCTCTGCCACCCGGGTTCATGCCATTCTCCTGCCTCAGCCTCCCGAGTAGCTGGGACTACAGGCGCCCGCCACCATGCCCTGCTAATTTTTTGTATTTTTAGTAGAGACAGGGTTTCACTGTGTTAGCCTGGATGGTCTCGATCTCCCGACCTCATGATCCGCCTGCCTCTGCTTCCCAAAGTGCTGGGATTACGGGTGTGAGCCACCGCGCCCGGATTTTTTTCTTTTTAGAGACAGGGTTTTACTTTGTCACCCAGGTTGGAGTACAGTGGCACAATCACAGCCCACTGTAACTTCAAACTCCTGGGCTCAAGGGATCCTCCTGTGTCAGTTTCCCAAGTAGCTAGAATTACAGGTGCATTGCCCCATGCCTGGCTAATATTTTTATTTTATTTTTTGTAGAGACAGGAGTCTAATTATGTTGTGGAGGGTGGTTTCAAATTCTGGCCTCACAGAATCCTCCCACCTCAGCCTCCTAGCACTGGGATTATAAGCATAAGCCACCATACCTAGCCTTGTTTTCTTCATCTCAATCCCATTTAATTCTGCTTTTATATTTTTTCTTCCTATATTAATTTTAGGTTTTGGTTATTCTTGCTTTTCTAGTTCCTTGAGGTGCATCATTAGGTTGTTTATTTGAAATCTTGTTTTCTTTTCTTTTTTGAAACAGGGTCTCACTCTGTCACCCATGCTAGAGTGCAGTGGCACAATCACAGCTCACTGCAGCCTTGATCTTGTGGGCTCAAGCCATCCTATCACCTCAGCCTCTTGGGTAGCTAAGACTACAAGTGCATGCCATTATGCCCAGACAATATTCTTTATTTTTTGTAGAGATGGGGTCTCGCTATGTTGCCCAGGCTGGTATTGAACTCCTGACCTCAAGTAATACTCCTGCCTTGGCCTCCCAAAGTGCTAGGATTACAGGCAAGAGTCACCACCCCCAGCGTATTTGAAGACATTCTACCTTTTTGATAAAGGCATTTATTGCTGCAAACTTCCCTCTTAGTTCTTCTTGTCCTGTATCCCATAGATTTGGGGATTCTGTATTTCTATTTTCATTCGTTTCAAGAAATTTTTTAACTTCTTAATTTTTTCACTGACCCACTGGTCGTTCAGGAGCTTATTGTTTAATTTCCATGTGTTTGTGTATTTTTCAAGATTTCTCTTATTATTGACTTCTTTTCTGACCAATGTGATACTTGATCAATGTGGTACTTGATCAATGTGATACTCGATCAATGTGGTACTTGATCAATGTGATACTCGATATAATTTCTACTTTTTTGAACTTGTTAAGACTTGTTTTGTGGCCTAAGATATGGTCTATTCTGGAGAATGTTCCATGTGCTAACGCAAACAAAAATGTACATCCTGCAGCAGTTGAGTGAAATGTTCTATAAATGTCAGTTAGACATATTCGGTCCAGTGTGTAGCTTAACTCTGATGTTTCTTTGTTGATTTTCTGACTGGATGATCTGTCCATTGCTGACAGCGTGGTGCTGAAGTCCTCTGCTATTATTGTATTGCTGTCTCTCTCTTGCTTCAAATTTATTAATGTTTGTTTATATACTTGGGAATTATCACATTGGATGCATAGATATTTATAATTGTTATATCCTCTTTCTGAATTGACCCCTTAATCATTATATAGTGACCTTTTTACAGTTATGGTGTCTCTTTTTGCAGTTTTTGATTTGTAGTGTATTTATATAGTGTATCTTTTTATAGTTTTTGAGTTGTAGTCTACTTTATCTGACATAAATATAGCTACTCCTCCCCTTTTTTTTTCTAGTTGCATGGAATATCTTTTTCCACCCCTTCACATTCATTCTATGTGTGTCTTTATAAGTTGGGTCTTATTTCTTTGTTTATTAAGCCACTTTATGCCTTTTAATTGAAGAATTGAGTTTGTTTACATTTAGTGCTATTGATATGTAAAAACTTACTACTGCCATTTTGTTGCTCGTTTTTTTGGTTGTTTTATAACTCTTCTCTTCTTCCTTTCTTACTGTCCTCCTTTGATTTATTTTCTCTGGCAGTATGTTTTAAATCATTGCTTTTTATTCTTAATGAATCTATTATACGTTTTTACATAGTGGTTACCATGAGGCTTACAAAAAATATAGATATAACAAGTTATTTTAAGGAGGTGACAATGTATCTTACATCATGAATAGAACAGAAATAAAGAAAAATGACGTCGGGCGCGGTGGCTCACACCTGTAATCCCAGCACTTTGGGAGACCAAAGTGGGTGGATCACGAGGTCTGGAGTTCAAGACCAGCCTGAACAATATGGTGAAACCCTGTCTCTATTAAAAATACAAAAATTAACCAGGCGTGGTGGTGGGAGCCTGTAATCCCAGCTACTCCGGAGGCTGAGGCAGGGAACTGCTTGAACCCGGGAGGCGGAGGTTGCAGTGAGCTGAGATCGTGCCACTGCACTCCAGCCTGTACAACAGAGCGAGACTCTGTCTAAAAAAAAAAAAGTAAAAAAACTTTTAAAAATTTAAAAAAAAGAAATAAAGAAATATGAAAACAGAAACTCTGTACTTCAACTCCATCCCCCCATATTTTGATTTTATGTTGTCTCAATTTACATATTTTTGCTGAATGTGGTGGCTCACGCCTGTAATTCCAACACTTTGGGAGGCCAAGGTGGGTGGACCACTTGAGATCAGGAGTTCGATACCAGCCTGGCCAACATGGTGAAACCCCATCTCTACTAAAAATACAAAAATCAGTTGGGCGTGGCAGCGCATGTCTGTATTCCCAGCTACTCGGAAGTCTGAGGCAGGAGAATCACTTGAACCCAGGAGACGGAGGATGCAGTGAGCCAAGATGGTGCCACTGCACTCCAGCCTGGTGACAGAGCAAGACTCCATCTCAAAAAAAAAAAAGAAAAAGAAAAAGAAAAAAAAACATTTTTATATTGCGTACCTCCTAACAGGTTGCTGCGGCTATTATTGTTTTTTTGTTTTGTTTTGTTTGTTTGCTTTTTGAGATGGAGTCTGATTCGGTCGCCCAGGCTGGAGTGCACTGGTGCAATCTCTGCTCACTGAAAGCTTTGCCTCTCGGATTCAAGCGATTCTCCTGCCTCAGCCTCCCAAAGTAGCTGGGAGTACAGGTGCACGCCCCCACATCTGGCTAATTTTTGTATTTTTATTAGAGATGGGGTTTCACCATGCTGGCCAGGCTGATCTCAAATTCCTGACCTCAGGTGATCCACCCATCTTGACTTTCCACAGTGCTGGGATTACAGGCGTCAGCCACCATGCCTGGCAGCTATTATTGTTTTTAATAGATAGCCTTTTGGGCCTCATACTAGAGTTATGAGTATATTACACACTACAATTACAGTATTAGAGTATTCTAGGTGTGTCCATGTACTTTATTTTACTAATGGGTTTGATACTTTCGAATGTTTTCCTTTTTTTCCTTTTTTTCTTTTTGAGACAGAGTTTTGCTCTTGTTGCCCACGCTGGAGTGCAATGGCACAATCTCAGCTTACTGCAACCTCCACCTTCTGGGGTCAAGTGATTCTCCTGCCTCAGCCTCCTGAGTAGCTGGGATTACAGGCATACACCACCATGCCCAGCTAATTTTATATTGTTTTTAGTAGAGACAGGTCTTCTCCATGTTGGCCAGGCTGGTCTCAAACTCCCGACCTCAGGTAATCTGCCCACCTTGGCCTCCCAAAGTGCTGGGATTACAGGCATGAGCCACCACATCTGGCCTCTAATGTTTTCTTTTTGCACATTAGTGCTTCTTTTTTTCTTTCAAATTGAAGAATTCCCTTTGGCATTTCTTGTGGGCCTCATGGTGATGCATTCTCTCATCTTTTGTTGTCTGGGGAAAGCTTTATCTCATCTTCATATTTGAAGGGTAGCTTTGCTGAATACAGTATTCTCAGATGGCAGGTTTTTTTTTTCTTTCAGCATGTTGAAAATGTTGTCCCTTTCCCTCCTGGCCTATATGGTTTCTGTTGAGAACTTTGTCACCAGATGAATCAGAGTTCTTTTATATGTTATTTGCTTCTTTTCTCTTGATGCTTTTAGGATCTTCTTTTTGTCCTTGACCTTTGAGAGTTTGATTATTATATGCCTTGGGGTGATCTTATTTGATTCAAATCTGTTTGGTTGTTGGAAATAAATTTTTGGTGCCACAAAAGAAATAGCACTCCAACATAAATTTTCTCAGCAAGGCAATTTTACTTCTGTAGAAGGGTGCATCTCATGGATGGAGCAATGGCGAGAGCACACCTGAACAAGGGAGGGGAAGGGGTTCTTATCCCTGATGCAGGTAGCCCCTACTGCTGGGTCATTCCCCTATTGGATAGGGTTGGACCACACAGTCTAAGCTAATTCTGATTGGCTGTTTTAAAGAGCAGGGGTACGAGCCAGGGTGGCAGGGTGAGTAGTTTGGTGGGAAGGATAGTTAGGAACAGGTGATTAAAGGTGACTCAGATCAAGCCGGTGACCAGGGGTGACTCAGGTCAGAGCAGGTGACCAGGGGTGACTCAGGACAGAGCAGGTAACCAGGGGAATAGATGTGAACTACTGATTAGAACTGCTGGGAAAGGTTGTTTACTGAAACTTCGGGCAAGCAGACAAGGAGAATGAGGAAGTTAAACTTCAAAATGGAGAACGAAGAACTGAACATACTGATATACTGATTCTTTGAAGAGAAATTTAGAACTCACTGTATTTAACATGGTGTTCTCTGACCTTGCCATACCTGGATATTTATCTCTTTCTCAAGTTTTGGAATGTTTTCTGTTACTAGTTCTTTGAACAAGCTTTCTACTCTTTGCCCTTGCTCAACTCCCTCTTGAACACCAATAATTCTAAGATTTGGTCTTTTTAACTAACTTTCTGTATCTTGTGGGTGATCTTTCTTCCTTTTCATTTTGCTCCTTTTTCTCCTCTATGTTTTTGCAAATAACCTGCCTTAAAGGTCACTGATGCTTTCTTCTGCTTGATCCATTCCACTGTTGACAGTCTCTAATGAATTTTTCAGTTTAAAAAAAAATATTTCTCAGTTTTAATATATGTTTCTTTTTTTATTATTTTAATCTCTTTGTTAAATTTCTCTGATAAGTTTCTGAGGTCCTTTTCTGTATTGGACTGAGTTTCTTTAAAGCTGTTATTTTGAATTCTTAGCCAGAGAGTTCACATATTGCCATCTTATTAGGGTTAGTCACTGGTTCCTTGTTTTATGAGTTTAAGGAGGTCATGTTCCATGATTGCTGTTGTTTCTTGTGGATGTACATCTATGTCTTTTCACTGAAGGATTAGTTATTTATTCTAGTCTTCTCTGTCTGGCTTGTTTTGGTTTCATTAGATATGTTTGTTTAGAGATTGTTTATAATTTACCTGTTGATTTTCTTGCTTTTTTTTCCCACTAGGCCACTGTGTCCTTTTCAGTACTAAATGGCATCTTAAGTCCAGGTTTGCCTTAGTGAACAATCAGAATGCCCCTTATTCTGAATTGAAGAAGTCTTAAATGAGATATCTCAGTAATGTGGGAAGGCTGGTTAAGGGCACATACCCAGGGGGTGTGGAACAAACCTCAACATGGTGCTGTTGAACAGCCACTCTGATTTGGCCCAGTTACAGAGCACAGTTTCCAGGGCTGGGGATGGTAGTCCCACCTCCTGCCTTTGTCGCTGGCTGTCCTCAGGAATATTTCTCCTTTCAGGCACTCGTGATGTTTCTTATGGAACAGGTCTCCTGCCAGGGAACCCAAGATGGTGGGGAAGCAGGTTGTCCACCTCAATCTCACCTTTTTCAATGTAAATATTGTGAGCCAAGGGAAAATTTTTGTGTACTTGGTGCTGGGCAGATTATGGGGTGGGGCACTGCAGATATGTAAGTCCAATTATCTTACCATCAGCTCAAAATTTTTTCATTTCTCTGTGACCCTGGGAACAGTCTCATCTCATGTTTGAGTTTTGGTTTTTTATGGGGAGGAATGAAGCCAGCTTGCTTGTTTTGTTTTGTTTTGTTTTGTTTTGTTTTGTTTTGTTTTGTTTTGTTTTTGAGACACAGTCTTGCCCTGTCCCCTAGGCCGGAGTGCAATGGCACAATCTCGGCTCACTGGCTCACTGCAACCTCCACCTTCCAGGTTCACACGATTCTCTTGCCTCAGCCTCCTGAGTAGCTGGGATTACAGGCATGCACCACCACACCCAGCTAATTTTTGTATTTTAGTAGAGGCAGGGTTTCACCATGTTGGCCAGGCTGGTCTCGAACTCCTGACCTTGTGATCCACCCGCCTCGGCCTCCCAAAGTGCTGGGATTACAGGTGTAAGCCATCGCGCCCGGCCCCAGCTTGCTTCTATGTCACCCTTTGGAAGCCAGAAATCCCAACTCATAGACCTACAATAATTTATTAAGGTTGGAGCAGCTACTTTTGTTTAAATTGCCAATTGTGACATAAATAAAATAATGTTAGATAGAAACCAGAGTTAAGGGACATGTGTTTTATATAGCACCTAAGCTGGAAAACCTTATTGTTCTTGTCAGTGGAAATGAGATGCTGTTAAGGCTGTGAGATCTTGGGTTCATATGTAAGTTTAATCCATAAGACCTAACTACTCTTTTAGGAGTATATGTATCATTACAAATTTCATCAATAAACATATTTTTGTAGAATACAGCATGACTTTTGTGGAACAGAGCTGCCAGCAGGGACTCAGCTAGCTTCAACATGAAACTAGACCAAGGTGTGAACAACTTTTAAAATGATATATAAACCTGCACCTATTCATATCCCACTTCATAAAGTACCTCCTCACACACACTCTGGTTGCCACATACAAACCTGGTCCCATAATATATACAATTTCCTTTCTGAAACCTACTTCAAGTGAAACCTCCTCCCTTCCCCAGTTCTTTTCTTTTCCTTCCCTTTTTCCTTTCATCCATACTAAAATGGCTTCCATCTTACTGGCAGGATCTCAAGTAGCATTACTAAGGAACTGATTAAACTGAGCCACACTAGGTGAAAATAACTGATGCACACTCTAACCATTTCAAAGGTATTTAGGGTGCCTGGGCATCTTGGCTACCTGGGGAAAAGCAGCACAAGGACACCAAGTTGTAGGGTGGGAGCAGGAGTGACGAGGAGGGAAGGGAGAGGATGAGGAGGCCACAGTGGGACAGGGGAGGTATGGCCTGCCTGCCTGGGTTGTGGATAGTGCTGGGTGGTGAATAGTGCTGACTGAGCCTGATGCTTTCTTGCTATTGCTTTGCCTTCACAGATCCCCATCCCACCCACCCCCCACAGAGAAGGCAGCTCAGCTGTGGATGGTCAGATGCCCCATCTCCCACTGCCAATTTCTGGCCCCTACCAGCATGGAGCAAGTGGCAGCCGCTGCAGCAGCAGCAGCAGGATAAAAGGAGGAAAGATGACCTGACAGCTGACAGCCTACATAGCAGACTGTGGTACCAGGTATACAAAACCAGGATATGTCCAAAATAAAGAATCTCCGTTTACCATCCCTTCCTGTACTGCCATTAACAACTCAACAAAACAGATATAGAATTGAAGGTAAACTCTGTATTATTCTACCAATAAATTATTCATCCATGAAAAAAAAAACTCAACAAAAGTGGGTGGTCAAGTTCAAAAGGAGGGTGATGAAACATGCTGATGACCTAGACGTCTTTACTGGCGATGAAGCATTGGAAAATCTACATATACAACAAAGAGCCCATCCATCATGGTCTAGTTAAAGATTGGAACTCAATGGAAAGCTTTATAGAGCAAGTGATCTTTAAATATTTAAGGGCAGAACCTGAAGACCATTATTTTCTTTTGACTGGACCTCCGCTGAATACTCCAGAAAGCAGGGAATATATTCCTGAAATAGTGTTTGGGTCCTTCAATGTTCAGGTTTGTACATTGCTGTGCAGGTTGTTCTTGCTGTAGCTACATCCTGGACCACAAGACAAATAGGAGAATACATGTTGACTGGTAGGTTATAGACAAGTTGAAACGGTGTCACTCATGGCATTTCCGCGCCTGAAGGGTATGTGATTGGCAGCTGTATTAAACACATTCCAATTGCAGGATGAGCTATAACATATCTTACTCAGCAACTACTGAGAGACCAAGAAGTAGGAATCCCTCCAGAGCAATCCCTGGAAACTGCTAAGGCAGTAGAGGATCACTATAGTTATGTTAGCTCAGATTTAGTAAAAGAATTTAAAAAGTAAGGTGCAGATGGGTCGCAGTGGATTTAAACAGTGTATAAGAATCAATGCCATCTCAAATAAATAATTTTCCATCGATATTGGACATGAGAGATTCTTGGGACCTGAAATCTTTTCTCAACCAGGTTTGCTAATCCAGACTTTATACATCCCATCTCAGATGTTGCAGATGAAGTAATTCAGAATTGTCCTATTGATGTGAGACATCCTCTCAACAAGAATATTGTTGTCTATGGAGGTTCAACTGTGTTCAGGGACTTTGTACATCACTTGCAATGAGATATGAAAAGAACTGTAGATGTCAGGCTGACCTTAAGTGAGGAATTAAGTAGCAGTAGATTGAAGCCAGAAGCTATTGATGTACAAGTCATTACACACCACGTAGAGCAATATGCAATTTGGTTTGGAGGACCAATGCAGACTTCTATGCTTGAGTTCTATCAAGTATGCCACCCCGAAAAGGATTATAAAGAAATCGGACCTAGCATTTGTCATCACAATCTAGGGTTTGGAGTCATGTCATAAAATTGAGTTTATACTTATCGAGGTTAGGGAGGTGGGGCAGAGATAATCTTTCTGATTACCCATTTTGTCTGGATGGCAGATTTTGAAGTTTTATATCTGACTTGAAATAGTAATACCAAATGTGATTATGCAGGAATATTTTAATAAATGTATCAACATGCAACCTAGAACACAGCAAAAATGATTGCTTTTCTTCAGATTGAATATTTGAATCTTATGTGTGACAAAAATAAAGTGGGTTTACTTCTTTCTGTGCCCTGATATTTTGTATATTCACGAGTTATCCAAGATTTTATGCAGTTTATCAGTGTGTAGATCTATAACTTCTTTTTCTTTTTGTTTTTGTTTTTGTTTCATTTTTTTGTTTTGTTTTGGTTTTGGTTTTGTTTTGTTTTTGAGACAGAGTCTTACTCTATTGCCCAGGCTGGGGTGCAGTGGCGCGATGCAACCTCTGCCACCCAGATTCCAGCAATTCTCCTGCCTCAGCCTCCTGAGTAGCTGGGATTACAGGCACCTGCCACCGCGCCCAGCTAATTTTTTTTTGTATTTTCAGTAGAGACGGGGTTTCACCATCTTGGACAGGCTGGTCTTGAACTCCTGACCTCGTGATCCACCTGCCTTGGCCTCCCAAAGTGCTGGGATTACAGGCATGAGCCACCGCACCCAGCCGGATAGTTCTATAACTTCTAACTGTACAATACAAGAGTTCGTTTATATTTTATATTTCATATGTTTTATCCTTTGAGGGGAAATATCAAAGAAAAATAATACTTATTATTTGAGAGAAAAAAATGAACAAGTAAAGGATAAATTCAAAAAATAGCCTCATGAGACTTGGCACACTCATGGGATTCCAGTTATTATGATGTGCTTCAATCCCCCTGCTCCCCTCCCCCTTAAAAGTTTTTCTTTGCAAGTGCTTTTGGAATTAAGAAATTAATATCTTGTATTAACTGATGCCTTCTAGGGCTTTCTGATTACTCGCATTCTGTTTCTTGCATTAAAGACAAGGCAGGCTGGGCGCGGTGGCTTACACCTCCCAGCACTTTGGGAGGCCGAGGCGCACAGACTACCTGAGGTCAGGAGTTCGAGACCGGCCTGGCCAGCGTAGTGAAACTCCATCTCTACTAAAAATACAAAATTAGCCAGGTGTGATGGTGCGCACCTGTAATCCCAGCTACTTGAGAGGCTGAGGCAGGAGAATCACTTGAACCTGGAAGGCGGAGGTTGCAGTGCACTGAGATCGCGCCACTGCACTCCAGCCTGGGCAACAGGTGAGACTGTCTCAAAAATAAATAAACAAATAAAAATAAAAGACAAGGCAAGACATGGGACAGGGGAAAAAAAAGATATTTGAGCATCATATTGCTAATGGGTGCTAGAGAAAGGCTTCACTGGAGGGACCCAGTGTTTTATCTGGTAAATATACACGCCTTTAAACAAAGTATTCTCTGATTAAATCCTGGTATGTCCTTTAGAGAGACATCATGATATAGTGGAGTAGAAAGAGCATAGGTATTAAAAAAAATACACTGGATTTGAATCCTGACTTTTCCATCTACTGGAAATATGGCCTTGTGCCAAATTCAAATTAAACTCTCTGAACTTAGTTGCCTCTTCTATAAAATAAGGATATTCATATCTACCTCAACAAGAATTGAATAAATTAACACTTGTAAAGCTCTTAAACATGGGAGGTATCCAACAAATAATAATAAACATCATCATCCATACTGTATTATTAGTAGTAGCATAAATAAAGAGTCTTAAAAAAGATGTGTCGGAAATTTGAGAACAAGGATCATAAGCTTAGATTGCCAAGTATGGATGACTGTGGAATCAGAAAAATTATTTGATGAAAATGGCCACAATCCCCTACAAGAGGCAGTGTGAGCCATTCTACGGAAGGTGACCAACCAAACCAAAGAGATACATAAAAAAACAAAAAGCGGCTGGGCACAGTGGCTCACGCCTGTAATCCCTCCACATTGGGAGGCTGAGGTGGGTGGATCACCTGAGGTTGGGAGATCGAAACCAGCCTGGCCAACGTGATGAAACCCTATCTCTACTAAAAATACAAAAAAGTAGCTGGGCATGGTGGCACGTGTCTGTAATTCCAGCTACTCAGGAGGCTGAGGCAGGAAAATCGCTTGAACCCAGGAGGTGGAGGTTGCAGTGAGCTAAGATCGCACCACTGCACTCCAGCCTGGGCAACAAGAGCAAAACTCCATCTCAAAAAAAAAAAAAAAAAATTGGTCTGTCAGTCACAGGAGTACTGGAAGAAGCAGAGATGGAGACCTATTGAGTTACCATAACAAGGCAACACACAATTTGGACCAAATGATGTCTTCTTCTGATAGGGACAACAAAATATCCCAGTCACCAGAGCTGCCCTATATTCTGATTCATTCCCTGTTCCTGACCAGTCCATCTTCATGAGGCCCAGCTCTACTGCAGATCCTGTTTGTCTAGGCAATTTGGCTTTCAGTAGTTTGTATTTTTTTACTTTCCACATGTAAACATATGGTAGACTTTATTACTTAAGCTAATCTTAATATAGCTATGTTCCTTCCCACCTAAAAACAAATCTAAACAATCAGTAATCACAATCATCTTTATTAATGTTTTCATTTGGAGACGATCTCCCAGGATCATGCAGAAGAAAACACAAGGAGAAAAAAAAAAAAAGAAAGAAAACTTGAGTTCCAAATTACTGCCTGGTTTAAACATGATGTCTGCGTACATGACTCAATACAGTATTGCATTTCATGCTGAAAGTATGCTTCCTGGAGTAGTAGAAGCAGCAAAATACAAGAAAAGATCAGGACCTCAAGGAGAAATACCAATATTTGCGTGGCTTCACCTGCCCACCTGCAGCAGTCTTCCACCCACACGTGGTATAATGAGTTTGATTGATTGCCAACCATCACAGTTCTATGCAATTTATCCTGTAGGATACATGGCAGCCCTCTTCAAGTCAGTCCCAGAGCAATCCTACTTTCCAACTTAATTCCTGGTTATTCGCAAACCAGTCTATACCCGGGAAACAGATCACAATCAGAATTATGAGTCCACAGTTTGTTGGAAGGTCAAATCTCAAACCTAGGCTGCAATTCCTGAAGTTATAGGGATCAGTATGGGTTGTGGCTCTGCACAAAAGCCACACACACAGACTTTCAGCCATTTCTCCTCACTGATTAGCCACAAACATGCTTCGTGTTTCCCCACATCAGCTCTGTTCACCTGTGGGCCAAATTTGGCCTGCCCCGTGTGTTCTGTACAACCTGTTAAGAACTTACTTTTTTTTTTTTTTTTAACAAACGATCTCACTCTGTCACCCAGGCTGGAGTACAGTGGTACAATCACGACTCACTGCAGCCTCATCCTCTCAGGCTAAAGTGGTCCTCCTACATCAGCTGCCCAAGTAGCCGGGACCATAGGCATGTGCTACCACATCTGGCTAATTTTTTTTTTTTTTTTTTTTTTGGTAGAGAAAGGGTCTCACTATATTCACTATGCTGTTCTTGAACTCCTGGGCTCCACCTTCGCCTCCCAAAGTGCTGGGATTACAGGCATGAGCCACTGCACCCTGCTAGAACTTACATTTCTTAAGTTGTTGAAAAAAGCAAAATGAAAATAATATTTCATGATACATGAAAATTATGACATTCAAATTATAGTATCTATAAGTAAAGTATATAATTAAGTAAATAAATAAAACCATGCCGGGGTTGGGCTAGGTGGCTCACTCCTGTAATCCCAGCACTTTGGGAGGCTGAGGCGGGCAGATTGCCTGGGGTCAGGAGTTCTAGTCCAGCCTGGCCAACATGGTAAAACCCTGTTTCTACTAAAAGTACAAAAATTAGCTGGGCATGGTGGTAGGTGCCTGTGATCCCAACTACTCGTGAGGCTGAGGCAGGAGAATCACTTGAACTCCGGAGGCAAAGGTTGTAGTGAGCCGTGATCACACCACTGCACTCCAGCCTGGGCAACAGAGTGAGACTCCGTTTCAAAAAAAAAAAAAACCCATGCCCATTTGTATGTGTATTTTATGGCTGCTTTCCCATACAATGGCAGAGTTGAGTAGCTGCAACAGAGACTGTATGGTCCTCAAGGCCAAAAACATTTATTATCTGCCTCTTTAGAGAGAAAGTGTGCTTTCCTCTGCTTTAGACACTTTAACACAATTGTGGCTTGGAAGCTACAGAGACCTCCACAAAAGTTTGGTGGAAAAAATAATAAAACTAAACCATATTCAAGATGTTCTTTTACAACACAGACCATCTCTGGACATTTGAAGACAGTTGGGAAAAATGTTGCGACAACACCAAATTTAAGTCTAGAAGAAAATAAGTTAGACCAAATTCAAAGTATTCAAGGAAACAAGACCAAGAAATACTAAGAAAAATAACAGGCCGGGGGCAGTGGCTTGCACCTGTAGTCCCAGCATTTTGGGAGGTAGAGGGAGGAGGATCACTTGAGCCCAGGAGTTCAAGACCAGCCTGAGCAATCTAGTGAGACCTCGTCTCTACGAAAAATTTAAAAATTAGTCAGGTGTGGTGGTATGTGCCTGTAGTCCCAGCCACTTGGGAGGCTGAGGTGGAAGAATCGCTTGAGCCTAGGAGGATGAGGCTGCAGTGAGCCGTGATCACGTCGCTGCACTCCAGCCTGAGCGACAGAGCAAGACCCTGTCTCAAAAAATAAATAAATAAATAAAATTGTAAAATTAAAAAAGAAAAATCACTGTTCAGGGAGCTTGACTTAAAACATTACAGATGATAGTTGGATCAGATGACCTCTAATGTCCCTCCAACCCTGAAATTCTGTTTCTTCTAGTCTGTGAAGGTCTATGTTAGCACCTTAGTAATTCAAAGTGTGAATTTCTTAAAATGTGAATGCACCAATAAGAACACATCTCTTGCCAAGTAACAACCATGTTAGCTTTTTCTTCTCTTTTTTTCCAAATTTGCTTTGGAACAGAAAGAAAACCACAGATCTGAAGATTTCAACGAGACCTGTTAAGCCCCACAGACTTTGTCGCACCTGCTGTTACAAAATTGGAAAAAGCTAGAAACCCAGAGAGTCTCCTAGGAAACAAACTATGGATATTGGTCTTGCCTATCACAGGAGTGCTATTACAATATTCCCCAAGCTAAAGGTCTCACACATAAAAACTGACTCTGAGGGAAATAGAAGAAGTAGTAGAACACAGGAGAGACCAACCTTAACAGTTATCTTCAGTAAGAGCCACAGCTCCTCCCCCAGTTCATAAGGAAGCTGGAAGCAGATATCTCTACAAATAAGCAGGCAAATAATAAATTAAGTTTCCATAGTTTGACTCTTTACTTTGATCCAGCCAAAAGTAATTAGTTGGGTCTTCTGCCACGAGCTCTTCACAATAATTGCTGCTGACCTATGAGATATTCAAGATTCCTTAGGAATAGATTTGTATCCTTTCTCTCCGTCTGCAAGAAGAGTTTTTGATGGATGCTGACACCTTCAGGTGAGTTCCTCTTCTCAAAATAGCACCTGCCACTGTTCTAATCCCATTTTTCAGAGATAAATGTTAAGTCCAAACATTGTGTAAGGGGTTTCTCTACTCTGAGTCACTTCATCTCTCAATATTCTTACTTGTTTAGTTACTCAGTATAGTTCTTTTTCTGCTGTCACAAAAATTTTCTTTGCTGTTCTGCTCATATGACTATGTAACTACCATTTAGCCTTTTTATAAATAGTGGCTAATAGGCCAAGCATGTTGGCTCACACCTGTAATCCCAGCACTTTGGGATGCCAAGACGGGCGGATCACCTGAGGTCAGGAGTTCAAGACCAGCCTAACCAACATGGTAAAACCCCATCTCTACTAAAAATACAAAAATTAGCTGGGGGTGGTGGTACACGCCTGTAATCCCAGCTACTTGGGAGGCTGAGGCAGGAGAATCACTTGAACCTGAGAGATGGAGGTTGCAGTGAGCCAAGATGGCACAACTGCATTCCAGCCTGGGCAACAGAGAGAGACTCCATCTCAAAAATAAAAATTAAAATTAAAAAAATTAAAAAATTAAAAAATAGTGGCTAATATTGGATAACACTATTTCCCCCAGGCCTTTAATTGGCTAAATTTTTCTCCAAAGCTATTCTCCATTAAAAGTCCATTCACTGGTTTTAATACCAACCAGACTAGGAAGAGCATCTTCGAGTTCTGTGGTGGTGCCACCCTTGCTCTGTTCTTTTTGTCCTCACCAGGTCCCTTCCACCTATAAGACAAGTTCTCTGCCCAAAATTTGAAAAATGGACATGAGTAAAGCTATAACCTGATTTCTTTGTTGGCAAATATTTTAAACAGACAATTCTAACTCATTGCTAATAAGGGTTTTACATTTTAATAGAAATTGTCTCATGTCTCTCAATTTAATAACTCAAACTTTTCTCATATTATATATGTATATATTTGTTCCATTGTTATTCATCTTTAAATTATTTTCCATTTTATATGTCTTATTGTGAAATTTATTTTAAAAAGAAATTAATTATATTAGTTTTCCAAATATTTGAAATGCTTTTTATAAATAAAAAAGTGTGCTTTGAGTCGATTTTCAGAAAATAATAAAATTTTTAAAGTTTTCTTCATGGCCATTTGAAAGATGGGTTAGGGATACAGTTTGGGACCAGAATTAAGTAAAATTCATTTGCTGAAATGAGGTTAAGCCTGTGCCCTTCGCCTCATTAGAAAAGATGTCTAATCTCCTTGGTTGCTCAAAATTATACACTTTTATTTAGTTTGTGGTCCCCTAATATTTCTCATATATTTTTCAAACATTCATGTACTAGATGGTCTTTATTTTATTTTGTTTATTTATTATTTATTTATTTATTTTGAGATGGAGTTTCATTCTTGTTGCCCAGGCTGGAGTGCAATCGCACGATCTCAAGTCACTGCAACCTCTGCCTTCCGGGTTCAAGCTACTCTCCTGCCTCAGCCTCCTGTGTAGCTGGGATTACAGGCTCATACCACTATGCCCAGCTAATTTTTGTATTTTTAGTAGAGACGAGGTTTCACCATGTTGGCCACACTGGTCTCAAACTCCTGACATCAGGTGATCCACCAGCCTTGGCCTCCCAAAGTGTTAGGATTACGGGCATGAGCCACCGCGACCGGCCTCTAGATGGTCTTTAATATTTGATATCAGATGAGAATTCAAAAACACATTTAATCAATATATTCAAAGACTAAGTATCTGTGAAATAAAAACACTACTAAGCCTTCAGGCTTTTTTCTTTTTTTTTGAGTTGGAGTTTTGCTCTTGTTGCCCAGACTGGAACGCAATGGTGTGCTCTCAGTTCACTGTAATCTCAGCCTCCCAGGTTCCAGCGATTCTCCTGCCTCAGCCTCCTGAGTAGCTGGGATTACAGGCATGTGCCACCACACCACACTAATTTTGTATTTTTAGTAGAGACGGGGTTTCTTCACGTTGGTCAGGCTGATCACCCGACCTCAGGTGATCTGCCCGCCTCGGCCTCCCAAAATGCTGGGATTACAGGCGTGAGCCACCGCGCCCGGCCTCCCTCGGGCTTTTTTAAGAAACACTCAGTGTGATAGATTGTCAATGAAAGAAGTCGGGCAACTTCATGAATTCATTGTAACTAAACTTCACTCTAGTTTGATTTTAGAACTTGCTCTTAACTCCACTATGTCTCAATTTTGAAATAGGGTAGTAACACCAGTTTAGAATCCTTGACAGAATGAACCATAAAACTCTTAAAATTGTGATTCAGTTCACATGATTTACTACATTATTTTGATTTGGTTCCTTGTGGGAAGGAATTTTCAGTAAAATGTGGAAAGAGTGCTGGACTAGGAACAACACAATCTGGTTGGAGCCTTTACTCCAGCATTATACAGCTGTGAGACTCCTCTGCCATTTAACCTCTAAGGATTAAAAAACACTACACAGGTGCAAAATGCCACCATTATTCTATGACTTTTTATCACTCTGGTCCCCGGAGGTTTCATCGGTGCCATGTTTCCTTCTCCTTGTGCCATGTCTCTTTCTCTCCCTCCATGTCTCTTTCTGTCCCTCCGTATCTCTCTCTCTCTCTCTCTTTTATTTTTGAAAGCATTTAAATAAAGTGTCTCAGAACCACATGTGGGATATTAATGAGCCAGAGAGTATGCAGAAGGGTGGTTACCTGGCAAATACTAAGCTTTATGCTTGGAGGTTTATGATAATGGCAGTGACACAGGGAGAAAGGTCTTAACAGATCAGAGGTAAAGGGAAGTTTTTCTATTAATATTTATAACTTACTGAGGAGCAAAAAGTTAGAGAAACAAAAAGAAGAAAACAAAAAGAGGTAACTGGGATGAAATCACACCCAATAAAGATACTCGGTATTACAAATAAAACTGCACTCTTTCCTCTCATTCCTCCCTTTAAGATGGTTCTGAAATCTAAGGACAAAGTTAGAAAATTCTATTCTCTGGTTGAATAAAACAAGAATCATCATGCTATGGGTGGACTGTCATTCCCTATCAATGGAAAATTTTGCAAAAGAAATAACACTTTTTAGGGAGTAAATCTTAGAATATTCTCCAAAGCAAACAAGAAAACAGTATGAAAAATAAATCAGGGAAAAATAATTAGGGAACTCTAAAAAGTTAGAAAAATGTTGAAAAAGAGCCAATGGAAATAACAAAGGCAATCTAAAAAGATAGAAATTCAGGGAGAAAATAATTAGAATAAAACTTTGTTGATGTATCTTCGTTACTGCCCAAGGGAAAAAGATAACTGTATCTGAAGGGAAAATTGAAGTATTCCCTTAGATACAGATGCTGTGTGATTTACCAGGTGTAGTTCACTGTGACCTAACTTAAGTGTGCTTCATGAAATTCCCCTTGCTGTGATTCAAAACTCAGAATTACACATTTGATTCCTAATTTCATTTCCAGGGACCATGAAGTATTAATACGTGGGTGCCCTGGGCAGTAGACACATCATTTCAGACATGGGAGCAAGATCTCCCACTGTAAAGTAATAAATTATTTGTTTAGTTTTTAAGTCATTCTCTCAGGTACTTGAATAGTGTGAACTGATTTCCCTCAGCCTGATTCCCCCAGAGAGACCTAACCAAATCAGGCTTCTAAATCTGGACACTTTAACAACAGACCTCAGTGACCCCAGAAAACTATAGCATCCCATGACACGACACACAGACCAGAGCAGCCACCTGAGCTCCTTCAGCCCAGGGCTACCATTGTGCACTGCCATGAATTTCCCAAGGAACCTGTGTGGGAACTTGAGCCTCTGTACTTTCTGAAGTCAAGGAACGCGGGGAGGAGGCCAGCATCTGTAGCTCTGGCATCTGGAAGAGGATTGCGGTCAGCTTTTTGAAGTTCAGCCATCGCTGTGATCCTGTGGCTATAATGTTTAAAACTGAAGAATTTATAAACTGCATTTTATTGACTTGAAAGAGGATAAAATGGCATGGGGTGGCGGGATTTACTGCCTTTTTTTTAAGTTTCATAACAGAGATGGTTAAATGATGAGAGCTAAGCTCTGAAAGAGCTTGGGTACAGCAGTTTTAAAGCTAAGTGTTTAATGTAAAGACTATTGAGCCGAGGGCAGTGGCCCACGCCTGTAATCCCAGTACTTTGGGAGGCCGAGGCGAGCAGATCATGAGGTCAGGGGTTCGAGACCAGCTTGGCCAACATGGTGAAACCCCATCTCTACTACAAATACAAAAATTAGCCGGGCATGGTGGCGCATGCCTGTAATCCCAGCTACTCAGGAGGCTAAGGCAGGAGAATTGCTTGAACCCAGGAGGCAGAGGTTGCAGTGAGCTGAGATCGTGCCACTGCCCTCCAGCCTGGGTGACAGAGCAAGACTCCATCTCAAAAAAAAAAAGACTTGAGGCCAGGCACAGTGGCTCACGCCTGTAATCCCAGCACTTTGGGAGGCCGAGGCGGGCAGATCATGAGGTCAGGAGATCGAGACCATCCTGGCTAACACGGTGAAACCCTGTCTCTACTAAAAATACAAAAAATTAGCTGGGTGTGGTGGCGGGCTCCTGTAGTCCCAGCTACTTAGGAGGCTGAGGCGGGAGAATGGCGAGAACCCGGGAGGCGGATGTTGCAGTGAGCCGAGATCGCACCACTGCACTCCAGCCTGGGCGACAGAGCAAGACTCTGTCTCAAAAAACAAAATAAAACAAAAAAGACTTGAATGTAACTATCCCTTGTTTTTCACTATTTGTCAAAATTGGATCCACAGTCTCATTCCGCATCCTCATAGCCCCAGTGAAGAAATTGAAACCCAGAGGAGTTGGCTTTTTTGTATGTTGTTTGTGTTTTTGTTTTAAGACAGGGTCTCTCACTCTATCACCCAGGCTGGAGGGCAGTGGTTCACCTTGACCTTCTGGGCTCAAGAAATCCTCCCATCTCAGCCTCCCAAGTAGCTGGGAACACAGGTGCGTGCCAATACGCCCAGTAAATTTTTTTTATTTTTTTTATAGAAATAGGGTCTTGCTATGTTGCCCAGGTTTGTCTCAAACTCCTGGGCTTAAGCAATCCTTCTGCCTCAGCCTTCCAAAGTGCTGGGATTACAGGCATAAGCCACCACACCCAGTCCCAGAGGAGCTTTGAGACTCGCTCAGAACCAAGAAGTGAACTAATGACCAGATCCATTATGATGGCAACCTAACGATTGAGATCCATTATAATGTTTACATTTGTTGCTCTCAGCCAGCAGCAGGACCATCTGTCTACGATGACTTACTTCTTCACCAGAGTTGCCAGTTCCCTGCTCTCCACAGTCCCCTGACCCAAGCAAGGCAGAATGCTGCCCTGCACAGGAGTGAAGGTAGAGAGAATCATTAATCAGAAAGCTCCTGACATTTCCCTGTTAATCTTACTCTCCTCCTTCTGAGTGGATGGAAATCAGTCCAGAGAAAAAAAAATCAATCAATTTCTTTTTTTTTTTTTTTTTTTTTTGAGATGGAGTCTTGCTCTGTGGCCCAGGCTGGAGTACAGTGGCTCAATCTCCGCTCACTGGAAGCTCCGCCTCCCCGGTACATGCCATTCTCCTGCCTCAGCCTCCCCAGTAGCTGGGACTACAGGTGCCCACCATCACGCCCGACTAATTTTTTGTATTTTTAGTAGAGACGGGGTTTCACCGTGTTAGCCAGGATGGTCTCCATCTCCTGACCTCGTGATCCGCCTGCCTCAGCCTCCCAAAGTGCTGGGATTACAGGCGTCAGCCACCGCGCCCAGCCAAATCAATCAATTTCAATTTTTTTGACATCCTACCTCAAGTCATGAGTATTTTTCAGTAAAAATTTTCATCAAGCCTGTTTTATTTAAACTTTTATTTTTAATCAATAAATAATAGTTAAATTAAAAATGTGATGTTTTGATAGATGCATATACATTGTAGAATGATTGTATCAAACTAACATATCCATTGCCTCACATACTTGTCTTTTTTTGTAGTAAGAACACTTAAAATAAGCTCTTTTAGCAATCTGAAATATATATTATTATTAACTATGGTCACCATGCTGTTCAATAGGTCCTGAAAACTCACTTTTCCTGTCTAACTGAAACTTCGTACTTTTTTTTTTTTGAGACAGAGTCTTGCTCTGTCACCCAGGCTGGAGTGCAGTGGCACAATCTCAGCTCACTACAACCTCCACCTCCTGGGTTCAAGCAATTCTGCCGCCTCGACCTCCTGAGTAGCTGGGATTACAGGTGCATGCCACCACACTGGGCTAATTTTTTTATTTTAGCAAGGACAGGGTTTCACCATGTTGGCCAGGCTGGTCTCAAACTCCTGACCTCAAGTGATCTGCCTGCCTTGGCCTCCCAAAGTGCTGGGATTACAGGCGTGAGCCACTGCACCCAGCTGAAACTTTGTACCTTTTGATCAACATCTCTGCATTCCCCATCCGCATTCCCATCCCCGGCATCTAGTAACCACCATTCTCTTTTTTTCTTTTGTAAGTCCAATTTTTTTTAGATTCCACATATAAGTGAGATCATGCAATATTGTCTTTCCATGCCTGGCTTATTTTGCTTAATATAATGTCTTCCAGGTTCATTCATATTGTCACAAATGACAGGATTTCCTTCTTTTCTAGGGCTGAATAGTATTCTGTTGAATATATATGACATTTTGCAGACAAATGTGGTAGAACTTTTCCCGTTTTCTTCCAGTAGTTTTACAATTTCAGGTCTTATGTTTAAGTCTTTAATTCATTTTGAGCTGATTTTTGCTAATGGTGTGAGATAAAGGTCCAATTTCATTCTTTTGCATATGGATATCCAGTTTTCCCAACACCATTTATTGAAGAGACTGTCCTTTCCCCATTGTGGAACAAAAAGATACCAAATAGCCAAAGCAGTCTTGCACACACACAGAAAAAGCCACAGGCATCATATTATCTTATCTTAAAATATATTATAAAGTTATAGTTATCAAAACAGCATGGCACTGGCATAAAAACAAACACATCAACCAATGACAGAATACAGAGCCCAGAAATCAACCCATCCATTTAAGGTCAGTTAATTTTCAAAAAAGTTTCCAAGCCATGAATTTAGATATCTGAAAATTATAGGACTAGAAGGAATTTTAAAAGCTCATTATTCCAACCCTTTTCCTTCTTTTTTTTTTTTTTTTTTTTTTTGTTTGTTTGTTTGAGATGGAGTCTCGCTCTGTCACCCAGGCTGGAGTACAGCCGTGCAATCTCTGCTCATTGCAGCCTCTGCCTCTCAGGTTCAAGCAATTCTCCTGCCTCAGCCTCCCAAGTAGCTGGGAGTACAGGCACCCACGACCACACCTGGCTAATTTTTGTATTTTTAGTAGAGATGGGGTTTCACCATATTGGCCAGACTGGTCTCGAATTCCTGACCTTGTGATCCATCTGCCTCGGCTTCCCAAAGTGCTGGGATTACAGGCGTGAGCCACCACACCTGGCCTTTTTTTTTTTTTTTTTTTTTTTTTTTTTTTGAGATGGAGTTTCACTCTTTTGCCCAGGCTGGAGTGAAGTGGTGCAATCTCAGCTCACCTCCACCCCCTGGGTTCAAGTGATTCTCCTGCCTCAGCCTCCCGAGTAGCTGGGATTATAGGTGCCCACCACCGTGCCTGGCTAATTTTTGTATTTTTAGCAGAGGCAGGGTTTCACCATGTTGTTCAGGCTAGTCTTGAACTCCTGACCTCAGGTGATCCACCCTCCTCGGCCTCTCAAAGTGCTAGGATTACAGGCATAAGCCACCGAGCCCACCCGCCAACCCTTTTCTTTAGGTTAAAAAATGCCAAGTAAGCTGGGTGTGGTGACTCATGCCTGTAATCCCAACACTTTGGGAGACCAAGGCAGGCAGATCACTTGAGGCCAGGAGTTCAAGATCAGCCTGGCCAACATGGTGAAACCCCGTCTCTACTAAAAATACAAAAATTAGCCAGGCATGGTAGCATATGCCTGTAATCCCAGCTACCCGGACACTGAGGCATGAGAATTGCTTAAACCTGAGAGGCAGAGGTTTCAGTGAGCTGAGATCATGCTATTGCACTCCAGGCTGTGTGACAGAGAGAACTCTGTCTCAAAAAAAAAAAGAAATGCGAATCAAGGAGTTGGACTAAGAACTTAAAATAATTCTTCCACACTGAGAGTGGTTTGTTCTGGTCTAGCAATCCTCTCATTCTCTCCAATCATCCTTTAATTTTCCTTAAATCTCTGACTTCTCACTAGAGCCAGCCCTCATTTCTTCTTTCTCTCCTCTCTTTACTGTGTCTTAAGGCTAAATGATCACATGCAAAGCAACTGAATTATATAGCACCAAGTACCAACCACAGTGCATAGTGGCGATAGTCCTCACTTTATTTATGTACTTACAGCTTCATGGTCATTCTCTTCCTTTTAATGGTAAAGAACTTGGAAAGTAGATCTGTACAGCATCAAGCACTGTCACACATAAAAATCAGCCACTTATTTTCTGCATTTCCTTTCTGCATATTCCCCACTCTATGTAAGTTTATGTCCTGGCAGAGATAAGAGTGAGCCAGTGGCCTCTGGAAGATTCTGAGCGGGCAGAGCACCTAATGAAACAAATACCCTTTCTCACATATATCATGTTTCCAGGAAATCCTGGCCTGTACTAACACAACAGTCAATGATTATTTTCCAAAGGTTATTGGAAAAAGTGCTCTAAGTACAAAACCCTCGGTGCAAACTTTTTCTATAAATGTCCAGGGAGTAAATAGTTTATGTTTTGCAAGCTAAATGCAACCACTCATCTCTGTCATAGTAGCTCCAAAACAGTTACGGACAATATGTAAGTAAATGAGCAAGGCTGTGTTCCAATAAGATCTTGTTTACAAAACACCTGCCAGAGAACATTGTTTCTCCCTACTTGTCATCTTTCCACGTAAGAAAGAAACTTCTCTGCCACTGCCCCTAGTTTTTACAATCTCTTTCTAGTTCCCCCTCACTTTCCTCTCACCTCTATGTTAATTCTTGTTTTGTCCATTCTCTAGGTAAGATTCTCTGGGATATGGAAAGAATCAACAGCACACTGTTGACTGCGTTTATCCTGACAGGAATTCCGTATCCACTCAGGCTAAGGACACTCTTTTTTGTGTTCTTTTTTCTAATCTACATCCTGACTCAGCTGGGAAACCTGCTTATTTTAATCACTGTCTGGGCAGACCCAAGGCTCCATGCCCGCCCCATGTACATCTTTCTTGGTGTTCTCTCAGTCATTGATATGAGCATCTCCTCCATCATTGTCCCTCGCCTCATGATGAACTTCACTTTAGGTGTCAAACCCATCCCATTTGGTGGCTGTGTTGCTCAACTCTATTTCTATCACTTCCTGGGCAGCACCCAGTGCTTCCTCTACACCCTAATGGCCTATGACAGGTACCTGGCAATATGTCAGCCCCTGCGCTACCCTGTGCTCATGACTGCTAAGCTGAGCGCCTTGCTTGTGGCTGGAGCCTGGATGGCAGGATCCATCCATGGGGCTCTCCAGGCCATCCTAACCTTCCGCCTGCCCTACTGTGGGCCCAATCAGGTGGATTACTTCTTCTGTGACATCCCTGCAGTGTTGAGACTGGCCTGTGCTGACACAACAGTCAACGAGCTGGTGACGTTTGTAGACATTGGGGTGGTGGTTGCCAGTTGCTTCTCCCTGATCCTCCTCTCCTACATACAGATCATTCAGGCCATCCTGAGAATCCACACAGCTGATGGGCGGCGCCGGGCTTTTTCAACTTGTGGAGCCCATGTAACCGTGGTCACCGTGTACTATGTGCCCTGTGCCTTCATCTACCTGAGGCCTGAAACCAACAGCCCCCTGGATGGGGCAGCTGCCCTAGTCCCCACGGCCATCACTCCTTTCCTCAACCCCCTTATCTACACTCTGCGGAACCAAGAGGTGAAGCTGGCCCTGAAAAGAATGCTCAGAAGCCCAAGAACTCCGAGTGAGGTTTGAAAGTGTCTTTCTCCCACTAGGGAAGCTGCCACAATTAGAATTTATTATAATGTTTAGGCTTCGGTAACTTTTTTCTTTTCTTCTTGTTTTTTCTCTTTTATATAGCCATACTGTATGATCAAACACAGTTTAAGGTAAAATACTAACTTTCTAACAGTTCCTTAGTATCCTCTCAAGATAACTCTCAGCCACTGCAAGAGTAGAGAATGAGACCAAATTCTCACAAACTAAACCACATTAAACAATCCAGAAGAAAGAATGCAATAGTGTATTTTCCAATGTCTCAGTAATAAATTCTCCCACACCAAAACGTAGAGTTCAATATGATATTTCCCAATATTATATTTGATATTTAATATTGAGTGTCAATATTGAGTGTCAACTTGATTGGATTGAAGGATACAAAGTATTGATCCTGGGTGTGCCTGTGAGGGTGTTGCCAAAAGAGATTAACATTTGAAGGCTGGGAAAGGCAGATCCACCCTTAATCTGGGCAGGCGCAACCTAATCAGCTGCCGGCGAGGCTAGAATATAAGCAGGCAGAAAAATGTGAAAAGAAAGACTGGCCTAGCCTCCCAGCCTACATGTTTCTCCTGTGCTGGAACCATCCTACCCTCAAACATAAAACTCCAAGTTCTTCAGTTTTGGAACTTGGACTGGCTCTCCTTGCTCCTCAGCCTGCAGATGGCCTATTGTGGGACCTTGTGACCATGTGAGTGAATACTTAATAAACTCCCCTTTATATATATATAAATATATATATATTTTTTTCCCATTAGTTCTGTCCGTCTAGAAAACCCTAACGCTGGGCGCGGTGGCTCACGCTTGTAATCCCAGCACTTTGGGATGCTGAGGCAAGCGGATCACGAGGTCAGGAGATCGAGACCACGGTGAAACCCCGTCTCTACTAAAAATACAAAAAAATTAGCCGGGTGTGGTGGCGGGCGCCTGTAGTCCCAGCTACTCAGAGAGGCTGAGGCAGGAGAATGGCGTGAACCTGGGAGGCGGAGGTTGCAGTGAGCCGAGATCGCACCACTGCACTCCAGCCTGGGCGACAGAGTGAGACTCCGTCTCAAAAAAATAAAAAAATAAAAAAAAAAAAAACAAAGAGACCCCTGACTAACACAGGGGTGAAAGATAAAAGACTACATATTGGGTACAGTGTACACTGCTTGGGTTATGGGTGCACCAAAATCTCAGAAATCACCACTAAAGAACTTATCCATGTAACCAAAAACCACCTGTACTCCAAAAACTATTGAAATAAAATTTTCTTAAAAAGCAATTTTTTAAAAATTACTATTTCTGGGGCCAGGCATGGTGGCTCATGCCTGTAATCCCAGTACTTTGGGAGGCTGAGGAGGGCAGATCACCTGAGGTCAGGAGTTTGAGACCAGCCTGGCCAACATGGCAAAACCTCGTCTTTACTAAAAATACAAAAATTAGCCAGGCGTTGACCGGGCATGGTGGCTCACGCCTATAATCCCAGCACTTTGGGAGGCCGAGGAGGGCGGAACACCTGGGGTCAGGAGTTTGAGATCAGCCTGACCAACATAGAGAAACCGTGTGTCTACTAAAAATACAAAATTAGCCGGGCATGGTGGCGCATGCCTGTAATCCCAGCTACTCAGGAGGCTGAGGCAGGAGAATCACTTGAACCCGGGAGGCAGAGGTTGCGGTGAGCTGAGATTACGCCATTGTACTCCAGCCTGGGCTCGAAACTCCATCTCAAAAAAAAAAAAATTTAGCCAGGCGTAGTGGCACGTGCTTGTAATTTCAGCTACTCAGGAGGCTGAGGAAGGAGAATCGCGTGAACCCGGGAGGCAGAGGTTGCAGTGAGCCGAGATATCACTGCACTCCAGCCTAGGCGACAGACCGAGACTCCGTCTCAAAAAAATAAAAATAAAAATAAAAAATACTTTTTCAAAGCCATAGCCACAAGAATCTCAGGAAAAATAGAGGGAAAAGCTAATACAAGGCTCTAGGATGGAAAAGAAAAAAAAAAGCTTGGCATGTTTGAAAGGAAAGCTAGTGTTGGTGAAAGGTAGTATATGGGGGAGAGGTTACATGACCATACTACACGTGAAGGGTAGATATTGTAAAGCCTCAGAAACTATGTAGGAAGTTTGGATTTAATCTAACATAATAGGCAATGTGTTAGCAGCAGAAATTTAGCGCCTTAAACAACATCCAGCCGGGCGCAGTGGCTCACGCCTGTAATCCCAGCACTTTGGGAGGCCAAGGCGGGTGGATCACCTGAGGTCGGGAGTTCGAGACCAGCCTAACCAACATGGAGAAACTGCATCTTTACCAAAAATACAAAATTACCCAGACATGATGGCGCACGCCTGGGAGGCTGAAGCAGGAGAATCGCTTGAACCCGGGAGGCGGAGGTTGCAGTGAGCTGAGATCGCACCATTGCACTCCAGCCTAGGCAACAAGAGCCAAACTCCGTCTCAAAAAAAGAAAAAAGAAACAATATCCAATTTATTAGCTCACAGATTTATAAATCAGCAGTCCATGTACAGGGTCTCACACTTTGGGAGGCCAAGGCGGGCAGATTACTTGAGCTCAGGAGTTGGAACCCAGCCTGGGCAACATGGCAAAACCCCATCTCTACAAAACATACAAAGAAATTAGCCAGGTGTGGTGGCGCACACCTGTAGTCCCAGCTACTCTGGAGGCTGAGGTGGGAGGATTGCAGCCCAGGAGGCAGAGGCTGCAGTGAACTGAAATTGTACCACTGAACTCCAGCCTGGGTGACGGAGCAAGACCCTGTGTCAAAAATAATTAAATAAATAAATAAATAAATAAATAAAAATAAAAAAATTAAGACATATACTTAACTGAAAAAGTAAGGTGCAGAACAATGTATATGCCTTTGACTTTTTATTTATTTTTTGAGACGGAGTCTCACTCTGTCACCCAGGCTGGAGTGCAATGGCGAGATATCAGCTCACTGCAACCTCTGCCTCCGGGTTCAAGTGATTCTCCTGCCTCAGCTTCCCAAGTAGCTGGGACTACAGGTGCACACCACCACACCTGGCTAATTTTTGTATTTTTAGTAAAGTAGAGACAGGGTTTCACCATGTTGGCCAGGCTGGTCTCAAACTCCTGACCTCAAGCAATCTACACCCCACCCCCTCCGCCCCGCGGCCTCCCAGAGTGCTGGGATTACAGGCATGAGTCACAGCCCCTGGCCAAAGGATACATAATTTTAATATTTGTAGATATTACTATGTTTCTTCCCCCAAAATTGTAGCAATTCATGCTCCTAATTCATACACCCACCCCTAATTCATACACCCAAGAGGCATATATATGTGTGTTTGTGTGTGTCTGTATGAATGCCTATTCCCACACTCTCACCCACACTGAATCTTATCAACTAATTTTTGCCAATCTAATGGGCAGTTCATTTTTGTTTTAATTTCTCCTGATGAATAAAGAGACTGGGTAGCTTTTTTTTTAAGGTAGAAAAGCAATTTATTCCATTTTAAGCACTTACACAGTTCGTCATGGAGAGTAACAGGCCTGCTGGTAAAACAGGTCACCCAAAATGGAGATGCATCAAACATCAAACTAGTGGTCAAGGACTAACTCCTAAAAAAAAAAAAAAAAAGGCTGGGCGCGGTGGCTTACACCTGTAATCCCAGCACTTTGGGAGGGTGAGACGGGTGGATCACGAGGTCAGGAGATCGAGACCATCCCGGCTAGCATGGTGAAACCCCATCTCTACTAAAAATACAAAAAACTAGCCGGGCGTAGTGGCGGGCGCCTGTAATCCCAGCTACTCGGGAGGCTGAGGCAGGAGAATGGCATCAACCTGGCAGGCGGAGGTTGCAGTGAGCCGAGATCGCGCCACTGCACTCCAGCCTGGGCAACAGAGCGAGACTCCATCTCAAAAAAAAAAAAGCAACTTTTATCAAGGATTAATTTAATTTTTAAAACAAATACAAGTTATTGATTCACTCTTCTCAACTTGACAGTCTACCTGTGGTATTACTGTCAGGTAAAAACATACATCTTTACAACTTGGTAGTCCTAAGTTAAAAAAAAAAAAAAAAAACCATTCCACAGAAAGGAAAGAAACAGCATGAAAACAGCTTAAGAAATACACGAACAAGCAAAAATATATGGGGAAAGAGGAACGTGTAGTTCTGACTTAACTGAAGGAACCAAGAGGAAACTCGTCTACCTGTTTCCTGGTCTACTGGTCTTCATGTGCATGCTGGAAAGTCAGGTATCAAGATTTTCGAGTAGGAATCTATATGACTTGAATCTCCCCTATTTCCTGAATAAAAGTGACATCTTTCAGTATTTATACTTCATGGCTCAGACACCTACCTCATTTGGCTCTGTTCCTTACTCACTCTAGCCTTTACTTAAATGAGTCTGAAAAACTTGCGGATATAGCATAAGAAGAAAAATAATCACACATAATATTCCCGTTTCTGTAGCTACTTTAGACCTGGTTTTGTTACTAGAAAATTCCTGAAGAAAACTTCAGTGTAATAAGTCTGTGGCTTTGCTGAATCAAGCCCCACCATTAATATTTAGAAAACACCCACTGTTAGGGCTAATGGTATTATTGGTGGTACCTATTATATAGAGGGATAGCTGAACAAAGTTTGTGTCTCAAAACCAGTGTTAAATCACTCTCAGCATTGAGAAGAAAAAAGGGGAGTCTAAAATCACAAGAAGTAAAGATACGTCTGGGACTCTTGTCCTTCTGGATCCACACTCCCTTCAGGGTCTTCACCGTTAGAAATGTTCTCTGCCATTTGCCACACTTCCATGATGTTGTTTTCTGATACAGAACAAATCATCCAAGGTTCACTGGGATTCAAGGAGAAATCAGGTATCTTGGCAGTGTGACCACCATGAATAAACAACTCTGGTGGCCTGTCTTCTGCATCTTCTGGGGATTGTTCCTCTGTGATTTTACTTAAATCCCAGACATTCAGTCCATGATCAGTACCACTGGAAGCCAAAATAGTCTCATTGTGAGGTGACCACTGAACCTGGAATATTTCATCCTTATGTGACTCAAAGGAATGTACCTTAAGTTTCAGATTTCTCAGATCCCACAAGGCAACAGTCTTGTCAGCTGATCCTGTAGCAAGAATGAACTCACCATAAGGATTGAAAGAGAGGCAGTTCACTTCAGCAGTGTAAGCATCAACTGAGTGGCTTGGTTTGGAAGTATTTTTTGAACGAGTATCCCAAATCATAAGTTTCTGATCATCAGCAACTAACCTAAACAGAGACTCATGAAGCAGATTCCAGAAAACATCTTCTACTACTGCTGTATGCCCCGTAAAGATGGTCCTTGCATCCACTTTTCCCTCCTTTGGAATGGCACTGATGTCCCACAGGCAGACAGTGTGGTCATCTGAAGCACTAAGTAAATGCCCACTGAGATTTGGGTTCCATGAAAGCCCATAGCCTTCCTTCTGATGTCCACAGAGACGCAAGTCTGGGTTGCACTCTCCAGAAGGATCTGGTTTAGAAGGATATTTTGTATAGTCAAAGACAAGAACATCACTGGAAGGAGTCTTTGTTTTGATGATACAAGAGTTCTGCGGCATGTAACGGGCCCTATTTACTTCTCCTTCATGGTTGATCTTGATTTCTATTTCAATGTTTCCACTAACTGAACCAAAACCTCCAAATTCTCCTTTCTCACTGTCGTAGTGTGACGCGTCAAACTAAGCATTATCATTAGGGGTTGCACACTGGCTATAACAAGATGGTTTTGTTCATCCAATGTGTGTGTCCCCAGGACAAGTCGATGAATGCTGAAATCTTTCCCTTCTGGTCTGATTTCATCTGGAAGCCACTGGACAGTTAGGCTGGCCACTCCAGAGCATGGGTCATCACCAAATGGTAAAGAAAAGGGGTGTTTTTTTTCCGTATTTTGTACTCATCGTTGATCACTCGTCTTCCACTCCATCATCGAAGGCTGCTTCCTTGACGGCCATGGCGGGCAGGCAAGCCGGGGCAATCCTGGGGTCGAGCATTGCGGGAGGGGTGGGGAGGCTGCCTGGGTAGCTTTTATTAGACTTATTTACCATTCAGAAGGCTGGGCGTGGTGGCTCACGCCTATAATCCCAGCACTTTGGGAGGCTGAGGCAGGCGGATCACAAGGTCAGGAGATCGAGACCATCCTGGCTAACATGGTGAAACCCCGTTTCTACTAAAAATACAAAAAATTAGCCGGGCATGGTGGCGGGCACCTGTAGTCCCAGCTACTCGGGAGGCTGAGGCAGGAGAATGGTGTGGACCCGGGAGGCGGAGCTTGCAGTGAGCCGAGATCATGCCACTGCACTCCAGCCTGGGCTCACAGAGTGAGACTCTGTCTCAAAAAAAAAAAAAAAAAGACTTATTTACCATTCAGAATTGCTCGTCTGCCTTTTGTCTGTTTATATCAATTGCCTATTTTTCTACTGAGTTGTCAACTTTTTCTTCCAATACTAGGTCTTTGTATATTAGAAAATTCATCAATTGGTGGTATGGGTGCAAATATTTTCTACCAACTGTATTATTTGTGTTTATGCTGCCTTTTTTCATCCCAAAGATTTTATTTTTGTGTAATAATATTTTCTTTATAGATTCTGGGCTATTTTGTTTAAGAAGCGCATCCCCAGGCCAGGCGCAGGGGCTCACTCCTATAATCCCAGCACTTTGGGAGGCCGAGGCAGGCACATCACGAAGTCAAGAGATCGAGACCAAGATGGCGCCACTGCACTCCAGCCTGGGCAACAGAGCAAGACTCTGTCTCAAAAAAAAAAAAAAAAAAAAATGAAGCACATCCCCATCCCAAGATTTTATAGAGTCCTAAATATTCTTCTAACCGTTTTTGTTCGTTTGTTTGTTTTGTTTTGTTTTGAGACGGAGTTTCGCTCTTGTTGCCCAGGCTGGTGTGCAATGCGCCATCTCGGCTCACTGCCACCTCCGTCTCCCGGGTTCAAGCGATTCTCCTGCCTCAGCCTCCCGAGTAGCTGGGATTACAGGCACCCGTCACCACACCCGGCTAATTTTGTATTTTTAGTAGAGATGGGGTTTTGTCATGTTGGTCAGGCTAGTCTTGAACTCCTGACCTTAGGTGATCCTCCCACCTCGGCTTCCCAAAGTGCTGGGATTACAGGCATGAGCCACCATGCCTGGCCTGATTCTAACGTTTTTATAGTTTTGTTATGCTCATTTATATCTTTATTCCATCTGAAATTTACTTTCGCATATGGTGTGCAATAAGAATCTAGGTTTATTTATCTTTTCTTTTTTGTTGTTTGTTTGTTTTTGAGACAGGGTCTCGCTCTGTCGCCCAAGCAGGAGTGCGGCGGCACAATCACAGCTCACTACAGCCTCGACTTCATGGGCTCAGGTGATTCTCCCACCTCAGCATCCCAAATTGCTGGGACTAAACACAAATCTTACCTAAACAAAATCTTAAAACCTCTGGGGCCAACAAAACTCTGCTCTGGTCCAATTTAGATTAATCATCCTATCCTCTGTATTACTTATAAATTTCTTCTATTGGAAACCTACTTTACATCAGCATAAGAGAAAAGCCTCACTAGCTTCCCCCTTTCTCTCACACTCATTCCACCCTACTTCTAAGAACTTCACTTAGCCCCTTGTTCACTGTTATCCTCTCACTCTTCTCCCCAGGGCCACAGTAGGGTCATCACAACTACCTCTGCCCCTCCAGTGAAAGAAACACTTCCCGGCTGCACGGTGGTTCACGCCTGTAATCCCAACAGTTTGGGAGGCCGAGGCGGGCAGATCACCTGAGGTCAGGAGTTCAAGACCAGCCTGGCCAATATGGTGAAACCTCATCTTTACTAAAAATACAAAAAATTAACCAGGCGTTGTGGTGTGTGCCTATAGTCCCGGCTACTCGGGGGCTGAGACAGGAGAATCGCTTGAACCCAGGAGGCAGAGGTTGCAGTGAGCCAAGATCATGCCATTGCACTCCAGCCTGGGTGACAGAGCGAGACTCCCTCTCAAAAAAACAAAAAAAAACAGAAACATTTCCACTCTCTATCCTGTGTGTGCTCCTTTACTTGACCTGACGCTAAGGCTTCTGGGGAGTTAGGTCCTAGAGGTTCTTAGGCTAAAGAAGTCTCTGAGCCTCTTTTCTCTTAGGATGTGTTGTTATAGTACCCAGCTGTAGGTGGTGGAAGACTGTATGGGGTGAGACTAAGTAACTTGGGTACTGATCCATTATTTTCTGACGTTCCAAGATGCTGATAATTTCTGGCCTGATACCCAAAACAGATCTCATTCTATTCTCCACTTAATGAATCCAAATAGCAAGAGCTGAATTTTCCTGGGGATAGAGCTCATATAGCCTGAAGTGTGAAATGAGGCAAAGGCAAGGTAGCCTAGACCCCTGGGTCTCCAGAATAGCTTTGTCTCCATTCTCCAGGCCTCTGTTTATTGCAAATTATATAGGGAAAGGAGCTTATGGTATGGAAGGCCAGGTATTAGTCTGCTATAACAAAATATCACAGACAGGGTGACTTAAACAACAGAAACTTATTTTCTCAGAGTTCTGCAGGCTGGAAGGCTAAGAGCAATGTGCTAGCAGGATTGGAAACCAACCTGAGGCCTCTTGTCACAGTTTGCAGATGGTAGCTTCTCCTTGTGCCCTCACGTGGCCTTTCCTTTGTGACCACATATTCCTGGTGTTTCTTCTCTTCTTATAAAAATGCTAACCACATCGGGTGCGGTCACTCACACCTGTAATCTCAGCACTTCGGGAGGCCGAGGCGGGCAGATCACGAGGTCAGGAGTTGGAGGCCAGCCTGGCCAACATGGTGAAACCCCGTCTCTACTAAAAAATACAAAAATTAGCCGGGCGTGGTGGCCCATGCCTGTAATCCCAGCTATTCGGGAGGCTGAGACAGGACAATTGCTTGAGCCCAGGAGGCTGAGGTTGCAGTGAGCTGAGATCACGCCATTGCACTCCAGCCTGGGCGACAACGGCCAGACTCAGTCTCAAAAATTTAAAAAAAAATTATTTTAAAAAATAACAAAAAATAAAAATAAATACAAACGCTAATCAGGCTGGGCACAGTGGCTCACGCCTGTAATCCCAGCACTTTGGAAGGCTGAGGCAGGCGGACCACCTGAGGTCAGGAGTTCGAGACCAGCTTGACCAACATGGAGAGACCCCGTCTCTACTAAAAATACAAAAATTAGCTGGGTGTGGCGGTGTATGCCTGTAGTTCCAGCTACTCAGTAGGCTGAGGCAGGAGAATCACACAAACCCAGTGAGCAGAGATTGTGCCACTGCACTCCAGCCTGGGCAACAGAGCAAGACTCTGTCTCAAACAAACAAATAAAAGAAACACCAATCAAATTGGATTAAGGCCCTACCCTCATGACATCATTTAACTTTAATTACCTCCTTAAAGGTCTATCTTCAAATACAATCACATTGGAGGTTAGGGCTTCAACATATGAATTGAGGGTTAAAGGGAACAATTCCACTCTTTTTATGTTTGTTTGTTTTTGTTTTTGTTTTGAGACGGAGTCTCGCCCTGTCGCCCAGGCTGGAGTGCAGTGGCACAATCTCGGCTCACTGCAAGCTCCGCCTCCCGGGTTCACACCATTCTCCTGCCTCAGCCTCCCGAGTAGCTGGGACTACAAGCACCCACCACCACACCCGGCTAATTTTTTTGTATTTTTAGTAGAGACAGGGTTTCACTGTGTTAGCCAGGATGGTCTCGATCTCCTGACCTCATGATCCGCCTGCCTCAGCCTCCCAAAGTGCTGGGATTACAGACATGAGCCACCGTGCCCGGCCAATTCCACTCATTTTTGTTTGTTTGTTTGTTTTTGTTTTCTTTAGACAGGGTCTTCCTTCTCACCCAGGCTGGAATGTTGTGGGCTGCAGCCTCCACCTCCCAGGCTCAAGCAGTCCTCCCACCTCAGCCTCCTGAGTAGCCGAGACTACAGGAGAGAGCCATCACACCCAGCTAATTTTTGTATTTTTAGTATACCCTCTTTCTTTTAAAAAAATTTTAAGTGATTTATTTTTCCTCAATATAAAAATATTCATGCCGGGAAAAACATATCAGTTGTTGAGCTTCTTCTCTTTTTTATAATTTTGTTTTTGTTTTTTGAGACAGTCTCACTTTGTCACCCAGGCTGGAGGGCAGTGGCTTGATCTCCTCTCACTGCAACCTCTGCCTCCTGGGTTCAAGCTATTCTCCTGACTCAGCCACCAGAATAGCTGGGATTACAGGCGCCTGCCACCATGCCCGGCTAATTTTTGTATTTTTTCATAGGATGGGGTTTTGCCACATTGGCCAGGCTGGTCTCGAACTCCTGAGCTCAAGCAATACCCCCGCCTCGGCCTCCGAAAGTGCTGGGATTACAGGCATGAGCCACCACCTTGCAACCTGTCTTTAAAAAAAGAAAGGCCGGGCACAGTGGCCCACACCTGTAATCCCAACACCTTGGGAGGCCGAGGCGGGTGGATCACATGACGTCAGGAGTTCAAGACCAGCCTGACCAACATGGTGAAACCCCATCTCTACTAAAAATACAAAAATTAGCCAGGTGCCATGGTGCGCACCTGTAATCTCAGCTACTCTGGAGGCTGAGACAGGAGAATCTCTTGAACCCAGGAGGCAGCGGTTGCAATGAGCCGAGATCATGCCACTGCACTCCAGCCTCAGTGACAGAGTGAGACTCTGTCTCAAAGAAAAAAAAAGTAAAATTAGCCGGGTATGGTGGCGTGCACTTGTAGTCCCAGCTACTCAGCAGGCTGAGGTGGGAGGATTGCTCAAGCCAGGTAATTAGAGGCTGCAGTAACCCATCCATGATAACACGGCTGCACTCTAGCCTGGGTGACAGAGTGAGACTATCTGAACAGAAGACGAAAAAAAAAAGAAAAAGAAAAGAGACAAGACAAGACAAGACAAGATAGTGGAGCAAAGCTTCTGCTTTTCCTTTGTAAGCCAGCAAATGCTACCCTATGGAAGGGAAAGGACGGGAAGAGAAAAGTACTGTCCAACTCCACTGAATCTGTAGCAACAGCATGACGTTCAGATAAAAAATATCTAATATGGCTGGGCACAGTGACTCACACCTGTAATCCCAGCACTTTGGGAGGCCGAGGCGGGTGGATCATCTGAGGTCAGGAGTTCGAGACCAGCCTGCTCAACATGGTGAAACCCCATCTCTACTAAAAATCCAAAAGTTAGCTGGGCATGGTGGCGTGTGCGTGTATTAGTCCCAGTTACTCGGGAGGCTTAGGCAAGAGAATCGCTTGAACCCGGGAGGTGGGGGTTGCAGTGAGCTGAGATTGCATCACTGCACTCCAGCCTGGGCGACAGAGTGAGATTCCGTCTCAAACAGACAAACAAAAAAAAAATCTGGTATGGAGTTGGGAGAGATAAGACTAAACCTCATGTTCCCATATTTGAATTGGATGCAAAAAAAAAAAAAAAAAAATTCGGCCGGGCGTGGTGGCTCGCGCCTGTAATCCCAGCACTTTGGGAGGCTGAGGCACCTGAGGTCAGTAATTCAAGACCAGCCTGGCCAACATGGTGAAACCCTGTCTCTACAAAAATTAGCCGGGCATAATGCAGGTGCCTGTAATCCCCAACTACGCGGGAGGCTGAGACATGAGAATCGCTTGAACCCAGGAAGCGGAGGTTGTAGTGAGCCGAGATTGCGCCACTGCGTTCCAGCCTGGGCGACAGGGTGAGACTCCGTCGCAAAAATAAATACATAAATAAATAAAATTTTTAAAAAATAAAAATAAAAATTCACCAACATAAAGATGATATTTAAATCTGTATATGTGAGAAGGAACAAGTACTAACTGCATCACAATTAAACAGTTTCCTAGGAGTGGCTTCTGAATGTTACTTCTTTGTATCTTATTTTTGTATCTGAATGTTACTTCTTTGTATACTTACTGGCCTGTATCGCAGGCTTTCACTTGTTAATTGAGTTCTCTCTTCTTAAGTATTTTGGCATTTCTACCACCAGGTGGCGATGTCCCACTGTCTTTCATTTACTCATTGTCGAACGAGAGATTCTTAAAGAATTTGGGGGTGGGGGGAGGGGTCAGGTTATGTCCTTCTACTAGTTATACAAATAAGCGCTTGCTTTCATGCTGAAAAGCGAAAAGAATTTGGAGGGGGAGGGTAAGAGGTCAGGCAGTGGCTGCCTCTTCCTCCCTATTTGTTTTCTTAGTCGTTTGGTTTCCATGGGAATCCATGTTTGAGCAGCAACTCTGAATCCATTTACTGCCCCTCCAGGCTTGGGGCTGAGCCCAGAGACAAGCTGTGAAGAACAGCAGATGGGTAGAAAGGCGGGGAAGATTTATTTGGTAAATTTGGATAGCAAAAGAGGCCAACAGGTGCCGGGGGAGCAGTGGTGAGGTGGAGTGCACGAAGGAATGTGAAAGGCAGACAATGTTTTTTAGTTCAAATAAAATTGGGGAACATTAAAATAGTTTCCAAAACTCTTCAGTCAGGGATACTCTGTTCTCTCCCCATAGATCATCTTAGGACACACTCTGGGCCTTGTATATTACCAGGTCCTCTCTATCTCTTATCCAAAAAAAAATCAACAGGCTAGGCACCATGGCTCACACCTGTAATCCCGACATTTTGGGAGGATGAGGCAGGAGGATCACTTGAGCCTAGGAGTTTGAGACCAACCTGGGCAATAGAGGGAGATCCCATCTCCACAAAAAAAAAAAAATTGTTTTAATTAGCTGGGCATGGTGGCTCACACCTATAGTCCCAGCTACTCTGAAGGCTGCAGTGGGAGGATCGCCTTAGCCCAGGAGTTCAAGGCCACAGTGAGCCGTTATCTTTTTGCCAGCCTGGGCAACAGAGCAAGACCCTGTCTCAACAAAACAAAACAAAACAAAACAAAAACGTCAGCAGACAAGTGTCAGAACCTGTCCAAGGTTAAAGCCCTTTGGAGTAAGAGAACTCCAAGGAAAAAACCTCCACTGCATTCCCCAGGCAAAGCATAATTCCGCATACAGCAAGCTCTCAGTAAAATATTGGTTGAATGAATGAATGAATGAATGAATGAATGAGCAATAAGAATCAGATGGCCTTGACTAGCCTTACTTAGTTCCAGCTTGAGATAACAAACTCAGCACAAAGAAAAATCATCTATTCTGTCATCAAAATCATGAGGATGTGAATGTTTTCATTCACAGATTAAGTCATTCAAAGAATGATGAGGGTGTTTTGTTGTTGTTGTTCTGCTTAAATCAGATGTTTTTCATACTTGCATTACTAATACCCCAGTTTCTAAGAGTATTTGCATTTCAGTTTGTTTGTGACAATATTCGGGTATCCATTCACAGATAGCAGTTGATCTGCATATGAACAGCTTTCTACCTTGAGATGGAATCAAGTCTTCCCTCTAATTCCTTAACCACCAGCCCCACTCTTTCTCTTCACTTTCTGACCCACTACCCTGTTTAATTATCATTCATTCTGTAGTTATTTATTTGCTTACATTTTTATTGCTTGTCACTTCTACAAATGATAGGTGACAAGCTTCTTTCTTTCTTCCGGATCACTAAGCCTTCTCTAAGTTTTATCGTCTAAATGTTCATCTTACTTTTTTTTTTCTTTTTTCTTTTTTTTTTTTTTTTTTTGAGACAAAGTCTCACTCTCTCACATGGCTGGAGTGCAGTGGCACGATCTTGGCTCACCGCAACCTCCACCTCTCAGGTTCAAGCAATTCTCCTTTCTCAGCCTCCTGAGTAGCTGGGATTACAGGTGTGTGCCACCACGCCCAGCTAATTTTTATATTTTTAGTAGAGACGGGGTTTCACCATGTTGGCCAGGATGGTCTCAATCTCCTGACCTCGTGATCCACCCCGCTCAGCCTCCCAAAGTGCTGGTATTACAGGCACCCGTGCGCGGCCCTTATGTTCTTTTGAAATCCCCAATTTAAGTGACTTCTTCATTATTCTAATTTAATCTGCTCACCCTCCTGCCCTCCAATTGGAAATGGCCTTTCCTTCCTCTGAACTTGTATGCAGTTGATCTGCATTGCTTATAGCACTCACCTCTTGTTCTCTATGCAGAACAGTGTAATAATATTAACTATCAAATGTTGTGAACTTGGTGGCCGGGTGCAGTGGCTCATGCGTGTAATCCCAGCACTTTGGGAGGCCAAGGCAGGTGGATTACCTGAGGTCAGGAGTTCAAGACCAGCCTGGATTAGCTGGGCATGATGGGGAGCACCTGTAATCCCTGTAATCCTAATGCTTTGGGAGACTGAGGTGGAAGGATCACTCGAGCCCAGGCGTTCAAGGCCAGCCTGGGCAACATAGTGAGACCCTGTCTCTATTTTATAAAAAATATAAAAATGGCCAGGCGCGGTGGCTCACACCTGTAATCCCAGCACTTTGGGAGGCCGAGGTGGGCGGATCACCTGAGGTCGGGAGTTCGAGACCAGCCTGACCAACATGGAGAAACCCTGTCTCTACTAAAAATACAAAAAATTATCTGGGCATGGTGGCGCATTCCTGTAATCCCAGCTACTAGGGAGGCTGAGGCAGGAGAATCGCTTGAACCTGGGAGGTGGAGGTTGCGGTGAGCCGAGATCGTGCCATTGCAGTCCAGCCTGGGCAACAAGAGTGAAACTCCATCTCAAAAAATATATATAAATAAATAAATAAATAAATAAATAAATAAATAAATAAATAAAGTGCTGGGATTACAGGCATGATCCACCGTGGCCAGCCTCACTCTTCATCTCTTGCCTGGATTTCTGGTATCTCTTCTGTCCATTCAGTCTCTTTCCAATTTTAAATCATTTTCCACACTTTCAATGGTTGACCTTCTAAAATATAGCTCTATGCCAGGCGCAGTGGCTCATGCCTATAATCCCAGTACTTTGGGAGGCCAAGGCTGGTGGATCACTTGAAGCCGGGAATTCAGGACCAGCCTGGCCAATGTGGTGAAACTCCGTCTCTACTACAAATACAAAAAATTAGCCAGGCATGGTGGCAGGCACCTGTAATCCCAGCTACTCAGGAGGCTGAGGCAGGAGAATCACGTGAACCCAGGAGGCAGAGGTTGCAGTGAGCCAAGATTGTGCCACTGCACTCCAGCCTGGGTGATGGAGTGAGACATGGTCTCAAAAAATAAATAAATAAATAAAATTATTAAAATAATAATAAAATACAGCTATATTCTTTGTTTTAAAACTTCCAGTGTCTTCTCATAATATTCAATTTGTTAATATAGCATAAATGGTCTTTTACACTCACCCCAAACTTCTTTTCAAATTTTCTTTCCCTATACATTTCTACTCTTTTTTCTTTTCTTCTTCTTTTTTTTTTTTTTTTTTTTTTTTTGAGACAGAGTCTTGCTCTATCTCCCAGGCTGAAATGCAGTGGCCTGATCATAGCTCACTGCAGCCTCAACCTCTTGGGATCAAGGAATTCTCCCACCTCAGCCTCCTGAACAGCTGGAACTACAGGCATGTGCTGCCACCACACCTGGCTAATTTTTGTATTTTTTGTAGAGACAGGGCCTTGCTATGTTGCCCAGGCTGGTCTCAAACCCATAGGCTCAAGTGATCCTCCCGCCTCGGCCTCCCAAAGTGCTGGGATTACAGGCGTGAGCCACCGTGACTGGACTCACCATTTCTTTATTCATCTAAACCATATTGTGCATAACATCCATCTTACATGTGACCTCCTCTCTGAAAATCTCTTCAGTTCACTCAGGTAGTATTATTCAAGTCTCCCTTCTTCCCAGGGAACTTTATGTATACCTTTACGACAGTTTCTCATGTTGTATCGTCTTTATCTTTTCGAAATTGCCCCTCCTCCCAGGGAGAAGCAGGGCCTGTGTCTTATTTGCCTTTGTAACCCCAGCATCCCAGTTCTCTCATCTCTCTCTTAATATGAGCATGAATGTGATTCTATGTTGAGAAATGTCTACTCGTTCACTCTACTTTCCCCCTAAATGCAGGCCTGGTAAGTGAAATCTCAAATGCATTTGCCAAATGTTTGTTGAAAATGTAACAAATTAGAAGATCTACCTTGGAGCTTATGTCCCAAAAGAAGGAAAGGATTTCTATGGCCTGGGCTAAATCCTGAGGTGATTCTGCCATCTGGAGATACAGAATCATGAATGTCTAAGCTGCTTTGGTTTTTGATTGGACTTACTTCTGGAGGTCACAGAGGTTAGCAGACCTGAGGTTTGTTGATGGACTTTCATATTTTAATTTAATTTAATACAAGTTAAATTTGAATATGCAAATTAAACTATAATTAGGATTCCCCAACAGCAATGTAAAGAATGCAACGGAATCTCACTCTGGCATTCCATGCAGTTAGCCCAGGTTGAGTCTCTCTGTCCTCCTGTCCCTCTCTATATAAGCATGAGTGTGATCCTATATTGAGAAGTGCATAGTTTTATTCTACCTACCGCATAAATAAATGCAGGCCAACTACTTCCTCCAATATTCGCCAAATAAATGACAAGAACTTGTTCTAATACCAGAGCAAAAGCAGTCTCTTGGGCATTCCTTCCTCAGAAATTTTTCGACTTTGACTCTAGACCTCGTCTTAAGTAATGGTTTAGAAATGACCATCAGGGGCCATGTGAGGTGGCTCACACCTGTAATCACACTTTGGGAGGCTGAGGTGGGCAGACCACTTAAGTCCAGGAGTGCAAGACCAGCCTGGCCAATATGGCAAAACCCTGTCCCTACAAAAAATACAAAAATTAGCTGGGCATAGTGGCATGCACCTGTGGTCCCAGCTACTCAGGAGGCTGAAGTTGAGAGGCTAAGGTGGGAGGATCACTTGAGCCCAGGAGGCAGAGATTGTACCACTGCATTCCAGCCTGGGCAACAGAGTGAGACTGTCAAAAAAAAAAAAAAAAGAAGACAGAAAAAGAAAGAAAGAGAGAGAGAGAAAGAAAGAAAGAAAGAAAGAAAGAAAGAAAGAAAGAAAGAAAGAAAGAGAGAAAGAAAGAAAGGAAAGAAAGAAAGAAAGAAAGAAAGAAAGAAAGAAAGAAAGAAAGAAAGAAAGAAAGAAAGAAAGAAAGAAAATTACCATCATAGATTTATTATTGTAGGACCCTATGTAGAAATTGTTGCAATAGATGCATCTTGTTGATTGATACAGATGTTCACATATGCAAGCACAAACTGTTAAAGCTGGGTAAGAAAATCATTGGGTCTAATTCCATCAATGCAGATTGAGGTCTGAGAGGTAAACACTTGGGAAAATTCCTAAGGGGATTGTGCAGTGGTGTGATCACTGCTCACTGTAGACTCAATCTGCCAGGCTCAAGTGATCCTCCTATCTCAGCCTTCCAAGTACCTGAAACTACAGGCTGCCACCATGCCTGGATAATTTTTATCTATTTATTTATTTATTTATTTATTTTTGAGGAGTCTCATTCTATTGCCCAGGCTGGAGTGCAGTGGCACGATCTTGGCTCACTGCAACCTCCACTTCCCGGGTTCAAGCGATTCTCCTGCCTCAGCCTCCCGAGCTGCTGGGATTACAGGCGTGTACCCTGATGCCGGGCTAATTTTTGTATTTTTACTAGAGATAGGGTTTCACCATGTTACCCAGGGTGGTCTTGGCCTCAAGTGATCTGCCCGCTTTGTCCTCCCATAGTGCTGGAATTACAGGCATGAGCCACTGTGCCTGGCCTTTTTTTTTTTTTTTTTTTTTTTTTTTGAGTAGAGATGAGGTCTCACTATGTTGCTCAGGCTGGTCTCATACTATGAGTTCAAGCAGTCCTCCTGCCTTGGCCTCTCAAAGTGCTAGGATTACAGGCATGAGCCACCATGCCTGGCCCCAAGGGGATTTAACTGGGAATAGAAAGAATTTGACTAGAACCCAAGTTCGATGGTTTTTCCACTAAAAATGAAAATGTATGTCATATGAGTTCTATTTGTCAAGTGGACTTTCAATATAAATTCTTGGAGAGTGGAAAGGATATGAAGTTATATTCACATGCATCATGCCCAGCTGGCATAGAGTGGATGCCCAGTAGGTATTTTTTGTAGAGACGGGGTCTTGCTATTTTGCCCAGCCTCGTCTTGAATTCCAGGCCTCACGCAATCCTCCCACCTCAGCCTCCCAAAGTGCTAGGATTATAAGTGTGAGCAACTGTGCCCAGCCTACCGGTTTTTGTTTTGTTTGTTTTTTGTTTTTTTTTTGAGACAGAGTTCACTCTTGTTGCCCAGACTGGAGTGGAATGGCATGATCTCGGCTCACCACAACCTCTGCCTCTTGGGTTCAAGCGATTCTAGTTTAGTGGTTTTGTTCATTTGGATAATAACAGCATCGATTATTATTATTATTTAGGTTTTTTTTGTGATGGAGTTTCATTCTTATTGCCTCAGCCTCCTGAGTAGCTGGGATTACAGGCTCGCGCCACCACACCTGGCTAATTTTTGTATTTTTAGTAGAGACGGGGTTTCACCATGTTGGTCAGGCTGGTCTCCAACTCCTGACCTCATGATCCACCCACCTCGGCCTCTCAGAGTGCTGGGATTACAGGCGTGAGACACTGCACCCGACCCCTAGGTTTGTTTCAAGAATCTGATGAGGCCAGGTGCAGTGTCTCACACCTGTAACCCCAGCACTTTGGGAGGCCAATGTGGAGAAATCATTTGAACGCAGGAGTTCGAGATAAGCCTGGCCAACATGGTGAAACCCTGTCTCTACTAAAAATACAAAAATTAGTCAGGTGGGGTGGCAGGCACCTGTAATCAGATTACAAATGGTGTGTATGGAAGGATAGTAGATGTTTGGAAGGGAGAGACGGAGGTAGGTAATGGAAAGAATAATTTATCTTGAGTAACAGGCTTATTTCTCTCAGGTCTCTCTCCTTCCCCTCTCTTTTCTTCAAGACTTCCATCCAATTTTTTGGAAACACACACACACACATCCTGGTAATATTTATCCCTTGACCAAAAGATGGGAGCAGAGGTCATTGAATCAAATAAGGAAAATGTAGTCCTAAATCTCATAGACACATAATGTAGTCATTAAGTCCTTCCCCTACAATCCCCACTTTTTTCTACCAAATCCAGTGATACTAAACTTTGAGTCTAACTTCCCCATGGCCCAGCCACCCTGTTCATAGTCACTATCAGGTACTCTTTCCCATCTGCTTCCAAAAGAACCTTCTGCCATCAACTGTCACTGCCTCCAGCAATTGCTACATATCATTGGCTGCCTTCCTGGCTTGCCTATTGGGATCCCTTAAAAAGCATCACATGGGCCGGGCACAGTGGCTCACGCCTGAAATCCCAGCACTTTGGGAGGCTGAGGCAGGTGGATCACGAGGTCGGGAGTTCGAGATCAGCCTGACCAACATGGTGAAACACCGTCTCTACTAAAAATACAAAAATTAGCCAGATGTGGTGGCGTGCACCTGTAATCTCAGCTACTCAGGAGGCTGAGGCAGGAGAATCTCTTGAACCCGGGAGGTGGAGGTTGCAGTGAGCCGAGATCGCACCACTGCACTCTACCCTGGGCAACAGAGAGAGACTCCATCTCAAAAAAAAAAAAAAAAAAAAAAAGCATCACATGGCCAGGTGCTGTGGCTCACACTTGTAATCACTTTGGGAGGTTGAGGAGGGTGGGGGAGTTCAAGACCAACCTGACCAACATGGAGAATATAAAAATAAAAATAAAAGAATAAAAACACAAAATTAGCTGGGTGTGGTGGTGCATGCCTGTAATCCCCAGCTACTCGGAAGGCTAAGGAAGGAGATTTGCTTGAACCCAGAAGGTGGACATTGAGGTGAGCCGAGATCTTGCCACTGCACCGCACCGCACCCTGGGTGACAGAGGAAGACTGAGTCTCAAAAGAAGACAAACAAACAAAAAAACCAAACCTAGGGCTGGGCACAGTGGCTCACACCTGTAATCCCAGCACTCTGGGAGACCTAGGCAGGTGGATCACCTGAGGTCAGGAGTTCGAGACCAGCCTGGCCAACATGGTGAAACCCCGTCTCTACTAAAAATACAAAAATTAGCTAGGCGTGAGGCCGGGCATGGCTGCTCACGCCTGTAATCCCAGCACTATGGGAGGCTGAGGCAGGCGGATCACGAGGTCAGGAGATTGAGACCTGGCTAACACGGTGAAACCCCGTCTCTACTAAAAATACAAAAAAAATAGCCAGGCATGGTGGCAGGCTCCTGTAGTCCCAGCTTCTTGGGAGGCTGAGGCAGGAGAATGGTGTGAACCCGGGAGGCAAAGCTTGCAGTGAGCCGAGATCATGCCACTGCACTCCAGCCTGGGTGACAGAGCAAGACTCTGTCTAAAAAAAAAAAAAAAAAAAAAAAATTAGCTAGGCGTGGTGAGGGGCACCTAGAATCCCAGCTACTCAGGAGGCTGAGGCAGGAGAATCATTTATACCCAGGAGGCAGAGGTTGCAGTGAGCCAAAATCACAGCATTGCACTCCAGCCTGGGCAACAAGAGCAAGTCTCCATCTTAAAAAAAAAAAAAAAAAAAAAAAAAAAAAAAGCCAGGTGTGGTGGCTAACGCCTATAATCCCAGCACTTTGGGAGGCCAAGGCAGGCAAATCATGAGGTCAGGAGTTCAAGACCAGCCTGGCCAACATGGTGAAACCCCGTCTCTACTAAAAATACAAGAAATTAGCTGGGCGTGGTGGCAGGCACCTTAATCCCAGCTACTCCGGAGGCTGAGGCAGGAGAATTGCTTGAATGTGGGAGGCAGAGGTTGCAGTGAGCCCAGATCATGCCACTGTACTTCAGCCTGGGCAACAGAGTGAGACTCTGTCAAAAAAAAAAACAAAAAAAAAAAACCTAGGTGCCTCAGTTTCATATAAAGGGGTATTAAAATAATGATTACTGCTGGGCGTGGTGGCTCACACCTGTCATCCCAACACTTCGGGAGGCTGAGCAGGTGGATCACAAGGTCAGGAGTTCAAGAGCAGCCTGGTCAAAACAGTGGAACCCTGTCTATACTAAAAATACAAAAACTAGCCAGGCGTGATGCCAGGTGCGTGTAATCCCAGCTACTCGGGAGGCTGAGGCAGGAGAATTGCTTGAACCCAGGAGGCGGAGGTTGCAGTGAGCCGAGATCACGCCACTGCACTCCAGCCTGGGTGATAGCCGGAGTGAGACTCCATCTCAAAATTAAATAAATAAATACATAAAATAATGCTTACTGATATGGTTTAGCTCTGTGTCATCCAAATCTCATCTTGTAGCTCCCATAACTCCCATAGGTTGTGAGAGAGACCTGGTGCATTGAGAAAAGACTAATACAGTACATTGGTGCTGGGAGTGGGGTGCTGCTGAAAAGATACCCAAAAATGTGGAAGCAACTTTGGAACTGGGTAACAGGCAGAAGTTGAAACAGTTTGGAGGGCTCAGAAGAAGATAGGAAAATGTGGAAAGTTTGGAACTTCCTAGAGACTTGTTGAATGGCTTTGACCAAAATGCTGATAATGATATGGACTATGAAATCCAGGCTGAGGTGGTCTCAGATGGAGATGAAAAACTTGTTAGGAATGGGAGTAAAGGTGACTCTTGTTATGTTTTACCAAAGACACTGGTGGCATTTTGCCCCTGCCCTAGAGGTTTGTGGAAATTTGACTTTGAGAGATAATTTATGGTATCTGGTGGAAGAAATTTCTAAGCAGCAAAGCATTCAAGAGGTGACTTGAGTGCCGTTAAAGGCATTCTGTGGCCGGGCGCGGCGGCTCACGCCTGTAATCCCAGCACTTTGGGAGGCCGAGGTGGGCGGACCATGAGGTCGGGAGATGGAGACCATCCTGGCTAACATGGTGAAACCCCATCTCTACTAAAAATACAAAAAATTAGCTGGGCTTGGTGGCAGGTGCCTGTAGTCCCAGCTGATCCGGAGTCTGAGGCAGGAGAATGGCGTTAACCTGGGAGGAGGAGCTTGCAGTGAGCCGAGATCGCGCCACTGCACTCCAACCTGGGCGATAGAGCGAGACTCCATCTCAAATAATTAATTAATTAATTAATTAACCAGGCATGATGGTGTATGCCTGTAATACCAGCTACTTGGGAGGCTGAGGCAGGAGAACCGCTTGAACCCGGGAGGCAGAGGTTGCAGTGAGCAGAGATCAGGCCATTGCACTCTAGCCTGGGCAACAAGAGCAAAACTCCATCTCAAAAAAGAAAAAAAGGCATTCTGTTTCAAAACGGAAACAGAGCATAAAAATTTGTATAATTTGCAGCCTGACAATGCAATAAATAGTAAAGAAAATCCCATTTTCTGAGGAGAAATTCAAGCCACCTATAGAAATTTGCATAAGTAATGAGGAGCCAAATGTTAATCACCAAGACAATGAGGAAAATGTCTCCAGGGCATGTCAGAGACCTGTGTGGCAGCCCCTCCCATCACAGGCCCCAAGGCCTAGGAGAAAAAAGTGGTTTCCTGGGCTAGGCCCAGGGTCCCCATACCTTGTGTAGCCCAGGAACTTGGTGCCCTGCATCCCAGACAGTCCAGCCATGGAGCCATGGCTGAAAGAAGCCAACGGAGAGCTCAGGCTGTGGCTTCAGAGGGTGCAAGCACCAAGCCTTGGCAGCTTCCACATGGTTCTGAGCCTGCGAGTGGACAGAAGTCAACAATTGAGGTTTGGGAGCCTCTGCCTGGATTTCAGAAGATATATGGAAATGCCTGGATGCCCAGGCAGAAGTTTGCTGTAGGGGCAGGTTCCTCATGGGAAACCTCTGTTAGGGCAGTGTGGAAGGGAAATGTGGGGTGGAAGCCCCCACACAAAATCCTCACTGGGGCACTGCCTAGTGGAGCTGTGAAAAGAGGGCCACCGTCCTCCAGACACCATAATGGTAGATCCACCAACAGCTTGCACCATGCACCTAGAAAAGTCACAGACACAGGCCGGGCGTGATGGCTCACGCCTGTAATCCCAGCACTTTGGGAGGCCGAGGCAGGCGGATCATGAGGTCAGGAGACCGAGACCATCCTGGCTAACACGGTGAAACCCCATCTGTACTAAAAATACAAAAAATTAGCCGGGCGTGGTGGTGGGTGCCTGTAGTCCCAGCTACTCGGGAGGCTGAGACAGGAGAATGCCATGAACCTGGGAGGCGGAGCTTGCAGTGAGCTTAGATGGCGCCACTGCACTCCAGCCTGGGAGACAGAGCAAGACTCTGTTTCAAAAAAAAAGAAAAGCCGCAGACACTCAACACCAGCCTGTGAAGGCAGCCAAGAGGGAGGCTGTACCATGCAAGGCTACAGGTGCAGAGCTGCCCAAGACCATGGGAACCCACCTCTTGCATCAGCATGACCTGGATGTGAGACATGGAGTCAAAGGAGATCATTTTGGAGCTTTAAGATTTGACTGTCCCCCTGGATTTTGGACTCACCTGGGGCCTGTAGCCCCTTTGTTTTGACCAATTTCTCCCATTTGGAATAGGTGTATTTACCCAATGCCTGTACCTCCATTGTATCTAGGAAGTAATTAACTTGCTTTGATTTTACAGGCTCATAGACAGAAGGGACTTGCCTTGTCTCAGATGAGACTTTGGACTACAGACTTTAGAAATAATGCTGAAATGAGTTGAGACTTTGGGGGACAGTTGGGAAGGCATGACTGGTTTTGAAATGTGAAGATAAGAGATTTGAGAGGGACCATGGGTGGAATGATATGGTTTGGCTCTGTGTCCCCATCCAAACCTCATCTTGTAGCTCCCATAATTACCATGTGTTATGAGAGAGACCTGATGAAAGAAGACTGAACTATGGGGCTGGGTCTTTCCCCTGCTGTTCTCTTGATAGTGAATGGGTCTCACAAGAGGCAGAGCTTGCAGTGAGCCAAGATCGCACCACTGCACTCCAGCCTGGGCGACACAGCGAGACTCCGTCTCAAAAAAAAAAAAAAAAAAAAAAAAAAAAAAACCCAGTCCCAGGTATGTTGTTATTAGCAGCATGAGAACAGACTAATACACTTAACTTTACCAGACCGTGCCAATAAAAATCACAAAGAGATATCACCAAAAGAATGAAGTCCAGGGCCAAGCATGGTGGCTCATGCCTGTAATCCCAGCACTTTGGAACACCCAGGTGAGAGGATCGCTTGACCCCAGGAGTTTGAGATCAGCCCTAGCAAGATAGTGAGATTCTGTCTCTACAAAAAATTAGTGGGTCATGGTGGTGTGTTTCTGTAATCCCAGCTACTTGGGAGGCTGAGGCACAAGAATCCCTTGAATCTGAGAGGCAGAGGTTGCAGGGAGCCAAGACTGCACCACTGCACTCCAGCCCAGGCAACAGAGTGAGACCCTGTCCCAAAAATAAAGAAAGAATAGGCCGGGCACAGTGGCTCATGCCTGTAATCCCAGCACTTTGGGAGGCTGAGGCGGGAGGATCACGAGGTCAGGAGATGGAGACCATCCTGGCTAACAAGGTGAAACCCCGTCTCTACTAAAAATACAAAAATTAGCCAGGTGTGGTGGTGGGCGCCTGTAGTCCCAGCTACTCGGGAGGCTGAGGCAGGAGAATGGCGTGAATCTGAGAGGCGGAGCTTGCAGTGAGCTGAGATCATGCCACTGCACTCCAGCCTGGGTGACAGAGTGAGACTCCGTCTCAAAAAAAAAAAAGAAAGAATGAAGTCCAAATAATTACAAAATGGTGGTATAATAATCAACAGGGCAGAATCTGTTTTATTTCCCATCGTATACTACGTACCTAGCACACAGGAGGTGCCCAAAAAATATTTGTTGAATAAACTCAACCAAGGACATATTGAAATAATTTTCACTTAAAATATAATTAGGAATTAATTAGACATCATCAAGAAGTTTCTCAGTATCTCTTTCCTGGAATGATCTCTAAAATGGTGAATAGATTATTAACTCACTAAAAGGTATTTTTTTTGTTTGTTTTTTTGTGGTTTTTTTTTTTTTGAGATGGAGTTTCGCTCTTGTTGCCCAGGCTGGAGTGTGATGGCGCAATCTTGGCTCACTGCAACCTCCCCCTCCCAGGTTCAAGCAATTCTCCTGCCTCAGCCTCCTGAGTAGCTATGGGATTACAGGCATGCGCCACCACACCTGGCTAATTGTAAATTTTTAGTAGAGACAGAGTTTCTTCATGTTTCTCAGGCTGGTCTCAAACTCCCCAACTCAGGTGATCTACCTTGCTCCTCCTCCCAAAGTGCTGGGATTACAGGCGTCAGCCACCGCGCCCGCCCTGTTCCTCTTCTTTTTTTTTTTTTTTTTTTTTTTTTGAGACCGAGTCTCTCTCTGTTGCCCGGGCTAGAGTGCAATGGCATGATCTCAGCTCACTGCAACCTCTGCCTCCCGGGTTCCAGATTCTCCTGCCTCAGCCTCCAGAGTAGCCGGTATTACAGGCGCGTGCACCATGCCCAGCTAATTTTTTTTTTTTGTATTTATAGTAGAGATGCGGTTTCACCATGTTGGCCAGGCTGGTCTCGAACTCCTGACCTGAAGGGATCCTCCCACCTCGGGCTCTCAAAGTGCTGGGGTTACAGGCCTGGGCCACCACGCCCGGCTGGCCTGTTTCTCTTCTTAAATGTTTCTCCTGGATGCTCTGACCACATTTCTATTATAAGTTATCAATTATTCATATTCTCTGTCATACTTCAACCCGTATGTTCCAGTTCCTCCAAAGACTTGCCTCTGCCATTTAACTCTTTCTTTCCCATCATTGATTTGTTTTCCTTTTTGATTGCTCTGTTTATCTTTTTGTGGTTTTTTGCCTTTCTTATTGTCCTCTCTCCTCATGCTATGGTTTCTACTTTATCCCCACCCTCTGAGGATTTTTTTTTCTAATGGCCAACCTTAGGATCCCCAGAACTTTAACAAATATCCTTATAATTTATCCCTCGAAAGCACTCTCTCTCTCCCCGCCAACTCCCTGCCACCACCCTATCCTTCTCTCCGCTGGCTGCTAGGCTCTTGGCCCTTCCCCCACAACCTCCCTTTCCTGTCCGACTACCTTGTCCTCTTTACATTCTCCCAATTCCCTTATATTTAACATGAGGAATGAGAAGTGGAAAAATGAAGAAAAGCAAAAAGAATAAAGTCTATCGTTCCTCCTCTGAACGTTTAAATTCCTTCCATCTTCTGCTGAATGAACTCTGAAAAGAAACACCAGACAACACTCAGTCTGAATGACCCTCCTTGATCTTCACTCCCTCCCTCTTCCCCTAAAACACCATGGCAACTACCACCTGAAAGAGGTTAGGCGGAAATCATCTAATAAGACCAGAGGTTGTTTGCCAAGGCTTTCTTATTTAGGAAAGTTTTGCAAAGGGCGCTTTACCCTAACTCTGTATTCTCTCACTTCCTTAATGCTAGCAAGACAAAGAACATGTGACAGTATATGTTATTATAAGATCCATAATTTTAATAAATGTTGACTTTGTAGATCTTCAAATTTTCTTTGCAATTTGTAATTTTAAGTTATCCTCCAGGTCTGCAGCCAGAAGGCAAGGCCCATAACAGAAGCAGAAATCACCAGATGGCAATAAAGTATTAAATTGTGTGAAAAAAACATAGGCTGTCCAATCAGGCATTGCTTGCACAAATTTCAACCCTGCTCTTTATCAGCTACAAGACCTTGAGCTATTAAGCTATATGGCCTCTCTAAGCCTCAGTTTCCTTATTTGTAAATTGGGGTGTTCTCCATGCATGAGATGGGGACTATATAATGCTCCCTTTGCAAAATTATTTTAAAGATTTAATGAGATTATGTGTCCAAAGGGCAGGGTGCACAGAATGCACCACAGCTATGATTATTATCAACCGAAACAGTACATGTGTTTCTAGATTCCTAGTTCATTTCTCTTGCAATTAAATCAAGTCATGAGATCATAGGATTCTAACGCTTCAGAAGGTAGAGAAAATGCCTCCACAATACCTCCATTTCTGAAAACAAACTAGAAAAAGAAGAATAAGAGCAGAGTGTTTTCCTGAGAGAAAAGGCATTGAATGAAATGGCAAAAAGTTTTCCAGACTCCCTCATGACTACCATTTTATTTTTAGGGAAAAACCCCCTAGAAGCTTAGAAGCTTTTTTTTTTTTTTTTTTTTTTTTTGAGACAGAGTCTCACTCTGTCACCCAGGCTGGAGTGCAGTGGCGCAATCTCGGCTCACTGCAGTCTCTGCCTCCTGGGTTCAAGTGATACTCCTGCCTCAGCCTCCCAAGTAGCTGGGATTACGGGCATGCGCCACACGCCCAGCTAATCTTTGCATTTTTAGTAGAGATGGAGTTTCACCATGTTGGCCAGGCTGGTCTCGAACTCCTGACCTCAGGTGGTCTGCCCGCCTACACCTCCCAAAGTGCTAGGATTACAGGTGTGAGCCACTGCACCCGGTCAGAAGCATTTTTTAAAATTTCTTCTTCTTCTTCTTTTTATTTTTTTGAGGCAGAGTTTTGCTCTTGTTGCCCAGGCTGAAGTGCAATGTTGAGATCTCAGCTCACTGCGACCTCTGCCTCCCAGGTTCAAGCAATTCTCCTGCCTCAGCCTCCCAAGTAGCTGGGATTACAGATGCCCGCCACCACGCCCAGCTAATTTTTGTATTTTTAGTAGAGACGGGGTTTCACTATCTTGGCCAGGCTGATCTTGAACTCCTGACCTTGTGATCCACATGCCTTGGCCTCCCAGAGTGCTAGGATTACAAGCGTGAGCCACTGCGCCAGGCCAAGTGTATTCATCTTAACAACATCAAAACATTTGGCTAAAGGCAGTACACACATTTGTGAAGCATGTTATGTATTTCGTCCACAGGCAGCGCTTGGTTCATGGGTATCCAAAACCAGTCAAACATAATTGTTTCAAATTTAACCCTGCAAAGGAATCATTCAAGAGCTTGTTTAAATATCTTAGGCTCCACCCCCAGAGATTCTGATTAAGTAAATCTGTGGGGGAGCCCAGGAATGTGAATTCTCCATAAATTCCCCATGTGATTGTGGTGTTTGGGAGTCACTAGACCAAAAGAGAGTAGAGAGCTCTGGCAATAAGCATTCGTGACTGGCTCCTCATCTTTCTCTTCCTGAGATGTCACTCCAATCACCTTCTCCTTGCTCCTCGCAGTTCCTGGTTTTAACTGGGGTGTTGGGCTGATACCACAAAACAGCATGTAGGAAACTCTGAGAGTCAAATACAATGACTAACATTTTTTATTTTATTTTACTATTTTATTTTATTTATTTATTTATTTATTTATTTATTTATTTATTTATTTATTTTTTGAGACAGAGTCTCGCTCTCCCCGAGGCTGGAGTGCAGTGGTGCGATCTCGGCTCACAGCAAGCTCAGCCTCCCAGGTTCATGCCATTCTCCTGCCCCAGCCTCCCAAGTAGCTGGGACTACAGGCACCCGCTACCATGCCCAGATAATTTTTTTGTATTTTTAGTACAGACGGGGTTTCACCATATTAGTCAGGATGGTCTCGATCTCCTGACCTCATGATCCACCCACCTCGGCCTCCCAAAGTGCTGGGATTACAGGCATGAGCCACCGCGCCCGGCTATTTCATTTTCTGAGACAGGTTCTCACTCCACCCAGGCTGGAGTGTACCAGTTTGATCACTGATCATGCATGGCTCATAGAAGCCTTGACTTCCTGGGCTCAAGTGATCCTCCCACCTCAACCTCCTGAGTAGCTGGGACCACTGGCATGCGCCACCACACCTGGCTAATTTTTAGTATGTTTTTGTAGTGACAGAGTTTTGCCATGTTGCCCAGGCTGGTCTCGAACTCCTAAACTCAAGTGATCCAGCCGCCTCAGCCTCCCAAAGTGCTGGGATTATAGACATAAGCCACTGCACCTGGCCAGCTTTCTTTTTTTTCTTTTTTTTTTTTTTTTTTTTTTTTTTTTTTTGAGACAGAGTCTTGCTCTGTCGCCCAGGCTGGAGTGCAGTGGTGTGATCTTGGCTCACTGCAGCCTCTGCCTCCTGGGTTCAAGCGATTCTTCTGCCTCAGCCTCCCAAGTGGCTGGGACTACAGTCACGCGCCACCACACCCAGCTAATTTTTGTATTTTTAGTAAAGATGGGGTTTCACTGTATTGGCCAGGCTGGTCTCGAACTCCTGACCTCGTGATCCGCCCGCCTCAGCCTCCCAAAGTGCTGGCACTACAGGTGTGAACCACTGCCCCTGGCCAATTTTTTGTATTTTTAGTAGAGACGGGGTTTCACCTTGTTGGCTGGGATGGTCTCGATCTCCTGACCTCGTGATTCGCCCACCTTGGCCTCCCACAGTGCTAGGATTACAGGTGTGAGCCACTGCACCCGGCCCAGCTTTCTTTAAAAAGCAACAGGAGCCGGGCGCAGTGGCTCACGCCTGTAATCCTAGCACTCTGGGAGGCCAAGGCGGGTGGATCACCTGAGGTCAGGAGTTCGAGACCAGCCTGACCAACATGGAGAAACCCCATCTCTACTAAAAATACAAAATCAGCCAGGCATGGTGGCACATGCCTGTAATCCCAGCTACTCTGGAAGCTGAGGCAGGAGAATTGCTTGAACCCAGGACGCAAAGGTTGCAGTGAGCCGAGATCTCTCCATTGCACTCTAGCCTGGGCAACAAGAGCGAAACTCTGTCTCAAAAAAAAAAAAAAAAAAAAAAAAAAAAAGCAACAAGATACCATCACATAGAAGAAGATGAGGGTAAAAAAATAAAAAGCAAAAACATATATATATTTTTTTAAGGATTTAATTTTGACACCCAAATACCTTAACATTCATTTTAACTAATCCAGAGGCAACCTGTGCACACAAATGAAGGAAAGAGAGATTATGCACAAGTGGCCTGGCTTGAAAATTGGCTCCTTGACGAAAACACCTCAACAATGCTGTAAACGATTCCTGAAGATAGATAAATTATTAGACCAACATCCAATAGGGAAGCCAAAATAAGAAATGTTGATAAAATTAGAAAATATCATAAGAATCAACCACAAATCCAGAAAAAAGAGCCCATCTTCACCACCAGTTCCCCCAATCCAGAATATTACACACCCCTCCCAACCACCCTAGAGCCTCTCTAGCTCTGGCTCTCGTATATGGGAAGAGACTGGGGGTGGGGTGCCAAGATAAGTCCCTTCTTCCTATCGTTTATTATCTCCCATGCTCTCGAGTCCCTCTTCAGCTTCTTGGGAATGTAAGCCCTGAGTTTACAAGGTCAAAAGACCAAGGAACATTTCCCAAAAATTAGATGACAAATTGAAAAAAGAAAAGTGGTGTTGTTATTTTTAATATTCTCTTCTAGTATGAAGTTTGAGTGTCTCTCTTCTATTTCTCTGTCTCCTTTCATTCTCTTGCTCTTTTTCTCTCCCTCCCTTCTTTTGCCTCTATCCCTCTCCTTCCCCTCCCCTCTCCACTTCACCACACACAGAAACCCCTTTTCAAAGGGGCTTTTTTCCAACTCAGTGAAGTAAAGTCTTTGCCCCTTTGTGGGGAAGGCTCATTAACATTCCCACAGCAGCATCTCTTCAAGGATTTTACTTTTGTAACTCTGTGGGGAGGTCAAGAGGCCACAGTGGAGAGGTAAAAGGAAAAAAAATGGTAAACTGGGTAGGGAGGAAGAAAGAAGAGGAGGGGAAAGAGTCCTTCCTTTCACAATAAGACCCACAAGAAGGAGGGGGAAAAATAGGAAAAGATGAAGACAGCCAAGATTCAGGAAAAAAGACAAATGTGGACCCTGAAATCTGCTCCCTTGGAGATTTCAGACTCCTGAGAAAAGCAGAAAGCTATTTTCCTTCTCTCCTTTCCCTTCCTGGAAGGAAATAAATGATGGAAACAGTGGGGTGAGAGGATGACAGGACTCAGTCTATTCCACGGAGGAATCAGAAGCTTTCCTAGGCTCAGTACCCCTATTTCTCCTACAATGGTCTAGTAATAAATAATGGCACCTGTCTACCACAGGGGAGTTAATAGGATGAATTACATAATGTCAGCAACAAGAGTTCCAAGGGTAGACTTGAGAAAGCCACCCAGGGCCCTGACACCAAAGGACTGGAAAAAAAAATGGAGATTCAGTGAACTCCAAAGCAAAGATGAGAGCATTTTCCAAAACTCTTCAGATGTAATGTGGATACCTGCTTCAATTATCACTAGCAGCACCCCTGCCATCTGCTGTCTCCCTTTTCCTTTCTTGGTATTGCCAAACTAGCTTGAAATTGTGTAAGGGAAGAAATGCAAAAACCTTCAAATTTGCACCCAAACCTGTGAGTGAGCTTTCTTTTGCTTTTCTCTGAAGATAAAGCCATCAGAGATTTACATTACTAATCCTAAAAGGGGAAAATACTTCCCACTTTTCCAACTGATGGTGTTTCAGATGCTATCTCAGCCAGAAGAATAAAACAGAAATCATGCTAAAAGAAAGGGGCCCAGGCATTATTGCCAGAAGACAGGGCATATCCAGAATATTCTATGCCCAGTAGCTCAGTAGTACTCAAATATAGGTAGGAACATCACAGCCAGAAGTTAAAAATAAATGAATCACCCTCAGTGTACAGGCTAAGCAGGAGAAACCTGGTTGTTGCCAAACAGTGTATTGTGGAGATGGAGGGATTCCTTTTTATTTATTTTATTTTATTTTATTTTTGAGACAGAGTCTTGCTCTGTCACACAGGCTGGACTGCAATGGCGCGATCTCGGCTCACTGCCACCGCTGCCTCCCAGGTTCAAGTGATTCTCCTGCCTCAGCCTTTGGAGTAGTTGGGATTACAGGTGCCCACCACTACGCCCAGCTAATTTTTGTATTTTTAGTAGAGACGGGGTTTCAACATGTTGGTCAGGCTGGTCTCGAACTCCTGACCTCAGGTGATCCGCCCGCCTTGGCCTCCCAAAGTGCTGGGATTACAAGCATGAGCCACCGTGCTCAGCCTAATTTTTGTGGTTTTAGTAGAGATGGGGTTTCACCATGTTGGCCAGGATGGTCTCCAGCTCTTGACCTCATGATCTGCCCACCTTAGCCTCCCAAAGTGCTGGGATTACAGGTGTGAGCCACCGTGCCCAGCCATTGCTATTTTAAATGAGATTCCTTGAGATCAATCACTTTTGTTTTTCATGATAGCAGTTTGGTGGCATATTGTGTCTTTACTGATATAGAGGAAACAATGTTAGGCTACTGTCAGATGCACCTGGATTCCAGGCCTGTGTCTGATACATCACAGCTGTGCAACTTTGGAGAAGTTACTTAACCTCACTGGGCCTTTTGATTCATCTATAAAGGGACTCAGCTATAAATAGGAGTAGTAAAGCCTACTGTGTTCATCTCAGAGTTATAACATTCAAAACACGTTATAAATGAAAATATTCTATAAATTATAAAGAGCTATACATATATTACTCATAATCAGGGCATATCAGAAGGTTCTTATTTCAGTTTATACCCTAAAAGCAGCTACATTATCAGAGGGGCATAGAAATATGACAGAACCAAAAAGCACAGTGAAGATCTTGGAAGAAGAGTTAGAAAAACAAGCCAGGGACAGTTTCTGAACAGACAGCACAGGGAGAGGCCCAGGGCCCTTGCAGGGAGGAGAGGGTTAAATCCTTTCCTCTGCAGTACAAAAGAAAAGAGTGTGCGGAAAGATTAGGATTTTTGCTTTTACAATGGGAGCTGCAGAAGCGTAGGGAAGAAGCTGAAGAAAAAAAGGGGGCGTCTCCCCTTTAAAGACTTGCAAAGATTGAGAGAGAAAGAGAGAGAGTCAAGAACAGAGAATCAGAGAGAGAGAGAGAGTCTGTGTCTCTGGGAAAGAAGAACATCTCTGCTTCACAGTGATTTGCGCTGGGGGAGAGGCATCAATTGGCTTCGGACCCAAGGGGGAGACGAGACCAGGTCACCCCGGTTAAGACCAAGTGAGCGTTGCCCCTCCCTCTCCCAACTCTCTACCCGGGAATGTCTCGGCGAAAGCAGCGGAAACCCCAACAGTTAATCTCGGACTGCGAAGGTCCCAGCGCGTCTGAGAACGGTGGGTGCCTGGGGAGGGGTGGGGGCCCCTAAGTCCAAGCCTGTGTGGGTCAGGCCAGGGCAAGGGGAGGGCACTCGGGCCATGGGCGAAACCAGGCGGGGGCGGACTTGGTCACTGGGGGTTTGAAGGAGTTGAGATGCAGGGAGTAAGAGATGACCTGCGCTGGGGAGAAGCCCCGCTTGTTACTTGGGATTGATTCTGTTTGTGTTTTCCTTGTTTTTCTCTGGATGAAATGGAGTTTTCAAACTGGCTCTGTCTCCCCACCCAAGAGTTTTCTCCTCAGGTCTCCCTTTGCTCACTGGTCTTTGTGCCGTTGCTAAGTAACGTCCTCAGACCTGAAGACCGTCTCTTCGGGGTGGGATTTTCCCCCCTTTTCTTTCTGGAGAGTTGGGTTGCAAGAGAATGAATTGGATAAACGTGAAGGCTCCCCTGAGGGAGACGAGAAAAAAGTTTCTCATTGTTGGGCTGAACTGAGAGCCGATCAGAGCTCCCAGAGGGAGAGAGCTAAGGTCGGTCAGAATGCAGCCTGGTTTGGGGTGTGTATGCGTGTCACCTGGAGGACAGCTGAAGGCTAGGTCTGGATGAGGGGCTTAGGTTTGTGCTTCAAGGAAAGCAAAGCAAAAAACAAAACAAAACAAAAGAAGTGCAAGAAAATACACCTGTTACTACATGCATATCATTTTATGAGGATACCGTGTTTTTGAAGCAACAGGTGTCCCTTATGAGGGGGAAAAATTGTATGTATTCTTGTAACATTCCGTTAAGTGACAGGCAGACAGTAGAGCAAGCAGGGAATTGAAGAGTGAAATTGCTCAGAGTCTGAGAGACAGAAGCAAAATCAGGACAAAAACTTCAATTTCCTAATGCTCAGGGCTGGCTGGTAGTGCTCACTAAACCCACTAAACCTGGGTTTTAAAAACTTGCCTGATTGTGAGTACATCTGAGCCAGGGTGTGGGAATCTATATATTTTGCAATTGTCCAGGTAATTCTTAGGATCAAAGAAGTTTTGGACATACTTGTCAGTGGTATGGCTCCATATGTGCAGACTGAAAGTCTGGAAGTCCTGGCTCCAGACAGGCAACTGTTTAGCATACAGTTGATACACCCAACAGTATAGTATAGGATTAAGCACAAGGGTTCTGAAACCAGACTTTTAGACAAATCCCAGCTCCACCACTTGGTTAGCTATGTGACCTTGGCTGGTTTATTTTGCCTCTCTATGCTTCAGTTTCCTCATCTGTGAAATAAAGATGTGTATACTAGCTACCTCATTAGGTTGTTGTGAAAATCTAAATGAGTTAATATGTGTAAATCCCTTGGAAAAATACCTAGCATAAATAAGTGCTTAATATGTGTGAATATCGTTATTATCATTATATGTGAATGCAGTGACACTGCCTGCAAGTGCTGTAGTATGACCAAAACTCAGGAACCTCTTGGCAAACGTCAGCATTTCTTTTTTTTTCTTTTCTTTTCTTTTTCTTTTTTTCTTTTTTTTTTTTTGAGAGAGAGTCTCGCTCTGTCGCCCAGGTTGGAGTGCAGTGGTGCAATCTTGGCTCACTGCCCGCTCCACCTCCCAGGTTCACGCCATTCTCCTGCCTCAGCCTCCCGAGTAGCTGGAACTATAGGCGCCTGCCACCACGCCGGGCTAATTTTTTGTATTTTTAGTAGAGACGGGGTTTCACCGTGTTAGCCAGGATGCTCTGGATCTCCTGATCTCGTAATCTGCCCGCCTTGGCCTCCCAAAGTGCTGGGATTACAGGCGTGAGCCACCGCTCCCGGCCATCAGCATTTCTTTATGAGACGTGTCATGAAAAGCTCTAAGAGAGTGTATTGGTGGCGACTAAAATTGTAGATTAAACTTGCCTTTCCACCTGTTAAAAAACAAAAACTTGAGGTCAAATCAGCGCTCCATGTGCTACAAAATAACCTTAACAGACATGTTTTGGGCAGAACGCATCCTCCCCGAAACACTGCTTTTCTGGGATCCTACTGTGCCCATATTTAGAGGTTCTATGGTGATGGCATCCTTCCCTCCTGAGACACATTAGCCCTTCTTAATGCTGCTATAGGCCGGATGTTTCCTGCTTGTGCTCTACAGGAGACTTCCCCTAGAGCCTCAACTCCTCCCCAGAGTTGCCTCACAGTTCTGCTCTCCTGCTGGTTTGATTGTGGAACTATGCTGAACACCCCTCCAAACCCCCAAGAAGCATTCTCTCCTCTTCTTCCTACTTCCTCCATCTGCTCACCCATTCCCCATATCATAGCTGAGGAAAAATCTTCTGTGAGGGAGTCAAAAGCTATCTTTAGCGGCTGTCTTGAATGGATTTTCAAGCCCTTTAAGATATAGCTTCCACCTGGGGGCATGGTAATGCTGCTACAAAGCCATCCCCATAGAAACAGTAAAGGTTTAAACCCAATGGCATCAACAAATTTTTGATGAAAATTTGCCTTTGAGCTATGAAAGGCAGGAACAAATGTAAGGAGCAAGGAAGCAGTAGCACCCTCTGTTAAGATCTACCGTAAGAAAGCCTAAGGATTTTCTCATCAGAATTCCCCTGGAGTGAAAGATCCTAGGCTACTTATGATCTGGATGTCATTGGGCCTCATCTGCAAAATGAGGTGGCTCTATTTGATCGTATCTAAAATTCCTCCTGGATCTTATAAGCTTATAATATATAAATTTCACATTTTCTGGTTTTCTTTTAAATTAATAAATTTTCTTAATCATGAATGGGGCAGCATCCATTCTGCAAAACAGAATGAGAGCTCTCCTTTTCCCTAATTTTTTATAGACAGGGTTTCTATTCACTTATGTGATCTTCAGGCATCTGACTTCCTTCTACCCCAGAGCATGCTCCACAGTTAGGGAGGAAGGGCTCTTATTTAGGGGCACATGTATCCTTTGGTGTACCTGTGAAATTATGGATATCATCATGAGTATCAGAAGACATTTAGTCAGTAGTCTAGGGTGCCAGTAATGTTTCCAGGAGTCTTTTGCCTTCTTGTAAGCAATATGTGCCATATACAACATGCAAATGCTGAGCCTTTGTTACATATTTTAAAAGCCAAAATTCTGCAGTGACCTAAGACATCACCAAGAAACAGTCTGAAAAATCTGTTTTCCAGCCGTTTTTGCTCAGCTTCCCTAACCAGAGCATCAAAACCTAACAGAACAGTTATTGCATATAAGTGATGGGCAGGAAATACTCTATTCACTTAAAAACTCTAGAGAGGAAAAAAAAAAACCTTCTCTCTCCCCTACAGAGTCTAGAAATCTGGATTAGAGAACACAAAGGATGTGACTGGGGGAAAAATGCAAACCAGTACATCTGGGAAATAAAGGAAACAATCAGAAACCCAGATATTTAGTGAGAAGAAGAAACCAGGACAGCAGCCAAACAGATCTAGAGGGAGAGAGGGGAGTACTTTAGATGGAAGTTGGCAGATAGCAAGAACAGCAAGAGAGGAAAGAAGGCAAAGGTAGAGTTTTGGGGGCTCTGTTTACATTTGGAAGTAAAGAGCCTCATCTCTCAGGTTATTGATCCCTGGGCCACTCAACCTAGGTATTCCCAGATCAGAAAAAACACATTTTGGAATAGAGAGTATCTCAGTCCTGGTGTTACAGAGTACTAGATAAGAAAACAGAAAACTTGGTTTTCAATCTAGTGTGGACCTTGAAGCTATGTGACCTTGGGCACATGTGACCTTTCTTACCCCAGGGCTTCATTCAGCTTTTGACATTCAAATAATAACTAACACCCATGGCTAATATTTGTGGAGCATTCAGGTACTGTGCTAGGCCCTTTTTGCATTTCCTCTTTTTCCTCCCAACTCCGTTATTATTATTATTTTATTTATTTATTTATTTATTTTTATTATTTTGAGACGGAGTCTCGCTCTGTCGCCCAGGCTGGGGTGCAGTGGCGCGATCTTGGCTCACTGCGAGCTCCGCCTCCCGGGTTCACACCATTCTCCTGCCTCAGCCTCCCAAGTAGCTGGGACTACAGGCGCCCGCCACCACACCTGGCTAATTTTTTATATTTTCAGTAGAGACAGGGTTTCACTGTGTTAGCCAGGATGGTCTCGATCTCCTGACTTCATGATCCGCCCACTTTGGCCTCCCAAAGTGCTGGGATTACAGGCGTGAGCCACCACGCCCAGCCCCAACTCCCTTATTATTACAAAAAAAATTTTTTTCTTTTTTTGAGACCAAGTCCTACTCTGTTGCCCAGGCTGGAGTGCAGTGGCACGTCTCGGCTCACTGAAACCTCCACCTCCAGGGTTCAAGAGATTCTCCTGCCTCAGCCTCCTGAACAGCTGGGATTACAGGTGCATGCCACCACACCTGGCTAAAATTTTTTTATTGTAAAATATGTGTAATAAAATTTACCATTTTAACCATTTTTAAGTGTACAATTCAGTGGCATTAAGTACATTCACTATGTTATGTAACCATTACTGCTGTTTCAATATCTTTTTCATCATCAAACAGAAACTGTAACCGTTAAACAATAAATCCCCATTCTCCCATTCCCTTAGCCCTGTTAGCCTCTACTCTGCTTTCTGTATGTGTGACCTTGCCAAATTTCATATTAATGGACTCATATAATGTTTGGGTACCTCATACTAATGGAATCATACAATATTTGTCCTTTTGTGTCTGCTTTATTGCACTTAGTATGTTTTCTCTTTTTTTCTCAATTAAAGTCAAATTTGTCTGAAAGCATAATGTTTACAAAGTTCATTCATGTTGTAGCATGTATCAGAATTTCCTTCCTTTGTATGGCAGTACCCTCATTTTAAAGAAGAGAAATCAGCCGGGCACAGCAGCTCATGCCTGTAATCTCAGCACTTTGGGAGGCTGAGGTGGGCAAATCACTTGAGGTCAGGAGTTCAAGACCAGCCTGGCCAACAAGGTGAAACCTCATCTCTACTAAAAATACAAAAATTAGCTGGGTGTGATGGCGCACACCTGTAATCCCAGCTACTTGGGAGGCTGAGGCAGGAAAATCGTTTGAACCCAGGAGGCGGAGATTGCAGTGAGCCGAGATCACACCATTGCACTCCAGCCTGGGCGACCATTGCACTCCAGCCTGGGCGACAGAGCGAGACTCCGTCTCAAAAAAAAAAAAAAGGCTGGCCAGGCGCGGTGGCTCATGCCTGTAATCCAGCACTTTGGGAGGCCGAGGTGGGCAGATCACCTGAGGCTGGGAGTTTGAGACCAGCCTGAGCAATATGAAGAAACCCCGTCTCTACTAAAAAAATACAAAATTAGCCGGGCGTGGTGGCACATGCCTGTAATCCCAGCTACTAGGGAGGGTGAGGCAGGAGAATCGCTTGAACCTGGGAGGCGGAGGTTGCGGTGAGCTAAGATCGTGCCATTGCACTCCAGCCTGGGCAACAAGAGTGAAACTCTGTCCCAAAAAAAAATAAGAAAACAAACTCTGGGAGAGATTAAGAAATTTTCCCAAGATCACAAATATTAGAATGTTCTAGAGCTGGGACTTTAACTCAGGTCTGAATCACTGTGCACAATGACAATGAGAGTGTCAGATCTCTGAAGTCCCAGCTCCAAAATGGTATGAATTCCATGTTAAGTGTTGAGTCCTTTGAAGTCAAAGAAATTTTCATTAAAAGAACATTCTTATGTTTGATCTAAGATATTCCTGTTCTGGAAACAAATATCTTTTTCTCACTTAGCACCAGGTGTACCAATCATTGTGCCTGTTAGTCTACTGTGTTACATAGGCCATAGTTACATTAGTAGGTCTGGGTTGCAAAGGATTATTATGTGTCTACATTTAGGAAAGAGGAGTAAGGAGGAGAAGATGAGATATTTCCCTAAGAAGTAGTCAGTAGCAATAGTTACAGAATCAATTCATAATTATGGAAGCTACCAATTAGCATTGTTCAGTGTCAATAATAAGTAAGTGGGCCAGAGGCAGTGGCTTACATCTGTACTCTCAGCACTTTGTGGGGACAAGGCAGGAGGATCCCTTGAGCCCAGGTATTCCAGACAGCCTGGGCAACATAGTGAAACCTCATCTCTACAGAAAAAAATATTTTAATTAGCTGGGCATGATTGTGCATGCCTGTAGTCCCAGCTATTCAGGAAGCTGAGGTGGGAGGATCACCTAAGCCTGGGAGGTAGAGTCTGCAGTGAGCTATGATTGTGCCACTTCACTCCAGCCTTAATGGGTGGATGATGCTTGAACTCTGTAGAACAAAGCCTTTCACCTTACAATTAGAAATATGGTGGCCGGGCGCGATGGCTCACGCCTGTAATCCCAACACTTTGGGAGGCCGAGGTTGGCAGATCACCTGAGGTCGGGAGTTTGAGACCAGCCTGACCCACATGGAGAAACCCCATCTCTACTAAAAATACAAAATTAGCCGGGCTTGGTGGCACATGCCTGTAATCCCAGCTACTTGGGAAGGCTGAGGCAGGAGAATCGCTTGAACCTGGGAGGTGGAGGTTGCGGTGAGCCGAGATCATGCCATTGCACTCCAGCCTGGGCAATGAGAGCAAAACTCCGTCTCAAAAAAAAAAAAAAAAAAAAAAAGAAAGAAAAAAAAAGAAATATGGCTCAAATATCAATTAAAAAAGAAAAAAATATGCTTCAAGATACCCATACCTGGGAAAGAAATGCAATCACTTAAACTTACAGTAAGGTGTAAATTATATCAAATTCTATTCATGGAAGCAGATTTTTCACTGGGAAAGGATACAAGGAAGTTAATGTGTGGTTGTGGGCACTGTAGGGAGGGGACCTGATGGGAAGATTTAGCATTGAGAGTTCATTTTGTCTGTGTCCCAATTGTGGCCAAGTTTAGCTCAGGTAAGATCTGTGAGGAGCAGGGTGGAAGGTATGATGGAAAGGGCAGTCCTCCATGTGGGTCTCATCATTGTGTCACCATCTTTGTATTCTCATTGGAATCACCTGAGGAGCTTTATCAAACTAATGCCTGGATCCTATCCTCAGGGATTATGAATTAATTAGCCTGGGATGTGGCCTGGACACAGGGATTTTTTTTAAGTTTGGTTGGTTGGTTGCTTTTGCAGAGATGGGGGTCTCACTATGTTATGCAGGCTGGTCTCAAATTCCTGGCCTCAAGCAATCCTCCTGCCTTGGCCTCCAAAAGTGCTAGGATTATAGGCATGAGGTACCCACTGTGCTTAAACTTTCTTTTCTTTTTTTTTTCTTCTTTTTTTTGAGATTTTGAGATGGAGTCTCAAACCCTTGAGCTCAAGTGATCCTCCCGCCTCAGCCTCCAGAGTAGCTGGGACTACAAGGAACAGACCACTGCACCTAAACATAAAAATTTTAAAACTCTCTTCTGGTAATCCTAATGGGCAGCAAAATTTGAAAACCGCTGTTCAAATGTATCACCCTGCTACATACAACTCACCTATTTTTCTCTTTGTTCTCCCGAACAGTTCTCTCTGAAGCCTAAAGAAGCAATCTGATGGGACACTAGATTTAGAAGGGAAGCCACCTGGTTTCCCTTTTCTTTGTCATTTCAGCTCTCTATAAGTTTAAACAAGCTTGTCCAGGTCTTAGTCCCACCCCGGACTTTGCATTTGACCGGAGATAGCTTACCTCACCTTATCTGCTATCTAGGGACACCATTACCAGTTTAGTTTATTCCTGCATTTGTGACTTCATTCATGTTTGTGTAAGAATCCTGCCCCCCTTTTCAGGATGTGCAGTGAGTGCAAAGTACTGAGAAATGGAGGGTTCCTCTTACAGGTGGCTGTTGATCCAGTCACCTTTCACCAGGGACTAAATTTACCTTAAAGAAGAGCTTAGATCAAATTACGCATCAGAAAGCACATTTCATTAAAGAGCAAGAAAGGGGACAGTGTTTCCCAGGAGAAGATGAAAAGAAAAGGATTTCTTTTCTTGTCAGAAGACTTGACAAAACAGCAACTGGATATCAAATGTTCAATGCTAATTAACAAATGCTCAGTAGAAAGCCTCCATCTGATTCCCTCTCCCTGACTAAGGCCAGGGAGCAAATGGCAGGTAGAAGCCACACAGGGCCCTTTCTCTAGCATTAGGGAAGCCATACAAAGTTGATGTGCTTGAGAAAGCATTGGACAGGAGTCAAAATTCTGAATGCTTGCTTCACTGAATTACTGTGTGAACTTGGAAAAGTCACTTAACCTCTCCAAGCTTCAGTTTCCTTATCTGTAAAAATAAACCACATTGCACAAAACTGTGACTTGCCATAAACTGAAATAGAACCCCCCTCCCTCATTTGTAAGTCCAGGCCTGGAAGCACAGAACCCGTCCATTTCAGAATTATGACTCACAATGCTAAGAGCCTTATTATCTGAAGTTTCAAAACATAATTCAGTAAACTGTTTTAAGTTTAAAAACACAGGCAAAATTTATGTTGAGAAGTAAAGTGGATGTTACTAATATTTTAAATAGGTTGTTTCAGCTCCCCCACCCACTGCAATAAAAGACTTCCTACCTTTGAAATATGCTGCTGATATTAGCCAATATCTTACCTCAGAAATTAATAAGATTAACAAACAACATGGAAAACAGATCTAATTTTAGTATATGTGTATTTAAGGTTACTTCGATTATTTTGCTACTGACAATGTAAATTATCTCATTGATTAAATTCAGGACTCCCCAAACTTTAAAAATCTCACATGTACATATTAATTTTTTTAGACTTTTTTTTTTTTTTGAGACGCAGTTTCACTCTTGTTGCCCAGGCTGGAGTGCAATGCCACGATCTCAGCCCCCTGCAACCTCCACCTCCTGGGTTCAAGCCATTCTCCTGGCTCAGCTGCCCCAGTAGCTGGGATTAAAGGTGTACCATCATGCCCAGCTAATTTTTGTATTTTTAGTAGAGACGGGGTTTCAACATGTTGGCCATGCTGGTCTGGAACTTCTGACCTCGTGATCTGCCCACCTCCCAAAGTGCTGGGATTACAGTGAGCCACCGCGCCCGGCTTTTTTTTTTTTTTAAAGTAATGGGGCCTCACTATGTTGCCGAAGCTGGAGGGCAGTGGTTATTCACAGGTGTGATCACAGCTCACTGCAGCCTCAAACTCCTGGACTAAAGCAATTCTCCTGCCTCAGCCTCCCAAGTAGCTGGGGCTACAAGTGTGCACCACCATACCTGGTTTACACATTAATATTGTCCAATTTTTCAATTTTTTGTCCCCACAATATTTTTCTGAGTAAAATACTGCAGCTACAATATTACCACTTTATGAAGAGGGAAACGGTGGTATAACATGGTGTGACTGACCACCATGTCTCAGTTTTATCAGTGAGGCAAGAATAGAACTGGGATTAAAACAATTTAGGTTTACTGATGCCCAGGGAAACCACAAAACCAAGGACTTGTGGTCACTTCCTGCATGTAAGAGAAAGTATTTTAGGAAGTGGGAAGCACTTTAAGACTCATTTCAAGGTAAAAAAGAGAATGCCAGAATACCTGGTCCAGGAGGCATTTTATTCTTACTTATCCTGTCTGAATAGGAGGCTGCCTCTGTGATGGTGAGCAGGTGTTAGCTATTTCTAAGCATTCAAATCAGGCTGGGGCTGAAAGGGCTTTAGACACTGAGGGCTGCCTGGTAGTTCCTACCGCATTGTTTCAAGAGGGCTCCCCTCCCCCCCAGGTTAGAGCTGGGTGGGCCTCCGTAGGCCTCTGCAGGCTAGCGTCTCCCCAAACCCACTGTCTTTAATAGTGACGGTGTGAGGAATGTTGCAAGAGGAGAATAGAGGAGGAAGAGGGTACTAAATAGGAGATGGCTTATTAAATAAGCATGGACTCTATGAATTAGGTGTTGTGTAGGCTGGGCGATCTGCGGAGTAACCTGCATTCAGCTATTATTCAGGGGGAGGAGGGGCGGGGAGTGAAGGGGCTTAGTGTTCCGCAGAGAGTCCTGAAATGACTTCCTGGGAAATTCTACCTTGCAGCCGCCCACCCTGAGAAACTTCTTTTGTGGAGAGGGATGGGGGTAGGGTGGGAATGGAAGTGAGAAAGACGAGACAAAACTTCGAATATTTTGGGGTGTGTGTGCTGGTGAGGAGTGGATGTTCTGATCTCCCCCTCTTCTTCTGGCCCTCAGACCTCTGAGGAGATCAGACGACCCTCTCTGGAATCCACTTTTTCCAAGCTCAGCGGATCCTTTATCCAAAGAAAAATAAGAGAAGCCTATCGCCTTGCTCCACTGAGCAGGGCTACGTTTCCCACTGTGCCCCTAGAGCTTAGGAGGGGAGGGCGGGGGGAGGAGGGTAGGCCTGGGCAAAGGCATCTGCAGATGGGGGGAGCTGGCCAGGGACCGGGAAAGGTGGACCCCCGCAGTGCTTCACAGCACCTGTCACTGCGCCTCCGGAAACTCTCCCGAGCTCTGAGCTCCCGCCCCCACGCCCCCGCTAGCGCTCCCTTCTCCCGCCTCCTCTAGCTCCCGCCTCCCTCCCCAGCAGCTCCTCCCCATAAACTCCCCTCCTCATCAGCTCCTCCCAGATCTCCCCTCTCCCCGCTTTCTCACTCCAGCTTCTCCCCGCCTCCTCGCTCCCCTCCCCCTCCGCCGCTGCTCCCTGCCCCCGCCGCTGCCGATCTCCATCTCCGCAGTCTGGGCCGCTGGGTGCAGAGGCTGCCGCAGACCCAGCGGCCATCGCCTCCCTCAATCCCAATATCCATTGTCTCCCACCCCACCTGGCCCTCCACTTCCCCCACAACCATGGCGCACGAATCCGAGAGGAGCTCTCGTCTCGGGGTGCCCTGCGGGGAGCCGGCAGAGCTCGGAGGTGCGGTAGGGTCGGTCGGGCTGGGCAGGGGTGGGGGCGGAGGGGGATGCGCAGGGGCGGCGAAGACTTTCGGTGGGTGGGAGAAAATGCATGATTCTCTGCGTAGGCCCCTGTCCCCACACCTATTCCGTGAACTCGCTTGTGGCCTGGGGAAGGGAGGGTGGCTGAGGAGGGGAGTAGCATGCTCTTGCCCCCCTCCCCTCCTCCCTCCCCACCCCCCTGCCCCATGCCGGGTTGTCTCCTGTCCACACGGATCAGGCCTGAGCTCTAGACTTCTGCATGGCCCTGATGGTGAGCTCATCTCCCCACCCCCAACTAGCGGTTACTGGCCTCCTTGTTAATTAGAGCCTCGGTATACCCAACCCAACTGCGCCACCCACGCTCTCTCTCCTTGTCTTCTCCCCAGGTGATGCTAGCGAGGAGGATCACCCCCAAGTCTGTGCCAAGTGCTGCGCACAATTCACTGACCCAACTGAATTCCTCGCCCACCAGAACGCATGTTCTACTGACCCTCCTGTAATGGTGATAATTGGGGGCCAGGAGAACCCCAACAACTCTTCGGCCTCCTCTGAACCCCGGCCTGAGGGTCACAATAATCCTCAGGTCATGGACACAGAGCATAGCAACCCCCCAGATTCTGGGTCCTCCGTGCCCACGGATCCCACCTGGGGCCCAGAGAGGAGAGGAGAGGAGTCTTCAGGGCATTTCCTGGTCGCTGCCACAGGTACAGCGGCTGGGGGAGGCGGGGGCCTGATCTTGGCCAGTCCCAAGCTGGGAGCAACCCCATTACCTCCAGAATCGACCCCTGCACCCCCTCCTCCTCCACCACCCCCTCCGCCCCCAGGGGTAGGCAGTGGCCACTTGAATATCCCCCTGATCTTGGAAGAGCTACGGGTGCTGCAGCAGCGGCAGATCCATCAGATGCAGATGACTGAGCAAATCTGCAGGCAGGTGCTGTTGCTTGGCTCCTTAGGCCAGACGGTGGGTGCCCCTGCCAGTCCCTCAGAGCTACCTGGGACAGGGACTGCCTCTTCCACCAAGCCCCTACTACCCCTCTTCAGCCCCATCAAGCCTGTCCAAACCAGCAAGACACTGGCATCTTCCTCCTCCTCCTCCTCTTCCTCTTCAGGGGCAGAAACGCCCAAGCAGGCCTTCTTCCACCTTTACCACCCACTGGGGTCACAGCATCCTTTCTCTGCTGGAGGGGTTGGGCGAAGCCACAAACCCACCCCTGCCCCTTCCCCAGCCTTGCCAGGCAGCACAGATCAGCTGATTGCCTCGCCTCATCTGGCATTCCCAAGCACCACGGGACTACTGGCAGCACAGTGTCTTGGGGCAGCCCGAGGCCTTGAGGCCACTGCCTCCCCAGGGCTCCTGAAGCCAAAGAATGGAAGTGGTGAGCTGAGCTACGGAGAAGTGATGGGTCCCTTGGAGAAGCCTGGTGGAAGGCACAAATGCCGCTTCTGTGCCAAAGTATTTGGCAGTGACAGTGCCCTGCAGATCCACCTTCGTTCCCACACGGGTGAGAGGCCCTATAAGTGCAATGTCTGTGGAAACCGTTTTACCACCCGTGGCAACCTCAAAGTGCATTTCCACCGGCATCGTGAGAAGTACCCACATGTGCAGATGAACCCACACCCAGTACCAGAGCACCTAGACTATGTCATTACCAGCAGTGGCTTGCCTTATGGTATGTCCGTGCCACCAGAGAAGGCCGAGGAGGAGGCAGCCACTCCAGGTGGAGGGGTTGAGCGCAAGCCTCTGGTGGCCTCCACAACAGCACTCAGTGCCACAGAGAGCCTGACTCTGCTCTCCACCAGTGCAGGCACAGCCACGGCTCCAGGACTCCCTGCTTTCAATAAGTTTGTGCTCATGAAAGCAGTGGAACCCAAGAATAAAGCTGATGAAAACACCCCCCCAGGGAGTGAGGGCTCAGCCATCAGTGGAGTGGCAGAAAGTAGCACGGCAACTCGCATGCAACTAAGTAAGTTGGTGACTTCACTACCAAGCTGGGCACTGCTTACCAACCACTTCAAGTCCACTGGCAGCTTCCCCTTCCCCTATGTGCTAGAGCCCTTGGGGGCCTCACCCTCTGAGACATCAAAGCTGCAGCAACTGGTAGAAAAGATTGACCGGCAAGGAGCTGTGGCGGTGACCTCAGCTGCCTCAGGAGCCCCCACCACCTCTGCCCCTGCACCTTCATCCTCAGCCTCTTCTGGACCTAACCAGTGTGTCATCTGTCTCCGAGTGCTTAGCTGTCCTCGGGCCCTACGCCTTCATTATGGCCAACATGGAGGTGAGAGGCCCTTCAAATGCAAAGTGTGTGGCAGAGCCTTCTCCACCAGGGGTAATCTGCGTGCACATTTCGTGGGCCACAAGGCCAGTCCAGCTGCCCGGGCACAGAATTCCTGCCCCATCTGCCAGAAGAAGTTCACCAATGCTGTCACTCTGCAGCAGCATGTCCGGATGCACCTGGGGGGCCAGATCCCCAACGGTGGTACTGCACTCCCTGAAGGTGGAGGAGCTGCTCAGGAGAATGGCTCCGAGCAATCTACAGTCTCCGGGGCACGGAGTTTCCCCCAGCAGCAGTCCCAGCAGCCATCACCGGAAGAGGAGTTGTCTGAGGAGGAGGAAGAGGAGGATGAGGAAGAAGAGGAAGATGTGACTGATGAAGATTCCCTGGCAGGGAGAGGCTCAGAGAGTGGAGGTGAGAAGGCAATATCAGTGAGAGGTGATTCAGAAGAGGCATCTGGGGCAGAGGAGGAGGTGGGGACAGTGGCGGCAGCAGCCACAGCTGGGAAGGAGATGGACAGTAATGAGAAAACTACTCAACAGTCTTCTTTGCCACCACCACCACCACCTGACAGCCTGGATCAGCCTCAGCCAATGGAGCAGGGAAGCAGTGGTGTTTTAGGAGGCAAGGAAGAGGGGGGCAAACCGGAGAGAAGCTCAAGTCCGGCATCAGCACTCACCCCAGAAGGGGAAGCCACCAGCGTGACCTTGGTAGAGGAGCTGAGCCTGCAGGAGGCAATGAGAAAGGAGCCAGGAGAGAGCAGCAGCAGAAAGGCCTGCGAAGTGTGTGGCCAGGCCTTTCCCTCCCAGGCAGCTCTGGAGGAGCATCAGAAGACCCACCCCAAGGAGGGGCCGCTCTTCACTTGTGTTTTCTGCAGGCAGGGCTTTCTTGAGCGGGCTACCCTCAAGAAGCATATGCTCCTGGCACACCACCAGGTACAGCCCTTTGCCCCCCATGGCCCTCAGAATATTGCTGCTCTTTCTCTAGTCCCTGGCTGTTCGCCTTCCATCACCTCCACAGGGCTCTCCCCCTTTCCCCGAAAAGATGACCCCACGATCCCATGAGCCTGTTTTTCTGTACCTGCTGCTCTTTGTCCCACAGAGCAGAAACAGCTTCACAAAAGGACCTCCCAGAGTTATGAGCCCTGATTTTGTCTTTTTCTCTAAGTTCTTAACATGTTATGTCCCTAGTGGCTTTTCTGTAGTCCCTGAGCTTGGAAATTACTGTGCTTACAAGGGGATGGCCCCCTAAGGAATTTTTCTTCCCTCCTCATTCTTTGTACCTGAGGAACATAGATTCTCTGCAGCTTTCTCAAGGGGAACCCTCTCCAGCTTCCCTGGTGTGACCCTTCTTCCCCCTCCTCTCTCCTCTCCCTTTCCCTTTGGTAGGTGCACCTGAGCACCTACATTTGGCATTGCAGCCTAGCCAAAAAGGGCTGGCAGCTGTCTCTGGAGGGCCCAGTGCCACTCCTCTGGGGTGACCTTTCTGCTCAGCTGGTGGGTATGGGTCCCCTATCTTTCTAGAACCAGTATGTGGCATTCCTGTCAAATGGCCTGCCCATGAAGCCCTGGAATTCCAGCTCCACCTCCACTACCACTCCAAGCCTGGCCCCACCAGTGCTGTTTGGCCTAGGAACTGTGGCTGGGAAGGTGCCTCCAACAATGGGATCCAGGGAAGCCAAGGAGAAGACAGCCCCCCTCCTATTTCAGCCTCCTGCACCCAAGGCAGTGCCTGAGAAGCCCATCATAGACAAGAAGTAGCAAACTGTACATTCCTTCTTCCTCCCCCTGCTCCAGAAGGTGCCGGTACTGAAGATGCTCCAGTAATTGGTGACCCAACCCTAGGAAGTAGGGAGAAATGAAGGAAGGGCATAGGAAAATTTTCCCAGTAAATCCCCTGATGGTCACATTAAGGTAAAGGTTTTGGCTGGTCAGTGTGCCAAGACCTCTCCAGCTTCTCATTCATGATGACCTCTCAAAGTTGGGAAACAAGCTGATTTCTTGCCAAGAGGTCTCCCAGGAGATATTTGGGAAATGTGAAGTTCGTATCTTTAAGGAGCATTTTTGGTCAGCATGGTTGATGAACTAATGATGAGAGAGTTAAGGAATGTTGCTAGAACATAGGGCTTGCTGGTACCTATGTGACTAAGAAAGGGACATGATGTAAGGGAAAAGGCCTCAAATTCTTGTGAATGTCTGGACATTCTCGTTAATATTCTTTTGGGCTAATAGTGACATAGTGTGCAGAGGTGTACCAGGGATCATGGGGGATTTCCTAGCACTAGTATGCTTCTAGTTTTAGATAACTCCCTCCTTTATTCCCTGGCCCCTTGTATTTTCCTTATCTTCCTCTTTCAAGACCCCTACCCATTTTGCCTATCCGTAGGCTGGGGCTTGTGTCTTTGTCATTGTCTGGTTCTTAAGAGTCCCAGACTTTGGGAGACCAGCTCCAGGTGGCGTCCTCCCTGCCTCTCCGTCTTGTAATGAGTTGTAGTATTTACTCTTAACATAGGATCATTTGGAACAGGAGTTCTGAGGAGGAGAGAGTGAGGGTTTTGCTATTGACTGACTTGAACGATGGCTTCTCCTCAAGCTGTAGGCTCCAGAGCTTCCTAACCTAGTAAAATGTCAAGAACAGACGGGAGATATTAGTGTCTTTCCCTCTATCATTAAAGGTGTTTTAACCAAATATTTATGTGTTTCTCCTTATTTCATGATTACATAGCCAGCTGGGGTGTGATATGGGCATTCCCCAAAATTGAGATTCCCTTCCCACCTACATCTCCTGCCAAAGCTGAACATATGGTGTTGAAATATTTACTTTATTCAGCCTTGTCCTAAGACAACCTTCAGTTAATGTAACTTCTCTGTGGAAATTGTTCCCTGTGGAGTTTGTATTTCCAAAAGGTAGGCATTTGCCCACTGTGTCCAGTCATTGTCTAGATTTTCTCTACCTAGAACCTTCCACCACCAGGCTTTTCTGTGGGTTTTGTTTGGAGGTTGGAAACTGTTTCTTTTCCGTCTTTCTCAAACCACAGATCAGCCTTCTGACATCAGCGAATCTGTAGAACCAAGGTGAATTAAACTTTATGATCCTTGAGATCTGATGTCATAATCAGAAAGAAAAAAATGTAATTCAACCCTAATAATTTCTACCAACAAGACAAAGGAGGATTCTTATCATTAGGAATTCAGAGGAAGCACATAGGGGTGGGGTCAAATAAAACATATATTTTTTTTTCCCTGTCACAATGGCTCACGTCTGTAACTTCAACAGTTTGGGAGGTCAAGACAGGCCTATTGCTTGAGCCCAGGAGTTTGAGACCAGCCTGGGCAACATGGCAAAACACTGCCTCTTCCAAAAATACAAAAATTAGCTGGATGTGGTGGTGCACACCTATGGTCCCAGCTAATCAGGAGTCTGAGGTGGGAGGATTACCTGAGTCCAAGGAGACTGATTTGTAAGATTATAATATCATTGACTCTTAGTGCTAAAGGGATGGAACTGGTAAAATGATTTGCCCAAAGTCACTCAGTGGCAAAGTTGGATTAAGAACCCAGGTAGGGCCAGCCACAGTGATTCACGCCTATAATACCAGCGCTTTGGAAGGCCAATGCGGGTGGGATCGCTGGAGCCCAGGAGTTCAAGACATGCCTGGAAAACAAAGTGAGACCCTGTCTCTGCAAAAAAATAATTAGCTGGCGGGGCACGGTGTCTCACGCCTGTAATCCCTGCACTTTGAGAGGCTGAAGCGAGTGGATCACCTGAGGTCAGGAGTTCGAGACCAGCCTGGCCAACATGATGAAACCCCGTCTCCACTAAAAATACAAAAAATTAGCTGGGCATGGTGGTGCACACCTGTAATCCCAGCTATTCAGGAGGCTGAGGCAGGAGAATTGCTTGAACCCAGGAGGCAGAGGTTGCCGAGAGCCAAGATCATGCCACTGCACTCCAGCCTAGGCAACAAGAGCAAAACTCTGTCTCAAAAAAATATAATAATTAGCTGAGCATGGTGGCAAGTGCCTGTAGTCCCAGCTACTCAAGAGGCTGAAGTGGGAGATGAAGGCTGCAATGAGCTATGATAGCACCACTGCACTCCAGCCTGGGTGACAGAGTGAGACCCTGTCTCAAACAAAAATAGAACCCAGGTAGGCAGAATCCCAGTCGTTGCACTACTTTCACTGATCAGAGATGGCACTTGCTTCCTGCTACATCATTTAAGACTCTGGATGTGAGGCTGCCTGTAAGAAGGGAAAGAGGTGAGTAAACCTATTCCTTGTTGGGGGGTGTGGGGGAACAGAGTCTTAACTCTGTCACCAAGGCTGGGGTACAGTGGTGCAATCACAGCTCACTGCAGCCTCAACTTCACAGGCTCAGATGATTCTCCCATCTCAGCCTCCCAGGGAGCTGAGACTATAGGTGTGCCCCACCACACCCGGCTAATTTTTTGTATTTTCCGTAGACACAAGGTTTCACCATGTTGGCCAGGCTGGTCTCCAACTCCTGGGCTCAAGTGATCTGCTGCCTCGGCTTCTCAAAGTGCTGGGATTACAGTCATGAGCCACCATGCCCAGTATAAACCTATACTTAATTTAAGATAGAGAACCAATGTTTAATTCTAGTTGCCCCCACCAGAGCAGTGCAAGTCCCCTTTAAAATGTAACTGATAAATAGGAACACATGGGAATCTTTACTTTCTGGCAAGTCTTTGTAGATCTGCTTTTTCTCTCAGCCTGTGGAAGGAGGTGGGTCACCAATCATTCCATCCCCTTAACCTCTCCCACCCCCACTGGACACAGATAATGCCATTTAACTAATTAAACCAGACTTGCCCTCTCTTTAGGTGCCAGTTCCCATTATGGTAACAGCTGTCAGTGAGGCTTTTATTGATGGATACTTCCCTGGGCAGGCCAGCACTGAGCCTGAATCCCCACCCCGCTTTTTCACAGCTCTACTTTCTTTTCTTTCTGCCTCCTTTTCATTCTTTTCTCTCGCCTGTCCTGCTTTTTCTCCTTTCATTGACCTCCCCTTATTTGATAGCTTTTATTTCTATTTCTTTTCTCCCTTCATCCCTAATTTATTGTTTCTCTTCTTAGAGCCTTTAATTTCTTCCTTCTTATAACTGACCCTATCTCTACGCTCAGCCCCACCACTTCCCACTTTCAGTAACTTTTTGCTGGACAGTCTTTTTGGAAGTTGAATTAAGTCTAACCTGCAGGAATGAATATGTAAATAAATGCAGCTTGCAAAACACTTATTTTCCGTGAAACAGAGGATCTAGTTCAAATTGGATGAATAAAGTCATTGCTATTATAAGAAGCAAGAGACAGCTTCTTTGCTCATTCAGTTGACTTTTGAGGTTTTACTTTGTTTCAGAGACCAAGAGTTCTCAATTCCCAGTCAAAATGATTTTTAGGCTGGGCACGGTGGCTCACACCTATAATCCTAGCACTTTGGGAGGCCGAGGCGGGCGGATCACCTGAGGTCAGGAGTTCGAGACCAGCCTGGCCAACATGGTGAAACCCCATCTCTACGAAAAATACAAAAATCAGCCAGGTGGTAGTGGCCTGTAATCCCAGCTACTCGGGAGGCTGAGGTAGGAGAATTGCCTGAATCACTTGAATTGCTTGAACCTGGGAGGCAAAGGTTGCAATGAACCAAGATCGTGCCACTGCACTCCAGCCTGGGTGACAGAGGGAGACTCTGTCTCAAAAAAAAAAAAAATTAAAAAAGAGACCAAGTGTTGGTTAGATGCAAAGGTAAATACTGTTATGCCTCGCTTAATGACCAGGACACATTCCAAGAAATGTATCATTAGGCAATTTTGTTGTTGTGCAAACCTCATAGAATGTATTTACACAAACCAAGATGGTATAGCCTACTACAAACCTAGATTATATGTTATAGCCTATTGTTCCTAGGCAACAAACCTGTACAGCATATTACTGTACAAAATACTGTAGGCTATTGTAGCACAATGGTATTTGTGTATCTAGACATACAAAAGGTACAGTAAAAATACAATAATACAAATAATACAAAACACAATAAAAAAAGATACACCTATATAGGGCACTTTCCATGAATGGAGTTTGCAGGACTGGAAGTTGCTGTGGGTGGGTTAGTGAGTGCATGGTAAGTGAATGTGAAGGTCTGGGACATTACTGTAAACTACTGTAAACTTTATAAACACTGTATGCTTAGACTACACTAAATTTATTTAAAATGAAGTAACTGTGCTACAACATTATGGCAACTACAACGTCACTAGATGATAGGAATTTTTCAGCTCCATTATGATCTTATGGAACCATTGTTGTGCACATGGTCCATAGTTGACCAAATCATCATTATGTGATGTTTGACTGTAAGAGAAACTTCTGCCCTTAGGGGAGCTCAGTCTCAGTGGGAAAATGTAAACAGATACTTTTTTTTTTTTTTTTTTAAGAGACAGGGTCTCAGTATTGTACATGCTGGACTCCAACTCCTTGGCTTAACTGATCTTCCCATCTCAGCCTCCTGGGACTACAGGCACATACCATATTGCCTAGCTTTAAACAAATACTTTTATTTGGGGGTAACAGGAACTATGACAGATAATGGACAATGTCCTGTGGAATCAGAGAGGGAATTCAAACTTGTAATTCAAAAATGGAGAAGGGAAAGGGAGCATCCAATTCTCTTGAATTCAGCTTTCACAATAACCACTCTCAAGTATATTAACTCAACCTATACAACTTAGGAACCAATGCAGTTGCCATTTAAGAACCTATATAAGGCCGGGTGCCGTGGCTCACACCTGTAATCCCAGCACTTTGGGAGGCCGAGGCAGGTGGATCACCTGAGGTCAGGAGTTCGAGACCAGCTTGGGCAACGTGGTGAAACCCCATCTCTACTAAAAATACAAAATTAGCTGGGCGTGGTGGCAGTGGCCTGTAATCCCAGCTACTTGGGGGGCTGAGGCAGGAGAATCACTTGAACCCAGGAGGAGAAGGTTGCGGTGAGCTGAGATCATGCCATTGCACTACAGCCTGGGCAACAAGAGCAAAACTTCGTCTCAAAAATAAATAAATATTAGCCAAGTGTGGTGGCAGGCACCTGTAATCCAGCTACTCAGAAGGCTGAGGCAAGAGAATGACCTGAACACGGGAGGTGGAGGTTGCAGTGAGCCGAGATCGCGCCACTGCACTCCAGCCTGGGAGACAGAGCAAGACTCCATCTCAAAAAAAAAAAAAAAACAAAAACCTGTATAAGATCCATCACACTCTGTTTGGCAGACACAGAGATGGGCTGCTTTTGAGATGTTCCTTCAAGAAAGAACTGGCTACCAAGTGCAAGGAGCCTGGTTAGCTGACAACCTCCAGCTGTACTGCTCTTCTCCAATCCTTGGCCCAAAACTGAGCAAGGTACAAGGGCTTAGCCATTGGAACATAGGACTCTAATGAACAATATTTGCTCTGGAACTTCCCACTGGACTGGCAGAGACTTTATCAGGTCTGCATTGTGGTCTGACAGCTCTCCCTAATCAATTCCACTCCCCATTTCCTCCACTGTCTTTCCTTATACCAGTTCTGTCCCAGCATCTGCTTCTCAGGGAATTCAACCTGTGTCACCCCTGAATAAGGCGCAGAATTTATTGGCACATTCTCATCTCTCAGAAACTCCTGCACCTGTAACTTTGGTTATCATCCCTGGAACTTCTTAGTCAATCAACAAACACTTGTCTTCTGATCCTTAAAACAGATTTCACTAGTCTTATTCTCAATTAGACCCAACTTTGACTTCCCTTTATATTTCCTTTTCTAACATTTAATAACAGTAGGTTGACTAACCCTAGTGGGCATTCTGTTTTTAGTCAGATATGAACAAGACTTGAGGGAAAAAACATTCAGCCAAAGAATCAAGTAAAAAGCGAAGGGTTGGGCACGATGGCTCACGCCTGTAATCCCAGCACTTTGGGAGGCCAAGGCGGGTGGATCACGAGGTCAGGAGTTTGAGACCAGCCTGGCCAACACAGTGAAATCCTGTCTCTACTAAAAATACAATTAGCCGGACATGGTGGTACATGCCTGTAGTCCCAGCTTCTCGGGAGGCTGAGGCAGGAGAATTGCTTGTACCCGGGAGGGGGAGTTGTGGTGAGCTGAGATCGTGCCACTGTACTCCAGCCTGGGTAACAGAGCAAGGCTCCATCTCAAAAAAAAAAAAAAAAAAAAAAAAAAGTGAAGTATACAGTTAGTGCTATGTTTGAGATGGGGTCTCGGTATGTTGCCTAGGATGGTCTTGAACTCCTGAGTTCAAGGGATCCTCCCACCTCAGCCTCCAAAGCAGCTGGGATTACAGGCACATACCACAGCACACAGCCAATTAATGTCTTCTTTTTTTTTTTTTGAGACAGAGTCTTGCTCTGTCACCCGGGCTGGAGTGCAATGGCACTGTCTCAGCTCACCACAACCTCTGCCTCCTGGGTTCAAGCGATTCTCCTGCCTCAACCTCTCAAGTAGCTGAAACTACAGGCACATGCCACCGCACCTGGCTAATTTTTGTATTTTTAGTACAGATGGGGTTTCACTATGTTGGCCAGGCTGGCCTCGAACTCCTGACTTCATGATCCGCCCACCTTGGCCTCCCAAAGTGCTGGGATTACATGTGTGAGCCACCGCACCCAGCCTAGTGTCTTAATACTTACGTATTTGCTTATGATTCCATGGAGTGCCTGGTAGGATGGCTTGTCTATGTTCCATGTGGTGAGGACTGGGCTCACTCATGCAGCTTTCATCTGGACTGGAGAAGCCAAGATGGCCTCAACTTCTGGCTACTCAGATGGCTGGCTGGAATGCTGAACCCTCTCTCCTTACCATCCTTCATCCCCCAGGGTCTCTCTTTTTAAGTGGTCTATCAGGGTGACTGGACTTCCATGAAGGCCCAGGGTTCCAAGAGGGCAGAAACAGAAGCCGCGGCAGCACATCTGGAGGTCCCTCAGATCTGTCTCTTGCTTCAACAGTGTTTAGATGGAACAGACCCAGGGACTCTCTCTCAAAAATTAGAAACAAAACAAAACCAAATCCCGAAAGCTGTAATTCCTTTTAAGGTCTAGACCTCTTAAGGTCTAGAACTCAGGGAATATCTCTTCTGCCACATTCTTTTGGTGAAAGCTAGTCAGAAGCCTAGCTCAGATTCAAGAGGAGGGGGAATAAGCTTTACTTATTGATTGAAAGGGGGCAAAGTCACACTGCCTAAGGGCATGTAGGTGAGAGGCATTGTTGTGGCCAACACTGGAAGCAATCTACCATAGCAGATATGAGGAAAAGTTGAGAAGTGTAATGCATGCAGCACCCATCTGCTCAAAATTAGGCTTACACTCCATTTTGACTAGAAGAATTCTGCATTTTTCCCTCCTCCTCCTCCTCCTTCTCCTCTGTGTACTGCTGAGGGCTACGCGCGGACAAGAAAGCAATGTCTTTCTTTTGAGCAGCAAACTGGTCAAGAGGAGTCTAAAAAGAATCTCTCTACAAGAAGATCATGCTAAGAGGCCTTCCTGTACTTCTAAAATTTGCCCAATATGCCACTGTAATAATTTACCCAGAGTTAATGTGAAAGCAAAAACTTCTGGGAGCTGCCCTTGATTTGATTGACTTTCAGGAGTACTTGTGCTACTTCTTTGCACCACTGCCCTCCAGCAGTGAGAGTGAGGCTTGTCTCAATAAAACAAAAACAAAAAAACAAAGTTACACATCCCAATAGATAGTGTAAATTCCCTAAAAGTAAATTAAGTTCAGAAAATGAGATGGAAATGAGTATTTTCATCACTACTAAATCTCCATAGTATCTAACACATAGTAAACACTCAATACTTACTGAATGGATAAAAGTCATATTACAATACACATACATCTTTCAATAGCTCCCTTCATATTCACCCCTTCCTTTTCATTACTGTTCATAACCAGCTTTTAGTTACAGTTCTTCTCATCAGACACTTAGTTACAATGGACTAATAACCATCTTTGTCCTCTCCAAAATCTCCTTCCTCCTCACCTCAATTTATCTAGAACAGCAAATCAATTTTGAAACATTCCTATTTACAAACCCTAAGTGTTTCCTATTGTATTCTGAATAAATTGCCAAGTCTTTACTCAGGTACCATGTACCTTCTACAATCTGGCCTCAAATTTGGAAACCTAAAATTTCTCCCAATATTCCCAAATATAAATCTTTATGTTCTGGCGAACTAATCCAGATTGGCATAACACACATCACGCTTTCCTACCTCTAGTCTAGACCTTTGCCTTTATCATATTCCAGACCTGGATTTCCCTCCTATACCTTCACCTACTGAAACCTTAGTGGTCATTTTAAGCCTGAACCTTGATTCCAGCTTCTTTCCAATGCCTTCCTGGGTCATTAAACTTGGAGTCCTCCTCTTCTTTGAAATCACGTTTTTTTTTTTCCTGTTTTTTTGTTTTGTTTTGTTTTTGTTTTTTAAAAAGTCTATGCCCATGCTACCTCATGCTGTGAAGATGGTTCAGTATTAATAAACTGGCTCACAGCTCCTTGACCAGATTATAAACTCTTTGAAAACAGGAGCCATGCCAGTCAAACTATTTTTTGTATTTTTTGGACAACAGCGTATGGCATCATGTAGACATTGGATAAGTCAGTGATTCCCGAAATGTTTCCATTCAGGGAGCTCCATTAAAAAAACAAAACAAACAAACAAACAAAAGGCCAAGCCGGTGGCTCATGCCTGTAACCCCAGCACGTTGGAAAGCCAAGGCAGGCTGATGAGCTAAGGTCAGGAGTTCAAGACCAGCCTGGCCAACATGGTGAAACCCCATCTCTATTAAAAATACAAAATTAACTGGGCATGGTGGCAGGTCCCTGTAATACCTGCTACTAGGTAGGCTGAGGCAGCTAGAATCCAGGAGGTGGAGGTTGCAGTGAGCTGAGATCACACCACTGCACACCAGCCTGGGCAGTAAGAATGAAACTCTGTGTCAGGCCAGGCTCGGTGGCTCACGCCTGTAATCCCAGCACTTTGGGAGGCTGAGGCAGGGGGGCAGATCGTAGGGGCAGATCACGAGGTCAGGAGTTCGAGACCAGCCTGGCCAACATAGTGAAACCCTGTCTCTACTAAAAATAAAAAAAATTAGCCAGGTGTGGTGGCACGCGCCTGTAATCCCAGCTATTCGGGAGGCTGAGGCAGGAGAATCGCTTGAACCCAGGAGGCGGAGGTTGCAGTGAGCTGAGACCACGCCATTGCACTCCAGCCTGGGTGACAGAGTGAGTGAGACTCCATCTCAAAAAAAAAAAAAAAAGAAAATGTGTCAAAAAAAGAAAGAAAGAAAGGATTGTAGGAAAAACCACCACCACCAACCTTGTATTTAAGTTTACTACACATACAGAAAAGTGCACACCAAAATGTTCAGCTCAATTACATTTCACAAACTGAACACACTCATGCAGGTAGCTCTCATAACAAAAAACACAACGCAACCAGGACCTCAAAGCCCTCTTAGTGTCGGAACCCGATTTTAATAGATTACACGTACTTTGTAAATTTAGCCTAAGAGAGAGATCACGTATTTGAAGACCTCTCGGATTTTTCCTTCATCAGCCCTCCCCACTTCCCCACGCCTCGTCAACACAAAGAAGCATGCCCGCACCCACCACCGCCCCCTCCTCACCTCAGATTGGGGACCACCGTTGTGTTTTTTATTTTTTTGTAAATGAACGCATGGAAACAAACCAACACCACCTTCAGTGGAAAAGGTATGTTAGTACCAAACTGTCAAAAGGAACTAGTGATCCTTCATCTTAAAAATCTGTACTATGGCCGGGTGTGGTGGCTCACGCCTGTAATCCTAGCACTTTGGGAGGCCAAGGAGGGCGGATCACGAGGTGAGGAGTTCGAGACTGGCCTGGCCAACACAGTGAAACCCCGTCTCTACTAAAAATACAAAAAATCTGCCGGGCGTGGTGGCGGGCGCCTGTAATACCAGCTACTCGGGAGGCTGCGGCAGGATAATCACTTGAACCCGGGAGGTGGAGGTTGCTGTGAGCCGAGATCGCGCCATTGCACTCCAGCCAGGGCGACAGAGTGAAACTCCGTCTCAAAAAAAAAAAAAAGAAAAAAACCCCCAAAACTGTACTATATGGTGTTGCTCTCTACGAGTGCTACTTTAACACAAGTCAACTCTCAGGACTCCTCTCCGAATATTCAACATGGCCGCATGCGCGTCTATAAGCAACATGGCCGCTCTGCCAGTCACCAACATGGCAACCACAGCCTCACTGTGTCCGGAAGCATGAGAGAGCGGGTATGAGGACTATACCGGCCGCTCTGCCAACACCTAACGTGGCTCTTTATAGCTTCCAAGAAAGCGCGACACCGGAAATGACTTTTCTGTCTTGCTCAGCTCCAGGGGTCATTTTCCGGTTAGCCTTCGGGGTGTCCGCGTGAGAATTGGCTATATCCTGGAGCGAGTGCTGGGAGGTGCTAGTCCGCCGCGCCTTATTCGAGAGGTGTCAGGGCTGGGAGACTAGGATGTCGGACACGTGGAGCTCTATCCAGGCCCACAAGAAGCAGCTGGACTCTCTGCGGGAGAGGCTGCAGCGGAGGCGGAAGCAGGACTCGGGGCACTTGGGTGAGGCACTGGGCTGTTGGGGCCGAGGCTCAACCGGGGAGGACGGGCGGGATCCCTAGAGAAAAAGCTCCAGAGTCACTGCCCTTTACCAAACGGCCATTTCTATAAAGCCTCGTACATTGGTACTCCCTCTCCACCTTCAGCAGCAGACGTTCGCCCTTCTGCAAGTAGTTCGCGGTTCCTCCTCACGCTGGGCCTCGGTTCTTCCAGCTCACTTTTACCGGACGGACGCTTGAGCCCCACCCTCGTCCGCCTTGCCCACTCCTCTTCAGACTGCGAGGACGTCGCCTTTGTGAGGCTGCTCAGCCCCCTATCCCGCGAAGCAGCAAGAACCCCTTTTTGTTGCTGCTTTGGCGCTTTGTTCCCTCAGTTATAACGACTGTTTTGTAGTGGTCATTTCTTGGCAGCTGTGGGTACAGTAAGCGAGGAATGAACCTTTATATCCGCAGTGCCCAATTTAGTGGCCCGTACAGAGTGGCACTGGGTGTTTCTGAATGAGTACCCCTACCGGCATTGACTTAGCCATTTACATACCTAGCAGGAATCTGAAAACATTTGTGTTTGGTTTCCAAACTTTTTCTCTTCTCCTGTTGCCCCCGTGTCACGATCATAAAACTTGAAGGAAATTTAAAAGATTAAATTCACTGTTATCCACTCCCTACCCTCAGGACAAACTCTGAATTATTTAAGGCAAACTAGTAACAAAGCTCTGCAAAAATAGTGACTCAGTATCACCTTTGTGGTAGATTGTTCCAATATTTGTCAGTATCTTCAACTGCATCTCTAAATCTTGTCTAGATCATGTTAGGTTCATGTGCTCGTATTCTGGCCCCTAGAAATAGAAGATGCACTGGCAGGATCCTCCCACCTAATTAATTACCTTTCTTGAGTATCTACAGTGTTCATGGGTCTAATTAGACAAAAATAAGGAAGAAATTGCCCCTGTCCTCAAGAAGTTTAAAAAGCATAGGATTCAAGGGGAGACGCTTACAAAAAGTGAGGAATATGATAAGATATATGTACGAAACCAAATGAATGAATCTACAGTCTGTACAATGAAGAGAAGTAACAAGAGCTGGTGTAGGTAGTGAAGCCATCAAAACCATCATAGTGGAATTGGCACTTGAATTTGGCCTTTATGGCTATATAGGACCTAGATAATTAAAGAGGTAAGAGGGGAGGATAGTGGAGTAAGAAGTGCAAGTCATATGGTCAGGCAATAATTAGTAGTCAAGTCTCAGAGTAGTTCCTGAATTACCTAAGAGGGAGAATTTTTTTTCCCTTGCTCTAGAAACTTCATTGATTTATTTATAGATACAATTTTTTGTTTTGTTATGTTTTTTCCCCTATTCTTTGGTTTCCTGTTTTGAAACTTTTTAAAAATGTGCATAAATGATGCCAACGACTTTTTTTGCTTTTGTTTTTGAGATAGCGTCTCTCACCGTTGCCCAGGCTGGAGTGTAGCAGTCCTCCCGGCTCATCCTCCTGAGTAGCTAGGACTACAGGTGCATGCCACCATGCCTGGCTAATTTTTAACTTTTTAATAGAGATATGGTCTCATTATGTTGCCCAAATTTGTCTTGAACACCTGGCATCAAGCTGTCCTCTTGCCTAAGCCTCCCAAAGTGTTTGAATTACAGGTGAGAGCCACCATATCCAGCCTATTTAATTTTCCTGTGGAGTCTTTTCCCATTCAGCAATGGCAGTTGCAAAAGGGGACCTGAGGATCAGGTAGTTGTTTGTTTCAACAAAGTGATCTGCAAAATTATTTAGTTAGTTAGTTAGAGACAGGGTCTCCCTCTGTCACCCAGGCTGGAGTGCTGTGGCATGATCATGGCTCACTGCTGCCTTGACTTCCCGGGCTCCAGCGATCCTCCCACTTCAGCCTCTCAAGTAGCTGGGGCCACAGGCGTGTGCTACCATGCCCAGCTATTTTTTGTATTTTTGGTGGAGAAGGGGTTTCACCATGTTGCCCAGGCTGATCTCTAACTCCTGAGCTCAAGCAATCCACTCACGTTGGCCTCCCAAAGTGCTGGGATTACAGGCGTGAGCCACCATGCCTGGCCTACAAAATTAACTTTTAAAAAGCCGCTATATTGGTGTACTACATCATTGACTACTTTGTGTTCACCTTTCTGTCGTTTTTGTGACAGGCCATCCTCTATCTGTGGTGTTGTTTGTTGTTTCTTGGTTTTAATTGTTCCTCATCATACTTATTTATTTATTTTTGAGATGGAGTTTCGCTCTTGTTGCCCAGGCCAGAGTGCAATGGCGCGATCTTGGCTCACCGCAACCTCCGCCTCCCAGGTTCAAGTGATTCTCCTGCCTCAGCTTCCTGAGTAGCTGGGATTACAGGCATGTGCCACCACTCCTGGCTAATTTTGTATTTTTAGTAGAGACGGGGTTTCTCCATGTTGGTCAGGCTGGTCTCAAACTCCCAACCTCTGCTGATCTGCCCGCCTCAGTTTCCCAAAGTGCTGGGATTACAGGTGTGAGCCACTGTGCCCGGCATCATACTTCTTTATACTTTTCCATTTCTAAATTCATACTCTTTCAATGAATGATTCTAATTGCTCTTGGTCATTTTAAGTTTCATTTCATTTTTCTATGACATTAACTACATTTTGGTATTAACCAAACTTTCTGCTGTATGCAGACCTAACTACTAGAGCCTTGATACTTTGATCCAGGTCCTTGCTAAACATGTTTAATATTTTTGACAATAAGACTGTATTCTCCCTGCATGTACATATCCTTTTTTATTTTTATTTATTTTTTCTTTTTTAGATGTGAATATCTCTTGATTTGTATATTTAGCTAGTAATATAGCTAAGACCCTTTTCTGTGTGTGTGTGTGTGTAAGATAAGAATCTCGTTCTGTTACCCAGGCTGGAATTCAGTGGCGTGAACACAGCTTACTGCAGTCTCGACCTCAGGGCTCAAGTGATCCTCCTGCCTCAGCCTCCTCCTGAGTGGCTAGCACCACAGGTGTACCCTACCATGCCTGCCTACTTTTTAATTTTTATTTCTTTGTAGAAACAGGGCCTTGCCATGTTGCCCAGGCTGGTCTTGGACTCTTGGGCTCAAGCTATCCTCCCACCCTGGCCTCCCAAAGTGCTGGGATTACAGATGTAATCCCAGTCTAGTTAAGACTCTTATAAAAGTATTTTTGGGGTTGTAATTAAATGTATCTTGTCTTCTGACCGAGAGCTTGATCTGACCCATCATTTGGTACTGTGGTAATAGGTAAAGATGAAACATACAAATTAAACCAGAATGTCACTGTTCTTTCTGTGTTATTTTGATTATTTCAAAGAATGTATTTTGTTGAGCTTTAGGATTCTTAGGAAACCCTTGTGAAACACTGTATTGTAAGTTTATGAATCATGTTGTCATGTAAGATATAACTCAAGACTTGATAAAAGTTCAGATTATTCCATTCGTTTCTCACCGGAAATAAAAATTTGCCTACCACATCTGTTGCCCAGGCTGGAATGCAGTGGCGCGATCTCGGCTCACTGCAAGCTCCGACTGCCAGGTTCACGCCATTCTCCTGCCTCAGCCTCCCAAGTAGCTGGGACTAAAGGTGCCCACCACCATGCCTGGCTGATTTTTTTGTATCGTTTTTAGTAGAGACGGGGTTTCACAGTGTTAGCCAGGATGGTCTCGATCTCCTGACCTCGTGATCCGCCCATCTCGGCCTCTCAAATTGCTGGGATTACAGGTGTGAGCCACCGCGCCCGGCCACACCTTGTTTTTTACAGCATTACTGAAATCTGATAATTACCGACTACTGAACTGAGTGTCAAAAGACAAGGATATAAAATGAACTAAAATGTACCCACCACATCGTTAATAGTGGAAAATAATATGGGCAAAATATTGGGAGACCTTTGTTAGATTGGCATTTTTATTATTTATTTATTTATTTATTTATTTTTTGAGACAGAGTTTCGCTCTTGTTGCCCAGGCTGGAGTGCAGTGGTGCCATCTCACCTCACTGCAACCTCTGCCTCCTGGGTTCAAGCAATTCTCCTGCCTCAGCCTCCCGAGTAGTTGTGACTACAGGTGTCCACAGCCTTTGGAAGGCTAAGGCGGGTGGATCACCTGAGGTCAGGAGTTCAAGACCAGCCTGGCCAACATGGTGAAACTCTGTCTCTACTAAAAATATAAAAATTAGCCAGGTGTGGTGGCAGGTGCTTGTTGTATGTACTACAGGCACATACAACCTTGCCTGGCTAATTTTTAGTATTTTTTGGGCAAAACGCCCAACAGGGTTTTGCCATGTTGCTTAGGTTGGTCTTGGACTCCTGAGCTCAAGTGATCCTCCATCCTCAGCCTCCCAAAGTGCTGGGATTACAGGCATAAGCCTCCATGCCTGGCCTCCTTCCTTTTGAAGGATAAATAATATTCCACTGTATGTATATAACACATTTTGTTCATTCATCCATGGGTGGGCGTTTGGGTTACTTCTACCTTTTGGCTATTGTAAATAATGCTGCTATGAACCTGGGTGTATGAATATCTCTTTGAGACCCTGCTTTAATTCTTTTTTGTTTTGTTTTTTCTTGAGACGGAGTCTCGCTCTGTCACCCAGGCTGGAGTGCAGTAGCGCGATCTCGGCTCACTGCAAGCTCCACCTCCTGGGTTCACCCCATTCTCCTGCCTTAGCCTCCTGAGTAGCTGGGACTACAGGTGCCTGCCACCACGTCCGGCTAATTTTTTTGTATTTTTAGTAGAGACGGGGTTTCACCGTGTTAGCCAGGATGGTCTCGATCTCCTGACCTCGTGATCTGCCCGCCTCTGCCTCCCAAAGTGCTAGGATTACAGGTGTGAGCCAACCACGCCCGGCCGAGACCCCGCTTTAATGCTTTTGGGCATATACCCAAAAGTGGAATTGCTAGATCATATGGTAATTCTATTTTTGATTTTTGAGGAAGCGCCATCCTAATGGGTGTTATATATCTCATGTTGGTAAAGTATATTTTTTTAAAAAGAAAAATATTACTTAAAAAAATCTTTATTTTGGCCTTGGCAACAGAGCAAGACTCCGTCTCAAAAAAAAAAACTTTATTTTAATGGAAACAAACTATATTTGGCCAGGTTTAGCACATAGTAAATATGTGAAGTGCTCCAGTATATTTCTTGAGATTGAAGATGTGCATATAGATGTTGACACGTTTAAGGATTCAGCAAATTTGTAATCAGACCATATTAATTTCAGTGGTTCTCTTAATTAAAGGGTGAATCAAGTGTTATGTATTATTTTGCTAAACCGAACACATTATTTTCGTTAGATTAGAAGCAGAATGTCAGTGTAGTTGCAGCAGAGCGGAGGCATTGAGTAAATGTGTTGAATAAATAAATGAATAAATACCTTATGAAGGATTTGGAACCCAGGGATTCTTATCATTTTCTGGACAGTAACCGGTTTTAGGGATGATAAAACTTTTCCCCAAATGTCTGTATACATACAAAACTTTGCACGTGAAAAGTTTAGGGAATTTCACCTGAATAACAATTGTATTAACCAGCAGTTAAGTTTTATCCACCACATTAAACATAAGCTCCCTCCTCCTGATAACCTTAAAAAAGGTATTTTCAGCTCTAATATTCTGAATGTAATGTTGGGGAAAAAAAACCTCCCAGGAGGTGTTATTAATACAAGGATTCATAACCAGAATTACATCACCAGATATTGGAATGAGCAGTATTAAATCAGTCAGATTACCAATGAGAAAAGTCAATACCAACTTGTAAGGACTGAAATATTTATGTTAACATGGTTCTTTTTATAGATTTCTCACTTAAAAATTTTCTCACTCACTTAATTACTCAAAGAACATCTTCAGTTACTAACTGGAGAAACTGAAAATGAAAGAAGAAATGGGTGAGAGTGGAATCCTCCCACCTCAGCCTCCCCAGCAGCTGGGACTACAGGCACAGGCCACCTTGTGTGGCTAATTTTTAAAAAAATTTTCTTTAGAGACACTGGGTTTCACCATGTTCCCCTGGCTGGTCTGGAACTCCTGGGCTCAAGTGATCCTCCCACCTTGGCCTCTCACAGTGCTGGGATTACAGAGATAAGGCACCACACCAAGCCCTGAGTCAGATTTTAATAAATTCAGTTTCCATTAGAGTGGAAAATTTTCAAATTAATGAATTATTTATTTATATATTTTTTGAGACAGAGTCTTGCTCTGTCGCCCAGTCTGGAGTGCAGTGGCATGATGTTGGCTCACTGCAGCCTCTGCCTCGTGGGTTCAAGCAATTCTCCTCCTTCAGCCTCCCCAGTAGCTGGGATTATAACCTTGCATCACCACCCCCAGCTAAATTTTTTTTTTTTTTGTATTTTAGTAGAGATGGGGTTTCACCATGTTGGCCAGGCTGGTCTCGAACTCCTCACCTCAAGTGATCCACCCACCTTGGCCTCCCAGAGTGCTGGGATTACAGGCGTGAGCCCCAGTGCCTTACCAGAATGGAAATATTTAAGTAAACAAAATATTTCTAAATGTAAACTAATGGCCTACTTATTTAGCAATTTCAGTTCAGTTCTTAGGAGTTTAATATTTCATCTATATTTTAATTAACCACAGATATTAGGCTTTCTCAAAGATAACATTTTGTCCTAATTTTAGTTTCTCAAATCGTTATTAAGGTTATGATGGCAACCCAGCTTGTGAAGTAATAGATGATAATAATATAGTCAGGAAATATCATTTGGTAACCAAGGCTTCAGCAAAGTATTAAGATTTTTGTGTTTGTGAGTGTTATAGGTAACACTGTTGGCCCCCAACATTGTCATTTTGTACACTTTGTTGATCAGTGGCCTGAATTCATTAAAATTCACACTACATGCCTCAAAAAGAATATTGGATCCCAGCCTAGGTTGTTGAGTATATTCCTGTCCTTTATTAAAATGTAGGTTGATAGAAAGGTGGTAGGGATATTTAAATCTATCATGCTAATTTACTTTCTTTGTATCACAGCAAGGATAGGGAATTAGGAAAAGATTACTCACTCAATAGAGAAAAGGTAGATAGAAAATCCAGTATTATCTTGACAAAGCAGTGAATGTTTTAGTATGATTGAGGATAGGTAATCTAGTGCTAAAGTTGGTCACAGAATTTCCTGCACAAAATGAAAGATCTGTGTATGGGAATGCTAGAGAATTTGACTTCTCAGAAATATATAGACCAACAGTGGTTGCCTTTTTTCATTTTCACTTCTCTTCATTCTTAGATCTACGGAATCCAGAGGCAGCATTGTCTCCAACCTTCCGTAGTGACAGCCCAGTGCCTACTGCACCCACCTCTGGTGGCCCTAAGCCCAGCACAGCTTCAGCAGTTCCTGAATTAGCTACAGATCCTGAGTTAGAGAAGAAGTTGCTACACCACCTCTCTGATCTGGCCTTAACATTGCCCACTGATGCTGTGTCCATCTGTCTTGCCATCTCCACGGTAATGACCTGACAGAGTTAGGATTTACCACTTATTTTCAGTTCACGGTCAGTGTCTTATTGCCCATACCTCCCCTCGTTCTCTAGCCAGATGCTCCTGCCACTCAAGATGGGGTAGAAAGCCTCCTGCAGAAGTTTGCAGCTCAGGAGTTGATTGAGGTAAAGCGAGGTCTCCTACAAGATGATGCACATCCTACTCTTGTAACCTATGCTGACCATTCCAAGCTCTCTGCCATGATGGGTGCTGTGGCAGAAAAGAAGGGCCCTGGGGAGGTAGCAGGGACTGTCACAGGGCAGAAGCGGCGTGCAGAACAGGACTCGACTACAGTAGCTGCCTTTGCCAGTTCGTTAGTCTCTGGTCTGAACTCTTCAGCATCGGAACCAGCAAAGGAGCCAGCCAAGAAATCAAGGAAACATGCTGCCTCAGATGTTGATCTGGAGATAGAGAGCCTTCTGAACCAACAGTCCACTAAGGAACAACAGAGCAAGAAGGTAGGGGTCATGTGAAAATACTCTCACAATATGCTCTTAATTATAGCTTTGTTTGACAGGGATTTACCCCTAGGGCAAGGAACTGTTTACAGCAGTGGTTCTCAACTGGGGATGATTCCCTACTGCCCAACTCCCAGGGGATCTGGTAATGTCCGGAGACATTTTTATTGTCACACATGGGGGAGTGCTATTGGCATCTAGTGGGGGTAGAGGCCAGGGATGTTGTCAAACATCCTACAGTGCATAGTGGGACAAACCCCCACAACAAACAGTTGTCTGTCCCAAAGTGTCAACAATGCCAATGTCGACAAATTCTTATTTAGATAATCTGTCACTGAATCTGAAAGAATTGGATCAAGAGAAGAGGAATCCAAATATATAGAAATATAGGGAGATGAATGGAGAGGAATACTAGACCAATTATGGAAATTGACTAAATAATGTGAATTGGTTCTGAGTATAAGCATTGGCCTGACATGAGTTCTTATCTGTTTGGTACTTCTAGTGCGTGAGTTTGAACAAGTTAATTAACTTCTCTTGAGCCTTAGTCTTCTCATCTGTAACATGAAGATAATACCAGCGTATCCTGCCTTATAGAATTGAATAGACTCTGAGCTAAAAAGTAAAGTGTTTAGCACTATACTTTTTAGTTCAGCACCCAGTAAATATGTTTTTTGTAGAAGGAATGCCTTCCTGGGGAGGGGATGTTAACATAATGCTTAGCGGTAGGAACCAGGCCTCTTCCATTTTAATTTCATCCCAAATGCATATTTGTGAGGAAGGACTGAACCCCTAACAAATCTCTTATCTGAAGGCTCCAATTTTCCAATATTAAGTTAGCTAATTTAGGTCTAGGCACAATGGCTCATTCCTGTAATCTCAACACTTTGGGAGGCCAAGGCGCGAGGATCACCTGAGGCGAGGAGTTCAAGACCGGCCTGGGCAACATAGACCCTATCCCTATAGAAAGTAAAGTAATTAAAACATTAGCTGGCATGGTGTCACGCACCTATATTCCCAGCTACAATTGAAGGCTGAGCTGGGAGGATCACTTGAGCCTGGGAGTTCAGTGGGAGAAACAGTGAGTTATGATTACACAACTACACTCTGGCCTGGGTGACAGCAAGATCCCATCTCTTAAAAAAAAAAAAAAAAAAAAAGTTGATTTATCTCTTAGAAGACATTAATGTCAAAAAGAATTTGCGGAGTTGGTCTAAGAGCCAATTTGATCTATAAGACATTTTAAGTCCAAGGCTACTTCTGTCACAGGTCAGTCAGGAGATCCTAGAGCTATTAAATACTACAACAGCCAAGGAACAATCCATTGTTGAAAAATTTCGCTCTCGAGGTCGGGCCCAAGTGCAAGAATTCTGTGACTATGGAACCAAGGAGGAGTGCATGAAAGCCAGTGATGCTGATCGACCCTGTCGCAAGCTGCACTTCAGGTCTCTTGGAAGGGAATGAGGTGGGATGGGTTTGTCAGAAGCAGCCATTCCTTTTCAGCATATTCCTTCCAGTCATTGGGGTTCTGTCTGTAATCTTATTTAGTTTATGGTTTGTGTAAGTCCTCCAGACCCTGAAGGTGTACTTTCAGAAGTGCATTGTGTGGGAAGAATACAGGCTGTACTCCCAAATAACTGAGATTTTTTTTTTAAAAGCTCCCTCCCTCTTAGAATAGCAAAGTATGTCTGTCTCTGAGCCACAGTGAAAGTTAAAGTACTCTGAAAGGAGGATAATCTTAGGAGAAAAGGAACCTAAACTCTTAGGTCAGTGTTTTATTCTGTTCTACCCAAGTCTCCTGCACTGCTTGCCTTCCAGTGGTAAAACAGGAAACCAAGTCTTTACTCAGAGAGGAATTACAATTGTTCTGTAGTATGAATTATGGATTTCCATGCTACCTGCCTCCCTTAAAACTCTTGAAGGAAGCTCTAATGATAGAATTAGGGGAGGGTAATAAAATAGACATTTTGAAATCATTTGGAATTTGAACTGTTGGATCTACATCTGGAGCACCATCTTGATTCTCCCTTTTTATTTTCCCAGACGAATTATCAATAAACACACTGATGAGTCTTTAGGTGACTGCTCTTTCCTTAATACATGTTTCCACATGGATACCTGCAAGTATGTTCACTATGAAATTGATGCTTGCATGGATTCTGAGGCCCCTGGCAGCAAAGACCACACGCCAAGCCAGGAGCTTGCTCTTACACAGAGTGTCGGAGGTGATTCCAGTGCAGACCGACTCTTCCCACCTCAGGTACCTGTCTGCTCAGAAAACTCGTCTCAACTTACGGACTTATGTTTGATAGGGCAGCCATACACGTTAAGAAAGCAGAGCATAATTCAGCAATCTTGTCTTGCTTATTGGGAATGGAGGGGGATAGATAAGCTTTTAAGGGAATAGGAAAAATCAAATGGAAAAGAGGGACTCGGGCCATGAATCTCAGAGTTAAAGTAGGGAAGATGACCAAATACCACTTTATGCAGTGGATCTGTTGTGATATCCGCTACCTGGACGTCAGTATCTTGGGCAAGTTTGCAGTTGTGATGGCTGACCCACCCTGGGATATTCACATGGAACTGCCCTATGGGACCCTGACAGATGATGAGATGCGCAGGCTCAACATACCCGTACTACAGGATGATGGCTTTCTCTTCCTCTGGGTCACAGGCAGGTAATGCAATTCAGTTACGTAGGTATGGACAGATACAGTACAAGAGTGAATACTGAATGGGAGATAAAATCCTGGGTTTTCCTAGCCCCACTATTAAATGTATGACTGATTTAGTCTTTTTTTCTTTTTTTTTGAGAGAGTCTCACTGTGTTGCTTAGGCTGGAGTGCAGTAGTGTGATCTCAGCTCACTGCAACCTCCACCTCCCAGGTTCAAGCAATTCTCCTGCCTCAGCCTCCTGAGTAGCTGGGATTACAGGCACGTGCCACCAGCCCAGCTAATTTTTTCTTTTTGTATTTTTAGTAGAGACTGGATTTCACCATGTTAGCCAGGATGGTCTCTATCTCCTGACCTTGTGATCCACTCACCTCGAGCTCCTAAAGTGCTGGGATTACAGGCGTGAGCTACCATGCCCAGCCAGTCTTTTTTTCTACTGAGTCCTAATGCCTGTTTACAATGCAAATTTTACCCCGAATATATATTTAACTCTACATTTGTTCTTTGAGAAAGGTAAGGTTGTTGAGCATAGTTTTATCTTTTCGTTCTTAGATCCACCATGCTTTTGGTGGTGTGCATGTAAATGTTCACTGAGCGTCTACTGAAAAAGTGTTTATAGTGTTTTTAACACATCACATATTTTGAAGGGAAAAAAAATATGGGCATACAAATAGTTGTTTAACTCATTTCTTTCTAGGGCCATGGAGTTGGGGAGAGAATGTCTAAACCTCTGGGGGTAAGTAGTGGTTGTGTTGCTTTCTTTTGAGGGTAATACTGTTACAGTGAGATACATGTTCTCTTCTCCCAGACTATTCTGTGATTCCTTGCTTCTATAAATGGTACTACCCCTAAACTGTAAAAGTTTGGCTAAAATTCTAGTTCTTTTTTATGCCCCACAGGTATGAACGGGTAGATGAAATTATTTGGGTGAAGACAAATCAACTGCAACGCATCATTCGGACAGGCCGTACAGGTCACTGGTTGAACCATGGGAAGGAACACTGCTTGGTGAGCAGCAGTGGGGCCCAATTCAATAGGTGGAGCACAAAGAAGAATCATTTGATTTCTTACTGAGAAAAAGTTCAAAGGTGTGGTTTCATAAGGTAATCTGTTATCTGTGGTGAGCAGGTTGGTGTCAAAGGAAATCCCCAAGGCTTCAACCAGGGTCTGGATTGTGATGTGATCGTAGCTGAGGTATGTGCTTCCCAGGCCTCCAAAGCTTCCACATTTTTGTTGGTATCAGTTATTCATGTTGGGTGTATTCTCATCCCAGATTTTTCTCATTTAGATCATAAACATAATAGAAAGGGCTAGAATTGCAATCTTGTGTAACTTAAAAAGCAGCTAGTTTTTATTTCCTAGGTTCGTTCCACCAGTCATAAACCAGATGAAATCTATGGCATGATTGAAAGACTATCTCCTGGCACTCGCAAGATTGAGTTATTTGGACGACCACACAATGTGCAACCCAACTGGTAAGGTGACCAGAGAACAGGCTAGTCCTCAAGGGGCTATTATTTATGATTAAGGACAGAACTTAGTAGAGCTTCACATTGTTTTACACTAGTCCATAAATGAGCTTCACAGGATTCATAAGCCACTTAAGCTTGTATTTAAACTGTTTTATGAGATTCTACAAATATTCATTAGAAACTCAACAGGTTCTAGGACCCAAAAGCACTGCTCCCTAGGGTTTCTACTCTCTTCACAACCCAAGGATCTTCCTCAGCCATTCTGTGATGTATTGAATCTGCCCCCTGGTGGTTACGAAGTTATCTATTTAATCTGTCAATAATTACATCTTTCACCCCTTAACAGAGCTTAAAACACATGCTGCTAGCATTTTGCTTATCCAAAGAATACTCCCTGGTAGCAACTCTGTGAAGCAGGCCTGGCTAAGCATTAGTTACTAACCCTCAGATAATACAGATCCAGTCTATTTTAACACCAGAATCTATGCCAATTCTGAACTAGTAATTCTACCATATACTATTCTAATGTTAAGCTCTTTTTAGAATTGGCATATTTGATATGATGATAGGCAGTCTTCATTTGGTATGCATTTTTTAACAATATTAAACCCTCTAATTCCAGGATTTCTGGTTTGCCCCTCCTTTTACACTGTTTCAGGATCACCCTTGGAAACCAACTGGATGGGATCCACCTACTAGACCCAGATGTGGTTGCACGGTTCAAGCAAAGGTACCCAGATGGTATCATCTCTAAACCTAAGAATTTATAGAAGCACTTCCTTACAGAGCTAAGAATCCATAGCCATGGCTCTGTAAGCTAAACCTGAAGAGTGATATTTGTACAATAGCTTTCTTCTTTATTTAAATAAACATTTGTATTGTAGTTGGGATTCTGAAGTCCATTCTGGCTCTGCTACTTAACAGTGTATAATCTTGTGCAACTCATCTCTCAGTATTATATGTGAAATGGGAGTATTACCTCATTGGGTTGCTGTGAAGGTTCAAACTAAATGAGTGCATGGGAAACATTAAAATGATCATTATAGGCTAGGCACAGTGGCTCACACCTGTAATCCGAGCACTTTGGGAAGCCGAGGTAGGAGGGTAACTGTAGCCCAGGAGTTCAAGACTAGACTGGGCAACATAGTGAGACCCCATCTCTACTGCTACCCTCCAAAACCATTAAAAAAACAGGAATGCAGGCTGGGTGCGGTGGCTCATGCCTGTAATCCCAGCACTTTGGGAGGTCAAGGCGGGCGGATCATGAGGTCAGGAGTTCGAGACCAGCCTGGCCAACATGGTGAAACCCTGTCTCTACTAAAAATACCACAAATTAGCTGGGCGTAGTGGCGGGCGCCTGTAATCCTAGCTACTCGGGAGGCTGATGCAGGAGAATCGCTTGAACCCGGGAGGCAGAGGTTTCAGTGAGCTGAGGTCGCACCACTGCACTCCAGCCTGGGTGACAGAGCGAGACTCTGTCTCAAAAAAAAAAAAAAAAAAAAAAAACAAAAAACACACAGAAAACAGGAATGCATAGGATAAAACTATGTACGTAGCTGGTTGAGGAGGAGGTTCTCTAGGACAGCATTCCTGTCTACAAACAGTAAAAATTTGAGTTTTATTTAAAGTTATCACCACTTGGACTATCATGCTGTAAACTTCTGCTTATTCTGTTACAACCAGGTGGCTTCTCTAGTCTGTTTTTCTTTAGATTATGTCTAAGAAATAATGATAGACCTATGGTCTTTTAAAGATAGTTCATCAAACACAAGTGAATACAACTTTAGACTTTGGTGGAACCTCTTACTAATGATGTAGAGTTCCGCCTCTTAGATTCATGAACTGTGATAACTCAGATAAGGATGGTAACTGCAGAAATAATATATATAAAGAGAAATCACTCCTGGGTGATGTCATTTTCCATGTAGCCCAGTATGCCCATGTTGAAAAGTTTTGTTTTCAAAGCAGTGTACTGATGTGATAATGGGGAATAACATTTTTTTATGAGGGAACCCTTTAAAATGGATGCACACAGTGGCATTTTCTCCTAGGCTCAAAGCTGAGTACACTCCCGTAATTTTAATAATATTTTAGGCAAGTCCTATGACAATTATACCAACAAGTTTCTTCAACCCCACCACCACCCCACCATCTCTATGCTTTGCTTGCCCAGACTCCCTTCACCCTTTCCTCTGCTATTACCGCTTATGGTTGAAAGTAAAAAGCATCTCCAGATTACAGCAAATTCAGTGGCCCTGCTCCATAGCCTGGCCTCTGCTGAAGGAAGAAAAGGGGTGAAACATGAACAGCCATCATGGGTTGTGATGAGGCACTACCAGAAGCCCAGCTTGTGTTTCAAAAACAGGCTCTTGGACACTTTCCCAGCAGATAACTCTTCACTGGCTTGGAGAACAGGAAGGACTATTTCACAAACACCACTGTGTTTGAATTTCTAGAGGCTACCCAGGCCAAGAATACATCCCTAAGAGAGAAAAAGACATACACAAACAGAATTATACACAAACTGAAATAGAATTACAGCCTAGATACATTTTTTTTTTTGAGACGGACCTCATGGGTTCACGCCATTCTCCTGCCTTAGCCTCCCGAGTAGCTGGGACTACAGGTGCCCACCACCATGCCCGGCCAATTTTTTGTATTTTTAGTGGGGACAGGGTTTCACTGTGTTAGCCAGGATGGTCTTGATCTCCTGACCCCGTGAATCGCCCGCTTTGGCCTCCCAAAGTGCTGGGATTACAAGCGTGAGCCACCGCGCCCGGCCGCTACATTCTTTTTATCTTTTTTTTTTTTTTTTTGAGATGGAGTCTCGCTGTTGCCCAGGCTGGAGTGCAGTGGCGTGATCTTCTTGGCTCACTGCAACCTCCACCTCCCAGGTTCAAGAGATTCTCCTGCTTCAGCCTCCTGAGTAGCCAGGACTACAGGTGCCTGCCACCATGCCCGGCTAATTTTTGTATTTTTAGTAGAGATGGGGTTTCACTGTATGGCCCAGCTGGATTTTTTATCTGTCTTAAACAAATAGGTTCCCAGATAATTTCCTACAGCATTATGGTGAGATAGTATCACCTTGAAAATATAAGAACAGTGGGCTTAAAAGTCAGAAGTAGAGGCAATGCTAATTTACTGCAGAGTTTTTGAAATAGGAAATAGAAATGCCTTGTCCTACAGCTATAGGAAATTCCCAGGAAAATTTGGGGAGAGGGGTAAAATATTCCAACCATCTCCCCATTTCCTTCACAAATTGCAAATTATTATGTGTTACTTTCCACTTACCATTTCTCCCCAAATTCTAGTTCCCTAAGTAGTCTGATTTGCACCAAGAATTGAAAAGCTAATATTTGCAAACACTAACAGCTTAATGTATTATATTTTTAAAGAGCATACATAAGAGAGGTATGTGGTAACTGAAAAATGTGAACTGCTGATTACATCATCTTTGGCTTATGTGGCAAATGTAAGCTCTTAAGCAGGGGAGCTTTTCTAGTAGACCAGATACAGCAACCTACTCTACCTAAGGTAAGGTGACACTGAGATGCTGATTTTATGCTCAAGATTCCTATGTTTCCCAGTAGAATTGACCAGTAGCTGAATTATAAAAGGGAGAACTGTAAGCTCACCTGCAGTGCTTCACCACACACTCATTGCTGCAGTATTCATTGTCCCAGTCCTTACTCACAATGGGAGGGTTCTCACAACCAGACCTCACACATCGAGGCTGGGGTGAGAGTGCCACAGGAGACCCACTCACCAATTCAACATCCATCTGAGAAGGAGACTCAACCTGTGAGAAGAAGAAGAGTACCAAGGTGGATTAGATTGCTCCCTGCCTAGCTAGCTAGTTAGCTAAATTATCTGTAGAAACCAATGAAGCAACAGGTATTAGAATTCCTCACACTGGGGGGCAAAACTGCAGAAGAAGGTGAGTTCTTGGTCTCCCCTCTATAGTCCAGCTTCAGAACTTTGCCAAGCAGAATGGTGGAAGATTCTTCCCATCAGGAGAAAGGTGGCCATGTGCTAATGCTTTTTTTTCCCTGTTAAGCCTGGCTAGTCAAGCAGTGGGAATAGAGAGGTAGTGTTTTTTGTTTTTTTTTGAGACGGAGTCTTGCTCTGTTGCCCAGGCTGGAGTGCTGTGGCACAATCTCAGCTCACTGCAACCTCTGCCTCCCGGGTTCAAGCGATTCTCCTGCCTCAGCCTCCCAAGTAGCTGGGATTACAGGCGCCCATCACCGTGCCCAGCTAATTTTTTTTTTTTTTTTTTTTGAGACGGAGTCTCTCTCTGTCTCCCAGGCTAGAGTGCAGTGGTGCGATTTCAGCTCACTGCAAGCTCTGCCTCCTGGGTTCCCGCCATTCTCCTGCCTCAGCCTCCAGAGTAGCTGGGACTACAGGCGCCTGCCACCATGCCCGGCTAATTTTTTTTGTATTTTTTAGTAGAGACGGGTTTTCACCGTGTTAGCCAGGATGGTCTCGATCTCCTGACCTCGTGATCCGCCCACCTCGGCCTCCCAAAGTGCTGGGATTACAGGCGTGAGCCACCGCTTCCAGCCCCAGCTAATTTTTTGTATTGTTAGTAGAAACAGGGTTTCACCATGTTGGCCAGGCTGGTCCTGAACTCCTGACCTCAGGTGATCCACCTGCCTTGGCCTCCCAAAGTGCTGGGATTACAGGCGTGAGCCACCACACCTGGCCATATTTATGTCTGTTTTAAAAAATAACGGTATGAACCAATTAAATTTTTCTGCCTATACCCCCTGCCCCACACACATTTAAAACATCAAGCTAAGGAACTTAAGACCTAGGAGAAATGAAAAGCTTTGCATGTCCAAAGTTTAGGATCCTTGGGTAACAACTCTGAATAATAACTGTTTAGGCTATATCCTGTCCAGTTGAACTAGTGACCTCTGCTTAGTTAAGGAGTGGTCTGGGGCAGAAGACTGTCTTAATGTATCTCACTAAAAACACTATGGGGCACACGGTGGCTCACGCCTGTAATCCCTGCACTCTGGGAGGCCGAAGCGGGCGAATCACGAGGTCAGGAGTTCAAGACCAGCCCAATGAACATGGTGAAACTCTGTCTCTAATAAAAATACAAAAAATTAGCTGGGTGTAGTGGTGGGCGCCTGTAATCCCAGCTACTCGGGAGGCTGAGGCAGGAGAATCACTTGAACTAGGAGGTGGAGATTGCAGTGAGCCAAGATTACACCACTGCACTCCAGCCCAGGCAACAGAGCGAGACTCCGTCTCAAGAAAAACAAAACAAAACAAAACAAAACAGGGCGGGTGCAGTGGCTCACACCTGTAATCCCAGCACTTTGGGAGGCCGAGGCAGGCAGATCACCTGAGATCAGGAGTTCGAGACCAGCCTGACCAACATGGAGAAACCGTCTCTACTAAAAATACAAAATTAGCCGGACATGGTGGCACATGCCTGTAATCCCAGCCACTCGGGAGGCTGAGGCAGGAGAATCTCTTGAACCCAGGAGGTAGAGGTTGCAGTGAGCCGAGATCGCACCATTGCACTCCAGCCTGGGCAATGAGTGAAACTCCATCTCAAAAACAAACAAACAAAAAAAAAACAGTATGAGTACCTTGGGTAAGAGAAGTCAACTGCTGCAAGGAACTCCCATCTGCAGGATGTTTTGTGCTCCTGGTTGCTGGGCATTAAATGCTAGTAGCAACCCCCACTGTTATTGGGTCAACCAAAAACATTTTTATACATTTCCACTAGACTAAAGACTTAAAAACAAAGGCTCACCTCAGGAACTACATCTGTGATCATCTCACAGATAGTCTCAGGAGAAGGTGCCTCCACTGTATGGGCCTCAGGGCTGTTGTTCATAGGCCGCTCAGGACTACTTTCCACAGTTGGTGGGACTAAGGTAGTCTGCATTTTCAAAGTGGGTAGAGGCACACTCTTGATCTGCAGAGGAGGAGGCTGTTGCTGTAAATTGATTCGAACTTTCTGAGGTGGAGGCTGTTGCATGGCCTGGAGTGGAGGAGGCTGCTGCAGAATGGTAACTTGCTGCTGAGTCGGGGGCTGTGGCATCTGTTGTAATGGAGGGGGCTGTAGTCGGGGTGGAGGCAGTTGCATAGAAGCAGCAGCAGCAGCAGCTGCTGCTGCCTGCAACACTGACCGAGTGACAATCTGGGCTTGTTGACTGGGCTGGATAGTAGCTGTACTGGTTTGGCCTAGTTGGAGCCCCCGGGAGGTCACCACTGTGGCTGGGATAACAGTAACCATCCCTCCTTGAGACATAGTAATAGAAGAGGGCAACATTTGTTTGGTAATAATCAACTTGGTGATATTGGGCTGACCCCCAGCTCCAGAAGATGCCTGGTTTGCCACATAGGATGAAAGGGTGGAGTTAACAACAATGGATGGGGACAGGGCAGGGGGCTCTATTGAAGCTGGTGCTGGAGATGCTGGGTCAACAGTAGCCATAGGAGGTGGAGAAGGAGTTTGTGATGGTGGTGCTGGATCCAATTCCACTGTTTCCACAGTGGCCTAAAAGAAGACATAAATCAATCTATCAATTAATCAATCACTTGGTGGTATTTACTTCTTAAAACTGCTAACAAACACTTCCAAAAAACTTCTTACTGGTTTAAATATTCATTCTATCCTATCCCTCTTACCTGACACTCCTGGTTGTCTTTGTAAGCAGCCAGTGCCTTCAGATACTCTTTCTTGGCAGCCTCAGTTTTCCTCTTATATACCTGCAAAAAAGAGACTTTAAAAAAAAAAACAAAACTCCCCATACTCTTAGGAAAGACTGATAGTTCTGTATTATTTATCAATGAATGACAATTCATCTTAGTCTAATCACTGACAACCTCTATCAGTGAATTCAATTCTGAAAGCTAACAGTCAAGACAACCTCCATGGCAGACTCACTCCACTGAGCATACCTCTGAAAGACAACCAATCGACAGGAGTCTGGCAAGAATAGCTACATTTATTTTATTTTGCTACATTTATTTTATTTTTTTTAAATTTTTTTTGAGACAGAGTCGTGCTCTCTCGCCCAGGCTCGAGTGCAGTGGCGTGATCTTGGCTCATTGCAAGCTCTGCCTCCCAGGTTCATGCCATTCTCCTGCTTCAGCCTCCTGAGTAGCTGGGACTATAGGCACCCGCCACCACGCCCGGCTAATTTTTTGTATTTTTAGTAGAGATGGGGTTTCGCTGTGTTAGCCAGGATGGTCTCGATCTCCTGACCTTGTGATCCGCCTGCCTCTGCCTCCCAAAGTGCTGGGATTACAGGCGTGAGCCACCACGCCTGGCCGAGAATAGCTACATTTAAGGCAAACATCAACCCATGCTCACTTCTGTAACAAAAATAAACCCTAATCTGCCAGGTGCGGTGGCTCACGCCTGTAATCCCAGCACTTTGGGAGGCCAAGGTGGCCAGATCACGAGGTCAGGAGATTGAGACCATCCTGGCTAACCTGGTGAAACCCGATCTCTACTAAAAAAAACAAAAACAAAACTAGCCCGGCGTGGTGATGGGCGCCTATAGTCCAGCTACTCAGGAGGCTGAGGCAGGAGAATGGCGTGAACCTGGGAGATAGAGCTTGCAGTCAACCAAGATTGTGCTACTGCACTCCAGCCTGGGCGACACAGTGAGACTCTGTCTCAAAAAAATAAATAAATAAATACAAAATAAACCCTAATCCAAAAACTGTGTCTTAGCCTGGGACTGTGTCTAACCAGTATATTTTCCCTTATGGAATGTGGTAAATTGTTTGCAAAGATGGCCACAACAACTCCTCCCATATGACCTTTCTCCCTTCAAGAGCTGAAGCCTATTTCCCCCTCCTTTGAATCTGGGCTAGCTCTAAAAAGTTTTTAAACTCTAAATCCAAAAAAGAAAAAGAAAGAAAAAAAATAGGCCAGGTGCGGTGGCTCACACCTGTAATCCCAGCACGTTGGGAGGACAAGGCAGGCGGATCACCTGAGGTCAGGAGTTTGGCACCAGCCTGACCAACACGGTGAAACCCTGTCTCTACTAAAAATACAACATTAGCTGGGTGTGGCGGCACATGCCGGTAATCCCAGCTACTTGGGAGGCTGAGGCAGGAGAATCACTTGAACCCAGGAGGTGGAAGTTGCAGTAAGCTGAGATTGCACCACTGCACTGCAGCCTGGGTAACAGGAGCGAAATTCCATCTCAAAAACAAACAAACAAGTAATTCTAAATCCAAACTTGGTAGTGGATTTGAGAGTTAGCCACAGCATGCAGCTTATCAAGTAATAGCCTAATTTTATAAATGGGGGAAAAAATGAGACTTAGAAAAGTTAAATATCTAAAAATTGAACAGAAGGACACTACATGAGGAATTATAGGAGACATTATTAGTGGAAAGTACATGGGAAGAGTTAAAGAACCTGGATTGTGTCTCAACTTTACCACTTAAATGTTATATGACCTTAACTGGGCAGTGGGCTCCAGTTTCCACCTTAAAAGCGGGAAATGGTAGCTATTTTTGAGAGTTATTGTAAAGATGCAGTACTTCTGTAACAATTATTATTATTTTTTGAGATGGAGTTTCACTCTTGTTGCCCAGGCTGGAGTGCAATGGCATGATCTCGGCTCACCGCAACCTCTGCCTCCCGGGTTCAAGCAATTCTCCTGCCTCAGCCGCCTGAGTAGCTGGGATTTGAGGCATGCCACCACACCCGGCTAATTTTTTTGTATTTTTAGTAGAGTCGGGGTTTCAATGTCAGCCAGGATGGTGTTGATCTCCTGACTTCGTAATCCGCCTGCCTCGGCTTCCCAAAGTGCTGGGATTAACAGGCGTGAGCCACCGCGCCCGGCCTATAACAATTATTATTTATTTATTTGAGCCGGGGTCTTGCTCTGTCACCCAGGCTGGAGTGCAGTGACACAAACATGGCTCACTGCAGCCTTTATATCCTGAACTCAAGCAATCCTCCCGCCTCAGCCTCCACAGCTGGGACCAAAGGCACATGCCACCACACCCAGCTAATTTTCTGTGAGACGGGGGTCTCCCTATGTTGCCCAGGATGGTCTCGAACTCATGGGCTCAAGCAATCCTCCTGCCCTGGCCTCCCAAAGTGCTGGGATTAAAAGCATGAGCCACCACACTCAGCCTATTAATAATTTTTAAATAGGCCGGGCGCAGTGGCTCATGCCTGTAATCCCAGCACTTTGGGAGGCCGAGGCGGGTGGATCACGAGGTCAGGAGATCGAGACCATCCTGGCTGACATGGTGAAACGCCGTCTCTACTAAAAATACAAAAACAAAATTAGCCCAGTGTGGTGGAAGCGCCTGCAGTCCCAGCTACTCGGGAGGCTGAAGCAGGAGAATGGCGTGAACCCAGGAGGCGGAGCTTGCAGTGAGCTGAGATCACGGCACTGCACTCCAGCCTGGGTGACAGAGCGAGACTCTGTCTCAAAAAAAAAAAATTTAAATAGGTTTTCTGGAGTGAGTGTATGGCTGCAACTTCGAAGACAAGGGATGATATTTAAGTGTCATTAACAAACAGCTGATATTAGATAAGGACATGTAAGAAAAAAGAAAACCTCAATTTTTATCTCTTTAAAAACTTCTGGAACATTCACTACTAGTTCCTCAATATTTGCTCACCTGTTTTTGCTCCTCTCCAAGACTATCCCACATGGAGGCCACAATTTTTGAAACCTCACCAAAAGTGGCATTAGGATTCTGTCCCTTGATGGCAGCCTGTGTATCACGAAAGAATAAAGCATATGCTGAAACTGGTTTCTGAGGTTCATTAGGATCTTTCTTTTTTCTCTTCTTTGGGGCCTTCTGCTTTTTCCCTGCTTCCACCACGACTGTCTTCTGGCTGGGAAGTTGCTGTAGGAGAGAAAAAAGAGAGAATTACACAATGGACAATGACAAGTATTATGTCTGGAAACTAGCCACATGTATGGAATTTTCAGAAATGCTAAAAATCATAGAAATAGCATTAAAAGACATTAGTCAAATATGGAGAACCAATAAGAATAGGGATTGAGAGGAGAATTATAAACTGGAAATTGGGAGGTGGAACCCCATACCCAGAAAACAGCAGAGGAGATGGCACGGCAAGGGTAAAGAATACTGATTAGGCTCTGTATCCCAAAAATTTTATCCCAGACTATCACAGCAGAATTGATTTTGACAGGGAATGCCTCACCCTCCGGAAATCCTCAACACCATCCTCGTGAAGTGAACTAGTAGGTGAAGGGGTGGTTGAAAGACGATCTTCAGGTGACTGGGCAGGTGGCAGGATGGTGCCACCCCCTAGGCTCAAACCCAGCTGGGAACTCAGTTCTGACTGATCAATGGTGGTCAACTGGCTATGCCCCATCAAGCCAGATGTCATGTCTGTCATTGGTACATCAATTGTAACAGGTGGGTTGGCACTATACTGAGTTCCTATAGAGTGGTCCAAGTCCTGAGAGAAGCAGAAGGACTAATTAAACACTAAATATAAAAAAAACCACTTTTCCCCCCTAAATTTAAGACAGCTTATAAATTCCCTGCCTACCCAAATTGTATCATTTAAAATACAAAACATAAAATAGTCTTCAAAAATGAAAATAAAAAAATAAGCTTTTTAAAAAAGTACAGAAATTAATGAATTTACTTCTTTGCACTCAAAAGAAGAACTAAAAATAATCAGAGAAGTCGCACTGTTGGACAAGTCAAAGAGCTATCAACTTATTCAGTAATATATAGGTAGTGACAACACATTGAGTAAAGAAAAACTTCCTATCTGTACTCTCCCAAAATAATAGCTTTTAAAATTGTAATACATAGGCAATCAGCATAAATAAGGCCAATATTAAAGTCTGGCATCAAATATAGAGTATGAAGATGTGCTTACTGGTTCGATGTGCTGGAAGCCCAATATACTGATTTATATTACATACTAATCCACAATACTATATTTGGCTCAGACTTTTTTTTTTTTTTTAAGCTCTGTTCTGCTGGCTGCTCAACGTGATTCAGGCCATTTTTGAATAAATCCCTCCGTGTGCCAGCTATCACATTCAAATTTGAATCCTAGGATGTGAAGGCCATAATAAAAGCAGAAAACACTTTTTCCCAAAAACCACAATAAATAATTTTCAAACCAGACATTGTACAATTTTAAATTATTTTTCAAGTAAAATCTACCTACATGGTAAATTTCATTTATTCAGGTGAAATTAAGTCTTTGTTGGTGAGCCTTTAGCCACAAGAAGAGAAACAAGTAATACCCAAGTGTAGCAGGGAATAGAGTAACTTTGTCTCCCCTAATGCCATGCCCATTAGCTGGGGTAAGCCTGACAATGTCTTGCCCCTTACCATGGTCAAGCCCCCACTCAGGAGCCCCCCGCCCTGCTCCATCAAGCCATGGGTCATGCCCACAGGCATGTCCAATGTCTGGACCCCATACTGGGCTGAAAAACTGCCATCCTGTGAAGAGGAAGGGTCTGCCAGGTCATCAAAGTGGCCAACCACATCTGAGACAGCCAATGAGGGATCAGAATCCAAGGAGATAGGTGGGATTTCAAATTCCTCATCACCCAAGCTTGGTGTATGGAATGTCTGTAGGGGAAAAAAGGGGGAAAAGAATTAGTGAAAAGAGGAGAAATGGCATACTACTAAGTGAAGAACATAATGGGGTACTAGAGATTCTCAGGATGCATTTTTTCTGCTTAGGATCCTATTTTATAATCAATTTCTTAGAACCTATTATTTTTACCAATCTCTCTTCTGATACCCTTGGTCATTTGGTACATTCAAGGCTGCTAACATCAGTCACAATTTTCAATTCTTTTATCTCTTTTCTACCATTACCGTCTCTTTTGTCTTAAATTATGCCTATGGTTCTAATGAAAAATTCTTTCAGTACCATTACTTAGGACATAGCCTTTATAACCTGTTTACTATGATTCTTGAAATCTCTCTCTAAAGATTCTAATAGAGCAGTTATTTCACAATTATTACATCTAAACTGTTAGGTCACAGAAATTCGCTGTCAGCCAGCCAATTATACTTTGTTGTTTTAGGTTCCTTTCAAACAGATGCTAAAATGTACTGTCATGGGAACTTTACCCCCTCTAAAATATTTGCAGAGTTTCCTACTTCTTCTCCACTTTAGAAATTATAATGTTAACAACAAATAAAGATTCCCATTAGTATAGGATTTTCAGAAAACCTCAACAATGCCAAAAATGCTAGTCTTGCTCTGACCAAGCTTCTCTCTAAGAGAGGAAAAGGATTACTCCAGTTGGCTAAAGACCCAATCTCTTCCTCTGAGTCCAACTAGGTCAATAATAACACATTCTTTCTTTTCTGAATGAGGCCACCACTCATGCAGCTAACAGACAATGTCTGATTAAGATGTGAACTGCTATGGTTCTGTTTTGACACTAAAATCTAAATGGTGGCATTTACAGCAATAGACATTTATAAATAATAGCAAGAGACTGCTGTCAGAGAGACCTGGGTACAAGACCTTGAACAAGTTTTCTTCATCTGTAAAATGGGAATTATAATGGTAATCCCCTTATATGGTTATTATGAGGATAAGTGAGATTTCATGCATAAAATCTTAGCACATTGCCTGATACATATAATGGCTTAATCACCATCATTAACCATTGTTATGAATGATAATATCCTAATAATGATTACCCCCACCCCAACCAATTATAACAGATAATTGGAATTTTAGAAACTTTAAATTCTATCAATCTAACACATAGCATAGTAAATATAAACTGATTCAGATCAAATTCAATAGGTACCAACATTTTTTTTTTTCATAATTGAACAATGCATTCTTTAAATAGAGTTCCTAAAGGTTCCTTTTCTTTTTTTTTGAGATGGGGTCTTGCCCTGTCACCCAAGCTGATCTGGAACTCCTGGGCTCAAGCAAGCCTCCAGCCCCAGCCTCCCGAGTAGCTGGGACTACAGGTATGTGCCACCACACCCAGCTAATTTTTAAAATTTTTTGTGGAGACGAGCTCTCCCTGTGTTGCCCAGGCTAGTCTCGAACTCCTGGACTCAAGTAATCCTACTGCCTCGGCCTCCAAAGTGTTGGGCTTACAGACCTCAAGGTTCCTCTAGATCCTGAAATGTTCTTCTATTATGACCATTTCTGTCTTTTTTTTTTTTTCTTTTTTTTGAGACAGAGTCTCGCTCCGTGGCCCAGGCTGGAGTGCAGTGGCGCGATCTTGGCTCACTACAACCTCCACCTCCCGGGTTCAAGCAGTTCTCCTGCCTCAGCCTCCAGAGTAGCTAGGACTACAGGTGTGTGCCACCACGCCCAGCTAATTTTTGTGTTTTTTAATAGAGACGGGGTTTCACCATGTTGGCCTCGATCTCTTGACCTCGTGATCCACCCGCCTCAGCCTCCCAAAGTGCTGGGATTACAGGCATGGGCCACCGCACCTGGCAGTTTTTTTTTTTTTTGAGATAGAGTCTCCTTTGTCACCCATGATAAAATGCAGTGGCGTGATATTGCTCACTGCAACCTCCGCCTCCTGGGTTCAAGTGATTCTCCCACCTCAGGTTCCCAAGTAACTACAGGTGCACACCACCATGCCAGGCTAATTTTTATTATTATTTTATTTTTGAGACAGAGTTTCACTCTTGTTGCCCAGGCTGGAGTGCAATGGCGTGATCTCAGCTCACCGCAACCTCCGCCTCCCAGGTTCAAGTGATTCTCCTGCCTCAGCCTCCCTAGTAGCTGGGATTACAGACATGTGCCACCATGCCCGGCTAATTTTGTATTTTTAGTAGAGACGGGGTTTCTCCATGTTGGTCAGGCTGGTCTTGAACTCCCGACCTCAGGTGATCCGCCCTCCTTGGCCTCCCAAAGTGCTGAGATCACAGGCGTGAGCCACCACGCCTGGCCATGACGCCAGGCTAATTTTTGCATTTTTTGTAGAGATTGGGTCTGGCCATATTGCCCAGACTGGTCTTGAACCCCTGGGCTCAAGCCATCACCCTGCCTTGACCTCCCAAACTGTTGGGATTACAGGCATGAGCCACAGCGCCCAGCCTCTAATTCTGGTTTAATGAAGACATTAGGCTGGGAGCAGTGGCTCACGCCTGTAATCCCAGCACTTCGGGAGGCCCAGGTGGGCGGATCACACGAGGCCAGGAGTTCGAGACCAGCCTGGCCAACACAGTGAAACCCGTCTCTACCAAAAGAACAAAAAATTAGTCAGGCATGGTGGCACACACCTATAATCCTAGCTACTCGAGAGGCTGAGGCACGAGGATCACTTGAACTCAGGAGTCAGAGGTCACAGTGAGTCAAGACTGCACCACTGCAATCCTGCCTGGGCGACAGACCAAGACCATGTCTAAAAAAAAAGAAAAAGAAAGAAAATAAAGGCCGGGTGCCGTGGCTCATGCCTATAATCTCAGCACTTTGGGAGGCCGAGGTGGGTGGACCACCTGAGGTCAAGAGTTCGAGACCAGCCTGGCCAACATGGCGAAAATCCATCTCTACTAAAAATACAAAAATTAGCCAGGTGTGGTGGCAGGTGCCTGTAATGCCATCTACATCAGGAGGCTGAGGCAGGAGAATCACTTGAATCCAGGAGGCAGAGGCTGCAGTGAGCCGAGATTGTGCCACTGCACTCCAGCCCGGGTGACAGAGCAAGACTCTGTCTCAAAAAAAAAAAAAAAAAAAAAAAAAAAAAAAAAAAAAGACATTGCTAGAAAGAAAATTTCCAGCTAGCAGAAACTAGGGAGAAAAAAGTGTGCCTGTGAAATGCCCAATCTCTGAATCACATTTGTAAAAGTTTCCTAAAAGACAAAAAGATATATGTACAGTTTCCCTTCTCCTTACTATTTTACTTGGTATGGTAAAAAATCTGGTCGTTGTCTGAGATATAAGTAGCACACGGAGCATAAGAACACACAGTTCTCAGCTGGTAGTGGTGGCTCACACCTGTAATCCCAGTACTTTGGGAAGCCAAGGTGGGTGGATCACTTGAAAAGTCGGGAGTTCGGGACCAGCCTGGCCAACATGGAAAACCCCATCTCTACTAAAAATACAAAAATTAGCTGGGTGTGGTGGTGTGCGTCTGTAATCCCAGCTACCCAGGTGGCTGAGGCACGAGAATCGCTTGAACCCAGGAGTTGAAGGCTGCAGTGAGCCAAGATCACATCACTGCACTCCAGCCTGGATGACAGAGCAAGACTCTGTCTCACACGCGCACACACACACACACAAATAACAAAAAATACCACGCAGTTCTTGATGGGAAAAACTGAAACTTTCCCCAAGAACTGAACTTTTCTCAGTAGTACACAAATCATGTATTTATGTATGTTGTTTTGTTGTTGTTTTTTTTAATTCTGAGACAGGGTCTTACCCTGTCGCCCAGGCTGAGTGCATGGCTCCATCACCACTCACTGCAGCCTTGAACTCTTGGGCTCAAGTGATCTTCCCACCTTGGCCTCCCAAAGTTCTAGGATTACAAGTGTGAGCCACTGTGTCTGGCCCATAATTTTTGTTATTGTGTGGAAGTTCTTAACTTCCAGTCCATGACTCTTTCTGATATTTCAGTTTAGGTTTACGTGAGCATTTTTAAGGTAGAAGGTACAAAGATTTTTACCAAATTCTCACACCAAAAAAAAAAAAAAAGTTATAGGAACAGGAAGAAGGATCAAGGGAAACATTTACTGTACTAGACTAATAGTAAAATAGTAGTTTCCAAAATTTTCAAGATACAGATTGCTTTGGCAAAGCAAAGATGCCTATCCTTTTCTGCTTACCACAACAAAACAGCAACTTTGTCAGGATATAAAAATGATACTATTTGTTAATGAGAACCCCAAAAGGATAAAAATTCATATCCAAAACAAGGGACCAGTGTTCCACAAGTGACTACCCCTCATAAACCATCTGGAATGTTCTCCTTGTACACTAAAAAATTAGACATGGCTACATAAAATGAACTGGGAAATGATAAAAAAATTAGACATGTTGAGATTCCATTATGTAGGATCGACAAGGCATTCTTTCTATACACCACCCCTTGGGATGTGTAAAAGCTTTGTTATTCAGTACCTATGGCTTTCATGGTGGTTTTCTGGGTTCTGTTTTATTTCTTCCTTTAAGTATGAATAGTAAGATAACTACAATTATCAAGAATACAGAAGGTTAAAAAAAAAGGATAGGGTAAACCACATGCTATAGTAAAAGTAGAGATTCACTAAAATCTTTTTCACTACAAATGATCTGTAAAATTATGGGTAAAATCCAAAAATGAATACCTAAACTTACTTTATTTTAGCGGATTACATAACCAGATCACACTCTAGACTGTTAAATATAAAACAAAACTAAAACTGAAGCAAATATTAAAAAGAAGTGGTTTGGACACAGAAAGAGAAAACAGGAACATGATATGCAGTTACCTTCTAACTTAGCTTTCCTTTCCTCCTTTGTTCAATTCCTGGGCCTTTTTGAAGGAGGGGCTGGTTTGGGAATTACAGTTTATAAGCAAAGATGCTTAAATATCAAGAGAACCAAAAAATCAAAAATACCATTTCCCTCCCTTTTTTCATTCTCTGATCCCAAAACATACAATCTATTATTTCTTTAGCTTATTATATAGATCATTCACTTTAGAGAAATTTATTTTAATCCAACACCTATTTATTCAACAATACGCTGGTACTATGGGTCATTTAAATAACTGCTCTTAAAAACTGATGTAGTAGTGAAAATTTTACCTATTTAGCCAGAAATAATGAACTGGTTCTAATGTTAGTTACTTTTCCTACTGAAGGATGGGTACCTTTATGCCTAATTATTTCCCCAATGTGCTCTAAGCATAATACCACTATATTAGAGCCAACCTGAAAAAGAGAAACAGAAAGATTAAATTGCCTTCAGATCATAGAACTTTCCGCCTCAGGCAATGCTCTCTCTGGACTGCTACTCTTTTGAAATTATTACTATTTCTTATTTCATTGATATACAACTTATGTAAGGTACATAAATTTTAAGTGTATAGCTTAATGGATTTTTTACATATGCAAACATCCAAGTTATCACTATCCAGATCAAAGATGCAGAACATTTCCTTGTGCCCCTTTCCAGTGAATACTTCCTTCCCTTCACAACTGGTATCACTATTTTGATAGTTCAGTTTTGCCTATTCTTGACCCTCATTAAAAAATATGAACGAATATAGTGTCTTCTCTTTTATGTCTGTCTTTTTCTACTCAACAAAATATTGTTTAGATTATCCAATTGCATTTATAATTTAATTTTTTATATCTGTGTAGTATTCCTTTTCACAAATACACCATTTTTTTCTGTTGATAGACATGAGTTGTTTTCAGGGTTAAGCTAGTAAGAATAAAGTTGTTGTGAACATGTTTTTGGTGAACATATGCAATCATTTCTGTTGTGTACATATCATGGAGTGGAATTTACCTGGTCATAGGTTAGGGGGGCATGTTTATCTTTAGTAGGTACTGCTAGTTTTCCAGTGGCTCAATTAACTTACACTCTCACTAGCAATAATTAAGTTATCCACATCCACTGGGCAAGGTGGCTCACAGCTATAATCCCAGCACTTTGGGAGGTTGAGGCAGGTGGATCACTTGAGGTCAGGAGTTTGAGACCAACTTGGCCAACATGGTGAAAACCGGTCTCTACCAAAAATACAAAAATTAGCCAGGTGTGGTGGCACATGCCTGTAATCCCAGCTACTCAGAAGGTTGATGCACGAGAGTTGCTTGAACGTGAGAGGTGGAGGTTGCAGTGAGTCGAGACCGCACCACTGCACTCCAGCCTGGGTGACAGAGCAAGACTCTGTCTCAAAAAAAAAGTTATCCACATCCTTGCCAACTCTCACTGGCAATTTGGACGTCTTCTTTTGTGAAGTGACTGTTCAAATCTTTTGCCTCCTTTTATTTTATTTTTTTGAGACGGAGTTTCTCTCTTGTTGCCCAGGCTGGAGTGCAATGGTACAATCTCAGCTCACCACAACTTCCACCTCCCAGGTTCAAGCGATTCTCCTGCCTCTGCCTCCTGAGTAGCTGGGATTACAGGCATGCGCTGCCACACCCGGCTAATTTTGTATTTTTAGTAGAGAAGGGGTTTCTCCATGTTGCTCAGGCTGGTCTTGAACTCCCGACCTCAGGTGATCCACTCGCCTCAGCCTCCCAAAGTGCTGGGATTACAGGCATGAGCCACCACGCCTGGCCTTTGCTTCCTTTTAAACTGGATTCTTTCTTTTACTCTGCAGAAGTACTTGATATATTCTGAATATGAGTTAGATATATGTATTGTAAATATCTTCTCCCAGTCTGTGGAATGCCTATTTGTTAATCATGTTTTTTGATGAAAGGAAGTTCCTAATTACAGTGGAGTCCAATTATTCATTTTTTTTAATGGTTAGAACTTTTTATGGGCAACTACTTTTTTGGGGGAGGGTCGGCAAAGTCTAAAAATTTCCTCTCTTGTAAAAAAAAACTTTTTTTTAATATTACCTTTACCTACTTCTAAGATATATTTGGAATGGCTCACAGTAAAACCATAACCCCATTAAAATAAAAGTTATAAACAACCATTACCACCGCTACCAAGGGAAAGGGAAGGTGTAGAAGTTGTAATGAGAAAATGGAGAACTGTTAACAATGACAGGAGCCTTAGGCAAAGGAAGCTACTGAAATTGAGCCTAAAACTTAGCTATCAGTTTCTTGGCAAAATAAAATAAGATTTCTTAAGTCACAAAAACAAAAACAAAGGACAGATTCAAACCTGGAAAGTTTCTTTCTTTTTTATTATAATATTACTTGTTAATACTTTAAATTTACTTTTCTTCACTATACACCATGATTCTTCATGGGAAGTTTCTTGATGTGAAAAGGAACCACTTCTGTCCTGGCATGGTGGCTCACACCTACAATACTAGTACTTTGGGAGGCCAAGGTGGGAGGATCGCTTGAGCCTAGGAATTTGAGACCAGCCTGGACAACATGGTGAGATCCTGTCTCTATTAAAAACAAAAGCAAAAGCAAAAAGGAACCACTTTTTTAAATGTGGCTACCTCTTGATTGTTCAACTTCATAAATGGGGTAGAGAATTAAGAACAGTGGGTAAACTTGAAAGCTACTTGTATTTAATTTTAAAATGCACTTTCTCATGAACGAGGCCAACGTAAAATTTATAACACTCTAAATAACAAAATTTAAACTGTGGAGACCTGATTGAGGAGAAATTGGGAATTTCATGCAGGTAAGTCCAATGTGAGATTTGCAACACTCAAATAATGAAATTTAAAAATGAAGATCTCACTTAGAAGAAAATGGCAACTAAGAGTGCAAAGCACCAAGCAGATTTTAGCTGTTTTTGTTTGTTTGTTTGAGATGGAGTCTCACTCGTTCACCTAGGCTGGAGTACAATGGCGCAATCTCGGCTCACTGCAACCTCTGCCTCCCAGGTTCAAGCGATTCTCCTGCCTCAGCCTCCTGAGTATCTGGGATTACAGGCGCGCACCACCACACCCGGCTAATTTTTGTATTTTTAGTAGAGATGGGGTTTCACATGTTGGTCAGGCTGGTCTCGAACTCCTGACCTCGTGATCCGCCCTCCTTGGCCTCCCAAAGTGCTGGGATTACAGGCATGAGCCACCGCACCCCGCCTCACCTGTTTTTTTAAAATTAATTATTATTATCTTTTATAGAGACAGAGTTTGATCACGTTGCCCAAGCTGGTCTAGAACTCTTGGGCTCATGCAATTCTCCTGCCTCAGCCTCCCAAACAGTTGGGATTACTGGCACGAGCTACTGTGCTGGGCCCAGATTTAGGTTTTATATCATTTCAAAGTTTGCTGCATACTAGATTCACACTTATCCTGCTTATGAGAATAATAAATAAAAGCAACAAAAAAGTTAAACTGGCACTGGGCACATTGGCTCATGCCTGTAATCCTAGCACTTTAGGAGGCTGAGGCGGGCAGATCACTTGAGGCCAGGAGTTAAAGAGCCTGGGTAACAGGGTGAAACCCCGTCTCTACAAAAATTCAAAAAAAAAAAAAAAATTAGCTGGGTGTGGTGGCGCACACCTGTATTCCCAGCTACTTGGGAGGTTGAGGCAGGAGAATCACTTGAGCCCAGGAGGTGGAGGCTGCAGTGAGCCAAGATCGTGCTACTGCACTCCAGCCTGGGCTACAGGGAGACTGTCTCAAAAAAAAAAAGAAAGAAAAAAAAAGTTAAACTAGCAACTGGCCCTTGTCAACCCCATTTTCATCCATGAAAACGTTAGGATTATAGGATAAGCCCATGCAACAGCCACTGACAATTCTTGGTAAAAAAAACTGATGCAAATGGTCCACACCACTTTTGAAAATAAATATAAAAGTCCTCAAAAAATGGCAGATGGTTCAAGACTTCAGTTTCTCAAAGACAGAAATTTTTGTCTGTTCCACCATTCTCTTTTGCCTCTCCCAAACAAGTGATACATATCTATATTATGACAATATTTCAACCAAACTTTTTTAACGAACACTTCAGGGTTTCATCATAACCTTTACTTCTACTTTAAAACAGCATAAGAAACTATAATTACAGCTGTTTGACAGCTGGGGAAACTGTGACATACAAAGATGAAGTAATGTGCCCAACGTCTGAGTCACTGGCAAATTGAAACACATGTCCTACTCAACTCTTTTATATTCTCTAGCAGCTATTTCCTTTCCTCCTGACATTAGCAAAACAAGCTGACACCATGTAGGTAAAGGTAACCACAAATTTTTTATCAAAGTAGGAAATTTAGGCCGGGCGCAATGGCTCAGGCCTGTAATCCCAGCACTCCGGGAGGCCGAGGTGGGTGGATCACCTGAGGTCAGGAGTTCGAAACCAGCCTGGCCAATATGGTGAAACTGCCATCTCTACTAAATATACAAAAATTAGCCGAGCGTGGTGGCGCACGCCTGTAATCCCAGCTACTCGGGAGGCTGAGGCAGGAGAATCGCTTGAACCCAGGAGACAGAGGTTGCAGTGAGCCGAGATCGCACCACTGCACTTCAACCTGGGCGATAAAGCGAGACTCTGTCTCAAAACAAAAGAAAACCAATAAGCTCCTCCCCTCAACCCCAATTTCTTCAGCTGCTGAAACATTTTCTTTCCACTGCGATCCCCTAAGATTACTGTAGCTATTTCTCCCCAGAGAAAGGAGACAATTCCACTCTGTCTTCTAATCCAGAATCCCTTTTCTCTTTAAACAGGTTATCTCTTTCCAATACCTTGCTTTCTGATGACAGCAACTTCCCAAGACTTCCCCAGATAGTCCCCACAGGCTCTAGAAGCAACCGCCACTTTTCTCTAAACACCAATTGCGGCCCTTGGTTCCCAGCCCCCGTCCCCGGAGTCCGTGCTCTCCTCCCCACTACCCTACCCCACCGCTGCCTCAGGCCCTACCCCCGCGGCGTCGGCAGCTCTGGCTCACCTCGGCCCCTGACAGGAAGGGGTGCGAAGGCCCTGTGATCGTCAGGTAATTGTCATTTCCTCCGGGAAACTGGAAACCAAAAGAAAGTCGCGGGGATAAGTTAGGGGGAGCAGGGAGTCAGCTTGGAGCGATGGCTTTTGACCCTGACATTCTGACAACACTCCCCAAACCCCGCTCTCTCTCCTCTCCCGTCAGTCGCCTCTCCGCCCGGCTTCCCGTCCCTGCTTCAACCCGGTCGGCCGCGTTCTCTCGCCAGCCTTCTTAGCTATCAGGTTCCTACCTCCATCTTCACACAACCGCTCCCACCGTCTCAGACCCTCATCGCTCCCACCGCCCCCACTGGACTCGGAACTGCCGTCACTTCCGCAAGGACGTGTGTTCTCTCTGCTGATTGGAAGGAGCGCCGTGGGGCTGCAGAGAGTCAGGCGCTGGGCTATCGCCCCCTGGAGTTTGGAGGGATAAGGGCATGTAGAAGTGCTAGAAGCGTCCCTGGAGGTGGCGTAGGGTACTCCCGACCTAAGGATGATTCCGGGGAGTGCAATAGAGACGTGATCTGGGCTAGAGGAGCCGGAGGGGCGGGGGAGCGGGGGGAAGGGGGAGAAGAAGAAGATCGGTAGATTGAGTGGCTAGAGAGGTCGGAGGTAAGTGGCTATAGAAGTCGGGCGGACCCGGAACCCAGAGGACGCGACACCATGACTTATGCTTATCTCTTCAAGTATATCATCATCGGAGACACAGGTAACCCTCAGGTGGTTCGCCTTCAAGGCTCGGGCGGGCATTCGAAGCTCCCAAATTGGGTGGCGGGGGCGGGGCTCACTTTGTGGGCTGGGCGATTCGAGACGGGCGGGGCGGTTCGGGGCGGCCGGGGGCGGGGCTCGGGAGCCCCCCTTCTCTGGTCCGGGAAGTCCATACTCTGGAAGGTGTTCCAGGGCTGCGTGATTCCGGGAGTGTGCTTTCTCTTTCAGGTGTGGGGAAGTCATGTCTCCTCCTGCAGTTTACAGATAAGCGGTTCCAGCCTGTCCACGACCTCACAATAGGTAAGTGCATCTACTTGTTCCAGAACAGATGATAAAACCTGACTAGCTAAATTGCTAAAGTGGAAAGTTAGCAGCCTTCAGTGTTCGAAGTAAAAAGTTACCCCTCACTACTTTAAACTAGTCCAAACTTATGTTAATGAAGTGACCAATGAAACGTTGATATGTGGGGAGTAGTGTAAGGGAGAGTATATAATTGAAAGGTAACTTTTTAGAGTGTGAGGTATAGACTCGTCATATAATTTTTTTTCAAATACAATTTGTATGTTTATGGAAAATCCCACGAAAGCATAACTGCTTATTTATGAACTCATCTGTGCTTTGAGGTAAATTAATACCAGCCTTACTTTTAAAAAGTAAACACCAATACATGGACATTTTTTATATTGGTGAAGAAGCAAATTGAGGAGTCATCCCTGCCTTAGAATTAATAGGCAAATAAAACTAAAAACTTTCCTTTTAAATGAAAGAGTGTGTTAACAGTTCCTCAAACGCACTGGCGATCCTGGAAAATATTAACCTTTCCCACACGTTTGTGATAAGGCATGGCCTGAAGAGGCTTTTAACTACCCCCTCTTCGTTATCTCCGTAACCCCAGTCCAAATAAACAACATATATGAAACTAGCTTTCTTGCCATGCAAATGCAGTTTCTAAATAAACCCCTACATCCCCATTCTTACCATATTGCTACTTCCAAGTCCCACCTGTATGGAAACCTGAAGCTACCACTGTTCCTAACGGATTTATTTAGAGTCAAATAATTGATGGGGTTAGAAAAGGATTTGGCAGTATCAACTAAAAGGTATTTTAAAGGGAATATTGAGCGAATTCTCACTTTGCGATAGGGGCTAATGATACAATGCTTAACAAGGCAACAATGCTTAATTGTGCCTCTGGCAATTATTGGAAATGTAAAATGTATTGTTAAAAAAATTAGGTGGGCGTTGTGGCGTGTGCCTGTAAGGTACTTACTTGGGAGGCTGAGGCAGGAGAATCACTTGAACTCAGGAGGTGGAGGCTGCAGTGAGCTGAGATCGCACCACTGCACTCCAGCCTGGGTGACGGAGCGAGACTCCATCTCAAAAAAAAAAAAAAAAAAGTATTGTTTCTGAGAACCTATTTCTTAGGCTCTTTTCTTAAAGAAAAACATCTGGAATTGCAAAAAAATAAATATTGTTTTAAGTAGAGACTAAAGAGTGACTGAGAAAGTGTCAGGAAATATTTCCAAAATTTTTAGTTTTTTGGAAAAGTTACAAAACTAAATGTTACCTAACCAAATTTAAGCATTAACCTAACATTGCTAAAAAAGTATTCACCTTTTTAAATTTGACTTCTTAATTGGTTTTATTTTCCCATATCTGCTTTTTGGTTACATTCCTGAGGTCATTGAGCACAATTTTTTAATTCTAGAAGGGAAATGAAGAACCTTAAGAAACACAAAATTAATTGGAGCAAATAGGCAGCAATAATGGAATTAGTGGCATTGAGTTCAGACAAAGGATGGTTATAACACATTGAGGAAAGGCAGGAACCTCCCACTCCACGTGGCTGCTGTTCGTGAGAATCACATTCTTTCTCTCGGTCTTTACCGACAGGTGTGGAGTTTGGAGCTCGTATGGTCAACATTGATGGAAAACAAATCAAACTGCAAATCTGGGATACGGTGAGAGTACAAAATAATTTAGTCTCTGACCAATATCCAAGTATAACAAGAAAAGCTGATGCAAAGGAAAGGGGCGATGAGGGTGGAACTAATGGTGGGGATAAAGTAGGGGAAAGGTGAAATCAAAGAGAGAAGTTTTTGATTCTGTTACAGTTACAAATTCTGGATGCTGTATCTTTGTGTTGTAAACGATCCAAGTAATAGTTTATTCTAGTAAAAATAAAATCAAACAATATAAATTTATAGAATAGAAAGTAAATGTCCCCTTTTGATACATAAACTCTTTCTCCCTTCCCATCTTGGTTGGTACTCTAGCAGGGAAATCATTACTGATGATTCCACGTGTATGCTTTCAGACTTTTTCTATGCATTTAGATACATACATGTAAACACATAGAAATATATGGTAGTAGTTTTGTTTTTATTAGTGTTTACATGTATAGAATCGTGACAGAGTAGACCTAGTTGTGTGACTTAGATTGTATATTAAACAATCTCTATGTTGTGGGGACCTTTCCATATCAATACATATAGATCTGTCTCATTCCTTTTAACCACTGCGTAGTCATGGAATGTCAGTAGCATGATTTATGTAACCATCATCCTACTGATAGAAATTTGGGTTGTTTTCCAATTTTTAAGTATTGCAGAATTTCACTGAGCATTCTTTTTTTTGAGACAGAGATTCACTCTTGTCACCCAGGCTGGAATGCAATGGCGTAATCTTGGCTCACCGCGACCTCCACCGCCTGGGTTCAAGCAATTCTCCAGCCTCAGCCTCCTGAGTAGCCGGGATTACAGGCACCCACCACCACACGTGGCTAATGTTTTTTGTATTTTTTGTATTTTTTTTCTGAGACGGAGTCTTACTCTGTTGCCCAGGCTGGAGTGCAGTGGCGTGATCTCAGCTCACTGCAAGCTCCGCCTCCCGGGTTCGTGCCATTCTCCTGTCTCAGCCTCCCGAATAGCTGGGACTACAGGCGCCTGACACCACGCCTGGCTAATTTTTTGTATTTTTAGTAGAGAGGGGGTTTCACCGTGTTAGCCAGCATGGTCTCGATCTCCTGACCTCGTGATCCGCCCGCCTCAGCCTCCCAAAGTGCCGGGATTACAGGTGTGAGCCACCACTCCCGGACGTTTTTTGTATTTTTAATAGAGATGGGGTTTTGCCATGTTGGCCAGGCCGGTGTTGAACTGACCTCAGGTGATCCACCCACCTAGGCCTCTCAAAATGCTGGGATTACAGGCGTGAGCCACAGTGCCCAGCCTGAACATCCTTATTTACAAAGTTTTTATGCCAATGTTTGAGAATTTTTGTGGAATATCTGCCCAGAAATGGAAACTCTGTCAAAAGCTTGTACATATTTTCAAATTTGATACATGTAGTAATGCCAAAATTTAGCTTGGCTTAGTGTAGTTTTGCCCTATCCAGATAAATTGCTTTCATGTGCATTATCTCATTTGATTTGTACATTTTTCCCCCTAAGTAAAATAATACCTTAGTCTCCATTCTAGTTAAAGGGAGCTAGTAAATAGCTAGTAAATAATATTTGGCTAAAATCTCTTACTTTTTTTGCTTACTTCTTACTATGTGATTCTGTTTCTTCTCTGAACTGAGAGCTAAAGCCATTATATCTGCAAACAGTGTACACATTATTTTTCCTTTTTTCTTTTCCTCCCTTTCCTCTCCTTCCCTCCCCAATGCTCCTCACCACACGCAAGTGTATGTCTTAAAAGTAGTTGAAGCTTAAGTTCATCTGTCTATCCATCCATCTATCCGTCTATCTCTACAGATCTATCCCCTGATCCCCTGCACTGGGGAATTTTTGTATTTTTTGTAGAGACGGGGGTTTCAACATGTTTCCCAGGCTGGTCTCGAATTCCTGGACTCAAGTGATCCGCCCTCCTCAGCCTCCCAAAGTGTTGGGATTACAGGCCTGAGCCTTGGCACCTGGCCCAGATGAATGTTTTGATGCTGGGGAAAAAAACCCAATAAGTGCCATTTAATGGAATGGTCATGGCAATGGCCTTTTTTTTTTTTTTTTAAGCACTCATATGGGACATGGTTGGATCATGAAAGTAAGAAAGTTGAGAGCTTGATTCTGCTGAGAATGCATACATAGAAAAACAAACAAAAAAGGAAAGTTGAGAGCCACGACTTTGGACAGAATCCTTAAGAACTACATGGTCATCCAACTGGCCTAGTTCTTTTCTGTTCCCTCTTAAAATTGTCTTGAGATTAATATTTGCTAAATCATAAAAAGGAACCAGTTTCAGAACACTGTGGTTTTCTATATATTTTGAAAATTTTAAAAGATTCATACGTATAATAATGTGTCCATCTAGTCTGTCGCCTTTTGGGTAAGTCTGGTCATTTCTCCGTTGTCAGCCCTGATCTCCTGCCCATTGTTTACCCATCTTAGCTTCCCACTTTATTGACCCATTCTCTCACTTACTTCCAAACCCATCCTACATGAAAATGTTTAGGGATTACTGTGATAGGTATTTTAAAGAGATCAGGTTGTCCAAAGGTTTTTGTTGTCTTTGTTCTGGCATTTATGTGGATTTAGAGAAGCATATTTTAAAAAATCGTGTGTGTGTGTGTATACACGTATTCCTAAATAATCATGCTAATGAATAGGTATTTTACTGTAATATAAAATACTGATCAAATAATATCAAATTGGTTTGTATTTTACTTTGGAATGCAATTAAAATTTTTTTTTCCTTAATAAACCGTTCATTGGAAGGAATGCATTTTGATTCTTAGGAAAATGGTGTATCTGACTTTCTAGGAGTTGATACTTCAAACTGTATATCTTAATATAGTATGATGCTTCCACTTGGGAGAGATTAGAAAGCTATTAATTATCTTATCAAACCTTCATCTAGGCCGGGTGTCGTGGCTCATGCCTGTAATTCCAGCACTTTGGGAGGCTGAGGCAGGCGGATCACCTGAGGTCAGGAGTTTGAGACTAGCCTGGCCAACATGGTGAAACCCCATCTCTACTAAAAATAAAAAAATTAGCCAGGTGTGGTGGCGGGCGCCTGTAATGCCAGCTACTGGGGAGGCTGAGGCAGGAGAATCACTTGAACCTGGGAGGCGGAGGTTGCAGTGAGCCAAGATCATGCCACTGCACTCCAGCCTGGGCAACAGAGCGAGACTCCCTCTCAAAAAAAAAAAAGGAAAAAAAAACCTTCATCTTAGTTCGTTGCTGCTGCATCTTTTCTTTTCTTTTTTTTTTTTTTTTGACAGGGTCTTGCTCTGTCACCCAAGCTGGAGTGCAGTGGCACCATCTCCACTCATTGCACCCTCAACCTCCCCGGCTCAACTAGTCCTCCCACCTCAGCCCCTCAAGTAGCTGGGACTACAGATGTGTGCCATCACACCTGGCTAATTTTTTGTATTTTTTTTAGAGGCGTGGTTTCACCATGTTGCCCAGGCTGGTCTCAAACTCCTGAGCTCAAATGATCTGCCCACCTTGGCCTCCCAAAGTGCTGGGATTATAGGCATGACCCACGGTGCCCAGCCTGCTGCTTCAGATTTTTTTACTGGGGATGGCCAAGGATACCTGAGACTGATATAGACAAGACCAAATTGAACTGCTCACTCTTTCTAGCTTACTGGTTCACAAACTTTGGCTCATGAACTGGAATGAGATGAAGTAGAGTGATTTTTTTTTTTTTTTTAATTTAGACAGAGTCTCACTCTGTTGCCCAGGCTGGAGTGCAATAGCGCCATCTTGGCTTACTGCAGCCTCTGCCTCCCGGGCTCAAGCAGTTCTCCTGCCTTAGCCTCCTGAGTAGCTGGGATTACAGGCGTGCGCCACCACGCCCACCTATTTTTTTTTTTTTTTTTTTTTTTTTTTTTTTGTATTTTTAGCAGAGATGGGGTTTCATCATGTTGGTCAGGCTGGTCTCAAACTCCTGACCTCGTGATCTGCCCGCCTTGGCCTCCCAAAGTGCTGGGATTACAGGCATGAGCCACTGCGCCTGGTGAGTGATTTGATTTTAAAAGGTTTTCTCATGACCCACTGATAGCATTTTCAGCTGCTAAAGATAAATGCTGCCATGTGATTGAACCATCATGTGGGCCTCCCTCAAACTTTCCCTTTTAGTTCTTGGTAGGCTGTGAGGGAAGTAGAGGGAGGCTTACAACCATAGCAGAAGAGGAGAAAAAGTAAGTGCTAAAAGGAAAACAAGACCCAAATAACGTAAGACATTAGGGAGTAAATATAAAACTGTAAGTATTTTTTTAATCTTAAAATATTATTAGTATTATGACAGGGGACTTCAGAATTAGTTTTTATTTTCCGATTCTGATTCTCTAACAGCTATGCAACTCACTCACATGTTTCTATGATTCTTATAGAAAGAGATTCTTCTGTTGTTGGAAAATTAACCTTAGAGTTAGTATACTGGAATTCTCTTCTCACCTACAAACCCCAGTTTAGGTTATATGATATAGTGGCTAAGAGGACAAGTTTTTGTCCTAGGAAGTACTAAGATCCTAAGTTTAAATTATGGCTCTAGCACTTAATAAGCTTTATGATTTGGGGCCGTTTATTAAACTTGTGTGAGCCTCATTTTCCCCATTTTTAAAAGGAAATAATAAGCCAGGCACGGTGGCTCATGCCTGTAATCCCAGCACTTTGGGAGGCCGAGGCGGGTGGGTCATGAGGTCAGGAGTTCAAGACCAGCCTAGCCAACATAGTGAAAACCCATCTCTACCAAAAATACAAAAAAATTAGCCAGGCATGGTGGTGGGCGCCTGTAATCCCAGCTAATTGGGAGGCTGAAGCAAGGAGAATTGCTTGAACCTGGGAGGCGGAGGTTGCAGTGAGCCAAGATTGCGCCACTGCACTCCAGCCCGGGCAACAGAGCGAGACTCCCTCTCAAAAAAAAAAAGAAAAAAAAAAAGGGAATAATAATATCGGCCCCAGGGTTGCTAAGAGAAGTAAATGAAATAATATATGTAATTGTCTCTTAAAGTTCGTAGCACATTTTATATGCCAAAAAGTAGTTTATAGTACTATTGCAGTGTTATAATTAGTGTTACCACTGTTACTGGTATTATACTATGAGAAAGCCATTTATTTTCCCACATCCTTAATCATGATTCTCCCATTTGTAACCTATAAATTATAGTCTTACCTCCTGTTATGTAGGGATGTAAGGATAAATTATTTCAAGAATGTGAAAACTTTCTTAATAGGATAGATTCAATGTACAGGGTATTCATATTATTTAAAAAATGTTTTTGTTTTCCCTAAAGGAAAAAAAAAGAACTAGTCCATCAAGAAAGCAAAAGTACCCAGTATTATGGGGGCATTAATAAATTACTCAGTTTTAAATAGAACTTAATATCTTTGTCCAACTGGAAATGAGATTAGAGTGTGAACATTTGGATTTTTCTAGGAAAACTCTATGCTGGGCCCTGGGCTTCTTTCTCTGTTTGTTATTCCTATTTCCCATGACAGAAGCCCAGCAAGGGACATCTAGGTAGTCTTGCATTATCAGTGGAACACTAAAGGTCAGTTAGAAGATAATCAGTTGAAGTGCTTTTAATCTAATTTTTATATTGATTCATTGGAATGAAATTTCTATTAGACCAGGTTTTGGCATTCTAAGATAACTTTCCTTTTTACAGATAAAGAAATGGGAACAGAAAGATTAATATGGTGTGTTCAATATCATATTTGGGATTGAAAAAAATGACATACACTCCGTTTCCAGTCCTATTTCCAGTTGTTCTTTTATGAGGATATTGGGAAATGTATGCAAATGTCTTCATCGTCTTTATCGTGCTGACTGGGGTGCCACAGGTATTTAGTGACTGGGATCTAGGATGCTAAACATCCACTAATCTGATGGACAGTCTCTCAGGAAGAGTAAGTGACTGCCCAAAATATCAATGCACTCCCATAGAAAAATATTGATTTCCCACTTGGGTTTCTTCTCGGGCAGGCATGTTTTCTTTCCCTAATTCTCTTTTCGTAATAGAAATTCTTTTTTTAGTTAAGTCCTTTGTATTAGGGTGGCATGTGATCAAGTCGGTTCTGTGGAAATAACCTGGTTTTGTTGGGATTTTTTGTTGCCATGTTGGTGGGAAAGGCTGGGCAAGAATCCTTCCGTTCTATCACCCGTTCCTACTACAGGGGAGCAGCTGGAGCACTGCTGGTGTACGACATTACAAGGTGAGCCAGATCTGGTGCATGGGAGGGAGATTCTTCCCTAAATCCTCTAAAGCTTTTTTTTTTTTTCTATCTACTGATTCTGTTAAGGATGTTAACTAGGAATGGCCTCTCTAATATTTTTCTTTACACGTATGGCTTCCCCTCTTTTCGTATACGCTTGGAGTTGTTTTGGCCTTTTGAAATGTGTCTCTGACCCACATTCTAAATTTTTCTGCTGTAGGCGTGAAACCTTCAACCACCTGACCTCATGGTTAGAGGATGCCCGGCAGCACTCTAGTTCCAACATGGTTATCATGCTCATTGGGAATAAGAGGTAAAATTGTATCCATGTGAATAATAGTTAACAGGAGTCATCTAGGTACTCTATGCACATTGATCCCCAAACTTTCTCAGTTTATAGTGGTCTTAGTGTTTCAGTAAAAAAAAAAAATTTTGTTGTGATAAAATATATATGACACAAAATTTACCATTTTAACTATTTTTAAGCATACAGTCCTGTAGCATTAAGAATATCCATTGTTCCACAGCCATCACCAACATCCATCTCCAGAACTTTTTCATCTTCTCAAACTCTATACACATTCAACACTAACTCTCCATCTTCCCTCCCCCATCCCCCTCATCCCTCAGCCCCTGACAGCCATCATTCTACTTTATGAATTTGACTACTACTGGTACCTCATACAAGTAGACTCATGTAATATTTGTGCTTTTGTGACTGGCTTATTTCACTTAGCATAATGTCTTCGAGGTTTATCCATATTGTAGCATGTGTCAGAATTTCCTTCCTTTTTAAAGATGAGTAATATTCATTGTATGCATATACCACAATATTTTGTTTATCCATCTGTCCATGGACACTTGGGTTGCTGCCATCCTTTGACTATTGTGAATAATGCTGCTATGAACATGGATCTGTTCAAGTCCCAGCTCTGAATTCTTTTGGGTATATGCCCAGAAGTGGGATTGCTGGATCATATGGTAATTCTTTTATTTTTTGAAGAACCACCATACCATTTTCCATAGCAGCTGTCTCATTTTACATTCTTTCCAGCAATGTACAAGGATTCCAGTTTCTCTACATCCTTAACAACACTGGTTATTATCAGTAAATTTTTTTTGACACCCATAGGCCAAAAGAAATACCTAATAGTTTTGTTAAATAGTTATACCCAAACAACATGAGTATTTTTTATAACCGCTTAGTAACTGTTTGAAAATAAAAAGGCCAGGCGCAGTGGCGTATGCCTGTAATCCCAGCTCTGGAAGGATTGCTTGAGTCCATAAGTTCAAGACCAGCCTGGGCAACATAGTGAGACCTTGTTTATACAAAAAAATTTTTAAATGAGGTGGGAGGATCACTTGGGCCTGTGAGGTCGAGGCTGCAATGAAGCTGTAATTGTACCACTGCACTCCTGCCTCAGCAACAGGAGTGAGACCCTATATAAAAAAAAGAAAAAATATGCCAGGCGTGGTGGCTCAAGCCCGTAATCCTAGCACTTTGGGAGGCCGAGGTGGGTAGATTAGAAAGTCAGGAGTTCAAGACCAGCCTGGCCAATATGGTGAAACCCCGTCTGTACTGAAAAAATACAAAAAGTAGCCAGGCGTGGTGGCACGCACCTCTAGTCCCAGCTATTTGGGAGCTTGAGGCAGGAGAATTGCTTGAACTCGGGAGGCGGAGGTTGCAGTGAGCTGAGATAGTGCCACTGCACTCCAGCCAGGGCGACAGAGTGAGACTTTGTCTCAAAAAAAAAAAAATTATTTCATTCTTAAATAGCAACAGTTACTTACTAAAGACCTCTATGTGTCTGTTGGGCACTGCATAGCTTCTCAAACCTTGGAATCACGATTGCACACTGCTACTCTCATTTCCCATTTCATATTGATTTTTGTGTAGTGCTTGCTTTTTTATAACAGCAACTGCCAGAAACAGCTTCTCAGAGATATGAAGATATTGAACGAATTTTATCATGGTCTGATATTGACATTGCAACTGTCTTAAGCTTGTAATTCATGTAGTAAGTATCCTTGTGTTGAGTGTTACTGTGTTTTTCTCAAAAGTTTGAGGTATCCCATGGCACCCTTGTGAGTTTGTAGTAGTGCCCAGAGTGTACTATTTGAGAACTGTGGCCACAGGCTAATTGGTTTTTTGTTTGTTTGTTTGTTTTCATTTGTTTGTTATGAGATGGAGTTTCACTCTTGTCACCCAGGCTAGAGCACAATGGCATGATCTCGTCTTACTGCAACCTCCACCTCCTGGGTTCAAGCGATTCTCCTGCCTCAGTCTCCCGAGTAGCTGGGATTACAGGCATGTGCCACCAAGCCCAGTTAATTTTTTTGTATTTTTAGTATAGACGGGGTTTCTCCATGTTGATCAGGCTGGTCTTGAACTCCTGACCTCAGGCGATCCGCCTGCCTCGGCCTCCCAAAGTGCTGGGATTACAGGCGTGAGCCACCACACCCATCCTGCTAATTATTTTTAGTGTATCAGTCAATGTATTGAAAACGACTGTGCCAGATTCTGAGTTTGCAAGGTGGAAAAAAGTCGTCCCCCTGCTCTTGTGCAGCTTACAGTCTAGTGGGGGCATAGATGTTAAATATAAAATTATTTGTATCAAATTGTAAATTGTGATAAATGCAATGGAGGAAAAAGGGTGCTACGAAAGAATAACAGGGTACCTACTTTTGATTAGGAGTGATATTAAGCTGGGATCTGAAGGATGGGCAAGAGCCTGCTGGGCAAAGATTTTTTTAAAAGGGTATTACTTGGGGGGAACAAACTATACAAACACCTTGAACTTGGAAGAAGCTTGACACGTTTATTGAAAGAAACCTAGTGTGATTGGACTAAATCAAGAGGGAATAGTGCAAGATGAGGTTGGAAAAGTAGGTAGGGACCAGATTTTATAGCACCTTAGAGGCCTGAGTAAGGGTTTTGGATTTTATTCTAAATACATGGAAATTGAAGCTTGGGAGATGGGGGATTAAAAATAATAATAAATAAATACACCTGAAGCATTTTAAAGTTTTAAGTAGAGAAGTGGCTTGATCAGATTTTAAAAGATCACTCTGGAGGAGAACAAGGACTGAAGTAGTATCCCAGTTGCAATAGTCCACATGAGAAAGAATGGTAGCTTGGTCTAGGAAGTGACCCTGGAAAGAGAAAGAAAGGATAATTTTAAGGTACATATTGGAAGTACTTCACTTTGGAATGGATTAGATATTTGGAGTAGGGAGCAAAGGGTATCAATAATAACACTTTGGTTTTTGGCTTATGCCATTTACTGAGATACAGAAGCCTGCAGCAAACACAGGCTAGGGGAAAAGAAGTTCCATTTTGATGTGTTAAGTTTGAAGTCCGTTTTATGTATCAGTGTGGAAATGAAGAATTCACAAATGTACAAATCTGGTGCTTAGTCAAGCATCTGGGCTAGAGGTACAAATTTGGGAGGGTTGACATTTAGATCTTCCCTGGTCTTCACACAGCTGATGGTATAATAAATTAAAATATTGTAGATTTGTTGTTCTTTAATGGTCTTACACTTTTTTTCCAAGGAGTTGGAAAACTGGAAACCTCCCAAATGAAAATTTTCAAATTGAAAAATACGAATCACAAACAGCCCAACCTTGCCTTATTCTTCAGTTTGTTTTTTTGGTTTTGTTTTTTTTTTGCGACAAGGTCTCGTGCTGTTGCCCAGGCTGGAGTACAGTAACGTGCTCAGCTCACGGCAACCTGTTTCCAGGGCTCAAGAGATCCTCTCACCTCAGCCTCTCACGTAGCTGGGACTACAGGCATGTGTCACCACGCTCTGCTGATTTTTAAATTTTTGTAGAGACAGGGTCTCACTGTATTGTGCAGGCTGTTCTTAAACTCCTGGGCTCAAGTAATCCTCCTGCCTCAGCCTCCCACAGTGCTGGGATTATAGGCATGAGCCACCACGCCCAGCTCTGCAGCCTTTTATCCTGTTTTTCATAAGGTCTTTTGTTGCCATTTTTATTCCCTTTTTCAGTCCTTAGCTCTTATCTTTTTTTTCACCTAATTTTATCCATATCACTGTCTCTGAATTCCCTGGTGGCAAGCTGCTTTTATATGCACTAGTAACGAAACCAGTGAGACTTAAGACAACTGTGTTTTCCTTATTCCTGGCTCATTCTCTTCTTGTGGCTTGATTCCAGTAAAAAAGGAAGATGCTCATCACTGCTGGATGGGACATCTTATGACTTTTCTGCTTTCTAGTAACTAGAGTTTTCCTTTTTTTCTTCCCCGCCCAAGAGACAGTCTTGCTCTGTCGCTGAGGCTGGAGTGCAATGGCGCGATCTCAGTTTACTGCAACTTCCGCCTCCCATGTTCAAGCAATTCTCTTGCCTCAGCCTCCCGAGTAGCTGGGATTACAGGCACCTGCCACCATACTCAGCTAATTTTTGTATTTTTAGTAGAGACGGGATTTCACCATCTTGGCCAGGCTGGTCTTGAACTCCTGAACTCGTGATCCACCTGCCTCGGCATCCCAAAGAGCTGGGATTACAGGCATGAGCCACTGTGCCCAGCCAAGTTTTTTTTTTTCCTCATCTATACTTTGCTCTCCTTGATCTCATTGGAAAAACAAGCAATAGAGCATAAGCTTTGTGTAACTATGGGGGCTTGCCTAACCCTTGATAAGCCATTTTCTCTGTAATAGAGTGAGGTATTATCTTCAACTATGCAGCAGCTGTCCCAAAACTAAAGAATATTTTCCAAGATGCTACAAAAATCAGTAACTCTGTATAAGAGTATCATGTAGGATCTACATTCTTTATGAAATAACTGGCAGTTGAAACCACGACGGAATTCTTTTAGAAATAGACTTTCCTCTTTCACTTGGATCTTTTTTTTAAATTTTCTCCTTAATTAATCTCTTGCAGTGACCTAGAGTCCCGCAGGGATGTGAAGAGAGAAGAAGGAGAGGCCTTTGCTAGGGAGCATGGACTTATATTCATGGAAACTTCAGCCAAAACAGCCTGCAATGTTGAAGAGGTACTATTTGGAAAACAGTGGGGAAAGCTCTTTAGAGATTACACCATTATTTGTCCTTGTATTCAGAATTCTCTTCTCCTATAAGAAATTGGTAAAGAAAGGATGTCTTGGCCGAGCGCGGTGGCTCATGCCTGTAATCCTAGCGTTTTGGGAGGCCAAGGCAGGCAGATTGCGTGAGCTCAGGAGTTTGTGACCAGCCTGGGCAATATGGTGAAACCCCATCTCTACTAAAATACAAAAAACTAGCTGGTCATGGCGGCGTGTGTCTGTAGTCCCAGTTACTCGGGAGGCTGAGACAGGAGAATTGCTTGAACCCAGGAGGCGGAGGTTGTAGTGAACTGAGATCCCGCCACTGCACTCCAGCCTAGGCAACAGAGCAAAACTCCATCTCCAAAAAAAAAAAAAAAGAAAGAATGTCTTCTGATCGTAGTGACTACATGTCTCATTCCTTTTAAAGGAATTGTCCCATTTTCTTTTACCCTGATTCCCAAGGTTTTACTTTTGCTTTGGGTAACATTAGTTGGCAAGTGTGGATTAGACACCACACTTGTTACTAGTAAATCACTCTGGTTGGAGTGTCTAATGGGTTCTACTGTAGTCATTCCTAGGCCTGGTGTTGATGGTATCTTCGGTAACCAGTGGAGAATAGAGTATGTTTGTTTTATTTGTGGAAGGTGCCAGCCTAGGAACATCTTGGGTCAGTACCAGAATACCCCATAATCCTTTTGTGTTTGAAACTACTCTTAATGGCTTTTACAAGGACATTTGGGGGACCTTCTATGTTTTTTTTCTTTTTTGATTTTTTTTTTTTTTTTTTTTAGACTGAGTCTCGTTCTGTCACCCAGGCTGGAGTGCAGTGGTGCGATCTCAGCTCACTGCAACCTGCGCTCCTGGGTTTAAGCGATTTTCGTGCCTTGGCCCCCGAGTAACTGGAATTACAGGCATGCGCCACCACGCCCGGCTGATTTTTGTATTTTTAGTGGAGACGGGATTTCACCATGTTGGGCAGGCTGGTCTCGAACTCCTGACCTCAAGTGACTTGCCCGCCTCGGCCTCCCAAAGTGCTGGGATTACAGGCATGAGCCACCGCACCCAACCGACCTTCTATGTTTTTTACTGTCTTCTAATGGTTCCTAATTCACCTTAGAAATTCAAATATGAATAATAATTAATATTCTCTTTCCCTCATTTCTCTACCTGAACTTGAGACTGATGATACGATTTATGTCTCTTTCAGGCCTTCATTAACACAGCCAAAGAAATATATAGGAAGATCCAGCAGGGTTTATTTGATGTCCACAATGAGGTAAGAAAGGGTAGAAGTGCTGGCAGTTAACTTTGGCTTGTTCTGAATACAACTGGAGGTTCCCTAGAATGGAATGCTTACATTCCCCATCTATCATTATACAATTTAAAAGCTCTGCCAATTCAACACTTTTTTTTTTTTTTTTTTAAATCTAGGTACACAGAGACCTGTCATCATTTTCTGTTTTTCTCAAGTCTGACACTCAGAATGCTTAAAGAGATTATTGGTGATTTAAAAGACTTACACAATATGGGAGATTTTCTTGTCAACCTCAGTTTTTTACTATTCTAGAACGTAAGGGAGGTATAATTCATAATTGCTTAGGAGAGTAATTTCTATAAAGTAAATTCTGGAACAAGACAAAAAGAATCATATGCTACTTCTGCACTTTGCCGCCTCCACTTCTACCTCGTCACACCCTGATTCTGCACGTAGCTATGACATTTAAGTATAACATTGTCCCTTAAAAATGAGCACAGGGGCCAGGTGTGGCGGCTCATGCTTATAATCTCAGCACTTGGAGAGGCTGAGCTGGGGAGATTGCTTGAAGCCAGGACTTTGAGACCGGCCTGGGCAACAAAGAGAGACTCCGTCTCTAAAATGAGCACAGGGGTGCAGTGGCGCACCCATAGTCTCAGCTACTTGGGAGGCTGAGGCAGGATCACTTGAGGCCAGAAGTTTGAGGCTATAGTGCACACTGATCATACTGTGAATAGCCACTGCACTGCAGCCTGGGCAACATAGGGAGACCTCATTTCCTCAAGGAAAAAAAAAGTGCACAAAAGCCACTGTAGTCAACTAGGATATTTAGACCACAGGTAGTCATCTTATTCTTACTGTCACAGATTATTGTTCCACATCAGCGTGGCTAGGGCATCTGGTTACCTGCCAAGGTCAAATCTGCTTTTAGAAAATATAATTAATGATTTCTCCTTTCTCCCCTTTCTGTTTTCTTTCTACCCTGGGATACAAGCAGAGATAGCCCCCTCCTGTCTCTCATTCACTTTAACACTGAGGTGGGAACTATTGCCTCTTTTCTTTTACAGGCAAATGGCATCAAGATTGGGCCCCAACAGTCAATTTCAACATCAGTGGGACCCAGTGCCTCCCAGCGGAACTCTCGTGACATAGGGTCCAACTCTGGCTGCTGCTGAACATCTGGCTTGAACTTTTTTTGTCCTTCCTGGAATAGCTTCAGATCAATAGGCTTAATGAAAGAGGTCTTTCTTGCTTTGGCTGAGAGCAGCCTCTTTTTAAAGTGTGATGTTTTGCCTTTCCACCTAAAGACCAGGAGAGAATTTGGGCCCTTACTGACCTGTCCTCCTTCAGGGACATGAGCATTCCCTATAGATTAGGGTTCTTCTTATCCTCCTATACAAATTTCTTAAATTGTTAGGATCAAAGTTGATTATCACAGTAGTTAAAAAATAATTTCATGGCGGGGCGCCATGGCTCATGCCTGTAATCCTAGCACTTTGGGAGGCCAAGGTGGGCAGATCACCTGAGGTCAAGAGTTCGAGACCAGCCTGACCAACTTGGAGAAATGCCATCTCAACTGAAAATACAAAATTAGCTGGGTGTGGTGGTGCATGCCTGTAATCCCAGGTACTCGGGAGGCCAAGGCAGGAGAATCGCTTGAACCCAGGAGGTGAAGGTTACGCTAAGCCAAGATCACGCCATTGCACTGCAGCCTGGGCAACAAGAGCAAAACTCTGTCTCAAATAAATAAATAATTTTTTTTTTCTTTTTTTTTTTTTTTTTTTGGGGGGATGGAGTCTCACTCTGTCTCCAGGCTGGAGTGCAGTGGCATGATCTTGGCTCACTGCAACCTCCACTTTCCAGGTTCAAGCAGTTCTCCTGCCTCAACCTCCCGAGTAGCTGGGACTACAGGCATGTGCCACCACACCTGGCTCATTTTTGTATTTTTAGTAGAGACAGGGTTTCACCATGTTGGCCAGGATGGTCTTGATCTCTTGACCTCGTGATCCGCCCACCTTGGCCTCCCAAAGTGCTGGATTACAGGTGTGAGCCACCGTGCCTGGCCTAAATAAATAATTTCGTAAGCATATACAATCCACTTCCCACTAAGAATTAGGGTCAAAGACATTCTATTTGAACACTTGCAATTACCTAGATCTAGTTGGCCTTTGGTTGATAGATCCTCTGCCTCGGAATTTCATTGAGTTTTTTTCTTCCTTGCCTTTGGGTGTCTGCTTGCCACTTCCTAAGAATTCTTGTAGAAGGCAGTTTCCTCTACTTGCCCAAGAGCACTGAGTACTTCTCTACTATCCTATTATTAGCTTCTATCTCTTAGTGTAACTTCAAAACTTTTAAGAGCAGTGAAGTTGGTCAGGGACATGTGGCCACTTATTATTACCTAAAGAAAACATTTGTTCCCTGTTCATTTTATTTTAGGGGCCAGATCTAACATTGTAGTGTCTTTCACCAGATAGACTTCTACTGTTTCATCAAACTCCCTTCTTAACTAGACCTAGACTTTCTACTCCAATCAGGCTAATCTACTTACTGAATGTGACATATTTATTCCTAGTTCCATACCTTTGCACATGCCCTACTCTCCACTAATTATACTTAAAAGTCCAAAAATTTTTTCTTTAGTAACAGACTTAGGTACTGCTAAGCAGTTATTAACACAATATTCCTTAGTTTTCATATGTTGGTTATTCATATGTCTATTTATATGTATATTTATTTTTATGTATGTTACTATGTAAATATGGTTTGCAGTTGTTTTTGTGTGGAATCTTGTCTTTCCGTATAAGTTGTAAGCTCCTTGAGAGCAGGATCCATGTCATTCCTTTATTTTTATAAATTATTCCCCCTATCATTCCTTTACAGTGCCTAGTGCTACTCATTATGTGTTCATTGAATTTGACTGACATAGTTAAAAACTTAAGGTTTATTTTAGACTTTCAAGGAAACAAAAGACTTTAGAGTCCTCTCTCTGTAATTCTGCCCCACTCATTTGTTTACCCTGGGTTTTATACAGTTCTCTTCCTTCTCCCCTCCCACCTTTCCCTGGCTTTTTGCCTCCATTCCATGAGGCATACAGTAAGGCTGCCTGCTAGTAAGCAGTCACATAAGTGGGTACCTATCCAGCCATTCTCTTTTCAGAGCATATAATACTATCTTAGCCAAACTTGCCTTTGCTTCACTCATCATGCAGCCTTCTGGGTTGGTTGCTATATATATCTTTTTTCCTTGATGTCCCGTTCTCTTCCACAGCCCTGAGGTCTTACGAATTTTTCTACTTTCTTTTTGCTGTTGATGAATTGTTTCATTATTAAATATATGCATGTATCAAAGCTATTCATACTCCATGTGTCATTTCTAATTGTATCCCAAACATTAGTAGATACTCTCCTCTCAGGGAATTAAATCAAAGATAATGAAGAAGCCTCTTTGGGATTCATGCTATACTCGATTCTGACCCCAGTAGTAGTAGTAATAGTTGACAGTGCACCACAGGAAGTTGGAAGACATTTGGGGTATTGCTTTGGTTATGCTTTTGTTTTGTTTTTAAAATCCTATCTGATTCCAAAAAGGATTTGAAGCTGTTGAACTTGGAGTTAGCCTGCCCCCTTACCTCTGGGCGAAAACTAAAGTAATAAAAACTAGTTTCTGTACAGAAGGTTTTTTTTTTGTTTTTTTTTTTTTTACTACCCAAAAAAACAATCTTTAGCAATTGAGAAGCATTAGAGGATTGGTCAAAGACAGCATTCTGCCTAGAGCTACTGCTTTCAGAGTCAATAAAGGATACCATTTTGATATTTTGGAGCACAGTTTTTTAATATTAATGCCCATATCTTGTTCTATTAACCAAGCCGACTTATGACCTTCTGTACTTGGGTATTGCACCAATTGTAAGGGAAGCATGAGAAAAAAAAGTATCTGGGCAAAATCATCTGTATTCTGAGTGAAGTGGTCATGAAGAATTATAAAAAGTGGATATGCCACCCCATATGAAGAATGGTAGTTATGAAATAATGTCCACTTTTTTTTTTTTTCCATCTATAGTCTTACCAATGTCCATTGGTTTTTGAAGGCCAAGACCATTGGAAATCATACTAAGATCAGTGTAGGTACCAGAAATTGGTTCAGGCACACCTGTTCCCATTTCCATAATATCTATAGCTCCTTTGATGACAGGTCTATTCTGTACCAGATGGATAATAGGCTCTCATCCTAGAAACTATTAATAATTAAGGTTATATCTGTATATGCATTTACAGACAAACACATTGTTCTGATAAATCTTAATACTAACATCAAATTGATATAATGGCAGCAGTAGCCAGGAGAGAATTTGGTTGACAGATTTTTTTTTTTTTTTTTTTTGAGACAGAGTTTCCCGCTTGTTGCCCAGGCTGGAGTGCAATGGCATGATCTAGGCTCACCACAACCTCCGCCTCCCGAGTTCAAGTGATTTTCCTGCCTCAGCCTCCTGAGTAGCTGGGGTTACAGGCATGCACCACCACACCCAGCTACTTTTGTATTTTTAGTAGAGACGGGGTTTCTCCATGTTGGTCAGGCTGGTCTTGAACTCCGGACCTTAGGTGATCCACCCGCCTCGGCCTCCCAAAGTGCTGGGATTACAGGCGTGAGCTACCGCGCCTGTCTTGGCTGACAGATTTTGATACACAGGGAAATGTATTTGGCCAAGTCTTTTTTTTTTTTTTTTTTTTTTTTTTTTTTTTTTTGAGATGGAATTTCGCTCTTGTTGCCCAGGCTGGAGTGCAGTGGTGAGATCTTGGCTCACCACAACCTCCGCCTCCTGGGTTCAAGCGATTCTCCTGCCTCAGCCTCCCGAGTAGCTGGGATTATGGGTGTCTGCCACCACGCCCGGCTAATTTTTTTTTGTATCTTTACTAGAGACGGGGTTTCACTATGTTGGCCAGGCTGCTCTCGAACTCCTGACCTCAGGCGATCCACCCGCCTCAGCCTCCCAAAGTGCTGGGATTACAGGCGTGAGCCACTGCGCCCAGCTTAAGGCCGAGTCTTATCACTCATATGACTTCTTGATGTCTCTGAGCTCCTATCATGTAAGACCATGCAATTATGTTACTCCTTGAGAAATTCCTTTAATAATCTGGAAGGATTCCCTCACTCACAACTTTAAAAAAGATTTCTTGGCCAGGAATGGTGGCTCATGTCTGTAATCCCAGCACTTTGGGAGGCCGAGGTGGGCGGATCACTTGAGGTCTGGAGTTCGAAACCAGCCTGACCAACATGGCGAAACCCCGTCTCTACTAAAAATACAAAAATTAGCTGGGCGTGGTGGCGGGAGCCTGTAGTCTCAGCTACTCAGGAAGCTGAGACAGGAGAATTGCTTGAACCCGGGAGGCAGAGGTTGCAGTGAGCCGAGATCGCCCCACTGCACTCCAGCCTGGGTGACCGAGCGAGACTCCATCTCAAAAAAAAAAAAAAAAATTAGGCCTTTAAAAAAAAAAAGGAATTCCTCCTTAAGTCCTGTTCTTGATTTCCAACTGATTCACAGTGCCCCTACTGGAAAATTTGCAGTGAATCCTAAAGCTTAGTAGCACCTATAATAGATACATGTCCTGATATTTTGAGTGAGGTGTCCATAAAGGATTACCCTAGGAAAGTGCAACTTTCACTCTCATTAGAAGAATTAATTTTTGCTTATTTGATTTGTTAAAATTGCTTTACTCCTACAGTTAAGTGAGAGGGTGGTGGTGGTTGTTGCCCGTAACCACATACGGCATTACTCCAGGGTTTCACGTCGTGACTGAGGGGCCTCCTAAGTGTATACAGCAGAGTATGTTCGGGCTGGACCTAGATAGTCGGACAGAACACCGACAGGGTCTTCACATTCTTTAAGCACTCTCACCCAGTCCCGGAGTCCGAGCCAAGATGGCTTCCCAGAAGTAGGTAACTAAGTGTTGTTTTAGTTCACAGCGCCCCCAATGGCGGGGGTCAAAAAAAGATGCCGAGGGGCCTGGCCGCCTGTGAACTGAGTCGTCAGAGGCGAGCCGCCGCCAGATTTTATTTTCAATCAGGCATATTTGTGGTCGCCTACGTACCCTTCTCATCCTCCTAGGACCTTCCACCCTCAAGAGACTTCCTGGATGGCGCTCACACTAGCTCGCTGGAAGAGGCCGGGCTTCGGTGCTGCCATTGGCGGATGGGAGCGCAGGGGGGCGGAGCCTAGGGAGAATGGACTACTAGCAAGCTAGATTGAGGCGAGGGCTGGCCATGCTCCGCCGGAAGGCGCCTTGTTCTCGGAGAGGGTGAGTTGAAACGCTGCCTGGAAAGGAAGTACCAGGACTTGCACAGGTAGGCTTCCCGCTCGCACCCGCTCCTCAGTGCTGGGCCAGGAGTCAGCAAAAGCTGAGGCTCTCAGAGATTTGATTTAAGTAACTCCTTCTCCTCTCTCTTCCACCCCCTGCTCGCCCCCCAGTTGTGAGGGATCAGGTGCGGGGTGATGCTCCGGACTGAACCAGTCTCCTTTGTGAGAGGCCGGGGGAGAGGGTGGCTGCCGGGCCGCGGGGTCCGAGCCGGGCCGAGCCGCGAGGGACTGCTTGGGACGCTGTGGAGTTTTCAGGGCTTGTCATTGCATTACTGGGCGTAGTGTAGATTGGAGGCGGCGCCTTGTTCTCCTCTCTTCAGAGAAGGGAAAACTCCTCGGCCCCGTTTGGTTACTCCATACTTTGGATTCAGAAATAGGTGGTTAGGGTTTTCTACTTCTTTTTATTTTTTTTTCTTCTGTATTTTAATAATAAAGGTGGGTAGGAAAGCATGGGGTAAGCGTAAGCAGATTGTTACTCATTCTCAGGTGTAAGTTCTGTGGGTCTCCTGGCAGTGAAGAGCAGGCTGTTGGAGAATGTTTAGAGATGGTGGGAAGAGAGGAGCTCAAGCCTTGCATCCTCCTTGACAGGTCTGCAGAGCTCACTGGTTTTCCGTTGCATTATGTAAACTCGTCACTGATAGAAGACCCTTCCCCCTGCTTTGGAACGAATGCAGTTTATTTACCTGTCTCTAGTGTCGCAGGGAATTTCCCTGCAGCAGCTGTATAAATGCAGCAGCCTCTTGCTTTTTAAGGGACAGTCTTGAAGCGGTTAGGGTCTTCACAGAAAAGGTATATAGTGGACCCATCTCTTTCGTATGGCTAAGCAAAGTGAGCCAGAAGTCAAAGATTTAGAACTCTGTCTTTTTCTATTAAAGAATAAACAGCGGAGCGCCCCAAACACAAGCCAGGGGAGCTGCCTTATCAGTGTCTGCTGCATCCTACCATCACAGCGGCGTCTACAGATCGTTTCATCTCCATGCTTTTCTGAGTTTGTCGACTCAGTCAAGGATTCTCAGCCTAGGTTAGCATATGCTGAAGTCATCTGGTGTGGGGCACATTACATATCGAAAGTGAGTTTGTGATTTGAATCGTGTCCTGTGTTAGTTAATTAGATCGTGTCTTCTGCTTAGGAATTTCTTTTGTATTGGTCATCCAATAGGTTTCAGAACAAATTCTAGTCAACCTCATAGAGCAAGATATGAGAAACTTATTTCAAGTACTTTGGAATTATCCCAACCCTTAAAAAAAGAGTTATGATAAGAAAAACATTTTCCATGTAAGAAGACCTTCTGCTGCAAGAGAGGCGTGTCAGTGGATCTGAAGGCAAGTGAAAGATATTGGCCAAAGAGAGAGTAGGCAAGTTTGAAGAGACAGGCTTAGGAGAAAGTTTAAAACTGAAATAGTGGCTCACGCTTGTAATCTCAGCACTTTGGGAGGTGGAGGCGGACGGATCACTTGAAGTCAGGAGTTCGAGACCAGCCTGACCAACATGGTGAAACCCCGTCTCTAAAAGTACAAAAAATACAAAAAAAAATTAGCCGGGCATGGTGACGCGTGCCTGTAGTCCCAGCTACATGGGAGGCCAAGGCATGAAAATCGCTTGAACCCTGGAGGTGGAGATTGCAGTGAGCCAAGATCGTGCCCCTGCATTCCGGCCTGGGCGACACAGCCAGAGGATAGCAAAGGAGTAATGGATTGGGATAAGGGATATAATGGAACAGTGTATGAGTACTTGAACAGTTTTTGTATTCTCCATGTTTGATCTGTCCTGTGCATCTGCTCTTTTGGTTTTGTCAGTTTTCTTTTCTTTTCTTTTCTTTTCTTTTCTTTTCTTTTCTTTTCTTTTCTTTTCTTTTTTTTTGAGACGGAGTCTTGCTCTGTCACCCAGGCTGGAGTGCAGTGGCAGGATCTCGGCTCACTGCAACCTCCGCCTCCCAGGTTCAAGTAATTCTCCTGCCTGAGCCTTCCGAGTAGCTGGGATTACAGGCGCCCGCCACCATGCTTGGCTAATTTTTTTTTTTATTTTTAGTAGAGACGGGGTTTCACCATATTGGCTAGGCTGGTCTTGAACTTCTGACCTCGTGATCCTCCCGCCTCGGCCTCCCGAAGTGCTGGGATTACAGGCATGAGCCACTTTTCTAAGCAAAATTACCACTTAAGATTAAGTTGTGGGTGTCAAAACTGTGTTTGCTTACTGAAGAAATAAGATTTGATATTCTCATATGTGAAAGGACTGTAACATTCAGATGAATGCTAAATGCTTTAGTGAACTGTTTGTCTACAGCTCTGGAAGAGTTAAGCTATCTTCTGAGCTTACATTGAGCCTAATACTTGGGAGGAAAACAGAAGACAAACATTTCTCTCGAGTCTCCACTTTCACCTCTAGAATCTCTCTACTTCTGGAGTTGGATTTGAGCCAGTCCTTGATCTGCAGGTCTTCGCATGACCTGTCCTTACATTACTGTGACCATTGTGGTATAATATTTACTATTTTACCTTTAGCATTTGATTCATTGACAGACTATCATGTTTCTTATCTCACTTTAACTTTTTATATCCCCTCTTACATGATCTATGATCTTTTATTCTTTTGTCTCACCAAGTTGGTGATCTTTTCATCTTCCTGTGATTTTGCTCACTTTCCTTTTCACTTAATTCACTGACGTTGTACACTTTTGCTTCTGTTTAGCTGAAACCTTTTAGGGAATGTAATTTCTGTATTTTTAGTAGAGACGGGGTTTCACCATATTGGCCAGGCTGGTCTTTAACTCCTGACCTCGTGAAAATTGAAACCTTTTAGGGTATCTAATTTTCAAGATGTGGTCTTTCTTTGGTACCTAGCACCCAAATGAGAGTTGTCTTTCTTTCTTTCTTAAGAGACGGGGTCTTGCCATCTTGCCCCAGCTGGTCTTGAACTCCTCGGCTCAAGTGATCCACCCACCTTGGCCTCCCGAAGTGCTGGGATTACAGGTGTGGGCCACCACACCCAGCCTGACAGTTGTATTTCTTTGTTTTTTGTTTTCTTTTTTTTTTTTTGAGATGGAGTCTCGCTGTGTCACCCAGGCAGGAATGCAGTGGTGCGATCTTTGCTCACTGAAAGCTCTGCCTCCCAGTTCAAGTGATTCTTCTGCCTCAGCCTTCCGAGTAGCTGGGACTACAGGCGCGCACCACCATGCCCGGCTAATTTTTGTATTTTTAGTAGAGACAGGGTTTCACCATATTGGCCAGGCTGGTCTTTAACTCCTGACCTCATGATCGGCCTGTCTCGGCCACCCAAATCGCTGGGATTACAGGCGTCAGCCACTGCGCCCGGCTGACAGTTGTATTTCTATGTAATGGGATTGTTGTATGAAGTTTTCTTTTTTTTTTTTCTTTTGAGACAAGTCTCCCTGTGTCTCCCAGGCTGGAGCGCAGTGGCGCGATCTCGGCTTACTGCAACCTCCACCTCCTGGGTTCAAGTGATTCTCCTGCTTTAGCTTCCCAAGTAGCTGGGGTTAAGGCGTGTGCCACCACGCCTGGCTAATTTTTTGTATTTTTAGCAGAGACAGGGTTTCACCATGTTGGCCAGGCTTGTCTCAAACTCCTGACCTCAGGCTGATCTGCCTGCCTCGGCCTCCCAAAGTGCCAGGATTACAAGCGTGAGCCACCACACCAGGCCTGAAGTTTTCTTTTACCTAAAGTTTATTTAACATTTATTGCATTCTGGCTGGGTGCAGTGGCTCACGCCTGTAATCCCAGCACTTTGGGAGGCCAAGGCGGGCATCCTAGCCAACATGGTGAAACCCCGTCTCTACTTAAAAAAATACAAAAATTAGCTGGGCGTGGTGGCGTGGTCCTGTAGGCCCAGCTACTCGGGAGGCTGAGGCAGGAGAATCACTTGAACCAGGGAGGCGGAGATGGCAGTGAGCCTAGATCGTGCCACTGCACTCTAGCCTGGTGACAGAGCGAGACTCTGTCTCAAAACAACAACAAAACATTTACTGCATTCTAGATTTTGTCTTGGATAACCTTTTTCTCCTTTAATCTCTCAGTTTTGTGGGTGAGTAAACTTTAAATGAAACTCTAAAGTTTTCATTGTATTTGTATTGTAAAATAAGTCCACCTCTTTGTAGTTACTTAATGTTTTACGTTTAAACTACAAAGTATCTTAATCTCTGACGTTTCTCATTAAGCTGTTCTCTAGGTAACATTTCTTTTGCCCTTTTATTATTAATTATATAGTTTCCATCCTTCACTAGGCCCTTAGTTTGTTAATGTTACATGAAGCAAAATGGTCAACTTCAAAATATCTTATTTGTTGCCTTCAGGTTGCAGCAGGAGACTTAAAGCACGTAATTTCTACCCATTAATTGTATGGTACAGGATAATAAAAATTCCAGCAGGCATAGATAGAAATTAGCCTGGCATAGATAATTACTTTTTTTTTTTTTTTTTTTTTTTTTTTTTTGAGACAGAGTCTCACTCTGTTGCCCAGGCTGGAGTACAATGGAGCGATCTCGGCTCAGCACAACCTCCGCCTCCCGGGTTCAGGTGACTCTCCTGCCTCAGCCTCCCCGAGTAGCTGGGACTATAGGCGCGTGCCACCATGCCCGGCTAATTTTTTGTATTTTTAGTAGAGTCGGGGTTTCACTATGTTGGCCAGGCTGGTCTCAAACTCCTGGGCTCAAGCTATCCTCCTGCCTCTGCCTCCCTAAGAGCTGGGATTACAGGTGTGAGCTACCGCACCCAGCCGATAATTACTTTTACATTAGTCTTCAGCAGGGAAAGATCCAGGAATATATTTTAAGCAGTGGAGCAGTGTAGGGATCTTAGACAACATTCTAACCTCTTCAAATTCAGATTTTCCTGTAGTATATTCTCACTAGTTTGTTTGGAAAGAGTTTCCAGAACTATGATTTACTGTTATGTGTAATTATTAAGAAAGGGTTGACCTTGTCATTTAAGGAGTGAAATATCCCTTATTTTCTTTCCTTTGTATATTAATATTTCATAGATATTTATTGTATATGACTTCATTTTATTTGTTGTTTATTTCATTTTAAAAAGACAATTAAATAGCATGCTACTGAAATTACCAGATAATTTCCAGGACTGTGCTTCATTGCTCCCTTGTATGTTAGCACCTTAAATGTGATAGTGCCAATCCTTTGGGTAGTGTCTCAATATTCCAGTGATGAGTAATTTCCTAATAACACCTTTTTGTTTTCAGAGTCTGTAATTCTTCTAAGACTATGTCAGTAGCTTTCCAATAAAGGATATATAGTAACTGAATTCTTAATTTTATTTGAGAAGAAGGCTACTGAACAGCTATAAGGTCTTACGCTTTTTTTTTTCTTTTTTTCTGTTTTTGTTTTTTTTTAAGAGACAGGATCTTACTGTGTTTGTTATGTAGGCTGGAGTGCAGTGGTGCAATTATAGCTCACTGCAACCTCAAACTTTTTGGCCCAAGTAGTCCTCCCATCTCAGCCTCCCAAGTAGCTGGGGTTACAGGCCGGCCCATATCACAGTGCTCAGCTGAGAGTTGTAAAATGTTTAAGGTTTCTCAGATTGTCTCTTGTGTTATTATAGAAACCTTTGGAATTTCCTGCTTTCTTTTTTTCTTCCACTACATGCTTTGGGGATGCACTATATCTTTGGGGATTATTTCTTTGGGATATGGTTATTCAGAAGTACATTGTCATATTAGTGATATGGGAATTTCTTTTTGGTTAGTTCTGGAAGAAACCAGTGATTTCTATAGTTTGGCTGCTTATTTAGATACACCCAAATCATAACAGAATTTCGTGTATGGAACATGATTTTATCAGATATACATCTATCTAAGTAAACAGCACTAATGGTAAGATGTTTCTGGATTTCTGAATTTTTTCATCTTTTTTTTCATTTTCTATTGCTGCTGCACAAATTAGTGGATTTTTGAATAGGGGCTAGCAAGTTGCATAAACATTGAACTTTTACTCAGTATTTTTCATTTCTTCTACTCAGTACTCAGTCATTCTTGTTTTTCCTCCCCTTCCTGGGTCTGGGGCACATTAGTCAGTTCTTCCTTAATTTGCATATCAATTCTCCTATAAAATTTAGTGCTTTCGCCTGTTTTACAAATATGACTGCTTTTTTAAATGAAAATTTAACTATATAGTGTAGGCAGTGGTTACTTCCTTTCACTACGCTCCTGAAAGTCATTGGAGTCAAAAGCTAAGTAAGCTGGATCTGGGCATGTGAACTACCAAGGGACAGTCTAGTCAGTTGGAAACTAAAAGTTACCACAAGCAGGTATTGTGAAGTAAATTGAATACTTAAGAAATAGACACTGACATATTCCTACAAACATAAAAGTGATTAGTTGAATTACCTGGGATGTTACTCTAGATCACAAGTGCTGGTTGAAATCTGTTTCATGGTTATGATGTTAAAGACTTGTGCTGCTTTCTCAGCACGGTAGTACTGGAGTCCTTTCATCCTGCCCAGCAGTCCTGCCATTCTAATTGTGAAACTTTTACATCTATTTCGGTATCCCTCCATTCTGCCTAACAGATCAGCTCTGCCAAGTCTCTGAGGAGTAATTTTGCTTTGAGAGAAGCCTTCAGTGGTACTGTTTTAAGATATTGGATGGAGAATAATAAATTCCTTTTTATTTGCCTACTATGTGCCAAACATTGTATGTTATCTTTTAATCTTAAGAATAACTGAAATGTATGTGGTGCTAGTTTCATTTTACAGGGAAAATAAAAAAAGACTGTGAGGTTAGGTAACACAACCAAGAGTAGGAGGAGCTCTGGTCTGACTTCAAAGCCCCATTTATTATCCAGCCAACCTCCTTTTATTTTATTTTATTTATTTATTTTGCGATGAAGTCTCGCTCTGTCGCCCAGGCTGGAGTGCAGTGGCGCAGTCTTGGCTCACTGCAAGCTCCGCCTCCCGGGTTCCCGCCATTCTCCTGCCTCAGCCTCCCGAGTAGCTGGGACTACAGGCGCCCGCCACCACGCCCGGCTAATTTTTTGTATTTTTAGTAGAGATGGGGTTTCACCTTGTTAGCCAGGATGGTCTCGATCTCCTGACCTCGTGATCTGCCCGCCTCGGCCTCCCAAAGTACTGGGATTACAGGCGTGAGCCACCGTGCCCAGCCCAGCCTCCTCCTTTTAAAAGTTCAGTGCTGGTCCAGGCGCGGTGGCTCACGCCTGTAATCCCAGCACTTTGGGAGGGCGAGGCGGGTGGATCATGAGGTCAGGAGTTTGAGACCAGCCTGACCAACATGATGAAAACCCCCGTCTCTACTAAAAATTAAAAAAAAAAAATTAGCCAGGTGTAGTGGCGCGCGCCTGTAGTCCCAGCTACTCAGGAGGCTGAGGCAGGAGAATCGCTTGAATCTGGGAGGCGGAGCTTTCAGTGAGCTGAGATTGAGCCACTGCACTCCAGCCTGGGTGACTAAGACGGTGTCTCAAAAAACAAAAAAAAAGTTCAGTGCTGACCCCTGTGTGCAAACTGTCTTTGACCACAGCACTAGACAGGTAGGTATTCAGTAGCCTGTTAAAGCTGTGCCTTTGAAAATTGTAGAACCTTGAGAATGTAAGATTTATTTACGTCTTTGTATCTCTGTTAAAAGGAAAAAGAGTAAATAGTTTGTTTCTTTTATTTAACTTAGTTATTTTGAAGATAAGATTATGTGAAATACTTTAAGCTGTACAGGGGAAAATGACTTGGTCAGTCTTGCATATAATTCACTTTTTTAGCCAATGCAAGTCAGTTTAGCCCATTAAAATTTCATGAATCCCATGTCACTGGGGTCAGTTTTTAGGCACAAGTCTGATAATAACAGTGCTTTATGATGTTTCTCCTCCCACACATACTCTTTTAGCATAATGGTTGCAGTGAAAACAATTCCGTATAGCCTCTGGTTATTAAGTAAATATTTATATATTTCTATTAGGCTGAACACATTTATGTGTACTTGGCTCAGTTAAAATAGGGCATGCAGGAATGTATGTGGGGGAGCATGAAGAGGACATGAATCTGTTACCTAAATTAATATACATTGTTACTTATGTTGGATCGCAAAAGTGGTAGTATAAGGTGAACATTGGCCCAGTTAGAGATTTCTCATCTAGAACAGAGAGTATTATTTTCACCTTAGTGACCATGAGCCAGTGAAGAGCAACTTCTCCAGATCCAGTCCAAACTTGACCTAAGTCTAATGTTCCCCAAAGATTAGGCTCTTATTTTCTGTCTTCAGACTTAGACCAAAACTTGAGGGGTTTACTGGGAAAAAAAAAATCTACAATGAGGTTGACTTAGAAAAAAAAAAAGAATCCATGCTCTATTTTTGAGTCATAAGGATATAGTGTCATCCGGCCGGGCGCAGTGGCTCACGCCTGTAATCCTAGCACTTTGAGAGGCTGAGGCGAGTTGATCACCTGAGGTTGGGAGTTTGAGAGCAGCCTGACCAATATGGTTAAACCCCGTCTCTACTAAAAATACAAAAATTAGCTAGACGTGGTGGTGCGTGCCTGTACTCCCAGCTACTCAGGAGGCTGAAGTGGGAGAATAACTTGAACTCTGGAGGAGGAGGTTGCAGTGAGCTGAGATCGTGGTACTGCATTCAAACCTGGGCAACATGGGGAGACCCTGTCTCAAAAAAAAAAAAAAAAGGGATATAGTGTCATCCGTTCACTTCTTGCCACAGCTGGAATTGGTCACCACTGAGGCATTATAGTCCTAACCCTAACGGGGTAACTAACATTTCATTACTGTCAACAGCGAGTACCTCACTCTAGAAAACAGTCTTTTATGTGTAGTGCCATACAACCCCTTTTGCTTTATGTAAAAGCTGTGTCTGCTACAGCTACTAAAAAGTGAAGGTGCTTGTGATTTTATGATACTTCTGAATGTTTCTGGTAGGAAACTGTGCTACTGTCCTTTTGTTGTCATGCAGTCTGAGTGAGGGAAGCCATTGCTTTGGCTCAGAAACCTCTCTCCCACACACCTTCAACTGGAAATTCAGTGCATTCCTTCAACAAAAATACATTGAATGCCCATTACCACCTGATAAGCCAAGGGAATACTGTAATGGACAAGTCATAGACAAGCCTTTACCCTTGTGGAACTTGCATTCTAATGGGGGAGAGAGAGTAGACATCAAACAATTATATAATCAGTTATTCAATCTTTACAACAAAGGAGAAGTACTGGAAGTTATAAGATAATTTATAATGGGGCATGTAACCTAGAGCATAGTATAGTAAGGTGGTTAAGAATGTGTCTTCTGGAGCTACACTGCCTAAATTTGCATCTGGTACTACTTTTCACTAGCTGTAGGATATTGGGCAAGGTATTATCTCTTTGTGCCTCAGTTTCCACATCTGTGAAATAGAGATAGTTATTTTAGTCTTGTTAAGAAAATTAAATAAGAAGCCAGGAGCTGTGGCTCACGCCAAAGTAATCCTAGCACTTTGGGAATCTGAGGCAGGCCGATCACTTGAGGCCAGGAGTTCCAGACCAGCCTGGGCAACATGGCGAAACCCCGTCTCTACCAAAAATGCAAAACTAGCCGAGTGTGGTGGCGTGTGCCTGTTGTCCCAGCTGCTTGGGAGGCTGAAGCAGAGGCATTGCTTGAGCCTGGGAGACAGAGGTTGCAGTGAGCCGAGATGGTGCCACCTCCAGCTTGGGTGACAGAATGATACCCTGTCTCAAAAAAAAAAAAAAAAGAAGAAGAAGAAAATTAAGTATGTTAATACATTTTCATTGCTTAGAGTGCCTGGCATGTAATGTACATTCAGCAATTTTAGCTGTTACTAGTCTGGGAAATCAAGGAAAACTTTTTTCTTTTTTCTGAGACGGAATCTCGCTGTGTTACCCAGTCTGGAGTGCAGTGGCGCGATCTTGTCTCACTGCAACCTCTGCTGCCTGGGTTCAAGCAATTCTTCTGCCTCAGCCTCCCAAGTAGCTGGGATTACAGGTGCCTGCCACCGCACCTGGCTAATTTTTGCAGTTTTAGTAGAGACGGGATCTCACCATCTTTTTTTTGAGACGGAGTCTCGCTCTGTCGCCAGGCTGGAGTGCAGTGGCACGATCTCAGCTCACTGCAACCTTCACCTCCTGGGTTCAACTGATTCTCCTGCCTCAGCCTCCCGAGTAGCTGGGATTACAGGTGCCCGCTACCACACCCAGCTAATTTTTGTACTTTTAGTAGAGACAGGGTTTCACCATCTTGGCCAGGCTGGTCTCGAACTCCTGACCTCGTGATCCACCCGCATTGGCTTCCCAAAGTGCTGAGATTACAGGTGTTAGCCACCGTGCCCAGCTGACTTTTTTTTTTTTTTTTTTTTTTTTTTTTGAGACCGAATCCTGCTCTGTTGCCCGGGCTGGAGTGCAGTGGCACGATTTTGCCTCACTGCAGCCTCTGCCTACTGGATTCAAGCAATTCTCCTGCCTCAGCCTCCCAGGTAGCTGGGATTACAGGTGCACACCACCACGCCTGGCTAAATTTTTATTTTATTTTTAGTAGAGATGGGGTTTCACCATGTTGGCCAGGCTGGTCTTGAACGAACTCCTGACCTCAGGTGATCCACCCGCCTCGGTCTCCCAAAGTGCTGGGATTACAGATGTGAGCCACCACGCCCGGCCAGGGTTTCACCATCTTGGCCAGGCAGGTCTTGAATTCCTGACCTCGTGATCCACCCGCCTCGGCCTCCCAAAGTGCTGGGATTACAGGTGTGAGCCACGGCGCCTGGCCCAACTTTTTGTTGAAATGAGCTTTGAAGGATAAGTAAGAATTAAAGTGGCAGAATGGAAGAGAACCAGTTAGAAGGTAATTGCAGTAGTCTAGGGAAATGAACATGATAAATTGAGCCATCTTTTGAGCCAAAGGGTAATAAAGGCAGAAGTAGATGGATTTGAGGGATCTTTAGGAGGTAAAGATGGGAATTTAAAATACTGGGTACGGGTAGTAAGGTAGGTTTCTGGTCTGTGCAACCATGACTATCCAGATAGGAGATGCTGGAGAATGATTACCAGTTTGTGTATGTGCACATGTGGTAGTGGGATAGGGATGGGGGAACTGGAGAGTCTACCAAGAAAAGCTATGGATTAAGCAGGGAGATATACAGACCAAGAGTTCAAAGGTGACATCTTGCCCAGAGATATGAGAGACATAAGCATATAATTTATTGAAGAAAATAATGAATAATAATTGAGGTGATGTATTGGAATTAAACATCCTTGAAAAGAAAGTATAGAATGAAAAGAAGGTCTAGGACCAAAGTGAACTTCAATTAAAGGGGTGGTATAGGAAAAAAGTAGCAAATAAATTTTTTTTTTTAAAAAAGTGGTTAAATAGATTGAAGGAAAACTTGAAAAGTGTGGTGTCCTGTAAGCCATGGGAAAAAAAATATGTTTGAGGGTGGGAGTGGTGTTTTTGCAATTTTTATGACCCTTCCTTGGATCCTTTAGAGTGTGAAGTCTCACCACTCAAAATGGGATACTAGTGACATAGAACATCTAGAGCAGGCTTAGGCTGACCAAAGCCATTTAGTTGAACATGATCTTCAGACTCTAGAATCTAGAATGTAGCTATTCCTGTTCACCTTAAATTAGATTTAATATAAAGGGAGAGAGAGCTAGAGTGTGCACTCAAGCTCATAGGTATTAGCCAACTGAAACTAAACTATTTTGGAGGCCATTAATCTGGGTAGTGACCCTCTCTCAGGCTCATTACAGTATCCTAGGTATAGATATTAGCAAAAACAATTTTTTTTCCAATTTATCCAACAACATTTGTCAAGTACCTACTAGGACTTAGTGGTTATGTGTCAAGCACTGTGCCAGTTGTTTCATTAATCCTCATAAATGTTCCTGTAACTTAATACTGCTATCCCCTTTATGTAGAGGAATGAGCTAGACTCAGAAAGGTTGATTTTCTTGATGGGACAGAAATTTGAACCCAGGTCCCTTGGACTTCAAAGCTCATTATATTTCCATATACAAATGTAAGTAAAATATAAAGTAAAAGATAATTATCCTAAAAGAGGACTACACATAATGCTATGAAAACTCACATGGACAGATTCACTTCTGGTTTGACAGTGGAAAGTAGGTATCAGAAAGGCTTTCAAGTATTACATCCAGTGGACATTTTAAAGTGTTGTTTTTTTTTTTTTTTTTTTTTTTTGAGACGGAGTCTCGCTCTGTTGCCCAGGCTAGAGTGCAGTGGCGCGATCTCAGCTCACTGCAAGCTGCGCCTCCCGGGTTCACGCCATTCTCCTGCCTCAGCCTCCCCAGTAGCTGGGAATACAGGCGCCCACCACCACACCTAGCTAATTTTCTGTTATTTTTTAGTAGAGATGGGGTTTCACCGTATTAGCCAGGATGGTCTCGATCTCCTGACCTCGTGATCCACCCACCTCGGCCTCCCAAAGTGCTGGGATTACAGGTGTGAGCCACAGCGCCCAGTCCTAAAATTCTTATATGGTTGGACATTTTTGCTTTGTTTGATATAATTGATCACTCTTCCCCTGCAAATCTCTATTCTCTGCCTCTGTGACACTGCACTGTCTTGCTTCTCTAGCTGTTTTTTCTCTACCTGCTTAAGAAGGCATTATTCTGATTCTTAATTTCTGTTGTTCTCCTGGGTTCCTCCTTAGCTTTTCAGTCTGTCACCCAGGCTGGAGTGCAGTGGCGCAGTCTCGGCTCACTGCAAGCTCCACCTCCCGGGTTCACGCCATTCTCCTGCCTCAGCCTCCCAAGTAGCTGGGACTATAGGTGCCCGCCACCACACCCGGCTAATTTTTTGTATTTTTAGTAGAGACGGAGTTTCACCGTGTTAGCCAGGATGGTCTCAATCTCCTGACCTGGTGATCCTCCCGCCTCGGCCTCCCAAAGTGCTGGGATTACAGGTGTGAGCCACTGAGCCCAGCCCAGCTAAGTGTTTTCTTTATCCTGCATAGTGTTTAGTTTTCTTAAAAAATTAGTTATTTACAGTCAAAATTCTGGCTTTTGGAAAATCTGAAGTTTTCTTTCAACCTTGGATGTGTGTTTGTATTTGACAGGACTTAATTAGAGGTGAATTGCAGCTACATTCTTCAGAATGGATATAGGTTCTCCAGTTCTTCACAGTCATTAACATTCTCTTGTCTCTCCCAACAATATTTGTGCAGTTGTTCTCTTTCTTTCTTCCTTTCTTTCCTTTCTCCCCTCCCCTCTCCTCCCCTCTCCTCCCCTCTCCTCCCCTCTCCTCCCCTCTCCTCCCCTCTCCTCCCCTCTCCTCCCCTCTCCTCCCCTCTCCTCCCGTCTCTTCCCCTCTCCTCCCTTCTCCTCTCCTCTCCTCTCCTCCCCTCCCCTCCCCTCTCCTCTCCTCCCCTCTCCTCTCCTCCCCTCTCCTCTCCTCCCCTTTCTCTTTTCTCCTTTCTGATAGGGTCTCTGTCACCCAGGCTGGAATGCAGTGTCATGAACATGGCTCACTGAAGCCTTAAGCGATCCTCCTGCCTTAGCCTCCCAAGTAGCTGAGACCACAGCATATGCCACCATGCCTGGCTAATTTTTTATTTTATTTTATTTTATTTTGAGACAGGGTCAGACTCTATTGCCCAGGCTAAAGTACAGTGGCACAGTCTTGACTCACTGCAACCTCAACTTCCCGGGCTCAGGCAATCCTCCTGCCTCAGCCCTGAAAGCAGCTGGGTCTATAGGCCTGTGTCACACGCCTGGCTAATTTTTGTATTTCTGTAGAGACAGGGTTTCGCCGTGTTGCCCAGGCTGGTCTTGAACTCTTGGGCTTAAGCAATCTGCCTGCCTCCGCCTCCCAGTGATGGGATTACAGGCATGAGCCACTGCACCCGGCCTAATTGTAGAAACAGTCTCCCTTTGTTACCCAGGCTGATCTCAAACTCCTGGGCTCAAGCAATTCTTTGGCCTTGGCCTCCCAGCCTTGCAGTTTTTCCTATCCTTGACCTGCTCTTCACATTCCCTGGGTAATCTCCACTTTTACAGCTAACACTTAGTTGCTAATAACTCTCAAAATCTATCTCCAAGCCAGACTTTTAGGCTCATACAGCCAACCTCCTACTGAATGTCACTACTTAACATACTATAGGCAGCTCATTTTCTTTTTGGTTTTTGTTTGTTTGTTTGTTTGTTTTTGAGGTGGAGTCTCGCTCTGTCACCCAGGCTGGAGTGCAGTGGCGCAATCTTGGCTCACTGCAAGCTCCGCCTCCCGGGTTCATGCCATTCTCCTGCCTCAGCCTCCCTAGTAGCTGGGACTACAGGTGCCCACCACCACGCCCAGCTAATTTTTTTGTATTTTTAGTAGAGACGGGGTTTCACCGTGTTAGCCAGGATGGTCTCCATCTCCTGACCTCGTGATATGCCCGCCTTGGCCTCCCAAAGTGCTGGGATTACAGGCATGAGCCACCACGCCCAGCTCTAGGCAGCTCATTTTCAATATGGCTAAACTATTCATCTTTCCCTCTGAACTCCAGGTTCTACTGATTTTTATCCCTTAAGTGTTTCTGGCTTTGTCATTTCCCTCCCATTATTATTTTTTAAACTTGATCTTAGCAAAAGGCCAATAAACAATTCTATCACTATCTTTTGAACCATATTGCTATAATTTAGGCCCTAATAATTGTGTTAGGATTCTTGGTTGCAAACAACAGGAATCATCTTTTGGGTAACTTAAGCAGGAAGAAAATTTATTGCAAGGATACTGAATGGCTCAAAAAAGTAATGGGAATATTAGAGAACCTGGTTTAGAGAATGGTGTGAAATCAAAGGAGGGAAGACCAAAGAGAAGGTCAAGGTCACACTGCTGACCAGTCTATATAGGATGCTACAGTTGGACTCTAATATCTGCCATTGCCAAATATTGTCTAACTGGTTGGTCCTGGGTCTTTGCATTACTCCTGCAAAGTCAAGACTTCCCCAGCAGGAGTATCCACTTAAACTAGCCTAGGTCATGTGCATGCATACTTCCTCTTTGCTAGGAAGGGGAGGAGGCAATTGAACCCTATCTCCCCAGGCTCCATATGGGGAGATAAGATCCAGCTTTCCATGGAAAATATAGGAAGGGGCCTTTTGGTTGCTGAGCAGAAAAAAACTAGCAAATGTTCACTATACAACTCCTTTCTGGTCTCAGCAGCCTCCTAACTGCTTCTGTGTCCTCTGTCCTCTCACCCCCTAGAGCCAGAGTTAGCTAACCAAAATGTAATTCTGATTACGTTATTCCATGTTTCAGTGGCTCCTCATCCACCTGTAAGAAAATGTTATTCAAGGCTCTCCACGCTCTGGCCCTTACCTGTCCCTTCGGCTTCATCTCTATCCAGTTCCTTCTTCGCGATTTACACTTTAGCAAGGCTGAACTACAGAACTAGAGTTTCCTCTACATGTCTCATGCTGTTTCTCATTGCTATGCTTTGTTTTGCCTTCCCTCTTCCTGTCCCTGCTGCCTGAATATCCCTTTCTTACAGCCCACCTTTCCCTCCCACCTGGTAACTTTTCCTCATTGTTTAAGAAACTATTTTCTTGGCTGGATGCGGTGGCTCACACCTGTAATCTCAGCACTTTGGGAGGCTGAGGTGGGTGGAACACCTGAGGTCAGGAGTTCGAGACCAGCCTGGCCAACATGGTGAAACCTCATCTCTACTAAAAATACAAAAATTAGCCGGGCATGGTGGTGGACGCCTGTAATCCCAGCTACCCGGGAGGCTGAGGCAGGAGAATCACTTGAACCCGGGAGGCAGAGGTTGCAGTGAGCCGAGATCGCACTACTGCACTCCAGCCTGGGCAACAGAGTGAGACTCCATCTCAAGAAAAAAAAACCAGCAACAAAAAAGAGAAACTACTTTATTGATGTTTTTTCCTCCTGAGCCCCTGCTGGTCTTATTGAATGTGTCACCTTGTATTATAATTGTTTTTATTTGTCACTGTTGTCATACTGCCTACTCTTTACCCTCTTCCCACATACATACACAAATGCACTCTTACTTACTGTGAGTTGAGGGTAGGGATTATGTCTTACTTGTTTTTGGATCCCTAATGCTAGCAGATTACTTGGCATGTTACATACTCAATACATATTGAAGTAATAAGAAGCATTTGATGTTGAACTTAGAGGATAATAAGTAAGATTTTGGTAATGCAAAGAAAGAAATTAAAGATGTGTATAATTTGAAGGCAGCAATATTAGGCTCAGATTAGAAAAAATACGACAATAGTAATTTGTCTTTTTTTGGCTAGCAAGTATATGTAGACAAATGGTAGAAAATAAGACAGGAAATATAAGATATTGTCTTAAGTAATTGGGAGCCTTTGAAAATTTTCCAGCACAAGTTTGATTTGGCCATACCGTGTTTTAGGATATTAATCTGGTTGCAGAATGGATTAGTAGGGTGAGTAGAGAGATTTTTTATGAGGCTTTTCTCTTACATAAGCAACTACATAAGTAAGGGAGATGGCAGCAGAAATAGGAGTCAGATATATGAATCCTAACTTGCCACTTAGTTTCATAGTCAAACATTCAACTCTCTAAGCCTCAGTTTTCTCATCTATACACTAAGAAGGTTGACAGAGTCTTTGGCAGCTCCAAAATCTTTGTTATATATTGTAAGAGAATCAATGACACTTGGCAAATGATTGGATGGTGGCTACAGGGGGGAGGTTTTAGAGACTGTTGAGGTTTTGAGCCACAGTGAATGGGAAAACAGTATTGCTGTTTACAGGAGTGGTAATTAGGTGTTTTTAGCGACAGTGGTAATGCTAGGATCTTTAAAAAATAAGACATCTAAAGCAAGTTGATTTTCCTAATTTGTGTCCTCAGAGTATAAGAAAATAGGATTTCAATGTTGAGGATACTTTCAGAGGAAACTAATGGTCAGGAGATAAGCCGCCCTTTTTTTTTCTTTTTTGAGACATTGTTTCACTGTGTTGCCCAGGCTGGAGTGCCTTGGCATGATCTTGGCTCACTGCACCCTCCACCTGCTGGGTTCAAGCAATCCTCGTGCCTCACCCTCCCCAGTAGCTGGGACTACAGGTGAGTGCCACCACTCCCAGCTAGTTTTTGTATTTTTAGTAGAGATGGGGTTTCGCTATGTTGGCCAAGCTGGTCTCAAACTCCTGGCCTCAAGTGATCTGCCCACCTTGGCCTCCCAAATGCTGAGATTACAGGTGTGAGCCACTGCACCTGGCTTTTTTTGGCTTTTTTTTTAAGACAGAGTCTCGCTGTGTCACCAGGCTGGAGTGCAGTGGGGTGATCTTGGCTCACTGCAACCTCTGCCTCCCAGGTTCAAGCGATTCTGCCTCAGCTTCCCAAGTAGCCGGGACTACAGGCGAATGCCACTACGCCCAGTAATTTTTGTATTTTTAGTAGAGACGGGGTTTCACCATGTTGACCAGGATGGTCTAGATCTCTTGACCTTGTGGTCTGCCCGCCTCGCTCTCCCAAAGTGCTGGGATTACAGGTGTGAGCCACTGCGCCCGGCATCTTTCTTTTTTCTTTCTTTCTTTTTTTTTTTTTTTTTTTAAGAGACTAGGTGTTACTATGTAATGCCCAAGCTGGTCTTGAACTCCTGGATACAAGCGATCTGCCCACCTCGGCCTCTCTAAGTGCTGGGATTGCAGGCATGAGCCACCACTGCACCCGGACTAAACTGCTCTTTTTAATAACAGTGTCCTGGCTGGGCGTGATGGCTCACGCCTGTAATCCCAGCACTTTGGGAGGCTGGGGTGGGTGGGTCACTTGAGGTCAGGAGTTCGAGACCAGCCTAGCCAACATAGTGAAACCCTGTCTCTACTAAAAATACAAAAATTAGCTAGGTGTGGTGGCAGGCGCCTGTAATCCCAGCTATTCGGGAGGCTGAGGCAAGAGAATCGCTTGAACACGCGAGGCGGAGGTTGCAGTGAGCCAAGATTGCGCCACTACACTCCAGCCTGGGCGACAGAGTCAGACTCTGTCTCAAAAAAGGAAAAAACAAGTTTACTTTGGTGGATTTAAGCTTGCACACCATCATTCTGGGGTTGTCTAGTCTCACTGGGAATTAGAGTGATTTCAAGTGACATCGCAAAGTGGACACTGATTAAAAGGTCAAATGGGCTGAGTTTCAAGAGATGGGAGAACAGGAAACCGAGTTTAGAGGGTGAGGAGTGTTTGTTTTGAGCGGGCTAAGGGTCGGGAATTGTTAGAGGGCCCCAGGAATTACTGTCTAAAAAGCCGTATTGGTATTGAAGGGTCACAGTGTCAAAAATGCACGGCAACCTTATGTGTTGTGGCAGAAAGAGTGCTTTAAAAGGCCCCATATTCCAGCTGGGCTGACTCCCACGATGGAGGGAAGAAGATTTGGCCCCTTTTATTAGGTAGTGGGATACGGTGTAGTCACTACAGGAGAGGGGTTGACAGGGCTGCTAGAAGGCCGGGGATTCAGAGGGAGGCGGAGCTGGCCTAGCGCGGAACCCTCCCTCCCAAGTTTATACTCTTCAGGGTGAAGAATTCAGAGTAGATGGTAGGGAATTTAATCTCCAGGACTGGTTTCGCGTACTATGAGACTGTTCCTCTGGCCAGCCCCCTTTTTTCAAGCAAGCTGCAGGCTTCGCCTCGGCCCTAGAAACCGGATAGGCCTCTCCGTGCGCTCTCAACCTAACCTGCGGGGGAGGGGGAAGGGAGCTCCTTATAGTCCCACCCTTTGCGCTGTTTTGCGTCTTTTCGCCTTTGGTGAGTGGCAGTGCGCTTCAGCCAATGATGGCGCGGGGCGGGCAGGAGCATCAGGTTAGGTTGCGCAGGAGGAGGGGGAACTGGTGCTGGAGAGACAGGGAGAGGGGCGAACCGGCCCCCCACAGCCACTGCAGGTAAAGCCACCTCTCTCCTCCACTGGGGTGAGGCACAGCTCGTTTTCTCCTTCAGGGCTTGTCGGGCCTCTCGGCCTGCAGCTTCCGCCCTAACATTGCTCCTATCCCGGGCATCCACACCCCCCACCCCCCGCATCTTCCCGTCTTGGCCATCCCCACCCTGGAGGGCACCCCCGCTAGCTCCTTACCTCAAGTGCATGTACCTCATTTCCATTTTGGGGTCTCCAGTTACCAGAAATCTTCCGCCTCTGCTGTATGGACCTTACTGGCACCAACCCCGGCAGTATGAGCAGGTAATGTACCCGGGTCCCCCCCACCCCCACCCCAGTCGCGTTTTCCTCTCCATCAACCCCTCACTTCCTCACCTCGCCCTTTCCCTTTTTTCATGAGTGCAGAATCTCTCTAGTTTCTTCTTTACCCCCTGAAAATACATGTCTTTAGCTGTCGTAGTTGCCTATTTTGCTTTTCCGATTTATTCACAAGGTCTTACTTTACCAGCCTTATATTCCCCCAAATGACCATACCCTTGATTGAGGTGTGAGTGCTTTCTCTTTCAGTAATTGGAAAACAGAAACAGAGTAGCCACACATTTGGCAGTGAGAATGGTGAAGACAGAGAAAATGGCCTAGGATCTTGATCTACTTAGGAAATCTGAGTGGCTCCAATTTGGTCCTATGTCTTTCCATCCTGATCCTTTGCTGACCCTAAATTGTGATTGCATTCACTTTGGATGTTTATTTTTCATTTCTGTATAAGATTTGAGACCCTTCGTGTCTCACGAATGTCTTCATGGTACAGTTTTAAAATACTTCTCTTTTAAAATTATGTTGGTGATTTTCATTTTAGCCCTTTGGATTATTTTATTTTCAAGGTATTTCTCATTTAAATTAAGCTGCTTCTACCCATCTTATGTTTCAGTAACATGTATTTATGTCTATCTGCAACTGATCTTCTTGAAAGGATACAGTTTCCAACAACAAGATTTGTTCTTTGAAGTAAATAAAATAGTTTATTCTTTTCTGAACCTTTGAGCAGCTAGAGGTTAAGTGGTCATGAGTGGTACTTTCTAAAAGTGCACATTACAGAAAGAGGTCAGCATGGCTCAATACTGCATTCGTTCATTGTCTTCTAAGAGGTTGTCACTACGGAGAAATCTATAAGTGGGCAATAGATATCTGTAGCTCATTTTACATAATTTTATCTATTAGACGACAGAACTAATCTCTTGCAGTGTTTCTCATCCATCATAAACAGTAAATGATGATAAACTCCTTTTGAGAGGCTATAGGAAATCTTATCCCATCCCAAAGATACTGGTAACTCTGCCAAGCCAGGAATGTTTCTTTCTCTGCCCTCTACTCCTCACGTGTCTTTTACAGATCTTCACTGGCCAAGAAGGCTTTGTCCAGTGTTAATAAATATAAATAGCCTAAACAATGAGATGTAGTTTTTTCACTTGATAAATATAAAATTATAATATTGAATACACCTTTAAGAACTGCACATTTATCTCCACCCTCGGTTCCCAGAAGCCCTTCTTAAGGGCCTTAGTCTCCATCCCCTGGTTGAGAATCACTGCTTTGTTGAAAGGTATGGAGAGATTGAGATGGAAAAATATAGGGTAGAATTAAAACAAAATACTTTATCATAGGACAGACAGTTTATTATAGAAATGGGCAAGGGTGAGGAATAATGTCAAATAAGAATGAGAGAGTTGGGACTCTAGATTTCCAAAAAAATCAAGAACTGTATTAAAGGTGGTAAAGCTGCAGAAGAACATCAGTTTGTACTTGTCTCAAGGGGAAGCAGTAGTTTCACCTTTAAGAAGGAGATGAAGTGAAGGGCTATACTGGCATATATAATAAAGTATTTTTCTACAGGTAACTGTATTGTTACTTGGCGATTATAGATAGATGGGCTTGGATTTTAACCTTAACTGACTAGTTTGTTACTTTTCCCTTCCACTGCCATCCCTCACCCCCTACATGCCCTCCAAGATTTCTGTCATGATTCTGGTCATTAGTTTGTAATTATGGAAAGTGACTAAGTACAACCACTAAGTTTTGTCTTTCCTTTTGAGCACATACATGTGTTTCTCTTTTGGGGACTGGTGGGCCAACACTGGCTTTTCATTCTTAATATGATAAAAGTTGGTGTGACTTCTTTATCTAGGCAGTTACTTTGCATTGAAACCAACTTAACATCTGTTCATTTTTGCTATTAGGGTTTGAATCAAGGAAAGAGAATTCATGAGATGGTTGAGAGGATTCATGAGATAGATGAGCTTGGTAGAATAAATAGGCCGTATGTGGATATAGCCAGGGTGACCCACAAGTAGTAGTAGAAGGAGGGTTAAAAAAAGTTAGATGTATGTTGGGAGAAGGTTTAATCTTGTAAGAGTCAAGGACAGTTTAAAGATAGGAACTAGAAAAGAAGTAGGAAACTAGCATAAAAATATGAGATGAATTGGGTCAGTATAGGTGAGAATGATGGGACTGAGAAGTAATGATACTTGGTGGCAAGGTTTTTGAATTATTAGGCATAGACCGAACTAGAAGAAGCAGAAATTTGGTTCGAAAATTGGGAAGGGAGAGATAAATGACAATGCATTGATCTTTAAAAAGCTTATACTAAGTCATATGGGGGTAAGGAGATTCATCAGAAACCATCAGCCTTGTTTCTCCTATTTAAAAAAAAAAAAATCTGGGCCTAAGATTGGATCATTATGGGGGAAAGGAAGAGCATTAGAATTAACAAATAGCAAGGAATCATGGAAGCGACAAAATACTCCATGGAATAAGGAGCAGGCTATAAACTATTTGCAACGTAAACTTCTGGTTAGTAGAAACTTTCAGCGTGGTGGCTCATGCCTATAATCCCAGCACTTTGGGAGGCTGAGGCGACGGCTCACCTCTGAAGTCGAGAGTCCGAGACCAGTCTGACTAACGTGGCGAAAACCTGTCTCTACTAAAAATACAAAATTAGCCGAGTGTGGTGGCGCAGGCCTGTAATCCCAGCTATTCGGGAGGCTGAGGCAGGAGAATCGCTTGAACCCAGGAGGTAGAGGTTGCGGTGAGCCGAGATCGCGCCATTGCACTCCAGCCTGGGCGACAAGAGTGAAACTCTGTCTCAGAAAAAAAAAAAAAAAAAAAAAGAAACTTTCACTGTTGTTTTTATATTACTCCTAGCTGTAGATACTTTAACTTCTGACGGTGAGTAGAGAATGAAAAATAATTGGTGCCAAAGTAGGTATACTGGAAAAAAGCTGATGATAATGGGAAGGAAATTTATTAATATCAAGTTATTGAGTAGGTTTTCGTTAAATCAGGAAGCATTCATAACTTTCCTGATTGCCATTTTGAGTAATTTGGAGGCAAATATTAGATATGAGAGGCTGGAATGAGCTGGTGGAATAGGCTAGCCAGGAATGGGAGATGGTATGGATCTTGGGTTGAGATATGAAAAGTATGCAATTACTGAAGCAAGGACGATCTTGTTTAACATTGTTGGAGATACCATGTATACTTTGTAATTTTGACTCACGTGTTTGTTCTCTTTGTCTGTTTTGGAGTATCTGATATATTAACCCATATTATATTGTTTTATAAGGATAAGTGAGATGGGTTGGGAAGGAAAAAACATAGCATGGGGGTTATATGGAAAAGTCTCCTTCAGTCAGGACTGTGCCTCTGACAAATTTCTTATCTGGTGTCTTCCAAAAGTTAGGAGAAATGGTCTTACCAAGCAAGACTTTCCTGTATTGTCAAATACTGTCATCATATACAAAGAACAGATATTTCTTTTTCATATATTTGGGTTTTATGGTGATATACTTCCCTGTCTTTGATAGCTTTTCTTTTTTCCACTAGTTTCATGAACTTAAAACCCTAGACATGGATTTTGTGAACCTACTTTCAGCCATTCATAAGACATGTTTTCAAGATAGGAAGCTTTTTACCATCTCATGTTAGAATCAAAGGATACCATTTAGTTTCTGTGAGGATCGAATGGTTTACTCCAGATAATGCGAGCAAGTATAATTCATTAACTGTTTTTTGATTAGCTACTATATGTGCTATGTCCTGCTGGTTCTTAGGGGATCCACAGATAAATAAAACATAGTCCCCACCATCCAAGAACTTTCTCCCAGAGAAAGAGGAGCTGGGCCATGGTACAGAGTTGTGGAGGGTGTACATTGCATACATTCATAACAAATTTTTATATATTTAGTATGGCAGTTTTCCAGGCATCTTGAGAAGTGGGCAACTTTTTACAATTTGCGCAAAGGAACCATTTGGGCCTTCAGAGGATATATTACAGACTTAGGTCATTATAATAAAATATTAAATATAAGTGTTTTAAGGTATAAACAATGGTGTGGGTATTTAAAGGAGGTGGAGGGATCAAGTCATCACAAGTTGCTCAGTTGTTAAAGCGTCAGAGGTTCAGGGCTCACTTAATGGAGTAGAAGACCTTTGAGGGTTGGTAGGATTTTAGCTGCGAGAGATTATTGGCATTGGGATGGAGAGGACGTGTTCCAGGCAGAAAGCACAGCATCATAAGCAAAGTCACACAGGTAGGAATCACATTAAGGGAATTGTGTAGTCTAGTTGGACTGGAATGTAAAATATATGTAAGAGATGGTAAGAGGAAGTTGGGAATATAAATTGGAAACAATGTTGAATCCCTTGCAATTGACCTTTTTTATCTTAAATATGAGAAAGTTTTCTTGAGAGGGGACTTCAGAACAAAAATCCCATTATAGATTAATATGTTAACTAGAATAAAGGTTGCAAAACTTCCTGGGTAAAATTGTATGATCACTTTGGTGAGATTGTACTATAAGCCTTGGTTAAAGGTGGTTATTTTTGCCAATAGTAAGTAAAAATATATAAAACACAAGAAAAATTTATACAATAGAATATATCCAGAAACCTTTATCTATAGAGTCACTGTAATTCTGGTGGCATATTTTTGAGTTCTACTAACTTAAAAACTGAAAATAGAAGGTAAATGAATATTAAATTTTATCTTTACCAAAGAATAATAATTGTTAAAAGAAACGGAGAAAGACAGCCAAATGCTCTTGACAGAGTCTTTAAAGTTTGTAGGTGTAAGTGCCCAAGAGGAGGTTGTTATTGTTTTTCTCTTTTAGTTTTAGTTTTGAAGCAGAAATATGAGTGTCTTTCTGCTGTATGTCCGTCCTCAGATTTCCTCACATTTCCCTCTTATATTCATGCTATTTGATATTAAGAACAGTACGTAAGAAGGGAAAATTTTCTCTGAGATCGCCAACTTTGCCTATTTTTCATTTGTATTTGTATTCCTACAACAGGAGTTCCACCATCTTCCTCTGAAGACGTAGCCATCTTGCTCCATGAAGGTCAGGACAATCTGACATGCACTTGTTTCTTGCCTCTATACTTGAAGAGTAGTCCTCTTACATTGTGTACATTTTTTTCTTAATAGGGGAGGGGAGGGGAGAGCCAGTACCCCCCCTCCCCTTCCCTCCCTAGACCTTGGAGAAGTACCCTCCATTACTTTCCCAAGATGGCAGACCCCATCATGGATCTGTTCGATGACCCAAATTTATTTGGCCTGGACTCTCTGACTGATGACAGCTTTAACCAGGTCACACAAGACCCCATTGAGGAAGCCCTTGGACTGCCAAGCTCTCTGGACTCCTTGGATCAGATGAACCAGGATGGTGGAGGTGGTGATGTGGGGAATTCATCAGCAAGTGAACTGGTCCCTCCACCAGAGGAAACAGCTCCCACAGAACTTTCCAAAGAATCCACAGCTCCAGCTCCAGAATCCATAACCTTGCATGATTATACCACTCAGCCTGCCAGCCAGGAGCAGCCAGCCCAACCTGTCTTACAGACATCGACGCCAACATCAGGACTTTTGCAAGTCTCCAAGAGCCAGGAGATCCTGAGCCAAGGGAATCCTTTCATGGGTGTCTCTGCCACAGCTGTCTCCTCCAGTAGTGCTGGAGGGCAGCCACCTCAGTCAGCCCCTAAGATTGTTATCCTTAAGGCCCCACCAAGCTCCTCAGTCACTGGTGCCCATGTGGCACAAATTCAGGCCCAAGGTATCACCAGCACAGCTCAGCCCCTGGTGGCAGGCACAGCCAATGGTGGAAAAGTCACTTTTACCAAAGTGCTAACCGGCACACCCCTTCGACCAGGTGTTTCCATTGTCTCTGGTAATACAGTGTTGGCCGCCAAGGTCCCTGGGAACCAGGCTGCTGTTCAGCGCATTGTCCAGCCCAGCCGACCAGTAAAGCAGCTGGTCCTCCAGCCAGTTAAGGGTTCAGCTCCTGCTGGAAACCCTGGGGCCACAGGGCCCCCACTGAAGCCTGCAGTTACACTGACCTCTACACCTACCCAGGTGACTTGAGTGAAAGGGGGAGGTGAATTTTGGTTTCATAGAGGGCCCAGCAACTCTTTGAGAGAGTGAGCACATGAGAGCTTTCTCTGGGAAAGCCTATTTAAATTCCATCTTTGGTTTTTATCAGTTAGTGTGACAGCCACATACTTAGTACTTGCTGGTTGGAAGCAGTTAATGTTAACATATTTTTTGAGCTCTTACTACACATTTACATTGTACCTAGCTGGTGCTAAATAAGGCAAACACAGTCCCTGTCCTTACAGAGCTCACCGTCTGCCAGGAAAGACAGATATTAAGCAAGAGTTCACAATAATTGTGTGATACAAAGTTTTATGAGAAGTATGGGATGCTATGGGAACAAAGAAACATCTTTGAAGAATTATCTTTATATTTGCAAGACTTGTAAAAGCTATTTATATCTTTCTTTTATTCTTATTACTAAGATTGTCCCCCTCCTACTTTGCTCAGTGAAAGTGTTAGTTTCTAGCGTAAGAAGGTAGAGGCTCTAGCATCTGAATAAAGGGCCAAAAGAGTTGGTGGGGGTGGGGGCGCAGCATTGAGATAATTAGGACTAGCCAGGCACAATGTCTCTCACCTGTGATCCCAGCTACTCAGGAGGCTGAGGCAGGAGGATTGCTTGAGGCCAGAAGTTCAAGACCAGCCTGGGCAACATAGTGAGACCCTTGTCTCTAAAAAAAGTAGGACTAGTGGGAAGAAGCTACAAGGAGGCAGATTTCAATTCAATATAAGGAATTTTGTATTATTAGGTTTCCAAAAATGAACTGCTGCATTAGAAGATAGCCTTCCATCAGGAGTTTTTAAAACATAGCTTGATACCTACTGAGCAGAAGCATTATAGAAAAGATTCTATCAGGACAGCTGATAGTCCCAGCACTTTGGGAGGCTGAGGCCAGAGGATCGCTTGAGGCCAGGAGTTCGAGACCAGCCTGGGAAACATAGACCTCATCTCTACAAAAAAGCAAAATAAAAATTAGCTGGGCATGGTGGCATGCACCTATAGTACCAGCTACTCAGGAGGCTGAAGCGGGAGGATCACTTGAGCCTAGGAGTTCTGGGCTGTGGTGTGCTATGCCAATCAGGTGTCTGCACTAAGTTTGACATCAATATGGTGACCTCCCAGGAGCAAGGGACCACCAGGTTGCCTAAGGAGGGATGAATTGGCCCAGGTTGGAAACGGAGCAGGGCAGCACTCCCTTGCTGATCAGCAGTAGTGTTGTGCCTGTGAATAGCCACTGCACTCTAGCCTGGGCAATACAGCGAGACCCTGTCTAAAAATAACAAAAAAGATTGCATCAAGACAGATAGGATGATGAACAAAGTGAGTTGTACTGTGTCTTCTGACCTGTAGTTTTTATGATTCTAGCATGAAGAAAACTGGTGTAAATATTTCAGAGTATACCATTCTTTAATGTTGTACTCTTGCAATTTCCTTTCTTCACTTTAGGGTGAATCGAAACGCATCACCCTGGTCCTCCAGCAGCCACAGTCTGGAGGTCCCCAAGGACATCGGCATGTTGTGCTAGGGAGTCTACCAGGCAAGATAGTGTTACAGGGCAACCAGCTGGCAGCCCTGACTCAAGCCAAGAATGCCCAAGGGCAGCCTGCCAAGGTAGTAACTATCCAGCTGCAGGTGCAGCAGCCACAGCAAAAAATCCAGATTGTACCACAACCACCATCATCGCAGCCACAGCCCCAGCAGCCACCCTCCACCCAGCCAGTGACTCTGTCCTCTGTACAGCAGGCTCAGATAATGGGACCAGGACAAAGCCCAGGACAAAGACTTTCAGTACCAGTCAAGGTGGTACTGCAGCCACAGGTGAGAGACTTACATAGTAAGGAAAAGAAAGAAAACAAAAATACTTAGTCCATTGCTGTTGCCCTCAGCAACCACTTATTCTTGAATGTGGGGCCATTCTAGATTTATATCTCTGAACTGAGGTGCAGACTTAATTCTTTCATTCATGGAAACCTTATTTTAATTATATTATTAAAAGATTAGAGAGGGATTGTTGGGTTTGGGATATGAGATTATTTAGTATTTATCTTTGAATTGTTTTATTTATAATCTTTTCCTAATATTATTGTGAAATAAAAATGATTTGTGATATCCTTTAAATGATAGTTCAGAAATGACTTGAAGAAATAAGTGATCAGTCCTCCCCTCTCCCCGCCCAGGCAGATAAAAGGTAGGCCAAGAGTAGAATTTGAATTTTTTTACCGTTAGGCCAGAGACCAATATTGGGTATATTAGTTGTAATTTTTCTGAGGTAATGGAGATGTATATTAATGGAAGCATAGCAAAAAGATACTAAAGTTTATTTTGGCAGAATTCTTGGTTTTTCTCACCCCTTTCCCACCAAAAGAATACATTTTAAAAAGTAGGTGTAGGTTCAATAAGATTTAGTCTGAGCTTGATTCTTGAGGGATTAAAGAACTAGTTTCTAGCCCCCCTGCTTCAGAGCTGGATTTTATTTAGGCCATTTAACTACAAGCAAGTTGAAATTGTAGTATCTTTGTTTCTATAGGCTGGCTCTTCCCAAGGGGCCTCTTCTGGGCTCTCTGTAGTTAAAGTTCTGAGTGCCAGTGAAGTGGCAGCTTTGTCATCACCAGCAAGCTCTGCTCCTCATTCGGGGGGAAAGACAGGAATGGAGGAAAACCGCAGATTGGAACACCAGAAGAAGCAAGAGAAAGCAAATCGGATTGTAGCAGAGGCCATTGCGAGAGCCCGTGCCCGCGGTGAGCAGAACATACCTCGAGTCTTAAATGAGGACGAGTTGCCCAGCGTTCGGCCAGAGGAGGAAGGCGAGAAGAAACGCAGGAAGAAGAGTGCTGGGGAGAGGCTGAAAGAGGAGAAGCCAAAGAAGAGTAAAACATCTGGTGCCTCCAAAACAAAGGGCAAGAGCAAGCTCAAGTGAGTACTCCTTGCTACTGTGATGGGACGTGCAAGAGTAAGCTCAAGTGAGTACTCCTTGCTATTGGGATGGTACATTTGAGGGCAGAGCAAACATCTGGTACCTCCAAAACAAAGGGCAAGAGCAAGCTCAAGTGAGTGCTCCTTACTACTGTGATGGGACGTGCAAGAGTAAGCTCAAGTGAGTACTCCTTGCTATTGGGATGGGACATTTGAGGGCAGAGCAAACATCTGGTACCTCCAAAACAAAGGGCAAGAGCAAGCTCAAGTGAGTGCTCCTTGCTACTGTGATGGGACGTGCAAGAGTAAGCTCAAGTGAGTGCTCCTTGCTATTGTGATGGGACGTGCAAGAGTAAGCTCGAGTGCTCCTTGCTATTGTGATGGGACGTGCAAGAGTAAGCTCAAGTGAGTGCTCCTTGCTATTGTGATGGGACGTGCAAGAGCAAGCTCAAGTGAGTGCTCCTTGCTATTGTGATGGGACGTGCAAGAGTAAGCTCAAGTGAGTGCTCCTTGCTACTGGGATGGGACGGGCAAGAGCAAGCTCAAGTGAGTGCTCCTTGCTATTGGGATGGGACGGGCAAGAGCAAGCTCAAGATTGAGTACTCCTTGCTATTGTGATGGGACATTTGAGGGCAGAGCACTCATTTCTAAGAAGCATTGAGGAACTTATGTGTATTTACCAGCTACATAGTTCAAGGTGATCTATTATAGAAAATAATAAGGCCTTTCTTTTTTCTGTCCTAATGCTTATAGGATTTGTTAAATGGAAAACTGAAATTAGCATATTTTAAGAGGAAAACACGAAGGCACAGGAAAGATAGTTACTGTGCTGGGAGTTACCTTTAAAAGCTGTGACTCTGCATTCATATATTTGTCCTGATTTTGTATTACTGTAGTGTGAAAGAGATTTCTCACTACCTCCTACCACCCACATCAGTAAAAAGAGAACTACTGGAGACATAGCTGTCCTGTTCTTGCATCTCTTCTGTGAATTGGAGATTTCAGCATCTACCATTAGCTTTAAGCAGTGTTGACAGAAAAGTGATGGCTTGCCACATAATTCTTGTCATAATTGAGTGTCCTCTCTTTCCCTTCCATGTCCTGTATCTTCTCCTTTCTTACTAGCTTTTACTCCCTGGGATTCTTAAGGCTTTGTGGTGTAATTATAATAATGCTTTGTATTTGTACCGGATTTTTCAGCTTTTAAAAGACAGTTTTATGTTTCTTATTTGAGCCTCAGTAACTGTCAGGACAGGTATTATCTCTCTAATGTTTACAAATAATGAAACTAATGCTCTTGTAGTGACAGAAGTGGAACTGCAATAAGTGTTCTAATTCTTAATCTGGTATTTATTCTCCTATCTTGTGCTACCTTCCTTCAGGTATTTGTGAACACAGTAATAACAAGGATTTGTCAAATATGGTATAAGGGTCAGTCAGTGGTTTACAAACCCTAATATCTTCTTTTTTTCAAACACCATATTTAGTAGCTGTGTGTCCTATTGACTGAAGATCTAAAAACTTCTGTCTGGAAGTTTTGTATGTGATGGTTTAGATTAATTATGTTTTTTTACTCCTAAATTTTCTTTGCTTTCACTGAAAATGAATTTGGTTTTTCCTTTTTAGCACCATCACTCCTGTAGTGGGTAAGAAGAGAAAACGTAATACCTCATCTGATAATTCAGATGTGGAAGTCATGCCTGCACAGTCACCTCGAGAAGATGAAGAAAGCAGCATTCAGGTAAAAGGATCCCAAAAGAATTTAGTAGAAAAAACCATGTTTAATTATGGCTAACCAAGCCAAGCAGATATTGAGAAATCGTAAGTCTATACACATTTCTTTGGCTTTTCTAAACTGGGCGTAGGCCTAAATAAGGTGGATGGACCTGGCCAGTGTCTTTTTTCTGTTGTTGTTGTTGTTTTCTTCTTCTTGAGACAGAGTCTTGCTCTCTCACCCAGGCCTGAAGTGCAGTGGCATGATCTCAGCTTACTGCACCCTCTGCCTCCCGGTTTCAAACGATTATCCTGCCTTAGCCTCCCGAGTAACTGGGATTATAGGCATGCACCACCACGCCCAGCTAATTTTTGTATTATTTTAGTAAAGACCAGGTTTCACCACGTTAGCCAAGCTGGTCTTGAACTCCTGACCTCAAGTGATCTGCCTGCCTTGGCCTCCCACTGGTCAGTGTCTTTAAATTTTTTTTTTTAGGCAAAGAGCATATTACTATAAAAATAGTGATACTTGGCCAGGCGTGGTGGCTCACACCTGTAATCCCAGCACTTTGGGAGGCTGAGGTGGGTGGATCACCTGAGGTCAGGAGTTGGAGACCAGTCCGGTCAACGTGGTGAAACCCCATCTCTACTAAAAATACAAAAATTAGCCAGGTGTGGTAGCAGGCACCCGTAATCCCAGCTACTTGGGAGGCTAAGGCAGGAGAATCACTTGAACCCTGGAGGTGGAGGTTGCAGTGAGCCGAGATTGTACCATTGCACTCCAGCCTGGGCAACAGAGCGAGTCTCTGTCTCAAAAAAAAAAAAAAAAAAATAGCAATACTCGTTTCCTCAAATTCCAGTGTTTCAAATACAAAGCAAATCATATGAAATCATGCTGCTTGATTGCCCTTCTGGTTGGGCCAGAACTTGACTCTCTCTTAGAACTCTCCAAGAATCCCTTTTGCCTTACCTTTTCTACACTTCAGGATTCTGACTCTGTGAACTAGGGTAGTTAGGCACAAAGTTTCTTGCTACGTTTTGAAGATGAGGGACGTTGGAAGAGACCAAAAGAAGCCAGACCAGAAGCGTAGGCTTCCATCTCTGATTTGTTGCCTTATGGTACCATCTTTGGCTCTAGTTTCCAACCATAGAAAAAATCTGATTAAGGAGACCCATAGTGCTTCTAAGTAGCTCTGTGGCCTGGCCAACTTAACTTACTTGAGTCTCAGTTTCTCATCTGTAAATGGAGATTTGGACTAAATGAACCTTAAGTGTTTCTCTATTAATATTTATAAGTGCCTCCCCTCTTTCATAATATACATTCGGTACATTGACAAACTGATACTTGGGTTTTTCTAGGGGAAATTACTGTGTAAGAATAGCTGGGCCAGGCGCGGTAGCTCCCGCCTGTAATCCCAGCACTTTGGGAGGCCGAGGCGGGCATATCACGAGGTCAGGAGATTGAGACCATCCTGGCTAACACGGTGAAACCCCGTCTCTACCAAAAATACAAAAAAATTAGCCGGGCGTGGTGGTGGGCGCCTGTAGTCCCAGCTACTTGGGAGGCTGAGGCAGGAGAATGGCATGAACCCTAGAAGCAGAGCTTGCAGTGAGCCAAGATTGCGCCACTGCACTCCAGCCTGGGTGACAGAGTGAAACTCCACCTCAAAAAAACAAAACAAAACAAAAGAATAGTCGAGAAAGTTTTAAAAAGGAAAATGAGGCCAAAAAAAAATTTTAGAATATATTATGAAATAATGATTACTAAGACTTTGAAATTGGAGAAGAAAAAACAGATTAATAAAACACAGTAGAGCTTAGAAATCAACTCAAATACTTGTGGAAATTTACTATATATGATTAAAACACCATTTAAAATCAACAGGGAAAAAGATTATTCAATAAATTGGGACAGCTGGCTAACCATTTAGGAAAAGCTGGATTTTTTTGCCATCTTAAAAATAAATCCCAACCGAATTGAAGGTGTAAATATAAAAGATGAAATTTATGAACTGTCTATAAGACATGAATACATTTTAAAGTAACTGTCCGGTGGAGTAATCTTTGTAAAGACGGTATTAAAATTCAGAAGTCATGAAGGAAAATATTGGTACACTTGATAATATAAAAATTATGTATGGTATTACAACAAAAAAATTCCATGAACAGCATAGTGGTTGAGAGCACAGACTCTGGAGCCAGATTTCTTGGGTTCTTTTCTTGACTCTACCATTTAATAGCTTTGTCACTCTGAGCGAGTTTCTTAGCCTCTTGGTACCTTAATTTCCTCACCTTTGAAATGTGGGTAATAGTACTTACCAAATAGGGTTGCTTCAAGGATTAAATGTACACATTTATAAAGCACATATAACAGTGTTTGGCTCATAGTAAGAACACATATTAAGACTTACATACATATGCTGTGGATGAATGTGTCCCCCAAGTTCATGGGTTAGCCAGGCATGGTGGCTCATACCTGTAATCACTGCACTTTGGGAGGCTGAGGCAGGAGGATCTCTTGAGCCCAGGAAGTTGAGGCTGCAGTGAGCTGTGATCATGCTACTGCACTCCAGCCTGGGCAACAGAATGAGAGACTGTTACTGCACCCCCTGACTCCCCCCGCCAAAAAAAAAAGTTCATGGATAGGAAGCTAAATCCCCCATGCAACTGTGTTGAGAGGGGGGACCCTTAAGAGGTGATTAGGTCATGAAGGCGTTACCCTCATGAATGGATTAATGTCATTGAGAGAGTAGGTTTGTTATAAAATCAAGTTGGGACCTCTCTTGCTTTCTCTCACTTGTGCTCTCACCTGTCACCTTCCTGCTATGGGATGATGTGGCAAGAAGGTCCTCGCCAAATATGGGCACCTTGATATTGGACTTACCAGCCTTTAGAACTGTGAGAAATAAATTTATTTTTCTTTCTTTTTTTTATTTTTTGAGATAGAGTCTGCTCTGTTGCCCAAGCTGGAGTGCAATGGCGCAATCTTGGCTCACTGCAACCTCTGCCTCTCGGTTCAAGTGATTCTCCTGCCTCAGCCTCCCAAGTAGCTGTGATTACAGGTGGCGCCACCACGCCCAGCTAATTTTTATATTTTTAGTAGACAGGGTTTCGCCATGTTGGCCTGGCTGATCTCAAACTCCTGACCTCAGGTGATCTGCCTGCCTCGGCCTCCCAAAATGCTGGCATTAGAGGCGTGAGCCACGTGCCTGGCCTTCTTTTTTTCTGAGACAGAGTCTTGCTCTGTTTCCCAGGCTGGGGTGCGGTGGCACGATCTTGGCTAACTGCAACCTCTGCCTCCCAGGTTCGAGCAATTTTCCTACCTCAGCCTCCTGAGTAGCTGGGATTATAGGTGTGCGCCACCATGCCCAGCTAATTTTTGTATGTTTTAATAGAGACAGGGTTTCGCCGTGTTGGTCAGGCTGGCGTTCAACTCCTGACCTCAAGCGATCCACCCGCCTCAGCCTCCCAAAGTTCTGGGATTACAGGCAGGAGCCACTGCACTTGGCTACATTTCTTTTTTTATTAAAATAAATTACCCAGTCCCGGGTATTCTGTTATAGCAACACAAAATGAACGTGATTTGTTAAAACAACTTGTTTTTTAAGTAAAGGTTAAATAAGGCTTAGAGGGTTGTGCAAATAAAGTAATAAAGTATTTGTTAAACAAAAAAAATGAAGGAAATTTTTAATAATACAAAATACACAGAGATTACTAAAATTTAGAAAGTGGTCTGTTAGTTTGCTAGGACCACCATAACAAAATACCACAGACTAGGTGGCTTAAACTATGGACATTTCTTGTCTTTTCCTTTTTTCTTTTTTTTGAGACAGGGTCTCCAGGCTGGAGTGCAGTAGCACAATCTCGGCTCACTATAACCTCCACCTCCCGGGTTCAAGTGATTCTCCTGCCTCAGCCTCCCGAGTAGCTGGGATCATAGGTGTGTGCCACCATGCCCAGCTAATTTTTGTATTTTTAGTAGAGATGGAGTTTCACCATGTTGGCCAGGCTGGTCTCAATCTTTTGACCTCAGGTGATTCACCTGCCTTGTCCTCCCAATGTGCTGGAATTACAGGTGTGAGTAACTGCACTTGGCCTGGACATTTATTTCCTTATAGTTCTGGAGGCTAGAAATCCAAGATCAAATGGTCTGCAAGTTTGTTTTCTCCTGAAGGTTTTCTTGGCTTGCAGAAGGCCACCTTCTCATTGTGTCTTCACGTGGTCTTTCCTCTATTGGTACACATCCCTGGTGTCTTTTTGTGTGTCCAAATTTCTTCCTTCTGTAAGAACATTAGTCAGATTGGATTAGGGCTCACACTGGTGGCTTTATTTTAACTTAATGACCGTTGGAAGCCCTATTCCCAATTTCCTAATACACTCACATTCTGAGGTACTGGGGGTTAGGGGCTTCAACATATGGATTTGGTGGGGGGATGCAATTCAGTCTATGACAAGTGAGAATGACAATATTGGCAATGAAGTTAAGGAACAGACACTTAGACACAGTTGATGGGAATGTTAATTGGGACAATCTTTTTGGCAAGTCGGTGTTTCAATATATAGAAAAATTTAGAATGTTAATTTCATTTCACTCAATGATTCTGCACCTAGGAAATTACCTTATGAATATGTTCTCAAAAGAATGCAGTGATATATGTATTGTAGCAATATTGCAATAGCAAAAATGTCTAAAAATTAGATGTCCATTGGTGGAGAAATAGTTAAGTAAAATTGGCAATATTCATGCAGTAGAATACTAGATGGCAGTAGAATACTAGATGGCAGTTAAAAACAATGAAGTAGGTTGGAATGTGCTAATAAGGAAGACTTATTAATGAAAAAAGGTGTATGTAGTATCTCTTTAATGTTTAAAGTATGTATGTGTGTCTGTGTGTGTATATATATGTATATGCATCCATTTTTTTCTGGAAGGATATACAAGAAATGGATAAGAATATGTATCTTTGAAGAGAAGGGTTGAATGGTAAGTGGGTCATGATTATTGTGCTTTAATTTTTTGTCCTTTGGCCCTGTGTGAAATTTTTTAACTGGACCATTTGCCATTTGATTTTTCAGTTTAAAAATACATATATGAGGCCAGGTGCGGTGGCTCATGCCGGTAATCCCAGCACTTGGGAGGCCGAGGCAGGTGGATCACCTGAGGTCGGGAGTTCGAGTCCAGCCTGACCAACGTGGAGAAACCCTATCTCTACTAAAAATACAAAATTAGCTGGGCATGGTGGTGCACGCTTGTAATCCCAGCTACTCTGGAGGCTGAGGCAGGAGGATCACTTGAACCTGGGAGGCAGAGGTTGCAGTAAGCTGAGATCATGCCATTGCACTCCAGCCTGGGCAACAAGAGCGAAACTCCGTTTCAAAAAAAAAAAAAATGTGTATGAGAAAAATTACAACAGGTAGCCTCTGTTACCAATTTCTTGTATACCCTTCTAGAAATATTTCTTACTTTCATGAACACTCTACTTCTACTTCCACTAAATATTAATATTCCATACCTACTCTTCTCTACTGTGTGTTTTCCCTAATGATACGTCTTGGAGGTTGTTCTTTAGTGGAAAAGATAGATATACCCATTCTCCTCCTCTACTTTCTTTTTTATTAGGAAAATTTTCAGACATACACAAAAGTAGATTTTTAATGAAGTCCCATGTTCCCATTCTCCCACTTTAATATTTATCAACAGATGGCTCACTTCCCACTGTCCTTACTTCCACTCTAGTCCTGCCCGCCTTTGGCCCTGTGGTGAAAGTGGCTTTTATTTCCTCTCTTGTGGAAGGAGGGGGAGGGGAGCTTTCCCAGGCACATCAACCTAAAGAAGGGGTGGCTGCGCCCACAGAGCACAGGGCTAGAAGAGCCGATCATTGGATTATTTGGAAGGAAGGGCTCATTCTTGTCCACTTCCTGGCACTCTGCTGAAGGGTGTGCTGGCAGGGGTCACACCCTTTGGGGCAGCAGCTACCACATCAGCAGAGGCACTAGGGCACTAGGAGATAATCTGCTAGTTTTCACAAAGAGGAGAGGGCAGGTGCCCTGAGTGAAGGAGAGAAAGCTGGGGTGGCCGACCCCATGTCCCACACCTGCCCAGTGTGATAACTTTCATAAGGCCTAGCTGGTGTGATTCCTCCCAGAAAGGCCTGGAGGAGCCCATAGGCAATGCGCAATCTGATGGCTGGTCCTTTAAATGTCCATCTCAAATTGTGATTCCTCACGGCCCGACTACTTACCTTCTGGGCCATTGCACAGGTGGCCCTGGCTGGCTTCTTTTGGGGGCTCATCACTGGCAGGGCTGGTGACCCCAGGAATGGTGGGCAGATCCCTCGGGGATGTTTTGGTCATGGGTGAGTTCCGACACTCCAGGAATTTCTAGTCGTAGATGATCCTGGTACCTCCCAGGGTGGTGCTGAAGACTGTGCCCCTGGGGGGTTGTCCTGTAGCTGCATGCCTTTGCCCAGCACCACCCAGTGAGTGGCAGGGATGGCCCAGCTCAGGGTCTGGCTGCAGTTGCTGTCCCTAGACATGGTCTCCAGTGTACGGCACCCAGGATTATTTTTTTTGTTTTCTTTTATTTTTATATTTTGGAGACAGAGTCTCACTGTCTTGCCCAGGCTGGAGTGCAGTGGCACGATATCAGCTCACTGCAACCTCTGCCTCCCGGGTTCAAGCAATTCTTCTGCCTCAGCCTCCGGAGTAGCTGAGACTGCAGGCACATGCTGCCACACCCAGGTGATTTTTTATATTTTTAGTAGAGACGGGGTTTCACCATGTTGCTCAGGCTGGTCTTGAACTCCTGAGCTCAGGCAGTCTGCCCGCCTCGGCCTCCCGAAGCGCTAGGATTACAGACATGAGCCACCGCTCCCGGCCCACCCTGGATTATTTTAAACCAAATCTAAGTACTTGTTTAAAGTGTTTCCTAAATTTTTTTTTTAAAAAGGTCATTTTAAGAATACTATATGATGGATGTGATAAAAATCAAGTCATCCAGAAATATATTAAGTAAAAAGTAGAAAGTATCTTCTAGAAATTGTTATTCTCTAGAAATAATTTAGTTTATATATCCTCCCAGACTTTTTAAAATGACGTAGAATATACATATCATAAAATATGCACAAATTTTGTTTGTATAGTTTTGACAAATGTATCGAAGTTACTTCACCAAGTGAAGAAAATGTTTCCATCACCCCAGTAAGTTCCCCTGTACTCCCTTGTAGTCAGTCCAGTTCCTCACTCCAGGGCATAGGCAGCTAACTGCTGTTCTGCTCTCTCTTACCTTAGATTAACTTAGCCTATTTTTGAACTTTATTTATTTATTTATTTTTTGAGACGGAGTCTCCCTGTGTCGCCCAGGCTGGACTGGAGTGCAGTGGCGCGATCTCCGCTCCCTGCAAGCTCCGCCTCCTGGGTTCATGCCATTCTCTTGCCTCAGCCTTCTGAGTAGCTGGTACTGCAGGCGCCTGCCACCACGCCCAGCTAATTTTTTTATATTTTTAGTGGAGACGGGGTTTCACCGTGTTAGCCAGGATGGTCTCGATCTCCTGACCTCATGATATGCCCACCTTGGCCTCCCAAAGTGCTGGGATTACAGGCGTGGGCCACCGCGCCTGGCTATTTTATTTATTTTTTGAGACAGGGTCTCACTCTCACCCAGGCTAGAGTGCAGTGGCGTGATCTTGGCTCACTGCAACCTCCGCCTCCTGCATTCAAGTGATCCTCATGCCTCAGCCTCCCTAGTAGCTAGGATTACAGGTGCACGCCACCATGCCCATCTCATTTTTTTGTATTTTTAGTAGAGACAGTGTTTCACCATGTTGGACAGGCTGGTCTTGAACTCCTGACCTCAAATGATCTGCCCGCCTTGGCCTTCCAAAGTGCTGGGATTACAGGCGTGATCCACCGTGCCCGGCTTTGAACTTTAAGTAGTATCATACAGTATGTACTTTTGGGTCTCACTTCTTTCAGCATAATTTTTTGTTGTTCTTTTTCTTCTGCCCACACATCAATGAGAAAGGCATAATGTTTTTGATAGTTCATCTATGCTAAATAAATGAGTAGTTTATTTTTTTCTTCAGTAATATTTGACTTTATGAATATACAAACGTGACTTTGTAGGAATCTGTTAAGTTTTCTAAAGTGATTATGTTATTTTATACTTCACCAGTAGAGTTCTGGTTGATACACATCTTCAACATTTGGTATTATAAATCTACCCCATTCTTTTTAATGTGTATATGTGTGTGTGTGTGTATATATATATATATTATATATATATATATATTTTTTTTTTTTTTTGAGAGAGTCTCACTGTGTCTCCCAGGCTGGAGTGCAGTGGCGCGATCTCGGCTCACTGCAAGCTCCACCTCCCAGGTTCACGCCATTCTCCTGCCTCAGCCTCCCGAGTAGCGGGGACTACAGGCGCCCGCCACCACACCTGGCTAATTTTTTGTATTTTTAGTAGAGACAGGGTTTCACCGTGTTAGCCAGGATGGTCTCAATCTCCTGACCTCATGATGCGCCTGCCTCGGCCTCCCAAAGTGCTGGGATTACAGGCGTGAGCCACCGTGCCCGGCTATTTTTATATTTTGTATAAAATAGAGACAGGGTCTCACTGTGTTGCCCAGGCTGGTCTTGAACACCTGGGCTTGAGTGATCCTGCCACCTCAGTCTCCCAAAGTGCTACGATTACAGGTGTGAGCCACTGCACCCAGCCTGCACTCTTTTTTAGTAGTTCTGTAGTATTCAGTTTTAAGGCTATAGCATAATTTATTGAACCAATCCCCTGTTGATGGGCCTTTAGGTTTTTTCTGGTCTCCTACTCCCACAAGTAATGCTCCAGAGATTTGTGCACATATGCAAATTTATAGGATAGTATCTTTGAAGTGGAATTGATAGGTTCAAAGGGTGTTGCCAAATTTTTCTTCATGGAAGTCGTGCCTATATGTACTCTCACCAAAAATGTATGAATTCTTACTTAAAAATATTTTGATCAAACTTGCTGATTTTTGCCAGTCTGTTGGGTGAAACAAAAATATAACATTTTTAAATATAAAATTATATTTGTATTGGTATAAAATTAATTTTATACTAATGAAGTTTGCTCACTGCAACCTCCACCCCCCGGGTTCAAGCCATTCTCCTGCCTCAGCCTCCTGAGTAGCTGGGACTAAAGGCATCCGCCACCAGGCCCGGCTAATTTTTGTATTTTTAGCAGAGCTTCACCATGTTGACCAGGCTGGTCTCAAACTCTTGACCTCAGGTGATCCACCTGCCTCGGTCTCCCAAAGTGCTAGGATTACAGGTGTGAGCCACCACTCCCAGCCAATTTAGTTTTGTAGATAATTAATCTTTGTGTTTTCATAAATGGGATCTTTTATTATATTTTCTGGCTGATTATATGTAGAAATGCTATTGATTTTTTAAAAATTAGTTTTATACCATTCAAGTTTACTAGTTTCAGTAGTTCTTTCATTTGATCCTTTGAGGTTTTCCAGAGAGATAATCATAATTGAAAAATAAGGCCTGGCTAATTTTTGTATTTTTAGCAGAGACGGGGTTTCACCATGTTGGCCAGGCTGGTCTCAAACTCCCGACCTCAGGTGATCCGCCTGCCTCGGCCTCCCACAGTGCTGGTATTACAGGCATAAGCCACTGTACCAAGCCTCCTTCCCAGTTTTTTATCATGAGCTGGAAGTGTTGCTTAAATTACTTAATTAGAAAATGTTTAATTCAGCCACTTGAAAGAATAAGGTAAATAAAAAATATATATGGAAAACATTTCCAGGAAATATCATTAAATAAAAAAGTAAGTGGCAGAATAGTACATACAGTAGATTCTGTTTATTAAAACAAAAAAAACTTCAGAACTAAGACAAAAAAGCAAAAAATGGAAACAAAATCTTCTTGCATTTTTGCACTAACGGGTTGCTTCTAGTGTGAATTATATTGCACCCTGCAGCCTGAGAATCCAGTTTTGATTTCCCAGAGCTTCTTGCCACTAGTGGACAGGTTTTTCTCAGTGGATTCTTGGCCTTTCATAAAGCAGTTAAGCAAATTGATATATGGTCAGTACATAGCATAATCACATTGTTTGACAGATAATCTCCTTATCATCTTTTGGTCTGATTTTTCATGAAAATTTTGGAGTAGAATCTAAGTATATGACCATGAGCAAATAATTTTAAAAGTCTTCTCTGTGAGAGACCTAACTAGTCACTCTAACTACTTTTTGCTCTACAGAAGAGACGCTCAAACCGCCAAGTTAAGCGAAAAAAATATACAGAGGACCTGGATATAAAGATCACAGATGATGAAGAAGAAGAAGAGGTGGATGTAACTGGTCCAATAAAACCTGAGCCTATCCTCCCTGAACCAGTGCAAGAACCAGATGGCGAGACTTTGCCTTCCATGCAGTTCTTTGTGGTAAGCTGTAAACTCAAATGATTTCAGAGGATTGCCTTGCTGGTCACAATCATCTGTTGACTGACTGCATCTTTTGCTGCAGGAGAATCCCAGTGAAGAAGATGCAGCCATTGTAGACAAAGTGCTTTCTATGCGGATTGTGAAGAAGGAGGTGAGGGCTTTTTATTATTATTATTATTTTTATTTATTTATTTATTTATTTATTTATTTATTTATTTTTGAAATAGAGTCTAACTGTGTTACCCAGGCTAAAGTGCAGTGGCTATTCATAGATATGATCGTAGCACACTATGAACTTCTGGGCTTGAGCTATTCTTCTGCCTCAGCCTCCTGAGTATCTGGGACTACCATTGTGCACCACTGCGCCTGGCTTTTCTCTATCTTAATATTAACCCGTAATGCTATGTTCACAGGCTTTATTTAATGAGCACCTTTGGATGTCAGATATATTGCTAAGGTGTAGTTGTGAGAGATGATGGAGGAAAGTTAGCTAGAAAACAGGAACTGCTTTACTGGTGCTTCTTTTACTTACCTGTTTAGAGTGGATAAAGGCTTACTTTTTCCAGCTATCAGGCCTCTATTATTGAAGTACCAGACTAGTTCCTTAATCTCTGAGTTATTAATATATTCAGAGATTATTGGTATGAAGTTCTGCAATGTGTGGTTAAAATTAAAAAGTTCATTCTTTTACAAATAAGGGACTAGTGACTAATTTATTTCTTTTTTCTTAGCTCCCTTCTGGACAATATACTGAAGCAGAAGAATTCTTTGTCAAGTACAAGAACTAGTACGTGATCTGTGCAAAAAGCTTGTCACCCCAAATTCCACAGGGTGGTAAAAAGTTCTCCTGGGTATCCTGGGTGGGAATGTGTCCCTTTTTTATAGTCTTGTAGCCCAGGTTGCTGTTTTTAATGGGGAAAAATGGCTATTCAGAGAGAAATTCAGGAATTGACATGACTCTTATTATTTCCTTGTAGGTAAGTGGGGTGAGGGTGGTTCCTGATAAAATGTCATGTGATTCTCTTTACCTTAGTTTAGCACTAAGATCTTGCTACTCAAAATATGGCCCATGGATCAGCAGAATTAGCATTACTTGGGTGCTTTTTAAAAATGTGGGCTTTCAAGCACATCCCATACCAGGTGGTTTGTATACAAATTAGAGTTTCAGAAGCACTGACCTAAGAGACTGTCTCCCAATTTAAGCCTGTATTTGTTATGTCTGCTTCTGACTAATCCCAAAATTTCAGACAGTAGCCTGCCACCTTCTTTTACTTGCACCATGACTGGATTTTTCCATCCCCCTTAGCTCCTATCTGCATTGTGAATGGGCTACTATCTCCCAACTAGAGAAGGATAAGAGGATACATCAAAAATTAAAGCGCTTCAAAACCAAAATGGCTCAGATGAGACACTTCTTCCATGAGGTAATTAGGAATAGGTATTGCCTGTCATTTCTTTCACAGAAGCACAAATTACTGGGGTTGTCAGCCTTGGCTGATTCTTCAAAATACTTGTAATTGGTTTCTATATATGGGTGTAAACTTTCAATTTTGGTCATTGACTTCCCTTACTTAACTGCCCTTGCATTGTTTTGTTAGGTTTAAATATGGTTCATTTATTAGTTATAGGATATTTTGAAACTGATTTCCTCAATGCACATGAAGTATTTTCAAAACTGATGATACACTGACTGCTGGTCCACTTGAGGCATTCTTTGTCTTTCTTTAGCTATTGATGGTTTCTGTAGACCTATTATTAAGAGAGAACATTTGTTTTCTCAAATTTCTAATCCAGTGTGATTAGAAATAGGGATAAAGGAGCTTTAATTTCCAATATCCAGGTTTACCCCTAAACACTGGAGCAAGATGAGTGAAGAAATATGCCTGTTATATTTGCGGCGTTCATCCTTGATAAGAGTAGTTTTGGTTGTATGTTGCAAGTAGAAGAAAAAGTGGAATGGATGGACAAGTGAAAGAGATGAAGGAATGGAAATAGCATGTGTTTAAACCCTTGAAAAAGTTTAGGTATGGGGCCGGGCGCAGTGGCTCATGCTTGTAATCCCAGCGCTTCAGGAGGCCAAGGCAGGCAGATCACTTGAAGTTAGGAGTTTGAGACTAGCATGGCCAACACGGTGAAACCCCGTCTCTACTAAAAATACAAAAATTAGCCGGTCATAGTGGCGGGCACCTGTAATCCCAGCTACTCGGGAGGCTGAAGCAGGAGAATCACTTGAACGTAGGAGGTGGAGGTTGCAGTGAGCCAAGATCGCTCTACTGCACTCCAGCCTGGATGACAGAGCAAGGCTCTACCTCAAAAAAAAAAAAAAAAAGGTTTAGGTATAAAGCAGAGTAGAAAAATAGTTGCGGGAGTTGTAGAATAAAAAGAGGTCTTATTTTAAAATGTGAAATGTGGAACATATACGTGTATTTATGGCAATGACTCGGTAGAGGGATTCCTAAGAATACAAGAAGCAATGAACAGCAGAGCATATATGGAGAGAAGGACCTCTGTTAGAAAGAGACACTCACTGGTAGCAGGTGAGAAGTCAGGTATAGACCCTGGTAAATTCATAGGATTTGCTGTTATGAAAAAGGAGAACACCCATCGGATAGCTTCTAATTTCTTTAAAAATTTTGAAGTAGGATTCTCTGCTAAAGGTGAGGTAGAGGAGTGGGTTTACTGGACAGTGATCTTTTGGTCTTATTGTTTGGTTTCCTAACTCATCTAGGATGAAGAGCCCTTTAATCCAGACTACGTAGAGGTGGATAGGATATTGGATGAGTCTCACAGTATTGACAAGGACAATGGGGAGGTGAGTTGTTGAGGCATGGAGTAACGTGAACATCCTCTTAGATTTCTGCTGGTGGGTTTGCCAATCCTTTATTTTTCGGGTATGGATGCAGAATCCCTTGGACTGAAAAGGTATTTCTAAATTTTTCTGTGGAATCCTTTGAAAGATAATGGGAGGTAAGAGTGTAGGGAGAGATGCTAAAAGGAAAGATTTCTGTAAAGTCAGACATGTAGAGGCTAAGTACTGAAAAGTCATTCATCTTGGTCTCATTTTTCCTCATATTTTAAATGGGAGACTCTTGACATACAGTTGGAGGTGGGGTGTTGGGAAGGGGAAAGGGATACTTCACAAATTCCTAAATTTGTGAATATAAAAATACTTCTACAGGCTCGCTCCTAGCTTTCTACAAATCATGTTCTTGAGAATGGGCTACTTCCTGAACTCACCATTAGTTAAATGTCTCTTCATTTGTCATTAAAACAGATCTGCTGGCCAGGCGCGGTGGCCCACACCTGTAATCCCAGCACTTTGGGAGGCTGAGGTGGGCAGATCACGAGGTTGGGAGTTTGAGACCAGCTTGGCCAACATAGTGAAACCCCGTCTCTACTAAAAATACAAAAATTAGCCAGGTGTGGTGGCACGTGCCTATAGTCCCAGCTACTCGGGAGGCTGAGGCAGGAGAATCGCTTGAACCCGGGAGGCAAAAGTTGTGGAGAGCCAAGATCATGCCATTGCACTCCATTCCTGGGCAACAGAGTGAGACTCCGTCTAAAAAAAACAAACAAACAAAAAAGCAGATCTACATTTGAATCTGTATTTTAATTAGTTTATTTTTCTCTTTTTTCTTTTTCTTTTTTTTTGGTTTTTTTTTGAGACCATCTTCACTCTGTCACCCAGGTTGGGGTGCAATGGTGTGATCTTGGCTCATTGCAACCTCCGCCTCCCAGATTCAAGTAATTCTCATGCCTCAGCCTCCTGAATAGCTGGGACTGCAAGCGTGTGCCATCATGCCCGGCTAGTTTTTAAATTTCTAGTACAGACAGGGTTTCACCATGTTAGCCAGGCTTAGTCTCGAACTCCTGACCTCAAGTGATCTCCCTGCCTCGGCCTCCCAAAGTGCTGGGATTACGGGCGTGAGCCGCCTACGCCTGGCACCTTTTTCATTTTCAAATGGTCATCTAGGTCTTAGCCACCAGTGAATTCAGCTTTCTTTTAAATTTACTTCTAATTTTTTTTTAGGCTATAAACCATCATTTTCTTAGAATTTGTCACTTTATATTTTTCCTTCCAGTAGCACTTTTTGGTTTAGCTTAGCAGGATCATAAAGAAAATTTCTATCACATCTGACACTTTATACAGTGACCAGTAGAGAACAGCAGAGCCTTTTTAAGATGTTAATGTTCAGTGGGTGAGCTGGGCTTTTTCATGACTTTTTCAAGTGACTTGATCCTCCCATACATCATTCTAACAGGACCTCTGAGTTAAATTCTTTCCTCTATAAAATTCCGAAGTTTATTCTACTTTATAAGTCTTCAGGTTCACTCAGAGCCTCAGAATCTTAGATATCCAGGACACGGTAGAATTCATTGTCTTTAAATCCTAACAAGCATGCTTCACATAACGTATTCTGCTTTTGAAGTTGGGGTGGTAGTATTGTGTGTTTGTTTGTGTGAGTTGAATGGAGAATGGGCCGGGTTTTAGGGCAGGTTGTTAGCTACTCTTAAATTCTTATCATTTTTCAGGATCTCAGCCTTTCCAGCCTTGACAGTCTTATGCTTTTAATCATACCTACCCTTCTAAAAGCAATTGGCCTTTAGTTAGGCCCCTTTGGAATGTCTTGCAAATGACGTGACAGATGATAATGTTTTCATACTCTAATACTATAATTTATGCTCCCAGTATTGGCTAATACTATTCTATATACCCATTTTCCCCACCTCTGCAAAATAAGTTTGTCATCCATTTTATATTACCTAATGGTGGAAATAAATAGATATTATGCTGGAAATATGTGACCTGGACAAATGGCTTTATATAGAGAGTGACCTGAGTTACTATGATAAAGAAAAAGGTAAAAGAGCAAGCAGCTGGATCAATTCCAGAGATTCGAGATCTGTGACTACCTTGAGGCACTTTCACATATTTTGTTGGCTATTTTAAGTTTTCTATGAATTGATAATTAGAGATTCTTGTTGATTACACTAGGCCCAATCTAATCCTTGCTTTATACTTCATAAGCCAAAAATGGAGATGCAGTAAGTGCAGTGATCATCTTGAATAGTGAAAATAGGAGCCATTTACCATTGGTCACTGCCCCTTCACTTTCAGTGGAATACCTACATAAACTAGTACTTACTGTAGTTGAACTTTTTAGCATTTTCTCTTCCTTCTTTACTCTTAGTACCTCTTTTTGGTGATAACCTCTTGTTAGCTCCTAGCTTCCTGGGGCTCACAAGGACATTTCTTTATCACCATGTAAGTGCTCTTGAGGTGCATCTGCAATGAGCTCTAGGGGCCCAGAAGCCAGTATAAGCTGATAGTCCTCATCCTAAAGGTAGCCTAGCTGCCACTGTGTCAAATTTGGCTCCAGGAGAATAGTATGGCACAGAAACATATCTTTTAATTTCAACATGGTATAGGAAAAGATTAGTCTTTTTTTTTTCATCTGTTTAGTTGACGAGCATGTTTTAGTGCTTAGTGTGATAGAAACTAGTGGGTAGAAATTTTCCTTTTAGAACAGATTCTGATAAATTGCTTTGAAGAATGATCAAAGCCATATAGTGCATCAGAAGGTGAACTTTTGGTCGATGTGTTTGGCCTGACTTTTTCAACGGCTTCTAGGTACTGATACTTTGTGATCTGATTTTACAATCAAATTTTTATTCTTTAACTGGAGCAGAGAACACAGAATCAGTTTCTTAAGGCTTTGGTTTCTTCTCTCCTAGCCCGTTATTTACTACCTGGTGAAATGGTGCTCTCTGCCCTATGAGGATAGCACATGGGAGCTAAAAGAAGATGTTGATGAGGGCAAGATTCGAGAATTTAAACGGATTCAGTCAAGGCACCCAGAACTCAAAAGGGTGGTAAGTACATTTGCATTAAAGTATAAAGGCCTACATAAGAAATGATTAAATTTTTTCCCCTATGAAATTTTTTGTTGTTTTAGCTTTTTATTATGGAAATTTCAAACATATAAAAATCGAAGAAATGGTATAATGTACCCATCACCCACGTAACAATTATCAGTACATATCCAGTCTTGTGTCATATATTTTCCTACCCATTAATTCCTGTTTCCCAGGTTATTTTAAATCAAATCCCAGATTCATTTATTTCATCTGTAAATATTACAGTGTTTTTGCCTAAAAGAAATAATACCATTATTACACCTAAAAAATTTAATCATTCTTTAATATCATCAAGTCATTGGTACCAATCATTGCATACATTTCCCTGATTGTCTTCTAATTTTTGTTAAATCATTTAAATTTGGTTCTCAGTAAGGTCCATATATTGCTATCAGTTAATATGTCTCAAGTTTCTTTTAAGCTCCCCCTTAATCTCCTCCTCTCCCTCCGTTATAATTTTCTCATGAAGAAATCAGGTGATTTGTTTTGTAGGATTTTCCATAGGCTGAAGTTTGCTGATTACCCTTGGTACTTTTTTACATGTTCTCTGTCCCTTATGTTTCACATGAATGCTTAGGTTTAGAGCTACACTGTCCAATAAAACATTTTAGAGCTGTGCTGTCTAATACAGTAGCCACTAGCCGTGTTTTTTTGTTTGTTTTTTTATTTTTAATGTTGTAGAAAGCTCTATTAGACATCACTGTTCTACAGGCTTGATCAGATGAGAGAGGGAAGCCAGTAACTGCTTCATAGATGGTGGTGTGTCCTTCCATCAGGTTGTGTTTTGTGATGTTGTCAGCCATTTGTGATCATTATGGACCCATAAAGTAACGTTATGAACTCATAAATTTAAATATATTTGACATGTTTTAATCCAAACAATGTTGTTTTGAATTGATTTTAACTATTAGAACTTACCTAGTAAGTCTTACCTTTTGATAATGTCTCCACTCCATTTATTCAAACGTCTTGTTTTTTAGAATCGTCCGCAGGCAAGTGCCTGGAAGAAATTGGAGCTATCACATGAATATAAAAACAGAAACCAGCTACGGGAATATCAGTTGGAAGGGGTTAATTGGCTGCTCTTTAATTGGTATAACAGGTAAAGGAAAGAATGGGCCATAAGATGTAAGCTTAGTTCTGGGATTATTTTTATTTGTTTTCTATTGAAACAATTTCTTCCTACATACTCTATTTTTTTTAAAGATAGTATCTTTTAACATTTTTTTTTTCCCATGGTGAATCTGCAGGCAGAACTGCATCCTGGCTGATGAGATGGGATTGGGCAAAACTATTCAGTCCATTGCCTTCTTGCAGGAAGTATATAATGTGGGCATCCATGGTCCCTTCTTGGTCATTGCCCCACTGTCCACAATTACTAACTGGGAGCGAGAATTTAATACATGGACAGAAATGAACACTATTGTGTACCATGGCAGTCTGGCCAGCAGGCAGATGATTCAACAGTATGAAATGTACTGCAAAGATTCACGGGTGAGTTGCATGTCTTGGGAATACTATGAGTTAGAGAAAGTCGGCCAAGGTACCTGGTATTTTAAGGGCTATATATGAATAGAAGACTTTTATTGAAAGTCTTCAATATGCCTATGCAAAAATGCCTATGGTTTAAGGCATTTTTGTATAGCAGTGTGCAGGGCATTTTTTTGACTTTGCTATTTTTTTTACCTAGTAGACATTTGATCTGGTAGAAGTTCTGATTTTATTTATGAACATACACATTTTAAGTAGAATTTTGTCAGCATCAATGAATTTTAATCACAGTATTTTACAAAAATTAAATTCCTTTAGCCACTTAATCCATGCGGTGGTGAGCTTATTTCTTTTCCTCTTTTTAGTCTACGGAAATTTTCATCAAGATCAGTTTCTTTTTCTAAATGGTCGGGCGTGGTGGCTCATGCCTGTAATCCTAGCACTTTGGGAGGCCGAGGTGGGCTTATTACCTGAGGCCGGGAGTTCTAGACCAGCCTGGCCAACATGGTGAAACCCCATCTCTACTAAAGATATAAAAATTAGCCAGGTGTGGTGGTGGGCACCTGTAATCCCAGCTATTCAGGAGGCTGAGGCAGGAGAATCGCTTGAAACCAGGAGGCGAAGGCTGCAGTGAGCCGAGATCGTCACACTGCACTCCATCCTGGGTGACAGAGTGAGACTGTGTCTCAAAAAAAGAAAAAAAAAGGATCAGTTCCTTTTTCCATGTAAATTTGAAAACAAAATTGGAATTATCCATCGTGTATTAACATGAATTTTATTGTTTCTCTATTAGTTTTCTTTTTTTTATTTCTACCAAATCACATCTTTTCATCATATTTTGCAGCTTTTAATTTTGTTAAAATGATTTCATTCTTTTGTCAATTTTTAGACATCAGCCAATATTATGTTCTGTATTAGCTATTTTCATTTTTATTATCTTGTATGGTTCAGCATTGTCCAGCAGTTGTGGATTTCATTGTTAATCAACAAAAGATCTGGGGCAGAGATACATGAGCTAGGCATACAGCAGAGTAAAAAATGTCTAGCCTCTCATTCAGTGAGTCTGTCATTTTCCCAAGAAGCTGAATATGTTGAGGAAGCAATGTATCTTACATTCAGTGATATGGCACTATTTTTCAGGAAGATAAACAGCGGTGGAGGTGGGTGGTGGTGCAGTTTGTATTGCCTATTAAACATGCCTTAATATAGGCAAGTAATTCAGAAAAGCTCCTCATTTAGGTACATTTTTGGTTTTTTCTGACTTTACTGCCTTCATGCTTAGGGACGCCTCATCCCAGGCGCATACAAGTTTGACGCTCTGATCACCACTTTTGAGATGATTTTGTCAGATTGTCCTGAGCTTCGTGAAATTGAATGGCGTTGTGTTATCATTGATGAAGCCCATCGACTGAAAAACCGTAATTGCAAGCTGCTTGATAGTCTCAAGCACATGGACCTGGTGAGTTCCACACTGACTTGTGAGCAGAAACACCTGGAATAAACCGTAATTCCTTGCGGTATTAAAATAACCCTAGTTTAGCAGAGAAGAAAAGTCTGAATCGTGGTATTGAACAGTGGGGATGACCTATGGGAATGGTAACCTGAAAGTCGTGTAAAAGTCATACATTTTAGAATTGGGAAGTTTAGTGATAACCAGAAGAGGAGGTGGGAAACTATATTGGTTACCTATTATTACTGCATAACAAAATACTCCAAAACTTAATGTCCTACAACAACTATATTTTTCATGATCTTCTAGCTCAACCACTTAGGCTGAGTTCAGCTAGTTGGTTCTTATGATGATCTTGCCTGGAGTCAGTATTGCTGCAGCTGGCAGTTGATGCTGGTTTTTATCTGGAGCACCTGGGTTCCACATGGCCTCTCATCCTCCATAGGCCAGATTGGGCTGCTTTGTGTGGTAGTCTCAGGGCAGTATTCCAAGAGGGCAAAAGTAGAAACAGTAACCTTTGAGATAGGCTCTGAAACTCACACAGTGTCACTTTTGCTACATTCTTGTTCTTGCAAGTAATAAGGCAAGCCTAGGGGTGAACCTTGTTAGGAGGAACAGCAGCAAATTAATGACCATATTTAATCCAGCTCAGTTACATTCCATAGAGGACAGCAGATTTTAGGATATCTGTGGGGAGTTGAATATGGAGAGACATGTGTAATTGGAATAAACATAATCAGAATTACTGTTTTTTAATTTGCTTATAATATTTATGTTATTTCAATACATTAATGTCAGAGGGATTTCTTGAATGCTTTGTGTTTATCGAAAGAGGGGACAAATGGAAGAAAAATTAATGGACCAGATCACTGGTCCATTCTCATCATTTTATAGATAAAGAAATTAAAGGTTATATATGTTAAAGATTATATACTTGATAGGAAACCCCAGAAGTCCTTCATGTTTTTAAATTTTATTCTTTTGTTTCCTCCATTTCTAGGAACACAAGGTGCTACTCACAGGAACACCATTGCAAAATACTGTAGAAGAACTGTTTAGCTTGCTTCATTTCTTGGAACCGTCACAATTTCCCTCAGAATCAGAGTTTCTCAAGGACTTTGGGGATCTCAAGACAGAGGAACAGGTAGGAAATCTATCTGATGAGGTACTAACTCAGGACAAAGAAGGTGAAGTTTGTACAAGGCAGACATCTGTTGTCATGGGTATCTCAAGGGCCTTTCTGAACTCCTTATAACCTTGTGCCTACATCATTTGTGGCATCATCCAAAGTATACATTTCTTAGATAGTGGAAAACTCTAATTTTTCCATGTTTCTACATAATGTGAGAATGTTCGCCCTCATCTTATTGATTTATTTTTCTCTCTGTAATGGACCACAGGTTCAAAAGCTACAGGCCATTCTTAAGCCAATGATGCTGAGAAGACTCAAAGAGGATGTTGAAAAAAACTTGGCACCCAAACAGGAAACAATTATTGAAGTAGAGCTGACTAATATCCAGAAGAAATACTATCGGGCTATTTTGGAGAAGAATTTCTCCTTCCTTTCCAAAGGGGCAGGTCATACCAACATGCCTAATCTACTTAACACAATGATGGAGTTGCGCAAGTGCTGCAACCACCCATATCTCATCAATGGTGAGGGAATGCTTGGTATATACCTGAACTTCTGTAGTACCTGTGTTTACTTTCCGGATGATTCTCCTTGGGGACAATGGATGCATTGACTCAACCAACCTAATTTGGGGTGCGGACTGAGGAATGGGAGGGAAATGGTTCTCCTTTTAAAAAAGAGACTCTAAGCCTGGGCAACATGATGAAATCCCACCTCTACAAAAAATACAAAAATTAGCCAGGTGTGATGGCAGGCATCTGTGGTTCTAGCTACTTTGGAGACTGAGCTTGGAGGATTGCTTGAACCCAGAAGGCAGAGGTTGCAGTGAGCCGAGATCACACCACTGCACTCCAGCCTGGGTGACAGAGTGAGACCCTGTCTCCAAATAAAGTAAATAAAAACAATTCTTATTTGGAATGTTTTTCTGTAGTTCTTTCTACCCCTTTGATCCTACATAATCTCCAAGATTAAATAGGATTTGCTGTTTAGAATTGCATGAAGAAGAACTCAGATTAGCCACACAGTGGCATGTACCTGTAGTCCCAGCTACTTAGGAGGCTGAGGCAGGAAGATCGGTTGAGCCCATGAGTTTGAAGCTAGCCCTGTCTCAGAAAAAACACTCTTAGGTTACTCTGTTCCTTGGATAAATGTCCTCATCGACACTCCATTTTGCTGTTTCTGTCTCTTTTGGGTGCTGATAGTGTGTTCCATCTTAGTCCTTGTCCACATATTTACATCTTTTTTTAACCCAGTTATCATAGGCCTGCCTTACTTAGTGTATTTTGTATGACACATCTGAGGATGATTTAAGTTTTTTTTTTTTTTTTTTTTTTAAGATGGAGTTTCACTATTGTCGCCCAGGCTGGAGTACAGTGGTGCAATCTCGGCTCACTGCAACTCTGCCTCCCAGGTTCAAGCAATTCTCCTGCCTCAGCCTCCCAAGTAGCTGGGATTACAGGCGCCTGCTACCACACCCAGCTAATTTTTTGTATTTTTAGTAGAGACAGGGTTTCGCCACATGGGGCAGGCTGGTCTCGAACTTCTGACCTCAGGTGATCTGCCCGCTTCGGTCTCCCAAAGTGCTGGGATTACAGGCGTGAACCACTGAACCCGGCTGATTTTTTTTTTTTTTTAAGGTGGAGTCTCGCTCTGTCACCCAGGCTGGAGTGCAGTGGCGCAATCTCAGCTCACTGCAACCACCACCTCCCGAATTCAAGCGATTCTCCTGCCTCAGCCTCCTGAGTAGCTGGAACTACAGGCCTCCGCCACCACACCTGGCTAATTTTTGTATTGTTAGTAGAGACGGGGTTTCACCATGTTGGCCAGACTGGTCTCGAACTCCTGACCTCAAGTGATCCACCTGCCTCGGCCTCCCAAAGTGTTGGGATTACAGGCATGAGCCACCGTACCCAGCCGATTTAAGACTTTTTTGTGCTGAAATTCTGTGTGTGAGAAATGTTGGTCTTAAGTCAAATTACATTTTTTTCCTTTTGCTTTCTTAGTTAAATAGACTACAACCTTAATATGGTTCACTGGATCTCAACATAATTTGATTTTTCTTTTGGCAGGTGCTGAAGAAAAAATCCTAACAGAATTCCGTGAAGCTTGCCATATTATACCTCATGACTTTCACCTGCAGGCCATGGTTCGTTCAGCCGGCAAACTGGTTCTTATTGACAAGTTGCTTCCAAAGCTTAAAGCTGGTGGCCATAAAGTTCTGATCTTCTCTCAGATGGTGCGCTGCCTAGACATCCTAGAGGATTATTTAATCCAGAGGAGGTAAGAAAAGAGTCATCCTAGCCTGTGGTTACTCTGTCCTCATAAAGCAGCAAAAAGTAGGAGGGCCTGGATTTAATTAGAGTTCACCAATTGCAATAAGAGAAGTTTTTAAGATTCTCACTCTCAACTTGGGTTTTTGACCAGCTTTGATATGGGAGTACTGGTATTGATCCTAGCCTGCTGTTTTGGTCTCCACTTCTGCTTAGCCACTTACATTTTTTTTCTGCGATTCCCATACAGGTACTTATATGAACGTATTGATGGGCGAGTTAGAGGCAACCTTCGACAGGCTGCCATTGACCGCTTCAGCAAGCCTGACTCAGACCGCTTTGTCTTCTTACTGTGTACCCGGGCTGGTGGACTTGGTATTAATCTTACAGCTGCTGATACCTGCATCATCTTTGATTCAGACTGGAATCCACAAAATGACCTGCAGGTAAAGGAATTCATTGTCTTAGGGACTAACTACCTAACTTGGGAGATTTTTCAACAAGAATAGGATCTTTTAGAAAGACCTTTCACAGAGTTTGGAATTGTTTCCTTAGTTAAGGGTGGCAGTTAGGTCAGGGAATCAGCAAACGTTTTCTGTAAACGACAAGACAGTAAATGTTTTAGGCTTTGTGAGCCATCGAGTCTTTGTTGCAACTGCTTATCTCCAAGTCCTGTAGCGCAAAAACAGCCATAGATAATATGTAAATGAGTGGGTGGTCCCACCTGTGTCCCCATTGAACTTTATTTTTAAAAACAGATGTCCACACAGACTTTAGTTTGCTGACCCCTGGTCTACATGATGGGGTGATAATTTCATCTTGAAATTGACTCTTGGTTTTGAGTTGATCTCATGGCTGCTCTATAGAGGTGAAAGAATCATAAATTGGTATTTTGTATCCTTTCCCTTGCTAATTTTATGATATCTTTCTCCTTTCCTTTCGTTTTTATTTTAAACCAGGCCCAGGCACGATGTCATCGAATTGGGCAGAGCAAAGCTGTGAAGGTGTACCGCCTCATCACTCGTAATTCCTACGAGAGAGAGATGTTTGATAAGGCCAGCCTCAAGTTGGGGTTGGATAAGGCTGTGCTTCAATCCATGAGTGGTCGGGATGGCAACATTACTGGAGTGAGTCCTCTTAGTTTATAGATAAGTTTGTAGTAGATCATTGTGATAGAGGGAAACAAAAGCTATTTGTACACAGGGATTTGACTACCTTGTTTGGATTCTCAATTATTATTTCTTAAAATATAATAGCTAAAATATTATGGCATGGTTAGATATTATTCTCTTGATAGTCTTTTCATCTTTCTATTGGTTTTTACAGATCCAACAGTTCTCTAAGAAGGAGATTGAAGATCTTTTAAGAAAAGGAGCATATGCAGCCATCATGGAGGAAGATGATGAAGGCTCCAAGTTTTGTGAAGAGGACATTGACCAGATCTTGTTAAGACGAACTACAACCATCACCATTGAATCTGAAGGAAAAGGTTCCACCTTTGCTAAGGCATGTTCTGTCTATGCCAGAGGCTAGAAAAACACAGAGACCGGAATCTCTAGGATTTAATTATGTTTTTATGCTGGGGATGGTGGCTCATGCCTATATTCCCAGCACTTTGGGAGGCTGAGGCGGGCAGATCACTTGAGGTCAGGAGTTCGAGACCCAGCCTGCCCAACATGGTGAAACCTCATCTCTACCAAAAATACAAAAATTAGCCAGGAATGGTGGCTTGCGCCTGTCGTCCCAGCTACTCGGGAGGCTGAGGCAGGAGAATCACTTGAACCCAGGGGGTGGAGGTTGCGGTGAGCGGAGATCGTGCCACTGTACCCCAGCCTGGGCAACAGAGCAAGACTGTGTCTCAAAAAAAAAATGTTTTTAAAACATAATTGCTGATTTTGCACCACTTAAAAAAAAAAGTCAGCTTTACCTCTGCATTTGTTTTTCTCTAGGCAAGCTTTGTTGCTTCTGAAAACAGGACAGATATTTCTTTGGATGACCCCAACTTTTGGCAAAAGTGGGCCAAAAAGGCTGACCTAGACATGGATCTGCTCAACAGCAAGGTGAGTTTCTTCTTTTAGGGAGGAAGTATCGCAGAAGACCACACTACTTTCGGGAGTCTTTACAGCTACTCTGATTATTTGATGCTAATTGTGATTTATGATGGTGTATTGTATACAAGGGCTGTTGTGGATACTTTCTACCTAGGAGGCCCCAGAAAAGTAGTTGCTTTCTGAATAATTTTGCTTTCTGTAGATTATTTTACATGTCATTTAAAAAAATCTCTGAGTATCTACACGTTACATCCAATGTTATTGTAATCCCTAATTGTCTTATTCTTTTCCCATGAGCAAATCAGGAAGAGAATTACTTCTCCTTCTGTTCTCTTCATAGAATAATTTGGTAATTGACACACCTAGAGTACGAAAACAAACGCGCCACTTTAGCACTCTGAAAGATGATGACCTGGTGGAATTCTCTGATTTGGAAAGTGAGGATGATGAGCGGCCACGCTCCCGCAGACATGACCGTCATCATGCCTATGGGCGCACTGACTGCTTTCGGGTGGAAAAGCATCTCCTGGTATATGGGTAAGACCCCAACTTACCATTAGAGGTAGTGCATAGTGCATCTCCATCCTGATAGATACTCTTGGTTTGCCTTTCAAATTGGGGGCTATGATCAAAGAAGGGATAATGTGAAAAAATATTTGCCTTGGAGGGAGTTTGTTCTGTTTATTCTGTTACCATGTTTTTTAAGATCTTTGTTTCACACCTTTTCAGAGACATGATTCTGAGGGACAGGGGACTGTCATTTCTCAGAAAAATGTTAATATAGTTTTCTGTTTTTTAGTTGGGGACGATGGCGAGATATTTTATCTCATGGACGCTTCAAGCGACGTATGACTGAACGAGATGTGGAGACCATTTGTCGGGCCATTCTCGTGTACTGTCTTCTACACTACCGTGGGGATGAAAATATTAAAGGCTTCATCTGGGACTTGATTAGCCCAGCTGAAAATGGCAAGACAAAAGAATTGCAGAATCATTCAGGTAATTATCAACTCTTTACTTTATGTTTTTCTATAGGTTAATCTAATCCTTTTCAGGTCCAAGGGTTTTTCTCAATCCAAGTCTTTGATGTCTCCCCTTTCCCAGGTCTATCTATCCCTGTGCCTCGTGGACGCAAAGGAAAAAAAGTAAAGTCACAAAGCACTTTTGATATCCATAAGGCAGATTGGATCCGGAAATATAACCCTGACACTTTGTTCCAAGATGAAAGTTATAAGAAGCACTTGAAACATCAGTGTAACAAGTAAGCATAGAATTAGCAGACATTTTCCACCTCAAACTTCTACAGTGTTACTGAGCCAGCTCTTCCTCTGTCCTTTCTAGGGTACTGTTGCGGGTACGAATGCTATACTACCTGAGGCAGGAGGTTATTGGAGACCAAGCAGAAAAGGTGTTAGGGGGTGCGATTGCCAGGTAAAATTCTGCTATATTTTTTTGATTTATGCCCTACCTTATTTGAGGGAAGATTGGTTTGCTTATTTCATTTTATGCTATCTTTGGGATACCTGATAATTTAAATCTATATATCAGGTCTTTAATCTTATACTTGACACTAGTGGGAGGAAATAGGGTAGATGCATGAGTATTTAAATTAATGGATACAGGAAGATACCTATAATAACCTTTGCAAGGATTCTCACTTTAATTTCCTGCATTTCTGTGCTGACTCTGCCCTCTTATACCTTTAGTGAGATTGACATATGGTTCCCAGTAGTGGATCAACTGGAGGTTCCAACAACTTGGTGGGACAGTGAGGCTGACAAGTCGCTGCTCATTGGAGTCTTTAAACATGGTACGTATCTTCTCCTATTCTACTCCTTTCCGACTGAAGATTTATGTTCACGGATGGAACATTTAGCAAAATGCTCCTGAGAAATAACTCAGTTATCTGATTGATCTTCAATAAATTTGAGTAGGAAAGTAGTTCTTAAATATCCAGAGCAGAGCAGTTAGTTCCTATAAATAGATGTTCAAGAAGGGCCAGATGGATAGGTAAATCTCAAGGTAGGGAGCCTCCCATCTGTTCTCTAATCACTGTTAGCAGTGTGTTACCGCACTGTATGCTATGGTAAGTTAGGGTCCCATGAATCAGGGCAGGTAATATACCCCAACTATTGTTAATAATAATCACACTTAATTTATATGACTTTCCTCTGGATGTGCACTAGCATAACAATTGCAGCAGATCATCTTGTCGCAGTTGTATTTCTGGGTGAGTAGGCAGAGGGAAGGCTCAATAATGTCACCTCAGAGGCAAAGCACCACCTGCAGGGTGGACTCTTTCTGGATGTTACAGTCTGAAAGAGTACGGCCATCCTCCAACTGTTTGTTCACAAATATCAGATGCTGCTGGTCAGGTGGGATGCCCTCCTTGTCGTGGATCTTGGCTTTGACATTTTCACTGGTGTCACTCGGCTGGACCTCAAGGGTGATGGTTTTGCCTGTGAGGGTCTTTACAGAGATCTGCATCTCTATGTCAGCTTGGCTGCCTCACTAAAGAGAAAGAGCTGAAAATCTTCTGTTTTTCTACATGTCCCATTTGTCTAAATGTTCAGCAGTCTCTCTGATATAGGTATGAGGCAGCAGTTTTTGAGTGAAATAAAAGTAGAGTATAAGAAGGGAGACTGACTAGCCAAAACAAAAATGCAGTGGGGGTAAGAATATTTCCTTACTCTTATAGCAGTTTTGCCTAATGCCAAATCCCAGGCACTAAAAACAGTAAGCGTTAACTTTCAGCCAAGTGACTTTGTGAATTAGAATGTCTTTTTTTTAAAAGAATACTTTTTTTTCTATAAAATAAAAGTAATGGCACTTAATCTACATCTTTTTTGAGACGTTTAATGGGATAAATAAAATTGCAGGTGCTGGGCATGGTGGCTTATGCCTGTAATCCCAGCACTTTGGGTGGCCAAGGTGTGCAGATCAGGAGATTGAGACTATCCTGGCTAACACGGTGAAACGCCGGCTCTACTAAAAAATATAAAAAATTAGCTGGGCGTGGTGGTGGGCACCTGTAGTCCCAGCTACTCAGGAGGCTGAGGCAGGAGAATGGCGTGAACCTGGAAGGCAGAGCTTGCAGTGAGCCAAGATCGCACCACTGCACTCCAGCCTGGGCGACAGAGTGAGACTCCATCTCAAAAAATAAATAAATAAATAAAAATAAATAAAACTGCAGGCAAGGCATGGTGGCTTACACCTGGAATCCCAACACTTTGGGAGCCTAAGGCTATCAGTCACTAGTTAAAAACTCTTCATGATTCTAAATTGCTATAAAAATGTTAAATATAGTAATAAACCCAGTAGTTGTCCAAGATAACATTCTAACTTTGTTTTCCATTATGAGCAATATAGAACATATTCTAATTATTCCAGCAGCATATAAAGTAAGCATAAAGGCAAAACAAATCTCATTTTCTTCAACTATGACCCTTTTTCTTCTAGGCTATGAGAAATATAATACCATGAGGGCAGACCCAGCCTTATGTTTCCTAGAAAAGGCTGGCCGACCAGATGACAAAGCAATTGCAGCAGAACATCGAGTGTTGGATAACTTCTCTGACATAGTAGAAGGGTAAGCATTAGTATTTGTTCTTTTAAAACTCTAACTTGTGCCGTGAAATAACTCTAGCCTTGACTGAACCCAATGGGATTCTTAATTGTAATTATACTCAAAAGTGATAGATCCTTAGCAAAAATAGGACCAGCAGAAAGGACTCCATAAACTGCATAAACCACATGTTGCCATAAGATACATCTGAGGGTGAAAATGAATGTCACTTGTAAATGGCTTATTTGATGTTCTATTTGGTTTGGTTTACAACACTCTTCTGTACAGCTACAGTAGCTGAGAGGATAACTGGTCTCTTGAAAGATAACAGCCAGCAGCTCTCATACGTTGCTTCTGTGGAAGAGCCTTAGGCGCTTTCAGCCCTGGTTTATCATCTCCCAATGGTACCTGACACATAAAGGTACTTATTTTGCCTGAAAACATGTCCCAATGATGAGTTGCCATGCTAATACTGAGCCACCAGGTAGGGCAGTGTTGCCCTGGTTTGGGTGCCAGTGAGTTTAACAAAACTTCTCACATGAAGATCTGAGGGGCATGTGAAACAGTTGGCTTAATGAATACCTCCCCATTCCATCATGACTGAGAAATTTCTCTTTGACGATCACACCCTCAGTTTGCCTAGTGTAGGACCCTCAAAGGAAATTGGGTTATTTATTCATTGCAAATCGTTTATGCCACCTGTCTGCTCAGAAGAACACAGTAATAAAAACAAAAAAGCGTGAACCATACAAATGAAATAATAAAAAGTAAATAGTTGGGTAGGAGGAAGAATTACATAATAAAAGTCAAGAAAAAGGAACTGTGTTGATCAAAGTGTTTCAAATTCAAGCAATTACGAATGGTACATTGTCAATTTCTTATAATTATTTGTATTCCATTGGATGCTATACCAGACTGACCCAAAGTTTTGCACCTGGCCTGCCATTCCTGTAAACACGAAATTAAATACTAGGCCAGGCACTGTGGCTCATGCCTGTAATCCCAGCCCTTTGGGAGGCCACAGTGGGTGGATCACAAGGTCATCAGTTCGAGACCAGCATGGCAAATAAGGTGAAACCCCGTCTGTACTAAAAATACAAAAAAAATTAGCCAGGAGTGGTGGCGCATGCCTGTAATCCCAGCTACTTGGGAGGCTGAGGCAGGAGAAACACTTGAACCCAGGAGGCGGAGGTTGCAGTGAGCCGAGATGGCACTGCTGCACTCCAGGTGATGGAACAAGACTCCATCTCAAAAAATAAATAAATAAATAAATAAATAAAAGACTAGGCCAGGATGGGATCACTTGAGCCCAAGAGTTTGAGACCAACCTGAGCAACATGGTGAAACCCCATCTCTACTAACAATACAAAAATTAGCCTGGCATGGTGGTGGGTATGTGTAGATCCCAGCTACTCAGGAGGCTGAGGCAGGAGAATCGCTTGAACCCGGGAGGCACAGGTTGCAGTGAGCTGAGATCATGCCACTGGAATCCAGCCTGGCCTACAGAGTGAGACTCTGTGTCAAAGAATATATATATAAAAATAAAAATAAGGCCAGGCATGGTGGCTCACTCCTGTAATCCCAGCATTTTGGGATGCCAAGGCGTGTGAATTATTTGAGCCCAGGAATTTGAGATGAGCCTGGGCAATATGGCAAAACCCCACTTCTAAAAAAATATGAAAATTAGCCGGGTGCGGTGGCACACACCTGTAGTCCCAGCTACTCAGGAGGCTGAGGGAGGAGGATCGCTTGAGTCCAGGAGGTTGAGGCTACGGTGAGCTGTGATAGGGCCATGACACTCCAGCCTGGGCGACAGAGTGAGACCTGTCTCAAAAATAATACTAATAAAGATTATTTCATGCTGGATATATGTGTGGCTAGGTCTTCATCCTAGGTTCCCTTAGTGATAGAAGATACATTATTAACATTTTCTTGTGCCTCTCCATAATTTTAGGGTTGACTTTGATAAAGATTGTGAAGATCCTGAATATAAACCACTCCAAGGTCCCCCAAAGGACCAAGATGATGAGGTAAGGAATTCTCATTTGAGTCTCACTTTTCTCTATTACTAAATAGTTTTAAGTCTTCAACCATTCTCTGAATCTTGAAATATATTGGTTAATTTATAATACAAAATGGAAAATGAATTATACCATTTGAGAATAGAAAATATTAATGGAAAGGACTGTAATGCCAGTAGGGGGAGATCAGGGATAACTTTATGGAGGAGCTGGACACTGAAAGATATTATTTGACTAATAAATTCCTGACTTCTATTATCTTTGAGTCGTTAATAGGAACTGACCTTTCAGGTTCTACTTTCTTGTTCTTTTAGTTGATTGTTTCCAAGTTTTTGTGGGGATATATTTCTTTAGAAGTTTTTCTTGATCCCTTGGTGCCATAGAAGGACACACACAAGAAAGTGATTTCAGAGTGCCAACTTCCCCCCCTTTCCCTCCCCGCTCCATCCTATTGGGTGGATCTCCTTCTCTAGGGTGATCCCTTGATGATGATGGATGAGGAGATCTCAGTGATTGATGGAGATGAAGGTAAACTTCTAGGTCAACTAGTATAATTCTGTGTGGGGTGGTGGGTTGGGGAATTATTCACTGAATTCTGTCCTATCCTGGGATTTCTAAGAGCTTTGCCTTTGGGTGGGTTAAAATACTAGTATTGCCTCTACTACCCTTGCTATACTTCCTATTCATTCTACTTTGTTTTCCACAGCCCAGGTGACCCAACAGCCAGGCCATTTATTCTGGCCTCCGGGCTCTGCCCTAACAGCTAGGCTTCGGCGTCTAGTAACAGCGTATCAGCGCAGCTACAAGAGAGAACAAATGAAGATAGAGGCTGCAGAACGTGGGGACCGGCGAAGGCGGCGTTGTGAAGCAGCCTTCAAGCTGAAAGAAATTGCACGGCGGGAGAAACAACAACGGTAAAATATAGCTGGGAACTTGTGCTGATCTGTGTTTTCAGTTATGGTCCCTATACTGAAAGCCATCTCAGGAAGGATTTATTTGGAATTCTCTACAGAGGGACCATCTTTTCTGCCTTGGGTAGTTAAACCTGTAGAAATTAAAACCTCACTTGCATGCAGTAATCATTAACTCTCAGGTAGGTCTCCTGTGTAGACATTTTCATTGATATTTGTCTGTGTCTTTTCCCCCTTGGCTCTGTAATTCTTACTCATTACAGAGTACCTCTCACTACCTCTTCTGGGCCTTTTTTTTTTTTTTTTTTTGCGTCTACTTTCAATTTTTGTGTTTTCAGATATTCTAAAACACATTAAAAAATAACCAGTTTTCTTGTGTTCTTCTGATGTGTTCTTCTGATTATTGTTGCCCTACTTTTCCTTTTGTAGATGGACAAGGCGTGAACAAACTGATTTTTATCGAGTGGTGTCTACGTTTGGTGTGGAATATGACCCTGACACCATGCAGTTCCATTGGGATCGCTTCCGCACTTTTGCTCGACTAGACAAAAAGACAGATGAAAGCCTTACCAAGTACTTCCATGGCTTTGTGGCCATGTGCCGCCAAGTATGCCGCCTTCCCCCAGCAGCTGGAGATGGTAAGCAAGATTGCAGAGTGGGTGAGGATGGATGCCAACAGAAGCAACTCTGTTAATTTCTTCTACTCCTGTCTCTTGCAGAACCCCCCGACCCTAACCTGTTCATTGAGCCCATCACTGAGGAGAGAGCCTCACGGACTCTCTACCGTATAGAATTGCTTCGGCGCTTACGGGAACAAGTTTTATGCCACCCCCTTTTGGAAGATCGGCTGGCATTGTGTCAGCCTCCTGGTCCTGAATTGCCCAAATGGTGGGAGCCTGTTCGGCATGATGGGGAGCTTCTAAGAGGGGCAGCCCGCCATGGGGTGAGCCAAACAGACTGCAACATCATGCAGGACCCAGACTTCTCTTTTCTGGCTGCCCGTATGAATTATATGCAGAACCATCAAGCAGGAGCACCAGCTCCATCCTTGTCACGCTGCTCTACTCCACTGCTGCACCAGCAGTATACCTCACGCACTGCCTCACCACTGCCCCTGCGCCCAGATGCTCCTGTTGAAAAGTCACCCGAGGAGACAGCTACCCAGGTCCCCAGTCTGGAGAGTCTGACTTTAAAGCTAGAGCACGAGGTGGTGGCCAGGAGCCGACCAACCCCACAAGACTATGAGATGCGAGTATCCCCCTCTGATACTACCCCTCTGGTTTCCCGGAGTGTTCCACCAGTCAAACTGGAGGATGAGGATGATTCGGACTCTGAGCTGGACTTGAGCAAGCTGTCACCATCTTCTTCTTCTTCCTCATCCTCATCCAGCTCCAGCTCCAGCACTGATGAGAGTGAGGATGAGAAGGAAGAGAAGCTAAGTGAGTGCATGTGACAGGCTGTTGGCCCCCTTCCCTATTTCCCCCTCTCTTCTCTTTCCCTTTTCTAAATGCATCCTCTTGAGAGAGATTTGGATTTTGATTTGATAAAATGTCAAAAGAGTGCCATTCTTTGGGCCTTTATTCAAAGCCCATATAATACCATTACCATATGACATTATTCTTCCATCTTTTCTCACACATTCTATGGGCTCTCTTACCAGCTGACCAGTCCCGCTCAAAGCTCTATGATGAAGAGAGTCTCCTGTCCCTCACTATGTCCCAAGATGGATTCCCAAATGAAGATGGAGAACAAATGACCCCTGAGCTTCTGCTACTGCAGGAAAGACAAAGAGCCTCTGAGTGGCCCAAGGTAACAAACAGCCTCATCCCTGGACATGTAGAGTCCAGAAATACAGTGTAACAGTATATCCGGGGAAAAAGGAACATATGGTTCTGGATTTTTAAAATTGTGTTTATTGCTGCAAGTTTTTTTTTTTTTTTCCAGGAAACTTCCCAGTTGACTTAGGAATCTTAATAGTATTAACTTCCTCTTTTCTGCCTTATGATTTTTACCCATCCTGGTAGTGATGGCACTATTGAGTATCACAGGATCACACAGCTAGTACTCAGACTCTTAAAATGGTATTTCTTTCTTTCCCCATTCAGGATCGTGTCCTGATAAACCGTATTGACCTCGTCTGCCAGGCTGTACTCTCAGGGAAGTGGCCTTCTAGCCGTAGGAGCCAGGAAATGGTAACAGGAGGAATTTTGGGGCCAGGCAACCACTTGCTAGACAGTCCCTCATTGACTCCTGGAGAATATGGTGACTCTCCAGTCCCCACACCACGAAGTAGTAGTGCAGCTTCCATGGCAGAGGAGGAAGCATCTGCAGTCAGCACAGCGGCAGCCCAGTTCACCAAACTTCGCCGAGGCATGGATGAAAAGGAGTTTACAGTTCAAATCAAAGATGTAAGCTCAGCATTTGGGCATTGGGAAGTGGGGAAGGAGGCTGGAATCCTTGCTGTAACTAATTTTACTAATAGGTTACTAAACTCATTTGGTTAGCTAATTTTAAAAATGAGAAAACAGAGCTTACAAAGATCCATTTAGGAAGAATCATTTTTCCTGGTTGTTTTCCTTATTGAACCCTATTGATTATTAATCCTATTAATATTCAACAAAAGTTTCTTAAATTAGTATGCTTAGGAATAGCAGGATTTTGCCCCTGTGATGAGTTGCCATGCTAATACGGAGACACCAGGTAGGGAGTTTTACCCTAACTTGGGTGTTGTTGAAATAAACTCTTTCTCGTAAATGCTGAGGGGCACTAGGTGAAGAAGTGAAATCTTTCTAAGGAAAAAGTGTGTATGTTTTCTTGTATTTCTAATTTTACCCTTTAGTCAGATGGCCTTCCTTCTCACCATCATTGGGCAAGAGGATGACCTATAGCCCACATCCCTCAAAGCTTAATCTTTACTTTGAAAAACATGTACCATATGATGTCTTGGGTGGGTGGGTTGTCTTCCTAGGAGGAAGGATTGAAGTTAACATTCCAGAAGCACAAGTTGATGGCGAATGGAGTAATGGGAGATGGACATCCACTGTTTCATAAGAAGAAGGGGAACAGAAAGAAGCTAGTAGAGGTGAGTGGTAGAGAAAGTCTTTAACCTGACGATTAGATTGTCTTTTTATTCCCAATAATTGATGAAGGCAGTGGGACTGGGGGAATGGAAAATACTAGAGTCATTTCATGACTACCATTGGCCCTGCTCCCCCTCCCTCCCTCCCCCAAAGAAGAGTATGTGCTCATGGGGGTGGATTCTGGGTTTGCAGCTGGAGGTGGAGTGCATGGAAGAGCCTAATCACCTTGATGTGGACCTGGAGACCCGGATCCCTGTCATCAATAAGGTGGATGGTACTTTGCTGGTGGGTGAGGATGCCCCTCGCCGGGCTGAACTGGAGATGTGGTTACAGGGTCATCCAGAGTTTGCTGTTGATCCCCGATTTCTAGCGGTGAGTGGCAGTCCCATCCAGCAAGATTTAAAGTCATTCCTTTGGTATTTAAGCTGCATGAGAAAGAGAAAGCATGACATACTGTATCATCGTTTCTGTATCTGCAAGATAAGGGTAATAATTAATAATACCCAGTCTTCCAACCTCACAATTGTTGTGATGCCCAAAATAAAATAATGTTGAAGTACTTTAAGTGCTAGGCAAATATTTACTATTGAACTATTATATAAACCACCTAATATTTTTTGGAGAGATCCCACTTAATGGCAGTTTTCCACTAGGATGAATCCTTTATCTATGTAATAAGTGTTTATTATCAAACAAAAGACACTAGTACTTTAATAATTACTCCAGAGAAGATTTCTATTCCTCTAGGATAACTGATTTTTTCTATTGCAGTATATGGAGGATCGCAGAAAACAGAAGTGGCAAAGATGTAAAAAAAATAATAAGGCAGAATTGAACTGTTTGGGAATGGAACCAGTACAGACAGCTAACTCTAGAAATGGGAAAAAGGTGAGAGAAATTGCAGCATTACCACTCTATTCCCACACTAGATGTGAGATTACAAGTCTTTCAATGATGATTGTGACTAATGTTATTTATCTTTTTTCCTATGTTTGTTTGTGTGAAGAATTATCTTGAGTTCACCAATAAGGAAACCGGAGTTTTCTGGGGTTTTTTTTTTTTTTTTGAGACGGAGTCTCACTCTGCTGTCGTGCAGTGGCGCAATCTTGGCCTACTGCAACCTCCGCCCGCCGGGTTCAAGCAATTCTCGTGCATCAGCCTCCTGAGTAGCTGGGATTACAGGCACCTGCCACCGCGCCTGGCTAATTTTTGTATTTTTAGTAAAGATTGGGTTTCACCATCTTGGCCAGGCCGGTCTTGAACTCCTGACCTCGTGATCCACCCGCCTCGGCCTCCCAAAGTGTTGGGATTACAGGCCTGAGCCACACTGCACCTGGCCCAGAGTATTTTTATCAGTATTTTTGCAGTCCTGTGGTATCTTCATCTCTAGGAGAGCATAACATTCTAAAAACTAACTTTAGTACTTGATGCATATGAAAATTTAAGAATTAGTAAGATGGGTTAGAGAGAACATTCAGATCTTACTCTGTTCTTCTATTGAATAACTAAGGGATTTTGGACAAATCCTTTAACCTCTTCAGTTTTTACATCCTGAAAAGTGAGGGTTTTAAAGCAATTTCTTAAGTTTTCTGTTTTTTTGAGACATGGTCTCACTCTGTCACCCAAGCTGGAGTGCAGTGGCACCATCTCAGCTCACTGCAACTTCTCCCTCCCCTGGTTCAAGCCATTCTCCTGCCCAGCCTCTCAAGTAGCTGGGATTGCAGGCGTGCACCACCAGGCCAGGCTAATTCTTTGTATTTTTAGTAGGGACGAGGTTTCACCACGTTGGCCAAGCTGCTCTGGAACTCCTGGCCTCAAGTAATCCACCCGCCTTGGCCTTCTGAAGTACTGGGATTACAGGCTTCAGCCACCGCACTCGGCCTTAAGTTTTCTAATTCTATATATTTTAGAAGTGTTTGGAGAGGTCTTCTAAGGAAAATAGTCATGAGATTTCCCAATATATAAAGGTTGAGAATCACTAATAATATGTCAGTAATGGAAAAAGCAGAGGAAACTGTTTTGTAATTCATAATAAATTTGTCCATTAAGTTATTCTATATTTTCAAATTTACTTATACTTTTATGATGGATAATAGGCCATTTGGTGGACTAAGTACCCACAGTTTATTCTTTCCACCAAATTTCAACTGCAAAAGTTTCTCTTGGCTATGCTTACCTTACTTTCTGCAATAGTTGTATTTGTTTTTTAATCTTTTATTTTTTTGAGACAGAGTCTTGCCCTGTCACCCAGGCTGGAGGGCAGTGCCACAATCTCAGCTCACGGCAAGCTCTGCATCCCCGGTTCAAGTGATTCTCTTGCCTCAGCCTCCCAAGTAGCTGGGACCACTGGCGCATGCTACCATACCCAGCTAATTTTTGTATTTTTAATAGAAAGAAGGTTTTGCCATGTTGGCCAGACTGTTCTCAAACTCCCGACCTCAGGTGATCCACCTGCCTAAGCCTCCCGAAGTACTGGGATTACAGGCATGAGCCACTGTGCCTGGCCAATAGTTGTAATTTTTTTTTTTTTTTCCTGAGACGGAGTCTTGCTCTGTTGCCCAGGCTGGAGTGCAATGGACTGATCTCAGCTCACTGCAACCTTTACCTCCCAAGTTCAAGTGATTCTCCTGCCTCAGCCTCCCGAGTAGCTGGGATTACAGGTGTGTGCAACCATGCCCAGCTAATTTCTGTATTTTTAGTAGAGACGGGGTTTCACCATGTTGGTCAGGCTGGTCTCGAACTACTGACCTTGTGATCCACCCGCCTCAGCCTCCCAAAGTGTTGGGATTACAGGCGTGAGCCACAGCGCCTGGTCAATAGTTGTATTTTTAAAGCATACATAAATCATTGTTTTAAATGACATAGAGTCATTTAAAATGGATTAGCACTTGTATATACTTGCCTTATCTAATTATTCCCCCATTTGATCTTCTATAGAAATCTTTATACACATACAGTCATCCCTTGGTATCTGTGAGGGATTGGTTCCAGGACCCCTGCAGATACCAAAATCCATGGATGCTCGAGTCCTTTATATATAAAATGGTGTAGAGCCAGGTGCGGTGGCTCTTACCTGTAATCCCAGCACTTTGGGAGGCTGAGGCAAGAGGATCACTTGTGCCCAGGAGTTCAAGACCAGCCTGGGGACCCCAGTGGGACCTTATCTCTACAAAAAATTAGCTGGGCGTGGTAGTGCAGTCCTCTAGTATCAGCTATGTGGAAGCTGAGGCAGGAGGATCACTTGAGCCCAGAGGCTGAGACTACAGTGACCCATGATCATGCCACTGCACTCCAGCCTGGGCAATAGAGTGTGAGACCCTGCCTCAAAAAATAAATAAATAAATAAATAAAATCATGTAGTATTTCCATGTAACCGACACACTTCCTCTGATACACTTTAATCTCTTGATTACTTATAATACCTAACACAATATAAATACTATGTAAATAGTTGTTACACGGTATTGTTTTAAAATCTGTAGTATTTTCTCTTGTTATTTTTTAGTTTCTTGTTGTTTTCAAATATTTTCAATCCACAGATGGTTGAATCCATGGATATGGAAGGCTGACTATGTGCATACACATATATTTATGTGTCTATATAACCACATGGAATATCTTTTAACAAAATTAATTTTAAAGTAAACTATCAATATTTTGCATTTAACAAGTTTGAAACATAAAATATATGTAGATTTATGAGGCTTATTTTTATATTAATGGAAGTGTTACCATGGGAGAATGTTTCAGTTTTCCCTGTTAGCCTCGATGAGAACAAGAGTGCAATAAACAGAATGGTTGATATGGGAAAGGCTGGTGGCTAGAAGGCTAATGCCATCTCTGTCTTTAATTTAACATTATAGAGCAGCCTGTAAGAAGGGCTTTTCCTTCACTGTTACCTATTTTTACCTCAAGTACTTCTGCTACTCCCTTATAGTCAACTGAAACTCTTAAGAAATATCATAGAAAATCACAGAAAATCCTAATATGACTAGTACAGAATTCTTTTTTTTTTTTTTTTTTTTGCTTGAGACAGAGTCTCGTTCTGTAACCCAGGCTGGAGTGCAGTGGCATGATCTCAGCTCACTGCAACCTCCGCCTCCTGGGTTCAAGTGATTCTCCTGCCTCAGCCTCCTGAGTAACTGGGATTGCAGCCATGCACGACCACACCCAGCTTTTTTTTTTTTTTTTTTTTTGATACAGAGTTTCACTCTTGTTGTCCAGGCTGGATGGAGTACAATGCCGTGATCTCTGCTCACCGCGATCTCCGCCTCCTGGGTTCAAGCGATTTTTCTGCCTCAGCCTCCCCAGTAGCTGGGATTACAGGCATGCGGCACCACGCCCAGCTAATTTGTTGTACTTTTAGTAGAGATGGGGTTTCTCCATGTTGGTCAGGCTGGTCTCGAACTCCCAACCTCAGGTGATCCGCCTGCCCTCAGCCTCCCAAAGTGCTGGGATTACAGGCGTGAGCCACCACGCCTGGCTGACTCCCGGCTAATTTTGGTATTTTTAGTAGGGACAGAGTTTCGCTATGTTGGCCAGGGTGGTCTTGAACTCCTAACCTCAAGTGATCCACCTGCCTCAGCCTCCCAAAGTGCTGGGATTACAGGCATGAGCCACCACGCCTGGCCCAGAATTCTTAATATAGAATTGACAGTGAATCTAGCACTACGTTATTCTTGGGACCTGCAGGAATAACTTCTATCTTCAATGAACTTAATCAGAATTTTTAGTCAGAACATCTAGAAGAAGCCATTTAAAATTCAGATATGTAAGTTTTTTATCAATGTGGAACAAAAATTATTTTATTAAATTTAGTGAGGAGTTTCTGACAGTTTTTTGGTGTTCTAGACATGTAGAAATCTTTATCTGATCTGTCTTGAATTTACCCTGCTTTGATGTGCTAATAGAGGATATTATTGTAAATGTCAATTCACATAGTAAGAACAAGTGAACAACTTGCCATCAGGAGACACGAGTGATTTTTTTTTTTTTTTTGAGACGGAGTCTCGCTGTCGCTCAGGCTGGAGTGCAGTGGCGCGATCTCGGCTCACTGCAAGCTCTGCCTCCCGGGTTCACACCATTCTCCTGCCTCAGCCTCCCGAGTAGCTGTGGGACTACAGGCGCCCGCCACCTTGCCCAGCTAATTTTTTGCATTTTTAGTAGAGACCGGGTTTCACCGTGTTAGCCAGGATGGTCTCGATCTCCTGACCTTGTGATTCCCCCGCCTCGGCCTCCCAAAGTGCTGGGATTACAGGCGTGAGCCACCGCGCCCGGTCACAAGTGATTTTTTTTATGTGCATTTACTAATTCATTGTCTTACCCAGACCCCTTCTTAACAAAGGTAAGCATTTGTGAAATGGTTGACTAAAGTAAAGATACAATATAGTCATGGGGAAAAGAAGCAAAAACTGGTTAATATGAGTTTCGGTACAAAATCATTGATCTTAACTTTAGTATCAGAATGTTTCAACCAGCTAAGTCCAGCATTTCCTCCTTCCCATTACCACCAATCAAGCCTAGTATCGCTGTGCTTGTTTTGCCTCTTCTAAGGTACATTCAGTAAAAAAGCATTGTAAGCTAGGACTCTGTTGGCTTTGGTTTCTTTTCTTTTTTCCCCTTTCTTTCTTTTTATTATCTTCTATTCCCTCCTCCTAGGGTCATCACACTGAAACGGTGTTCAACCGGGTTTTGCCAGGGCCTATTGCACCAGAGAGCAGCAAGAAGCGGGCCCGTAGGATGCGACCAGACCTTTCTAAGATGATGGCCCTCATGCAGGGTGGAAGCACTGGGTCTCTATCTCTGCATAACACGTTCCAACACAGCAGTAGTGGCCTACAGTCTGTGTCATCTTTGGGTCACAGCAGTGCCACTTCTGCATCTTTGCCTTTTATGCCATTTGTGATGGGTGGTGCACCATCATCCCCTCATGTAGACTCCAGCACCATGCTTCATCACCACCACCACCACCCCCACCCCCACCATCACCACCATCACCATCCAGGCTTGAGAGCCCCTGGCTACCCCTCTTCACCAGTGACTACCGCCTCTGGTACTACCTTGCGGTTGCCACCACTGCAACCTGAGGAGGATGACGATGAGGATGAAGAAGATGATGATGACTTATCTCAGGGCTATGATAGCTCAGAAAGGGACTTCTCACTCATTGATGATCCTATGATGCCAGCTAACTCAGACTCCAGTGAAGATGCTGATGACTGAAGCCCCAGCATGGGCCCCATTGCTTGGGCGGCTGCTGTATTTTCATTTACTCTGGCCCTTGGACTATGGAAACGTGGGAGGGGCAGGGGAGATGTGGGGAAGTCCAGGACTCCAGGAGGTGAAAAGGAAAAAAAAAAAAAAATGTACCTGATTGCTCCCAATTATGAGAGGATTGGGTGGGCAGGGGAACTCCTAAAATAATACATGACCACTTCCTCATTTCTGGGGAAGGAAAGGAGACTAGAGCAGCTGGTGTGCTCACCCCTCCCTAGTCACCTCCATTAACCACAGACTATGTAGCGCTGGCCCTAGCCTCTGGCAGAGCCTGTTCCTGGCCGAACTGTGGATACAGCTGGAGGGTCAGGAACTGTTACCTTCTTTCCCCTTGGCATTAATAAATTTAAGTTAATCCTTTTCCACTCTTCCTTTGTTCTATGTTTGCTCAAACCCAGTGTATTGATTTTGAGTTGTTAATGGTGGGTAATTTCAGCACCACTTTCCTTAAGTTCAATACTGTTTATACTAAATTGCCTTACAGCAGACAAGTCATCTGTACTCCTCTAAAGGGTATATACAAATGTAGACTGTCCAGCTGGCTAAAGGCAAGGGAATTATTTAAGGTAAATGGTAGGTAGGCAAACTTCTGGATTCAAACTCCAAGTTTTTAGAAGAGACAGGGAGCAAGAATGTCATCAGGAACCATTTATGTTTTGTTTCTAATTAACTGAAGTAACGGTTATTTGGGGGAAGCCATAGAATAGTGCCAGTTTTCATGAACTGCAGCAAGGGGACTGGCCGACTGGAAGGATGCTGCCGCGACTTGGGCTCAGGGGGTGGGGTTGTGGGAAGGAACTAAAAGTTTGTAGAGCCCCTCAAGTCATCTGTTTCCTCTGACTTACACCATCCCACTGCTCAGTTAAAGCTTGCGCATATTATTTTCCTTTCGAAAACTAGGTTCCTCCCCCAGCTTGGGTCGTAGTTTATCACGAGGCTGGGCTCCATTTCCCTGGTATGAGTCCTCTGTCCCGGCGGAGCGCTTGACCCAGCATCCTGGCACCGAGGATCCCTCGAGTCCTGGAGCAGTCAAGGGCTTTTGCATTCCCATCATTTCTAGGAGGGGCGCATGCCCAGTTACACTGTAGTAGTCCCACTTTTATCCCACGCTAGATCCCGCTCTTTCCGCTCCCCCTTCCTTTGCAGATGGGGTGGAGCTATAACACCCGCGCGCGGCAGCTCTTGTGGGCGGGGCAGGCGCCGCCTCCTTCGCTTCGTCTAGGGACTGCCGCCTCGGCAAAAAGTCTGAGGTCCTGGAAACCGCCGCTGGGCTGAGAGTTAATAAGGGCGGAGGCAGACCGTCACGTGACGACGTCGATTCGCGTGCGGCAGTGGCGAAGTTGACAAACCCCGCGAAAATCGACTCTTTGCATCGCACATTTTGTTGATTTTCCCTCGTTTTTCTTTCTCTCTTTCCCCCGTCCATCCGAAAGAGGGTTGGAAAAAAACAAAACAAACAAACAAACAAAAAAAAAACCTAACGCTGTTGGGACCCGGAAGCGGAAAGGGCATCTTTGAGGTCGATACTTCCGGGTCATTGGGAGAGTGCGGGATTCCTGGGCCGAGAGCGGGTGGCTGAGCCGGGACCTCGCGTGATTCTCGGAACCCGAGGAGAAGCGGCGTCCGGGGCTATGGCTGTGACTCTGGACAAAGACGCTTATTATCGGCGAGTGAAGAGACTGTACAGCAATTGGCGGGTGAGGAAGATCCTGTAATTTTTCCTAGGGAGCCCCCTTAGCCATCCCATAATAACCCTGTTTCTCGGCGCCCTTTTTTCTCTTTCGGTCAGGAATTCCCGGGTTCTGTGCCTCACCCTTTTCGTTGCTCCCGAATCATTCACCGGAGGCGGCCACGAACGCTGCCCCTTAACAGGGAATCCCCCGCATTCACCCTGTCCTGCGGCCATCACCATCTTCCCCGCGTGCCAGCCTTGGTCATGCATAGCAGCACCTCTCGCAGTCTCTTCCCGCCCTAGAAGAGGCAACATCCTTCCCTCCTACTCCGTGGTCACGTCTTGCTGCCCTCCCCTGCCGTGTTCTCACGCACTCGCTCTGTCCCTCCAGAACCACAATATTCCACCCCTGGTCCCGCCAGGATTATAACCGTCTTCGTAAAGGAGAGATGGAAGGGCAAGGAGGATGTCAATCGGGCTTTTAGCGTTTATCGTTTGCGGGGCTTTTGCTGGAGTTAAAAAAAGAAATACTGCTCACGCGCAACCGCCTCATGTTCTAGGCCCTGCTGTGGGTTACAGAGAGGGACCTAACGCTGAAAGCCTGCAGGCATTAGTAATAACAAAACAAAACAAAACGATGCCTAAAACCTTATTAGTTCCTTGGTAGCGTATCCGGGGCACGTGTTCATTAAAAGAGCTGTGGCAGTTCCCAGTTTTTTAAAGATTCGGCAGTTTTGCTGCTCTAAAAACGTCCACAGTTAAAACTTATTTTTATGATGTTAACTTACTAATTGAGCAAACATTTGGTTGCATTCTGTGATGCAGTCTGAGTTGGCTAGCTTAAGTCTTGCCCCTGAACCCTGTCATCAAGGGAAGATACAGCTAATAAAGATTTTTTTTTAACCTGAAAAACGTTTTGAGAAAAATGATCAGCTCTCATTTCAGCATTGTAAATTATCTTTCAAACTGGTCATCTACTAAAACCAAGCCATTAAAATTGGTCGTTTCCTTGCCATTCATATTAAAGCTGTCTGTGCATGTTTCATCTTTTGGGGCTAAATACATTAGATAATTGAAAATAAAATTGATTCTCTTGCATTTTATGAAAAGGAAAAATAAGAACTAAATGCTAGATGAATACTGAACATTTTATTTTTTTTAATTTTTTGATTAATTTCTACCAAATGATTTTTTGCAGCTTCTCTCAGTGTCATATTATTCAAACATAATCGATGTTAGAAAAACATTTTAAAACCTTGATACTTTCTAATGATCAGTAAGTACTAAAAATCCGAAGCCCTCTCTTGTACCCATAAACCCTGAAACTGTGAACCTTTGGTATGAAAATTGTTTCTAGTCCCAGTGATTCAGATTCATCAAATAATTTCATTCTCTCTATACCATTCATGAAAACTAATCTATAGCTCTCACTTCCTCTACATGACAAATTAACTGTGGCCTGAAGACAGGTTGGCAAACCTAATAAAACTGATAGTCTTTAAATCCATGAAAGTTATTTCCCACCCACCATTTTTTTTTGTATCTCAAAAATCTTTAAAGTTTATCTTGGCCCTCTTACTACCTTAATGACATCATCTTGGGAGAATGTTAGATATTGATAAGACACTGATGGTGTAAAGTTATGAGCCAAATCTATGTAAAAATGTACCAGTTAACAAAACCTGTGGCTATTATGAAAAACTTACTTGAATAAGACTTTCTGCTTTTGTGTTAATGTGTCCAGAACCCACCTGTAGAAGTTCTTTGTGTATGCAGTCTTTTCACCCTACAGTGCTTTCATTCTGATACACTTAATCAGAGATAGTAGTTTTCTGGGTTAAATCTAGTCGCTTATCCTCCTGGATATAGCAGAAAGATAGTGGGATATATAGGTGTGTTGTATAACTTTTCTCTTTTACACCTTTTCCTTTTTTTAATAAGAAAACTGGGATTGAAATAGAATAAGTTGAAGTTAATGGTAAAAATTCCAAACCTGGCTGGGCACCGTGACTCATGCCTGTACCCAGCACATGAGGCCAGGAGTTAAAGACCAGCCTGGGCAAGATGATGAGACCCCCGTCTCTACAAAAAAAAAAAAAAGGCAAATAAATTAACCAGGCATGGTGGTGTGTGCCTATAGTCCTAGCTACTTGTGATGCTGAGGCAGAAGGATCCCTTGAGCCCAGGAGTTTGAGGCTGCAGTGAGCTGTAATCGCATCACTGCACTCCAGCCTGGATGAGACCCCGTCTTTAAAAAATAAATTAAAAAAAAAAAAAATAAATCCCAAGCCTTTTGCTTTCAGCTTCCATCTTAAAAAAAAAAACTGTTATGACTAAAATTAACTAAAAAATGATTTGGGCTCCAAACCCACTTTTAATTTTAAATACTCTTGATTATAAGCCCTTAAAAGCTGTAGTGGTTGAACCTGGTAGTTCCAGCAGTCCAAATACAAGTACACAGGGTTGTAGAGAACTGATAGGCTACTAAGCTTTTTCTTCCCTTTTTTAAAAATAAGAATAGGAATTAACCTTACCTATCTGCAAGTTAATTTTCAGTTAGGTACATATTTTGAGGCTATTGCAAATAAAATATTTTTTAATTATAATTTTCATAACTTATGTCCTAAAAACAATTGTAGTTACCATGTACTTTTAACTGAATAGAAATTTCAAAAATATTAAGCCCTGTATCTAAGTAAATCGTGTCATTTTAGAGATGGGAAAATGGAGTCAGTCAAAAATCAACAGGAGACCTTAGAACGTACTATTGTTTTATGACTCCTGGAGGTTTGAGTCTAGATCCAGTCTTGCCTCTTATGTTTTAAGTGAGAGCTGCTAAGAGCAGAAAGGATTTGCAGCACCTTCTCTGTATTATTAGAATATCGCAGGTGGTAGTGGTGGTTCCTGGAAATGGGCTGCATGTTTCTTTGTCCTCTTATGCCTACTAGATCCTTCTTCAGGGATTGCCAGCCTTTTCATGATTACGATTATTTTTAACCAAGTAATATGATTAGTGCTGGTCATTGGGAGAAACAAAAGAGGTTATCTACCATCCCAGGGTTCCAGCTGCCTTGAGGGCTGAGTGGTACAATATCCAGGCATATCTGTATATCATTTGAGACCTACCTGTTGGGACATTCTGATATGAGTGGACCTTGACTTCATCTGCCTTTTTTCTTGAAGAATTCCATAAAATGTCAAAAATATTTGTTTTCAGAAGGAATACTCACATTCTTGTGAGCATACACCAACTGTCAGGATTGGGGTAGTGGAAGACTGACCCCAAAGAAATTTTATGCCTTTGAAGAAACTAATGAATTAAAGTGTCAGTGCTTCTCTTGAGTGGAGCTTTCTGGCTCTTTGCAGATTTTTATGGTGGCTTAGTTTCTTGTTCTGGGTTGTTCTATTAAGATTCAACAGCTATGTTCTGTGGCTCAGGAAGGATTTTAAAAAATACATAGTAGCTTATGCCTGTATAATCCCAGCTACTCCAGAGGCTGAGGTGGAAGGATTGCTTGAGTCCAGGAGTTCAAGACCAGCCTGGGCAACATAGTGAGAGAGAGCCCATTTCTTTAAAAAAAAAAAAAAAATTCAGTCTTCCATCAGTATCTGTCAGGGATTGCTTCCAGGACATACCTAGATACCTAAATCAAAGGATGCTCAAGTCTCTGATAACAAAATGGCATATTTGCATAGCCTATGTATATCCTCCCATTATTTTTTATTTCTAGATTACTTATAATACCGAATATAGTGTAAGTGCATGTAAATAATAGTTATACTTATTTTTTAGGGGGTAATGACATAGAAAAATGTTTGGCCATTTTAATTTTCAGTACACAGTTGAATCCACAGATAAGGAGAGCCAGCTGTATAGGCATTTCCTGTTATTTCAGTCAGGCAGTGGATTACTTCCACTCACACTCAGCTCTTAATAGCTCCTTTATCTCTGGAGTGGGATAGAGAAAGGTTTTTTTGTTTGTTTGTTTGTTTGTTTGTTTGTTTTTTGAGTTTCACTCTGTGGCTGAGGCTGGATTGCAATGGCACAATCACTGCTCACTGCAGCCTCAACCAAACCAGCCTCAGGTGATCTTCCCACCTCAGCCTCCTGAGTAGCTAGGACCACAGGTGCATGCCACAACACTTGACCAATTTTTATTATTATTATTATTGTTATTTATTTTATTGTATTTTTTGTGGAGACAGGGTTCCACCGTGTTGTCCCAGGCTGGTCTCAAACTCATGGGCTCAAGCGATCCGCCCACCTCGGCATCCCAAAGTGCTGAGATTGCAGGTGTAAGTCACTGCACCTGGCCAAGAAACTTTTTAATAATGCTGAGTAAGGAGGGTTAGATGGAAATAAATGCCCAGATGGATTGAGATTTTTTTTTAAATATTGCTTACTCAGCTTTTATAGTCTAGTTCTCTACTTTTTTTTTTTTTTTCTTTTTTTGAGACAGTCTGACTGTGCCACCCAGGCTGGAATGCAGTGAAGCATTCTCAGCTCACTGCAACCTCTGCCTCCCGGGATCAAGCAATTCTCGTGTCTCAGCCTCCTGAGTAGTTGAGATTACAGGTGTGTGCCACCATGCTCGGCTAATTGTTGTATTTTTCGTAGAGATGGGGTTTCACCATATTGGCCAGGCTGGTCTCTAACTCCTGGCCTCAAGCAATCCACCCACCCCAGCCTCCCAAAGTGCTGGGATTACAGATATGAGCCATCACACCCAGCCCTAGATCTCTACTTTTTATATTTACTTTTTATCCCTATTAACAACTACAGTGCCTGGCATATAGAAGTCACTCAGTGAACAGTGGTAACTGATTATATGGGTATTTAGCTACAACCAGACTGCAAAAATACTTTCTTTTTTTAAGGCAGTATCAGTTTGGTTCAAAGGAAGATAGTTGTTCTGCTGCTGCACTATTTCTCCAACTTTTATCATCCAGATACCACCTTCACAATTTTTGCAGATTCTTTGCCACCTGTTTTATATTTTATTTAACTCTCACTTTCAAAATTATTTTAATCAGTAATAGATATAGTTTTTTAAAAGTCATAGTTCTAATAAAAGCCTTAAAACAAAAAGTCACCTATCCCAGAGGCAACCACTTTGAGTTTTTTGTTTCTTTCATATTTCTAAATAATATCTATATATACTGCTATTTCTTGATTTGTGAATTTTTAACGGTTATTAACTTATGGTAAATCTGAATTTAACTTCTTTGTGTCATCACACTCATTCCAACTTCCCTACCTCCTGATACCTTAACATTTTTCTCCTGACACATTGATATGAAAAATTTTAAAGACAGAAAAGTTGAAAGAATTTTAAGTAAACCCTTTATACCCACCACCCCACACAGTTAACATTTTGTTGTACTTGCTTTATCACACATCCATCCTTCTTCATAACTTTTCCCCACAATTTTTAGTAAAATAAGTAGTTACTATTTACATTGTTTATGTTCATATAGATGTTTTCACTGCTGGGTGAAGTAATAAAGTATGATTAACTTTCCTTTTTTTCTACAGTTTTTTATTTTTCCTGGCATTAATGATTTCCTCAGTTTTTCTCCTTTAAAAAAAGTCTCCCTAGCCTTAATTTTTTCCAATAAATCTATTATAATGTTACCAGTCTTTTATTCTAAATTTCTCACACTCATAGAATTTTCTTCTGTTTCTTAAGAGCAACCTCACTCCCCACTTCCACCCCCCACATTATCCTGTTACCAGTCTTTTATTCTAAATTTCTCACACTCAGAATTTTATTCTGTTGCTTAAAAGCAACCTCACTCCCCACTTCCACCCCCCACATTATCCTGCTCCATCTGTATAGGTTACTCTTTAGGCCTGTTGAACCTCGGGACTTTGCAATATTGGGTCCCCTATATCCAAGAGCCTCTGCTTTGTTTTTTCTTTAGCACATTTTCTCTAAGAACTTCGTAAGAAAAGATGGGCCAGGCGCAGTGGTTCATTCACGCCTGTAATATCAGCATTTTGGGAGGCCGAGGTGGGCAGATCACTTAAGGCCAGGAGCTCAAGACTACCCTGGCCGACATGGCGAAACCCCATCTCTACTAAAAATACAGAAATTAACCAGGCATGGTGCCACATTCCTGTAATGCCAGCTACTTAGGAGGCTGAGGCACGAGAATCGCTTGAACCCAGGAGGCAGAGGCCACAGTGAGCTGAGATCGTGCCATTGCACTCCAACCTGGGCAACAGAGTGAGACTGTGTCTCAAAAAAAGAATAAATAAAAAGCTCACCACTAGCTCCACTGTAACCCCATGCAAAAAAAAAAAAAAGGATGCATAGAATATAAATGTCTTCAGCCCTTGCATGTCTTAAAGTGCTAGTTTGCCCTCACTTTTGGTTAATAATATAGTTAACCAAAGTCAACTCTATTGGCTTTGTTAATGCAGTAGGTATAAAATTCTGTGTTGAAAATCATTTTTTGCTCAGAATTTTGAAGCCATTATTTGGCGTCAAAGACTTCAGTGTTACTTTTGAGAAGGCTGATATGATTCTATTTCCAGTATACATACATAGCCTGTTCTCTCTGAAATTTAGAATCATCCCTTCTGTTTTGAAATTGCACAGCAATGTGCTTTGATATGTCTCTTTTGGGGAAATCCTTTTAGTCTCAAGCTCATATTCTTCAGTCCTAGGATGGTGCATTATTTGATCATTTTGGTCCCTGCATTTCCTTAGTGATGTCTTTTGTTTCTGAAATTCCTATTCAGTAAGGTTTAGACCTCTTTGGTTAAATCTGTTCATTGTTGATCTTTTTTTTTTTTTTTTTTTTCTTTTTCTTTCTTTGAGACAGTCTCACTGTCGCCCAGGCTGGAGTGCAGTGATGCAATCTCGGCTTACTGCAACCTCCCAGGTTCAAGAGATTCTCCTGCCTCAGCCTCCCGAGTAGCTGGGATTACAGGTGCCTACTACCATGCCTGGCTAATCCAGGTCTTCAAATGGCTAGTTATCTTGCTACTGAAATATGTATTCAAGTGCTTTTACTTAGCCAACCATCATAAATTCACTGCACACAGAAGTGCTTTATTTATAACTTCTTATTTCTTTACATAGAATATTAAAAGACAAATGCAAGGGTTTGGGATTTTATAATGGTAATCATTTTTACTTCATCAAGGACTTTTACGTGAAACTGGCCTTTTTTCCTGAGTGTGTAGTAATGGAGAAGTAGTTTGGCGCCACTACCTTGACTCATACAAAGGGACTAGCAGTTTTAAGTGCCATTACTATTTCACTATTGGTGAGAACTAATGGTAAAACTTTTTACCAACCTGAAGGAAAACATTTCTTACTGAAAATCAATGAGAAAAGGCATATAATTTCTATGTAGTGACTTCTTTGCATAATATATTTTGTTGTGGTAGAGAAATACAACAGAACACTCAGTTGCTATCATATATCCTTATTAACAAGCAGAAGCCTTAAAAATGTGGAAGAGTCTTATGTATGCATTTATCTTGACTTTATAGGGGAAGTCAGAATTATAGCTCAGAATGACCAGTGTTTTGGCTTTATAGAGCTATTGAAGAGTATCTGATGGTTGGAGAACTCACACATCTTGATTTCAAAACTTACTACAACGCTGTAGTAATCAAAACATCACGGTACTGGCCTAAGGATAGGCATATAGAAGAGTGGAATAAACGTGAAAATTCAGAAATAAATCCTCACATTTATGGTCATTTAATTTTTGACAGGGATGTCAAGATAATTCAATGAGAAATGAATAGTCTTTTCAACAAATGGTGTTGTAATAACTAGATATTCAATGTAAAAGAATGAAGTTGGGTTAGTCCTCAGACCATACAAAAAAATTAATTGAAAATGAATCATAGACCTAACTGTGACAGCTAAAGCTATGAAACCCTTGTAGAAGAAGTATAAAGTAAATCTGAGTGACCTTGAATTAGGCAGAACCTTCTTAGATATGACACCAAAAGCACAAGAAAATAGATAGGCCAGGCACAGTGGCTCACACCTGTGATCCTAGCATTTTGGGAGGCCAAGGCAGGAGGATCACTTGAGGTCAGGAGTTCAAGACCAGCCTGGCCAACATGGCAAAACCTAGTCTCTGCTAAAAATACAAAAATTAGCCAGGCATGGGGCAGTTGCCTGGAGTCCCAACTACTTGGGATGCTGAAGCACGAGAATTGCTTGAACCCAGGAGACGGAGGTTGCAGTGAGCCGAGATCGTGCCACTGCACTCCAGCCTGGGGGATAGAGTGAGACTCTGTCTCCAAAATAAAAAAGAAAATAGATAAATTGTACCACTTCAAAATTAGAAACTTTGGTGCTTCAAAGGACACTATCAAGAAAGTGAAAATAAAATGCACAGAATGGGAGAAAATGTCTGCAGATCCTGTGTCTAGAATATGAAAACTCTTACAGCTCAATAATAAAGCAACAACTCAGCTACAAAATGGCAGAGGATCTGAACAGGCATTTCTCCAAGAGGCATACAGTTGTCAGTAAACATATGAAATGATGCTCAGCGTCATTAGCTATCAGAGAAATGAAATCAAAACTACAGTGAGGGCCGGGCGTGGTGGCTCATGCCTGTAATCCCAGCACTTCAGGAGGCCAAGTGGGGGCGGATCACTTGAGGTCAGGAGTTCAAGACCAGCCTGGCCAACATGGTGAAACCTCGTCTCTACTAAGAAATATAAAAATTAGCTGGGCGTGGTGGTGCATACCTGAAGTCCCGCTACTTGGGAGGCTGAGGCACAAGAATCGCTTGAACCTAGGAGGCGGAGGTTGCAGTGAGCCAAGTTTGCACCACTGCACTCCAGCCTGGGTGATAGAGCGAGACTCTGTCTCAAAAGAAAAAAAAAAGCAGGATACTAATTTACACTCATTATATGGCTGTCATCAAAACGACATAAAAACTGTTGGTTAACGTGGAAAAATTGGAACCTTGATACATTCTTAGGAATGTGAAATAGTGACTAGTGCAGTCATGGTGACAAACAGTCTGATGATTCCTCGAAAAGTTACCATATGACCCAGCAGTTCATCTCCTAGGTATATGTATACCCAAGAGAAATGTCCATACAAAACATATTCAAATGTTCATGGCAACATTTTTTACAATAGCCAGAAAGTGAAAACCCAAGTGTCCTGCAGCTGATGAATGGATAGATAAAATGTGGTATATCTACACAATGAAATATTCAGCAGTAAAAGGGAATGAAGTGTTGATACGTGTCACAACACAGATGAGCCTTGAAAACAAGTGAAAGAAGCCAGACACAAAGGCCACATTTTATTTGATTCCATGTATATGAATTGTCCAGAATAGACAAATCCATAGAGACAGGTTAGTGGTTTGTCTAGGGCTGAGATGGAGATAGGGGAGTTGGGGAATGATTGTACTCAAGGACATAGAGATTAAAATGTTCCAAAATTGTGATGGTTGCATAATTCTGCTAAAAATCATTACATTGTATGCTTTTGAATTTTATGTGAATTCTGTCTCAATAAAACTTTTTTAAAAAATAAAGAACTCCCGTCTCTCCATCAGCCAGAAAGGACATTGGTATTGAGGTTGACAAAACCTACAAGGACAAAAACTACCATGGCTTCCAGTGCTTTCATGAAACCTCAGATATGTGGCCTTCTGGCCAGGCATCTGTGATTTCATGTTGTTGAAGTGTTCATTTTGCCCTGGGGTTACATCTCTCTATTAAAATTTCTGTGGCTGAACCAAAAAAGAAGGCATATGTAGATTTCTGCATAAATTATGACTCCTTGAAAGATTCTAAGATGAAGGTGGCTTATCTTTGAGAGTGCAAGATGATTTTGGAATATAAAAAATTAGTTTGGCCCAGGCATGGTGGCTTATGCCTGTAATTCCAGCACTTTGGGAGACCGAAGCAGGTGGATCACCTGAAGTTAGGAGTTCGAGACCAGCCTGACCCACATAGTGAAACCCTGTCTCTACTGAAAATAAAAAAATTAGCCAGGTGTGGTGGTGGGCACCTGTAATCCTAGCTACTGGGGAGGCTGAGGCAGGAGAATTGCTTGAACCCAGGAGGCGGAGGTTGCAGTGAGCCGAGATTGCACCATTGCATTCCAGCCTGGGCAACAAGAGTCAAACTCCATCTCAAAAATAAGTAATAAAATTTTAAAAAATAAAATATTTCTTTGAATTACACAGGACGTTTGTCACTGATCTGTGTTCCTGAACTATGAAACATAGATCTGGGGGCTAAGGAAAAATTTCTCTTGATATTTATCAACAATTAGCAAGTACTGTAAAAACAAAAAATAGAATAGCCGTAAGACTGCCAAACAGGCATGTACCTTAAACTTGAAATTTCTATCAGGAGAAAATTATGCCTGTCCTAGATAAATATTGAAGGCTGTATTCCTGTTTTGCTAGTGTGAAAAATTAAGTGATGATTACCCACTCTTTTCAGAAAGGAGAAGATGAGTATGCCAACGTTGATGCCATTGTTGTATCAGTGGGTGTTGATGAAGAAATTGTTTATGCCAAATCAACTGCCTTACAGGTGAGAGATTTACAGCAATTTTTAGCTCTTAGAGTTGTTGGATTATCTACTGCACTGTTCAGTATGGTAGCCACATTAAAACTTAAATTCCTGGCTGGCTGCGGTGGCTCATGCCTGTAATCCCAGCACTTTGGGAGGCCGAGGCAGGTGGATTGCTTGAGCCCAGGAGTTCAAGACCAGCCTGGACAACATGGCAAAACCCTGTCTTTACAAGAAATACAAAAAAATTAAGCAGATGTGGGGGTGTGCACCTGTAGTCCCAGCTACTCAGGAGGCTGAGATGGGAGGATGGCATGACCCCAGGAGGTAGAGGTTGCAGTAAGCCAAGATTGCACCATTGCACTCCAGCCTGGGCAACACAGTGAGACCCTGTCTCTTACTTTAAAAAATTTCAATTTCTCAGTCCCATCAGCTGTGTTTCTGGTACTCAGCAGTGGCTACCCCATATTGGACAGAGCAGATAAATGGTATTTTCACCATCACATAAAGTTCAATTGGATTTAGCAGTGATTTAAGACATAAGGAAAAAGAAGTATTAATATCAGTATGGATTTAGCTGCTATAACACAAAAACCTAAGTAACAGTGAGTTAAACAAAATATTCTTTTCCTTATGTATAGTCTTCAGGGACCCAGGCTTTTTCCAGTTCTCTGTTCTGCCACCCAAAGAACATAGCCCTCTTGCACGTGGTACAGAATGGCTTCTAGAACTCCAGGTGTTTCATCTACATTCCAAGCAAAAAGAGACAGAGAAGAAAACAGGAGGCCACCTTTTCTTTTTAAGAAGACTTGCTTGAAGCTCCACACACTACCATTTTTTACCTATTGGCCAAAATTTGATCCTAATGACCATACTTACCTGAAAGGAAGGTAAAATATCAGTTCTTTGAGAAGGAGAAATGAATAATTGGTAGGGAACTGGTAATTGAGGAGGTAATAACGCAGGGTTCTGTATCACTCTGTCCCTTGTTTTATGCATTTCTGTATCACTAAACATTGATATACTTCCTATAAACACAAATCGTTTAACTGATTTGATGGTTTTAATTATAGAAAGTTCAAGCATATAAACGTAGAGAAAATAATACATTGAACCCCATTGTCCTGTTCTAATAAATTGTCGACTCTTGGCCGATCTTGCTTAATTTGTATCCACTCCAGACTCCCCAGCCTGATTACCTTGGAGTTAATTTCAGACATGTTATTTTTGTCTATAAGTATTTCTGTATATCTATATGAGTCCATTAATTTTTGTATCTGTAAATACCGTTGTCACTGTTGTCTTTTTCCATAGACATGGCTCTTTGGTTATGAACTAACTGATACTATCATGGTCTTTTGTGATGACAAAATCATCTTTATGGCCAGCAAGAAAAAAGTGGAGTTCTTGAAACAGATTGCCAACACTAAGGGCAATGAGAATGCTAATGGAGCCCCTGCCATCACACTGCTAATACGAGAAAAGGTCAGGATTAATAAAGAATGTGTCATAAATGTGGAAGAATCTTCAAAAGGGATGAACAGAAATGCCTTATAGGAGTTTGAAAGAATGCGCAGGGGAAATTATAGGTGGCTGTGGTTGTAATTACAAAGTTCTGTCACGTCTTCATTGTTAGGAGGAAAAGAATTCAATAATCCTATCAGTTCTGCTGTAAAACAAATGAGCTATGAAATTCTGGTGAACACTGATTTTATGTCTCCATTCTTGAGGACACTGTTAGTTTGTTTTCATCTGTATGCCTTGATTAGAGCAAATAACCTTAAATATCCTTAAGGAAACTTAGATATACATCATTTCCAGTTTTTATCAAATGTGAATTTTTTTTGTCATACTGCCCACCTAACATGGGATGTTTTCTCAGAATATTGTTCACTTATGTGTTTGAGTTTCTTAACTGTTTCTGAAGAAAAAGGATAGTTGTATCAGACGTGGTGGCACACACCCGTAGTCCCAGCTGCTCAGGAGGCTGAGATGGGAGGATTGCTTGAGCCCAGGTGTTTGAGACCAGCCTGGGCAACGTGAGACCCCTTCTCTTAAAAAAAGGAATAGTCTGGTCAACTTACGGCAGCACTTTCACCTGAGTATATAAAAATATCTAAAGAAATGTTTTGCTCACTTTTGATATATTACAATCTTCCTTAAAGATGGGAAGGCATCTTACAGGTAGGCCAGGCATGGTGGCTCATGGCTGTAATCCCAATACTTTGAGAGGCCGAGGCGAGCACTTGAGCGCAGGAGTTCCAGATGAGCCTGGGCAACATGACAAAACCCCATCTCTACAAAAAATACAAAAATTATTCAGGAAGGCTGGGTGCAGTGGATCACTTGAGGTCTGGAGTTCAAGACCATCCTGGGCAAGATAACAAAACCCCATCTCTACTAAAAATATAAAAAATTAGCCGGGCATGTTGTCACACACCTGTAATCCCAGCTGCTCGGGAGGCTGAGGCATGAGAATCACTTGAACCCGGGAGGCTGAGGTTGCAGTGAGTGTAGATTGCGCCGCTGCACTCCAGCCTGGCAACAGAGCAAGTCTGTCTCAAAAAAAAAAAAAAATTTATCCAGGCATGGTGGTATGAACCTGTAGTCCCAGCTACTTGGGAGGCCGAGGCAGGAGGATTGCTTGAACTTGGGAGTTCGAGGTTGCAGTAAGCTGTGATCACACCACTGTGCTCTACCCTGGGGGTAGTAGAACAAGACCCTGTCTCTTTAAAAGTAAAAAGTAGGTGGGGATGGGAGGAGAATTAATTTTTTCCGTAGTTTAGAATATTATTCTACCTGTTACTGGTAAAACGTGTCTAATGAACTGGTAAAACATATGTGTCTTTTCTTCCCTATGACACTGACAGAATGAAAGTAATAAGAGTAGCTTTGACAAAATGATTGAAGCCATTAAAGAAAGCAAGAATGGCAAGAAGATTGGAGTGTTCAGCAAAGACAAATTCCCTGGAGAGTTCATGAAGAGCTGGAATGACTGCCTCAACAAAGAAGGCTTTGACAAAGTAAGAATACTACTGGAAATAGCAAATCAAGAGTTGAGAAGACAGAAATGTGATGGGCTTCCATAACAGATAGTGCAGGACGTTTGTTTTGGGAAAACTGTATGTTTGTTTACATTTTATCCCCTTTGGCTGAGCAGTGTGCCAGTTTTATTTTTTTTCCCTGCCTTTCTTCTATCTGCCTTTACAAAAAACGTCTAGAGGGCAGTTTACATTTTAAGTGGTACATTAGCTTAACACCTCTTGTAGTACACACAATGACCTGGCAAAGAGCTATTTCAAATGTTTATTCAGTTCAAGAAGAGAATGTTTGAATATTCTGCAAACCAGTGATAGTTTGCTAAATAACAGAAATATCACTGGTAATATTCAAATTGGAGAGATGCATTTATTTTGTAATTCTGTACTTGCATGTTAGAAACTCTTGTCACTTTGACTGCAGATAGATATCAGTGCAGTTGTGGCATATACCATCGCTGTAAAGGAGGATGGGGAGCTCAACCTAATGAAGAAAGCAGCCAGCATCACTTCTGAAGTCTTCAACAAATTCTTCAAGGAAAGAGTCATGGAAATAGTTGATGCAGATGAGGTAAATGGAGATGAGAGGGTCTTTTTACTGTTTTAATGAAGCAGTAATAAGTCTACCATGCAAATCTGTTGGTGTGTTCTTCAGCTTCCTTTGAAATTAAGACTGACACTTAAGTTGGTGGTAATTACATCATCTCCCTTTCAAAATAATGGTAAGCCTGCGTTATGTTTTCTTGAGGTAACCCATTATTTTACTTGAGAATCATAGGAATAGCTGTAAGTCCTACATATTGTTCTCCAAATGTGTTTTGCCTGCATACCAATATATTACCTGGCGCATAAATCATTTCCTAAGACTTATACAAGGATACATTTTGTCTTCAAATCATAGTGTCCACACACCCCGCTTTGCTACCCTCTAGTAAGTGTTACTTTATTTCTGGATGCTCTTACAGAAAGTTCGACACAGCAAACTGGCTGAGTCTGTGGAAAAGGCCATTGAAGAGAAAAAATACCTTGCTGGGGCAGACCCTTCTACTGTGGAAATGTGTTACCCTCCTATCATTCAGAGTGGTGGCAACTATAATCTCAAGTTCAGTGTGGTGAGGTAAGTATATGAAGACTTCATAATATAGCATTTTGACTTTAGCCTATTTTTTCTTTTTGTTAAATCTGTACAAATTTGTGGGGTACACTGAAATTTGGCTACAAGTATATAATGTATAGTGTTACCAAGTCATTATCTTGGGTGTCCATCACCCAGGTGCAATACATTTTTGTTAAGTATAGTCACCCTACTCTGCTGTCAAACATTGAATTTATTCCTTCTATCTTACTTTATGTTTGTACCTTTTAACCCACTTCTTTTCATCCTCGCCTGCCCCCCTACACACTTACCCTTACCAGTCTCTGTTATCTATTTTTTCCCTATCTCCATGTAATCCAATTTTTTAGTTCCCACATATAAGTGAGAACATTCAGTATTTGTCCTTTTATGTCTGGCTCATTTAACTTAAGACTAATTACAACTCACAATTCATAGAGGACTAATGGATAAGTGACTCCTCACAACCCCACAATTAGACTATAATGGATACAATTCAGGATATCATTTGCATTTTTGTAATCCAGTACTCACTTACTCACTGAATTTTTATCCTAAAAGTTTTGGTCACTGACTTTTACTCCAGAGCCTTTATAAACTGGTTAGTTTATTTAAAACAAAACACAAAAAAGTTTAGGTCCTTATTCAGCCACAGCTTTGGGATATGGCAGGGAAAAGTAATGATTATTGATACCGTGTCCCATTGATACCAAGGACTTTGCTAGTTTTGGTAATGAAATGTTTTCTTTCTTTGTTGGTCTCTAGTGACAAGAATCATATGCACTTTGGGGCTATCACTTGTGCCATGGGTATTCGCTTCAAGTCTTACTGCTCCAACCTTGTTCGCACTTTGATGGTTGATCCTTCTCAAGAAGTTCAAGAAAATTATAACTTTTTGCTCCAGCTTCAAGAGGAGCTGCTGAAGGAATTAAGACATGGTGAGGTGCCTTAGAAAAGGAGGTTTGAAAGTTGTGTAACAAAAATGTCATTGGCCGGGAGCTGTGGGTCACACCTGTAATCCCTACACTGGGAGGCCGAGGCAGGAGGATCACTTGAATCCAGGAGTTCAAGACCAGCCTGGGCAATGAGGCCCCCATATCTCTACAAGAAATTAAAAATGAAACAATTAGTTGGGCATAGTGGTGCACGCCTGTGGTCCCAGCTACTCAGACTGAAGTTGAGGAGGATCACTTGAGCCTGAATGGTCAAGGCTGCAGTGAGTTGCGATTATACCTCGGCAGTGAGCTATGATTGCGCCACTGCACTCCAGCCTGGGCAATAGAGTTGAGACCTTCTCTCAAAAAAGAAATGTCATTAGTGTTATGTTTATGTCTCTGAGGCTCTCATATTAAAAACAGAATAAGATTTACAAATGTTGAATCATCCTAGCATCTAGGTCTTGAATCTGCATTTCTTTCAAGCATGAGTGATCATTGTGGTTTACATTGATGTTTATAGAAACCTCTCTGACTTGTTAGGCCCTCTGTGTCCAGATCATCACAAAATACCTTGGCCTTATTACTATTCCTTAGTTATAGAAAGTTCTGAGAACTAGTATCTCTACCTACAGGATATATACTGTTAATCCTACATCAAAACGATACGAAGGATACTGAGCTTCCAGACACCATTCTTCCACATTATCTCTAAGTCGGTCTTAAGAAGTCCTATTGGAAATCATAGCCATAGATAGTTTAATGAAGATAAAGATCCCTCTGAGGCCACCATATCTAGACTACTTTTTAGCTTGACATACCCATTCATAGTCTAGATCCTGAAAAATTAAGGCCACAGCCCTCATAACAATAATTCACCCATTTAGTGATAAATGGAACAGGCCCACCACAAGGATCTGTTTTTGAAAATGTATAATAACTTTAATGTGATACCATTTATCAACTCTTAAAGTATTTTATTAAGACCACTGTCCTCCTAGATCAGTGATTCTCAAATAGTATGATTAAGAATGGGATCGGGGCCGGGTATGGTGGCTCAAGCCTGTGATCCCGGCACTCTGGGAGGCCAAGGTAGGCGGATCATGAGGTCAGGACCATCCTGGCTAACACGGCGAAACCCCATCTACTAAAAATACAAAAAAATTAGCCGGGCGTGGTGGCAGGCACCTGTAGTCTCAGCTACTCGGGAAGCTGACGCAGGAGAAAGGCGTGAATCCGGGAGGTGGAGCTTGCAGTGAAGTAGGATCACGCCACTGCACTCCAGCCTGGGCAACAGAGTGAGACTCCATCCAAAAAAAAAAGAATGGGGCCAGGTGGAGTGATTTACACCTATAATTCCTGCACTTTGGGAAGCCAAGGTGGGAGGATTGCTTGAGTCCAGTTTGAGACCAGCCTGGGCAACATGGCAGACCATGTCTCTACAAAAAATAAAAAATTAGCTGGGCATAGTGGTGTGTGCCTATAGTCCCAGTTACTTGGGAGGCTGAGGTGGGAGGATCATTGAGTCTGGGAGGTCAGGGCTGCAGTGATCCGTAATCATGCTACTGCACTCCAGCCTGAGTGACAGAGTGAGACCTTGTCTCAAAAAAAAAAAGTGAGTGGACTGTTTAGTTCACACTTTGAGAAACACTGCTTTAGGGGACATAAATTTTGATTTTAAAATGTTACTGAGTTTTTTTCCTAAAAGATACTTTAATATCTCCTTTGTGTCTTGTTATTAGGTGTGAAGATATGTGACGTGTATAACGCTGTCATGGACGTGGTTAAAAAGCAGAAGCCAGAACTGCTGAACAAAATTACCAAAAACCTAGGGTATGCCATGATGTCTATTGTCATTCTTGAGTCAGTTTTCAGTTAGACTGTCAGTGGTCAGTCTTATTTCTTTAGGCTAATTGATTGATTCAGCCAACATTTATGGACTAGCAAACTATACTATGTGCCAGGCACATGATGTTATCAGAGAAGGTGAGACAGATTTAAGTTCTCCCAAGTGTATAAGAGAGATTTTTCTAGACCAGTGTGGTGTTCCAGCCCATAGGTTTTCCAGGATATAATTACAGATGTTAGGAAATATTATCAATACATACTATATCTCCTCTCTCCGTGCACATTTGCAACTTAAGTACTCTGAGATGTCCTAATATTTTATTTAGAGACAGGGTCTCACTCTGTCCAGGCTGGAGTGCAGTGGTGCAGTCGTGCCTCACTGCAGTCTAGACCTTCTGGGCTCCAGCAATCCTCCCATCTCAGCTCCCCCAATAACTGGGACCAAGGCACGTGCCACCACACCCAGCTCATTTTTTTATTTTTTGTAGAAACAGGGTCTCGCTATGTTGCCCAGGCTGGTCTTGACCTCGTGGGCTCAAGCAGTCCTCCCACCTTGATCTCCCAAAGTGCTGGGATTACAGATGTGAGCCACTGTGCCTGGCCGTTTGTTTGTTTTGGGGGTTTTTTTTTGTTTTGGTTTTGGTTTTGGTTTTGGTTTTGGTTTGTTTATTCAATCCAGTGTATTTCTCAAATGTATTTTATACATTTCTCAAATGTATTTTATCACTGAACACCTAGAAATACCTAATAACGTGTAATGGAACAAAGGACATTTTGGGAAACAAAGCTTTATGTAGGCATTCTCTTTAGATGAAAACTAGTCTATGGTATATAGTTTCTAGACTTCTCTCATGGAAATATATACCTATATAACAAGTCTTACGAATCTGGTTTACCAGTGTTCCACTAAAAATTGCCCCTTTTAATCTAGTAATTACTGTCTTAGTAATGTACCCCTTAATAATCTCTATGTTGTTTCTAGGAGTACTACTGACTTGATTTTATGGTAGAAGGTTAAAGTTTAAATGTGGGCAAATAAGCTAAAATTAAAAAGGCTCGATATAATCAATTAGGAAATTATTTTTCGCCATGGGATTATACAGCATGTTTAGAGGCCAAAGACTGTCTTTGAATCCTCTTTTCTAACTGAGCGGTCAGCAGGGGTAAATCATTTCAAACATGTTTGCCTGTCTTATTGTGAAAGTTGAAATGAATATGTTATGCTTGATCCATGTTAGAGATCTTTAGCCTTTTGCTGATGTTTATCTGTTTCTTTTCAGGTTTGGGATGGGAATTGAATTCCGTGAAGGCTCCCTAGTAATCAATAGCAAAAATCAATACAAACTGAAGAAAGGTAAGTTTCACATACAATAGGAAAATGCTTTTGTGAGTTACTTCCTTTAGCTTTATTTTCTTTTAGGCATATGTCTCACACCTCTCCACATTGTCACAGCCACAGACTGATCCTTGTTTTGCTGTTTTAGGAATGGTTTTCAGCATCAATTTAGGATTCTCAGACCTGACTAACAAGGAGGGGAAAAAGCCAGAAGAGAAAACCTATGCCCTGTTCATTGGTGACACAGTGCTTGTGGATGAGGTGTGTATTGTGTCTAAACTTTGGAGTCTTCATGAACTAACTTCTGAGGCACGTTTGTGGACCCTGTGGTTTTTTTCTTGCTTTGTTAAATGCTAGCTAAGGGGAAGAATCCGTGTGACAGCCTAACCTAATGCAGCTAGGAATAGAGACTGTAGCCCAGGTATAGGGAATGATATAAACCTTTAAATCATATTGTCATATTGTGGCTTGAACCTTGATAATGATAATATCAGGAACTAATACTAATAATGAAACCGGTTATTCTTTTTTCTTTTTAATAACAGCTTTATTGAGCTACAATTCACATACTATACAATTCACCCACCTGATATGTACAATTTAGTGATTTTTAGTATTTTCACATTTGTGTAACCATCACTACAATCTAATTTGAAAATATTTTCATCACCTCAGGAAAGAACCCTGAACCTATTAGCAGTCACTCCCCATCCCCCTTCCCTTCCCCCACTGGTTCTTCAGGCCTAGGCAATGACTAAACTGCGTTCTCTCTAAGGATTTGCTAAATATCTGAGCAGTTGATGTAAATTCAGTCATACCCTATGTGGTCTTTTGTGACTGGCTTCTTTCCCTCAGCGAACTGATTTTTAATAATAGTGAGCACAGATAGTTCAGTGTTTTTATCATAAGCTAAGCAGTTTACATTAATTCATTGAAATAGTACCTTGTGAAGTAGATACTCTTATTACCTCCATTTACAGATAAATTGAAGGCACAGACAAGTTTAAGTAACTTGCCAAATGTCACTGAGGTAGAAAGCAACTGAGCCAGGCTTCAAATCAAACCTGTATTAGTGATTACCCAATGTTGCCTCCCAAATTGTAGCTCTTGGCTGGGCGCAGTGGCTCACGCGTGTAATCCTAGCACTTTCGGAGGCCAAGGCAGGTGGATCACCTGAGGTCAGGAGTTTGAGACCAGCCTGACCAACATGGTGAATCCCCGGCCCTACTAAAAATACAAAAATTAGCCAGGTGTGGTGGTGCGCGTCTGTAATTCCAGCTACTCGGGAGGCTGAGGCAGGAGAATCACTTGAATCCGGGAGGCGGAGGTTGCAGTGAGCTGAGGTCACGCCATTGCACTCCAGCCTCGTTGACAAGAGTGAAACTCTGTCTCAAAAAAAAGAAAAAGAAAAAAAATTGTAGCTCCTGACGAGAGGTTAGAGGTTAGAAGGATAAAAACTATATTTATTCATTGTCAAACATTTTAGTGTCCAAAAGATTCAAAGCATTGCCCAGCCGTTTACTAGGTTAGAAAATGAAATTGCCTCTTTTAAATAATGTGTCTTCATTCTCCTTTTAATTCTAGGATGGCCCAGCTACTGTTCTCACTTCTGTGAAGAAGAAAGTGAAGAATGTGGGGATTTTCCTAAAGGTAGGAAGAAGATAGATAAGTAGTATAGGAAGTTTAGGATATAAAGAAGTTAAATAATATTGGCTAAAATAATTAAAATTTCATTTTTTGATTATGACTTTTTCCATAGAATGAAGATGAGGAAGAAGAGGAGGAGGAGAAAGATGAGGCAGAGGACCTTTTGGGAAGAGGTTCTCGGGCAGCATTACTTACAGAAAGAACAAGAGTAAGTTTACTATTTTAAATTACATTGATCTCGGCTGTCATATGGCTCACGTGTTGTGATAAATTGGATTTTCCATTCACCAGAATGAAATGACTGCAGAAGAGAAGCGAAGAGCACATCAGAAAGAACTAGCGGCTCAACTCAATGAAGAAGCAAAGAGGCGATTGACTGAACAAAAGGGAGAACAGCAGATTCAGAAGTAAGAGTTTTCACTGAGCAGTGAGATCATCTGAGGGTTCTGTGGGACTGCAGAAATTTCTCAGTTGTTTTTTTATCCCACTCCAGAGCTCGCAAGTCTAATGTGTCCTATAAAAACCCATCTCTGATGCCTAAGGAACCACATATTCGGGAAATGAAGATCTACATCGATAAGAAATATGAGACTGTAATAATGCCCGTGTTTGGCATTGCAACACCGTTTCACATTGCCACAATCAAGGTACTGACATTCAGTGCATCAGGTTTCATCCAAACTGTTGCTTAAAATAGTAATTGTATTTGCCATAAATAATCTGCATTCATCATGTCTCCCACTTTTGACTCCTTCAGACTCTGTTCAGTTACTGACATCCCTCTTGTCTTGTCATTCTCCTTCCTCTTTCAGTTTTTTTCACTTAGTAGAAAGCTAAACTAGTCTAGAAACATAATTTGCCTATCTTTCTTTCAACTTCGTTTAATCATTGTTTAACTTTTAGTTGTATTCATGGTACAAGGTACTTTGAGAATTCAGAGATTTTTTTGGGAAAAGGATACTTCGTTATTAAAAAGATAAATTATGTAAATTTATTAGATTTAGATTAAGGTTAAGAGCGGTCAATTTGTAACTCCTAACTTAATTTTAACATCTCTGTAACTACTAATCTCTAGGAAAGAAATCTGTTTACTTTTTATGCTTTTCCTTTGAACAGAATATAAGTATGTCCGTGGAAGGAGATTATACTTACTTGCGAATCAACTTTTATTGCCCAGGCAGTGCTCTGGGCAGGAATGAAGGCAACATCTTTCCTAACCCTGAAGCGACTTTTGTCAAGGAAATGTGAGTCCCCAAGAAAAGTCATACCCAGATTCATCTTGTCTGGAGTGGTACTCTCAGAAACATTTCATTGTCTGTGCTACATTTTCCCTACCTAGTAAATGTCAAAGCCTTCCTCATTGGTACTTGTTTCGGATCGCCTTCTTGACTTTGTACTATTTTCAGGATGGATCCCAATTTAGAATCTTCTTGAAGATACTATATATTTACTAAACATATTTTGAGCCTGGGTAATATAGTGAGACCTTGTCTCTTCTAAAAAATAATTAACCAGGGGTGGTGGTGTGCACCCGTCATCCAGCTACTGTGGAGGCTGAGGTGAGAGGATTCCTTGAGCCTGGGAGGTTGAGGCTGCAGTGAGCCCTGATCTTGCCTGTACTCCATCCAGCCTGAGCAACAGAACGAGACCTTGTCTCAAAAAAAAAATAATTATGAAAATAAGTGTTAAAAGTAATAAACATATATTGCAGTAGAATCTTCAAATAAGAAAACTGGTGCCACATTGGATTCTATGATTTCATGGTGTGAAATGGGATAATTTGGGGATGTTATACCAGATTTGAAAAATGAAAAAAGAAGGAATGGGCATGCATGGTGGCTCACGCCTGTAATCCCAGCACTTCGGGAGGCAGAGGCAGGCAGATTACATGAGGCCAGGAGTTCAAGACCAGCCTGGTCAACATGGCAAAACCCTGTATCTGCTAAAAATACAAAAACTAGCCGGGCATGGTGGTGTGTACCTGTAATCCCAGGTACTTGGAAGGCTGAGGTGGGAGGATGGCTTGAACCCAGGAGGCGAAGGTTGCAGTGAGCTAAGATTGGGCCACTGCACTCCAGCCTGGGTGACAGAGGCACACCCTGTCTCAAAAAAAAAAAAAAAAAAAAAAAGCAAAGTAGAGATTAAGCTGCTTAGAAGATAAAGTAAATCAGTACAATTTCCCTGGCCTGAAAAAGAAATGTCTATAAATGCTGTTGCTTTTCTGCAGTACATACCGAGCATCAAATATTAAGGCACCCGGAGAACAGACAGTACCAGCCTTGAACCTTCAGAATGCTTTCCGAATTATTAAAGAAGTACAGAAACGTTATAAAACTCGAGAAGCTGAAGAGAAAGAGAAGGAGGTGAGCCTGAACACAGGCAAAACATTCTTACACAAAGAAGGACATGTATTTTTTGGAGACTTGTAAGGATATGTGACAATTCACATTAATTTTCTTCTTGCTTAGGGGATTGTAAAACAAGACTCACTGGTGATCAATCTAAACCGGAGTAATCCGAAACTGAAAGATCTATACATTCGCCCAAATATTGCCCAAAAGAGGATGCAAGGCTCACTGGAGGCCCATGTCAATGGTATGGATGATCTCTCCTGTACCTAGGCTTTCTCTTCAGGGCACATTTGTTAGGAATGACAGATCAGATAATAAAATATGACAAAGAGCCATCCGCCGGTTAGCTCAGTTGGTTAAAGCATGGTGCTAATAAAGTATGACAAGGAAATGCTGGGAGGAATCTACTTACACTGCTGTGTGGCCAGAAGGAAAGGAAAGCTCTATACAGCTGTTGGTGTTTCCTCTGACCCTGTGCAAATCAGCCAGAAGAGTTGCAGTGCCTTTTGGCCTAACTTAATTATACTGCTTGACATTTCTTCATTCTTTTCCCCAGGCTTCCGCTTCACATCTGTTCGAGGAGACAAAGTGGATATTTTGTACAATAATATTAAGCATGCTTTGTTCCAGCCCTGTGATGGAGAAATGATTATTGTCTTGCACTTTCACCTCAAGGTATACCTTTCTACTTAACTAGCTGTCAGCTCTTGGGCAAGACACTTCATTTCACTCAGCTTCTTTCCTATAAAATAGTGATGAAAGGGCTGGGCGCGGTGGCTCATGCCCACAATCCCAGCACTTTGGGAGGCCGAGGTGGGTGGATCACCTGAGGTCGGGAGTTCGACACCAGCCTGACCAACATGATGAAACCCCGTCTCTACTAAAAATACAAAAATTAGCCAGGCGTAGTGGCCAGCGCCTGTAATCCCAGCTACTTGAGAGGCCGAGGCAGGAAAATTGCTTGAACCTGGGAGGCGGAAGTTGCAGTGAGCCGAGATCGCGCCATTGTACTCCAGCCTGGGCGACAGCGTGTGAAAAACAAAAAACAAAAAAGTGATGAAAAAATCACCTCTCACTTAAGAACATTTAAGAGGATTAAATAAAATAATGCCTCTAAAGGCCACAAGGCCTGGCATCTAGAAGGGGCTCATAAGCATGTTTGTTCCTTTGGTGTGTTATATGGTGGCCAGCAAATGTTTTATACGAGATCTCCAGATTTCTCTTTCTAAAATGAAGTTTTGCTTTAGATAAGATTTGTTACCAACATGATTTCCAAAGTTCCTGTAATAAGTAGGAGCACAGCACTTTTTCAAATGTACACTGTTTCCATTCCCAAGCATCATTATTTATGATGACACCAGGGGTGGTTTAATTATTTTTGCATGCATGCTGTGGAGGCCCAAGTTTGGATCACTGCCATTTCCATCACAGATACCTTTGTGTTTCTGACTTCTGTGTTCTTTCTGTTTTATGCCGACAGAATGCCATCATGTTTGGGAAGAAGCGGCACACGGATGTGCAGTTCTACACAGAAGTGGGAGAGATAACCACGGACTTGGGGAAACATCAGCATATGCATGACCGAGATGACCTCTATGCTGAGCAGGTTTGTGAAATTTAGTATTGTATTTGCAGGATAGTGAGGGAGGATGAGGCCAAATCCAAGCTCAGGGATTGTATTTTATAAACAAACTGGGCTGGCGTGGTGACTCGCGCCTGTAATCCCAGCACTTTGGGAGGCCAACATGGGCAGATCACCTGAGGGTCAGGAGTTCGAGACCAGCCTGGCCAATGTGGTGAAACCCTGTCTGTACTAAAAATACATAAATTAGCTGGGCGTGGTGGGTGGTGGTAGTCCCAGCTAGTCGGGAGGCTAAGGCAGGATAATCACTTGAACCCAAGAGGCAGAGGTTGCAGTGAGCTGAGATAGCGCCACTGCACTCCAGCCTGGGCGACAGAGTGAGACTCCATCTCAATAAATAAATAGCCAGGTGCAGTGGCTCACGCCTATAATCCCAGCACTTTGGGAGGCCAACACAGGCAGATCACGAGGTCAGGAGATCAAGACCATCCTGGCTAACACAGTGAAACGCTGTCTCTACTAAAAATACAAAAAAATTAGCCGGGTGTAGTGGCGGGCTCCTGTAGTCCCAGCTACTCGGGAGGCTGAGGCGGGAGAATGGCATGAACCTGGGAGGCAGAGGTTGTGGGCCAAGATCGCGCCACCGCACTCCAGCCTGGGCGACTAGCAAGACTCCATCTCCAAAAATAAATAAATAAATAAATAAACAACCCTGAATCTGTTTGTGCAGAGCAACTCAAGTATCTGCTGAGATAGGGTATTACAAGAGTTTAGGCTTAGGTTGCAGACTCAGCTTGACAGGTAATGGCATGGTGACCTTAAATATTAAAGGTGTATGTACATGTTAGTTTTATAGTTACGAGAGAATGAAGGGCAACGAAAGCACTTCAGGGATGATCTGTGCAGCAAACCACCATGGCACACGTTTACCTGTGTAACAAACCTGCAAATCCTGCCCATGCACTCCTGAACTTAAAAGTTGGAATTTTTATTTTAAAGCACAAAAGCACTTCAGACTTTTTGAGGGGAGGTACTGTTAACAAATGTGATGGCTGTATTTGATATTTTTTTCTTCTACAGATGGAACGAGAAATGAGGCACAAACTGAAAACAGCCTTTAAAAATTTCATTGAGAAAGTAGAGGCTCTAACTAAGGAGGAACTGGAATTTGAAGTGCCTTTTAGGGACTTGGGGTAACCTATCTTATTTTTGGCTTGAAGTTTGACTGGTCTGTCTTTTGGTACAATAAATTATTCTTCCTTTAATAATAATTTAACATATCATATCCTTTTTTCCTATGACTAATAATCTTTGAGACATCCATTTTTTCTTGAAAATGTTTAAGGGTTTAGGTGAGTGGCTAACTCTTAAGAGGCTTCCTCTGGATGAGTCTCCAGTGAGTATGCTGGAGCTGTTTGGAATGGGGAGAGGGAAGAAGTTTGTCTGTTGTGGTAGGAGCAGTCTCTCTCGTGATGAGCTCAGTCTTAAAAGTTTGTCTCTTCCAGATTTAACGGAGCTCCCTATAGGAGTACCTGCCTCCTTCAGCCCACTAGTAGTGCGCTGGTAAATGCTACGGAATGGGTGAGTGTTTCTTACTTTCTTTTAGTAAGAAAATTGTTAGAGAAAATAAAGAAGGATAGGTGTTTTTTATCCTAATTATTGTCATTTTCATTTTTGATATTTACTTAGACTTAAAACTCATTGAACAAATGTTACTTTTAAAGTCTCTTTAGGGCAGGCATAATGGCTCACACCTGTAATCCCAGCACAATTAGAGGCCAAGGTGGGAGGAACACTTGAGGCCAGGAACTCAAGACCAGTCTGGGCAACATAGCAAGAACCTATCTCTCTTTTTTTTATTTTTTATTTTTTAAGATAATGTCTTTTTAAATAGTTTATTTTAAATGGTTCCTTCACATAGTTTCCTTGAGTTTATTCTCCTTGAGGGATGATTTTTGTATCTTGCAGATCCTTTTTCTGTGGCTTCTTAGTATGTTGTACTGCCTCAGTCTTTCAAAAAAAAAACCAAAAAACAGCTTAAGTTATCTTTTATGTAGTGATTTAGATCATGAAAGTTATTTGAAATATTATTGCTTTGGGGGAAATACTTATATGCTAATGATTCAGTTTCTCCCTGACAGCCACCTTTTGTGGTGACATTGGATGAGGTAGAGCTGATCCACTTTGAGCGGGTCCAGTTTCACCTGAAGAACTTTGATATGGTAATCGTCTACAAGGACTACAGCAAGAAAGTGACCATGATCAACGCCATTCCTGTAGCCTCTCTTGACCCCATCAAGGAATGGTTGAAGTAAGTAAATCTGCCATCAGTCTCCCATTTAGCCCATGAGCCCTGTTTTATAGAATTTGAATGTGGTATGTTGTGCATAAAATCTACTGATATACTTAAAGTGAGACTGCCTTTTGGTTGTTACAGACCAGGACTTGAAAACTTGAGATCTATTAGATAACGGAGCTGTTCACTTTTTCTTGAATTCCCAACAATAGCTTGTGCATACTTAACACAAAGAAAATCAAAATCTAAGATCTTTTTTGTTTTCAGTGTTGCCCAGGCTGGTCTCAAACTCCTGGGCTCAAGCGATCCTCCCACGTCGGTCTCCCAACGTACCAGGATTACAGGCACAAGCCACTGCACCCAGTCAATGTAGAGCATATTTACAATAGCTTTTGAAGCATCCTTTTCTGCTCTTCACCCATTATCTTTATATTTTCTACATATTTTGTAGTGGTGGTGGTGGTGGTTGTTTGAGACAGGGTCTCACTGTGTTGCCCAGGCTCAAGTGTAGTGGTGCAGTCACAGCTCACTGCAGCCTCAAACTCTTGGATTCAGGCAACCTTCCTGCATCAGCATCCCAAGTAGCTGGGACTACAGGCATGTGCTACCACACCCAGCTAATTTTTTTTTACTAGAGATGAGGTTATTCTAGGATGCAGTCAAGTTAGTTGGATTCTGTTTGATCTTTCAAGGCTTGTTCTCAAATGTCTATTAGTGTGGATTTAGAACAGCCTTTAAAAGTTTCACTCAAAAACTTCCAAGTAATTGGCCTTACTACGAGGCAATACTCTTCAGAGTCTGCCTGATGCCCTGTGGATTGTGAGATCTCTCTGCTGAAGCTGGTGGAAAGGTGGTGGAAATAAATCCACTGGAACACGATTTATTTCTAGTTCTGTGTGAGATTGGGAGTTGTCTGTCCTACTGCTTTCCAGTGCTTCTTTATGCAGTTCCAGTTTTCTCATGAATGTGTAGATCATCCCTCCACCAAAGACTTGAGGGGACCCCTCTGCAGATCTCTGGAGCTTTCTCTCTGGGAAACTCTTCCTTCCTGTACTCTTCTCCACAAATTCTAGCTGTCCCAGCCTTCCCAAATCCTACTTTGTCTCAGTTCCTGGAGACCATCAGGTTGTGGTGGATTCTCCCTCCCTGCATAGCAGGCTAGGAATTGCCTCTAGACAGAAAACTGGGGCAAATGTTCAATTAACCCTTGTTGTTTCCTTCTTTCAGGGATTATGGTCTTGTGCTGCTTTTTATCCAATGTCTGAAAACTGTTGTTTCATATTTTGTTTTGTAGTTGTTTAAGGTGGGAAAGTAAATCTAGTCATTGTTACTCCATCATGGCTGGAAGCAGAAGTTGCCGTGTATATTGTCTAAAGTGGATTTATGCCAGTGGTTCTCAGGCAGATTTTATGGTTGTTTGTTTTTATCCTTACTATTGTCATTTCTTTGATTTTTTTCTTCTTACCCACTCTTAACTGATTCAGCCCTCCTCAACAGAAGTGAGAAAGAGAAAGTCATTTGAGCATTGTCTAAATACAGGGCACTTTAGGTACTGGGAAAAAAAATTTGTTCCTACCTTCATACAGATTTTGCATCAAATAAACAACACATAGGAAAGCAGTGAAAGGTTGAAGAAGAAAGGCTAGGGCCATTGAAAATTGTCCCTGTTTCTTTCTTTTTTTTTTTTTTTTTTTTTTTATTATTATTATATATTTTTTTGAGACAGAGTCTCACTCTGTTGCCCAGGCTGGAGTGCAGTGGCACGATCTCGGCTCACTGCAACCTCCACCTCCCAGGTTCAAGCGATTCTCCTGCTTCAGCCTCCCAAGTAGCTGGGACTACAGGCGCGTGCTACCATGCCTGGCTAATTTTTTGTATTTTTAGTAGGACGGGGTTTCACCGTGTTAGCCAAGATGGTCTCGATCTCCTGACCTCGTGATCCGCCTGCCTTGGCCTCCCAAAGTGCTGGGATTACAGGCGTGAGCCACCGCACCCGGCTGAAAATTGTCCCTATTTCTTAACTACAATAGTGAAAAACAGAATCGCAGAAGTGGTTATGAGTTAAGACTACTTAGAAATAAGAATGGAATCAGTGACAGAGAGGGAAAAGCATGGGTGAATAGGAGAGAAGACTAAGTGAAGAAGAGGGAAATTGGTGTTTAAGGAAGAAAATGGGAGAGGATGAGCTCAGACTCAGGTGAAGGAGAAAGCTTGTTTCAGTTGGAATGTTGGTCTGTTGTGAGGGCTAGTGCTCTAGGAGATCAAATAGCAGCCATTGGGACATGATCTGGTGGCATAGTGCAAAGAATATCTGCTCCCAGGCAGGGCGCGGTGGCTCACACCTGTAATCCCAGCACTTTGGGAGGCTGAGGCAGGTTATTCACCTGAAGTCAGGAGTTCTAGACCAGCCTGACCAACATGGCAAAACCCTGTCTCTACTAAAAATATAAAAATTAGCCAGGCATGGTGGCATGCGCCTGTAATCCCAGATACTCGGGAGGCTGAGGCAGGAGAATCACTTGAACCTAGGAGGCAGAGGTTGCAGTGAGCGAAGATTGTGCCACTGCACTCCAGCCTGGGCAACAGAGCAAGACTCTGTCTCAAAAAAAGAAGAAAGAATATATGGAAAATACAGAAGATTGATTTGACTTTGTCATGTCATTTCTCTTAGTTCCTGCGACCTGAAATACACAGAAGGAGTACAGTCCCTCAACTGGACTAAAATCATGAAGACCATTGTTGATGACCCTGAGGGCTTCTTCGAACAAGGTGGCTGGTCTTTCCTGGAGCCTGAGGGTGAGGTGCGTGAGTGTGGGGTTTCTTTTCTGGTACACAGTGTTGCCCGCTATCATTTGGTCAGTTAGAATGGAATATGAGTAGTACATAAGGGACTAGGCCATCTGGGAGAAGCTCTAAACACCACTTGATATTATTGTTTCTTCAAATTGATAAATTGATTGGGCAGTGGTAACTAACTCCTGACAAGATTTCTTGGAAATTACAAAAACTTTTCCTCAATGAGTTTCTTAGCATTTAGGGAAAAATCCTTCAGGGCATTTTGCAAAAATTATTTTTTAAAAAATGATCCACTTAACGTTTGTGTGATACGTAAATACAGAAAGTCTTTCTGTTGTTAATTTCCCTGGGTGAGGAAGGCTAACGTGAATTTTTCAGAAATGTAATAATACATAATAATAGTAAAATAATAATTGCACCTGACCACTAATTTTAAACAAGTCATTTTATCTCTTGATCCCTCAGATTATTTTGCTCTTGTTTTCTTCATGTAAATACTGGTATACTATGTGGGCTGAATTAATTCATTAAGTTAATAAGGTAAATGTCAAAAAAAAATCAGTATTATGCTCTAACTCACCAGGGGAGTGATGCTGAAGAAGGGGATTCAGAGTCTGAAATTGAAGATGAGACTTTTAATCCTTCAGAAGATGACTATGAAGAGGAAGAGGAGGACAGTGATGAAGATTATTCATCAGAAGCAGAAGAGTCAGGTTAGTCTTACAGAGCAAAGTTCGTCCTGGCTTCCTAATCTAATGTCATTTCTGAAAACTACTTTTTTTAGACTAAGAACTCTGTCGTTCCATTCTGTTCCCGCATGATGACTAACGCTTAATTAATTTTCTTCCAGACTATTCTAAGGAGTCATTGGGTAGTGAAGAAGAGAGTGGAAAGGATTGGGATGAACTGGAGGAAGAAGCCCGAAAAGGTTTTTAAAAATGTGTTGTTTTTTATTCATTTGTCTACGCACAAATTTCTAACACATTTCAATATTTTGAGGTGTTAGTATTGATGGCGTAATGAAAGTAACAAAAGAACACTATAAAAGTGCTTTGGAGCCACAGATACAACTTCATTGACTGAAGGAGAAAATGAGGTGTGGAATGTGTCCATACTCTCCAGTGGGCAGTGCTCTGCCAAACTGGATGCTGTTTTCATCTGCGCAAGCCCCCATCTTTCCTATAGCCATGATAGCCACATATTCATGTAATACTCAAGAATTAGCCTACTCAGTTTCCAAACCTAAATCCTATAATACTTTAATTTTCTAGGCTTCTTCCAGGTTAGGCATGTCTTTATAATGCTAATCTAGTTACTCTGAAGCCAAACCCCAAACAAACGTTTTAAAGCTTAAAAGGAAATAAATATTAACTGCTGTGTTCCAAGCATTGGGAATAGGTAGTTTTCATAGGTTACCTTATTTAACCCTTAAATAATTCTCCCTTTTGTAAATAAACCAAGGTTCAGAAAGTACTTGCCCAATATTAAAACTTGGGTCTGATTCCAAAGTGTATTCTCTGTACTATCTCATGCTATCCAGTAATATTAGGTACCTAAAGCTTACCTATTGCTAACTAATAATGCCTCTTCTATTTAGCGGACCGAGAAAGTCGTTACGAGGAAGAAGAAGAACAAAGTCGAAGTATGAGCCGGAAGAGGAAGGCATCTGTGCACAGTTCGGGCCGTGGCTCTAACCGTGGTTCCAGACACAGCTCTGCACCCCCCAAGAAAAAGAGGAAGTAACTTCTGAACTTTGGCCCTGAGCTCCATTCTTCCTCCAGCCAACCCCTGAAAATTTTACATGACATAGAAACTGTATTTTTCCTTTCGTTTTCATTTGAAGTTTTGCCATTTGTGTTTATGGGTTTAGGGGGCCATTTGTGTGGACCAATCTACTCGGGGAATTCCAGGCCCACCAGGACACGTGCCAATGGCCCCATTCAGATGGCAAGGGAGGAGGTGTTCTTGAAGACAGGAGGAGGCTCCCGCTGTTAATAAATATTGTTTCATTCTTCTCTCTTCCTGTCACCTTCTGCCAAGACATTGATGGCTTCTGACATCTTATTTGGTGTCTCAAAGCTGTATTTCCAAGACAGTGGTACAAGGTGACCCTTAATTACCCGTATCATGGTTCTTGACCAGCACATTCAATCCTCCAACCTACCCTACTGCCATGACCTTCCGCACATCTCTAAGTTTTATCTTTGCAATACTCAAGGTTCTCGGAAATTTGCTAATGGTTGTGATAAACCATACAGCTTGAGCCAGTGAGGCAGATTGGGCTGGTGCCTTCGTCTGAGTTTTCCTGCTTTCCTGCCTCGTGCAGATTCTGAGGTATATCTGCTGCCTTGGAAGACATAAGAAGCAGTGATACTCCCTGGCTCGGTTATTTTCTCCATACAATGCACACATGGTACAATGATAGAAGGCAAAATTGCCACTGTCTTCTTTTTTTTCTCATATATCTAAGGAAGATATATCAGGTTGTGCCTCATGTACCGCTTCTAGTGAAATGTAGAGGAAGGCTCAAAGGAGTCAACATTTATATCTGGAAGGGACAAGTCATGCCTTGGGCCTAGAATACCCTGATGAGAAAAGAGAAGAGGAAGGGAGGCCATATCTACAACACAGCCTCTCGGCACTGCTGCTCCTTATTTTAACTTTGTCTTGCATTGTCCTGTATTTATCACAGTTTCTGTTGAACAGCTTTTCAAGTATTTGGGGAGTTTATCTTGCCATCCTCCCCTTCTGGTTCTCTGCACCCACCTGTCCCACTGCAGTTCCTTCCGTGCTCTGTGACTTTAAGAGAAGAAGGGGGGAGGGGTCCCGGATTTTATGTTTGTTTGTTTTTTCTCCTTAGCAGTAGGACTTGATATTTTCAATTTTGGAAGAACTAAAAGATGAATAAACTGGGTTTTTTTTGTTGTTTGTTTTTGTAAATTCACCTGTGACCGTTCATTTTCAGTTCTTGAAAGCAAGCCTGCTTCCTGCCTGGTAAAGTGCTAAGGTACTGGAGAAAAATGCCTTTAGCTAGCTAGTTTTACAAATGAAACTTTCATCATTCTAAACTTTCATCATTAGATTGAGAGACACTAGACATCACAGTAAACCAAATTCATGTTATAGCAAGCTAACTTTATAAGAGACTTTTTACTATGGTTCCCTCAGAGACTTTTAGATTGGAATAGCACTTGTTCCTTCATGAAAACAAATCTTCAGTCATCTCCTTGTAAATAGCATGGAGGACAGCAGCTGCTTGAAGGGAAACCTTCAGCCTTCCTATTGGGGTAGCCAGATCTTCAGGGCTAACAACTGTTGGGAAAGGGAAAAAAACAGCATCACTCAGTTGAACACTTTGATACTTGGTATTTGTCAGGTTAGGTACTGGGGATGCTAAATGAATGAAATTACCCATTTCATAAGAGGACTCAATCTAGTGAAGGAGAAAGGAAAATGGTATAGTGTATAGGTGCTATATAATAAATGGAAGCACAAGTTGCTTTGGGGACATAACGAGGCATCTGCACCAGAATGGACAAATTGGAAAGGATTTCTGGAGAAATCACCAGAAAAGTCTTAAGTGGATTTTCCCTGTGCACATACAAATGGCATGGAGGTCAGGAAGAACATAGCATGTTTAGGAATGGGGATAGGAGTGAGTTGGAAAATAGCCCACAAAGATAACGTCACTTGCCTTATGCCAGGCACTACCCTAAGCCCCTTAATCCCTTATTTAAGTGCTTCCTTAATCTTCACAACTCAGTAAGATAGAGACTGCTGTTATTCCCGTTTTATAGATGAGGAAAAAGACTAAGGATCACAGTTGGAAAGATACTAGAGGAATATAATTAGAATCTTATCTAACATTTGAACTTTGTAAACCTTAGGGTCTGAGGAGTATTCCTCAAAAAATGTTTATAATGATCAGTAAGAATAATTTTATACCATGATTCATTAAACAATACATAAAACAAGTTTCACAAGACAATATGTGCTATGTACTCTTAATTCCTGTTTTCTTTTTTTTTTTTTTTTTTTTGGAGACAGAGTCTTGTTCTGTCACCCAGGCTGGAGTGCGGTGACTTGATCTCAGCTCACTGCAACCTCCGCCTCCCGGGTTCAAGCAATTCTGCCTCATCCTTCCGAGTAGCTGGGATTACAGGTGTCCGCCGCCATGCCTGGCTAATTTTTTTTGTATTTTTAGTAGAGATGGGGTTTCACCATATTGGCCAGGCTGGTCTCGAACTCCTGACCTCAGGTGATCCGCCCATCTCGGCATCCCAAAGTGCTGGGATTACAGGCATGAGCCACCTCGCCTGGCCTTTAATTCCTGTTTTCTTTCCCACAGTTTTGGTTTGCATTTTTCAAATTTCCTTGTGATTTACTAATTCAGTTTCACATCCACTAATGGGGTGTGTGTCTGGAAGTTTGAAAAACATTGATCTAGTGGATAATCTTAAGTGTCTGAAGGTCCTAGCAGATAAGATAGGTGACATCCCAGCTATGTAAGGTAATGGGAACAGTGAAGACTGGACAGCGCAGTCCCAACTAAAGGTACTCAAATACAAATGTTTTTAAAACATGCTGATCTATAGCAAACTGTAAAAGGATTTAAGAAGAAGGCAGTGATCAAATGTATTATGTATTTACTATAGTAGATGGAAATGGGGTAGAAGAAACCGGTGGCAGGAAGACCAGTTTAGAAATTATATGGCTGGGCGCGGTGGCTCACGCCTGTAATCCCAGCACTTTGGGAGGCTGAGTGGAGGGCGAATCACATGAGGTTGGGAGTTCGAGACCAGCCTGACCAACATGAAGAAACCCCATCTCTACTAAATATACAAAATTAGCTGGGCGTGGTGGTTCATGCCTGTAATCCCAGCTACTAGGGAGGCTGAGGCAGGAAAATCGCTTGATTAAGAAAGAGGCAGAGGTTGTGGTGAGCTGAGATCGGTCCATTGCACTCCAGCCTGGGCAACAAGAGCAAGACTCCATCTCAAAAAAAAAAAAAAAAAAGAAAGAAATTATAGTAATTATATTTAAGGAGGCCGGGCGCAGTGGTTTATGCCTGTAATGCCAACACTTTGGGAGGCAAAAGAGGGTGGATTGCTTGAGTCCAAGAGTTCGAGACCAGCCTGGGCAACATGGTGAAAGCCCGTCTCTACTAAAAATACAAAAATTAGCTGGCGTGGTGGCAGGTGCCTGTAGTCCCAGCTACCCAGGAGGTTGAGGCAGGAGAATCGCTTTAACCTGGGAGGTGGAGGTTGCAGTGAGCCGAGATCACACCACTGCACTCCAGCCTGGGCAACAGAGAGAGACTCTGTCTCAAAAAAAAAAAAAAAAAAAATTGTAGTAAGGAGAGCATAGTCAATTCACAAGTAGAATGGATAAGACTTAATGACCAGTGAATGTGAGGAAAGAGGAGACAGTTAATGTCTTTTTAAGAGACAAGATGGGCCAGGTGCAGTGGCTCACACCTGCAATCCCAGCACTTTGGGAGGCCAAGGCAAGCAGATCACTTGAGGTCAGGAGTTCGAGACCAGTCTGGCCAACATGGTAAAACACGGTCTCTACTAAAAATACAAAAATTAGCCAGGCATGGTGGCACACCATGGAAGCTGAGGCAGGAAGCTGAGGCAGGAGAACAGCTGGAACCTGGGAGGCAGAGGTTGCAGTGAGCTGAGATCACACCACTGCACTCCAGCCTGGGCGACAGAGTGAGGCTCCATCTCAAAAAAAAAAAAAAAAAAAAGACTGGATGCATGATAACATAAAGAATGGGCATCAGCTGCCTATACGAAAATGCTCAAGAGAGGTCCAAAATTCTGATGTATAAATTTGAAATGAAAATAACTTGTCTTTTTAAAAATCTCCTTTTCAAACATTGTAGATTCAAAATCAATTCTAGTTGTAATCAGGTATATGGGGGTAAAAATACACAACTGACTACTTTAATGTTGGATCCAGAAATAAATACAGTTGTAGGGATAAGATTTCAATCCACTTTGTGTCTTATCAACTTCATAGTAATAATTATGTATTGAAGATAAAATATATTCACTATTAGGATGATTTCCTTGGAAATAATTAGAACTGAAAAAAAAATGACTCACTGTCTAGCTCTTGCTCTAGAATATCTCTTCCTGACTCCAGGATCTGCCACAGTTGAAGATATGCATATCCCACTTCTTCACATTCTTTCTTTTCTTCATCCAGAGGATCACTTACCACTGTAAACTTTAAACTAAAAAGAAATTGCATTTAATTCAGCACTGTTGATACTCTTAATGCTTCAAAAATAAAATAAGGATAAAAGTAATCATAAACAATACAACGTCTTCTCTGAATCACTTTTCCCTTGCCTCCATTTTACAAAATGACAATAAGCAAAAAAGTCAGGAATTGGTATAATTTAAGCAGTAACAGTCCTTTTAGAAGAGGGAACATCATGGGATGTGCCCATGAGTTCAAGACCAGCCTGGGTAACATAGGAACACCCCGTCTCTACAAAAAAAATAAAAAATTAGCCGGGCATGGTGGCACACACCTATAGTCCCAGCTACTTGGAAGGCTGAGGTGAGATCACTTGAGCCCAGGAGGTCGAGGATGCAGTGGGCTGTGTTCATGCCACTGCACTTCAACCTGGGTGACAGAACGAGACCCAGTCTCTAAAAGAAAAAAGAAAAAGAAACCCTGTACTGATTAAGCAGTCACTCCCCATTCTCCTTCCCTAGCTCCTGAACCACTAATCTACTTTCTATCTCTCTGGATTTGCCTATTCTTGATTTTTCATATTTTTATTAATTTTTAAAAGCAAATATTGGTAGCTAATACAGAGTGCCAGGAATAGGACTAAAAATTCAAGCTTTTAAAAGCACAGCTAAATATGATTAAACTGAAACAAAGGAATTACTTTAAAGGGATCCATTCTCAGCCCATTAGGCAATATTCATTTGTAACTATGTTTCTATGTCATTATTGAGAACTTCAACAATGCGAAGTGATAATGCTGACTCCCTCATCCCAATTTGCATAGGAAAGGGATGATAACTAGCATTACAATGTGCCGGGCACAATACCAAGTGCTTTATGTAAACTATATTAGCTCAATTTTATTCTCACAAGAGCCTTCAAATTAAGTAATATCAAAAAGATCAAAGAGCTAGTAAGTCAAAGAGTCTGGAATAAAAACAAGGTTGGTCTGATTACAAAGCCTGCTCTGTCTGCTAGACCATACTGGCAAAAAGAAAGCCAAAGGTAATACCAATCGAATCTAAAATTGAGTAGAAAATGATTATCACTGTAAGGGAATAAAGGAAGAGAGAGTTCTGGAAATGCTGGGGAAAAAAAAGTGAAAGCTAAATTTGACATTAGCACAGAAAGGAAAGAACCAAATCACTTTCCATGTCCAAAAGTTCTCTGTAAGCTTACATCTGTTTAAGCCCACAGTGATGCTGAAGTCAGAGTCACTGTTTATTTCATCTGGCTCCTTTTTCAGTTCTTTCTATGACTAACCAAAGACAAAGTAAAAGCAGATGAAACAAAAGTATTGGGCCTTTCAAAAAGTAATTAAAACACCAGGTCGGGCACAGTGGCTCATGCCTATAATCCCAGCACTTTGGGAGGCAGGGCAGGAGGACTGCTTCAGCCCAGGAGCTGAAAGACCAGCTGGGCAACATAGTGAGATCCTGTCTCTAAAACAAACAAACAAAAAAATTAAAAATAAGATAAAACACCAGCCCCATATTATTTCTTATGCACACACATGCACAGGCGGTATGGATAACAGATTTCAAAAACAAAAACCATATGCCTATTTAAATTTGAATTTCAGCTAAACAACAAATAACTTTTTTTTTTCCTTAGAGGCAGAGTCTGCTTTGTCACCCAGGTTGGAGTGCAGTGGCACAATCTTAGCTCACTGCAACCTCCGCCTCCCAAATTCAAATGATTCTCATGCCTCAGCCTCCTGAGTAGCTAGAATTACCAGCATGTGCCACCATGCCTAGCTGATTTTTTTGTGTTTTTAGTAGAGATGGGGTTTCACCATGTCGGCCAGGCTGGTCTCAAACTCCTGGCCTCAAGTGATCTGCCCGCCTCAGCCTCCCAAAGTGCTGGGATTACAGATGTGAGCCACTGCACCCGACCAAATAATTTTTTTTTGGGTATGTCCCACATTTTATCTGGAAACTCTGAAAGGAGGCCTTCTTCAGATTATTGGAATAATAAGGACAACCAGCTTTCCTAAAACTTTAAAGGAGATCTAAAATTCACTTAGTTATGTCAACATCAAAAAATTCCTGTTGACCAGGTGTGGTCACTCACGCCTGTAATCCCAACACTTTGGGAGTCTGAGGCAGAAGGATCACCTGGGGTTGGGATCAGCCTGGCCAACATGGCAAAACCCTGTCTCTACTAAAAATACAAAAATTAGCCAGGCAAGTGGCGTGCACCTGTCATCCCAGCTACTTGGGAGGCTCAGGCAGAAGAATCGCTTGAACCCAGGAGGTGGAGGTTGCAGTGAGCCAAGATTGTACCACTGCACTCCAGCCTGGACAACAGAGTGAGACACTGTCTCAAAAAAAAGAAGAATGTCAACACTTTTTGTTATTCCATTTGGGCATTGTCAATATTCAAGTAAACTGCTGCTACAAAAAAAGGGCCCATCAGGCTGGCATGGGTGAGAAATGAACTAAACCTATAAGACTATGGGCTGGACACGGTGGCTCACGCCTGTAATCCCAGCACTCTGGGAGGCCGAGGAGGGCAGATCGCTTGAGCGCAGGAGTTCAAGACCAGACATGAGCAACACGGCAAAACCCTATCTCTACTACAAACACAAAAAATTAGCCAGGCATGGTGGCACATGCCTATAACCCTAGCTACTTGGGAGGCAGAGGCACAAGAATCCCTTGAGCCTGGGGAGGTGGAGGTTGCAGTGAGCCAAGATCGCACCACTGCACTCTAGCCTGGACGACAGAGTGAGACCCTGTCTCGAAAATAAATAAATAAATAAATAAATAAATAACCTATAAGATTAGGTAATGGATTAGGTAGTCACAAATATAAATTATACTCAAGTACATAGGAAATTCATTAAGAGTAAATTAACTCAAAAAAGTTATTAAAATATTCAGCATCAGCACAAAACCAAACTCAAACTTTTGAATTTCTGTCTCAATATCTCCTTTGTTTCAAAGTGGAAAGCAGATGCTTACTGTCCTTGATCAGGATCTTGTCCATTCAGCATGTCGAACAGAAACCGCCTTCGGCCTTGCTGCTCCTGTGGGTCCAGGTCTATTACTGTATTAAGGGTAAGAGAAAAAAGCAAAGAATCATATACTGTTGCAGTGTGAGCCCCAAGACTTTCATTAGTGGTATTCATGGTAGTTTTCATAAAAAGATTAGACTCCTTGCCTGGATCTAGAATAACATGGACCAACTGCTTTGAAAATCATTTGTGTGTGTGTGTGTGTGACAGATTCTTACTGTGTCAGGCTAGAGTGCAGTGGCGTGATCTTGGTTCACCGCAGTCTCCATCTCCCAAGTTCAAGCGATTCTCCTGCCTCAGCCTCCCGAGTAGTTGGGATTACAGGTGCACCCCACCATGCCCGGCTAATTTTTGTATTTTTAGTAGAGACAGGGTTTTGCCACGTTGGCCAGGCTGGTCTCCAACTTCTGACCTCAAGTAATCTGCCCGCCTTGGCTTCCCAAAGTGCTGGGATTACAGGCATGAGCCACTGCACCCAGGCTCCTTCGAAATTCTGAATGAAAAAGATTTCCACACTTGAATCAAATATGAGGGTAGGAAAAAAAGATTTCATGCACGACTTTCTCAAATTTTCACTTGTGATATGCCCTTTCTTTAAAAACTACTGAAAATATGATCCATTAAAATAAGAAAATAAATTAGAGGATAACCAGGAGATAAGAAATCTGGTATAGGAGAGAATTTGATCGTATTCTCCATGAGCAGCAGTAATAATGAAACAGTGGGCTAGAGCAGAACAAGAGGATGGAGAGAGGTCTTCAGGAAAAAAATAGATGAGTAGATAATTTGACAGGTTTGATTATTTCAAAATTTGGGAAGACTGTTGAAGGACACGAAAATAATTACAATATGTATAATGAAAATAAGGCGAATGAAAAATTGCTGCAAAAAATACGTGTAAAGAAATATAATCATTGCATACTACTTGGTTCTGCAAGAATTAATATTTACATATCCATAATAACAGAACCAATTTAAATGGATTTAAATAAAAATTATGATACAATTACGATGGGAAGGAAAGGGACATGAGTGTAGTGCAAAAGAGCTAACTTTTAAGGTCCGAGATAGGAAGTCTAAAGCCGGTGAATCAGGAGATTGCAATAGAAATGTTACTCAGAAGCCAGGTATGGTGGCTCACGCCTGTAATTCCAGCTACTCAGGAGGCTGAGGCAGGAGAATCATTTGAGTCCAGGAGTTTGAAACCAGCCTGAGCAACATGTTCAGACTCCATCTCAAAAAAAAAAAAAAAAAAAAAAAAAAAAAAAAAAAAAAAAACAGGAAAAGAGGAAGAACAAAAATCAATACTCAGAAATATGATGGAAGTAAATAACAGAAGAAATGGCTGAGATAGGATGGGCTTGGTGGCTCACGCCTATAATCCCAGCACTTTGGGAGGCCAAGGCAGGCAGATCACTTGAGGTCAGGAGTTTGAGACCAGCCTGGCCAAAATGGTGAAACCCCGCCTCTACTAAAAACACAAAAAACTAGCCAGGCACGGTGGCGCACACCTGCAATCCCAGCTACTTGGGAGGCTGAGTCACGTGAATCGCTTGAATCTCGGAGTCAGAGGTGGCAGTGAGCCAAGATCACACCACTGCATTCTAGCCTGGGCAACAGAGCGAGACTCCACCTCAAAAAGTAAAAATAAATATAGCTGAAATGTGGGAAGCCGTGGATTGAGGAAGGGTGGGAACAGGCGAAGTGATCTGTGAAGAGCTGGGACAAAGGCCTGCTTCATGTAAAATGTTTAGCCCCATTCGATGTTTTTAAACCACATGCACACAACACTTTGAACAATAAAATAATAAAGTGAAATGGCTGGATTCACCCCACAAAAATCCAGAGTAATTCTGACCCTCAGTCTCAATGTTCATCAGACTTCCTCACCCCAGTAACCACACAGGATGCCTCACCCTTGCTAAAGTGAAAGTGGATTTCTTCTCCTGCCCTAGGCTTCCTTAGGGACACTGGAGTCTCTGTCTCCGACAAGGGTAGGTCGTAGAATTTGTACTCCACATACACCTGTTTTATGTTCTCATCAGACATCACTTCTGCCTCTGGGTAGAAGGCCAGGGAGACAATTTCAATGCACATCTTCTCTGAATCCTGATAAGGAAAATGTTTATTTAGTTCCTAAAGGTTAGTGAGGCTCCAAGTGCTTATACGCCATCCAATTAACCCATTACGGTACTCTCTAGAAATCAACCATAGGTATAATCTATCTACTATATTATTCCCTGAGAATCCTTTTATAGGTAAAACTGGCATCAAAAGACAACTTGACTTAATTGCCATAGTTAATTGATAGGAAATTTATAAAGAGAACCCAGCTCTTCTCTCTCACAGTCCAGTGGATCATTTCTCCAGGACAGCCTTTCTCAGTCATCTCCACATATAGAAAGAATAAAAAAAAATGTCTGATTCGGAGCGGCGGGGAGGGTGGATGATGGGAGGTTGCTTGGTGGGAACAATGTGCGTCGCTCCAGGCTTCACCACAGTGGAATATATAAATGCAGCAAAACTGTGCTTGTACCCGATGATTATATACAAATAAATAAATTTCTAAACAGCTATTTCTCAACTTTTTTTTTTTTTTTTGAGACAGAGTCTTGCTTTGTTGCCCAGGCTGGAGGGCAGTTGTGTGATCATGGTTCACTGCAGCTTTGACATCCTGATCTCAAGCAGTCTTCCCACCTTAGTCACCCAAGTAGCTAGGACCACAGGTACACCACCACATAGGGACAATTATTTTTATTTTTTTAATAGAGATATGGTCTTGCTATGTTGCCCACGATGGTCTAGAACTCCTGGACTCAAGCAATCTGTCCACCTCAGCCTCCCAAAGTGGCTGAGATGAGAGGCATGAACCACTGCAACTGGCCACAGTGTTCTTCATGAAAACCAAGCTAGTATTTTCCTGAGGTTAGGACCTAAAAGACCTCCTGACTGATACTGGAGATTCAGTAGCTGCTTCAGCCACTATAGCAAAGAGCTGCCCAGGGCTTCCCATGCCCACTCAAGTGCATGCCACTGAGGAGGCCACCAGACCACCCTGCCCTCCCACAGGAACTCCAGTCTTTTTTTTTTTTTTTGAGACAGTGTCTCCCTCTGTCGCCCAGGCTGGAGTGCAGTGGCACGATCTCGGCTCACAGCAAGCTCTTCTTCCCGGGTTCCCGCCATTCTCCTGCCTCAGCCTCCCGAGTAGCTGGGACTACAGGCACCCGCCACCACACCCGGCTAATTTTTTGTATTTTTAGTAGAGACGGGGTTTAGTTAGCCAGGATGGTCTCGATCTCCTGACCTCGTGATCCACCCGCCTCGGCCTCCCAAAGTGCTGGGATTACAGTCGTGAGCCGCCGCGCCTGGCCAGGAACTCCAATATTTTCAATCCCACTTCACAGTCGCTGCCATCACCCTGTCCTTTCTTTTAATTGTCCCTGTGTCCATGTTGGCATCAGGGATACCAGGAGGAAGTTTCCAGAAGTACACCAAGGCCAACAGAAGTCTCCTCCTTCCACAGTGTGGCAGGCAAGTCAGTATCGTGACACCAGTAATGAGTCAATCCAGGATGGTTCCCTACCAGCCATAGCGCTCTCCCCTCTATCTGTGAGTGCCCTCCTGTATGCTTCTTTTCACTAGCTGGCCAGGCCAATGCCCTTACTTCTCCAAAGACCGGCTCTTACCCCATCTTTTCTTCTCTTAGAAAGCAAGTGGAGCTCCTGTGCCTGCCCCTAAGAAATTCAGCAGGCAAGATCTCTCAATGATTCTGCATCAGAATCATCTGGGGTGCTTCTTAAAAATGAAGATATTTGGCGGGGTGCAGAGGCTCACACCTGTAATACCAGCATTTTGGGAGGCCGAGGCGGGCAGTTGACCTGAGGTCAGGAGTTCAAAACCAGCCTGGCCAACATGGTGAAACCGCATCTCTATTAAAAATACAAAAATTAGCCAGGCATGGTGGCTCATGCCTGTAATCCCAGCTACTCGGGAGGCTGACATGAGAATCACTTGAACCTAGGAGGTGGAGGTTGCAGTGCCACTGCACTCCAGCCTGGGCAACAGAGTGAGACTGGGTCTCAAAAAACAAACAAACAAACAAAAAAACGATATTTGATGTTTTTCTCTTAATAACCCTCCCATAACATCCAACTCTCCCAAACATCAAGAAAACTATTGACTATACAGTGTTTTGAAAAATCTGGTTTTTTTTTGACACTTTGATGGGTCAGATTAGCGGGTTTCACTAGCTTTTTAAAAAAGAAACAATAGGATAGGATAGACAGGATAAGACACTATCTAGTGGAATAGGAGAATGCATGGCAAATGTTAATAGTAAGCCTGGTTTCTTGAAACTTGTTCTTTTATAAGAGTATTGGATACTGCAGAAATGTATTTCTCATAGTGATTGCTATAAAAAATGTATAAAAGCCTCTGTGTTATATCAGACTGTCTAGAGTGGCTCCTGGGAATCTGTATTTATTTATTTAGAGATGGAGTCTAGCACTGTTGCCCAGGCTGGAGTGCAACGGTGCGACGTCGGCTCACTGCAACCTCTGACTCCCAGGTTCAAGCGATTCTCCTGCCCCAGCCTCCTGAGTAGCTGGGACTACAGGCATGTGCCACCATGCCCGACTAATTTTTATATTTTCAGTAGAGACGGGGTTTCACCATGTTGCCCAGGCTGGTCTCGAACTCCTGGCCTCAAGTGATCCACCCACCTCGGCCTCCCAAAGTGTTGGGACTACAGGCGTGAGCCATTGCGCCCGGCCCCATTAAAGTCTCTACCGAGTATCTAGTGCCTGGCACAATGCCTGGCATAATGTCTGGCACACAGTATACACTCAGTAAAACTGTATTAAATATTCCCTTGAGCAAGCTCTTCTCCCTAGACTTCACTGTCCTCCTTTGAAAGGGGGTGGGGGAATAATAATATACATGTGTGCAAGAGAAACTTTAATTTTCTTTTGATTTCCCACTCCTCAGGTAAATCAAACTCTTTCCTACCTCAGGGCCTTTACACTTACCAATTCCTTTGCCTGAGATGAGTACAGTCTACCCAGTACATGGGTAGCTCTTCCCTTCTCGTTCTTCAGATTTCAGTTCAAACGTCCCCTCCTCAGAGAAATCTTTCCTCAACACCTATCCTAGTTCAACTCCTCGCATTGCTATTATATCGCCCTATTTATTTCCTTCATAGTACTTAGAATCTCAGAGCTATCTGCTTTACTTATTTGCTCACTGATGTACATATTTTCCCTCAGTAGTATGTAAGATTCAAGAGAGAAGAGACCAAGTCTGTCTTATCCACCATTTTGTGCCCACAGAGCCCGGCAGTTACTAAAACAGGCACTTCATAATTACTTGAAGGAAAGAATAACTCATAAGGCTGCTGTGAAGCCCGAGAGAGTCATGAATATCAAGCACTTGGCACACAGTATGAAATCTCAATCATTACCCATTAGAGTTCTGTCTAAACGAAAGGTCATGTATTATTTTAATGCAATATCGATCAGCAGTTAAGACGAAGGAACTATAAAAAGCTAAATATATCGACATGGATAGAACCCCAAAACATTATTGATTGAAAAATACATGTTTCATAACATTACCAAAAAAGAAGAAAAAAGAGTAAAACTAAATAAACATTACATAGCACCTTCCTGTACATCTAAAATTATTTTTCTTTTTTTTCTTTTTGAGACCGAGTTTCGCTCTGTCACCAGGCTGGAGTGCAGGGGAACCATCTCGGCTCACTGCAACCTCCGACTCCTTGGTTCAAACCATTCTCCTTTCTCCGCCTTTCGAGTAGCCAGGATTACAAGCACGCGCCACCACGCCCAGCTAATTTTTGTATTTTTAGTAGAGACGGGGTTTCACCATGTTGGCCAGGATGGACTCGATCTCCTGACCTCATGATCAGCCCACCTCGGCCTCCCAAAGTGCTAGAATTACAGGCGTGAGCCACCACACCTGCCTAGTTAAAAAAACAAAACAAAACAATTTTTTGAGATAGAGTCTTGCTCTGTCGCCCAGGCTGGAGTGCAGTGGTGCAATCTTGGCTCACTGCAACCTCCACCTCCTGGGCTCAAGCGATTCTCCTGCCTCAACCTCCTGAGTAGCTGGGATTACAGGCACCCGTCATCACGCCCGGCTAATTTTTGTATTTTTGTAGACAGGGTTTCACCATGTTGGCCAGGCTTGTCTCGAACTCCTGACCTCAGGTGATCCGCCCGCCTCGACCTCCCAAAGTGCTGGGATTACAGGCGTGAGCCACCACACCCAGCAAATTTTTTAAACTTGCTAATAATCCTGGGACAATAATCAGAAGTCCATATTCATGCAGACTACATCAAGTTTATTCTGGTAACAATGGTGAAATGGGAGGATGAATAAGATTAAAATTTGATCCAAGTACACACAGATGTTTTATTCATTCATATTAGGTTGGACTATACAGAACTGACAATTGTCAACCATTTTTTATCTATGAGTATGACAATATATGGTTCAATCTAATATTTTTTGTTGGATTCAGAATACTTTCTTTACATGAGCTAATTCCATTATGTAATTTTATTGGGGCTGAACAGCAAAGAAAGTATGCAATTAGTAATATTAACCATTGAAATATATATCAACTCATTTGAACTTGCTGGCAGAAACCCTGCAAGGATTAGTGCCAGATAACACCCTTTGGCTTATTAGCTCAGATGTGCCACCTAATTTGGCTGGGGGGCAGGGCTGCCAAAACTTACTACCTGGCATACATAAGGGTCAGGAAATTCCTGACACCTGAAATTGACACGATAAGAGAAAAAATTTTGAGGTTCTCGATATTCACTATTGCTAAAGAAACAGTAATCTGGGACCATAGAGCAAATGAAAATGATTGCTCCCTCCTCATTAGTAACTGTTAAGAAGAGGGAGGCCAGGAGCGGTGGCTCACGCCTGTAATCCCGGCACTTTGGGAGGCCGAGGCGGGCAGATCACGAGGTCAGGAGATTGAGACCATCCTGGCTAACACGGTGAAACCCCATCTCTACTAAAAATACAAAAAATTAGCCAGGCATGGTGGCGTGCGCCTGTAGTCCCAGCTACTCGGGAGGGTGAGACAGGAGAATTGCTTGAACCTGGGGGGCGGAGGTTGCAGTGAGCCGATATCGCACCACTGCACTCTAGCCTGGGTGACAGAGCAAGACTAGGTCTCAAAACAAAAAAATTAGCTGGACGTGACAGCGTGTGTCTGTAGTCCCAGCTACTTGGGAAGCTGAGGCAGGAGAGTCGCTTGAACCCGGGAGGCGGAGGTTGCAGTTAGCCAAGATGGTGCCACTGCACTCCAGCCTGGGTGACAGAGCGAGACTCTAAAAAAAAAAAAAAAAAAAAAAAAATGCTTAACCTAGGCCGGGCGCAGTGGCTCATACCTGTAAATTCCAGCACTTTGGGAGGCCGAGGTGGGTGGATCACCTGAGGTCAGGAGTTTGAGACCAGCCTGGCCAACATAGTGAAACTCCGTCTCTACTAAAAATACAAAAATTAGCTGGTCGTGGTGACACACACCTGTGGTCCCAGCTACTCGGGAGCCTGTGGCAGGAGAATCTCTTGAACCTGGGAGGCAGAGGTTGCAGTAAGCCGAGATTGCGCCACTGCACGCACTCCAGCCTGGGCAACAGAACAAGACTCTATCTCAAAAAAAAAAAAAAAAAGCTTAACATTGAGAACTCCAGTAGGTCAGAGAAATGAGACTACTATTATCATCACACTCATCCTCACTATCATTTAGGGCTTAATTTGTCTCGGGCACTGTATTAAACCCTTATTTTAATCTTGCCACATCAGTATCAGATGGGTATACTTAATACTACCATTTTACAGATAAGGAGACAAGGCCTAATAGAGGTTAAAAAACTCTCTCAAAGCTGTATATCTAGTTAAGTAGCAGAGCTGGGATCTAAATCACTGTCTCAACCAAATCTCCATGCTCTTAAACATTACACTCTACTGCATTTCCATTTATCCCAGCTGACCCCAGGCAGAAGAGTGACAGAACTCAAGTTTTGACTCTGAGCTTTCAACCCCCTCTACCTTTCATGCCTGGACATTTTGGAATATAACAATAATTTAATATATATGTGCCTGTGTTGTACGTTTAACTTGATAATAACACTAATTTTTTGCTTAGATAGGCTCCTTTCTCATATTTAATTTCTCAAGTAACACTTTGGGGCACACAAGGAAGTTTTCTAAAAGGATATCTTACTTAGGAGCCTTTAATTTAGGTAATGTTTTTAATGAAATCTGGCTGGCTTGTTACAGTTCAAGATGAGTTTGCTGATCAGCTGGCTGCTTTTTTTGGTTACTTGAGAGGTTGCGCAGTTTAAAAACCTCAACTGGAGTTTCAGCTCTTTCACTAACTCAATAATCCTGTACACATCATTTAATCTTCTTTACCTTGGTAATATAGAAGTGTTATCTAATTCCAACATTCTGTGGCTCCAGTCTGTCTTACAAACACTTGTCAGATAACTACATAATATCTAAAAAAAGATATGATAGATAAAAGTTCAGACAAAGAGAAACTTAACTGGTTTTGTCGTTGCTGTTGTTTTTGAGACAGGGTCTCTCTCTGTCACCTAAGCTAGAGTGCAGTGGCAAGATCATGGCTCACTGCAGCCTCAAACTCTCAGGCTCAAGCAATCCTCTCACCTCAGCCTCCCAAATACTTAGGACTTCAGATGTGAGCCAACACGCCTAGCTAGTTTTTAAATTTTATGTAGAGACAGTTGTCTTGCTGTGTTGCTCAGGCTGGTCTTGATTCCTGGCCTCAAGCAATCTGCCTGCCTCAGTTTCCCAAAGTGCTGGGATTACAAGTGTGAGCCACCACACCTCAGCTGAAATTGAACTATGTGTTATATTCAGTGTTTAAGTCTACTGACTTTGAGTTTTTTCTCCTCACTCCAATATCCTTCATTTTCCTGCAGTTCTCAAGCACATGTTCCAGCTTTCAAGGAAGAGTTTTCCAACCTCTACAAAAGAAACCATAAATTCCCTTTTCTGATTTCTTACAACAGACTTTATATTACACAATCTACCTCCTTGGTTTTAGGTCATCCTACATTCTTATTTAATGTTTCTAATGAAGTTCATAATCATCAATTCACTCTGAATCTATTATTCAGTCACTCACTCAACAAATATTGAGGACCTACAAATGTGTCAGGCAGCAGCGACTTAAGAGTAATTGTTTTCTACCTCATGTGTAACCCACAAGGTTAGAACACAATGATTACTGAATATATGTGTGGATATTTATTAATATATGTGTGTCTCTTTTTTTTGAGACGTAGTCTCGCTCTGTCGCCCAGGCTGGAGTGCAAGCTCTGCCTCCTGGGTTCACGCCATTCTCCTGCCTCAGCCTCCCGAGTAGCTGGGACTACAGGTGCCAGCCACCACGCCCGGCTAATTTTTTTGTATTTTTAGTAGAGACGGGGTTTCACCGTGTTAGCCAGGATGGTCTCGATCTCCTGACCTCGTGATCCACCCGTCTCGGCCTCCCAAAGCGCTGGGATTACAGGCGTGAGCCACCGCAACCGGCTTTTTTTTCTTTTTTATATTTTTTTGATGCGTGTCTCTTAAATCAGTTCTGAAAGAGCTTTGAGGCTGAACTGTTTAATAGATAATTACAGGTTGAGTAAAAAACAGCAGAAATGGAATGATCTCCATGAGCCCTCCCATGAAGAATCCTGTCCTCTCTTCCAGACTCCATCTCCCAAAGCAAACCCGTTTTCCTTAGATGGACTTAAAGGCAGGGGTACCATTCAGGCTGGGCATGAATTACAGGACACAATGGAGGATATGGGAGTAAGAGGCAAAGGATCCAGATAGGACAGAAGTATTGAAGCAAGTCATCATTTACACTATCTCAAGAAAATGATCCTTTTATCTGACTGTACCAGCCGACCTTCATTCACACGAAACATAAATTTAACTAAACAATTTGCATTTTCCATCAGCTTCATTAAAACTGGATTGCCCTTCACTTGTGTGGCCACTAAGCACACTGTCATTATTGCTTTTTTTTTTTTTTTTTTTTTTTTTGAGACAGAGTTTTGCTCTTGTTGCCCAGGCCGGAGTGCAATGGCGTGATCTTGGCTCACTGCAACCTCTGCCTCCCGGGTTCAAGCAATTCTCCTGCCTCAGCCTCCTGAGTAGCTGGGATTACAAGGACGCTCCACCATGCCTGGCTAATTTTTTTTGTATTTTTAGTAGAGATGGGGTTTCTCCATGTTGGTCAGGCTGGTCTCGAACTCCCGACCTTAGGTGATCTGCCTGCCTCGGCCTCCCAAGGTGCTGGGATTACAGGCGTGAGCCCCCATGACTGGCCACTGTCATTATTTATCGTCTTATCTCGTATGCAATGATTACTCCAGTGTACTTACTGCCTTAGGATATTTCTGAGACATGGGTGGCACTATGACATCATCACTGTCGGTAGTTTGTGCTTCACTGACTTCAGAACCTTGTTCAGAGGATTCTTTGTCTGCTAGAGAAGAGGTTGCAGTTATAGAACTGTTTCAAAGCACTTTAGCCCAAGAAAAGACCCAGCACACACATCTCCAATCCACTGTCTGGTCACTAGTTCCGAGTGTCTAGATTTTGCCTTCACTTACTAAGAATCAAACCCTCTTTTTCAAAGGTACACTTATTCAGAAGCTTGCCAAACATACAGGATTCACTTCTCAAAAAAAGAAAGGGAAAGAAGGAAAAACAGAAAGGAAGAAAGGAAGGAAGACAGGAAGGAAGGGTGAGAGTAAGGAAGGAAGAAAGGAAGTCCTTTTGTGGGGGCTGAAGAAAATGGCCAAGCTTGAGGTAAAGCTGTGCAATTGGGTGGGGCAGATTGTATTTTCCAAAGATGGCCTCTCTGGCTGGGCGTGGTGGCTCACACCTGTAATCCCAGCACTTTTGGAGTTCGAGGCAGGTGGATCACCTGAGGTCAGGAGTTTTAGACCAGCCTGGCCAACATGGTGAAGCCCCGTCTCTACTAAAAATGCAAAATTAGCCTGGCTTGGTGGCACACTCCTGTGGTCCCAGCCACTCGGGAGGCTGAGGCAGGAGAGTTGCTTGAATCCGGGAGGCAGAGGTTTCAGTGAGCCAAGATCGAGCCACTGCACTCCAGCCTGGGCGACAAGAGACTCTGTCTCAAAAAAAAAAAAAAAAAAAGGTGGCCTCAAATGGTCTCTCCTATCTCAGCTGCTCTCCTTACAATGCGACTGACCTTGACGCTGCTCCTATTGAGTGGTGGGGTCTTTGTCCCCTCCCCTTCAATTAAGGTGGATCTTTTGGACTGTCTCAACTGAAAGAGTACGGTAGGAGTGATGCTATGTGACTTCTAAGGCCAGAACACAAAAATGCCATGGACTTGTACCTTGCTGTCTTGGAACTCAGCTACCAACCTGTGAGGAAGCCCAAGCAACCACTGACAGCCAGGACCACCTGATCAGCTAGTAGGGTGAGCTATCTTGCAAGATGAACCCATCAGCCCCCTAGCTGAGCTACCCCATCTAATGCCACATTGAGAGAGGAGAAATGAGCCTTCTTCATGAGACCTGCCTAACATGCCGAGTAGTGAGCCAAAGAAATGACAATTGTTTTAAGTCATTAAGTTTTGGAGTAGATTGTTACATAGCATTAGATAACTGGATGGCAAGCTGTGCCTCTTCTGTAAAATTTCAAAGTCTTGGGTTGTCTGTTTCACTGAGGTCTCAAAGGGAAAAGGTCTGAGCGGGCAGCAAAAGCAAAGGCTGCTAAAAGACACAAGGCTTTGTCTACATATGTGGAAATGGCCTTAAAATCAGGCCCTTTTCATTTCTTGATGGCCTTTACCTAATACCCTTAGATCTTTGTCTAAAAGATTAATAAGCTTCTTTTTCAACAACTACAGCATCCTGCTTGATAGCTCCACTCAGACATCTGAAACCAGGCAGATTTTAGCTTCTTGCGAGTACTAACTGGTGCTTTTGAGGTTTTTGTTTTGTTTTTGTTTTGAAATGAAGCATTGCTCTTGTTGCCCAGGCTGGAGTGCAATGGCATGGTCTCAGCTCACTGCAACTTCTGCCTCCCAGGTTCAAGCGATTCTCCTGCCTCAGCTTCTCAGATGGGGTTACCAGCACCCACCACCACACCTGGCTAATTTTTGCATTTTTAGTAGAGGCGGGGTTTTACCATGTTGGCCAGGCTAGTCTCAAGCTCCTGACAGGTGATCTGCCTGCCTCTGCCTCCCAAACTGCTGGGAGTACAGGTGTAAGCCACTGCGCCTGGCCAGTCTTGATCTTTTGAAATTCATGGAGAACAGCGATATTAAAACAATAACTAACAATTAGGCTTCCACAGAAATAGTCTTCTTTTATTATTTATGACTATAAATAGATGACCATATAGTACATGAGGTTTAGATTACCTTCTGGTCCCATATTTCACATTCTACAAGGAGAAAAAGCTAGTGGATATAGATTATACTCAATCAAATACCTGAAGAAATGTAAATTGGGAGTATGGAGATAACTGGAACCCCGCATTCAGGTCTGGATACACTGAAGCTATCTAGATACACTGTTACTATTTATTCTACTATTTTATGACTAAATAATATTCCATTGTCTGCAAATCATAAGAATGGAATTGTTCTCTTATAACCAGGATTTCTTGCCAGTCATGTAAATTTGGCTCTGGGAAATTTTGGGCTTGGTTATTCTTGTTAACCTTCCTTACATTGAGTAAACTTTGACGGAGAAATCAGATTACATAATCAATAGAAAAATTATCCTTCTCATGAGAAAAATCATTTATGCTCTTCCCATTTAAGAAGTTATGCCAAATACATTCAAAAGCTTAAAAATTATACTTTTAGGCCAAGCGTGGTGGCTCACACCTGTAATCCCAGCACTTTGGGAGGCTGAGGCAGGTGGATCACTTGAGGTCAAGAGTTCGAGACCAGCCTGGACAACATGATGAAATCCAGTCTCTACTAAAAATACAAATATTAGCCGGGCATAGTGGGGCACACCTGTAGTCCCAGCTACTCTGGAGGCTGAGGCAGGAGAATCGCTTGAACCTGGGAGGCAGAGATTGCAGTGAGCCGAGATTGTGCCACTGCACTCCAGCCTGGGTGACAGAGAGAGACTTCATCTCAAAAAAAAAAAAAAAAAAAATTATATATATATAAAATGCTTCTAGAGATTTAGAAAAAAAGCTTTTTTAAGTAGTAAAGACTCTCTTTTCATAATATTTCCATATCTACCTTTATATTTTTCCTCTCATTATTAAATTTTTCAAGCACATAGAAAAGCCCATGAAATATAAATGTTCAACTTATTAAATTGTTGTAAAATGAACATCTCTATCACCGTTCAGCCAAGAAATAGAACACTGGTAGCACTCCAGATGCCCAAAGGGTGTCCTTTCCTGATAACCCTCTTCCCCTTCTCCTAGCAGTAACCACTATTCTGACCACTGTCAGAAGTAGAGGAAGGCATGTGAGGCACTGACCTTAGGCATAAAATTTGAAGGGGTGCCAAAAACTCAATAATCAAGACAAACACTGTCCTGTTTTTTGTTTTTTGTACTGAGACGGAGTCTTGCTCTGTTGCCCAGGCTGGAGTGCAGTGGTATAATCTCAGCTCACTGCAACCTCTGCCTCCTGGGTTTAAGCAATTCTCCTGCCTCAGCCTCCCCAGTAGCTGGGACTACAGGCAGATGCCACCATGCCCAGCTAATTTTTTGTATTTTTAGTAGATGGGGTTTCATCATGTTGGTCAGGCTGGTCTCAAACTCCCGACCTCAGGTGATCTACCCGCCCATGCCTCCCAAAGTGCTGGGATTACAGGTATGAGCCACCACAACCAGCCAACAAACAGTTTTAATGAGAAAATCAAAACTAGGTCGGGTGCAGTGGCTCACGCCTGTAATCCCAGCACTTTGGGAGGCTGAGGTGGGCGGATCACCTAAGGTCAGAAGTTTGAGACCAGCCTGACCAACATGGAGAAAACCTGTCTCTACTAAAAATACAAAATTAGCCGGGGATGGTGGCACATACCTGTAATCCCAGCTACTCGGGAGGCTGAGGCAGGAGAATTGCTTGAACCCAGGAGGCAGAGCTTGCAGTGAGCTGAGATCCTGCCATTGCACTCCAGCCTGGGAGACAGAATGAGACTCCATCTCAAAAACAAAACAAAACAAAACAAAAAAATCCTGGGGCAAAATAACATTTTATAAACACTGAGAAAGTTACTTATTTAAGAATTCCAGCCTTGGTTAACCCAACCATCACACTTGTAACACAAAACTGGGCCTCAGGTCTTACATACTAATTTTCCATGAAAACTTTAGCATTCTAAGGTGAAGGAGAAAAGTAAATAACTAGCTTGGCAAAACAATTAAATGATTAAACAGAAAAAATATATATTTTTTTCTTTTTTTTGAGATGGAGTCTCGCTCTGTCGCCCAGGCTGGAGGAGTGCAGTGGTGCAATCTCGGCTCACTGCAACCTCCTCCTCCTGGGTTCAAGCAATTCTCCTGCCTCCGCCGCCCACGTAGCTGGGATTACAGGCGCCTGCCACCATACCCGGCTAATTTTTGTATTTTTAGTAGAGACGGGTTTCATCATGTTGGCCAGGCTGCTCTTGAAAGCCTGATCTCGTGATCTGCCCACCTCGGCCTCCCAAAGTGCTAGGAAAAAAAATAGATTTTAAAAGACAATACCATTTACAGGATGTAGAGGTTCCTTCTGTTTCAGTGCTGAATGGGATAATGTCATTTCCTCTTCCTCGTGCTGATTTTTAAAGCCATCACCTATGAAGCTGTTAGTCTCTGAGAACTTCCACTCAGTGTAATTCACCTGCTTCAGAATAAGAACAACAATACTACATAGCTGGTAATATCTTGGTTTTCTTTCTTCATTCCTTCCTTCCTGCCTTCTTTTTAAATATTAGCTCTTTTTATTTTTTTAATTTTTATTATTATTATTTTTTTGAGACAGAGTCTCCCTCTGTCACTCAGGCCAGAGTGCAGTGGCACCATCTCGGCTCACTGCAACCTTCGCCTCCTGGGTTCAAGCAATTCTCCTGCCTCAGCCTCCTGAGTAGCTGGGATTACAGGAGCCCGTCACCACACCTGACTAATTTTTCTATTTTTAGTAGAGATGGGGTTTCACCATGTTGGCCAGGCTGGTCTCGAACTCCTGACCTCATGTGATCCGCATGCCTCAGCCTCCCAAAGTGCTAGGATTATAGGCGTGAGTCACCATGCCCAGACAATACTGGCTCTTTTTAATTTTTAAAAGTTAGTACTCGTTGGCCGGGCATGGTGGCTCACGCCTATAATCTCAGCACTTTGGGAGGCTGAGGCAGGCGGATCACCTGAGGTCAGGAGACCAGCCTGATCAACATGGTGAAACCTCGTCTCTACTAAAAATACAAAAATTAGCTGGGTGTGGTGGCACGTGCCTGTAATCCCAGCTACTTGGGAGGCTGAGGCAGCAGAATTGCTTGAACCTGGGAGGCGGAGGTTGCAGTGAGCCGAGGTCATGCCATTGCACTCTGGCCTGGGCGACAGAGCAAGACTCGGTCTCAAAAAAAAAAAAAAAGTGAGTACTTGTTTAAAAATATATATAGTATTAAAACTTTAAGCATAAACTGTAGAGTACATAATATGCTGAATTAAATTACATTGAAATGAACAGTCCAGGGGTTTGTTAAACTACTTGTGTTTGTGGAAACACAAGCTAGCCACAATTAGCTATGATTATGGCTTATCTTATTTTTATTTTTTTGAGATGGAGTCTTGCTCTGTCGCCCAGGCTGGAATGCAGTGGCACGATCTCAGCTCACTGCAACCTCCGCCTCCTGGGTTCAAGCGATTCTCCTACCTCAGCCTCCCGACTGAGTAGCTGGGATTACAGGCACATACCACCATGCCTGGCTAATTTTTTTTTTTTTTTTTTGGTGAGATGGAGTTTCTCACTTGTTGCTCAGGCTGGAGTGCAATGGCGCGATCTTAGCTCACCACAACCTCCACCTCCCAGCTTCAGGTGATTCTCCTTCCTCAGCCTCCCGAGTAACTGGGATTACAGGCACACACCACCATGCCTGGCTAATTTTTGTATTTTTAGTAGAGACAGGGTTTCACCATGTTGGTCAAGCTGGTCTCGAACTCCTGACCTCAGGTGATCCACCCACCTCGGCCTCCCAAAGTGTTGGGATTACAGGCGTGAGCCACTGCACCAGGCCTCATTTTGTATTTTTAGCAGAGATAGGAGTTCACCGTGTTGGCCAGGCTGACCTGAGGTGATCTGCCCACCTCAACTGCCCAAAGTGCTGGGATTACAGGCCGAAGCCACCATGCCCGGCCGATTAGTGCTTATCTTGTGTGTCTGCTTCTGCTTCTGCTTCTACCTCTGAGAATAATACATCTGGGGACACTACAACCCACAATTTAGTGCTTCAGAGTTTTTAAGGTCTTACCTCTGGTGTATTTCCATTTAAGATGTTAAGGCTAAGATACTCCATTCTATTCTTTCCTTGAACACCTATTCTTTTGCCATGTTTTCTTCTTGAGTAGCTCACAACCTGGTGCTCCTTCTCCTTTCTTTCTCCCCCATGAGGAGGTTTTCTCTTAGATCGATACTGGCCAGCTTCAATGGGAACCTCAGGAGATGCCATCTGATCCTGAATAGAAAGATCAGAGATAGCATTACAAGCTGGTAGTTTAACAACCTAGAAACACAAGAAAGGGATTTGGGAACTAGTGTTAGACTTCATTTCTCTCCTCATGGAGCTGAGAAATGCTATTTCTCTCTCTTTTCCGCAGTAAAACCCAGGCTTTCGCTCCATCAGTAGTCTCATGGCATTATGAGGGATATATATTAAGTTCACAGGACACATGACACTCACAGAGGGAATTTCTTTTTCTTTTTTTTTTTGAGACAGAGTTCTGCTCTTGTTGCCCAGGCCAGAGTGCAATGGCGTGATCTCGGCTCGCCGCAACCTCCACCTCCTAGGTTCAAGTGATTCTCCTGCCTCAGCCTCCCAGTAGCTGGGATTACAGGCATGTGCCACCACGCCCAGCTAATTTTTTGTATTTTTAGTAGAGGCAGGGTTTCCCCATGTTGGTCAGGCTGGTCTTGAACTCCTGACCTCAGGTAATTCGCCTGCCATGGCCTCCCAAAGTGCTGGGATTACAGGCGTGAGCCACTGCACCTACTTCAACTATAATACTGTCTCCTTCAAATCTGCTCCATAGGATTGGCAGAGATCTGCTACCTGTGGAGTCCTGGAGAGTTACCTGGGAAGGAAATGAAGCCTTTTCCTCTTCAGATGAGATCTTTGAACTGTCCTTGGTATCCTTCCCCTTAGTCTGAGCTTCTGGTTTCAGGAAGCTCTCAGGGGGTATGTAGGGAAACTTCCAATCCAGTTGCACTTGAATAGATCCGTTGGGTTTCTCTGCAGGGTCAGTGAGGTTAAAATCACCTGAGAAACAAACAGATATTAATAAGACCTGATCACATGAAATAAGCAAGTGAGCATTTGTCAGCACCTTATCTACTTCCTTCCCATTTTTAATTTCAACATATTTTATCAGCAATTAATTAACATCCATTAAATAATTACGATGATGATACACTCAGAAGTAAAATCAAACAGCAGTGCAGTTAGAATATTAATCAGGGAAGATGGGTTATCTCTAGGATTCAGGAAGAGATAGTGAAGGGTGTATGAAAAGGAGTACAGCTTGCTTGTCATCAGTCATCCAGCCAATGAACAAGGCTGCATTATTATTACTATTATCAAATGCTTACTGTGCCTTAGTTGTACCAAGAAAACTGTTACCTCTACCCTCAAGTGGTCCCAAGAAAACTTAAGCAAAATGGCTCTTTCGAAATGCCAGATGTCTGATTTGTAACACTGATTAACAGGTGGCTTATACTGCCTCCCCTGTTTGGCAAAGGAGTTGTGTCCAGAAGTGTCAGCCTTTTTTTAAGCAGTTGTATTGAGGAGAGAGCTGCATACATGTCCTGGAGCATCCAGAATCTTGTTAAATATGGTTGTTTCTGACTGCAGCTATCCCCACTTCCTAAGGAAAACATGGATACCCCCACCTCACCCTCCCAGGACTGTAGTCAAAGAGTTGACCCCTCTTGGTACACCCCCACAATCCTAGGTATAAAAGTTAGGAAAGACAGTATGGAGCTCAGCTCCACATTGGGAGGAAAAAAAAAATCCAAGAAATTTGTGTTTGTCATGATCTGGTGTGGAAATCTCTCTAACTTGTGTCCAGTGTTTAAAAGAAGTGAGAGAATGATGGGGGAGTGTTAAGGTCTCAGTTTATAATCAGATATCTATGTAGTCATGCACTAAGAAACAACAGGCCTTTAGTAAAGACAGATACTAGACAGCATTACAGAGCTTGAAAAAGTTTGTTCAGCCAGGCGCGGTGGCTCACGTCTGTAATCCCAGCACTTTGGGAGGCTCAGGTGGGAGGTTCACCTGAGGTCGGGAGTTGAAGACCAGCCTGACCAACATGGAGAAATCCCATCTCTACTAAAAATACAAAAATTAGCCGGGTGTGGTGGCGCATGTCTGTAATCCCAGCTACTAGCCTGGGCAACAAGAGCGAAACTCCATCTCAAAAAACAAAGAAGTTTATTCAGATACAGAGGTATAGAATTCAGGTTGCTGGCTCTACCCACTTAGGAATGTTGTCTTTGTGGCTGAAAAGAAGCAGAAGAAGCCAGTGTTTCCACACAAGTAGTGAGGCTCTAAGTCTTCTGCTCTGTTGCTCTTGACAATATTCTAAATCCTTTATCTTCAGGTTTTAAGAGAGACTGTTTCAAGCAAGTAATCAAAGAAAAGTAGAATCAGGACAGGGAGACAACACTGGGAAGAGGGCGTGAAGATGTAATAACCTCGAACTCCCACCTTTGATAGATTCATTTTTTGCAAGAGGCAGTAAAGGCACTCGGGCTCGGCCAAGATACGAGCCAGGCTCTAAGTCTTCATCATCAAAAACATGTATAGACAAGGCCTCCCGTCTCAGATAATGGTCCAGGTCAGAGGTCACAAGCACTGGGAATCGAGCCTGGTCTCTAAAGTAGGGGTTGTTACTGGCTGGAATGATGGCAGTGTCATGGTCAGAAAAGGTGAAGAAGCGGTACACAGCATATGGACTGGGTTGAGTTCCCAGCCATCGACTCCGGAGGCCACAGCACTTGGTGATTTCAATCCACAGCTCGTTCTGAGGTTCCCAAGACTCCGATCTGAACTGGAAAGATGTTGGTCATGGATTGAGGAAAAGGGCAGCTTGAGACTGTTGTAGGTGAAGCCTAGGATCTGTGGTGAGGAAGAGCTATGATCTAGAGAACAGCTATCCCAACTGGATCAGGAAGAAACCTAATGATCTTCACCTGCCTGCAAACTGGCTCTGGCAGTTATTTCAGGGAGATACTGGCACTCACGACTTAACTTAGAGAATGGCACAGAGAAGCTATTCTGTTCACAGCAAGGATGAAGGATGTAGCTCGCTCCAAAGGCATACTTTCATTTCAGACTCAAGCCTGACCAAGGGAATAATCCAGACTAGTTGTGGTGTGACAGTTTTCTCTTTCATTCACATTCAACAAACACTTATTGAGAGTGGAAGACTGAACTGTGCTCATGAGCTGTTTGGCTGAGGCTCCTCTGAGATGCCTCGGCACATCTTTTTTCTCACCTCCTCTTCCTGGGCCTTCCGGCCTCCAAGCACATCGGTTGACAGGTAGACCTGGGCTTTCTTTCGTTTATTGCACGCCTGTAGGCTGGGTTTTATGGGGAAACGCAGCCTCATCCAGTACTCTAGAACCCCGAACTCTTCTCCACCAGCTCCTGGGTAGCAGAAAGTGTGAAAGCAGGGGGAATACAGATGGTGTGGCAAGGATCAAGAACAAGACAAAGGAAGAAAATAAGAAACCACCAGAAAAGCAACTGTAGGCTTTGGGAAATTCTGCATTGGTGCTTAGGAGCCGCAGGAAGCCAACGGCACTTACCAATCAGTGTGGCCAAGCCATGGACTTTCTCCACAGTCTCTAGCACCCTGTCAAAGCAAATCCATCCTGCAGCAAGAGTGCTGTGTTCACTGGCCATGGCCTGGTGTATGTCAAGCCGGGCTGAAGCCTCTTGAAGGTAGTGTAAGAAAAGCGAATCTGTCTCCATCACATACTGGGAGGTGAAGTCATAGAGGGGCTGTGGCCCCACAGATAATGGGGTACAGTGGGTTTCAAAGTCATAGAAGGAATAGGTGCAGAAAGTGGTAGGTTGGGTATCTCCAGCCTGAGCTAGGGCGGCAGATGTCAGGAAGGCCTGGTGGATGTGCAGTTCAAAAAGATTCTCACCCTGATGCAGCAGAGAAATATCCACTTTATCCTCATCTCCATGGGCTGGCAGTGTTTCCAAACATAACGACAACGGTCGGGTGCCATAAGCAACATCTTTGAGCTGTTCTAGAGGGGAAAGAAAGCTGCCTATCCGTTAAAGGGTAGGGAGCTCTTTCTTAGGGTAGAGGAGGGTGGACAAAAGAAATATAAAACACATGGTGGAAGTCCAAGTTGTGATTATTTCAAGAAACCACGTGATTCAAAAGGAAAAGCAACAGAAGGACAACCAGGAGCATTGAATTCCGATAGCCAAATAATCCAATGCCAGCTTTAGGGAGAAGGTACAAAAGGAGTGACTGGAAAGTAGATGCTAAACTTAGGAAAACACTGGGGGCACATTTTATCTTATATATGACATTGTTTTGGTGTACATCGTGGCCCTATGATTAACTGGTAATTCCATAAGAGAAGTACTAGAAACACAAAAACATGAATATTTCTACAAGTTTGGTATATTGGCCGTGGAGATAATAGCAAGTTGCAGACATAGTGTCTATGACATTACATTGAGTCCCACCAAGAAATGCTTCTCCTTCTCTAGCCAGGTCAGTCAGGAGATCTTTCATTCTGTTCAGAATTTGGTTTCAACATAAGAAGGCAAAAAGTACATTATAAGTTAAAGAGTAATGGAGTAAAAAGTGGGAAAAGAGACTTACTGGAAAGAGGTAGGAAATATTGGCAGTGGGACGCAAAGATAGGTAGACAGTCTAGCAAATCTGGGTATTATCTCCCAAGTCCAACCAATCAGAAACTTTGATATATAGCCTGCTTCAAATTGGGGAATATTTGAGTCAACACAGTGTGCTGCTGCCGAAGGTCCTATTTTAAGAGTTAAAGCAGTAGAATAAAATATTCTGGACACATCGGAATGTCTTCATGACACACACACACACACACGAATAAGGAGACTACTTTCTTAATTAACAAGATTAATATAATTAAATATAATATACTTAAAATTTTGCATTACATGATGCAGGAGTAATAATCTCAGCATAAAAAGAATTTCTATAAATCAATAGGATACTGTTAAGAAGTAGGCAAAGGATAGGAACGGTCAATTCTCAAAAGGAATAATACAAATAACTGGTGAACATAGAAAAACTCTTTAGTCTTACCAGTGATCAAAGAACTATTAGCTAAAGCAAATAAATCTTCAGACGTAGGTAGAAGCAGTGATCTTTTATCAGACTCACGCTGACATGGATAAATCACGGCCCAGAGACACTTATGTGCTTTTATTCTTTTTTTTTTTTCTTTTTGAGACAGAGTTTCGCTCTTGTTGCCTAGGCTGGAATGCAATGGCCTGGTCTCGGCTCACTGCAACTTTGCCTCCCGGGTTCAAGCGATTCTCCTGTCTCAGCCTCCTAAGTATCTGGGGTTACAGGTGCCCGCCACCATGCCCAGCTAATTGTTCTATTTTTAGTAGCGATGGGGTTTCACCATGTTGGTCAGGCTGGTCTCGAACTCCTGACCTCAGGCAATCCGCCCGCCTCGTCCTCCCAAAGTGCTGGGATTACAGGTGTGAGCCACCGTGCCCAGCCATGTCCCTTTATTCTATTCCATGCTCACTAAGAAACCTACTTACTGATTTTGCTTCCCGAAAGAGGGCTGCCCTGAACTGTGGTTCCAAGTTCCTCATGGAAGCAGTGGAATAGCCACTATTGTAAAATAACAAACATTTGGGTTTAAATATCAGCTTCTGGTTAATTTGGTTTTCGTGAGTCAGATCTTTCACCACTGGGTATAATAACAAAGCCAAGTGTCTTGACAAACAAGCCTGAGACCAGGCTCTGGTCAGCAGTGACTACACTAAGTATAGGAGGCACCACAATATGAAACTTGCATTCAGTGTCCAGCCAGCTGCCCTGTCACTGTCAGCATCCTCAAATTGCAACAAAGATTTTAGAGCTTTTAAGAGAGAAATCACTGACAAGAATAACAGGAGATGAGTGATGAAGTTCTATTATCCGACTAAAACTGCTTTGAGGAAACAGTGACTAGGAGAGAGGGACAGGGGAGAGGAGCAAGAGAGAAAGAATGAGAGAGAGAGAGAGAGATTGTGTGTTACACCACCACCCTGAGAGCCAACAGTGATACTCATTCTCACAACAGAATTAAGCCCCTGGAAGCAATTGCTGGGCCCACTTGAAACTCTACAGAGAAATCAGAAAAACATGATGGAGGGAAAGAAGCTGCTAACATGTATTAAAACAACAAAGATGGGCCGGGCGCAGTGGCTCGCACCTGTAATCCCATCACTTTGGGAGGCTGAGGCAGGTGGATCACCTGAGGTCAGAAGTTCCAGACCAACCTGGCCAACATGGTGAAACCCCATCTCTACTAAAAATACAAAAAATTAGCCAGGCATGGTGGTGGACAACTGTCATCCCAGCTACTTGGGAGGCTGAGGCAGGAGAATCGCTTGAACCTGGAAGGCAGAGGTTGCAGTGAGCCAAGATCGCACCACTGCACTCCAGCCTGAGTGACAGAGCAAGACTCCATCTCAAAAGCAAACAAGCAAAAAAAAACAACAAAAATGATAGGATAAAGAACAAGAAGGATAAGTCATATGCTAAGGGTATGAGAGGCACCCTTCTTGACAAGTACACAGAGTGGAACACAGGCGTTAGCTGTGGAAGGGTCCCGAAGTGAGGAGAACAAAGGACTAAGACTTGCCAGATGTTGGAAGGTCATGGCTTCTTAAAATACCTTCCAGCTGCTTGATACGGTTATTCTTGAGGTCTAGTAGTCGAGTCAACCTCTCCAGCTTTTCTTTGTGATCTCTATTATCATTGTCAGCTTTTGTCATCATTGCCTCCAGTTCCTCCTGAAACAAAATAATGTCTGAACTTTTCTATCTCAGTGGCCTAAAACCAAAGAGCATAAAAAATGTGGCACTGGCTAGGTCAAGAAGACTGCTATCCTTAGCTGGGCAGGTTCACCCACTAGAAGAAGGTTTGATTTCCTTGCAGACCCCTCCAAGACTAGTTGTGCTATCATTGAGGTAGGGTGGTTCCTAGGACTGGCAAAATTTGAACCCAGAAGCCTTACGCTTGCCATTGGCATGGGCTGGCCCCATCACTGGCTCCTAGTGCCAAGGTGCCGTGGGCATGTGTGAGTCCTCAAGTTCTTCAAAGGACAGCCATTGTGTGTTTGCTCAGGATAGCACATCACCTGGTATCAGCCCTGGAAACTTAGGTCTTGCTTCATTCCCAGTCCTGTGAGTGGTTCCCACGTTCCTGTTATCCATCCCCTTCCTGTACCATCTTTCCTTGCACCTGATAACACACGTTGATTTTGCGCTGCAGAATAAGCATGTCCCTGGTCTTTTCTAGTTCCAATGTGGTCTCTGCGTGTGATACTTGCAACTCATTTAGCACCTGGGACAGTTTCTTTTCTTCTTGGTTTTTGGGTTCACTTGGCTGTAGAGGGAAACGCATTGGTAAAAGGGAGTATAAATATGACAGGTAAAGTAATAATGATTCTCCATAAAACAGTTGTTGGTAGTAGTAAAATGCCAGCAGCAGAAACTACTCCAAAATGTAAACAAGGACCTGTATGACTTCACAAGTGCTCTTTCCCCTAGTTCTCATGTTCAGTAGCAGCAGTGAAGGGAGATGATACAGCCACTAATGGCTGTTTGCTCTTCCACAGATCTTTTCAAGTCCTCATCTGAAAAAGATTCTAAATTTTATGAGCTGCAAAGAGTGGAAGAAATGGGTGGAGCTCATGAAGTTCTCTACGCTCTGCCTTCTCACAGTTTTCCAAAAAGTGTCCTCAAGCAGGGCACAGTGGCACGTGCCTGTAATCCCAGCACTTTGGGAGGCTGAGTTGGGCGGATCACCAGAGGTCAGGAGTTCGAGACCAGCCTGGCCAAAATGGCGAAACCCTGTCTCTACTAAAAATACAAAAAATTAGCCGGCTGTGGTGGCAAGCACCTGTAATCCCAGCTACTCGGGAGGCTGAGGAAGGAGAATTGCTTAAACCTGGGAGGCAAAGACTGTAGTGAGCCGAGATCGCGCCATTGCACTCCAGCCTGGGAAACAAGAGCAAAACTCCATCTCAAAAAAAAAAAAAAAAAAAAAGAGTGGGCCGGGCGCGGTGGCTTACGCCTGTAATCCCAGCACTTTGGGAGGCCGAGGTGGGCGGATCACGAGGTCAGGAGATCGAGACCATCCTGGCTAACACGGTGAAACCCCGTCTCTACTAAAAATACAAAAAAATTAACCGGGCGAGGTGGCGGGTGCCTGTAGTCCCAGCTACTCGGAAGGCTGAGGCAGGAGAACGGCGTGAACCCCAGGGGGCGGAGCCTGCAGTGAGCCGAGATCGCGCCACTGCACTCCAGCCTGGGCGACAGCGAGACTCTGTCTCAAAAAAAAAAAGAGTGTCCTCAGTCAGGACAAAATATTATTTAGTTAGTTTTCTAATCTCATCATCTTCCCTAGAGATATTTGCCAGAGATCTCTCTGCAGAGTGGACTAGTTTGTTTAAAGAGGCTCTTACCTCGATCTGAGTGTTCTCTTGCAATACAGCTGGGTGAGTGGCTGGTTCAGATTGCCTGTCAGGAGGTTGGGAAATTGTGGCTGCATTTTGGAGGAGCTCTACTTCCTGTTTATGCTTCTGAAGTATGTTGGTGACTTCAAGCTTCAGATCCTCATTTTGGGCTGGGGAAAAATAATCCAGAAATGTGAAATTCTGTAGTTATTTATCACCATGGTCAGAGTTGGATCAAGTGTGAATTTAATCTTCCCACTAAGGTTTAATTAATGTTATAAATTTGAGAAGCAATTCTCTATTATTTCTACAGAGGAGGACTCTAGCTTATTGACTCAGTAAACTGAGGTGATACTACTTGCACTCCGAAAACAAAAGACACCTGCAGAATGGTAGAGTGGAAAGTGGAATAACAATAACAACACAAAACAGAAAGGGAATCACTTGACTAGGGTAATCCAAACTTTTTGACAGCAGCATCGAAACCAGTATCTCACCAACTCCACCCCCACTCCATTCTGACTTCTAGGTTACTAGCTCTCTGTGGCACCCATCTTCACACCCACCCTGGCCTGGATGGAGGATGGGCATTTCTGTGTTCCAATGTGTGTGTGTGTGTTTTTCTCTTTAGACAGTCTTACTCCATCACTCAGGATGGAGTGCAGTGGTGCGATCTTGGCTCCCTGCAACCTATGCCTCCAGGGTTCAACGATTCTTGTGCCTCAGCCTCCTGAGTAGCTGGTATTACAGGCGCACGACACTACGACTGGCTAATTTTCGTGTTTTTAGTAAAGATGGGGTTTCACCATGTTGGCCAGGCTGGTCTGAAACTCCTGGCCTCATGTGATCTGCTGGCCTCGGCCTCCCAATGTGCTGGGATTACAGGCATGAGCCACCACACCAGGCTGTGTGTGTGTTTTTCAGGGAATAAAGGTAATCGGTGTTTAGTGAGCAGATCATTTCCATCATGCATTAGAGAAGGGATTAAATTAGATTGCCCTGAAGGTCCTTACAAGACTTCATTTGTGCTTCAAACATACTAATTGGCATGTGCTCCTAAACATGGTTCTTGCCTCTATTTTTCTTGATTTCACACATTTCTTTTCCTTCCGTTCCCTATTTGAATACACTAAAACTTGATGAGATATAAATTTGATAAAACTAAATATTAAGGTCCAGGCTAGGAAAAAGTAGTAAGATGAAGGTCTTTTTGACAGTATTTAAAAATGTTCCAAATACCTATCTCCTGAGATCCAAGAGTTAAGACGGGGGTGAACTGGCAGTGGTAACCAAGAATAGTAATTTGCTACTCAATTTCAAGAATTGGATGGCAAAAAAAAAAAAAAGTATTCCAGTTACCTCTAAAATGATGAGAAGGATAAAAGACAAAGAAATTCACTTTCAATACTTTCAGCCAGGTGTAGTGGCTTTCACCTGTAATCCCAGCACTTTGGGAGGCTGAGGCGGGTGGATCACTTGAGGTTAGTTTCAGACCAGCCTGGCCAACATAGTGAACCCTCGTCTCTACTAAAATATACAAAAAATTAGTTGGGTGTGGTGGTGGGCACCTGCAATCCCAGCAACTCGGGAGGCTGAGGCAGGAGAATCTCTTGAACCTGGGAGGCAGAGGTTGAAGTGAGCCCAGATCGCATCACTGTACTCCAGCCTGGGTGACAGAGTGAGACTCTCTCAGAAACAAAACCAAACCAAACCAAACAAAAGAAAACTTTCAATAAACTGAACGTTTAAAAAACATAATAAATTAAAAACTGGCAGGTCGGGCACAGTGGCGCACGCCTGTAATCCCAGCACTTTGGGAAGCTGAGGCTGGTGGATCATCTGAGGTCAGGAGTTCACGACCAGCCTAACTAACATGGTAAAACCCCATCTCTACTAAATACAAAAAAAAAAAAATAGCCAGGCGTGGTAGTGCATGCTTGTAATCCGAGCTACTTGGGAGGCTGAGATAGGAGAATCGCTTGTACCTGGGAGGTGAAGGTTGCAGTGAGCTGAAATCGTGCCATTGCACTCGAGCCTGAGCAACAAGAGCGAAACTCCACCTCAAAAACAAACAAACAAACAAACAAACAAAAACTAGCATCTTCTCAAATGGAAAGACATTATATAGGAAAAAGTATACATGAGAGGTAGGTAAGTGTCATGTTTTCCTGATTGTAGATCTGATCTATTGCTAGTGTTCTCATTCTAGTTACCTACAACCCACAAAAGAATAGGATCAAGTGAGGGGATTAAAGAAATGATGGCTCAAGTTATCTTCTCCCAAACCAGAGGTAGAGGATGCCACATTTGAGAGAGCTCTTCAAGGTCCAGCCTACCTTTCTCCCTGGACAGCTCAAGTAAAACTTTTCTCTTGTCCTCCAGCTCAGCATCCAGCTGATCCTGCAGCTGAGAGACTTGCTGCTGTAGCTGTTCCGCTATGAGCTCGTTGCTCCAGTGGGGCTGACTGGAGCTGTCACTGCTGTCCAGCATGCTGGCAATGGAAAGCAAGCTCTCAGATGGATACCCCAAGGGGTGTGATATGACGTCTTTATTATCCAGTTTCAGCATCTCCTGGACCTAGTTCCTCATTCTCTCCCCTACATGTTTTTTTCTGCCCTTGCTTTATTCATAACTGTCATTTACCAACTGCCTTGGAACTTTTGAGTCCTACTGAGTTATTGCTCAGTACCATTTCTGTTTAGGTCTCAGATATCTGACTGAGCAAACACCCCAAGTCATATCCATTTCCCAAGGAACTTCTCCACCATGATGGCTTTCTTTAGTCAGGGAACTATGTATCAAGACCTTCTCAGGCCTGCCGGATTAGAAATGAGGAACAAAATCTTCCTTTTCTCAAACCCCATGCCTCCATCTACCTTCACCAACGGTGAGTTTAGAGAATATTTGTCTTTGACCTAGATTATAAATTACTATGCTGAAGGGCGGGAATTAAACTTTTCAACAACTGTATCCTCCACCCTATTGTATCAAGCTGTCAGAGCAGACCCATTTTGAGTATAAAATACACATGGCTGGTTCCTTTTTTTTTCTTTTTTCTTTTTTTTTTGAGACAGAATCTCGAGCTGTCACCCAGGTTGGAGTGCAGGGGTGCAATCTTGGCTCACTGCAACCTCTGCCTCCCAGGTTCAAGCGATTCTCCTGCCTCAGCCTCCTGAGTAGCTGGGATTAAAGTAACCCACCACCAGGCCCAGCTAATTTTTGTATTTTTAATAGAGACGGGGTTTTACAATGTTGGCTGTGCTGGTCTTGAACTCCTGACCTCAGGTGATCCACCTGCCTCGGCCTCCCAAAGTGTTGGGATTATAGGTGTGAGCCACCATGCCCAGCCACATGGCTAGTTCTTGGTCATTCATACAAATGAAATGACACTAATAATCAAACAATTATTTCTTTTTATGTCTTATTTCTTATTTATCATTTTAGTAAATGTGGTTTAAAAATAATTTACCAGGCTGGGCACAGTGGCTCACGCCTGCAATCGCAACACTTTGGGAGGCCGAGGAGGGCAGATCATGAGGTCAGGACTTCGAGACCAGCCTGGCCAACATAGTGAAACCCTGTCTCTACTGAAAATACAAAAAGTTAGCTGGGTGTGGTGGCAGGTGCCTGTAATCCTAGCTACTTGGGAGGCTGAGGCTGGAGAATTGCTTGAACCCAGCAGGCGGACACTGCAGCGAGCTGAGATCGTGCCACTGCACACCAGCCCAGGTAACAGTGTGAGATTCCGTCTCAAGAAATAAATAAATAACTTACCGGCCAGGCTGGATGGTTCCCACCTGTAATCCCAGCACTTTGGGAGGTCAAGGTGGGCAGATTATCTGAGGTCAGGGGTTCGAGGCCAGCCTGGCCAACATGGTGAAACCCCATCTCCATTAAAAATACAAAAATTGGCTGGGCGCGGTGGCTCACACCTGTAATTCCAGTGCTTTGGGAGGCTGAGGCAGGCAGATCTCGAGGTCAGGAGTTGGTGATCAGCCTGCCCAACATGGTGAAACCCCGTCTCTACTAAAAATACAAAAAATTAACCAGGTGTGGTGGCCGGCACCTATAATCCCAGCTACTCAGGAGGCTGAGGCAGAAGAATAGCTTAAACATCGGGAGGCAGGGGTTGCAGTGAGCCGAGACTGCGCCACTGCACTCTCAGCCTGGGCAACAGAGTGAGACTTTGTCTCAAAAAAAAAAAAAAAAAAACCACAAAAATTAGCCAGGCATGGTGGCACACACCTGTGGTCACGGCTACTTGGGAGGCTGAGGAAGGAGAATCACTTGAACCTAGGAGGCAGAGGTTGCAGTGAGCCAAGATCACACCAGTGCACTCTACCCTGGGCAACAGAGTGAGACTCTGCCTCAAAAAAAAAATAATAATAATAATAATAATAACCTACTTAGGCAAGTATTAACATTTCTTGGCATTGCCTGACCATATATCATGTAAGGACTCAAGAAAATAGTATTTTGAGTGATGAAGGGGAGAGGCAAATAGTAATGTCTATCACAGAGTAATGTCTATCGAAGTGGATACTCCCCACACTGCTTTATTTCACTGAGCTGAAGAACATCAGTTGTTCCCAGATGCTCCCGTAAGACCTCCTCAATCTACCCCCTGCTGCCTTTTACTAGATCAAAGGTACTTTTAAGTTTTTTGTTTTTTTTTTTTTTGAGACGGAGTCTGGCTCTGTCGCCCAGGCTGGAGTGCAGTGGCGCGATCTCGGCTCACTGCAAGCTCCGCCTCCCGGATTCACGACATTGTCCTGCCTCAGCCTCCCGAGTAGCTGGGACTACAGGCACCTGCCACCACGCCTGGCTAATTTTTTGTATTTTTAGTAGAGACGGGGTTTCACCGTGTTAGCCAGGATGGTCTCGATCTCCTGACCTCGTGATCCACCCACCTCGGCCTCCCAAAGTGCTGGGATTACAGGCATGAGCCACCGCGCACAGCCTGGCACTTTTAAGTTTTAAAAACTTTTTTCTTTTACTTACAGGTTTTTTTTTTGTTTGAGAGTCTCACTTTCTCACTGCACTGCACTGCACATGGCTCAATGCAACCTTGACCTCCTAGGCTCAAACAATCCTCCTGCCTCAGCCTTCTGAGTATCTGGGAATACAGATGCACGCCACCATGCCCAGCCAAATTTTTTTTTTGAGACAGAGTCTTGCTCTGTTGCTCAGGCTGGAGTGCAGTGGTGCAATCTCAGCTCACTGCAACCTCCACCTCCCGGGTCCAAGCAATTCGCCCTGCCTCAGCCTCCCAAGTATCTGGGATTACAGGCCCCTGCCACCACGCCCAGCTAATTTTTTGTATTTTTAGTAGAGACAGTGTTTTGCAATGTTGCTCAGGCTGGTCTCACACTCCTGTGCTCAGGCAATCTGCCTGCCTTGGCCTCTCAAAGTGCTAGAAGTACAGGCATGAGCCACTGCGCCCAGCTGCCCGGCTATTTTTTTTTTTTTTTTCGAGACAGAGTTTTGCTCTTGTTGCCCAGGCTGGAGTGTAATGGCCTGATCTCAGCTCACCCCAACCTCTGCCTCCTGGGTTCAAGTGATTCTCCGCGCCTGGCTGGCTAATTTTTAAAATAATTTGTGGAGAAGGGGTTTCATCATGTTGCCCAGGCTGGTCGTGAACTCCTGAGCTCCAGCGATCCTCCTGCCTCAGCCTCCCAAAGTGCTGGGATTACAGGAATGAGCCACCATGCCAGGCCACTTCCAGTTCTTTTTAATTATAAAATTAATGCATGAATACATGCTCATTGTGAAAAATTAGAATAATACATCAGCATATAGAATAGCCCAGGGTCGGTGGCTCATGCCTGTAATCCCAACACTTTGGGAGACCAAGGCAGGCAGATCACTTGAGCCCAGGAGTTTGAGACCAGCCTGGGCAATCTGGCGAAACCCTGTCTCTGCACAATATAGAAACTATTAGCCGGGTGTGGTGGCGTGTGGCTGTGGTCCCAGCTACTCGGGAGGCTGAGGTGGAAAAATCACTTGAGCCTGGGAGTTCAAGACCAGCCTGGGCAACATGGCAAAACACCATCTCTACAAAAAATACAAAAATTAGCCAGGCATGGTGGTGTGCACCTGTGGTCCCAGCTCCTTGGGAGGCTGAGGTGGGAAGATTGCTTGAGCCTGAGAGGTGGAGGTTGCAGTGAGCTGAGATGACACCACTGTACTACAGCCTGGGTAACAGAGTGAAACCCCATCTCAAGAGAAAAAAAAAAAAAAAAGAATAAAAGTGAAGGTGCCCCTTTGCCTTATTCTAATCCTCTTATCTCATCAAAGGTTTGTGGAACCATAAAGATACATAACATAAACCATGTCAGAGTTAACATATTCATTTTCAGCTTGCTTTTTCTTTTTACAATGTATCTTTTTTTTTTTTTTCAGAGGAAGTCTTGCTGTGCCACCCAGGCTGAAGTCCAGTGGCGCAATCTCAGCTCACTGCAACCTCCGCCTCCCGGGTTCAAGCGATTCTCCTGCCTCAGCTGTCTGAGTAGCTGGGATTACAAGTGCGCGCTACTGTGCCTGGCTAATTTTTGTATTTTTAGTAGACACAGGGCTTCATCATGTTGGTCAGGCTGGTCTCTAACTCCTGACCTCGTGATCTGGCCGCCTCGGCATCCCAAAGTGCTGGGATGACAGGCATGAGCCGCCGCGCCTGGCCATCTATCTCATTTTTAACAGCTGCATAGCACTTCATTGTGAGGATGCAACATGCTTTATGTGATCAATCTCTTATCAGTGGTTTCCTTTTTATTTGTTTATTTGTTTTTGTTTTTTTGCTATTACTATCAGGGCAGTAATTCACATTCTTTTTTTTTTTTTTCTTTTTGTGGAGAACAGGGTCTCACTATATTGCCCAGACAGGTCTCGAACTTCTAGGCGCAAGTTATCCTCCCACCTCTGCCTCCCTAAGTGTTAGGATTACAGGTGTGAGCTGCTGCACCCAGCAACATTCTTATTATATACATATATTTGCACATACACAAGAGAATTTTTTCATTTTGATTCCCCCCAGCCCCCCAAAAAATTTGGGGGCCAGACATGGTGGCTCGTGCCTGTAATCCCAGCATTTTAGGAGGCTGATGCAGGCAGATGACTTGAGCCCAGGAGTTTGAGACCAGCCTGGGCAACCTGACAAAACCCTGTCTCTACAAAAAAATAGAAAAAAATTAGCCAGGTGTGGCAGTGCACACCTGTAGTCCCAGCTACTGGGGAGGCTGAGGTGGGAGGATTGCTTGAGCCTGGGAGACTGGGGCTGCAGTAAGCCTAGAATGCCACTGTTTTCCAGCCTGGGTGACAGAGAGAAACTACATCTCAAAAAAAGAAAAAAGGAATTGCTGGTTAAAAAAATAAAAAGGAAGAAGAGTCAGGAGAATCGTTTGAACCCGGGAGGTAGAGGTTGCAGTGAGCCAAGATCGCACCACTGCACTCCAGCCTGGGCAGCAGAGCGAGACTCCATCTCAAAAAAAAAAAAAAGAGGATATGCACATTTAACATTTTAATAGTGTCAAATTCCCTTCCAAAAGACTGCCGATTAATATTCTCACTAACAATATTGAGTACCAATTTCCCCATATATTTATTAATGCTAGGTATTAGGAATGAACTTTCTATAATGTCTTTCATAGTAACACTGCTCTGGGACCCAAATGTGGTACTCACCTTTCTAAGAGTTTGTCATAATTGTCATTCAGCAATTTTCGTTCTTTTTCCAAATCTTCAACTCTCTCCTGAAACTAAGAGTGATAGTAGCCCTTGAGATAAAATGTTAAAATCTATTCCCCTGCACAGGATTTCCCCTGTCCATGGCAGGGAGGGGCGTGGGTGAGAGGCTTTCTATCACCATCTCCAGTGTCTGAGAAGCCATCCAACTAGAAAGACTTGAACCAATTGAAGGTCGGCTAGAAACTTGTATTGGGATTAATGAGGATTTTCCAAAATAAGTCTTCACTGTTTCTGGGTTTCTACTGCTAGGGAAGCAGCAAAACATTATGAAAGAGCAAGGACTTTGAAAAACAGACATAAGTACAAATCCAAGCTTTCCCTCTAATGGTGTAATCTTAAGCAAATGATTTAACTACTCGGAGCTTCGTTTTTGTCATTTGAAAAAATGCAATACTCATATTGTTGCTAAGATACACATTCTAACATCCCTGAAGTTGAAATGTAGATGGTATCTTTCAACTATTATTATTTACCTCCTTCAGAGTCATCTGCAAGATAGACACATCTTCCAGTTGGCTCTTCAAGCTCACAGCCTTCTTGCTTTCTTCCTTCAGCTCTGCCCTGAGCTCATTCACTTGCTTGAGGAGGGCCTCATGGGCTGCACTCAGGATTCCCTGATTCTGGGTCAAAAGGAAAGTACCTCTGGGAATGGTCATATCACTCAGCACGAGTGGTCTCCAGACACCAGCAACCCTAGCATTCTCTAACAGATGTCACAAAGAATGACTTTGATTAATAGCTTATTACCTTTGTACTGTTCGTTAACCTTGTTTTTCACCCTAGCATTTCTCTGGAAGTATAATTTCCCTGGTAGGTAGGGTTTCCATTCTGGGCAATTGTAGTTCATCATTTGAGCTTTAATTTTCTTTTCTTGTATTTATTTATTTATTTATTTATTGAGACAGTCTCGCTCTGTTGCCCAGGCTGGAGTGCAATAGTGCTTGGCTCACTGCAACCTCTGCCTACCGGGTTCAAGCAATTCTCCTGCCTCAGCCTCCTGAGTAGCTGGGATTACAGGCATGAGCCACCACGCCCAGCTAATTTTTGTATTTTTAATAGAGACAGGGTTTCTCCATGTTGGCCAGGCTGGTCTCGAACTCCTGACCTTAGGTCATCCACCCGCCTCCGCCTCCCCAAGTGCTGGGATTACAGGCGTGAGCCACCGCGCCTGGCCCTTGAGCCTTAATTTTCTCAAGGTTCAAATTAATCCCTAGCTTTAAATTAGTTGCCACCTTCCAAAGCTGCCTTCACTTTCTAAGCTATTTGACTGCTTTTTTATGATGACTACGTTTGTACCTAGACAAGTGACATGTTAACTCCAGAAGTTCTGTGTGTGTTTCTGGCGGACTCCTCTGGTGAGGCACAGCTGGGTGGTCTCGTTTGGAACTCTGTCTTAGTGGTGATTCTTAAGCACAGACATTCACCTAGCTTCACATGCAGCCCACTCACAGTGGTGAATAGGGCCAAATATTTAAGACCATCTGAGAATACCTGCAACAACTTTGTTATATCTCATCACCTCACACATGCTAGAAGAATACTCTTAGGAAGTTTTGAGCAAATGCTATAATTTGCTCCAGCAATAGGCTTAAAAATACCATGCCAAATATTTCTCAACTACAATTTCATATTTCAATTTTTATGAAAACAGTGCAATAAGTATCTGTATCTTTTGATAATCATAATAGTATCATTTTTAACAGAAACTATATGACATAATAACATTGATTTAGTTAGCTAAATTCTGGTGTTATGTTACTTGGAGATGAACATAGATTTCTTTGGGTTTGATTATTCTGGTTACTAAGAAACAGAGACTCAATTCTCATTAAGTACCTTCTGGAGCAAGGTTTCGTATGCCTGGAAGAAAGAAATTATTATTATTTTATTGATTTATCAATTTCATGATATATTTATCACTGTAATATAATGCTTAACATTTTTAAAGACATTATAAAAATCCCACAAAACAAATCAATTTGTGTACTTGTTTACTAATTGTTGCTATTTTTCCCCTGCCCTAGCTTGCCAAGTAGTCTGTGACTGCAATCATTCACACCATTTCTCAAAAAAGAATGAAGGGTCATTTATTAACATTTGCATTGTACTTGGTGGATTATCCAAGAAAAATGTTTAATCTTAAATTAGGTACTGTTACTTAGCACACTTCAGAAAGATCTCTTCAGTTTTAGTAAAAAAAAAAGAATGATCATAACAACAGCTATAATTAGTTGAGTAGTTGCTATGTGTTACTATGTGTTTCATTACCTGCCACATCATGATCATTATAATCATTTCACACATATTATCTCATTTAATCCTTGTAGCAAATATGAGAGGTAAGTTTTCGTTTTTGTTTTTGAGACAGTCTCACTCTGTTGCCCAGGCTGGAGTGCTGCGGCACAATCTTGGCTCACTGCAACCTCGGCTTCCCAGGTTCAAGCAATTCTCCTTCCTCAACCTCCCAAGTAGCTGAGATTACAGGTGCCCCCCACCACACCTAATTTTTGTATTTTAGTAGAGACGGGGTTTCACCATGTTGGCCAGGCTGGTCTCAAACTCCTGACCTCAAGCGATCCACCCACCTCAGCCTCCCAAACTTTTTTTTTAAATTTATTTTTTATTTTTTAAAAAAGGTCAAATAATCTTGAGAGAGAAAAAAATTGATCATATCAACTTGCTTAAAACCCTTTCACATAGCTCTCTGCTGTTTGTAGGATAAAGTCTAAATTCCTAGCATGTTCTGTCTTTAATGACAACGAGAAAAAAAATTCTTAGTGTGTCCTTCATGACCAGACCTGATGTTTCTCACCTCTGCTCTCATGGAAAGCCCCCTCTTCTCTTACACACTTATTAACACAAGCTAATCTTTTAGTATTTCAGTATTTAACTCACAAATCTATTCCTTTATTAATCCTTTTCTTTTTTCTTTTTTTGAGACAAAGTCTCACGCTGAGGTGCCGTATCGGGATCTCGGCTCACTGCAACCTCTGCCTCCTGGGCTCAAGCACTCAAGCAATCCTCCTGCCTCAGCCTCCATAGTAGCTAGGACTACAGGCACACATCACGATGCCTGTCTAATTTTTCTATTTTTGATAGAGATGGGGTTTCGCCATGTTGTCTGGGCTGGTCTCGAATTCCTGAGCTCAAGTGATCCTCCCTCCTTGACCTCCCAAAGTGCTGGGATTACAGGCTCCAGCCACCGCACCCAGTCATTAATCCTTTTCTGATCTGGCACTGTTAAAGGAGTTATTAAAAATAATTTTAGGCAGATAGAGAGGAAAAGGGGTCCTTGGAAAGTTTTCTCGTCCTTTAAAGCAGCTCCAGAAACGTTTTTTGTCTAGCAGGAAAGCCCTGGCTCTTACAGCCGGGAAGGCAACCTTTGATATGCAAATACAGGTCTTTAGAAACTGGGTCCACCCAAACATGGCGATTCCCGCCCTTGTCTTCCTGTCCTTTCCCCGACCTGTACCTGGCAACATGGCCACCCCCACATATCCCCACGTGTGTAGAACATCATGGCGCCCTTCATTTGCATATTAAAAGACTAGGGTAGGAGGGCCAGTTTTTTCCACAGGCTACATGAGTGACATGCCTGGTCAAACCAATCCCCTGAGCCCTATGCAAATCAGACACTACCTCCTCCTGCCTACTCATATAAGCAGCCACTTTTCCCGGCACATGAGGTCTCCCCTCTCTGCTTTGGAGTCCTTCTCCCTCTGTCTCAGTACAGGGGAGCTTCTTCCGTCTTTCTTCTCCCTTGTTTCTTGCCTATTAAACTCTCCGCTCCTTAAAGCCGCTCCACCTGTGTCCGTGTCGTTTTATCTAATTCGCGTGAGACAAGAGCCCTGGTGTTCCTCCACTTATCAGCCATATCAGCACCTCACCCACTGGTGGGTCTGACTACTCTCTCTTTTGTGTCCTGCCCATACCCTGCATAGGATAGTTGAATTTGTTTACTTGTTTTCTCACTCCTATAAACTCCTTGAAGGCAGTTTTTTCTTACTTACCCTTGGAATCTTTGTATCCCAGTGCTTTGCAATTCCTGGTACTGGATAAATATTTGTTCAATAAAAGGATGGTGCTGACCTTACTTTGACCCTTGATACTCTATTTCCACCAATCAGATGTTAGTTTCTAATGTGTGCTAATGCTAAATATACTTACCTTGAGGGCTGTTGTCAGGCTTAAAAAAGATCATGACTGTAAATATCTGGGACAGAGTACAGCTCACAGAAAGTGCTAATTAAAAGGCTAGTTTCCTTCCCTTCCCTGTGACTGCTTTTGGCTTCCTAATTTAATCACATTCTGGTTGTGGTCTTCGTAGGGGACCGTAACCCTTACACAAGTTAACTCCACTTTATTTCACCTTAGCAGGCAGAGCTTGAGCCTTCCTCTTAATAGAGAACTAATGGGAAATACTGGGAAAAGCATAGACTCCGAGTTGTGAGGCTTGGATTTGAATATCACTTATAAATTGTGTGATATCACTTATAAATTGTCTTTCTGAATTGTGGCTTCTCATATTTAAAATGGAGAAAATAATATGAATCTCTTAATTGGGGTTTCCCCCCACCAAGAAAGCACAGCTGATGATGGCAACTCACCTCTTGAACTTCTGTTAATTGTGCTTTTGTCATAACCAATGAAGCATTTCTTTCATGTAAGAGCTTCTTAAGTCGAATCAGCTCTACCTTCTCTTTAATGGAAGCTCTGCAGAGAAAGGCGCTAAATTATTCTGTCTGAACATGGATAGAATTAAAGACATTTTCTCCTTGACTATGCCCTAGTAAGAATACCTCCCTCTTGTCTCTTGCCTTCCCGTCTTACCCACACTAGAACACAAGTATGTGGTGTATGTACAGTCTAGTAAATAATCTCCTTTCTCCCATTTCTCATCACGCCAGCCAAGATTTGATAGAGATCACTAACCTTAAGCTTATGTTATGAGAAAAGATAATAACTACTTTTTTAAATGATGGTGTTCATAATTTCCCACAAACCTTGCAATGTCAAGCTAGGTCTCAGCCGTTTCCTTAGAGAAACCAGTGAGGTTTGAACGTGCTAGAAAACTTAAAAAGAAGATTATGAACCAGGCACCGTGGCTCACGCCTATAATCCCAGCACTTTGGGAGGCTGAGGCGGGCAGATGGCCTGAGGTCAGGAGTTGGAGACCAGCCTGGGCAACATGGCAAAACCTTGTCTTTACTAAAAACACAAAAGTCAGATGGGTGTGGTGGCATAAGCCTGTCATCCCAGCTATGGACACTGGGCAAGAGAATCGCTTGAACTGCGGGAGGCGGAGGTTGCAGTGAGCTGAAATCAGCTTAGGCAACAGAGTGAGATTCTGTCTCAAAAAATAACAATAGTGGCCGAGTGCGGTGGCTCAGGCCTGTAATCCCAACACTTTGGGAAGTTGAGGCGGGCAGATCACGAGGTCAAGAGATTGAGACCATCCTGGCCAACATAGTGAGACCCCATCTCTACTAAAAATACAAAAATTAGCTGGGTGTGGTGGTGCGCACCTGTAGTCCCAGCTACTCAGGAGGCTGAAGCAGGAGAATTGCTTGAACCTGGGAGGGGGAGGTTGCAGTGAGCCGAGATTGCACCACTGCACTCCAGCCTGGCGACAACAGAGTGAGACTGTCTCAAAAAATAATGATAATAATAATAATAATAGTAAAATACACCCGGCACGGTGGCTCACGCTTATAATCCCAGCACTTTGGAAGGCTGAGGCGGGTGGATCACGAGGTCAAGAGATTAAGACCATCCTGGCCAACGTGGTGAAACCCCGTCTCTACTAAAAATACAAAAATTAGCTGGGCATGGTGGCGCACACCTGTAGTCCCAGCTACTCGGGAGGCTGAGGCAGGAGAATCACTTGAACCTGGGAGGTGGAGATTACAGTGAGCTGAGATCTCGCCACTGCACTCCAGCTTGGGTGACAGAGTGAGTCTCTGTCTCGGAAAATAAAAATAAAATAAAATAAAATAATAGAAAGAAGATTAGGCTGGGCGCAGGGGCTCACGCCTGTAATCCCAGCACTTTGGGAGGTCGAGGAAGGCGAATCACCTGAGGTCAGGAGTTCGAGACCAGCCTGGCCAACATGGTGAAACCCCCTCTCTACTAAAAATATAAAAATTAGCCAGGTGTGGTGGTGGGTGCCTGTAATCCCAGCTACTCAGGAGGCTGAGGCAGGAGAATTTGCTTGAACCCGGAAGATGGAGATTGCAGTGAGCTGACAAGGTGCCACTACACTTCAGCCTGGGCAACAAAGTGAGACTCTGTCTCAAAAAAAAAAAAAAAAAAAAAAAAAAAAAAAAAAAAAGACTATTATTCCTGAACCTAGGAGCTCACGTTTTCTTTATTGTTTGAAAGATTGAAAGAGATACTGGGGAGGATTTGGGTTCACTCCACTCTATCTCATTGATTCCCTGTCTAGCTGCTGATTAGAATAACCTGGAGAGATCTTAAAATTACACTGCCTGAATTCTACCCCCCAAATAATTGAAAGGGAATCTCAGAGATGGGGCCCAGGGATCTGTTATGGTCTTTTTTTGTTTTGTTTTGTTTTGTTTTTGAGACAGAGTCTTGCTCTGTTGCCCAGGCTGGAGTGCAGTAGCATAATCTTGGCCCAGTGCAACCCCTGCCTCTCGGGTTCAAGCTATTCGCCTGCCTCAGCCTCCCAAGTAGCTGGAATTACAGGCATGAGCCATCACACCCGGCTAATTTTGGTATTTTCAGTAAAGATGGGGATTCACCATGTTGGCCAGGCTGTTTTCGATCTCCTGACCACAAATGATCCACCCACCTTGGCCTCCCAAAGTACTGGGATTACAGGCATAAGCCACCGCACCCGGCCTGGATCTGTGGTTTTAAAATATCTCCAGGTTGAAAACTTATATCCATACAAAAAACGACACATAATGTTAATAGCAGCTTTATTCATAATTGCCAAAACTTGGAAGCAACTAAGACATCTTTCGGTAGCTGAATGGATAAATAAACTGGTACATGTAGACAATCGAATGTTATTTGGTGTTTTGAAAAAATGAGCTTTCAAACCTTAAAAGACATGGAGCAAGCTTAAATGCATATTACTAAGTGAAAGAAGCCAATTTGAAAAGGCCACATACTGTGTAATCCCAACTATATGACATTCTAGAAGAGGCAAAACTGGAGACAGTAAAAAGATCAGTGGTTGCCAGGACTGGAGGTAAAAGACATGACTAGGTGGAACACAGAGGACTTTTGGGGGAGTAAAGCTATTCTGTATGATGCTATAATGATGGATACATGTCCTTACACATTTGTCAAAACCCATAGAATGTACAACACCGGCCAGGCGCAGTGGCTTACGCCTGTAATCCCAGCACTTTGGGAAGCTGAGACAGGCGGATTACGAGGTCAGGAGATCGAGACCATCCTGGCTAACATGGTGAAACCCCGTCTCTACTAAAAATACAAAAAAATTAGCCGGGCATGGTGGCGGGCGCCTGTAGTCCCAGCTACTCAGGAGGCTGAGGCAGGAGAACGGCATGAACCCAGGAGGCAGAGCTTGCAGTGAGCCGAGATCACGCCACTGCCCTCCAGCCTGGGCAACTGAGCGAGACTCCATCTCAAAAAAAAAAAAAGAATGTACAACACCAAGAATGAACCCTAATGTAAACTATTAAATGATGGTCAGGTGATAATGATGTGTCAATGTAGTTTCACTGATTGTAACAAATGCACCACTCTGGTACGGGGTGCTGATAGTTGGGGAGGCTGTGTGTGTATGGAGGCAATGGGTATACAGGAACTCTATTTCCTGCTTAATTTTGCTATAAAACTAAAACTTGTCTGAAAAATACATTTTTAAAAAAGTTTTCCAGGAATTTATGCACAGAGAGGGCTAAGAATCCCTATCTGGTGATGAGGATGAAGTCGTTTTCCTTCTATATAGTGAGGCAGCAAATATCCTTTTATACATAAACTTATCTCCTTTAGGTTAATTTCTTTCTTTCTTTCTTTCTTTCTTTCTTTCTTTCTTTCTTTCTTTCTTTCTTTCTCTCTCTCCTTCCTCCCTCCCTTCCTTCCTTCCTTCCCTCCCTCCCTCCTTCCTTCTTTCCTCTTTTTTTTTTTTTTGACAGAGTTTTGCTCTTGTTGCCCAGGCTGGAGTGCAATGGTGCAATCTCGGCTCACTGCAACCTCCGCCTCCCAGGTTCAAGGGATTTTCCTGCCTCAGCCTCCTGAGTAGCTGGGATTACAGGCACCGGCCACCATACCTGGCTAGTTTTTTTGTATTTTTAGTACAGACGGGGTTTCACCACGTTGGCCAGGCTGGTCTTGAACTCCCGATCTCAGGTGATCCACCTGCCTTGGCCTCCTAAAGTGCTGGGATTACAGGCGTGAGCCACTGCGCCCAGAAGGTTAATTCATTTCTTTTCTTTTCTTTTCTTTTTTTTTTTTTGAGACCAAGTTTTGTTCTTGTTGCCCAGGCTAGAGTGCAATGGCGTTATCTCAGCTCACTGAAACCTCTGCCTCCCAGGTTCAAGTGATTCTCCTGCCTCAGCCTCCCTAGTAGCTGGGATTTACAGGTGCCTGCCACCATGCCTGGCTAATTTTTGTATTTTTAGTAGAGACAGGGTTTCTCCATGTTGGCGAGGCTGGTCTCGAACTCCTGACCTCAGGTGATCGGCCTGCCTCGGCCTCCCAAAGTGCTGGGATTACAGGCGTGATCCATGGTGCCCGCAGGTTAATCCATTTCTTAACCTACGAGGGACTCCGTGTCTACTACTCCGATTGAATTTAATCCCAAACACTCTTTTCCTCTGAGATGGAGGAAAGGTATAAATAAGAATCTCTTAGCTTTTTCAGTTCGTTTTGGTTTGAGGCATGGAGTGCCACACTCTTACCGAAGCTCTGCAGCCTTCTGAGCACACTCCAATGAGCTTCTCTGTTCAAAATTTTCATCTTTAGGCCACATTTTCTCAGGAGACTTGGGTGGCTCTTCCACTTGCATGGTATTGCTGGCCATGATGTGGGCACTGTTAGGCATGCATAGACCAATGGGTTTAGCCATACTTATGACACTGCTGAAAGAAATTATGCTGTTAGAACCAGAAACACTAAATACAAAAAGGATACTTAGAAACTGTTGTTACAGGAGTTTAGAATTGGGTTCTTACACATATAAAAAGAAATTAAGTGAATCAGTAACCTTGGTACATGTCGAGGAAAATCTTATAAAATACAGCTTTCAAATGTCAAACAAAACATAAAGGAATTATGGGCCAGGCGTGGTGGCTCACACCTGTAATCCCAGCACTTTGGGAGGCCAAGGCGAGCAGATCACAAGGTCAGGAGTTGGAGACAAGCCTGGCCAACATAGTGAAACCCTGTGTCCACTAAAAATACAAAAATTAGCTGGGCATGGTGGCACATGCCTGTAGTCCCAGCTACTTAGGAGGCTGAGGCAGGAGAATTGCTTGAACCTGGGAGGCAGGGGTTGCAGTGAACCAAGATCACGCTGCTGCACTCCAGCCTGGGCAACAGAGCAAGACTCCATCTCAAAAAAAAAAAAAAAAAAAAAACACAACAAAGGAATTATGACCTAAGGAAAAAAATATAAATGTAAATAGAGGGAATACCTTCAACTGAGAAATGGACCTTTATTTTCATTTCCTCAGAGAACAGAGAGACGCTTGTTTTCCACTTTTAAGCAATGAAGTTGGAATTTGACCTAGGGTCGACTTTCATCTTCCCTGATCATGCTGAAAAGACTCAAATCACCAACATTCATTTGTTCCCTAAATGATGTCTTTCTAATTAAAGTGGCAGGAATAACAACATGGGATAAATGAGAAGAACTCACAGTTCACTGGGTTTACTGGCTACTTCACCTCTGTTTTCATTTGTCGCATGCTCCTTAAACGATGGAGGGGCTGTGTAGCTCAGCCTGTCCCTTGGCCCTAAAAGTTTAGACAGAAGATGCAGACTCGGGCAACAGTACCCTCCGGAACACCAAGTACTGAAACTGGAACATGAAGGGCTGGGCATAGAGTCTTGAGACCTGGGTGAAACCCTTGTATGACAAATGGTCCCCGAGGAGCAGTTTTTTTTTTACTCTTGCAAAAAACTGCAACTAAAGTCAGCCAGACTATAGATCCTCAAGTGAGTAAGTACAAATAGGAAGAAAAAAGAAAGGTGGAAGCTTGTCCAGGGCAGAGACTGTGTGTCTAACTCTAACCATCTTTGTATCTAGTGCCCAGTACATAACAGGTGGCCAGCTATGCTGAACTGTTAAATGGAACTGAAATTTAAATTCATGCAAGTTTTCTACTTTCAGTTGTTTTTGCATGCGTTTGGTTGTCTGGAGTATGGAACTTGAAATTATAGGACCACACTAAGCAAAATAAGTGAGTACTTACTAATAAAATAAGAGTACTTAATGAAATGCTGTGTGTAGATTTCCTTTACCTAGGTTACTCATTCCTGATTTAGGGCCATGAGAATGAGGTGTCTACTCTAGAGATTCAACGTTGAGTTTTCTTTTTGGGGGTTTTGTTTTGTTTGTTTTTTGAGGCAGAGTGTCACTCTGTTGCCCAGGCTGGAGTTCAGTGGTGCCATCTGGGCTCACTGCAGCCTCCGCCTCCCAGGCTCAAGCGATCCTCCCACATCAGCTTCCCAAGTAGGTGGGACTGCAGGCATGTGCCACCAGGCTTGGCTAATTTTTTATTATTATTATTATTATTATTATTATTATTATTATTATTATTATTTTGAGACAGAGTCTCGCTCTGTCGCCAGGCTGGACTGCAGTGGTGCAATCTCAGCTCACTGCAACCTCCGCCTCCCGAGTTCAAGTGATTCTCCTGCCTCAATCTCTCGAATAACTGGGACTACAGGTGCGCGCCACCATGCCCAGCTAATTTTTGTATTTTTATTAGAGACGGGGTTTCACCATGTTGGACAAGGATGGTCTCCATCTCCTGACCTGTTGTCTGATTCTGCCCTCAGCGACACTCCATGGTGAATTTAGAATTTTGAATCTGATATCCCAACTCAGGAAATAAAGATTTTAGGGAGGCAGAAAGGAGGGAGTGAGAACAAAAGAACAAAATGGGGTGGTGGGCAGAAGAAGGCAGTGAGGAAAACGTGGCTGGCACATCAGTCCTTCCCAGTGTCTTAGCCCTGTAGGGGATGTAGCCTTAAATCTCACCCCTCTTGGGTTTCTCCGGCACCGGTGCACCGGCTGTGTGGAGCTGTCTGTGTCCCACTTGGACGCGAGGCTGGGCGCGGCGGGGGCTGGCAGGGCCGACGCAGTGGAAATGCCCTTGCAGTCGGTGCATCTGGGGGCGCTGGTGCATGGAGAGGCGCTGCCGCCATCCCGCCTTCTGCCCGCGCCTTGCGGTCTCCGAGAGCGGCGCCGCCTCCTCCGCGACCCGCAGGTCCCGGCCAGCAGCGGTCAACCGCAGCAAGGTGGTCCTCAGCCTGTGGACAAATAGAGCACGTGGCTTCTCCTTTCATGACAGTTATTATTTCTACGGGTTATTTGGGACATATAATCACGAATTGATCTATAATATGTATTCATCTACCGTGATCTATTAACCACACTTTAAAAAGATTAGCCTTCTGTCCCCAGTACACTGTAACTCTTTGAGGGCAGGGCCATTGTGATACCTGTCTTTATTTTATTGCAGTGATTACACCCTTATCTTAGTAAAAAAAAAAAAAAAAAAAAAAAAAAAGTTGAGCCACTACCCCAATAGTATTTGTGTGCATTTAAAAAAATTATATATAGACTTGTTTTTGTACTAATAAATTGTCATTATAAAACAAAATATGTATGTTTAAATGGGTGACAAATATAAATAACAATTTTAATATTTGCTTTTTCTATCCCACTTGTCTACACACCCCTGTATATGTGCTCCAAATTAAGGATAACTCCTTTATAACTTTTAGTAACAATTTTTATTTGTTATCTTGACCTAAAATCATGGTTTTTTTGCTACTATCTGATTCTATGCTCTCACTGTGCTATGGCCTGAATTGTGTCCCCACTCAAAATTCTTATGTTGAAGCCTTAACCCCCAGTGTGACTGTATCTGGACATTGGGTGTTCCGGAGGCTTTTTTTTTTTTTTTTGAGACGGACTTTTTCTCTTGTTTCCCAGGCTGGAGTGCAATGGCACGATCTCAGCTCACCACAACCTCTGCCTCCCAAGTTCAAGCGATTCTCCTGCCTCAGCCTCCTGAGTAGCTGGGATTACAGGCATGCGCCACCACGCCTAACCACAAAATACTAATTTTGTATTTTTAGTAGAGACAGGGTTTCTCCATGTTGGTCAGGCTGATCTCGAACTCCTGACCTTAAGTGATTCGCCCGCCTTGGCCTCCCAAAGTGTTGGGATTACATGCGTGAGCCACCGCGCCCGGCCTTTGGAGGTTATTAAGTTTAAATGAGTTCACAAGGGTGGGGCCCTAACTGGATAGGACTGTGGCCTTGTAACAAGAGATCTCCCTCTCCCACCTCCCAAGACACAGTGAGAAAGCAGCAGTCAGCAAGCTAGAAAGATGGCCCTTACCAGGATCCAACCACGCTGACACTTTGATCTCAGACTTCCAGCTTCAGAACTCTGAGAAAACCAATGTCTGTTGTTTCAGCCACCCAGTCCGTGGTATTTTGTTATGGCATCCTGAGCTGACTAAGACACACTGCCCGTCTGTTCTGACATTTACTAACTGTAGCTTTGGCCATGCCACTTAACCTTTCTGTGCTCAGTTTCCTCATTTATAAATAAAGATAAATAGAAAAAGATAAAAGCAGTAGATTGTTGTGAGGATTAATAAGCTTATATATAAATATATATGTAAAATGCTTAGAACAGTGGGGTTACACTGTAAGGGCTTCAGGTGTGAGCTATTATTATTACATATCATTATACCCAGATAAAGAAAACAAGGTGTAAAATAGCTATGTAACTTGCCCAAAGCCAGGGGCATAGAATCCAGATTAACCATTTAGCATCCATAATCTCAAGTACTCTTTGATTATCAACCAAGAAACTAGATTTTTTGGCCCATACAACCTTCTGACTTCACTCAAGTCACTAGATTCTCAAGTTCTCAACAATTAAAAAAAAAAAAATCGGCCCTTTGCGGTGGCTCACGCCTGTAATCCTAGCACTTTGCCGGGCTGAGGTGGGCGGATCACCTGAGGTCAGGAGTTCGAGACCAGCCTGACTAACATGGAGAAACCCTGTCTGTAATTAGCTGCACGTGGTGGCACATGCCTGTAATCCCAGCTACTTGGGAGGCTGAGGCAGGAGAATCGCTTGAATCTGAGAGGCGGAGGTTGCGGTGAGCCGAGATCACGCCATTGCACTCCAGCCTGGGCAACAAGAGCGAAACTCCCATCTCAAAAAAAAAAAATCACCAACTCTGAAGAGTGCTGATCCACAATGGAGGCCTGCATTCCTGCAGATTCTTTTTTTTTTTTTTTTTTTTTTTATGAGACAGAGTCTCACTCTGTTGCTCAGGCTGGAGCACAGTGGTGCGATCTCTGCTCACTAGAGCCTCAGCCTCCCGGGTTCAAGAGATTCTCCTGCCTCAGCCTCCCGAGTAGCTGGGATTACAGGCGCCCACCACCACACCCAGCTAATTTTTGTATTTTTAGTAGAGACGGGGTTTCACCATGTTGAACAGGCTGGTCTTGAACTCCGGACCTAGTGATCTACCCGCCTTGGCTTCCCAAAGTACTGGAATTACAGGCATGAGCCACCACGCCCGGCCAATCCTGCAGATTCTAAACGAAGATCTTAATCACTCCTGGGGGTTACAATGAGAAAGCAAAACACTGCCCTTGACATTAGGAAACTGGTCTGACACAACTGGTCCTCAGTGTTGTTTGAAGCTAGTCTGTGCTATCTCCATTTGTTTTTGTTTTCGTTTTGAGACCGAATCTCACTCTGTCACTCAGCCTGGAGTGCAGTGGCGCAATCCTTGCTTACTACAACCTCCGCCTCCTGGGTTCAAGCGATTCTCTTGCCTCAGCCTCCTGAGTAGCTGGGATTATAGGCGCCTGCCACCACGCCCGGATAATCTTTGTATTTTTAGAAGAGACGGGGTTTCACCACGTTGGCCAGGCTGGTCTCTGAACTCCTGACCTCAGGTGATCTGCCCACCTCAGCCTCCCAAAGTGTTGGAACTACAGGCATGAGCCACCGTGCCCAGCCACTATTCTTTTGGACACCTCACAGAACATCAACATGAAACAAGTTCACTCCAAAACCATGATAGAATGATACAAAACAAGTCCACTGCCTAATTTTGTCTGCTTACAGACAAAATTAGTGTCACTGCCACCCACAAAATACCAAACATCCTTCTCTCCAGGTTAATATGAGTGACTGCAACTTCTTTACCAATCATGGCTTCAGCCTTGCACTAGTTTACCCTCCCTGTAGATAAGATTTATTGATACTTGATTCCAGGAAGTTGAGGCTAAAGTGAGCTGAGACTGCACCACTGCACTCCAGCCTGTGTGCCAGAGTGAGACCCTATCTCAAAAAAAAGAAAGAAAGAAAGAAAGAAAGAAAGAAAGAAAGAAAGAAAGAATAATTTATTGAGATACCGAAACATAGAATTGTGCTTGCTTTCTGACAGCATGAAATCTGGAGCAAACTTCTGTTTCCTTGGATCCTCCCCCAAAATCACCCAATCAAACAAAGCTTAGATACTATAATAAGTTCTAACACATTTGCTGAGATGCCTTTAGTTCCCCTGGTGTGCATATTCTCTAGCTGTAATGAATAAGCCCAGCTTGCTCAACTGTTGGTATGTTCCTGGTGGTCCTTGGCTGGAAGGCATTGACACCAGTATCTTCAAAATGTGTCCTAGAGATAGACTCCAGACTTTGAGAACTCCCATTCTTCCCATCTGTTTACCTTCCCTCACCTCCGTCTCAGATTTCTTTCCAGGTCCCCATTTTCTAAAGAAAGAAATCTAAGATCACTGTATATAATAATATGTTTTGAAGTTAAGAGTTTTTCCCACTGGGACAGGCGCGGTGGCTCACACCTGTAATCCCAGCACTTTGGGAGGCCGAGGCAGGCGGATCACTTGAGGAAAGGAGTTCGAGACCAGCGTGGCCAACATGGTGAAACCCTGTCTCTACTAAAAATACAAAAATTAGTCAGGCATGGTGGCACATGCTTGTAATCCCAGTTACTTGGGAGGCTGAGGCAGGAGAATCACTTGAACCCGGGAGGCAGAGATTGCCGGTGAGCCGAGATTGCGCCACTGCACTCAAACCTGAGTGACACAGCAGGACTCTGTCTCAAAAACAAAACAAAACAAAACAAAACAAAAAGAGATTCCACCTCTGTTATGCACTAGGTATGATCTCAGGCAACTTATTTAACCTCTTTATGCTTCCTTTTCCTCTTAATAATACCTCTTCAGACTATTAAATGAATTAATACTTTTTTTTTTTTTTTTTAGATGGAGTCTTGCTCTTGTCGCCCAGGCTGGAGTGCAATGGCACAATTTCGGCTCACTGCAACCTCTGCCTCCTGGGTTCAAGTGATTCTGCTTCAGTCTCCCGAGTAGCTGGGATTTCAGGCGCCCACCACCACGCCCAGCTAATTTTTGTATTTTTAGTAGAGACAGGGTTTCATCATGTTGGTCAGGCTGGTCTTGAACTCCTGACCTCGTGATCCACCCGCCTTGGCCTCCCAAAGTACTGGGATTATAGGCGTGAGCCACTGTGGCTGGCTAATTAATACTATTTCTAATAAATTAACTGGGCACGATGGGTCATGCCTGTAATCCCAGTACTTTGGGCGGCCAAGATGGGGGGATCATTTGAGGTCAGGAGTTTGAGACCAGCCTGGCCAACATGGTGAAACCCCATCTCTACAAAAAATACAAATATTAAGGCCTGGCGTGTTGGCTAATGCCTGTAATCCCAGCACTTTGGGAGGCCAAGGTGGGTGGATCACCTGAGGTCAGGAGTTTGAGACTACCGTGGCCAACAGGGTGAAACCCCATCTCTACTAAAAAAAAAAAAAAATTAGCCAGGCATGGCTGGGCACAGTGGCTCACACCTGTAATCCTAGCGCTTTGGGAGGCCGAGGCAGGCTGATTGCCTGAGCTCAGGAGTTCGAGACCAGCCTGGGCAGCACGGCCAGTGGTGGCAGTGGGCACCTATAGTCCCAGCTACTCGGGAGGCTGAGGCAGGAGAATCGCTTGAATCCGGGAGGCGGAAGTTGCAGTGAGCCGAGATCGCACCACTGCACTCCAGCCTGGGCGACAGATGGAGACTCCGTCTCCAAAAAAAAAAAAAAAATTAGCTGGCCATGGTGGTGTGTGCCTGTAGTCACAGCTACTTGGGAGGCTGAGACAGGAGAGTTGCTTGAACCTGGGAGGTGGAGGTTGCAGTGAGCCGAGACTGCGCCACTGCACTCCAGCTTGGGCAACGGAGCGAGGTTTCATCTCAAAACAACAAAAAAAATTACTCTGACGTGGTGGTGCAAGCTTGTAATTCCAGCTACTCAGGAGGCTGAGGGAGGGGAATCGCTTGAACCCAGTAGGCAGAGGTTGCAGTGAGCCGAGATCACACCACTGCACTCCAGCCCAAACAGAGTGAGACTCTGTCTCAAAAATAAATAAAAATTGGCTGGCGTGGTGGCTCAAGCCTGTAATCCCAGCAATTTGGGAGGCCGAGGCAGGCGGATCACCTGAGGTCAAGAGTTCAAGACCAGCCTGACCAACATGGAGAAACCCCGTCTATACTAAAAATTAGCTGAGTGTGGTGGCGCATGCCTATAATCCCAGCTACTTGGGAGGCTGAGGCAGGAGAACCACTTGAATCCTGGAGGCGGAGGTTGCGGTGAGCTGAGATCATGCCATTGCGCTCCAGCCTGGGCAACAAGAGCAAAACTCCATCTCAAAAAAAAAAAAAAAAAAAAAATCTCAAAAATAAATAAATAAATAAATAAATAAATGTATAGATAGCACTTACAACATGCCTGCAGGGATCAATACGATCTTTAGTTTTCTTTTGTAAATAAAGACCCCTTCTTTTACTTGCCCCTGCAGGCTTTTCTCCTCTGAAATTTTGACCATTCCACCTATCTCCATCCCCTCAGTTGTGACCAGGGGAGGAACCTGTCCAGTCTCTTATTCTGTGGACTGAAATATTATCACCCAAGCTCTTAATGATGCTCTGTGTCCTGTGGTCACAGTCTATCGACATGTTTGGCAAAAAAATTGACTAAAGAAATATTGCTTCAAAAATTATTTTTGGGCCGGGCAGAGTGGCTCGCATCTGTAAACCCAGCACTTTGGGAGGCCGAGGTGGGTGCATCATCTGAGGTCAGGAGTTCAAGACCAACCTGGCCAACATGGCGAATCCCCATCTCTACTTAAAAATACTAAATTAGCTGGGCATGGTGACGCATGCCTATAATCCCAGCTACTTGGGAGGCTGGGGCAGGAGAATTGCTTGAATCTGGAGGCGGAGGTTGCAGTGAGCCAAGATCATGCCACTGCATTCCAGCCTGGGCAACAGAGCAAGGCTCCGTCTCAAAAAAAAAAAAAAAAAAAAAAAAAAAAAAAATTTAAGGAGAACTCTAAGTACCTTTTGATCTCATCCTGTTGCTTCCAAGAAAGCTCCTTCACCAACATGTGATCTTCGCGAAGTCGAAAGAAACTGTCCTCCAATTCCTCCCGGTTCATCCTGCTCAAGGGTGGTTGAGTTTTCATATTCTTACCTAAAGTCCCAGAAAACAGTAAATGGACAGTATTTTTACACCTATTTTTTGAACCCTTTAGATGTCTCATCACATCTTGTCCAGAGAGCATAAATCTATCTTGAGTCAAGTATTTATGAGGAAATCAGGAAGTATGAGAAATGACTCTGGGCCAGGCGCAGTGGCTCACACCTGTAATCCCAGCACTTTGGGAAGCTGAGGCAGGCAGATTGTGAGGTCAGGAGTTCGAGTCCAGCCTGACCAACATGGTGAAACCCGGTCTCTACTAAAAATACAAAATTAGCTGGGCGTGGTGGCACGTGCCTGTAATCCCAGCTACTCAGGAGGCTGAGGCAGGAGAATTGCTTGAGCCTGGGAGGCAGAGGTTGCCATGAGCCGAGATCGTGCCACTGTACTCCACCCTGGGTGACAGAGCAAGACTCTGCCTTGGAAAAAAAAAAAAACAAAAACAGAAATGACTCCTACTGGGTCCCTGGAGACCCTTTCTATATTATCACAGCATGAGGTATAACTCGACCTTCCGTCTAGAAAGTACATTCTCTAGATAAAAATATCCAATTAGGCTTTTATTTTACTTAATTTTTCTTTTTAGTTTCTTCTTCTTCTTTTTTTTTTTTTTTTTTTGAGACAGGGTCTCGCTCTGTCACCCAGTCTAGAGTACACTGGTGTGATCTTGGCTCACTGCAACCTCCACCTCCCAGGTTCAAGTGATTCTCCTGCCTCAGCCTCCAGAGTAGCTGGGATTGCAGGTGCCTGCCACCACACCCAGCTAATTTCTTCCATTTTTTTTTTTTTTAAGAGACGGAGTCTCGCACTCTCGCCCAGGCTGGAGTGCAGTGGCGCCATCTCGGCTCACTGCAAGCTCCGCTTCCCAGGTCCACACCATTCTCCTGCCTCAGCCTCCCGAGTACCTGGGACTATAGGCGCCAGCCACCACACCTGGCTAATTTTTTTGTATTTTTAGTAGAGACGGGGTTTCTCCATGTTAGCCAGGATGGTCTCGATCTCTTGACCTTGTGATCCACCCGCTTCGGCCTCCCAAAGTGCTGGGATTACAGGTGTGAGCCACCGTGCCCAGCTTAATTTTTGTATTTTTAGTAGAGACAGGGTTTCACCATGTTGGCCAGGCTAGTCTCCAACTCCTGACCTCAGGTGATCCACCTGCCTCGGCCTCCCAAAGTGCTGGGATTACAGGCATGAGCCACCATGCCCAGCCTATTCTTCTATTTTTTTCTCCTTATTAGATAATTTGGACCTACACAAGGATTGTTCCCATGACTGTCTTCAAAAACCCAGTAAGGAAAAGGATAAAAACTTTTTTTGATTTCCAAGAACCATCTCGTTTGTTTTTTTGGTCAGGAGAAACTGTCCCCAAAGCTGCCTCCTAGGACAAGAGCCTCTGCTTGGTCTAAGCAGAGGAAACTGGAGCACACTTTTCATTGTGAGTGTTCACTGGCCCAGGTCTGCTCTGATCTCATGGTGAATGGGAACCATATTTTTTATTTTTTTGCGTTTATTTACTTATTTATTGAGACAGAGTTTCGCTCTTTTTGCCCAGGCTGGAGTGCAATGGTGCGATCTCGGCTCACTGCAACCTCTGCCTCCCAGGTTCAAGCAATTCTCCTGCCTCAGCCTCCCAAGTAGCTGAGATTACAGGCACCTGCCACCACACCTGGCTAATTTTTTGTATTTTTAGTAGAGATGGGGTTTCACCATGTTGGCCAGGATGGTCTCCATCTCTTGACCTCGTGATCCACCCGCCTCGGCCTCCCAAAGTGCTGGGATTACAGGCGTGAGCCACTGCGCCCGGCTAATTATTATTTTTTTGACACAGAGTCTCTCACTGTTGCCCAGGCTGGAGTGTAGTGGTGCTGTCTTGGCTCACTGCAACCTCCGTCTCCCTGTCTCCCAGGTTCAAGCAATCCTTGTGTCTCAGCCTCTCGAATGGCTGGGATTACAGGCATGGGCCACCACAGCCAGCTAATTTTTGTATTTTTAGTAGAAATGAGGTTTCACCATGTTGGCCAGGCTGGTCTCAAACTTCTGACCTCAGGTGATCCGCCTGCCTCAGCCTCCCAAAGTGCTGGGATTACAGGCATAAGCCACCATGCCTGGCCAATTTTTAAATTTTTTATAGTGACAAGGTCTCACCATGTTGCCCAGGCTGGGCTCAAGTGATCCTCCTGCCTTGGCCTCCCAATGTGCTGAGATTACAGGCATGAGTCACTGGCTAGATTAATTTTTGAATATATGCTATAAAAATATTCCCTTAATGTGGTTTTATCTATTTGTGACATCAAAATTTTTTTTTCTCCGAAAACAGTGTTTCTGAGGTGCTTAGAATGAAAAAAAAAAATACAACTTCCCAACCAAAGAACCTGCAAAATAATGTTGCTAGGTCAACTAGGAAGGTAAGGTCACTAGGAAGAAAATTATAACATGACCATATGCCTTTATAAAAATATTTATATATGACAAATATTTAGGCCAGACGCGGTGGCTCATGCCTGTGATATCAACACTTTGGAAGGCCATGGTGGGCAGACAGCTTGAGTTCAGGAGTTTGAGACCAGCCTGGGCAACACAGTGAAATCCCTCTCTACAAAAAATATAAAAATTGGCTGGGTGCAGTGGCTCATGCCTGTCATCCCAGCACTTTGGGAGGCTGAGGCCGGAGGATCACGAGGTCAGGAGTTTGAGACCAGCGTGACCAACATGGTGAAACCCCGTCTCTACTAAAAATACAAACATTAGTTGGGTGTGGTGACACGTGCCTGTAATCCCAGCTACTCGGGAGGCTGAGGCAGGAGAATTGCTTGAATCTGGGAGGTGGAGGTTGCAGTGGGCCAAGATCGCACCGTTGCCTCCAGCCTGGGCAACAAAAGCGAGACTCCATCTCAACAAAAAACAAAAAACAGAAAACAAAAATTATCTGGGCATGGTGGTGTGCACCTGTAGTCCTAGCTACTTGGAAGGCTGAGGCTGGAGGATCGCTTGAGCCTTGGGAGGCAGAGGTTGCAGTAAGCCAAGATCGCACCACTGCACTCCAGCTTGGGTGACAGAACAAGACCCTGTCTCAAAAAAAAAAAAAGGTACTTCATCTACTTTTAGTTATTTCATAAATGACAGAAGTGAAATTGGACATGTTTGTAATGAAACCTAAAAAAGCTTATTTTTTCATAAAATAAACTTGTAAATATTCCCCTTTCTCATCTTCTATTTTTCTTTTATGATACTGAAGAAAAATATTGAATTCTTTTAGCTTTTTGGATATGTGGGTGGCTTCCAAACTGACTGGAACTCCAGGTAGGTAGTTCCTGAACAACGGTTTCCTATCACTATGACTCTTCTAACTTGAAAAATTATCTCAGTCAGTTCATGTTTCATGGACTTTGTGGAACAGTTAAAGCTTTCAGAAGCACAAAATTCTCAACTGTGTCCAAAATATACAAAGAACTCTTAAAACCAACAATATAAAGACAAATAATCCAATTTAAAAATTGGCAAAACTGGCCCCTGAATTAAAAAGAAAATTGGCAAAGGACCTGAATAGACATTTCTCCCAAGTAGATATACAAATGGCAAATAAGCATATGAAAAATGGTCAGTGTGATTATTCATCAGAGAAATGCAAATCAAAACCATAACGAGAAAGAATCCTTTTTTTTTTTTTTTTGAGATGGAGTCTCGCTCTGTCACCCAGGCTGGAGTGCAGTGGCACCATCTCGGCTCACTGCAACCTATGCCTCCTGGGTTCAAGTTTTTCTCATGCCTCAGCCTCCCAAATACTGGGACTACAGGTGTGCACCACCTGGCCCAGCTAACTTTTTCTTTCTTTCTTTCCTTTTTTTTTTTTTTGAGACGGAGTCTCACTCTGTCGCCCAGGCTTGAGTGCAGTGGCGCGATCTCGGCTCACTGCAAGCACCGCCTCCCGGGTTCACGCCATTCTCCTGCCTCAGCCTCCCACGTAGCTGGGAATACAGGCGCCCGCCACCAGGCCTGGCTAATTTTTTTTTGTATTTTTTAGTAGAGACGAGGTTTCACTGTGTTAGCCAGGAAGGATGGTCTCGATCTCCTGACCTCGTGATCCACCCGCCTCGGCCTCCCAAAGTGCTGGGACTACAGGCATGAGCCACCGTGCCCGGCCTTAACTTTTTCTATTTTTAGAATAGATGGGTTTTCACTGTTCTGACCAGGCTAGTCTTGAACTCCTGACCTCAGGTGATCCACCTGCATTGGCCTCCCAAGGTGATGGGATTACAGGCGTGAACCACTTTGCCCAGCCAAGAAAGAATATATTTTTTTAAAAATACAATGAGATAACACCTCAGTTACAAACAATAACAAGTGTTGCTGAGAAAGTGAAGAAATCAGAAGCATCATACGTTGCTGGTAGGAATGTAAAATGGTGCCACTGCTTTGGAAAATAGCCTGGCAGTTCCTCAAAATGTTAAACTAGTGTTACCGTATGACCCAGCAATTCTACATCTAGATTTGTGCCCAGGAGAAATAAAAACAGGGGCCAGGTGTGGTGGCTTCTGCCTGTAATCCCAGCACTTTGGGAGGCCGAGGCAGACAGATGACTTGAAGCCAGGAGTTGGAGACCAGTCCGGCCAGCATGGTGAAACCCCATCTCTACTAAAAATATAAAAATTAGCCAGGTGTGGTGGCAGGTGCCTGTAATCCCAGCTACTTGGGTGGCTGAGGCAGGAGAATCACTTGAACCCGGGAGGCAGAGGTTGCAGTGAGCTGAGATCACGCCACTGCACTCCAGCCTAGGTGACAAAGCAAGAATCTGTCTCAAAAAAAAATACTGCTATGAACATTCTGGTAATGTCTCCTGGTATATATGGGCAAGAGTTAATTTCTGCAAATTTTTAACTCCCGACCAGGTGATCCACCTGCCTCGGCCTCCCAAGGTGCTGGGATTACAGGCGTGAGCCACTATGCCCAGGCAATTTCTGCCAATTTTATACTCAAAAGTAGAGTTACACGTTCAACTTTACTAGATAATGGCAAATATTTTCCAAAGTGGTTGCATCATTTATACACTTATGGGCAGTGCATAAAGTGCCCTATCCTCAAAAAATAATTTTATAGAAGTGAAGTCAAGTGAAAATAGAATCAACGGTAGCCATGATTGGGATTGAGGGATGGGAAAGTGGAGCAAAATTACAAAAATACCTTTTTTTGTTGTTTTAGAGATAGGGTACTGCTATGTTGCCCAGACTGATCTTGGACTCCCGGGCTCAAGTGATCCTCCCACCTCAGCCTCGAGTAGCTGGTGCAGGTGTGAGCCACCAAGCCTGGCCAAAGTTAGAAAAATATGGTTTTTTGGGGGAGGGGGGTGGTATGGAGTCTCGCTCTGTCGCCTAGGCTGGAGTGCAGTGGTGCGATCTCGGCTCACTGCAAGCTCCACTTCCTGAGTTCACACCATTCTCTTGCCTCAGCCTCCTGAGTAGCTGGGACTACAGGCGCCCGCCACAACGCCCAGCTAATTTTTTTGTATTTTTAGTAGAGACGGGGTTTCACCATGTTAGCCAGGATGGTCTCGATCTCCTGACTTCGTGATCTGCCCGTCTCGGCCTCCCAAAATGCTGGGATTACAGGCATGAGCCACTGCGCCCAGCCCTAAAGATATCTTAAATAATGTGTGGAAGAAGCTCTGGTAGGGCTGAGCCCTTTCATCTTAAATTGAACACTTCTGCTTAGTGACAGTGAAGGGCTAAGGGCTAATCACAAGGATAGATGAGTGAAACCCACTAGTTGTTCTTGGCTTTTGTTGTGCTGTTTGTGGTGGTAGTATTTAGCTTTACCTCCTAAACCCACACAGTAATACTTTTACTGTAAGAATTTAAGACTAAGTCTGGGCACGGTGGCTCACGCCTGTAATCCAGCACGTTGGGAGACCGAGGCAGGCGGATCACTTGAGGTCAGGAGTTCGAGATCAGCCTGGCCAACATGGTGAAACCCCATCTGTACTAAAAATACCAAATTAGCCAAGCGTGGTGGTGGCCACCTGTAGTCCCAGCTACTCAGGAGTCTGAGGTAGGAGAACTGCTTGAACCCGGGAGGCATAGGTTGCAGTGAGCCAAGATTGGGCCACTGCACTCCAGCCTGGGGGACGAGAGAGAGTGAAACTCCATCTCAAAAAAAAGAAAAAAAAAAAGAACTTAAGAATAAAATGTGAGAAGAGGGCCAGGCACAGTGGCTCACACCTGTAATACCAGCCCTTTGGGAGCCCGAGGAGGGCAGATCCCTTGAGGTCAGGAATTTGAGACCAGCCTGGCCATCATGGTGAAAACTTGTCTCTACTAAAAATCCCAAAACTAGCCAGGCATGGTGGTGCACGCCTGTAATCCCTGCTACTTGGGAGGCTAAGACAGGAGAATTGCTTGAACCCAGGAGTCGGAGGCTGCAGTGAGCTGAGATTGTGCCACTGTGCTCCAGCCTGGGTGACAGAGCGAGACTCCATCTCAAAAAAAAAAAAAAAAAAGTGAGAAGACTGAAGAAAAGAGCTGAAAGTAAATCAGTCTCTGTGAAGGCCAGCAAGATGTTCCACAGTGAGAGTTCTTTTAATTCTAAAAGGTGTCCATCCTCAGGCGTAGAAGTTACCTTTTGAGGCTGGTAGCACCAGAGGTATAGCATCTATGTCTCTAACTGGCAAGTCTCCTGATGTAGGGTCCACCAGATGTGACATGATCTCTGTTCCCAAGCTGTAAGAGATCCCAGAGGACACTGAAATAAAGGAAAAGTCCAGTCAGTTACATGCAACTTTAGGATGTCTTCTGAAACGTGTACATAAGTTGTAGCAGGAATTTCTCAGCACTTTCATGATGGTATATGACATGTCAGAGTCATTCTCATGGTAGTGTGGACAACTCTACACTAAAGAGTAACAACAAGTATTCAGTAGGAATGACTTGATCCAAAATGAAAATCAGTTTTTATGATTATGGAATTGATGGATATCATTTCGGATCATTTTTTTAAGTGTCTGCTCAGCCTGGAAGCCGATGACCATCCCTTTTCTCTGCGAAATAGGCCTCTATCCCTCTCTCCACTCAATTTACAGGGACTGACTCCCCAGGAATCAGTTTATAGCCTACAATCCAGTCCCCGAAGCCATTGCTGATTGGACCAGGGTTAATCGAATGACCCAAGACAAATGACCCTCGCTGAACCAATCAGATTCTATCTCCTAGGAGGTTGAAAATAAAACTGAGAAGTTTAAATTAGCCTCTGGGGATGGCTAGAACTACTATGTAAACTTGGGAGCTCTGAAATGACCATATTCAGCTCTGTGGCCTGAATAATCAGGAAATCCTGTCTATAGAGTTGCCTCATACTCTGGCCAACACTTTTTTTCCTGGATGATAGTATCCAGTCTAGCCGGGATTACAGGCACCCACTACTGCACCCGGCTAATTTTTGTATTTTTGGTAGAGATAGGGTTTTGCCATGTTGGCAAAACTGGTCTTGGACTCCTGACTTTAGGTGATCTGCCCGCCTCGGCCTCCCAAAGTGTTGGGATTACAGGCGTGAGCCACCACACCTGGCCTCTTTCTCTTTTTTTCATCTCTTTCTTTTCTTCTTTTTCTTTTCTTTCCTTCCTTCCTTCCTTCCTCTCTTTCTTTCCTCTTTTTTTTTTCTTTTGGCAGGGTCTTATTCTGTCCCCCAGGCTGGAGTACAATGGCACAACCACGTTTCACTGCAGCCTCCACCTAGGCTTAAGCGACCTTCCAGCCTCTGCCTCCCAAAGTGCTAGGATTAAAGGCATGAGCCACCGTGCCAGGCCCAGTCTCCTGACTTTAAATACTATGTATGTATATGCTTTTGTCTCCAAAATTTTTGTCTCCAGCTTCAGATTTGTACAATTTTGTTTTCTGTTTTTTGCTTTGTCATCCAGGCTGGAGTGCAGTGGTGTAATCTCAGCTCACCACAACCTCCACCTGCTGGGTTCAAGCAATTCTCCTGCCTCAGCCTCCCAAGTAGCTGAGATTACAGGCATGTGCCACCATGCCTGGCTAATATTTGTAATTTTAGTAGAGATGGGGTTTCACTGTGTTGCTCAGGCTGGTCTTGAACTCCTGGCCTCAGGTGATCTGCCTGCCTCAGCCTCCCAAAGTGCTGGGATTACAGGCATCAGACCGCAGCCAGCCCAATTTCTTATTTTTTTAAACATTTCTCTTGGCATGGCTACTAGATATCTCAAATTCACTTTTCCCCAACAGGAATTTTGATTTATCTTACCAGTCTCATCTTTTCCCAGTCTTTCCCTAGGTCCATAAATGCCACTACCGTCCTACCAATCCTGCAGCTTTGATTCCTCCCTTTCCCTCACCCATTAGCATGTTCTCCAGGTTCTTCCTTTAAAACATGTATCAGCCAGGTGCAGTGGCTCATGCCTGTAACCCCGGCACTTTGGGAGGTTGAGGCGGGCGGATCGCCCGAGGTCAGGAGTTCAAGACCAGCCTGGCCAACATGGTGAAACCCTGTCTCCACTAAAAATACAAAAAATTAGCCGGGCGTGGTGGCGGGTGCCTTTAATCGCAGCTACTCAGGAGGCTGAGGCAGGAGAATTGCTTGAACCTGGAAGGCGGAGGTTGCAGTGAGCTGAAATTGTGCCATTGCACTCCAGCCTGGGCAACAAGAGCAAAACTGTCTAAAAAACAAACACAGACAAAAACAACATATATTAGCCTGTCTCCGCCACTAAAATTCAAGTGATCTGTGTCTCTTTCCTCAACTACCACATTTTTTAATGCTCTCCCCATTTTCCTCTCCCATCCTCCCTTATTTCTGCCTGAAACACCCAGAGTGACCTGTATAAAACAACCCAGTTCATAACATTTCTTTGCCAAAAGTCTCCAAATGGCTTTTCATTACACTTAAAGTAAAATTTACACTTTTTTTCCAGGGCCTGTAAAGCCCAACCTCAGCTGATCCGCTTCTTATTCCTCCAATCACACCTTGTACCTTCCTTCCTCTAGCTCACAACACTCCTCACCACTTGCCCTCTCTTTGCTCTCCCAACCATCAAGCTCTTTCTTGCTCTTTTTTTTTTTTTTGGAGATGGAGTCTCACTCTGTCACCCAGGCTGGAGTGCAGTGGCGCGATCTCAGCTCACTGTAACCTCCACCTCCCGAGTTCAAGTGATTCTCCTGCCTCAGCCTCCTGAGTAGCTCGGACTACAGGCACGTGCCACCATGCCCGGCTAATTTTTTGTGTTTTTAGTAGAGACGGGGTCTCACCATGTTAGCCAAGATGGTCTTGATCTCCTGATCTTGTGATCTGCCTGCCTTGGCCTCCCAAAGTGCTGGGATTACAGGCTTGAGCCACTGCACCTGGCCTCCTTCTTGCTCTTTATTTGGCTGACTCCATCTGATCCTTTGGTCTCTCAAGCATCTTTTCATTTGCCAGGAGGCCTTTCTCTGACTTTGGTAGCTGAACTGAGCACTTCCCCTTCTCTTACCAGTCTTATACTCTGTCACCTCACCCTGTTTATTTCCCTTGTGACATTTACTATACACAGAAACTACCTTCATTTATTTATACTAGTTTATTGTCTGTCCCCTCTCACTAAAACATAGTGACTTTGAAGGCAGAAAAATGGTTTATCTTGTTTACCTCTATAGATGCAGTACCCGAACAGTTATTGGCACATAGCAGGTACTCAACAAATAAACACCGAATGTATGAAAAGTAGAATGAACGAACAAGAGAGAGAATGACACTGAGGGACTGAAGTGAGTCAAAAAGTTCTTAAAGCATTCTGTTCTTGATTCCAGTCTTTTCCAGTTTTGTCTCCAAAATTTATGTCTCAGCTGGGAGCAGTGGTTCACGCCTGTATTCGCAGTACTTTGGGAGGCTGAGGCGGGCAAATCATCTGAGGTCAGGAGTTCAAGACCAGCTTGGCCAACATGGTGAAACCCTGTCTCTACTAAACATACAAAAATTTGCTGGGCGCGGTGACATGTGCCACGACAGAGTGATCCCAGTTACTCAGGAGTCTAAAGCAGGAGAATAGTTTGAACCCGGGAGGCGGAGGATGCAGTGAGCAGAGATCGTGCCACTGTACTCCAGCCTGGGTGACAAGAGAGAGATTCCATCTTCAAAAAAAAAAAAAAAAAAAATTTAGTTCTCCAGCCTTGACTTTCAGATTTGTACAAATTCTTTTTAAACATTTCCCCTTTCAAATGTTTCCCCTAGTAAACATACTAGACAACTGAAACTCACCTTTCCCAAAGAGGAATTGTAATTTCTCTTACCAGTCTGATTGTTTCCCAGTCTTTCCCTATTTCCATAAATGCCACTGTCTGGCTCTGTTCCTACCTTTAGGTTCTATAGTAGAGTCTTGTGCCCTATACAACAAATTCTCCCTTTTTGTTGAAGCTAGCTTGACTTGTCAACTGGAGAAGGGTGTTCAGAAGCTTATTTTGAACAAACAGAGAAATATAAAGAAGAAAGCAAAAAGTATAATGGAGAAATTCTATCACCTAGAGAAAATGTAAACATTGTATTGATCTGCTTTCCGGGCAATTTAACTTGAATTGGATAATTCATACTCTGTTCTGTAACATTTCATTTTTAAAAATCACAATAAATGGAGAGCATCTTTCCAATGTCATAGTCTTAAATAGATCTATACAGATTTCATAGCATGCCTATTTTAAGAAAGCTGAATAATCACCCCAAAGTTTAAGTACTTTCGCATGTTAGACCTAGGATTACAAGTAAATCTCAGGCCAGGCACGGTGGCTCACGTTTATAATCCCAACACTTTGGGAGGCTGAGGCGGATGGATCACCTGCGGCCAGGAGTTCGAGACTAGCCCAGCCACATGACAAAAGTTAGCTGGGCATGGTGACAGGCGCCTGTAATCCGGCTACTCGGGAGGCTGAGGCAGGAGAATCGCTTCAACCCGGCAGGTGGAGATTGCAGTGAGCCAAGATCGTGCCACTGCACTCCACTCCAGCCTGGGCAAAGCAGAGTGAGACTCTGTCTAAAAAAAAAAAAAAAGTAAATCTGCATTTAGTTTACAAGTAAATCTCCATTTGAAGTACCATATATAGGGGCTGGGCACAGTGGCTCATGCCTGTAATCCCAGCACTTTGGGAGGCCGAGGCGGGCAGATCACAAGGTCAGGAGTTTGAGACCAGCCTGGCTAACATGGCGAAACCCCATTTCTACTAAAAATACAAAAATTAGCTGGGTGTAGTGGCTCATGCCTGTAGTCCCAGCTGCTCTGGAGGCTGAAGCAGGAGAATCGCTTGAGCACAGGAGGCGGAGATTGCAGTGAGCCAAGATTACACCATTGCACTCCAGCCTGGGCGACAGTGTGAGACAGCTTCTCAAAAAATAATAATAATAAATAAAATAAATAGAGTAGCATCTACAGGTTTACTTAGTCACCCACCTTCCTAGTTTCCTACTGTAGAAAAGTAATGTGAAGGAAAAGGAAAGGTGACTGCATCATAAGCTTGGTCCTCTGGACCTGAAGCCATTTGCAAAAATGGAGCTGTAGTAGAAGGGATGCTGTTGTTCTTAATATCTGGGCCCAGAGCACATTGACGCACCACCAATGCTATATGGCACTATGGAGCAATTGAAAAGTATCATTAAAACTGAAGTCACAGAAGCTCTAAGAATGAAATGGAGTTTATTGGAATGCTAGAGAAGAAAAGCCAGTTGAGACTGTCAGTGAAGGCGTGTTGAACATCCAGTGGCCAGATTTAATTTCTCAGGAATGAAAAAGTGGAATGTAGGCCGGGCACAGTGGCTCACGCCTGTAATCCCAGCACTTTGGGAGGCCGAGATGGGTGGATCACAAGGTCAGGAGATCAAGACTATCCTGGCTAACGTGGTGAAACTCCATCTCTACTACAAAATACAAAAAATTAGCCGGGTGTGGTGGCACGCGCCTGTAGTCCCAGCTACTGGGGAGGCTGAGGCAGGAGAATGGCGTGAACCTGGGAGGCGGAGCTTGCTGTGAGCCGAGATCACGCCACTGCACTCCAGCCTGGGAGACAGAGCGAGACTCTGTCTCAAAAAAAAAAAAAAAAAAAAAATGGAATGTAGATTCTAAAAGGGTTTATCAATTGTTTTGAACTCAACAGGATGAAAGACTGAAGAAACTTCCACCCGGCGTGGTGGCTCACGCCTGTAATCCCAGCACTATGGGAGGCTGAGGCGGGCTGATCATGAGGTCAGGAGATCGAGACCATCCTGGTCAACATAGTGAAACCCCGTCTCTACTAAAATACAAAAAAATTAGCCAGGCATGGTGGTGCGTGCCTGTAGTCCCAGGTACTCAGGAGGCTGAGGCAGGGGAATTGCTTGAACCTGGGAGGCAGAGATTGCAGTGAGGTGAGATCACGCCACTGCACTCCAGCCGGGTGACAGAGCAAGACTCCGTCTTAAAAAAAAAAAAATTTCCTTGCAGTGATATTCAGAATTGCAGTGCACTTGGACAAGTATAGGTTAGTGAGGGTGAAGAACCCTTTACTAGTGATAGATGGATAGACGTATAAAGCCAGCTTGATGACATCAGCAATTAAAATTTTCTTTTCCTCTTTTTTCGAGACAGAGTATCACATTGTTGCCTGGGCTGGAGTGCAATGTTGCAATCTCAGTTTACTGCAACCTCCGCTTCCCGGGTTCAAGCGATTCTCCTGTCTCAGCCTCCAGAGTAGCTGGGATTACAGGCACCTGCCACCATGCCCAGCTAATTTTTTGTATTTTTTAGTAGAGACAAGATTTCACAATTTTGGCCAGGCTGGTCTCGAACTCCGGACCTTGGGATCCGCCAGCCTCGGTCTCCCAACGTGCTGGGATTACAGGCATGAGCCACCCTGCCCAGACTTCTTTTTTTTCTTTTTTACACTCTGTATCACTGGGCAAGCATTTAAAATTTTGTAGCCAGTTCCCCTTACTCTGATTATTATTATTATTATTATTATTATTATTATTTATTTTTTTTTTTTTTGAGACAAGGTCTCACTCTGTTGCCCAGGCTGGAGTACAGCGGTATGCTCTCGCCTCACTGCAACCTCTGCCTCCAGGGTTCAAGCAATTCTCATGTCTCAGCCCCCCAGGCAGCTGCAATTACAGGCGCAAGCCGCCACGCCCAGCTAATTTTTCTATTCTTAGTAGAGACAGGGTTTTGCCATGTTGGCCAGACTGGTCTTGAACTCCTGATCTCAAGTGATCCACCCGCCTCAGCCTCCCAAAATGCTGAGATTACAGGTGTGAGCCAACACGCCTGGGCCAAGAGTAGATTTTTAAGTGTTCTCATCAAACACAAAAAATTGATGAGCATATGAGGTAATACATATTTTAATTAGCCCAAGATTGGGCAGGTGTGGTGGCTCACGCCCGTAATCCCAGCACTTTGGGAGGCCAAGGCGGGCAGATCACAAGATCAAGAGATCAAGACCATCCTGGCCGTGGCCAACATGGTAAAACCCTGTCTCTACTAAAAATGCAAAAATTAGCTGGGCATGGTGGTGCGCACCTGTAGTCCCAGCTACTCGGGAGGTTGAGGCAGGAGAATTGTTTGAACCCAGGAGGCAGAGGTTGCAGTGAGCCGAGATTGAGCCACTGCACTCCAGCCTCACGAGAGAGAGAGATTCTGTCTCAAAAAAAAAAAAAAGAAAAGCCCAAGGTAGCCATTTTCCACTCTCTCTATATATATATTTCAAAGCAACAAATTTTACACAATAAATATATACAATTTCAAATTGTCAATTAAAAATTAATTAATTTGAAAAGGAGTTTTATTCATTCTGCAGATAGTGGATACATTTCTGAGCAAAAGAGCAATATAATTAGAGCTATGGAAGAGCATTAGGAAGATTCATCTACTATTAGTGATTTGGAAATTGGGGAGAGAACAGTGTTAAGAGGATATTGCTATAGTTCAGGCAAGAAGTCTTGAACTAGGGAAGGAGGGGGGTGGGGGATGGAAGAATAGGATGGATCATGAAGACACTGAGGAAGGAGAATCAAAAGATGTGACAACTGGTTGGACGTGAGATAGAGTTAAGAGGGTGACAGGATTAAAGATGACTTGGTAATGTTGTGCTGGATGCCTGGGAGACTGGTGGTACAATAGAAAATGAATAAACCAGGCCAGGCGCGGTGGCTCATGCCAGTAATCCCAGCACTTTGGGAGGCCGAGGCGGGTGAATCACCTGAGGTCAGGAGTTCAAGACCAGCCTGGCAAACATGGTGAAACCCCGTCTCTACTAAAAACACAAAAATTAGCCGGGCAATGGTGGCGCATGCCTGTAGTCCCCAGCTACTTGGGAGGCTGAGGCAGGAGAATCGCTTGAACCTGGGAGGCAGAGGTTGCAGTGAGCAGAGATAGTGCCGGTGCACTCCAGCCTGGGCGACAGAGTAAGACTCTGTCTCAAAAAAAAAAAAAAAAAAAAGAATAAACTTATTTCATTCTTCTCAAAAACACCCCTAGGGAAGACATAGGAAACTATAAATATGCATCAGATAGAAACTTACAGTTCTTGCTTGCTCCAGATAGCTGTCGCTAATTCTTTTCTCTCAATGTTCTGGTGTCCTTTAGTACTCTAGGTTCCAATAAGCTTGTCCTTCTGGCTTGTTAAAAGAGGAGCTAATCCAGTTCTGTTTAGCTTTTAAGATGTTAACTCTTTGTAGATCAGAGTGTGTGAAGGCTGTGCTTTTTCTCTATGCATGTTTGACTTGGAGAAAGAGCAGCTTAAAGGGTCCTTAACAGATCCACTTCTCAACTAAAACTAAAGCTGAGAACACATTTGCGGGATTTGAGATTAAAAGAAATTTGTTGGTATTCAGAGGATGATCTTTAAATCTTTTATTTATTTATTTATTTATTTTGAGACAGAGTTTCACTCTTGTTGCCCAGGCTGGAGTGCAATGGCGCGATCTCGGCTCACCGCAACCTCTGCCTCCCAGGTTCAAGCAATTCTCCTGCCTCAGCCTCCCGAGTAGCTGGGATTACAGGCATGCACCACCACAGCCAGCTCACTTTGTATTTTTAGTAGAGATGGAGTTTCTCAATGTTGAGGCTGGTCTCGAACTCCTGACCTCAGGTGATCTGCCCGCCTTGGCCTCCCAAAGTGCTGGGATTACAGGCTTGAGCCACCGCGCCCGGCCGATATTCTTTAAATCTTTATCTGAAGGGCAACAACAGTGGGAGTTGTTCTGAAGCCCTGAGATCCCTTTGAAGAGAACAAACACTGCACCGTTGGTGGGATCAACATGCCTATTCAGTCCACATGTGCCAGTGCTTTCGAGTAAGAGAATGTATATCTTCCATTTCACCGTGACCACCGTTTTGAAACCAAACTTTGGGATGTAATTATGAAGCAATAGGATTTGATATAAGAAAATTAAATGTTCTTAAAAATTCTGCAAGGCTGGTCACTGCATTCATATTATATATTAAGTGGAATACGGTCTCAATTGTTACATAAAATCCTCTTTATTTATTTATTTATTTTGAGATGCAGTTTCGCTCTTGTTACCTAGGCAGGAGTGCAATGGTGCGATCTCGGCTCACTGCAACCTCTGCCTCCCGGGTTCAAGCAATTCTCCTGCCTCAGCCTCCTGAGTAGCTGGGATTACAGGCATGCGCCACCACGCCCAGCTAATTTTGTATTTTTACTAGAGACAAGGTTTCTCCATGTTGGTCAGGCTGGTCTCGAACTCCCGACCTCAGGTGATCCACCTACCTTGGCCTCCCAAAGTGCTGGGATTACAGGCCTGAGCCACCACGACTGGCCTAAATCCTCTCTTTAATGCACTGAATGGGTGCATTGAGAAAGCTCCATTCTGGTTATTGGCATGAGGTTCGGGGATTTCCAGGAGGATGAACACATAGTTAATGGGCCCCATGTGACTTCCTCTAAATCCCATGAAATAATAAAATAAAATAAAATAAAATAAAGCTAGGGAGACAATTAGGAAGTAGAGAAAGTATCCAGGACACATACATTTCCCAGTGAAGAGAGGAAAATTCAATATAATATTTTACCAGGTTTAAATGACAGATTTATAAAATTTAAAAGCTGGGCTTTTATGCACTTAAGGTTGCTTCTTGCCCAAGCTATTTCTTGATAAATCTGGGATTTTCTGTCCTTTTTTAAGATGCTCTAGCCAGAGACAGTGCAGGACAAAATTAATTTTGAAGTAAGCCAAGTTTGTGTTTGATAATCGTGTTCTCTTTTCTGAACCTCTGACTTTTGTTAATTTTTTTTTTTTTTTTTTTTTGAGACGGAGTTTTGCTCTTGTTGCCCAGGCTGGTGTGCAATGGCACAATCTTGGCTCACTGCAACCTCTGCCTCCCGGGTTCAAGAGATTCTCCTGCCTCAGTCTCCCTAGTGGCTGGGATTACAGGCACCCGCCACCACACCCAGCTAATTTTTTGTATTTTTAGTAGAGATGAGGTTTCACTATGTTGGCCTGGCTGGTCTTGACCTCCTGACCTCAGGTGATTCACCCGCCTTAGCCTCCCACAGTGCTGGTATTACAGGCGTGAGCCACCATTCCCGGCTGACTTTTGTTAATTTTTAAAACATCTCCTACCTCTTTCAGGCAACCAGTTTCCCTTAACATTCTCATTACATCTTGGAGTGAATTTACGTGATACTTTTTCCACTAGGCTTAATGTACTTCTCAATGTAGACAGTAAGACTTTGTTCTGTGTTAAAGAAATTTCAGGCCGGGCACGGTGGCTCACACCTGCAATCCCAGCACTTTGGGAGGCTGAGGTGGGTGGATCACCTGAGGTCAAGAATTCGAGACCAGCCTGACCAACATGGTGAAATCCCATCTCTACTAAAAATACAAACATTAGCTGGGCGTGGTGGCAGGCACCTGTAATCCCAGCTACTCACCAGGCTGAGGCAGTGAGAATCACTTGAACCCCAGAGGCGGAGGTTGCAGTGAGCCGAGACTGCACCATTGCACTCCAGCCTGGGCAACAAGAGCAAAACTCCATCTCAAAAAAAAACAAAAAGAAATTTCAGTCATTGGCCAGGCTTGGTGGCTCACACCTGTAATCCCAGAACTTTGGGAGGCCGAAGTGGGTGGATCACCTAAGGTCAGGAGTTTGAAACCAGCCTGGCCAACATGGTGAAACCCTGTCTCTACTAAAGATACAAAAACAATTAGCTGCGCGTGGTTGTGAGTGCCTGTAATCCCAGCTACTCTGGAGGCTGAAGCAGGAGAATCACTTGAACCGGGGAGGCGGAGGTTGCAGTGAGCCGAGATTGCGCCACTGCACTCCAGCCTGGGCGACAGAGCAGAACTCTGTCTCAAAAAAAAAAAAAAAAAACAGAAATTTCAGGTCAGGTGCTGTGGCTCATGCCTATAATCCCTGCACTTTGGGAGGCCGAGGTGGGCGAATCATGGAGGTGGAGGTTGCAGTGAACCGAGATCTTGCCACTGCACCCCAGCCTGGGCAACGAAGCGAGACTCCAGCTCAAAAAAAAAAAAAAAAAGTTAAAATACAAAGGTCCCCTGAGGCCTGGCATGGTGGCTCGCATCTGTAATCCTAGCACTTTGGGAGGTTAAGGCAGCCAATGACTTGAGGCCAGGAATTCAAGACCAGCCTGACCAACATGGCAGAATCTGTCTTACTAAAAATACAAAGAAATTAGCCAGACGTGGTGGCGCATACTTGTAATCCCAGCTATCCGGGAGGGTGAGGTGGGAAGATGGATTAGATCCGGGCAGTGGAGGGTGCGGTGAGCCGAGATGGCGCCACTGCAATCCAGCCTGGGCAACAGAGGGAGACCCTGTAAAAAAAAAAAAAAAAAAAAAAAGGCCAGGTGCGGTGGCTCACTCCTGTAATCCCAGCACTTTGGGAGGTTGAGGCGAGTGGACCATGATGTCAGGAGATTGAGACCATCCTGGCCAACATGGTGAAACCCCGTCTCTACTAAAAATACAAAAATTAGCTGGGCTTGGTGGTGCCTGCCTATAATCCCAGCTACTCAGGAGGCTGAGGAAGTAGATTAGCTTGCACCAGGGAGTCGGAGGTTGCAGTGTGTGGAGATGGCACCACTGCACTCCAGCCTGGCGACAGGGCAAGACTCCATCTCAAAAACAAAAGAAAAACCAAACAAGCCAGGTGCAGTGGCTCACTCCTGTAATCCCAACAGTTTGGGAGGCAGAGGCGGGTGGATCACTTGAGGTCAGGAGTTCGAGACCAGCCGGGACAACATGGCGAAAACCCGTCTCTACTGAAAATACAGGCCAGGCGCGGTGGCTCACGCCTGTAATCCCAGCACTTTGGGAGGCCGAGACGGGTGGATCACAAGGTCAGGAGATCCAGACCATCCTGGCTAACACCGTGAAACCCCGTCTCTACTAAAAATACAAAAAATTAGCCGGGCGCGGTGGCAGGCGCCTGTAGTCCCAGCTACTCGGGAGGCTGAGGCAGGAGAATGGCGTGAACCTGGGTGGTGGAGCTTGCAGTGAGCCGAGATCGCGCCACTGCACTCCAGCCTGGGCGACAGAGCGAGACTCCATCTCAAAAAAAAACAAAACAAAAATTAGCTGAGCGTGGTGGCGCACTCCTGTATTTCCAGCATCTGGAGGCTGAGGCAGGAGAATCACTTGAACCTGGGAGAGGGAGGCTGCAGTGAGCCCAGATCGCACCTCTGCACTCCAGCCTGGGCTACAGAGGGAGACTCCCTCTCAAAAAAAAAAAAAAAAAAAAAAAAAAGGAAAAGACCCTGCATAAATTTTATATTTGAAAATGTGGGCCAGATAGTTCACATAGTATTTTTATGCCATCTAGATTTGCTCAAGAGCTCAGTTTGTACCATAATAGTAAAATAAGCACTGACAATGAAATGTGACCTTTGTCAACTAAAAAAGCATTTTGTAAGTTGTACAAAGATTAGCTTAATGAAAAATTACCAGAGGATAAAATCCTGTGCTTCAGAGCCAGAATGAGAACAGATGGCAAATACGTTAAAGAAGGCTTAACCTACAGGAAGCCAGATTTAGGTCACTGCTGAGATGAAAATTAGCAGAGGAACAAAGAAGACAAAGGAAAAGTAGGAGAAAAACATTAAGTAGAAAGTGAAAAGAGAAATTGAAGAAACAAGAAAGAAATTAGAAGTTTATATGTTCCTTTTTTCAGAAATGAGGTCTCACTATGTTGTTCAGGCTGGAGTGCAGTGGCTGCTCACAGACACAATCATAGCATACTGCCAGGAACTCCGGGGGTCAAGGGATTCTCCTGCCTCAGCCTCCTGAGTGGCTGCGACTACAGGCACCCACTACCATGCCCCACTATTTTTCATTAAAAAAAAATATTTTGGCCGGGCGTGGTGGCTCACGCCTATAACCCCAGCACTTTGGGAGGCCGAGGTGGGCATACCACGAGGTCAGGAGTTTGAGACCGCTTGGCCAACATGGTGAAACCCCATCTCTACTAAAAATACAAAAATTAGCTGGGCATGATGGCACAAGCCTATAGTCCCAGCTACTTGGGAGGCTGAGGCAGGAGAATCGCTTGAACCTGGGAGGTGGAAGCTGCAGTGAGCCGAGATCGTGCCACTGCACTCCAGCCTGGCGACTGAGCGATACTCTGTCTCAAAAAAAAAAAAAAAAAAAATTTAAGAGATGTTGCCCAAGCTGGAGGATGTTTTTAAAATAAAGTCACTTATTTTCAAATATCTTCTGAAGGGGCTTGAAGTCTCTATTATATAGGTCTCATAGCACCTTCTTACTTATTTTCAGTAGCACTCACAATTTAGTATAAACAATTAATTGAGTAATTATCCATTTAATATTTGATTCTGTTCTGAAGGGCAGGGCCATGTCTGTTTTGTTTACTTCTATGCTCTTGTGGCATCAGCTAATTACATAGTACGTTTAACAAGTATTGTTGAGTGAATGGGTAGGATTTTCCCACCTTGGCATACATTACATTATTAATAATAGTGTAATGGTTATTTGCATATCCTCTAGAACTAGACCTCCTAGCATTAGAATCTTTTTTTTTTCTCTTTTTGAGACACGGTCTTGCTGCTGGTAGCTAAATCCTGGTCTCCAGGGATCCTCCTGCCTCAGCCTCCTGAGTAGCTGGGATTACAGGCTTCCGAGTGTCTAGCTATAGTGTCAGAATCTTGCACCACCAAAAACTAGTTGTGTGACCTTAGGCAAATTACTTAACCTTTCTGTGCTTTCATTTCTACATCTTTAAAATGGGGATAATAAAATTATCAAATGAGCTAATTCATGTGAAACACTTAGAAAAGTGCTTTACACATGGTATCTGCTCAGTAAATTTTTATTTTTACTATTAATATTTAATATAAGGGTAGTCAATAATACTTAGAAGCAAATATTACTTGATTTCAAAACCACGAATGGATGTCATAATCCAGACTTTATCTTTCCTTCTTTTTTTTTTTTTTTTCCACTCTGTTGCCAGGCTGGAGTGCAGTGGTGCAATCTCGGCTCACTGCAACCTCCGCCTCCCAGGTTCAAGCGATTCTCGTGCCTCAGCCTCCCAAGTAGCTGGGATTACAGGCATGCGCCACCATATCCAGCTAATTTTTGTATTTTTAGTAGGGACGGGGTTTCACCATGTTGGCCAGGATGGTCTCCGTCTCCTGACCTCGTGATCTTCCTGCCTTGGCCTCCCAAAGTGTTGGGATTATGGGTGTGAGCCACCGCGCCCAGCTATCTCTCCCAGTTCTAAAGCTTTGTGGACAAGGATTTTTTTTTTTTTTTAATTTTCGAGACGGAGTCTTGCTCTGTCCCTTAGTCTAGAGTGCAGTGGCATGATCTTGGCTCACTGCAACCTCCACCTCCCAGGTTCAAATGAATCTCCTGCCTCAGCCTTCCGAATAGCTGGGATTACAAGTGCGCGTCACGTCTGGCTAATTTTTGTATTTTAAGAAAAGACAGGGTTTCATCATGTTGGCCAGGCTGGTCTCGAACTCCCCGACCTCAGGTGATCCGCCCAACTCGGCCTCCCAAAGTGCTGGGATTACAGGCATGGCCCGCCACACTTGGACTGTGATCAAAGATTTTTTTTGCCTGTTTGTTCATATTATTTATTTATTTTTTGGAGATGGAGTCTCAATCTGTCGCCCAGGCTGGAGTGCAATGGCGCAATCTCAGCTCACTGCAACTTCCACCCCACTGGGTTCAAGTGATTCTCCTGCCTCAGCCTCCCAAGTAGCTGGGGTTACAGGCGCCTGCCACCACGCCCAGCTAATTTTTTGTATTTTTAGCAGAGATAGGGTTTCACCATGTTGGCCAGGCTGGTCTCGAACTCCTGACCTCAGGTGATCCACCCACCTCGCCTCCCAGAGTGCTGGGACTATAGGCGTAAGCCACCGCTCCAGAGATTGCAATGAGCTGTGATCGTGCCACTTCACTCCAGCCTGGGGGAAAGAGTGAAACTCCATCCCCACCCCCACCCCCCAAAAATAAATAAATAAAATAATAAAATAATTGATATATGATACTGAAAAACTGGAAACAACTTCAATGTCTTGAAGAGGGGATTGGTTTTTAAAAATGATATTGGGGACGGGCTTGGTGGCTCAAGCCTGTAATCCCAGCACTTTGGAAGGCCGAGGTGGGTGGATCACCTAAGGTCAGGAGTTCAAGACCAGCCTGGCCAACATGGTAAAACCCCGTCTCTACTAAAAATACAAAAATTAGCCCGGCGTGGTCGTGGGCGACTGTAATCCCAGCTACTCGGGAGGCTGAGGCAGAAGAATCGCTTGAACGTGGGAGGCGGAGGTTGCAGTGAGCCAAGATCACGCCACTGCACGTCAGCCTGGGTGACAGAGCAAGATTCGGTCTCAGGAAAAAAAAAAAAAGATATTAACCGGGTGCGGTGGTTCAGGCCTGTAATCCCAGCACTTTGGGAGGTGTGTCGGGCAGACTGCTTGAGCACAGGAGTTCAAGACCATCCTGGCCAACGTGGCAAAACTACATCTTTACTAAAAATACAAAAATTAGCCAGGCATGGTGGCGGATGCCTGTAGTCCCAGCTACTCAGGAGGCTGAGGCATGAGAATCGTTTGAACCTGGGAGGCAGAGGCTGCAGTGAGCCGAGATCGCCCCGTTGCACTCCACCCTGGCCAACAAGAGCGAAATTCCATCTCAAAAAAAAAAAAAAAAGTATAAAGCAGTGTTAGCTAAAACGAGAGAGCTCTATAAAATTTTATTTTATTTTATTTTATTTTTGAGACAGTTTTGTTTACTTAAGTCAAGAGGCCAGACGTGGGTCAGCCTGTAATCCCAGCACTTTGGGAGGCCCAGGCCGGTGGATTGCTTGAGCACAGGAATTTGAGACCAGCCTGGGCAAGACGGTGAAACCCCATCTCCACAAAAATTAGAAAACTTAGTGAGTCTGGTGGCACACGCCTGTAGTCCCAGCTACTCAGGAGGCTGAGGTGGGAGGATCTCTTGAGCCCAGGAGATCGAGGTTGCAGTGAGCCTTGATGGTGCTACTGCACTCCAGACTGGGCGACAGAGTGAGATCCTGTCTCAAATAATAGTAATAATAATAACATAAATTACATGTCAACCAGACCCGACAGACTCCAGGCCTCTCTGAGTAAGTGCTACATAAAACATACAACAAACAAAAGACAGGGCCTGGCGCAGTGGCTCACGCCTGTAATCCCAGCACTTTGGGAGGCTGAGGCAGGAGGATCACGAGGTCAGGAGATCGAGACCATCCTGGCTAACACGGTGAAACCCCGTCTCTACTAAAAATACAAAAAAAATTTAGCCGGGCGCGGTGGCGGGCGCCTGTAGTCCCAGCTCCTCGGGAGGCTGAGTGAGGTAGGAGAATGACCTGAACCCGGCGAGGCGGAGCTTTCAGTGAGAGCCGAGATTGCGCCGCTCCATTCCAGCCTGGGCGACAGAACAATACTCTGTCTCAAAAAAAAAAGAAGAAAAGAAAGAAAAGACAGGGCTGGCATGGTGCCTCCCAGCATTTTGGGAGGCCAAGGAGGGAGGAATGCTTGAGCCCAGGAGTTCAAAACTAGCCTGGGCAACATGGTAAGACGCTGTCTCTACAAAATATAAAAATAAAATTAGCCAATGTGGTGGTGCACACCTGTGGTCTCAGCTACTCCAGAGGCTGAGGTGGGAGGATTGCTTGCGACTGGGTGGTTGAAGCTGTAATCATCCGGGATTATGCCAATGCACTACAGCCTGGGCAACAGAACAAGACCTCATCTCAAAAGAAAGAGAGAGAAAAAAAGGACAGTCTATCTGCTTGTCCTGGAAAAATAAAAATTTCCCCTGATAAATAAAAGTTAATGGTTAATATTTTATTAATTTATTAATAGGTAGTAAACAAGGAAAATATATTGAAGAGTAAGAATTAAACTCTGCCATCAAAAAATCTTACCATCCAGGAAGGGAGAGGAGTGTAAAACTACCCACAGTGCTACGAGATAATTTTAAATAAATTGCAATGTGGCAATTGAGTCGAGGCTTTAAGCACTCGTAGGATATTCTCCCTCTGATTACTTGCTCAAAGTAGATGATTTGGAAAATATAGAAAAGTACAATAAGATTTTAAGGCTGGGCGCGGTGGGTCACGCCTGTAATCCCAGCACTTAGGAAGGCTGAGGCGGGCGGATCACGAGGTCAAGAGATGGAGACCATCCTGGCCAACATGGTGAAACCCCGTCTCTACTAAAAATACAAAAATTAGCTGGGCGTGGTGGCACGCACCTGTAGTTCCAGCTACTCGGGAGGCTGAGGCAGGAGAATCGCTTGAACCTAGGAGGCGGAGGTTGCAGTGAGCCAAGATGGCGCCACTACACTCCAGGCTGGTGACAAAGCGAGACTCCGTTTGAAAAAAAAAAAGTTAAAAAAAAAAATCACATGTAATTTTCCCACCAGGAGAGAACCACTACTAACACTTTAGTGTATACTTTCTCCCATATTTTTCGTCTTTGCTTTTTAAAATAGTTTAAAGTGGTCTGGCGTGGTGGCTCACGCCTATAATCTTATCACTTTGGGAGGCAGAGGCGGGCGGATCACCTGAACAGTCTGGCCAACATGGCGAAACCCCATCTGTACTAAAAATACAAAAATTAGCTGGACATGGTGGCGCGCACCTGTAGTTCCAGCTACTCAGGAGGCTGAGGCAGGAAAATCGCTTGAACCCGGGAGGCGGAGGTTGCAGTGAGCCAAGATCGCGCCACTGCACTCCAGCCTGGGCGACAGTGACTCTGCCTCAAAAAAAAAAAAAAAAAAAAAAAAAAAAGAAAAGAAAAAAGAAACCGCTGGCTTAGTAGAGCTGATGCTACCCCACTGCGTGCGCAGTTCCTATAATGTAACCAGAGAGACTGGCAGGTGACGGGGGTAGGTAGGAGACAAGCCATTTCAAGAGGAGGGAAATTAAGGGACCAGATTTGGAAGGATGGGCCAATTTTGCTGGCACTTAAGATATTAGATGCCCTGGGGCCAGAGGCCAGGATTCTGCACTTCCTTTTTATATTGGAGAGGAATAAGGAAGTCAGTTGGTTTCGATGGAACATGTGTTGTCTGAAGAAGGGTTTAATAGGCCAAGAAGCAGATGTCTACGAGGTAGCTGACATTCGAATCTGGAACTGAGAAAGGGTCTGGGGTTGGAAAAACTGCAGGACTGGTTAGTTTTCTACACACTTTAACAAGGCCTAGTCACTGCTGCTCCCTCCTCATTTTAAGAAAAGTCCTTTCTTTATTCACATTGCACAACGGAGGCTTCATTTCGCGCTTTTTTTTCCCTAGGCCCGGGGCTGGGGCAGGTCTTTTGCGCCCGTCACCTAACTACGCCCCTCAACCCTTTCCCCGCCCCCGCGCAGCCGGAAATCCGAGGTCTGGGCGGATCTTCTACTAGGCACTCTAAGGGGCAGCGATAGGACGCCGCGGCCGCCAATCAGGCCTCCCAGATACCCGGATGTGAGACGGTGCGCGATACAAAGGCGAGTTTCCACCCAGAGGGTCGTCCCGTGCAATAGCCAATAAGCATTCTCCAGGCAATAAATGACAGGAAAACTAACCAGTTATAAACTAGTTTCTCTCACGCATGTGGAAATTCGCCTGCTTAGTCTAACCCACTGCTAATTGTGATTGGATATCATTGTGAGGAGCGGTTGAACTGTCTAATTAGGAGCGGGAGCGAAAAAACGCACAGCCAATAGGAAGATTCTCAGGAATGGGGCGGGGACTAGGCCTTCGCCTCGGCGGCAGAGGAGACTCGGGGGCCATTTTGTGAAGAGACGAAGACTGAGCGGTTGTGGCCGCGTTGCCGACCTCCAGCAGCAGTCGGCTTCTCTACGCAGAACCCGGGAGTAGGAGACTCAGAATCGAATCTCTTCTCCCTCCCCTTCTTGGTAAGTGGAGAGGGCGGACGCAGGGAAGGCGCTGGGTTTTTCGGGAAGCGAGAGGGGGTGTGGGAGAGAAGATGTGGGAATCCTTCCCCCTAACTAACCGGGCCCTCATTTATTCTGCTTGTTTTGGGGGATTAGGTTGAAGCCGGGGGCAGTTTTATAGGCCTCAGCCTCTGTATAGGTTTAACCTGGTGTCCTCTAGGCCACGATCGCCAGGGAAAATGTCCTTTTTTCGCTCTTCCTGTGTTAACGGCTGCTTTCCTTTCATTTTCTACGACCGCGAGGACTACGGGATCATGAAAATGAAGATCGTGATGCTCATTAATATAGTCGAAGTTAACGTAGCGCCGATGCCTTCTATTACCTCCGTTCTTCTTACATGTAAAAAGTGGGGGAGGGGAAGGGGGAAGGTTACCAAGTAGATGTATCGCGAGCCTTTAAATCCTGGATCGTGCCGCGTGGCCTACGAGAAAGGTTTAACAAAAGATTCAGCATTTTACTGATAACTTTTTATTTTATTTCTCTCTATGAGCAAATGATGGAGCTCGAAGTAGTTATTTTCACTTACATTTGTAAAAGGAAATATTGTGATATAACTATATTAATATTTACAGCTGACTTTTCATCTGCAGGTTACAAAACACTTGAAATATATAAGTTAGTGGAACTTTGCTTGAGGTAGGTATTAACTCTCTTTCTCAGACGGAAACTGAGGCAGAAAAGTGTTGGTTGCTAGGGTCATATTAAGTCAGTAGCAGCACTAGTAAGGAATTTGACCACGAGGTCAGTCGAGTGGTTTTTACCTAGTTAATGGAATACCTAGTTAATATAGTTCTAAAACTACTGTATTGCAATCTTTGCCAAGAACCTGATGACGGAAACCACGAGGTAACTGGAAATTCCCAAATTGCGCTTAAGAAAAATACTACGAGACTTGAGAATTTTTTAACGTAACTTCCTAAGTGTAAGATGACAAAATTTGACTTTCGGGATATTCTGGCGTTAATTTTCCCGTCCGCCTAAATGTGGGCAAAAATTCACAGCTACGTTATATTAAGCAAATATTAACAGTGCCTATTATTTGCTGGGTGCTGAAATTTGATAAAAAACTTAAAAGTTAAAAAAAATTGTTTAGATCTTTAGTGTCACATTGACTTATCTGGGACATCGCTTTTTTTAATCCTCACATGAGATTTGGCTAAGTTTATTTTTCACAATCTGTTAATCTCACAAAAACTAAAGCTGTTAAGCACAGTTTAAACCCATTCTGCAGGGTAAGAAATTCATCTGTAAGGCAATCTATTTGATAGGAAGTAAAATAAGGGTCAAAAACATCGCGACCCCTTTCTTAAGGCTTAAACATGTATATTATTACAGGAACTTAAAACTAAAGTTTATCATTGTGCTGAACTGTTAGAAATGAGGTTAGGGTAAAAATGGGAAATCATGAAGTAAAAATGTTGGCAAGGAGAAATGTCAGAAATTAGTATTTAAGAACTGTTAATAGTAGTTGAAATTGATTGACGGGCACTTTTCTTTGAGGTTTTCGAAAATGGGTTCCTTCCGGTCAGTATGTATATCAGCGCACCAAAAATTCTTTGAGTTAATATCCGAAACTGTTTGCCACGGTATTTATATCACAATTCTAGGTGTGTTCTCAACTAGATAGGCGTTTAGTAACATTTTCATATTGGCTAGGGGGAAAAGTTGAAGAAGGATGGCCAGGTTGCAGGTTTTCTGACCTTTTTTTTCCCCCTCATGCTAGTGCCACTCTCGGGAATACTTGGTGGTTGATGTTCCTTCTGTAGAGAATTTAAACAGCTTACGTTTGTAATTAAATCTCTAGAGGATTTGACATGGCATTCGACCTTGTTTTGGATGGAATGGCTGTGCGAAACAAGCAAAGAATAAACTCCAAAATAGCTAGTTGCTCTAATTTTAAAGACTAAGGGGCAAATTATTAAATCTTAATAAAGTGTTGAATGTGAGAGGTGTTGGCTGGGGAGTAAGTTTGCCTAGGAGTTAGGAGAAATAGATTTTAATCCTCCTTAGGCAAATAAGGGGACTTAGACTTTTTTTTAAAACCTATTTGAATTTTTAGTTTCTAATTCAAATTTTTTGTTGCCAGAAGCCTAAAAACTGTACAGATTGAGTTTTATTAAAAGCAGTTTTGTTTTTTTTTTTTTTTTTTTTTTTTTTTTTTTTGAGACGGAGTCTCGCTCTGTCGCCCTAGGCTGGAGTGCATGTCGTGGCACAATCTCGGTTCACTGCAACCTCCGCCTCCCGGGTTCAAGCGATTCTCCTGCCTCGGCTTCCCGAGTAGCTGGGATTACAGGCGTGTGCCACCGCACCGGGCTAATTTTTATATTTTTAGTAGAGACGGGGTTTCACCGTGTTGGCCAGGCTGGTCTCGAACTCCTGAGCTCAGGGAGTCCTCCTGCCTTGGCCTCCCAAGGTGCTGGTATTACAGGCGTGAGCCACCGCACCCGGCCCCGGTTTTCTAAATTGGTAGTTATTATTACTATTCTTAACCACATTATTTCAGTCTTCAAGTACTTTATTAGTAGTTGTCTCTGGGGAGCATTATTTGCTCTTAATATGCATATTCATGTATTCTCATTGGAAATGGGAAGGTTTTGGTTTTGTGCATACTAGATTTACTAGAGGATTGGTGAGAACCAGAACTTTGAGGTGTAGCATAACTACAGGTATTCTCGATATTGGAAATTTTGAGTTTATTAACATAAAAGGAAAAAAGGTTTCTTTGGTACATTTACTATCATAGGTTATGTGTTTTTGGATTTATTTATATTGTATCAGGAAAACATTATTTGGTGCTCTAACTTGATTCTGTCACAGTACACTGGAAGGTCAGGCATTTTGTTTAAAGAATTGATTCTAAGGCCGGGTGTGGCTGCTCATGCCTGTAATCCCAGCACTTTGGGAGGCTGAGGCGGGTGGATCACGAGGTCAGGAGTTTGAGACCAGCCTGGCCAACATGGTGAAACCCCCATCTCTACTGAAAATAAAATTAGCTTGGCGTGCTGGCGCTCGCCTGTAGTCCCAGCTACTCGGGAGGCTGAGGCAGGAGAATCGCTTGAACCTGGGAGGTGGAGGTTGCAGTGAGCCATCGCACCACTGCACTCCAGCCTGGGCGACAGAGTGAGACCCCATCTCAAAAAAATGATAATAATTGATTCTAAACTGGGGAATAGAGAGATTCCCAATTTAAAATCTTCACAGTGGTTCTCAAACGTTAGCCAACACCAGAATCAATAGGGCTAGTTAAAACAGATTGCTATGATCTCTACCACAAGGGTTTCTAATTAAGTAAGTCTGGGGTGGGCCCTGAGAGTTTGCACTTCTAGTAAGTTCCAGGTGATGATGCTCATGCATCACTCATTCTGAGAGGTGCCCCTTTAGAAGAAGGGATCCAAACCTCAGGCAGGTTTTGACAAAGAATAACCTAGAGATACTTTTTTTCTAAAACTATCTCTGAGCTTTAGGTAAGGATACTTTTTTTCTTTGAGAGCCTCACACTGTCACCCAGATTAGAGTGCAGTAGTGTCATCTCAGCTCACTGCACCCTCTGCCTCCCGGGCTCAAGGGGTGCCCTCAGCCTGCTGAGTAGTGCTGCTAATTTTTTGTATTTTTGGTAGAGGCAGGGTTTCGCCATGTTGCCAGGCTGGCCTTGAATTCCTGAGCTCAGGTGATCCACCCGCCCCAAGCCTCCCAGAGTGCTGGGATTACAGGTGTGAGCCACGCCGCCTGGCCTCAAGGAATATTCTTGATTGAAAATGGTGCTAAAGTTGGTCTTTTTATGAGTGGTAGCTCTTCAGTTTAACATAAATAACATCTTGGGAGATACTGAGCTTTTTGATATTGAAAGATAGAATTGGTTTCTTTTCACATTTTTCTTTATTTTTAAGCTTATGTCTTGTGGCACCTGTACAAAGGACTTGGTTGTGGTTGAGCTATAAAGTTATGTATCTTGAAAATTGATTACCAGGTTTGGGCTGTGGCTCCAAATAAGAAAATGAAATGTTTCACCATAACTGTATTTCATAAACAGGAAAAGAACATTCAGATGTATATTTCTTACAATTCTTCACAAACTTTTTCCGCAATTTGTACATTCATACAGTTTTCACACATCAAATGTAAAAATTAACTGTCATTCCTACACTGTTCTTTTTAAAAATGTATGGTACTTGTTGCTGCTGTAGTCATTCATGTATAGTTGGCTCAAGGAACACTTCTAAAAGCTCAATTAAAAATTTTTTTTTTGAGACAGGGTCTCTCTCTGGCCTGGCTGAAGTGCAGTGGCGTGATCAGAGCTCACTGCAGCCTCGAACTCCTGGGCTCAAGTGATCCTCGCTCCTCAGACTGCTAAGTAGCTGGGATTTCAGGCTACCACACCCTGCTAATGTTTTTTGTTTTTAATAAAGTCTCGTCATGTTTCCCAGGCTGGTCTCAAACTACTGAGCTCAAGCCGTGCTCTACCCTGGCCTCCCAAAGTGTTGGGATTACAGGTGTGAGCCACCACACTTGGCCTTAAAATATTTTAATTTCCTCAAATTTACAAAGGAGAATAAGACCTCATGGCTAAATTGAACAGTGAGTGCAGCTAGTTCATTGTTTGCACAAGGAACTACAGTCTAATTGCAGTTCCTATTTTAGCTGATGAAACAACCAGTTTGTCATGGAAATTATTTTAGTGTGGTATTATGTACCAGATTTTTAGAATCCATAACTTGAAATTAGCTTTACACGCTACATAGTAAATAGTGGACTACAGAAACAAAAGTATTAACATAAGGACCTTAATTTTTTTCACCTATTTTATGACCTTAAATATTCAGTATTTTTTTAATTCCATCTGTATTTTCGTTTTGTCAGTGAGTGGAATAATGTGCTCCTTATTTAAAACATCTTTTCCCCTAACAGTAGAACCTATTAGGTCTTGTGGTTTGATCACTCACTGGTTTTGAGAATAGATGAGTCATCTCTAGTATAGATCTTCATGGTAGGCCATTCACCTTCAGTCTATTACTCATAGCAAAAACTCCACGGACTTTTTTAAGTTTAAAACCCATGAATCTGCTTAGGTTTTATAATCTCAGTATTTGACATTTGCTCACTATTTCATCTCTATTTGTTGGCCCGGTTTTTCTGTATTTTCTTTGCCCAAACTGCTCATTATCAAGATGAACATTTGGGATATACTCTTTTTGAGACCCTCAAGGGCATATTGACATGAATTTAGTTAATTTTAGTCATCTATTGATGTTGAAGAATTGTGAAGACAGTCACTGGTAGAGGTGATTCTATGGAGGCTATCCCATCCCAGTGGAATGTTAATGCTTTACCAAAATGTGTTAGCTGCAGTAGACAGATGTTTCTGTCTTGGGGGTTTAGGGCACAACATTTCTGAGGAACTCTGACTCAATCTGTCCCTTCTCCTTTCACAGGGCAGCAAGGCGAACCCCATCCCTACTCACTGGAGCTCAGCTTTGATTTTTAACCTCCCTTCCCCACCCTTCCAGAACACACACATTCCATTCCAAAACTGATTTTATAAAGACATTTTAAACATAATGATGCAACTTGGTGTGCACTACAGCAAATGTACAGGTGTTTTTTTTTTAATTGTTTCCAAAACCGGGACCTGGATTTAAGATGTAATTTTTAAAATTTCTATTTCTATTTTTTCTGCAGCAGTTGGGTTAGAGGAGGAGGAGCCTTTTAGCCTCTCATAAACTGACCTCTCTACTTCCTCGTGTATTTTTAAGATTGATTGATGATGTGGAAAGGGCTTTGCTTGTCTGCTACTGAAAACTTTATCCTTGCGGTTTTTGTGGAAACTGCTTTTGGAAAGAGAAAAGAAATGAACTTTACTGACTTGACATTTTTGCACCTCCCGTTTTTCTAATCTGGGCTATTTTTATTTTTGTTTTTTTACAGTGAGATTTTTTTGATCTTCAGCTACAGTAAGTTATTCCAATTTTTTTTTAACATTTTTCCTGACTTTCCGCTGATTTCCTTTTTATTGTTGTTACTAGTTACTATTACTTATTATTATTATATTAATACTTATGATGGTGATGATGATGATGATAATGACACTGATGATTTTTAACCGGATTAAAATCGAGTTTTTCTGAATGTTTCTAAGAATTTCTCCGGCCTCCTGATTGACTTTGGAGTTTTGCATCTTGGGAGAGAAAGCGAAGGCATTAGTATTTTTAAGTGGTTTGATCACGTAAACCTTTTCTCTCCCAACCCCACCCTTGCCCTCATCCCCTTCCCCACACTGAAAAGAATTTTACTGGCTGTTAAGTCTATGACCTTATTTTTCCTGATCTTTAACTTAACTGTTTTAGAGCATCTCTGGACGTCTGTATTTTTAATTTTTTTTATTTTTGTTTTTTTATTTTTAATCTTTCATTTGTTAAATTTTTAAACTGTGCTGCAATAAAATGTGTGTGGTACTACTTAACACTTATGATCGTGATGGCATTTTCCCTGAAAGCCATCTTCCTCCTGTTTCCCTTGAAATCCCATCCTGCTTTTCCTGTACACTACCCCTCACAAACCACAAGCTGCAGCAACATGGATGCCCAGCCTGGAGCAGCAGCAGCCAGGATGACCTGGAGCCAGGGGGGCCTTCGGAACAGATGCACACCCTTCCTGGGTGATGGTAAGAGGTGTGAGGTCCACTTGGATTCATTACAAAGACTAGGAAATAAACCCGTTTAACAGTTTAGCTGATGTGTATAGGTCATAGCATCTGGAAGTGTTTGAAACTTTTGTGTGTGCATCTTGAGGTGTTTCCCAAGGGGGACCACCTCAGTTATTTGTAAACTAATGGAATAATATGAGTTGCTAATTAACTTGGGCTGATTAGAACATTTTGGATACTTGGAAAGAGCAGCTGAAGTTTAAAATGAAAGTGGCTTGTTTTAATGATTAGCAACAAGAAAACATATTGGGGAGTCCCTTTTTTTAGATTGTTACAAATCAGTAAACATTTTCTGTCATTTAACATATTCCTTGGGTTTGTGACATTTTTGGATTATATTCTATTTAGACTTTTTATCTCATTAATATTTCACAAGAGTCAAACCATAGGAGATACAACATAATATTAAAATGCTGTCTCACTGGAGGGCTTTTAAAAATTTGAAAAAAGGTAGGCTTTTTGACCTCACAAAGCAGGGAAATCTGTTTAACCTCTACATCCAAATTAGGAACTGTCTAAGGCTGACCCCTTTTACAGTGGTGACTCAAGACCCAGCTAGATTTTGGGAATTCTAATGTGAATTCATAGAGTTCTAATGCTAGATTAGGAACTCTAATGTGTTCTGATGTTAAGAAGGAGTGTATTCTGTGTTATTCACAGGAATGGTGTAGAGATTAGTAAAGATGTGGATAGCCAAAGAGAAGTTGAGCAACCCGTAGTATTTTACTCACTGCAGCAAAATGTTTTGATAACCATTTTAGAGTTGCTCTGATAGGTTTCAAGCTGGGAGATAATTAGATTTTATTTTAAAATATTTCTATTTTTTGTAGAGACAGGGTCTCGCTATGTTGTCTAGGCTGGTCTTGAACTCCTGGGCTCAAGCGATCCTCCTGCCTTGACACCCCCAAAGTGTTGACATTACAGGCATGAGCCACTGCACCTAACCTGGAATAATTTTTTGAAGGCATATTCGGTACTGTTGTACTAGGGTAAATCACAAACTTGCCCCCTTATACCATACTCGGATGAAAAGTGAAATCTAGTTAAAGTGAACACCAGAGGTACACTCAAAACAGAATGGGAGAAAAAGCAAAAGATTCCTGGAAGTTATCTAGAAAAAGAATGGGAATCTTTATTTTTTAAATAAGTGCAAGTTTTATTGATGCTCTCTATTGTATGAGAGCTATTTTTTCTTCTTTGCTGCTGTCAGTGTACGGAAGCTGTTCACTATAGGTTCAGTTTGATTTATTCCTTGTTAATTCTACAAATTTATTATTTTTATGGGACATGTTGTGTTTGGGGATATAAAAAATAGTTTATTATGTTTAAGGGCTTCGCAGCTTAGTGAGGGAGACACATGAATGAAATAATGTCCATATATGATGAGAGGTAAACACATATCCTATAGAAGCATGCCAAAATAAGCTGGGGGCGTTGGTACCTGCCTGTAAGCCTGTAGTCACAACTAATTGGAAGGCTGAGGCAGGAGGGTCCCTTGGCCCAGGATTTGAGAGACTGTAGTGTGTGATGTGATTATCCACTGCACTCCAGGCTGGGCAACATAATGAGACCCCATCTTTTTTTTTTTTTTTTTTTTTGAGACAGTCTCGCTCTGTTTCCCAGGCTGGAGTGCAGTGGTGCCATCTTGGGTCACTGCAACCTCCACCTCCCGGGTTCAAGCGATTCTCCTGCCTCAGCCTCCCGAGTAGCTGAGACTACAGGCACGGACCACCATGCACGGCTAATTTCTGTATTTTTAGTAGTGACGAGGTTTCACCATGTTGGCCAGGCTGGTCTCAAACTCCTGATCTCATGGTCTGCCCGCCTCGGCCTCCCAAAGTGCTGGAATTACAGGCATGAGCCACTGCACCTGGCCTTAAATTTTTCTATTTTTAGTAGAGACAGGGTTCAGTAGAGATGCCATGTTGGCCAGGATGGTCTCAAGTTCCTGACCTCAGGTGATCCACCCGCCTCAGCCTCCTGAAGTTTTGGGATCACAGGTGTGAGCTGCCGCACCCAGCGAGACCCCATCTCTTTTTAAAAAAAGAAAGCATGCAGAAATGGTTACCTAACTAACCCTGAGAGGTCAGGGAATCCTTTTTTTATTATTTTTATTTATAACTTTAAATTTATAAATTTATTCCTTCTACCTTAATCACATAAAGGGATTTTTTTTTTTTTTTTTTTTTAAATAAGACGGAGTCTCGCTCTGTCACCTAGACTGGAGTGCAGTGGTGTGATCTTGGCTCACCACAACCTCTGCCTCCTGGTTTCAAGCAGTTCTCTGTCTCAGCCTCCCGAGTACCTGGGATTACAGGCACCTGCTACTATGCCCGGCTAATTTTTTTTTTTTTTTTTTGAGATGGAGTCTTGTTCTGTTGCCCAGGCTGGAGTGCAGTGGCACGATCTCGGCTCACTGCAAGCTCTGCCTCCCAGGTTCACGCCATTCTCCTGCCTCAGCCTCCCAAGTAGCTGGGACTACAGGCGCCCGCCACTACGCCCGGCTAATTTTTTTGTATGTTTAGTAGAGACGGGGTTTCACCGTTTTAGCCGGGATGGTCTCGATCTCCTGACCTCGTGATCCGCCCGCCTCGGCCTCCCAAAGTGCTGGGATTACAGGCGTGAGCCACCGCGCCCGGCCCACCTGACTATTTTTTATTGTTTTTTTTTTTTTTTGGTGGAGACAGGTCTCATTTTGTTTCCCAGGCTGGTCTCAAAAACTCCTGGAAGATTTTAATTTTTAGGAATGTCTTTCTAATAACAGTATGGAAATGGTGTAGAGGAAATGAGATTGGAAGTAGGAGATTAATAAAGGAGATATTAAAATCCAAGAAAGAATAACGACCTGGCTTGGACAAAGGTAATGCTATGAGATTAGAGATTAGGAGGTAAAATTAGGAGCATCTCAGGATGGATGTGATAAGGTGGACAAGAACACAGATTTGGCATGATTGCTGGTTTCTAGCTTCTGGGATAGGGATAGATATTGGGGAATGAATGAAGGGAGCAGATTATAGTTTGAGGGTGGGAAAAAGAATATTTTAAACATCTTGGAGGTATTCAAGGAACATTCAAGTATAAGATGTTTTATTAAGTATCTGAGTACTATTTGAAAATCATTAGGTTTGGGCATATAGGGATGAACAAAACATGTCCCCTGCCCTCTTAGATATTATAGATCATTGAGGGAAGAAACAAAGTAAATGGCACTTTTCACAGTAAGGATCGATGAAGGAAAAGAAGAGCGTGGATGAGAAGATGGCAAGGGAACCAAAATTAGAACATGGAATTTGGGGGATGCTGCCAGGGAAGCTTAGCTACGTGGAAGTAGCTAATGGTGAAGCTCATTCTGTAAGAAAACCATATGTGAAAGCACAGATAATGAGGGGGAACAAGACTTGGCCTCCAAGTAAGAAATAATACTGGAAAATAATTACCAAGAATACATAGATGAGGGATGGAGTTAGAGAGGTAGGCAAGGACCAAACATTTCATAGCACGGGACCTTAGAGGGTCTTGTTTAAGATCCTGTCTTGGGCACAAGTAGAATCTATTGAAGGATTTTGAAGAAGAGGTCTGGTTTATCTTCTGTTGTGTAGGGAATATTAGTGATGAGAACTAAGAGGGCAAGTAGGGCAGTAAGTTTGGAGACCTATTAGAGTAGGCCACTGTCTCAATCTCTTGAAGAAAATAATCATCCCAAGCCTAACAATAACTTGCCCTGGTTTTTCAAATGAGTTTTTATTGGGTGTATTAATGAGCAAAATCAGTCTGAGTAAGATAGGTTGAGAACTGATGAGGCTCCAGGAAATTACTAATTATTTCTGATACCTTGTTGGGTCATATAATGGCTTTCTGATTTGGCAGAAAAAAGTAGCAGGACATTAATTTATGGAAGTATTCTAAACACTTGACTATGTCCAACACTGTTAAAGTTGTGAGTTTGTGTTAACTTAATCATCATCAAAACCTTGAGTAGGAGTAGATACTGTTATTCATGTTTTAGAGGTGAGAATATTGGAGTACAGAATTTAAATAACTTGCCTAAAGTTAAACTGCTTTAGTGGTTTAGCATGGATTCAACCCTGGGATTAAGGGTGCAGATTTCAACACTTAATGATAGTAGACTCCTTTCGTCACTTTGATATGTTGAACTTTTTTTTTTTTTTGAGACATAGTCTCGCTCTGTCACCAGGCTGGAGTGCAGTGGCATGATCTCTGGCTCACTGCAACCTCCGCCTCCTGGGTTCAAGCGATTCTTGTGCCTCCGCCTCCTGAGTAGCTGGGATTGCAGGCATGCACCACCACACCCAGCTAATTTTTATATTTTAGTAGAGATGGGGTTTCACCATGTTGGCCAGGCTGGTCTAGAAATCCTGACCTCGTGATCCGCCCACCTCGATTTCCCAAAGTGCTGGGATTACAGGCGTGAGCCACTGTGTCCGGCTGAGCATTCTAGAAAAACAGATTTTAGTTTGGTTAAAGTTCCAAAGAACAACTTTGGACTTTTATTATTAAAATTTTAAAACTAAATATGTTTATATTTTTGCCCTTGATTTCCCAACACCTTAAATGGCTTAAAGATGTGTATATGTGCAAGGTAGTTAATGTTTAGGTAGATGTATCTTGGTAAAATGTTACCATGGTTGTGATGGCATTGTTAATAGGGAAGCAAGCACATTTTAAAAGTGAGCTTTAGGCCAGTTGCAGCAGTTTATGCCTATAATCCCAGCACTTTGGGAGGCTGAAGTTGGAGGATAGCTTAAGGCCAGGAAAGTCTGGCAACATAGCAAGAGCCTGTCTACAAAAAGCTGGGCACGGTGGCACACAGCTGTAGTGTAGCTCCCTGGGAGGCTGAGGCGGTAGAATTAATTGAGTTCAGGAGTTTGAGGTCAGTGTGAGTTATGATTGCGCCACTGTACTCCAGCCTGGGTGACAAGAGTGAGACCCTATCTCTTAAAGTAAAAAAACAAAAGTGAGCTATCTTTTTTTTTTTTCTAAGACTTATAAAACCGAAGTGAACTTCAGTTAGAAAAAAATTATTTGTGGTTAAAAAAGAACCACGGAGACGGATGCATTAACTAAGCCCAGGGGTCCTTTTTCAATCCTCATCTCACTTGACCTGTTGGTTCCATTTAACCAGATCTCTTCCTTGAAACGTTTTTATTTTTTTTTTACTTTGCTTCCAGGTTTTTGTTACATGTTTCTGTTACATGTTAAACTTCTTTCTGTTGGAGTGCCCCATGGTTCAGTCCTTCCACTTCTCTTTTCTGTCCACACTCTGGGTCCAATTTCATTCAGATTCATTCATGATGTAATATACCACCTATAAGCTGATTTCGACACTTAAGATCAACAGCCTATACTTTTCTTTCGAATGTCATACCAATTCAGTTTACCTGCATGACAACTCTGTTGAATATCCAATATGTCAACTTAAAAGTGCAAAACTGTGCTCCTGATGTTCATGCCTCAAACCAGTCTCTTGTGTACTGTTGCCTTTTTCAGTTAATGAAACAATTTTTGTGTCTCTTGGGCCAAAGATTTTGGCTAGCCATCCTTGACTTTTACTCTTCTCACCTTTGGCCTATTAGAAAATCATGTTGGCCAGGTGTGGTAGCTCAGGCCTGTAATCCCAGCACTTTGGGAGGCTGAGGGAGGCGCATCGCTTGAGCTCAGGGGTTTGAGACCGGCCTGGGCAACATGGTGAAACCCTGTCTCTTCAAAAATATACAAAAATTAGCCAGGAGTGGTGGCAAGTGTCTGTAGTCCCAGCTACTTGAGAGACAGGCATGAGAATCGCTTGAGCCCAGGAAGCAGAGGTTGCAGTGAGCCGAGATCGCACCCGCACCATTGCACTCCAGCCTGGGTGACAGAGCAAGACCCTATCACAAAAAAAAGAAAGGAAAAAATGCTGTCAGCTCTTCAAAATATACCACTACTCATACTGTCGACACTTGGTCCAATTTCAAGCCACCCTTGTCTCCTGTGCATTATTATATATAATAGGTTTGTATTTCTTTTGTCCCTCCCCACTAGTTTTGTTCTTAAAAGTGATAGCTAGATTGATCCTAAAATGTATTGTTTGAAGGATTTTTTTTTTGGGGGGGAGATGGAGTTTTGCTCTCTTTGCCCAGGCTGTAGTGCAGTGGTGCGAGCTCGGCTCACCGCAACCTCTGCCTCCCGGGTTCAAGCAGTTCTCCTGCCTCAGCCTTCCAAGTAGCTGGGATTACAGGCACCAGCCACCAAGCCCAGCTAATTTGTTTTTTATTTTTAGTAGAGACAGGGTTGCACCATGTTGGCCAGGATAGTCTCGATTTCTTGACCTTGTGATCTGCCCGTCTCTGCCTCCCCAAAGTGCTGGGATTACAGGCGTGATCCACCACGCCTGGCCATTGAAAAATGTTTTGCCTGAAAACAAACAACCTAATGGCTGCCTTTTTCAGCATTGAAGTCAAAAATTTTTCTGTGATTTACAGGGCATCCCACGTGATTTGTTGTGTCCCTTCCCTTGCTGTTAATATACTGTGCTTCAGCCACACTGGCCTTCTTAACTGTATTGAACACATTGGATATGTTTCCACTTTAGGGCTTTTCCTTGGAATTTTCTCTGACTCATACAGTTTGGTTCCTCAGTTCCTCTGAGACTTTTTACTCAGAAGCTACCCCCTTAGTGATGTGTCTTCCCTTATTTAGCGCTTTAAGCTCCCCTTCTCCTAAATACTCTTTAGCACTTATCACCAACTGTAGAATTTGTTTTTTTCTATGTAAAGACATAAGAGATATGTCCAGAAATACATATGCCAAACAATTAACATTGATTGCCTCTGGGCAAGAAGTGGGATTTAGGAGATTTGAAACTTGTGTACTATGTGCTTAAGACTATTATAATGATCAATGTGGTAGTATTTTCCTTCTAATTAAAAAGCTTAAAAATGTACATCAACTCTTGTGATTCTGTGTGGGCATAAATAGCATAGCTAGTCTGTGTAATAGGGGTTTAGTAAGCAGTGTTAATAGTTGAAGAAACTGCTTTAAAAGGTTTAGCTGTGATAGAGTCGAGTTAGCATTTGAGCACATAGACTACCGTGTTGCCTGTATCAACATTTGGGAGAGCTTGACCATTTTAAAAATATGTATTCTCTACTGAGAAAGCATGGCTATTTGTAAGAGGTAGAGTGAATTAGAGAACTTTTTTTTTATTATTTCTACCTAATCTGATTCTGACTTTACCAGTCTGAAATATTCTTCCTGTTTTCTAATTATATTGACCTATGGCTCCTGAGTTGATTTTAAAACTGAAAAAACTCCAGGAGTTCATTGAACCAGATTTAGGCTTTTCTGGCTAGTCTTGAATAACATTTAGGAGTTTAGTAGAGTACATTTTGAACAAAAATTTTCCTCCAGTCCTCTAACTAAAATAGGTATTCTGAAGAGGATAAACTATTCATAATGCATTGTCACTCCCTATATTGATCCTTTAAATAAAATCTTCACATAAGTGGGTTTTCTAGCTTCAGAGCGAGAAGAAAAGTTTTCTCATGCTATTACCCTTAAGTTTGTGGAATTCATGCTAGAGTTATGGCTATGCTGTTTAAAATGGAGTTTTTCTGGTTTTTTTTTTTGTTTTTTTTTTGAGACTAGAGTCTCGCTCTGTTGCCCAGGCTGGAGTGCAATGGCACGATCTTGGCTCACCGCAACCTCCGCCTACCGCAACCTCCGCCTCCCGGATTCAAGTGATTCTCCTGCCTCAGCTTCCCGAGTAGCTGGGATTACAGGCGCCTGCCACCACGCCTGGCTAATTTTTGTATTTTTACAAGAGACAGGGTTTCACCATGCTGGCCAGGCTGGTCTCGAACTCGCGACCTCAGGCAATCCGCCCATCTCGGCCTCCCAAAGTGCTGGGATTACAGGCGTGAGCCACCGCAGCTTGCTAAAATGGAGTTTTATTACTCCTTTGAAAAGGAATACTAGTCAAGTGACTGAAGATTGATGTGGATTTGGGAGAGGAGGTACCTCATCTTTATCTTACCTTTGATCCGAATAAAGTAATACATGCTCATAGAACATTTTTAGAAAATACAGCTATCCAAAGATAACATTTGGGGTGTTCTTCCAGGCTTTTTGGGGCTTATATAAACTTCAAAAAGCACTGTCATACAGCATATATATTTAAGTAATAATTTTAAATTTAACCTGAATAGCTTATGTTAGTAGATACAGATCTCTGAAAAATTTGTAGTAGTTACATAGTATTATATACTCTATAATACTACATGGTACATTGTATACTTGTACTATATTTTATTTTACCAATACACTGTTGTACTCGTCCCCATTTTTTCTTTTGTAAACAAAGCTTTGGACAGTCAAAACTACAGTTGTGCATATCTTTATTTTCTTACATTTAAGCCCCAGAAATATAATTATTCAAGGGTATGCACATCTTTTTTGCCGGGGAGGTGGGCAGAGTATGCACTTTTTTTTTTTTTTTTTTTGAGACGGAATCTCACTCTAGCCCAGGCTGGAGTGCAGTGGCATGGTCTCACTGCAAGCTCCCTCTCCCGGGTTCATGCCATTCTCCTGCCTCAGCCTCCTGAGTAGCTGGGACTATAGGTGCGTGCCAACACACCCAGCTAATTTTTTAATTTTTTTTTGGTAGAGACGGGGATTCACCGTGTTAGCCAGGATGGTGTCGATTTGCTGACCTCGTGATCTGCCCGCCTTAGCCTCCCAAAGTGCTGGGATTACAGGCCTGAGCCACCGCGCCTGGCCGCACATTTTAAAAAGTTCTTAAGTTTGTTCTCCAGAAGCTAATAAGTTTAGCAATTTATTGGCAGTGTTAGCGGCCACTAATACTTAATTTCTAGTTTTGTGAATTACTTTGGATCTTTTGCTTTAAGATTTGACCCTGTATTATTCTGAAGGATTTGCTAAGTTTTTAAGTTGAATAGTAAAAATGTTGATAGATTTTGAGTGAAACATTGATACAATGTTGTCTATATTTCTGTGTATAGTTTGAGATTCACATGTAATTTTTGTTTTCAGGTGCATGCACATCTTTGGTGCTATCTTTTTTTTTTTTTTTTTTTTTTTTGAGATGGAGTCTAGAGGTTGGAGTGCAGTGGCGTGATCTCTCTCACTGCAAGCTCCGCCTCCTGGGTTCACGCCATTCTACTGCCTCAGCCTCTGGAGTAGCTGGGACTACAGGCATCCAGCTAATTTTTTGTATTTTTTTTTTTTTTTAGTAGAGATGGGGTTTCACCATATTGGCCATAATGGTCTTGATCTCCTGACTTCATAATTCACCTGCCTTGGCCTCCCAAAGTGCTGGGATTACAGGCGTGAGCCACCGCGCCTGGCCAGTCTTTTTTTTTTTTTTTTTAAAGACAGAGTCTTGCTCTGTTGCCAGGCTGGAGTGCAGTGGTGCGATCCCGGCTCACTGCAACTTCCACCTCCCAGGTTCAAGCGATTCCCTTGCCTCAGTCTCCTGAGTAGCTGAGATTACAGTTACGCTCCACCACGCCCGGCTAATTTTTGTATTTTTAGTAGAGATGGGGTTTCACCATGTTGGCCAGGATGGTCTTGATCTCTTGACCTTGTGATCTGCCGGCCTCGGCCTCCCAAAGTGCTGGGATTACAGGTGTGAGCAACTGCACCCGCCTGGTGCTATCTTTTAATTGTGAAAAAATTTCACATACACAAAAGAGAATAGTATAATGAACTTCCATGTACTTGTCTCACTTTAATAATCCTTGGCCAGCCTTTTTGTTTGTATCTACATCTCCCCATCCACCCCCTTCCCATGTTATTTTGAAGCAAATTCTTGATACATTTCATCTGTAGATATTTCAGTGTGTATTTTAAAAAGAATTAGGACTTAACCACAATTATCCCACCAAAAACGTTTAATAAATTAACTATTTTAATACTAAACATATTTAGAGGCCTGGCATGGTGGCTCATGCCTGTAATGCCAGCTCTTTGGGAGGCCAAGGTGGGCACATCACTTCAGGCCAGGAGTTCGAGACCAGCCTGGCCAATGTGGTGAAACCCTGTCTCTGCTAAGAATACAAAAAAATTACCTGGGTAGGGCAGTGCATGTGTGTAATCCCAGCTACTTGGAAGTCTGAGGCAGAAGGATCCCTTGAACTCAGGAGGCAGAGGTTGCAGTGAGCCAAGATACTGCCACTGCACTCCAGCCTGGGTGATATTGTGAGACTTAAAACAAAAACAACAACAAAAAAAGACCAACAAGTCCATTTAGTATCAGAAGTACTACCCTGAGAACTGAGTAAGGCATTCCTCAATGCTGTTTTATTTCTACGGGGATAACATGGTTGGTGGGGTCTTTTTGTTTATTTGTTCTTTTGCTAACAGTCCTGTATGGAATTTTGGAAGTGTTGTTTACTAAAGGTAGGTTTTGAAATTTTCTTAGGAGTTGGGGGTCTTATGGTTATACTCATTGGTGATAAAAATCAAACCTTTTACTATTCTCAAATTTAGATATAATCTCCTGTTTTGGCTGTTTAAGAGAATACTGTAATAACTTTAAGCCAAATATCCTTGTTAAAAATTATTCTGGGCTGCTAGGTTATTATTTTGTTATACCTGTCTAAAATCTTATCCATAATTTAGAAATTTTAAAATCTCTGACAAATTTTGCATTTGACACCAAGACTCAATTTGGCAAAAAAAACTGATCTTAACTGATGTGAGATTATTTATGTTCTATGTGTGAAATTTACTGAAAATTTATATGTATTCCTGCAGAAATATTTGATGTGGTAACTGTGCTCTCCCAGATGCTACACAACAAAAAAAGCATAGTATTTCTAAAATCTGAGACTATTTTTCCTAATACGTGTGTCTTTTTTTTTTGAGACGGAGTCTCTGTTGCCCAGGCTGGAGTGCAGCGGCGCAGTCTTGGCTCACTGCAACCTCCACTTCCCGGGTTCAAGCAGTTCTCCTGCCTCATCCTCCCAAGTAGCTGGGATTACAGGCACCCACCACTACCACGCTTGGCTAGATTTTGTATTTTTAGTGGAGACAGGGTTTCACCGTGTAGGCCAGGCTGGTCTGGAACTCCTGACCTCAAGTTATCTGCCCGCCTCTGCCTCCCAAAGTGTTGGGAGTACAGGTGTGAGCCACCACACCTGGCTGCAAGCATTGTAGACCAGAGTAGACTTAAAGTATACTTTGTTACAACTCATGCTCAGTCTGAGGTCACTGATAAAATTGAAACTTTCTGTAAGATAACAAGGAAATGAAGTCTTTTTTTTTTTTTTTTTTTTTTTTGAGAGGGAGTCTTGCTCTGTTGTCCAGGCTGGAGTGCAGTGGTGCGATCTCGGCTCACTGCAAGCTCTGCCTCCCAGGTTCCCACCATTCTCCTGCCTTAGCCTCCCGAGTAGCCAGGACTACAGGCGCCCTCCACCATGCCCGGCTAATTTTTTGTGTTTTCAGTAGAGATGGGGTTTCACCATGTTAGCCAGGACGGTCTCGATCTCCTGACCTCGTGATCTACCCGCCTCGGCCTCCCAGAGTGCTGGGATTACAGGCGTGAGCCACCGCGCCCGGCCGGAAATGGAAGTCTTGAGAATGAATGTTGGCCCTTTCTATTCAGAAAATAGCCTGTGCTCCAGCATAGCATCATCACCATCTGGGAGCTACCTAGGAATAGAGTCTCACCCTACCCCAGTGGTACCGATATGCACATTGAAAAGAACGAATCTAGAACACTTTTCACTCCTTTTTTATTACTTGGCTTGGGAATTACAAATTTCGGTGGACTTTTTGGCAGGAGTGGTTTTTGATGTTTGTGGAGAATGTTGAAGACTACAGTGTAGCCACATTTACTTTACATTGGAAATAATACAATATAAAACATGACATTTTATTTGCAAAATTTGAAATAATGACTTCTAAATTACAAACAGAATTAAAAATTTCAAAGCTGGCAGGCTGGAGATACATATGCTGTTCTGAAATACGTGCTTTGAATTATCTGAACTCTTAATGCAGATCATATATCTTGGCGTGATATAACCATTCTTGGTTATGAAAGCTGAGATTAACATTCAAAATACCTTGTGAATCAAGGTAGATCTGTCATAGTTATAATTTTTTTCCTTGAGTGTTTTAAGGAAAATATGTAAACATACAGAACAGTCTAATGAATTCTTAATATACCTTCCACCAGGATTGCCATGTTTCATTTTATTTTTTTGCTGAACCATTTGCAAGGAAATTGCTGACTGAAGACAAAAGACCCCTAAGTATTTAAATGTGGATTTCTTTTTTTTTTTTGAAGTGGAGTCTCGCTCCGTTGCCCAGGCTGGAGTGCAGTGGTGCGATCTCGGCTCACTGCAACCTCTGCCTCCCAGGTTACAGCAATTCCCCTGCCTTGGCCTCCCGAGTAGCCTGGACTACAGGTGTGCGCCACCACCTCCAGCTAATTTTTGTATTTTTTAATGAATTTAGTATACAGGTAGTCATACTAACCATGCTGTTATTTTCATTCATATAGATTATCAGTTATATTAGAAATAAGACCTTCCTGTGTTTTATTATTTTTGCATATTGCATATTCTCTTGATTCAGTTCTCAGTAAAGATGTATTGACCTTACTGAAGTCATTTTGAAATATTAAATCTTAACCTAGGTAAAGCATTCTTTAAAATATTCCTGGTGTTTGTTGGATACTTACAGATTCTGGAACCTTTCTTTAAAAAGTGTTTTCCAAACAGAAGTTGCTCTACGTTAGAGTATGATGGACTTTTATGTCGTAACACCCCCGAAACACTTTAATGATGGCACAATGAAATGTGAAGGTTGAGAATGTAGAGAGAAATTTCTATGTAATTTGGGACTTCCAATGGCTAATAGACCCCAAAATATGTAATACAATGTTCAGTGAATCTAGAGGTACCCAATTCATTGATTCTTTTTTTTTTTTTTTTTTTTTTGTTTTTGAGACACAGTTTTCGCTCTTGTTGCCCAGGCTGGAGTGCAGTGGCGAGATCTAGGCTCCCTGCTATCTCTGCTTCCCGGTTCAAGCAATTCTCTAGCCTCAGCCTCCCAAGTAGCTGGGATTACAGGCACGTGCCACCACACCTGGCTAATTTTTTTTTTTTTTTTTGTATTTTTAGTAGAGATAGGGTTTCACCATGTTGGTCAGGCTGGTCTCAAACTCCTGACCTCTGGTGATCCACCTGCCTCGGCCTCCCAGAGTGCTGGCAGGATTACAGGCGTGAGCCACTGCGCCCAGCCCCAATTCCTTGATTCTGTTTAGTTCTGAATTGCTCTTGGGGAAGAGAAGGGCCCAGTTTTTGCTTAGGGTTTTGCAGAAGAGCTTTGCTGACTCAGTTATCTGTGTATCATGATGACTAAGTTTCAGGGTAGCATTTTGCTATCTTTGCAGAAGGAAAAATTACAAAAGCATTATGTATTATTAGTGAAAAGTTGAGAAAAATTTAAAAAACTCAAAACCCCATCCCATCCTTAGATGTCACCTTGGTATGTAATCTTCTAGATAACTTGTACATACTTTGGTTATGCTCCTCCACGTCAATGTCACGTGTCATTTAAATTGCATTCCATTGGATTGCTGCACTGAAATAATTTGTACTCATTGTCAGGCACTTGTTTTCTCCTTTTTTACTGTTAATGTGTCCACACCATTGTTTCTTTCAGATGAATTCTCAAAGTTAAAATTACTGAGTCAAAAAACACGCAGTTTTAAAACTTTTGATGTAATGATCCCGTTTTCTGGAAATGCAGTATGGGTTCATACGGACCATTTATTTTGACCATTGCTTGCAGTAGACACTGTAATTAAAAATGTATTTGCTTGTTTGGTAGGTGGAACATGGTACTTGGTTTAATTTATATTTCCTTGATAGTGTTAATCTTTTTAATCTTCATATACCTTTAGTATTGTTAGTCACCTGTTTGTGTCCTTGGGCCATTTTTTGTTGGTATGTGCCAATAACAGTAAATGATAACAGTAGCAGCAGCGGCACTTGTTAAGTGCCAGTTACCATCTTTTCCAGTGTTTTGTGTACCTTGTTTCATTTATGCTTCATTCCTATCCTGTGAGACAAATACTATCAATGATACTCATTTTACAGATAAGGAAGCTGATTTTCAAAGAGATTGACTTCCCAAAGAAAGTGCATGCCACTAGCAAGTTGTTGATCTTGAAACACATGTGTCTAGGCTGGTTGCAGGGGCTCACGCCTGTAATCCCAAATTTTGGAGGCTGAGATGGGGAGATACTTGAAACCAGGCATTTGAGAGCAGTTTGGGCAACATGGCAAAACCCCGTCTGTACTAAAAGTACAACAAAGTTACCTGGGCGTTATTTTATTTTTAATTTTGGTGGAGATAAGGTCTTGCTTACGTTGTTGGCCAGTCTGGTCTCTTAACTCCTGGGCTCAAGCAATCTCCCACCTCAGCCTCCAAAAGTTTTTTGTTTATACTCTATTTAAAATGTGACCTCATTTTAAGGTTCGGTCATAGTGGACATGGCTTGAATTTGTGATGATACGGGTTTTTTTTTTCTTTTTTATGATGTAATCTTACTGCATCGCCGAGGCTGGAGTGCAGTGGCGTGATCTCGGCTCACTGCAACCTCCGCCTCCCATGTTCTGGCGATTCTTTCTCATGCCTCGGCCTCCCAAGTAGCTGGCATTACTGGCGCTTGCCACCATGCTTGGCTAATTTTTTTTTTTTTTTTTGTATTTTTAGTAGAGATGGGGTTTCACCATGTTAGTAGAGATGGGGTTTCACCATGTTAGTCAAGCTGGTCTTGAACTCCTGTCCTCAAGTGTTCCACTGGCCTCAACCTCCCAAAGTGCTGGGATTACAGGTGTGAGCCACCACACCCAGCCAAGGATAGGTATTTTTGTATCCACTTTCAGTTTACTTCAATTTGGAAGTATGAGTTACCTAAAATTTTGATTTATTTTTTTAAACATACTCAGTTGTGCTAAAAATGAAACCAGAGTGTAACTTTTCGGGGTACAAAAAATAGAAAACTAAACCAGAGTATAACTTTTCAGGGTACAAAAAATAATGTAGGACAGCTTCTTATTTGAGATTGACTTTACTAATTATTATTGTTCAAAAATTGAAATATGTCACGAAAAACTTTTGTATTGAAGGAAAATTCGGTAATGATGAGACTCATGAGGTTATGTCCTATCAGTGAAGGATACATAATTGAGAGGGGTTGTTTATACTTTACAGCAAAATCAAAGGCTGAAATTTTCTTAACGCTGGAGCTATATGTGATCTTTAGTGATTATGAACTAGGTAGAAGAGGATGAAATACGAACTGCTAAGCCCTGTACTTAATGAAAAGTCCAACAAGAGTTGTCAAAACATAGAGGTTAGGATTACATTGATAAATAAGGATTCTTATATTTACAGTTGACCCTTAACACAAGGGGTATTAAGGCACCAGCTGCCAGCACCCCCTCAAAAATAAAAAATCCACATATTACTTTGAACTCTCCAAAAACTTTACTGATGAGCTCCTGCTGAGTAGAAGCCTTACTGATAAAGTTAATTAACACAGATTCAGTATATTATACATTATATACTGTATTCTTACAAGAAAGTGAGCTAGTGAAAAGAAAAAGTTATTAAGGAGCAGAAGATATATTGACTTTGTTAAGTAGAAGTAAATCATCACAAATGTCTTCTTCATTGTCCTCACATTGAATAGGCTGAGGGGAAGATGAAGGCTTGGTCTTACTGTCTTGGGTGGTTTAGGCTGAAGAAAATCCATGTATAAACCCATATTGTTCAAGGTCAGTTGTAATTGTTCCTGTATGTGTTGACAGTGCCAAAGTAAACAGAAAAGTAGCATCTGGAGAGCATCCAGATTATTCCTTTCTTTTCCAAGGGAACTCAAAATTTGGAGTACTGTGTTAAAGGGAAATTGGCAGACTTTTATTTGTTATAAGACGACTTTTTTTTTTTTTTTTGAGACGGAGTCTCACTCTGTCTCCCAGGCTGGAGTGCAGTGGCGCAATCTCCAGCTCACTGCAAGCTCTGCCTCCCGGGTTCACGCCATTTTCCTGCCTCAGCCTCCCAAGTAGCTGGGACTACAGGTACCCGCCAACACGCCCGGCTAATTTTTTTGTTTTTGTATTTTTAGTAGAGACGGAGTTTCACCATGTTAGCCAGCATGGTCTTGATCTCTTAACCTCGTGATCCACCAGCCTCGGCCTTCCAAAGTGCTGGGATTATAGGCATGAGCCACCGCGCCCAGCCTTTGAGGCATCATTTATTTTCATAGATGGCTAGGATGGGGAAGAGTTTGAATGAAATGTTTTGTCAAAGAAAAATATAGAGCCGTGTGCTGCATAGATGTTTTGGTGAATGACAGACCACATATATTATGGCCCCTTAAGATTATAATGGAGCAGGCCAGGTGTGGTGGTTCACGCCTGTAATCCCAGCAATTTGGGAGGCCGAGGCAAGCAGATCCCCTCAGGTCAGGAATTTGAGAGCAGCCTGGCCAACATGGTCAAACCCCGTAGTCAGGCGTGGTGGTGCACATCTGTGTTCCCAGCTACTCAGGAGGCTGAGGTGGCAAAATCGCTTGAACCTGGGAGGTGGAGGTTGTAGTGAACTGAGACTGCGCCACTGCACTCCAGCCTTAGTGACAGAGGGAGACTCCTCAAAAAAAACTAAAAAGTAAAAGAGATTATAATGGAGCTGAGAAATTTCTGTTGCCTAGTGACATCTTGCTGATCCTGAACACCTATAGGCTTAGGCTAATGTTTATGTCTTAGTTTTTTCAAAGTAAAAATGTTAGTAAACTAAATAAGGTTAGTATATTAAAGAAAAGAAAAATTTGTTTTACAAACTTACTGTAGCCTTAAGTGTACCATGTTTATAAAGTCCACAGTAGTGTATGGTAATGTCTTAGGGCTTCAAACCCACCACTCACTCAGTACAGTCACCAAAAGCAACGTTCAGTCCTAAAAGCTCCATTCATGGTAAGTGCTTTATATAGGTATACCGTTTTTGAAATATATATATATTTTTTTTGGCGACAGTCTCGCTTTGTTGCCAGGCTGGAGTGCAGTGGTGCGATCTCAGCCCACTGCAACCTCCACCCCCCGGGTTCAAGCGATTTCTCCTGCCTCCGCCTCGCGAGTAGCTAGGATTACAGGCATGCACCACCACGCTTGGCTAATTTTTGTATTTTTAGTAGAGACGCGGTTTCTCCATGTTGGTCAGGCTGGTCTTGAACTCCTGACCTCAAGTGATCCACCCACCTCGGCCTCCAAAAGTACTGGGATTACAGGCGTGAGCCACTGCTCCCAGCCCATTTTTGAAATCTTTTATACTGTATTTTTACTGTACCTTTTCTTTTTTGAAGTACACAAATAATATTGTGTTAGAACTTAGACTCAGCCCTTGTTTTCTCTTTTGCTTTTTTTTTTTTTTTTTTTTTTGAGATGGAGTCTCGCTCTGTCTCCCAGGCTGGAGTGCAGTGGTGTGATCTTGGCTCAGTGCTACGTCTGCCTCCGGGATTGAAGCGATTCTCCTGCCTCAGCCTCCTGAGTAGCTGGGACTACAGGCGCATGCCACCACGCCTGGCTAATTTTTGTTATTTTAGTAGAGACTGGGTTTCACCATATTGGTCTGGTTGGTCTCAAACTCCGTGTTGGGATTACAGGCGTGAACCACCTTTCCCGCCCTGTGTTAGAACTTCTTATAGTGTTCAGTACTGTGCATGCTATGCAGGTTTGTAGTCTGGGAGCAATAGGCTATACGATACAGGCTAGGTGTGTGGTAGGCTACACTATCTAGCTTGGTATTGGGTAACTACACTCTTACGACATTAACACAGTGACAAAATTGCATAACGATACAATTCTCATGCATTTCCCTGTCATTAAGCAATGTGTGATTAATTGGTTTACTGATGAATGTAATTCCAAGAATAGAGCTAAGGGAAGAATTAAAGAGTCAACTATGATTTAGAATCGTATATCATTAGATTGTGAGTTCTCTGACTTTGGCAATTCAAAAGCTCCACCATTGGTAAGTGAGAAAGGATACCTTAAATGGAATTTTTAGCATCTTTTGAGGGACCTCGGGGGAAATTAAATGACATGAATTAGTTTTTTACATCGAGATGTTTTAAGACCTTAATTTTTTATTTGTTGCATTACATCACTCATACATTGAAAGGAAACAATTTTGATTATAAAAGTGCTTTATAGAGAGAACTTGCGGGCAGGCGTGGGGGCTCACGCCTATAATCCCTGCACTTTTGGAACGTGGAGGTCGGCGGATCACCTGAGGTCAGGAGTTGGAGACCAGCTATGGTCAACATGGTGAAACCCCATCTCTACTAAAAGTACAAAAAATTATCCGGATGTGGTGGCGGGCGCCTGTAGTCCCAGCTACTCGGAAGGCAGAGGTTGCAGTGATCGAAGATCGCAACACTGCAATCCAGCCTGGGCAACAAGAGCTAAGCTTCGTCTTAAAAAAAAAAAAAACTTGGAGGAAATATGCAGATAAAAATAGTATTTACTCATTTACTTATGTCATCAGCACTCAGAGGTAACCACCATCAACATTTTTATGTTTTGTTCTCTGTCTTATGTAGCTACAGGTATATATATATGTATATTTTACTAATATGTAATTATTATAGTGTTAGAACCTCTACGTGGTAGATGTTTTCCAGTCAGTAAGTATTCTACCATGTTTTTGTTTAATGGCTGTCAAGTATCTTTTGTCACAGATTTATATAAAAGATTCAGTTCCAAGCAAACATGGAAGTACTTGAAATTGAATATCCTCAGTTGATTAATGAATACAGATATAGGGACCTACCGTCCCATTGCTTGATACCTTTTATTGAGAATTTTCATATGAGCCTACAAAACGTGTACTGGTTTAGTTAGTTAAAACAATGGAAATGCCAGTTTCTTTTCCTTCACTTCATTGCATGATCATTGTTACATAAGCAGATTTGACAGAAAAAAAGATGTAATCTTTTCTTTGGAAATTTGGTGAAGTGTGCAATCTGGTGTATATCATTTTTGAATCTGCTATATATAGCATCTTAAGAAAACTTTTGAACACAATATATACATACATAGAATAAACCATTCCTGTGTAAGCCCCACTCTTCGGATAGCAACTGCCATGTTTGTCCTCTACACTTTTCTCCTGAATGATTTCAAAGTTTGTTGACATGATACTTCAGCAAACATGATACGCACTGAAGTTAGGAGCTTCCATGTGGCTGCATCTCCTAAGAATAAAGGAAATACATGCCACCAAAATATTATCAAAAGAATAATGAACATCAATTCAGTAATTAAACAATTGATAGTAAAATTATCTAGATAAAAATGTCTCTTTTGCCCAGTCTAGTGTTCAGTCAGAATTCACACACTGCCCACCCCCCCACCTCTCCTTTTTGAGACAGTGAGGTGGCTTGATCTCCGCTCATTGCAGCCTCCACTTCTAGGGTTCAAGCAATTCTCCTGCCTCAGCCTCCCAAGTAGCTGGGACTACAGGTATGTGCCACCACACCCAGCTTATCTTTGTATTGTTAGTAGAGATGGGGTTTCACCACATTGGCCATGCCGGCACTGCTTTTTTAATCTAGAAAAAGGCCCCTAGTTTTTATTTTTTGAGGTGTCCAAACCAGTTGTATTGTGATTGCCCACAAACTTGAAATTGTCTGATTGTTTCCCCCATATATAGATTCTAGAAAGATAGCTTGGTGAGAATAATGCGTAGGTGATAATGCGTGTTTAAGTGTGTCACATCAGGAGGCATGCAATGTTAGGTTGTCCTACAACTTTCTAACTATGATCCCTTAGTTTAGGTTGAGACCTCCAGGTCTTCATTGTAAAGATACATTTTCCCCCTATGTAATTATAGAGTATCTGTTTGCAAATCCTGTACTCCACTCACCAAGTTTTACCTGGCGCTTTTAGCATACATCGACAGTACTCTCATATGTTAAATTGGTGTTAAGTCCTCACCAATGTAAATAAATTTTAAATAATGTGTCTTAACATCTTTTTGAGACGGAGTCTTGCACTGACGACCAGACAGGAGTGCAGTGGCACGATCTAGGCTCACTGCAACCTCCGCGTCTTGGGTTCAAGCGATTCTTCTAGCTCAGTCTCCAGAGTAGCTGGAATTATAGGCGCTTGACATCACGCCCAGCTAATTTTTAGTATTTTTTGTAGAGATGGGGTTTCACTATGTTGACCAGTTTGGTCTCCACCTCTTGACCTCGTGATCTTCCTGCCTTGGCCTCCCAAAGTGCTGGGATTACAGGCGTGAGCCACCTTGCCTGGCCCCACACCTTATTATTATTATATATGATTATATTTATGATCCATTTGTTTGGATTTCCTGCCATTTTTAAATTTTGTTACTCTTCCTTTTGAGAGTTGTTTTATTTCATTTGGGTTTTGACCTTTGCGTGTGCAGTTTTACACGATTTGTATTTATATTAGGATTTAGAGTGAGGTTGGTTCCAATTTTTGAAAAAGATGGCTACCTAGTAGTACCATGTATTGAATTATTCATTTTCCCACCATGATGTACAAGGTCTTAGGTATTCTTAGTTCTAATACTTAAACATAGCAGTTAACATAATGTGTTCTAAAAGTAGCCAACTTTGTTTCTTCATAGGCTGAAAATGTCTTAGTAATATCCCCAGGTATTACTGTTTTCTCAGAGATTACTCTCACAGTATTTACCTTGAGATACTGTTTTTGATTAAATGAGCTAATGATTCTTGGCAGTTCAGCAAATTAAAATGCACATATTTTTCCAGGCATTGTTGGCCTCTGAAGAGGCCAGAGGGAAGTAGTTGAAAGCAATAAGATCCATAGGAAGCAGGGTACAAAAATGGTGACCAGATAGAGAGTAATGTGGGATAGGGTAGCCGGACCTAAATAGGCAAAATAAGACTTGAAGTGTGTTCAACAACTTAGATCAAATGAAGATCATCCAAGTATGCAGAGGAATTTATAGTATCCAAAGAGTATTCAGAAACTTAAGAAATTGTGAATGACTGAAAACTTTGGAATACAGAAAATTTAGTAAACCTTTTAGAAAATTGACAACTCATTGCTGCCATCTAGTGTCACTTTTGTCTTTGAAATTCTGCAAAGAAGGGAAATTTTACATATATAGCATATTTAGTATATAGAATTGGCATTTAATTTGAATTGAATGCAGGGGCTACTTTAGGTTTTTTTGTTGTTATGGTTGTGGTTTTTTTTTTTTTTTTTTTGAGACATAGTCTTGCTCTGTTCCCAGGCTGGAGTGCAGGGGTGCAATCTCGGCTTACTACAACCTCCGCCTCCTGGGTTCAGGCAGTTCTTTGCCTCAGCCCCCCGAGTAGCTGGGATTACAGACGCCTGCCACCACCAATTTTTGTCTTTAGTAGAGACAGGGTTTCACCACGTTGGCCAGGCTGGTTTTGAACTCGTGACCTCATGATCTACCCACCTCGGCCTCCCAGAGTGCTGGGATTACAGGCGTGAGCCTTCGCACCTGGCCTAGTTGAGGTTTTAAGATACAGTAATAAAGGAAATTGTAAGGCAGGGTTTTGAATTTCCAAATCTGAGGTAATATATATTTTCCTTTGTCTCTAGTGTGAGATAATGTCTGGTAAGTGAAAGTGACAGCATGTTTAATTTTTTTCTCCTGGACCATTGGATAATGTGTTTTAAGTATAATGTGATTAACCCATGTGGAGAGGTGGCCAGGGCTTGCTGAAATAAATGCCCAGTAGAAACATCTTGTACTTTGTTTAACTTGTATACTTTTGCACTAAATAAGCCAAGATATACTGAAAACAGTTGGGTTGAACGGCACCTATCTCCTGTGACCTGAACTCTATCAAAGCTGGCATACAGTGCCCAGATAAAAAAGGAAGCTGAAGTCTTGACTCCATGTTCAAATTCATTTTGGCTCAGCTCTCAGCAAATTCCAGGGCTCTCACAACCTGTTTGTGGACCACTTGAACTTTATTTATGTAAAAAATCTTCAGATAATGCAAACTGCCGTACCTTTTCCAAGTAGAATTGAATTACTTGAGATTTAAAGTTAATGTAATGGTAATGAAGTATTTTTATAAATATATTTTCAAAATTTTAGCTAGATTGACAATCCAAGATTGGTTTCCCTCCATTAAAAGGGTGAAGAGGCATGATAGCACCTCACACTTACAATGAACAGTTGGAAATAAAATTTACAGTTTGGCTATATCCCAACTAGATAGAGTTTTTACTTATTTTTTGCTTTTAAGCTGTGGCTGGGATGGTGAGAGTGCGAGTAGAGGCAAATTTCTATATTCAGGAAATTTCTTGTCCTTCCCACTACTATTAAAATCTTGTATCGCTTTTATTGCTTCAGGATAGAGCATATGATAAAACAGACAAGCATATCAGACAAAAACACAGATTTTTGGGCATTAGAAATAACTTAGTATTCCTGGTTTTGACTTGTTTTCTAGGTAAAACAGGTCTTTTGTGATCCTTTGATTAAAAACAGGAATAAGAACCTGTAATGAAATTATAGTATATAATATACAAACGCATTTGTCCATGTGTGTAATAGAAATTTGAGTGCTAACCACTATTTTTCCGCTTTTTTTGTCCTTTTTCTCTCTTGAGACCCAGTCTCACACGGTTGCCAAGGCTGGAGTGCAGTGGCATGATCTTGGCTCGCTGCAACCTCCACCTCACGGGTTCAAGGGATTTTCCTGTGTCATCCTCCCAAGTAGCTGGGATTACAGGCATCCACCACCACACCCAGCTAGTTTTTGTATTTTTAGTAGAGACCGGGTTACACCATGTTGCCCAGGCTGGTCTCGAACTCCTGTCCTCAGGTGATTTGCTCGCCTCAGCCTCCCAAAGTGCTGGGATTACAGGTGTGAGCCACCGTGCCTGGCCTAATTTTAGGTTTTTAAAGTCTATCCTTTTCATGACAGAGCTTTTCATGACATGTTGAGTTTAAGAAAGAAATAGCACCTAAGGTTCTCATTTGTTGAGGACATTTTTTTTTTGAGGTAGAATCTCACTCTGTCACCCAGACTGGAGTGCAGTGGCGCTATCTCCGCTGACTGCACCTCTGCCTCCAAGGTTCAAGCATTTTTCCTGCCTCAGCCTCCCGAATAGCTGGGACTACAGGTGTGTGCCACCATACCCCGCTAATTATTTTCATATTTTTAGTACAGATGGTGTTTCACCATGTTAGCTAGGATACTGTCTCGTTCTGACCTCATGATCCACCTGCCTCGGCCTCCCAAAGTGCCTGGCTGGAAATGTGACTAAACTACTGCTTCACTTTTGAAGTATTTAACCTTCTGATTTACAAATAATGGAGGCTGGAATATTTGAACTGTATGTTTGTTTGTTTTTGAGACAGTGTCTCCTTCTGTTGCCTAGGCTGGAGTGCATTAGCACGATCTCGGCTCACTGCAACCTCCTCCCATGTTCAAGCGATTCTCCTGTCTCAGCCTCCCGAGTAGCTGGGACTACAGGTGCAGGCCACCACGCATGGCTGATTTTTGTATTTTTAGTAGAGATGGGGTTTCACCATGTTGGCCAGAGTGGCCTTGAACTCCTGACCTGATGTGAACTGCCTGCCTCAGTCTCCCAAAGAGCTGGGATTACAGGTGTGAGCCACTGCACCCAGCCCCAGATTTCTTAATGTTAAATCTAGTTCATGTAAATTAGTGCCATTTTATTATCTAACAGCATTATTCGACTATTACATACTAGTAAATGGTGATAGAGTAGGATCCCTGGGTTAGCTTGCATTAAAAAAAGAAAAATTCTAGACCCCTTCAACTAGAAGAGGGGAAATATGATGATGAGGGGCATTGACCTCAAAATATTTGAGTATATACAGGTGCATTAAGACTTGGACTATTATTACTAATGTGATTAACCTTTTAAAATTTCTACCAAATGGATTTTCTGTTTTAAGGAATATTTGTTTGGCTTAAATGAGTTTTTCCTACAGAAATCCCAAGCTTGTATGTACATTGTAGTGAATTTGGGAAATACAGAGAAACTGTGAAAATGATTGTAAAGATTAATCACAAGCAGAGTACCCACAGAACATTTTAAGATATTTTGATGTGTTTCTGTACTGTCCGTTCTTAAATGATTTTTATGTAGTTCATTTATGTCTCCTATGTATTGTACGTTTTCAGATACTATTTTTTTGACTCAAATTATAATTTGCACATCACTTGAAGTTGTATTTTTAAAAGACTATTATTGCTGGACATTTATTACTATTGGGTTGTTAGTTGTTAGAACTCGGTTATAAAAATTCATATAGAATATGACCAAGTAATTTAGATCTGTATGAGGCAAAAAGCAAAAGTAGACCTATTCATTCTACAAGTGGTTTTTACACCTTCCAGATGTAAAGGGAGTAACAAGGCAAGAAAATGGGATCAGGGCCGAGTGCAGTGGCTTTCACCTGTAATCCCAGCACTTTGGGAGGCCGAGGCAGGCGGATCACCTGAGGTCAGAAGTTCAAGATCACCCTGACCAACATGGAGAAACCTGGTCTTTGCTAAAAATACAAAATTAGCCGGGCCTGGTGGCGCATGCCTGTAATCCCAGCTACTGGGGAGGCTGAGGCAGGAGAATCACTTGGAACAGGGAGGCGTAGGTTGCAGTGAGCCAAGATTGCTCCATTGCACTCCATCCTTGGCAACGAGTGAAACTCCAACTCAAAAAAATTAAAAAAAAAATGTGATCAAGGAGTTTGTTTTACTTATCTAAACTATTGTACTACTATAAAAGGATGCTGGCAACCTGTTACATGAAAGAACTGAGGGACTGTTCTTAGGATTTCTAACAACAGTCTGCGTAACATGTTAAAAGTGGTGCTCGAGAAACCACACCATACTACCTAGAGAGAAATGGTATTGTTTAAGCATCAATAACACCACAAAAAGGTATTGCCACTTGTAGGACGAGGTAGTCTTGACAAAATATTGCAGATGAAGCTGAGTAAGCCTTGGTCCCAGCTGCTGCTTTCAAGAGTTACAGAAGAATATGTGGAATTGTTCTGAGAGTATCAATCCTGGAAAATACAGACTGGGAAACTACAAGTTAATACTGTGGATTCTTAAACAGATAAATTTTAACCTAATGCAATAGAAGCGGAACTTACCTACAAAAATGCTTCAAATGCATCACGTTTATTTTTCTGGGAAGACTAGAATGTCTATAGTTATACATTTAGGCATTAGAATTATTTTAAAAGTGAGAAAGTGCTAGTAAAGTCATAATGGTTGTTACCTTTTGGTGAGAGGAAGGGGGATTGGCAGTGGAATCAACCACATAGGGTTTGTTTACTTATGAGACTTTACAGGGATGCAACTGCTCTTGCACCTTCACACATTTTTATTGAAGTCCCTTGTGCTCACCCACTATTGGAGCAGGTGAAACTTCTAAGTTTTAACTGCTTTTCTAAAATTTCGTTCCTGTTGCTTTTCAATAAATAACTGCTGGTTATTTTGGTATTCTTGTATTTCTAAGTCTATTATTCTCCAAGTTGCTTACCTTTTATTTCTCCCACAGTCAGTGAAACCATATATGCTGGCTTGCCTTTACTGCCTTGCATTTTGGAATTTTGATTTAAATGCTGTCTGTAGGATAGTGATTTTGCCATCTTGAGTCTTATTTTGGGAGTCAGAGATTCAAAAACTACTCTGCTCTTGCTGACCCCTTCCAAGAATCCCAGTTCTTTTCCAGTAGTTTCTTTGTGTTACAGTATCGTCCTCCCTTTATGGAAATTTCACCTGTATGATACTTTAAAATTTTGAAGTAGAATGAAGTGTGACTTGACATCATTTGGTTATTTCTAAAACTTCAGGAAATGTACCTCTTCCATAAAATTTGAAGTAGCAATACCACTGGAATTTAAGGAAGCTCTCAGGACAGTCTTTGTTACTATTTGTGCCCTGGATTTTCCCTGAAATGTGGTACTCAGCACATGGTTAGTAAATATTTGATCCCCAAAATGAATGAATTTGTAGTGACTGTTCATTCCTTAGGAGGACACGTTACTAAGAGTGGAATTAATCCGTATTGTGAGTACGTCTGTCTTTACTGTTGCCTCCATCTTGAATTTAAGTCCTCATAGTAAGTATGGGTATTTTATTAATTTTAGGCAAACTTTGGAAGTTGGGATTTTTGTATTTTAAAAATAAGTAGTTGATGATTTTTGTAGCAAATTTAATAACCAGACCATAAAGAAAATGAGAAATCATATCCTTAAACTCATAACAACCATTGCTAGCATCCTTGTATGCCTGGATGCTTTTCTACTGAGTTTTTCCTTTGTGGATCTTTGAGAGAATTAAGGCCTGATACACATGAAAAATGCCGTGGGGTATGAATTCCTTGCATCTTGATTAGTACTAGCTATGTACTCAGACTTGTGAAAATAATACTAGCTATGTACTCAGACTTGTGAAAATTGAGAAAATGGTCATTTAAATCCATTTCTGTCTTATTCCAAAGGGTACCCCTTTCAATCACATCTGTATTTTTCTGCAAATGTCCATTTGGAACATTGGACTGTGGTTTGATGGGTTTTTTCCCTTATGGTCAGTATTCTGTGTTGGCTTACGGAGCCCCTCACCCCTGGTAATTTCTTCTCATTAAACCTATGGAGATTATATTTTCTATTGATAAACCTATTTGTGAAAAATAGTTGCTTAAAACCAGATTATACCTCCACTTGTAATAATGGGAAATCTTAATAACCAGCAGTAGTATCTGAAACCAGTTAGGCCTCAATGCAGATTTTTGTTTTAATTCCTCTTTTTAGTGTCCTCAGACTTTCTGGCATACTTAATAGCTGAAAGGCTGTTGGTGGATTTCAGTGGCTACTGTTTGTTAATTTTTATTGCTTAGTGTTAAAATATTAAGAAGTTTTTGTAAAGATATACTTTAGAAAGTAACAAAGACAGACTTTTGAATTTCAGAAAGATTTGGAAGGAAGTGAAGTTTTGTTTGAGCTTTTAAATCAGTACTGCCTGTTAAATGACTGTATTAAGCATCAGAATGATAGGAGTCATGTATATATGAAATGGTGTTAAACTACCTGTTTTTATGTACATATATGTATACATTAGACTTTTTTACATCATCCGTGAGAACTAGTTTGTCATGATTCACTTGAGGATTGGAAGGATAACAAATACTGGAATCTTTTGAGATTTATCAGTACCTTTCAAAGGGATGAAGGGGAAATCAATCTTAAGAATGTTTTTAAATCTTGTTCAAGATTGGGGGTTGGAGTGGGAAGAGGCAGGAAACAAAATGCTAAAAGAATGAAATAAAACATTTTCGCTTTACGGGACCTGAGATGGTATTGTGAATCTGCATATGGTTATGGTAGGATTGAGCCTCCATCACATACATAAAGACAGATAATTTTTGGTTTTAAATAATGCGTGGAAAGTTGTGTATTTTTCTTTAATTCCCCAATCTTTAATTTGATTCATGCCGTGTTCCACTGGCTAGTTTTATCATCATCACCATCCGATATTATTAAATGTCCTATATTTTAGGTTATATAAAAAGTAGCCTTCGAGTCATTGCAGTCTGTAAAAAGATGGTATTGATACTTATGTATCTAAAGCATACTGCAGATTAATTGAAGTATCTGGAAATAGGTGTTTCCAGTGTAAATGAATTGATTCTATTTATTGCCTTTTGAAGAAAATTATACTTAATGGGTAAGTGTAAGCTATCCATATTAATCTAGCTAATGAATGGCTTGGGACAGAATTTGACGTTTGCTATGCTGTGTGTATATATACAGAACCGGTGAAACTCAATAAAAGCAACGTGAATCAAGATTATTGATGGCAGGGAATAGTTAGCATGACCTGTAATGTGAAAAACAGCAGAAACTGGTGTCAGAGAATTTAGGCAAATCTAATTTGCTTGAGTACTTAGAGGAGGGCCACTTGGAATTATGTCCAAGGAAATTATATTGCCAATGATCTGCCAGGGAGAATTTTTTTTTCCTGAGAATTTAGAGTTTAGTGCTGCTGAAATAGAATGGAAGAGGAAGAAGTTGACTTTCTAGAGTATATTCAGAGGCTGGAGTCTCTGAAATTATTAGCAAATACATACTTAATGCTGTGAGTCCCTTTAAGTTGCCTAATACTCTGGGCAGTTAACAGTGATTCAGAGTGAGAGTGGAGAATGTTTTATCAAGGAATATTGTTTTTAGCATCTGTTCACCTGTATACTTTTTTTTGCTTTACAGTTTTCGGCTTTGTGAGAAACCTTACCATCAAACACGATGGCCAGCAACGTTACCAACAAGACAGATCCTCGCTCCATGAACTCCCGTGTATTCATTGGGAATCTCAACACTCTTGTGGTCAAGAAATCTGATGTGGAGGCAATCTTTTCGAAGTATGGCAAAATTGTGGGCTGCTCTGTTCATAAGGGCTTTGCCTTCGTTCAGTATGTTAATGAGAGAAATGCCCGGGCTGCTGTAGCAGGAGAGGATGGCAGAATGATTGCTGGCCAGGTTTTAGGTAAGTGAATTTTTTCATTGATGATGTAATTCAGGCCTGAGTTTTTCTATTCACGTTTTTTTTTTGTCTTTATGTCTGTAAAACTGACAGCATGAGATATTCTGGATATTGCGACTGTTTAGCCTAATAAAAATACATTAGGCTTATAGTTATAATTGGCTAAGTAAAGGATATTCTTCATTGTACCATTTTGTGTAGTAGAGCTAGGACAACTCTACTACAATCGTGAGTAGGGGGAGCTGGGAATGACACTTCACAATGTAAAAACGTTGCCTAAATGGTTGTGTCCTGCCCACAGCAGACTGGAGGAGCCCTCTAGTGTTGATTGCTTGTCTCCCCATTGGGATTTCACTCCATCCGTTGGGCCGACTGCAGTTTGGCTCAGTGTTAGATTTTCTTGTATTTTAAAATGTAATGACACCTCAGAGTACTTACTACCTATGATTTGGTTTATTCAAGCCAGAATCCAGTGTCCACATGTTTATTTTATTAGTTGTACTAGATGTCTGTTTTAACTTCTCATTTTATGTGTACCTTGTGCCTCAGTTTCAAAATTATCATACCTTTGTTTTTACAAAGTTAAGATGATTATTTTTAAATTTATATTTGTGATTTAGTTTATTCTTTGTATACATTCTACTATGTATATTGACTCAAAGCATGGTAGGTTAGAGTTATGTGAAACAATTCTTTGATAATGTTATGTAACCAACCAGATACATAATTTGGGTCTATTTCATTGTTTTTACATCTTACTGGATTGCTTTTTCAGAAATTTAATTCTCTTTAGTTTTGAAACACTTTATATGGTTTCAAAGTCAGAATTGTAAATGAGGTTAATGTACCAAAACCTGAAGGTTATTCATGTAATGGTGTTCAGCAAATAGACAATATATTCAGTCCTTTTTTTTTTTTTGAGACAGAGTCTAGCTCTGTTGTCCAGGATTGTGTGCAGTAGTGCAGTCTTGGCTAATTGTAACCTCAGCCTCCCGGGTTCAAGCGATTGTCCTGTTTCAGCCTCCCGAGTAGCTGGTACTACAGGCATGTGCCACCACACCTGGCTAATTTTTGTATTTTTTAGTAGAGGTGAGGTTTCACCATGGTGGCCAGGCTGGTCTTCAACTCTTGACCTCAGGTGATCCTCCCGCTTTGGCCTCCCAAAGTGCTGGGATTACAGGCGTCAGCCATTGGACCTGGCCTGAGTCAGTTTTCAGTTGGTCATTTGATGAGCTGCTTTTGTATAAAAAGGGAAGATAAATAAGATTAAGTTTAAGATATCCACATTTGGCCAGGTTCGGTGGCTCATGCCTGTAATTCCAGCACTTTGGGAGGCTTGAGTTGGGCAGGCCATGAGGTCAGGAGATGGAGACCATCCTGGCTAACACCGTGAAAAGCCATCTCTATTAAAAAATAAAATTAGCAGGCTGTGGTTCTGGGTACCGGTAATCCCAGCCGCTCAGGAGGCTGAGGCAGGAGAATTGCTTGAACCCGGGAGGTGGAGGTTACAGTGAGCCGTGATTGCACTCCAGCCTGGGCAATGGGGCAAGACTCTGTCTAAAAAAATACCCACACTCATCTAGTTAATGGTTTGAGGTGGAATTTGGAATTTATATTTTGGGGCATTTGTATATTAAAATGAAGCTCATTTTAATAAAAGCAGTATATATGAAAATGGAGTTACTGTTGACTCGAGTGCTGTAGCATGACTGGGAAGGTAAACTGAATTTTAGAGAGTTTTTGGCTTTTTGACATGGGCTTTTTAGAACAAGGAGAAGATAAATTCTTGTTTGGTAGGCAGTGGGTGGCAGGGTAGGTAGCTGGGCATACGTGTTACAAATTGTATTTGAAAACCAGGGTTGTTTCCCTTTGCTCTTTTATTTTTTTTGGTGTGTGTAAAGGTTGTTTAAGCAATTGATCAATTATTCAGAAAGCAGTCGTTAACCCAGGATATTTTACGTGTAGAACAGCTAATCCTTACTTATAAAGAAAATCTGAAGTTGCCTTTGAGGATGATTTGAGGTTGTCACACTTCACTATGTTAATTTGTGAATTGGCATATATTTTAATATATTTCATTCTAATATATTTGTAATAATTCGGAATGAGCTGAACCATTCTTGGAAAGGCAACCAGTGATAGTTTTCTCTTGTAATAGTAACTGAGTGAACAGTCAGTACCTTGAATGGGGAGAGTTGAGTTGAAGTGGTATCTGAGGGTGGAGAGTACCAAAGACAGACTTAATGTTAGTCTCAGGAACACTTGAATGGTAAAGAACAGACTACAAAGAAACGGAAGATGAAGCCTTAGCCTTGTAAAAATTTGTGAGCCTTTTTAATATTAAAAGGAGAGATGAAGCTGAGCTTGATAGCTCACACCTGTGATTCCAGCACTTTGGGAGGTCAAGGCAGATCACGTGACCCCAAGAGTTCGTCCCTACGAAAAATAGAAAAATTAACCAGGCGTGGTGGTCCCTGCTACTTGGGTGGGAGGATCACCTGAGCTTCGGAGGTCTAGGCTGTATTGAGCCATTATTGCATCACTGCACTCCAGCTTGTATGACAGTGAGACAGTGTCTTAAGGAAAGATGAGTTGTTTTGTTCCACATTTTCTAATTTATGTGTCTGTGTGATTTTCTAAACTTCGTAGTTTGTATTAGCTGGGCATGGTGGTGCCCGCCTGTAGTGACAGTTACTCTCGAGGCTGAGGCAGGAGAATCGCTTGAACCGGGAGGTAGAGGTTTCAGTGAGCCAAGGTGACACCACTGCACTCCAGCCTGAGCGAGAAAGCGAAACTATGTCTCAAAAATAAAAAAAATAAACTTTGTAGTTTGTTTTACCCGGATACAAAGTTGTCATTAACATTTTTACTTTTGTTTTTCAGATATTAACCTGGCTGCAGAGCCAAAAGTGAACCGAGGAAAAGCAGGTGTGAAACGATCTGCAGCGGAGATGTACGGGTCAGTAACAGAACACCCTTCTCCGTCCCCTCTACTCAGGTCCGGAACTTTATTATTTATAACTGCATTGTGTCCATCAGTGGGCATCTTCTCTTTCTGTTTTCTGGGTGTGGGGAGGTTTAAGTGTACTGTGTTTTATCTGTGTATAAATAAGGTTTTATTATTTTTGTGTTAATATGTCTCTTTTTTGCCCTAGAGAAAATTTCTAGAGAATTAAAAATCCCTGAGGTTTTTGCTATTGATATTAAAGAGTAGTTTGATATTTATAGCATAACCTGAAATACTTATACAGGATCGTTGAGCTTCTAAGACACTAGAGAGTAAGAGAGGGTAGAAGTGTGGTATAAGAATGCTTAGTTTACCATTCTGTTTTTCAGTGTTTAGTTTAGCTATGTCGTATGTGGAAATCTTAGCGAATTTTAACCTGAATTTCCAATTTGACCGCTACATTTCCAGTGGTCTAAGGTGATTGGAATTGAGTGATTTATTGTATGAATGATTGGGGATCATTCAGTGCTAATCTTGTTGATCTATTTGTTGTGGTTTATTTGGCATGGTTCTCCCCTCACCTGACATTGTGAATTAGTAGAAACATTTCCAAATTAACCCTTTTCGGTATTTATTTTTCAGCTCCTCTTTTGACTTGGACTATGACTTTCAACGGGACTATTATGATAGGTATGTTAAAATGTTTTGTATTTCTGCTAAACAGCTATTTAGTGAGAACCATTTCGTTCTTCTGGTTTGTGGTGATGAACATCAAAGATGTTTTCAAACATACTCCCCTAACTCCAAAACAAAAAAACACCTTTTTCTAAATCATTAAGTAGATTATTAGGTAGGGTGATACTGATTTTAATGCATTATTTCATAATCCCTGGCTAACGTGGTGAAACCCGTTTCTACTAAAAATACAAAAAAATTCGCTGAGTGTGGTGACTAGGGACTGGGTTATGGGTGGCTTTGGGTAACAGATTTAGAACTGTTGATAGCAAATGCTTAACAGGAAATAGGATGATGTGCTTAAGAGTGTTACCACATTGACATTCTGATAACATCAGTCTCAGTTAACATGAAGGAAATGTTAAGACTTATTTGGCTTGTCGCGTTCAAACTCATGCAGTATATGTAAGTATATGGAGCAAACTATTGTATGCAATAGACTTTAAACATGCAATATATAAAGCATATTACTTTATATACTATTTGTCTTATAATGCCAGTATTCCAGTCATTAGTATTTTAATGTTATTACTGTATATAACAATTCAGTCTGATTTTGGAATAAAAATTACTGATTGGGGAATGCTTAACATTTGAACTGAGTTAATCAGTCATGCATGGGAGTTGTAAAGGAATCAAGTCAGCCGTTAAATACCATAAAGTATACACTGAAAGTGTCAGACATGAAAGTATAGACTTTCTGTTTGAGAAATAACCTCACAGAATATGGTACGTAGTCATTAGAAGGCCAGAAGAGTAAGGCCCGAAAAGGAATTCAAATCCAGATTGTAAAGGGCCTTGAATGCCATAATAAAATGGTGTGGTTGAGCATCATTAATGCATCATCAAAATGTTTTTTTCATTTGACATTAGCGGTTTCCTCAGATTTTTTTTTTTTTTTTTTTGAGACAGTCTCGCTCTGTCGCCCATCCTGGAGTGCAGTGGCGCAATCTTGGCTCACTGCAAGCTGCGCCTCCTGGCACAGCCTCCTGAGTAGCTGGGACTACAGGCGCCCGCCACCACACCCGGCTAATTTTTTGTATTTTTAGTAGAGACGGGGCTTCATCGTGTTAGCCAGGATGATCTCGATCTCCTGACCTCATGATCCGTCCGTCTTGGCCTCCCAAAGTGCTGGGATTACAGGCGTGAGCCACCACGCCTGGCCTGATTTTTTTTTTTTTTTTTTTTAAATACGGAATTTTCCTCTCGTCACCAGGCTGGAGTGAAGTGGCGTGATTTTGGCTCACTGCAACATACGCCTCTTTGGTTGAAGCAATTCTCCTGCCTCAGCCTCCCAAGTAGCTGGGGTTACAGGCATGCACCACCACTCCCGGCTAATTTTTGTATTTTTAGTAGAGGCTGGGTTTCACCATGTTGGCCAGGCTGGTCTCGAACTCCTGAACTGAGGTGATCTACTCGCCTTGACCTCCCAAAGTGCTGGGATTACAGGTGTGAGCCACTGTGTCCAGCCCTTTCCTCAGATTTTTACAGTTATGTGTGAACATTTTGAAAACTAAGGAGTTCTGTAATTCTTCATTTTTATTTTTGTTGAAATTTTTGAAATTCTTAAAAAATAAAAATCAGCTGGGCACGGTGGCTCACACCTGTAATCTCAGCACTTTGTGAGGCCAAGGCAGGTGGATCATGAGGTCAGGAGTTCAAGACCAGCCTGGGCAATATGGTGGAACCCCGTCTCTACTAAAAAAATACAAAAATTAGCTGGGCGTGGTGGCACGCGCCTGTAGTCCCAGCTACTCAGGAGGATGATGTAGGAGAATTGCTTGATCCCGGGAGGTGGAGGTTTCAGTGAGTTGAGATCGCGCCACTGCACTCCAGCCTGGGTGACAGAGTGAGACTCCTTCTCAAAAAATAAAACAAAATAAAAATCAATGGAGAACTTCCAGTTGAAAATAAATCAGGACATTACTAGTGAACTCAGCCCATTTATTCCTGAAATTGCAATTTTTTGAATTTTTGCAATCAGACCTTGGTAATGACCTAATGCAGTAGGATATAAATAACTCCGACAAGCTTAGCATTCCAGTAATGGAACATTAGGCATAGATGGGTTAATTATTGGTCAGGTGTCTTGAAGGCACTGAAACCCAGTGAGTTTGTCTGAAGCATCTGCCCTTTAACCCTTTCTGCACATGGTAATTGCTTGACCACATTTAAAATATACTCATGCCAGCTTCTCCTATAGGGATTCTTACACAACTGGTCTTATGCAGACTTTCTTAAGTACTAGTATATTTTTCAGTGCTTTCTATGTGTTCTTTTGTCCAGTCAGAGTTGAGAATCATTAATAAAAGATTAAGGACGTGGTTGTGTTTCTGTGTATTATTATCCTATTTCTTTGTCATGGCTCAATTCAGACCAGTTTAATAAACTCACACTTTTGTTGGTATAATTTCAGGGATGTCATGGACTCTTAGTTGATGTTTTTTATGAGTGTATCAAGTTTTAGCAGTATACAGTGACAGTCTTCTTGAAAATAGTTCTCATTAAAAAGTCTTTTCTTGGCAAGGCACATTGTGAATGGGGAAATTTGAAAATTTGAGCAGGGAATTTGGAAAACATTAGTTGAGACAATGAGATATATACTGCAGAGAAATCTAAAGAAATCACGTTTGCAGAAATATCTTCACAGAAATTGGTGGCCTCTTCAGATTTTCAATAGACAACAATATATTAGGTTTGAGCAAAAGTAATTCCGTTTTTGACATTTCTTTGAACGGTAAAAAGCAAAACCGCAATTATTTTTGCACCAGCCGATACTAGTAGTTACTGTCGGATATATTGCTGCATGTTATTGTCAGTGAAAAGTAATGTCTTCTATTGTTCTAACGTCAGCCAGTAGATAATGATTACTGATAACTAGTGGAGCAACTAGGTAATAGCTGGCAAAGAGCTGACTTTTAGAGTACTGAGATCTTTGTTGGGAAAATGAATTTTAGGAGGTGTCCACATGATGGGAACTTACTCAAGTTGGGTTGGAGAATTGAGGAATTGAGTGTGTGTCTTACATGATAGATGTTAATGAAGGTGAAAGGAGGAGGAGTGTTTGTTTAGTGGGGAGAGGGGCAGATACAGGAGTTTTTTGCTGGTTTGGAAAATGTTAGGTCAATTTGGACCTGGGAAATAGGTTGGGTATGACCTGGTGGAATAACAACTTAGAAAAATGGTATTAATATCTTCTAAGAAGTCATTCTGAAGATTCATTATCATAAGGTTTAGATTTTTATTTTAAATGGTAACAGCGATACTTCATTGACTATGTTAAATTGTTTAATCAAAGAAGATGGGAAATTGGCTCTGAGTGAAAGCTCTGGGTCTTCATATGTAAATCGGAGTAAAAATCACTGTCCCCCCCCCCCCTTTTTTTTTTTTTTTTTGAGATGGAGTCTTTTCTGGCACTCAGGCTGGAGTGCAGTGGGTTGGTCTTGGCTTACTGCAACCTCTGCCTCCTGGGTTCAGGCGACTCTCCTGCTTCAGTCTCCCAGGTAGCTGGGATTACAGGTGTGCACCACCACACACAACTAATTTTTGTATTTTCAGTAGAGACAGTGTTTGTCCACGTTGGCCAGGCCGGTTTTGACCTCTTGACCTCAGGTGGTCCACCCGCCTGGGCTCAAGGGATCTCCCTGCCTTGGCCACGCAAAGTGCTGAGATGACATGTGTGAACCACTACGCCTGGCCCTCTTTTTAATATTCATTTGAAGGCGCTGGTTTTGTTTTGCGAAAGGTGTTGTAATAAAAGTGAATTTTTATCACAATGTTGGGAATGCACAAGTATTCAAAGCTGTAGTTGTTGAATTAAGCGAGATTGGGAAGTACTCTAAAAATAGATCTTTAAGTCCTTAGGTAGGCTGGCATATACATGAAATTGATGTTCGTCAACAGCTACCCTGGTACTATTCTTTCTTTCTTTTTTTTTTTTTTTTTTCTTTTGGAAACGAGTCTCGTGCTGTCTCCCGGGCTGGAGTGCAGTGGTGCAGATCTCGGTTCACTGCAACCTCCGCCTCCCAGGTTCTCGAGATTCTCCTGCCTCAGCCTCCTGAGTAGCTAGGATTACAGGTGCACACCACCACACCCAGCTGATTTTTTGTATTTTTAGTAGACATGGGGTTTCAGTATGTTGGCCAGACTGGTCTCAAACTCCTCACCTGACTTCATGATCCATCCACCTTGGCCTCCCAAAGTGCTGGGATTACAGGTATGAGCCACTGCACCTGGCCCAACCTGGCACTATTCTTATAATTCTTTAAAAAATTCTCATAAAAGTCTTGATCTATATGTGTTTTCTGATTTGTGCCACAAATACTGCAGTGTTTTCATACTAAAACTATATCTAGATATAAACTAGATATATTTTCTTCAGATTGTAATAAATTGGAACCCCACTTTCCCTTATAATTGATCACCCATGAAATTGTTCTCAAATTAGATAATGGTGATATTGCAGAACTAATAAAAACCACGGAGTGGCACCCTTTTAAATGGTGAATTTTATGGTATGTGAATGACGTTTTGATTGAAAATGGATGCGACATTACAATTGAAAAAGGATACATCACTGTCTTATGGACAGTCATTCTTTTTTGTCATATCTCGTGGACCCTACCTACATCAGGATACTTGCCAGTTAGAGACATAGATGAAACCCGTCTGGTGCTACCAGCCTCAAAAGGTAACTCTTACGCCTGAGGATGGACACCTTTTAGAATTAAAAGAACTCTCAGTCATTGTGGGACATCTTGCTAGCCTTCATAGAGACTGATTTACTGTCAGCTCTTTTCTTGAGTCGTCTCATCTCTCTCTGTTTTTTTTTTTCCTTTTTTTGAGACAGAGTCTTGCTCTATTGCCCAGGCTGGAGTGCAGTGGCTCGATCTCGGCTCACTGCAACCTCCACCTCCCAGGTTCAAGTAATTCTTGTGCATCATCGGCCTCCCAATTAGCTGGGGTTACAGGTGCCTGCCACCATGCGTGGCTAATTTTTTTTTTTTTGTATTGTTAGTAGAGACGGGGTTTCACCATGTTGGCCAGACTGGTCTCAAACTCCTGACCTCAGGTGATCTGCCCACCTCGCCCTCCCAAAGTGCTGGGATTACAGATGTGAGCCATCGTTCCTGGCCTCTTTAATTCTTATTTGGAGAACTTTGGGCAACACGAAATAGAAACTGCCAATAAATGGCAGGTTTGATAACAGGCTTTATTATGACAGCGGAGACTTGGTGAGCAAGAAACCTGGTTCAAAAAGACTGGTTTAGTTCAATGGTCTTTCTGAGGACTTTTTAAACTTAGCACATTTTGTATGTGGTGCATGACTAGTAATACAGTATATAAGTAACGAGTATGAAATTCTTAGAGGTTTTCAGAGTGCTGTTATTACTCCATGGCTAAATATATTAATATGTCAGTGCATTAGAAATAGACAAATCTTCAAGAACTCACAGGTCAAAGATGACACATGTAACAAAGATTGAGTTGTGAGGGGCCTTGATGTGTTTGAGGAGCAGCCAGCTGTAAAGTAAATTGTAAAGAATGTTAGTTGTAAAGGGCTTTGTATTACATGTTCTGGGATTGTGTCCTATAGATGGTATTTTAGAAACAGGCCTGTGGCTAGAGGAAAAAAGATGTGTTAAATGGTAAACATTGTAAATGTTGGAATGGAGAGGAGGTTGGGAGAATTTCTGAAGTAGATTGGTCTTGATGTGATTGGTTGGACTAAAGGTATGAAAGTAGGTGCTTGTAGGAAAATAATAGTCAAAAGCTGAGATTTTGTCTTCGTGACTAGATGATAGATTATGCCATTAATGGTTACATGAAGGGGGGTTTCACAGAGTTTGTGCTGTCAGAATTTCAAGGAGACAAGCAATTTTGCTGCTGGTTTTATTCTACCTGACTTTTCTAGGAATGTATCTTGGTAGAGAGAGAAAATTAGTTGAAATGAAACCATTGAAATTCAAGACAGAACTGTCAAACCATCATTTCTTCAACTATTAATAGTTAATATCCCTAATTTTGTTCTGGGCACACAAAGCCTGAGGCTTTGGATTAACAATATGGGTTGAAGGAGAACCTTCACCTTACTGAGTTTAGATTAGCAGACACTTTGACCTCCTTTTCTATTTTTCAGATGTTTTTGAGTAACACTGTACCTGAGAGATGGGTTTGTTTATATATATGTATGAAGGGAGAGAGTGCCAAAATACTTAGGTTATTTGAAGTTTGAAAACTGGGGACATTCTGCATTGAAAGGCATGTGTTTCACAGAGCAGGAGACTTCTAGGCTACTTTGAAAAGCTAACAGATGACTCTCAGAGGTGTCATTTTAGGTGGAGAGGGTACTCTGGGCTTGGAAGTTTTGGATTTGCTCACAGCTCCACTGTTAATTATATCTTTCTTTTGGGAACCTGTGTATCATACATATAGGTGCCAGAAGGATTTTAGATGGTGACATAGATTAGTATACACTTTTGGAACAAATCAGTTATTAGTCTTTTTTGTTTGTTTTTTGTTTTTTGAGACCTGATGTGGCTCTCTTGCCCAGGCTCGAGTGCAGTGGCGCATCACTGCTCACGGCAACCTCTGTCTCCTGGGTTCAAGCAATTCTCCTGCCTCAGCCTCCTGAGTAGCTGGGACTACAGGCACATGCCACCATGTCTGGCTAATTTTTGTGTTTTTAGTAGAGATTAGGTTTTGTCATGTTGCCCAGGCTCATCTTGAACTCCTGAGCTCAAGTGATGTGTCCACCTTGGCCTCCAAAAGTGCTGGGATTATAGGCATGAGCTATAGCATCTGGCTGGACTTAAATTTTGCTAAATATTTATTTCTTAGTATTCCTTTTAGATTAGTTTCTTATTGTGTCCTAGACTCGTTTAGTAGGTGGGAGATATTTCTTTGTAGGAGAGGCATTTGGGTCTGAATCAATCTGCTGTATGACTGAGTTGAGCGGTCTTGATTCCATTTTTACCCAACACTAAGGTATCCTGGTGTTTTATGAATCTTCTTGAGGGCATTCTTCAGGTAGATTTTGTTAGCCTCCTTGGTGTTGCTTTTCTTTTTGAGATGGAGTCTCACCCTGTTTCCCAGGCTGGATTGCAATGGCGAGATCTTGGCTCAGTGCAACCTCTGCCTCCTGGTTTCAAGTGATTCTTCTGGCTCAGCTTCCGGAGTAGCTGGGATTACAGGCATGCATCACCACGCCGGGCTCTTTTTTTGTGTGTGTATCTTTAGTAGAGATGGGGCTTCACCGTGTTGGGCAGGCTAGTCTCGAACACCTGACCTCGAGATCTGGCCGCCTCAGCCTCCCAAAGTGCTAGGATTACAGGCGTGAGCCATCACGCCCAGCTGGTGTTTTTGTTTTGGTTTTTTTTTGAGACGGAGTCTCCCTCTGTCGCCCAGGCTGGAGTGCAGTGGCGTGATCTCGGCTCACTGCAAGCTCTGCCTCCCTGGTTCACGCCATTCTCCTGCCTCAGCCTCCCCAGTAGCTGGGACTACAGGCGCCTGCCACAAGGCCCGGCTAATTTTTTTGTTATTTTTAGTAGAGACGCAGTTTCACCGTATTTGCCAGGATGGTCTTGATCTCCTGACCTCATGATCTGCCTGCCTCGGCCTCCCAAAGTGCTGGGATTACAGGCGGGAGCCACTAGGCCCGGCCATAGCAGCATTTTTAAAGATGTACCAGAAAAACTCAAATGTCCATCAACTGACTAAAGAATAAACAAAATGTAGTAACCATAAAATGAAAGAAGTACTGATACATGGTACAACACGGATGAACCATGAAAATATTCTAAGCAGACAAAGCCAGTCACAAGACACACATTGTACGATTCCATTTATATGAATGCCTAAAATAGGCAAATCCGTACAGGAAAAAAAAACAAAAACAAATTCTGCCATGGAGATTGGTATGCAAATTTTTGTGTGGTCATGTGTTTTCATTTCTTTTGAGTATATATACCTAGGAGAAGTGCTGGGTTGTATGGTGATTATATGGTCAACCTGACCAACAGCTAAAAGTGGCTGTACCCTTTTATATTCCCATCAGTCATGTGGAAGGTTCCAGTTGCTCCACTTACATTCATATCTGTCTTTTGCTTTTATCCATTCTAGTCTAGTGAGAGTGTGGTGGTATCTCAGTCAGGATTTAATTGCATTTTGTTTAAAAATATTGAATGTCTTTTCATGTGTTTTTCAGCTTTTTTTTTTTTTTTTTTTTTTTTTTGAGACGGAGTCTTGCTCTGTCACTCAATCTGGAGTGCAGTGGTGTGATCTCAAGAGCCCCGTCTCCTGAGTTCACACCATTCTCCTGCCTCAGCCTACCGAGTAGCTGAGACTACAGGTGCCCGCCACCACGCCCGGCTAATATTTTTGTATTTTTTAGTAGAGACGTGGTTTCACCATGTTTGCCAGGATGGTCTTGATCTCCTGACCTCGTGATCTGCCTGCCTCGGCCTCAAAGTGCTGAGATTACAGGCATGAGCCACCGTGCCCAGCCCAGCCATTTGTTTACTCTTCCACACATGTATTCAGATTATTACCCATTTTTGTATTAGGTTGTAGAATTAGTTGTAGGATTCGTTATATATTCTGGAAACAAGACTCTGAGTACAACATCTGATACTGTTAGAAAATTTTAACTGTTTCTTATAATTCCACCATCCTGCTCTGTAGTTATAGGAGATATGTAACTATCCATTTGTGCTAAGTCGTTTTGTAGAGTTTTTAAGGATTATGGGTTTTGTAATAGACAGTAAATTATAGATTACTGGACTCTGGTAATTACATATAAGCGGTAGATGGAAGTTTGTGGAGGCAACAAACTAGAACATTGCTTGCTGTTCAGTAGAACATTTAAGTTCAGTGGCCACATGTGACTAGTGACTATAGAATTGGATAGTGCAGGTCTAGAATGCTGCAAAAATCAGTTTTACTGGGTAGAATAAGTCTAGAGTTGTGTAAGTTATAAGAAATGTAATGACTAAAGCCTACTCTTCAGGAAGGAAATAACCCAGACTGCAGTTGTAGAGCGAATGTTGAAAGAGTAAATAGGAGAAAGTCATCTGTAGAAATAAACTGGTATTTGTGATGTCCTTACAGCAGGCATATGATTTCACCTCCAAATTCACGTTCATCACAGGCACAATAGCTGTGTTTTTTGCATGTTTTTTGTTTTTTTGAGACAGGATCTTGCTCTATTGCTGAGGCAGGAGTGCAGTGGCACGATCTCAGCTCACTGCACCTTTTGCCTCCCGGTTTCAAGGGATCCTCCTGCCTTAGCCTCTTGTGAGTTCCTGGGAATACCGGCGCGCCACCATACCTGACTTTTTTTGTGTATTTTAGTAGAGACGGGGTTTCACCATGTTGCCCAGGCTGGTGTCAAACTGCTGGTATTAGCCACTGGGCCTGGCCAATAGCTGATTTTTTTTTTTTTAAATAAATACCTTGAAAACAGATAGAATTTTTTGGTAAAGTATGATATTCAACTTTTATTCGATTTTCATTGGGAAGTCCCCTGCTTTGATCTTTATTAAGCCAGAAAATCAAAACACCAATCCTGGCTTTTCAGCTATTACATAGATAGGGTTCGGTTTGTTACACGTTGTTGATTGTGTGATTTATGGATTATTATTTCCTAGAAGTCAGTTGGGAACTTCATTTATTTACTCAACAAATATTTGTTATGATCCTGCTGTGAGGCATTGTATATAGCAGGAATACTATAATAAGAAATAGAGGCCGAGAGTGGTGGCTGACGCCTGTAATCCCAGCACTTTGGGAGGCCGAGGCGAGCGGATCACCTGGGGTCAGGAGTTCAAGACCAGCCTGGCTAACATGGTGAAATCCCATTTCTACCAAAAATACAAAAAATTAGCTGGGCGTGGTGGTGGGCGCCTGTAGTACAAGGCTGAGGCAGGAGAATCACTTGAATGCAGGAGGTGGAGGTTACAGTGAGCTGAGATTGTGCCCATTGCACTGCAGCTTGGACAACAAGAGCAAAACTCTGTCTCCAAAAAAAAAAAAAAACCAGAAATAGATGGCCTCAGAGAAAAGGGGTTGGGTTAAAGACATCACGTGACGCATAAGGCATAATGTCTTTAGCTTTTACTTTGAATGAGATGGGAAGCTATTAGAGGGCTTTGTGAAGAGAATGGGAGGGTCTTACTCATATTTTAACAAGATCACTCTTACTGAGAAAGATAATGGGTGGCTGTTCAGAGAAGCAGTGATTTTTGGTGGGACCAGAGAAATGGCAATGGGAGTGATGAAAAGCAGATGGATCTTAAAGGTGTTGCTGAGAAATTTGCTTATGTTGTGAGGCTTGAGAGAGGAATCAGATGTGGCCAGCGTTTTTGTCTGGACAACTGGAATTATGGAATTTACAGTGACAGTGATTGGGAGGAGCTAAGGTGAGGAGCAGATATCATAAATCAGTTGTGGACATGTTAAAGTTGATCCGTTTGGAGAGATATTAAGTAAGCAGTTGTTTATATGGTTCTAAGGGAGTCATCTGCTTAGAGTTTATAAAACCGCAATACTGGATGATTGGAAACAGAAGAGAGATTCTGGGGGTACTGTGACCTTTAAAGAATGTGGCGGTAAGGAAGAAATGAGCAAAGGAGATTGAAAATGCCAAAATGAAAAAAATGGAGAAGCATGAAGTATCTTGGAAACTGTATGAATATATGTCAAAAGAGTAGAAAGGCAAACAAGGTCTTTCATGTCACTAATAGTTGAAGTAGTATGAGAATTTAGAAAACGTCTTTTTGAATTAGCGGTGTCATTGGTGACCTTTGACAAAGGTAGGTACTGTTAAAGGCAGAAATCTTACACAGATTTCAAGTGAATGGAAAGATAGAAATTGGAGTCAGCATAGAAAACACACAATAAAATTCACCCTTTTGGTGTATAATTCCTACATCAGATTTGATTTACAAAATGCATAGTCATATAACCATAACTATAACCAAGATAGAAATAGTTCCCAGTTCTCTGAAATGCACCTTCACTCTGTTGCCTAGCAATCATATCTGTTCCTTAAAAGGAATTTTATTGTAAGTGAAAGAACTTCTTACTCTTCTATGTTGATAAAATGAGAATTTTAAAAATATGTAATTTTTTTTCCCCTTTCTTTTTCTTCTTTTTTTTTTTTTTTTGAGAAAGAGTCTCGCTCTGTTCCCAGTCTGGAGTGCAGTGGTGCGGTCTTGGCTTACTGCAACCTCTGCTTCCTGGGTTCAAGCGATTCTCCTGCCTTAGCCTCCCAAGTAGCTGGGACTACAAGCATGTGCCACCATGCCCAGCTAATATTTGTATTTTTAGTAGAGATGGGGTTTCATCATATTAGCCAGGCTATTCTTGAACTCCTGATCTCATGATCTGCCCTCCTCGGCCTCCCATAGTGCTGGGATTACAGGCATGAGCCACTGCTCCCAGCAATTTTTTTTTCTTTGTCTCACAGGCTGGTCTTGAACTCTTGGGCTCAAGCGATCTGCCTGCCTTGGCCTTCCAAAGTGCTGGGATTACACATGAGAGCCACTGCATGTGACTCAATTTCAGTTTTTTTTTTTTTTTTTTTTTTTTTTTGAGAGAGAGTTTCGCTTTGTCTCCCAGGCTGGAATGCAGTGGTGCGATCTTGGCTTACTGTAACCTCTGCTTCCCAGGTTCAAGCAGTGCCTCAGCCTCCTGAGTAGCTGGGACTACAGGTGCATGCCACCACACCCTGCTGATTTTTTTGTATTTTAGTAGAAACCGGGTTTCACCATGTTGGCCAGGCTAGTCTCTTAACTCATGATCTCAGGCAATCCACCTGCCTCGGCCTCCGGAAGTGCTGGGATTACAGGCATGGGCTACCATGCCCAGCCTCAATTTTAGTTTTTTAAAAAATAAAATTGCACCACATTGTCAGTTTAAAATTTTATCTTTGGTAAAGATCAACACTGACATATGGGAGTATGTGTATTGTTGAATACCATGACAAATGAGTAATGTTAAAGTTATTTGTGGCTGCACACGGTGGCTCATGCCTGTAATTGCAGCACTTTGGGAGGGTGAGGCTGGTGGATCACTTGAGGTCCAGGAGCTCATGACCAGCCTGGCTAACATGGTGAAATCCCATCTCTACTAAAATTACAAAAACTAGCTTGGCTTGGTATCGTGTACCTGTAATCCACGCTACTTGGGAGACTGAGGCATATAAACAAGAAAAGCCAGGGATTTTTTTTTTCCCTTTCTTAAAACAGTCTTGAATCCAGTCAAGTTTCAGAATTGATGATTGATCTAGGACTCAAGCAACCTGCCTGTTACAGACTAGATTCTTTTTGACTGAGAAAGTTTTCAGGTGCATTTTCAAATTGTCTTCCCATGAAATGTCTGGTTTTGTGTTAAGATAGTTTCCTAATGAAACCATCAAGACACACCACTTTTTCCCTTAATATGCAACATTTCATTAAGATGTCAAATTTTATTCCTCTTAAAATAAGTATGTACATTTAATGTATTTTTTCTTCGTGGAGCCATTTTCAATCAAATGGCTTAGAATTTACAAAAATATCCCTAAATACTAATATTTGTAATTCTTTCTGATAGAATATTACAGAACCAATTATTGATTGATGCCATTGGCTCAGTATAGGAGCTATTGCTACCTATTCTTTGGTAGTAGGTATGTTTATGGTGTTCCCCAACCCATATCAGTGATCTTTGGACAAGGCTAACCCAACAATGTGGTAATAATCTATTTCCATTTTTTCCCCCTTAATTACCAGAATTATATTTTCTTTAAAAATTATGTTAGAGTTTCCCCATGTGGTGAATACCTTGTATAGCTCCAGTGGTGAGCAAATGAGCATACTGGTTTACCATTTAGTCGTTTTATATTTTAAATGAGTGGTGCTTGCAGTTGATAGTATCCGGGTAAACTGATGCTAGACTAAGACAGCATGTTTGTGGTGAAGTACTTGCAAATAACATTAGAAATCATTGATTTCAGTTTAGAAATAAAACACAAGCTACAAAAATTTTGCTGGTTGATTTATTTTTAAGCACAAAATCAAGAATTCCAACTATGTTACGAACATTTTGAGGCAAGGACTACTTCCTCAGATGTGAATGAGAGTCCATTTCTGCCTGAGCAGCATTCTTTGTAACTAAAAGCCCCACCGGCTGAAATATTTTGAAATATTTTTCTTCAGAAAAGTAGAGAATTTGACTCCTAATTGTGTTCATGGGACTGTTAACATAGATTCAAAACAGAACTATTACTTGCTTCATTTTGGCTATGGTCAGATGAAATAGTAGGTTTTAAAAGGAAATTCCAGTGATAGTACGGAACTAGCTAGCTAGCTAGTTTAACGGATTTATTGTTTTCGGTCACAATTTGACATATTGTTATTTAAATTTTAATGTAAACCTGTGTTAAACTTTTTTATATCAGTTTTTTTATCTACATAGTTAAGTTTGAGGCAGATGTCTGTCATCAGTTGGTAGTTCATTTAACTAGTATTTACTGGAGATAGAATGGAAAAAACTGCTCCTTTGGTTCTCTTAATTTTTGTTTTGTGACGGAGTCTTACTCTGTGATCCATGCCGGAGTGCAGTGGTGGGATCTTGACTCATTATGAACTCCGCCTGTTAGGTTCAAGCGATTGTTGTCCCTCAGCCCCCGGAGTACCTGAGATTATAGGAATGTGCCACCACACCTGGATAATTTTTTCTATTTTTAGTAGACACTGGGTTTCACCATGTTGGTCAGGCCCGTCTCCATGTCCTGGCCTCAAATGAGCCGCTCGCCTTAGCCTCCCAAAGTGCTGGGATTACAGGTGTGAGCCACCCTGTCCGGCAAAACAGATTATTTCAATCTGTTCACATTTTTAAGATGAGAATCAGCTGTGGTCCATTAAATGGTCCATGTACCAAATGATAGCTTTATTATTAATAGATTAACGTCTACTCTGGTGTAGTGTTGACATGTATTACTAGGTTTTTTGAGACCCAGGAAATGTCACTGTTTGCAGCTAATGTCTTATGGTCAGAATTTCCATTTAAGAAGCTTCCCTTTGAAAACCTCTTCTTAGTACATGTCTTGTAATGCTTTTACTTTGGAATTGGGGTAGACATTCTTTGTCTTTTTTTTTTTTTTTTTTTTTGGTGGTGGAGGAGACAAAAGTTTTTACTCTGTCGCCCAGGCTGGAGTGCAATGGCTGTCTGCAACCCCCACTTCCTTCCTGGGTTCAAGCAACTCTCGTGCCTCAGCCTCCTGCGTAGCTGGGATTACAGGTGTGCCACTGCATCCAGCTGGTGTGTTTTGTTGTTTTTTTTTTCTTTTTCTTTTCCTTTTCTTTCTTTCTTCCTTTCTTTTTTTTTTTTTTAAGACGGAGTCTTGCTCTGTCACTGAGGCTGGAGTACAGTGGAATGATCTCAGCTCACTGCAACCTCTGCCTTCCAGATTCAAGCAATTCTTCTGCCTCAGCCCTCCTGAGTAGCTGGAATTACAGGCGTGTGCCACCATGCCCGGCTAATTTTTGTATTTTTAGTATACACGGGGTTTCCCCATGTTGGTCAGGCTGGTCTCAACTCGTAACCTCATGATCCACCTGCCTCCGCCTCCCAAAATGTTGGGATTACAGGCATGAGCCTCCACACCTGGCTGGTGTATTTTGTCTTAATCTGTTCAGGTGATTAATGTCTCTAGAGTGTTTTAATTTCTTAATCTGACTAGATTTTATACCAACACCATCAAGTTTGATTATGGGTGCAGTTACAATTCTCCTAGGGTTTAGTCCTTGTTCCCCTGGTAAAAGATTTTAAACAGCCTAGCCTTAATCAGTAAGTAATCAGCTATTGTTGCCTCATCTATTGTATAGCTTTCTCATAGTGAGAATTTCCGCTTAATTTTTAGCTGGTGCTTGAAGTAGTCATACTGAGCTTCTTAATATATATCCCTTTTAACTTAAAGGTTGTCACACTATGTATGTTTTTTTTCTATTTTCACACTTACCGTCCTCAACATTTTTCGAGGCAAGGACTACTTCCTCAGATGTGAATGAGAGTCCATTTCTGCCTGAGCAGCATTCTGTGTAACTAAAAGCCTTAACTGGCTGAAATATTTTGAAATATTTTTCTTCAGAAAAGTAGAGAATTTGACTCCTAATTGTGTTCATGAGACTGTTACATAGATTCAAAACAAAACTGTATTACTTGCTTTATTTTGGCTGTGGTCAGACGAAATAGTAGGTTTTAAAAAGAAATTCCAGTGATAGTACAGAACTAGCTAGCTAGCTCATTGGTTTAGATACGGGTGCCGGTGAAGGTTTGTGGCTTAGGAGGTAGATTAGATATTTATTTCCATTGGACTGAGGCTTAAGCTCAGTTTAATGCTCATGGATATGGATAACTTATTTTGATTCACCTCCAGAAATTGTCGTTAAGCAATTTGTGTTTGTGCAAGTGTTACCATCTCTCACAAAGGATATGAGTTTCTGAACACTGATATTTTATAGTTTCTGTATCATTATACTTTGCAAGATTTTGGTCAAAAAGACCAAAAGCTTTATGTCAAAATGGGAAAGTAGTGATAATAAAAAGTTACTCAGTATCTTTTTCTTTGCATTAATTCCCATGAATGGATTAAACTAAGAGATTAACCATACTTAGGGGAAATGCAAACTTTTTTCTGTTTTCTTTTTTTTTGAGACAGTGTTGCTCTGTTCCGCATGAGTGCAGTGGTGCAGTCATGGTTCTCTCACCTCCTGGGCTCAACCTGTCTTTCCATCTCAGCTTTCCTTGCTCTTTTAATTTAGGAAAATGTTCCTGTCCATAGCCACTCCTGGGACAAGATTAAACATTGCTTTGTTGAAATAGTGTGGAAACACTTTTAAGTTAACAGAGGAGAGAATTAGCAATGAGATCTTGTAAATGTTTTCACTACAGGAAGATTGGAGATATTACAACTCAGAATAACTTGCCACTATTGTATATATATAAGAGGGAGAATCATGACAAAGGTGATTAATAATATTTTTAAAGTTCTTGACTATCACATTTGTTTTTTAAGAAATATTTGGAGTTAGAACAGTTGGTAGGTGTATTTTTATAGAGTACCTGGGCCTTTGCATTAAGTTAGTTGCATTTTTAAAAAGCTTGCAGAATTGAAGACCTTTTCATACGTTGCCATAGGTTCTTATATGGAAATGACAATGTGGAATGTAGAAAGTTTAGAACTGATGTCCATGTAAGAAGTATTTTGTTCTGTTTTGAATTTTCTCTTTACAAATGTAAGTGTACCAAGCCACTGCTTTGGTGTATCTTTATCAATCACTGGGATACTAAGTTTAAGACATTTGAAATTAAGATTTCTAATAGAAACAGCAATTAGTTGAGCAACCAGTGTTTATTGAGTGCTAAGTGTGTACTGGCCAGTGAATTTAGACATAGGTGAGTAGTGAACAAGATAGACAGTGGTCTCTGCCCTGTTGGAATTAAGCGTAAATTTAGTTAGAAATGATACTACCTGTTTTTATATGAGGTATTTTTTATCAGTAGTATTTATACCCAGCCAACACATTTTGCTATGATTCCCTCAGTTACATGAAATTGCCCTGATTTTATAGATCTGAAATTTTATATGGTTCAACCTTATATCACTAGTTGTAATAATTCGTGTGCTTCTGTGGGTGAAAAGAATCAGAGATTTCGCTAATGCCATATACCACTGTTTATATACCCTTTTAATTGGAACATTTTAAAGAGTATTTGACCGTATGTGAATTGTTTATTGTAATGTATATTTGAAAATAATAAGATCCAAAGGCTATTCATTATAATAAATGCCCTGTTAATACTGACACTAGTACAGAGGAATCATTTATATCCAGTGCCAAAGGCCAGCCAACCATATAATTTGATATATGTTTTATTTTCCTGAGGAAAAGTTGCTACAGTATTACAACTATTTTATGTGCCTAGGTAAAGAAATAATGGGATAAGATTTCTAAACCCCACTGTGGAGGTTTTTGCTGGCCTTCTTAATGAAATTTAATAAAAGGAAACGACTAGAGACAATATTCACTTACTATTTATCATAAGGTCTGTTGAATTGTGCTGAGTTAATGTTAGGTTTGAATGAATTCCATTTTCCTCTTATCCAATAGGATGTACAGTTACCCAGCACGTGTACCTCCTCCTCCTCCTATTGCTCGGGCTGTAGTGCCCTCGAAACGTCAGCGTGTATCAGGAAACACTTCACGAAGGGGCAAAAGTGGCTTCAATTCTAAGAGTGGACAGCGGGGATCTTCCAAGTCTGGAAAGTGTATGTATTATTTCATTTTGTGATTTTGGTATCTCTTGTGTTTTGAGATAGGGAAGCTAATGCAGTTACAATATTTTTGTGCCACATGACTTTGTGTATTCAAAATAATGGAAGAGGCTGGGTGTGTGGTGGCTCATGCCTGTAATCCCAGCACTTTGGGAGGCCCAGCGGGTGGATCAGCTGAGGTCAGGAGTTCAAGACCAGCCTGTCCAACATGGAGGAACCCCATCTCTACCGAAAATACAAAAAATTTGCCGGGGATGGTGGTGCGTGCATGTAATCCCAGCTAATTGGGAGGCTGAGGCAGGAGAATCGCTTTTACCCAGGAGGCGGAGGTTGCAGTGAGCCGAGATCATGCCATTGCACTCCAGCCTGGGTGACGAGCAAAACTCCATCTCAAGAAAAAAAAAAAAATCCAAAATAACAGAGGAGACAAGATTGTGATTGAGTGGCCAATTCTAGACTGCAACAGCTAGGTAATTTAAAAAATGTCATTTGACTTTATGTAGTTGAGGTGTGCGTTAAGTTCCTGAGATTTTTTTGTGTTATTTAAAAACTAAAATTCAGACAGTGTTCAGTATGTTGATTTTTTTTAACTTTTCTATATTGAACTCCTCCTGTAACTGGAAATATGGAAGGCAGTAAAACATTACAGAAGGTCTGATGCAGTGGTGCGTGCCTGTAGCCCCAGATGCTTAGGGGGAGGCTAAGACCCTGGGGATCTAGGCTGTAGTGGGAGGATTTCATGAGGCCAGGAGTTTAAGTTCACTGTGATCATACGTGTGAATAGTCACTGTCCTCAGGCCTGGTCAACATAGCGACAGCCCTGATCTAAAAGACATTAAAAACAATAAAAACCATTACAGAACGTGCTTTATAATAGAACCAAGGGCCTTTATTACCGAGAAATCTGTACTGGCTCTGTTTCTCCCTGGGTATCTCCTGTGAGCTCCTGATGTAGTCTGGTGGCAGTGTATTTGCTAACTCATATCTTCGGTACATTTGATTTTAATCTAGTATTTTGTTTATATTAAAGTGAAAGGAGATGACCTTCAGGCCATTAAGAAGGAGCTGACCCAGATAAAACAAAAAGTGGATTCTCTCCTGGAAAACCTGGAAAAAATTGAAAAGGAACAGAGCAAACAAGCAGGTAAATGGGTTTTCTGCTTGCCCTTGGTATACAGTTGGGTTAGTTACATAAGGCACTTGAAAGTACATGTTGGAATAGTGGAATATAAAGCAATGTAATATGAAACTTGGGGAGTGTGAATTGGGAAGGGTATTTGTGTGGGAGGATTTAGATTTGTGCTGCAGTTCTGTGATCCTTAGTGGGGATTGTCTACGTCCTGTGGACATTACTGCCCCTAGACAGACTTGTCCTTCTCATCCGCAGTAGAGATGAAGAATGATAAGTCAGAAGAGGAGCAGAGCAGCAGCTCCGTGAAGAAAGATGAGACTAATGTGAAGATGGAGTCTGAGGGGGGTGCAGATGACTCTGCTGAGGAGGGGGACCTACTGGATGATGATGATAATGAAGATCGGGGGGATGACCAGGTGAAAACCACGGGAAAGGAAAGAAAAAGGTGGTGGAGGGGGGCTCAGGGACACATGGAGTGCCTCTAACTCCATCCTGTTTGTGTCTGTTTCTCACAGCTGGAGTTGATCAAGGATGATGAAAAAGAGGCTGAGGAAGGAGAGGATGACAGAGACAGCGCCAATGGCGAGGATGACTCTTAAGCACATAGTGGGGTTTAGAAATCTTATCCCATTATTTCTTTACCTAGGCGCTTGTCTAAGATCAAATTTTTCACCAGATCCTCTCCCCTAGTATCTTCAGCACATGCTCACTGTTCTCCCCATCCTTGTCCTTCCCATGTTCATTAATTCATATTGCCCCGCGCCTAGTCCCATTTTCACTTCCTTTGACGCTCCTAGTAGTTTTGTTAAGTCTTACCCTGTAATTTTTGCTTTTAATTTTGATACCTCTTTATGACTTAACAATAAAAAGGATGTATGGTTTTTATCAACTGTCTCCAAAATAATCTCTTGTTATGCAGGGAGTACAGTTCTTTTCATTCATACATAAGTTCAGTAGTTGCTTCCCTAACTGCAAAGGCAATCTCATTTAGTTGAGTAGCTCTTGAAAGCAGCTTTGAGTTAGAAGTATGTGTGTTACACCCTCACATTAGTGTGCTGTGTGGGGCAGTTCAACACAAATGTAACAATGTATTTTTGTGAATGAGAGTTGGCATGTCAAATGCATCCTCTAGAAAAATAATTAGTGTTATAGTCTTAAGATTTGTTTTCTAAAGTTGATACTGTGGGTTATTTTTGTGAACAGCCTGATGTTTGGGACCTTTTTTCCTCAAAATAAACAAGTCCTTATTAAACCAGGAATTTGGAGAAAAAAAAAACCCTGGTTTTTTATTTTTGTATTTTATTATTGTTTACTTCAAACTTTGTTTTACAGCGTCCTCCACAAAACCTCTAGAATGCACTAGATATATTTTTCTTGGAGTCATAATCATGATGCATACCAACACAACACTACTCAAATTATATTTCATTGAGATGCATGTTGCATTGAGGAGTCAACTTGACATAGAGTGGAGACTTTTTCAAAATGGCTTTTACATCCTAATGAAAGTTTGGGAAGTATATCCTCTCTGCCTTTTCATCAGTGCTTTGTGGTCCAGCTGGCACCCTTTCTGAGGTTTGTGTTTTGTGCTAAATGGTTTTGTCCTTAAATAGGAGAGGCTCAAAAACATCAAGATTTCAGGAAAATGGCGACAGCTGCATAATGGAACCCCCCTGCTTCTATTTTGTTCTTTTAATTACTATTTATAGCCCCAGTTACCTTCTGAATTCTGAAGTGTATATACCTCCATGTTCCTGAAAACAAGAAAACTCTTACTTCCTGATATTCCATAGACTGCCTTCCCAGGTGATTGAGAACATAGAGAATGTTACACATTTATTTTACTCTAAATGATCTTTTACCCCTGTTAGCTAATCTTTGTGTTTTCCTCAACTTTATTAATTACAGTGATTGCATTTTTAGCATCCAGTTGTAAGATGAATATATTAAACAGCTACCAGTGTTGGTGATACCTCATCCTTGAAAGGCTTAGTTCATTTGTGTTTTATACTTCAGTTTTTCCAGCATAGCAGAAAATGCCGCTTATAATTTTTGTGCACACAAACCTTGGATTCCCCTGTAAAGTTGCTATTGTTTCATAGCATGCGGCACTGGCCTTTTTTCATCCTACTCATTACAGGCAAAACTCATGTCTTATTTATGAGGATTTTATAGATCATTTTCTGTAACAGGTGACAAAAGCAGAAAAGAATGAAGAGGCTGAAGTATGAACTACCCTTGGAGCCCATATACATGATATAGGCAATTTCTTTTGTATGTTAATTCAGTCAAAAATACTACCCACTTGATGTTTTCTAATCTGATGTGAGCTCATGTTACACAGACTTTTAGTAAGTAACCCGTGACTAGAAAATAAACTGGATGCTTAGGAGAGAGTGTCAGATGTATAAGATGCTAATAAAACCTGTTTAATATTATTGTTAGCTGTAAGTTTTTGGGAAATACTGAACAAATTAGTCCACAATCAAGTGTCTACTTTTCCCTTCACTGTAGGGCCTCTCCCTGCACAGAGCAGTCTGTTTAGCTGTGAACACCACAATCTGCAGATGTTCAAGTCCCTTACATAAAATGGCATAGTATTTATATGTAACCTATGCATATTCTCCTGTATATTTTAAATCATCTCTACATTAAAATACCTGATAAAATGTAAATGGTATGTAAATAGTTGTAACTTTTTTTATTTATATTTTTGTTAACTTTTTTTAGTTTTTTTTCTTTGCTAGTATTTTCGATCTGTAGTTGGCTGAATCTGCATGTGCAGAACCCATGAACATGGGGGGCCAACTATACATTTTATTCTAGGAAAGCAGGTATTGAATGAAGCTGTGGAGAGCGCTTTTTAATATTAGGTTGGTGCAAAAGTAATTGTGGCTTTTGCCATTACTTTTAATTAGCTGCAGTTACTTTTGCAAATAGCCGTAGAGCATGATCACAGATTGAAAATCTATACACACATATGGTAGGGTTGTTGGAATACTGACATGTCTAGTTTGTGTTGATGGGGAAGTCATTTCACGCTCTTGGTTTTAGGCTACGCTACTGTGGCTTAAATTTCCTCGTGTTTAAGACAACAGTACTCTAGGTTTTCTATAATCACAGGTGTACTCATTGAGTACTTTGACATTTAGGTTCCTAGGCCAAAACTGTAGCAAAGTAAAGAGACCAGGATTGAAATACCACATGGTAAAAGGCTTTTAAAAATCTGATCTAATGCAGATAAGTACAGGCTTTTTGGGAAAGGGGCTAGTGTTTTTAAAGGCCATTTATCAGATGATATGCTTATAGTCAGTGTGACATTACTTAACCCTGGGCCCTGCAAAGTAAGAATTGAGTTGGCTCAATAGAAATTCAGAATAGTAGGCATGGCAGTGCAGGTAAAGGGGTTAGATCTGACGGTAATAATTGAGTGATTTCTGATTTAATAATTGAGGGATTTCAGATTGATAGTCTGATTACACTGCAGTAGTGGAAGTAAGATTTAAAAGTAAAAACATTTTAATTTGGGATAAAATTCAGAACACAAGTTTCTCAATATGCCATGAAATCTAAGAAAATGTCCTGCAATCATTCAAGAATGCAGTTTTCATTTCAGGGTTAGAAAGCAGGAGAGGAGGTAGATAAAAAATCCTTAGTAACATTTTTTTCTGGTGCTGCATAACGTATAATTGGGAAACTTCTTCTAGGGTAATTAATAAATTGCTGCTGTCTCAGTGGGATGAGCTAACTGGAAGCTGTCAGGTGGGAATGGATGCTAAATTTGGGATTCTCAAAAGGAGGGCTCCTCTTGTATTTCACTTCTGATGTTAATATTACCCCAACATGCAAAGATTGTGTGATTAGTACCTATTACTTACGTGGTTTAAATCCTCTTTTTCAGAGGGAACCGGGTGTAATAGAAAAGGAAAATAATGTAAATGGGAACAAAAAGGTGGTAAATTGGAAGGAAATGAACAGGTGTCAAATTAGGATTGGGAAGAATGTAATAGTACAATAGACGTAACCATCATTTAAACCATAAGATAACCATGAAGTGTGAACATACGAATCTACTATAACTTGGCAGTATGTTTTATTCAAGTGTTAGGGGAAGCAAAACCCAGTGTATAATATAGAAAGTACAGAAGTAGAGCAGATGATACACTATATGCAAGTACTAGTGTTTTGAGATAACCTTGATGAAACAATGTGCTTTTGAAAGTAGTCGCAGGATAGAGAAATTGTGTATATTTAATGTGATCAGCTCAGGAACATATGCCTGGCCTGTCAGCATTGACTGACCAATTTTATTTCAGGGGAAAACCAGAAAACATACTTATTCCTACTGACAGTTGACCTTTTTATTTATTAGGGGAATTCAGCTACACTGATGTCAAATGGAGTTTCAGTTTCTGGACCCTAGTTCACATCACATTGACCAAAAAAATGCATTTCATAGGAATTTAGAAGCATCCAAGAAAAAGTACCCTGACCAGAAAACCAGTCGACAGTAGTAAACATATGATGTAGAAATGATTGACCAGTAAATGAGTTACATATAATATGTGGATTATGGTCTGAGTACCTCATTCACACTAAGAAGGAGCACTCTGTTGGAGAATTCTAGTGTTTGGAGAGAACTTGGTATAAAGTAAAAATGTAGCCAGTTGAACTGCAGAGTAAAAGAACGTAGACATACCTGACCAGACAAAAGCTTTCCAAGTGTTAGGAGACAGGAAGTAAATAAAGTAGAAAACTGCAGAATTTGTGTTTGCATTAGTAACTTTCAAGTTAAATCTCAATTTTGAAAAGCAGGGCTTCTTCATTGGAGTTAACGCCCTTTGTGAGTAGAACTACAAAGCATAGTAAGAGGAAGGGGAGAACAGTGTAAGGGGGTGAATGCAAATGACAAAGGGATTAGTAGGAAGGAGTTAGAACCCAAGATAAATGCAGATAGGAAGAGGAAAGCATGTTTGGATTGTTTTTTTCAAGTGGCACTCAGAAATAAAAGTTTGGAGAAACATGGCTCTGAAGCTCTGACAAATTTGCATTTGCAAAAATAACTCCTACAAGACTTTCAGAAGTCTAGGAAAATTGTGGCTTTTGGATTATTACATTACCAAATTTGTGGAGTTTAATAGGTTTCAACTGTCAATGTGCATTAAAATTTCCTGGGAGCAGGGGGATGGGCTTTTAAATTCTGATGTCCAGGTGTGTGCTCCAGGCCTACTAAATCTCTGGGGTTGGGACTCTTCGTTGTTTTTTAAGTTGCCATAATTCCAATTTTTGGCCCAAATTGTGAACTACTCACCAAAGGCAAAACAAAACAAAAAACCCTGTGTGATAAAGAGGGGTGAGGATTAGGAAAGGACACGGGTTTCAAGAAACGGTGGCTGGGTGGCTGGCCAATAAGTTTAGTAGAGGGATGACTGTATATGTCAGAATTAAGTGCAGTAAGAGGATGTGTGAGTGGTATGTTTTCATCAAAGAACTGAAGGCAGCTAAAAGGGCCAAGGTGTACCCTCATTAAAGTCTAGGCCCCAGAGTAAAGAAGGCACCCAAAGAGTCATCTGGTGGTTAGGGAGGGGGAAAATTCCTTGTTATCAACGCATGTTACAGTGAGCTGTTAAAGCTATAGTACTGTCAGTAACACTTCGTGGCGATGGAAGTGTTTTATGATGCATTGACCAGTATAACAACTGGTGACTTTACTGAGCCTTGAGATGTGGCTAGTGTGAAGAGTTAGATTTAAATTTTTATTTAGAGACGTGTGACGTGAGACTACTTTATTGGATAGTTAAGTGCTGTAGAATATTGAGAAGTTTCCACACAAGTACTGCTAGTGGTTACTAACTCAAACGTACATGAACAAATGTGACTCCAATATTTTGTGTGTCCTGAGTTCATTGATGTTTTCTTTCCTAGACCTTAGGCTTTAATATTGAAGATTTCCCTAGTGAGGGCGTCTTCAATGGGACGATATTGCAGGCTTAATCCATGTTGCTCACACCTTCATATAGCAGTGCCTCTTACAGAATAAACTATTGTTAAATAGGAACCCATCTTGTCAATCAGTTGCTTCATGCCCAGGGAAGAGAGTATGTTTTATAGGCTTTGTGTGCAGCCTGTTAGGCCAGCGTTTAATTGACATAGACTGTTGTTTCTCAAACAACAGTTCTATTACGTACGTATGCAAATAATTTCTGTGCTTCAAGGAGCTTCAGAGAGATTGCCTTGTTCAAAGCCCTATGGTTATTCAAATGGTAGAGCCAAAAATTTGATCTATGTTCTGACTTAACTCCATGGGCTTTGGACCTTGGCAGAGGAAATGGTGTCTTTGAACTGTAGTCTGTAGTCCTAGAAATTGAATAAACTATTTCCTAAATAGAGGTAAGAGACTAGGATCCTAGCAACTTCTCTAAGTTAACAAAAGGGGAAAAATATCCCCATACCATTTTTCTCTTCATTCTATTAATGAGGGCTAGAGTCGTTTCATAGATTGAATAGTTTCAAGAGCATATTGAGCAGTGCCTGGCTAACAGCTGAAAGTCTGCCATTTCATGCAACTTTGTTAGGCTTTAGAAGTGAAGCAGGAATATAGAGAAAATACAGCTTCTCCCACCCACAACGTGTATTTTAAACCATTTCTTCTGGCCCAGAAGACAAACTTTTCCAAATATCTTGGGAAAACCACAGTTTCTACTCTTTGGAGACAAGAGTCTCACTCTCACACCCAGGCTGGAGTGCAGTCTCAACTCACTGCAACCCCTGCTCTCAGGTTCAAGTGGTTCTCCTGCCTCAGCCTCGTGAGTAGCACTCGACACCACACCTGGCTAATTTTTTTGTGTTTTTTGTAGAGATGGGGTTTCGCGTGTTGGTCAGGCTGGTCTTGATCTCTGGCCACCTCAGCCTTCCAAAGTGCTGGTATTACAGGTGTGAGCCACTGTGTCTAGCCAAGTTTCTACTCTTGATGCCTGCCATGGACTATTACAAGCACCTGGCAGTGACATTGCACGAGTTCTAAAGAAAGACTTGGTCTTTCCCACAGGGACATTAATGTGAAAGAGGTCCAGTGACAAAGATTCAGTCACTTTTGCAGACCCTCACAAGCCACAATAATGAAGTTGCAGTGAATTTGGGACATAGCCTTCCCTCCCCAAAATTCTTGATCCAAGAATCCACCCGTCAAGTTCAATGACTCAGACTCCATTTCTAGTGTGGTCGTTGGTTAACAACTTTACTAGTTTCCATCCAGGCTTAACCTTTCTATGGACCATAATGTCTTGGTGTCTGCTGCATTTATTGTCCCTCCCTGTTTTAAGGATACTTAAGTTTTTAAAGAGGCATAAATACTTCAAAGTCCCCATTGGCCCTCCTGGGGGAAATTACCTCAAACCACAGGGTAGTCTGCTAAATAACCAGCTAGAGCTAGCTGCCAGCCCAACTTTGCCCAGATCTACAATATTATTCTCGTTACTTTAGTTTACTCATCCCCCCAAACTTAGCTTTCCCCCAGAACTTTATATCCACTCTCCATAAAAGCTTCTGTAGCACCAGCTTGGTCAGTCCCAAGGTCCCAGGTGCCACTGGGGTCTGGTTGACAAAATTGTTGGTATGGTTTGGCTGTTTCTCCACCCAAATCTCATCTGTAATTGTAATCCTCATAATCCCCGTCCCCAGGTTGAGGGAGGGACTCGGTGGGAGGTGACTGGATCATGGGGGCAGTTTCCCCCATGCTGTTCTTGTGAGAGTTCTCATGAGATCTGATGGCTTTATGAGGGGCTCTTCCCCCTTTGCGTCCTACACAAACCCTGTCTCGCCTGCTGCCACGTAAAACGTGCCTGCTTCACTTTCTGCCATGATTTTAAGTTTCCTGAGGCCTCCCCAGCCACGCAGAACTGTCAAACAAGATCCTTTATAAATTACCCAGTCTTGGGGGGGTTTTATACAGCAGTATGAAAGCAGCCTAAACAGTTGTTTTCATACGTGCTGGAAATGCTGTGATCTGCCCTGCCATTGTCCCCATCCTGGACTGACCCTCAGTATTTTTCCTTTGAGTGGTGACCCAGCTCTTTGCCTTGAGCAGCAGGAGTAGCCCTTGGTAGAATCTAGTTCCCCAGGGGAAATCAAAGCAGCTTTATCTTCTCACTGTTAGCCAAGCACCTCTGGAGACAGCCTTAGTGTTTGCTCTTTTATCCCCTCTCACCTGGGAATACAATTGCCCCTGCAACATAATGGCCCTACTGTTCCCTCACCAACTCCCCCAGCATGGGGATCAGAAATATGGCAGTACTCCTCAGTGAAGTATATGCTGCTTTGTTTTAAGCACTCACCTGAATGTGTAAGGACATCTTTCCTCAAGAGCTTCTCACTTCCTGAGGAGTCTGTAGTCTTCATTCAAATGTCTTGATGGCTCATTTTCCAGAAATCTCTGTAGGTCTTGAGAAGCATTGTCCTAGCTTTGGTTTATCTGAATAGTCCTATTTAAACTTGTCCCACACAGATAGCAGCCTCTTGCTTGCCCTTCTGTTTGTACACTTGTCTATTTTCTCTTTCTTTAAATGCCTTTTGGGTGTTAATACTTCATTGGTGGTTCCATAGCCTTGTCCCCCTCTCTTTTGCAACTTGAAGGCAATTCTCAGTTCTCTTCTTGAGCACATTCATACTTAGCAGCTTCTGAATATCCCACCCACAATTAAGGTACAATCTGGTCACATAACTTTTTCCCTAGGAAGAAATGTGCTACTCAAGACTAATAGCCAAGGTTAAGAACGTGCATACTCCTGAATCGGATGTAAATGCATTAGTCTATTTGTTCTGTTTAGAAATAAAGATGGAACATATTTTATAGCTACTGTTAGTGCCCATGTGCCTTCTAAATATCTTTTGAATAGTTTTACTTCTCTCCATCTTGACAGCTACCATGCCAATCCAAGCTTCCATCACCTTGCTCCTGGCTTACTGCAGTATCCTCCTGTCTACCCTTCATCCACTTTTATCTCTTTCCAATCACTTGTTCATACAACAGCCATATTGGGTTTTTTTCAAAACACACATATAATCAGGGCACTTCTCAACTTAAAACCATTTCTGGCATTACTTGCCCTTAGGATAATGACAAAACTTTTTAACACAGTCCACAAGGCCAGAGATAGCCTGACCCTTGCTGATCTGTCCAGCCTCTGCTATATGTCCCCTTATTTTCTCTGTTCCAACCACATTGGACTTTGTTCCTCTTACTAGTCATGCTCCCCACCTATTTGGTTCCCTAGTTAACTTCTCTTCATCCTTCGATTTCAACTTGTGTCACTTCCTCCAGAAAGCCTACCCTTTCTTTCTTAACCAGGCCGATAGGCTGTCAAAACCAGGAATCTCTTCTTCGTAGCACTACAGTCATACTCATTGATACGTGTGATTATTAATGTGGGTTTTTTAAAAAATTAGAATGAAACTCAAGAGCAGGGACCACATCTATTACTTGTGATTAATATATTCCTAGTGGTTAGCACAGTGTCTAGACAAATATATGTTGAATGAATAAATAGAAAAGGGAGAGGAAAAAGGGAAGGATTGACCCTCTGTGAGGCAGTCTTGCAAACAGCAGAAATGCAAAGCAAAGCTGAAGAACTAACTATTCAACACACACCTAGAGGAGCGTTGTAATGTCTTGTGCCTGTCTCAAATGGGTGCATTCTTATGGGTAAGTTTTACTAGTCCAGCTTTCACTGTAATAGTTCACATTCCTCTCCTAGTGTCAGTCTCCAACAAATCCCTCAGTAATTCGTAATCAGTAATCTCATGCCAAGGATGAGAGAGGGGCATTATCCAAAAAGTTGGGTGTGTCCATTTTTTTTTGAGTCTTGCTCTGTTGCCCAGGCTGGAGTCCAGTGGCATGGTCTTGGCTTACTGCAACCTCCGCCTCCCAGGTTCAAGTAATTCTGCCTCAGCCTCCTGAGTAGCTGGGATTACAGGCGCCTGCTACCTCGCCCGGCTTTTTTGTTGTTGTTATTTTTAGTAGAGACGGTGTTTCACCATGTTGGTCAGGCTGGTCATGAACTCGTGACCTTGTGATCCGCCCGCCTTGGCCTTCCAAAGTGCTGGGATTACAGGCGTGAGCCACTGTGCCCGGCTGTTCATCTGTTTTTCAATACCTTTAAGTTCAGTTTCCCTTACAAAGCCCACTTTTTTCTTAGTGGGAATCTCTTGTACCACTTAACACCTACATTCCTTAATTTTTAAAGTTAAAACACTTATATACTATAAAATGGACACATCTTAAGCATACAGCTTGATGAAGATTTACAAAGTAAACATGCCAGTTGAAACACCACTCTGATCAGGATGTGGAACATAACCAGCACTCCAGAAATCTCTCTGCCATCATTACCACCACTGGTTATCCTAGCCACTCTTCTGACTTGTATCACCATAGATAGGTTTTACTTGTTTTGAAGCCATCTATAAATGGAATCATGGAAGTTTGGGCTTCCCTGAGAGCAGATCTTCAGAGAAAAAAAACTTGAGTGCAGTAGTTTATTTGGCGTTTGGCTCCAGGATGCAGGAGTGGGAAAGATGGTAGAGAGACAGAAGAAAAATCAATAGAAAGGTATTACGGAGGTTGGATATATAATGCTTCCCAGAATTGTCTGACTGAACAGGAGGCTGAAATATTTATCCGCTGGCTCCTGTTTCCAATTGATTGAGGGATGCCCCCAAGGAAGTTAACTTCACTGCAATTCTGAGCTGTAATTGACTTTAATAAGCTCCAACAGCACTGAAAGACGTTTGGATTATTTTCAGTTTGGGATAATACTACTATGAACATTCCTGTACATGTCTTTTGAGAACACGCATGTGTACATTTGTGATGGGTATGTAATGGGGTGGAATTACTGGTTCATAGAATATGTGCATATTCACCTTTAGATATAGAGGCTGCCAACCATTTTTCTGAAGTGATTATACTAATTTATATTCTCACTATCTGTAAATGAACATTTCTGTTGCTCCACATCCTTGCTGGCACTTGGTATTGATTGATTTCTCTTTTAATTTTAGGCTTTTTAATACGTGTGTAGTGATATCTCACTTGCTGTTTGTTTGCTTTTTGGTAAATTTTTTATTGAAGTATAATTTACATACAGAAAATCACACAAATTGTGTACAGGTGTGATTTTTCACACCGTGAATACATGCAAAAACTAGTATGAAATTAAGAGTTGGAACATCACCAGTACTCCAGAAGCCCCATGCATGTTCTCTTCCAGTTACTATACCACTATCCCAAGGATGGTCTATTAATTCAACAGCATAGATTTATTTTGCCTGTTTTTCAACTTCAAATAAATGAAATAATATGCACTCTTGTGTCTGGCTTCTTTGACTCAACAGTATGTCTATACAACTCATCTGTATTGTTGCATGTTGTAGTTCGTTCATTCATACTGTTGTATACAGTATTGAATTGTATAAATTACTCATTCTGTTACTATGCATTTGGGCTGTTTCCAGTTTTGGCTATTATGAATAAAGCTGCTATGAACATTCTAGAATTGTCTTGTTGAACATATGTATTTCTGCTGGGTATAAAGCTTAAAAAGGAAATTACTGGAAAATAAGAGTATTGCCTCATGTTACCTACCTGCTATTTTCACTGTAATTTCATCTATTCTGGTTGATGTGTAATAGTGTCATATTAGCATTTTTTCTTTGCTTTTATAAAATAAATGTTTTTATGTTGGAATGTTAGATTTACAGAAAAGTTACAAAGACAGTACAGAGTTCCTTATATACCCTTCATCCAGTTTCCCCCTTATGTTAATATCTTAATGTTAACATGGTAACTTTGTCAAAACTAAGAAACCAACACTGACTGGCACATTACTATTAACTAAACTCCAGGTCTTATTCAGATTTCACCAGTTCGTGTGTGTGTGTGTGTATGTGTGTAGTTGTGCACTTTAACCACCACCATAATATACAGAATTGTTCCGTTGCCACAAAGGAACCCTTGTACTACCCACTTATTGTCACACCTTATCACCCATCCTTTCACCACCTTCCCTAACCCCTGGAAATCACTAATCTTCACTGTAATTTTGTCATTTCAAGAAGTTATGAATGGCATAATATATGTGATACAAACATAGCATATGTTAACTTTTTGAGAATGGGTTTCCCCTCCACAGTATGATGCTCTTGAATTCCATCCAAGTTTTATTATATGTACCGATAGTTTTTCGTTTTTTAACAGATTGCTGTGGATGTACCAGTTTGTCTGACTGCTCACTCATCTATTGTAGGACATTGGGTTGTTTCTAGTTTTGGGCTATTAAAAATAAAGCTGCTATGAACATTTGTGTATAAGTTTTTGTGCATATAAGTTTCCATTTCTCTGGGATAATTGTCCTGGAGTGTGATGGTGGATAATATGGTAAGTATATGTTTAGTTTTATAAGAAACTGCCAAACTATTTCCCAGAGTTGCTATCTCACTTTACATTCCTACCAACAATAAGAGATGCAGTTCCTCTGCATTTTTGCCAGGATATAGGATTAGCACTAGTTTTTATTTTCACTGTTCTATCAGAGATGTATTGATACTGGTTTTCATTTGTTTGCATTTCCCTAATGGCTAATGATGTTTAACATGTTTTCATGTGCTTATTTGCCATCCATATGTCATCTTTGGTGAAATGTATCTGCATGCCTCTTGCCCATTTTATAATTGGATTGTTTTTAACCATTGTGTTTTGAGAATTCTTCATATATTCTAGATTAAAGTCCTTTGCCATGTGATTTGCAAATATTTTCTCCCAGTCTATAACTCATCTTTTCATCTTAACAGAGCCTTTTGCAGAGCAAAAGTTTTTAATTTTTATGAAGTCCAGTTTTCCTTCCTTCCTTCCTTTCTTTCTTCTTTCTTCAGACAAAATCTCACTCTTGTCCCCCAGGCTGGAGTGCAATGGCACGATCTCGGCTCACTGCAACCTCCGCCTCTTGGGTTCAAGCAATTCTCTTGCCTCAGCCTCCCAAGTAGCTGGGATTACAGGCACCTGCCACCATGCCCGGCTAATTTTTGTATTTTAAGTAGAGACTGGGTTTCACCATGTTGGCCAGGCTGGTCTTGAACTCCTGACCCCAGGTGATCCACCCACCTCAGCCTCCCAAAGTGCTGGGATTACAGGCGTGAGCCACCACAACTGGCCTATTTTATTTTATTTTTTTTGAGGCGGAGTCTCACTCCATCGCCCAGGCTGGAGTGCAGTGGCACAGTCTCGGCTCACTGCAAGCTCTGCCTCCTGGATTCACACCATTCTCCTGCCTCAGCCTCCCAAGTAGCTGGGACCACAGGTGCCCGCCACCACGCCCGGCTTTTTGTGTGTGTGTGTGTGTATTTTTAGTAGAGACGGGGTTTCACTGTGTTTGCCAGGATGCTCGCTCTCCTGACTTCGTGATCCACCCGCGTCGGCCTCCCAAAGTGTGGTGATTACAGGCGTGAGCCACCGTGCCTGGCCTCCATATGAATTTTAGAATAAGCTTGTCTATTTCTAAAAATATTGACTAGGTTGTAAACAGCCCCACAGGTTCATCTTGCCCGCTGCCTAGACGGAGCCGATTTATCAAGATGGGAATTGCAATAGAGAAAGAGTAATTCACACTGGAGTTTTATTACTCATCAGTCTCCCTGAGAATTTGGGGATTGAAGTTTTTAAGGATAATTTGGTGGGTAGGGAGAAAGTGAGTCTGAGTTCAGACAGGGAGTTCTGATTGGCCAGAGATGAAATAATAGGGAGTCAAAGCTATCCATCCTCTTGTGCTGAGTCAGTTCCTGGGTAGGGGCCACAAAACCAAATGAGCCAGTTTATTGATCTGGGTGGTATCAGTTGATTCACTGAGTACAGGATTTGCAAAATATTTCAAGTACTTATCTTAGGTTTTATAATAGTGTTGTTATCCACTGGATCAACTTGGGAAGGGTCAGAATCTTGTAGCCTCTAGCTGCGTGAATCCTAAACCATAATTTCTGATCTTTTGGCTAATTTGTTGGTCCTACAAAGGCAGTCTAGTCCTCAGGCAAGAAGGGGGTTTGTTTTGGGAAAGGGCTGTTATTATGTTTGTTTCAAACTATAGACTGTACATTAAGTTCCTCCCAAACTTAGTTTGGCCTACTGTCAGGAATGAACAAGAGCAGCTTAGAGGTTAGAAGCAAGATGGAGGTTAGGTCAGATCTCTTTCACTGTCTTAGTTATAATTTCGCAATGATGGTTTCATTATAATAGGAAATATGTTAGATCTGTATATTAATTTGGGAGAATTGAACATGTTTGCCATGCTTAGTCCTCCAATCCATGAACATGGTATGTCCTTCCATTTATTTTGATCTTTGATTTATTTTATCATTGGTTTGTAGTTTTGAGCATACAGATCCTGTACAGGTTTTGTGAGATTTACACCTAAGTATTTAAGTATTTTTTTAATGATTGCAAATGATATTGTGTTTTAATTTCATCTTCTCCATGTTTATTACTGGTCTATAGAAATATAATTCATTGAGACCAGCCTGAGCAACATTGTGAAACTCCGTCTCTACAAAGAATACAAAAATTAGCCAGATGTGGTGGCACATGCCTGCAGTTCCATCTACTTGGGAGGCTGAGGTGAAAGTCTCCTTTGAGTTTGGGTTGCAGAAGTTGTAGTGAGCTGAGATCATACAACTGCACTTCAGCCTGAGCAACAAAGCAAGAACCTGTCTCAAAAAAAAAAAGAAAAGAAATATAATTCATTTTTATATGTTGATCTTGTATCCCGCAACCTTACTGAACCCTTTTACTGGTTTTACTGTTTCTTCTACCACTCTTTTTACTGGAGTACAGTGGCATGATCTCGGCTCACTGCAATCTTCGATTCCTGGGCTCAAGCGATTCACCTGCCTCAGCCTCCCAAGTAGCTGGGATTACAGGCACCCGCCACCATGCCCAGCAAATTTTTGTATTTTTAGTAGAGATGGGGTTTCACCATGTTGGCCAGGCTGGTCTCGAACTCCTGACCTCAGGTGATCCACCCACCTCAGCCTCCCAAAGTGCTGGGATTACAGGCATGAGCCACCGTGCCCAGCCTTTTTTTTTTTTTTTTTTCTTTTCTCTTTCTTTTTAAGAGATGGGGTCTCCCTACATTGCCCAGGTTGGTCTTGAACTCCTGACCTCAGGTCATCTGCCCACCTCGGCCTCCCAAAGTGCTAGGATTAGAGGCGTGAGCCACCATGTCCGGCACTGTTTGTTTTATAATAGCATCCTAATGAGTGTGAAGTGGTATCTCAATGTGGCTTTGATTTGCATTTACCTAATTATTAATGATGTTGAGCATCTTTTCATGTGCTTATTGACCATTTGTATATCTTCTTTGGTGCAATGTTTGTTAATTCAAGTTCTTTGCCCATTTCAAAATCAGGTTGTTTGTTTTAATGTTGTTGAATTGTAGCAGTTATTTATATAGTCTGGATAGCAATTTTTTATGAGATATATGACTTGCAAATATTTTTTCCCATTTTGTGGATTGCATTTTCACTCTGTGGGTAGTATTTTACAGTGTTTTTGAGGGTATCTCTTTTTATAGTTGTTTTGAGTGGTTGCTCTAGGTGTTGCCTTATACATACAAAATGGATTACAGTATACTACTATTGTTTTACCATGTCAAGTGAAATGTAGAAAATTTACCTTATTTATATACCTTACCCTCCCCATTCATAATACAATTGTATTAAATATTTCCTCTACCTATTAGAGAACCTCATTAAATAATTTTATGATTTTTGCTTCTACTGTTAGCAGTGGCAGAGATCTGAGTTACCCCAAGGTACCAGCAGCCTATCTGTATGGGTCCATGGCAAGTTCCAGAGCAGGAATGGAAGTTTATTTAAAAAGGCCTTAGAATAGGAAAGAAAGGAAGGTGCGCTTGGAATAAAAAAAAAAAGCAGGCACATGAAGTTTAATAGAGAAGGTCAAATGCCGTTTAACCATGATCCTAGGACTTTCGTAAGTTTGCCTCTTTCCCAGGATTCTTCCCATAGGGTGGGCTTTCCGCATGCCCAGTGCTTTCCTTACCCTTTGGAACCGAGCCTGTTCAGTGTGTTTAGGGAGTTATATGCATGCCCAATCTGAGGCTTTCTTCCTTTTTCTGGTGGTGCGTCCCCAGAAAATCATACTTCACCATTTTTGTCTCTTAACATCCATGACCAGGAAGTTGCTTCTCCCTGGAACCTGCATTCAATTAACAGGTGTGGACCATCAGGAAATGGCCTCTCCCTGGCCCTGCCACATTATCATTTTTAGAGAGGCAATGTGGTAACTGCCGAACCATCACCAGACATTTCTAATGGGTGCAGGGAGAGTCAGTCCTCTCCTGTGCCACTCATGCCTGACTACCTGTAATACTGCCGTCAAATGTAATCTTTTTAAAAACCAAGAAGATAATTTTTTTGTTGTTGTTAACCATGTTTTTACCCTTTCCATTGTTCTTTTCTCATTACTGCTATTTAAAGATTCCTTCTTTTATCATTTTCCATCTGTTTCGAAAGCTTCCTTCGGCCATTTTAAAGGATAGATTGGCTGGCAAAAGTTCTTAATTTTCCTTTATTTGAAAATGTCTTGGCCAGATGCAGTGGCTCACACTTGTAATCCCAGCACTTAGAGAAGCCGAGGTGAGCAGATCGCTTGAGCCCAGGAGTTCAAGACCAGCCTGGGCAACATGGTGAGACCCTGTACAAAATTAGCTGGATATGATGGCACATGCCTGTAGTACCAGGTACTCATGAGGCTGAAGTGGGAGGATCAATTAAGCCTGGGAGGACAAAGCTGCAGTGAGCTCTGATTGCACCACTTCACTCCAGCCTGGACAACAGATTGAGACCCTGCAAAAAAAAAAAAAAAAAAGAAAAGAACATGAAAGAGAAAGAAAGAAGAAAGAGAAAGAAGAGAAGAAGGAAGGAAGGAGAAAGAGAAAAAGAAAAGAAGGAAGGAAGGAAAAAGAAAGGAAAGAAGAAAACCAGAAAGAAAGGAAGGAAGGAGAAAGAAAAAGGAAAAAAAAGAAAGAAAAGAAAGAGAGAAAGAGAAAATGTGTGTAACTGAATTTCCATCCTGAAGGATATTTTATGCACATAAAATGTTGGGTTGACTATTCTCTCAGCACTTGAAAAGTGTGCCACTTCCTTCTTGCCTCTATGATTTCTCATGACATTTGAATTGTTGTTCCCCTCTGCTTCGAGTTGGTATTTGAATTTAAAAAATAATAAAATTAAATAAAAATAAAAATAAATGGATTTTGTCCCCTTATAGGTAATGCACCTTTGGCTGATTTCAAGATGTTTTCTTTGTCCTTAGTTTTCAAAAGTGTGATTATGATGTCCTTGTTCTGGATTTCTTTGGGTTCATCTGTCAAGAGTTTCCTCAGCTTCTTGAATCTACGTTTACGTCTGTTGCCAAATTTGGGGAACATCCAGCCATTATTTTTTTGAAATTTGTTCATCCCCACTCTCTTTCTCTTTTCTAAGACTCTGATCACACAAATGCTAGATCTCTTTTGTTATTTTCCAACGGTACCTAAGGCTCAGTTCTTTTTTTTTTTTTCTTCCTGTTGTCCATGTAGGGTAATTTCTACTGTTCTGTCTTTATATTTACAGGTCCTTTCTTCTGTTATCTCCATTCTATTTTTTTTTTTTTTTTTTGAGACCAAGTCTCACTCTGTTCCCCAGGCTGGAGTGCAGTGGCATCATCTTGGCTCACTGCAACCTCCGCCTCCCAGGTTCAAGTGATTCTCCTGCCTCAGCCTCCAGAGTAGCTGGGATTACAGGTGTGCGCCACCACACCCAGCTAATTTTTTGTATTTTTAATAGACATAGTATTTCACCATGTTGGCTAGGCTGGTTTCAAACTCCTGAGCTCAGGCGATCTGCCTGCCTCGGCTTCCCAAAGTGCTGGGATTACAGGCATGAGCCACCGCTCCCAGCCGCAGCTCTCCATTCTATTTTTAGCCATCCAATTTGTTTTCAATTTCAGTTATTGTGTTTTCAAATTTTAAAATTTCCATTTGGTTCTTATGTCTTCTATTTCTTTGCGTAGATTTTCTAATCTTTCATTTGTTGTATGCATATTTATAATTGCTCATTGAAGCATTTTATTATGTCTACATTAAAATCCTTGTCAGATAATTATAAGATTTGTGTCATCTTGGTGTTGGCATCTGTTGCTGTTACGAGATCCTTGGGGTGTCAATTTTCTGGCCTGAAACCTCTGGCCAGTGGTGCCTTTGCCTGAGTTTTGCTCAGGCCTGCTGGGCTCATTCTGCCCACTTGGATTTGCAGGCTGCACTCAGCTCACACTACCAGCATGGATCCCACATCTGCCAAGGGTGAGTCAGGCATGGAGTGGTGAGGGGTGTGTGAGCAAGCATGGGGTCCAGCCACTGCTGCAGTCAGACATGCTAGCTGCTGCAGTGGGGCCAGCAGCTCCGGGTGCTGGCAAGGGCCCTGGCTCTCTGCGAGGCTGTGGCTGGACCAGGCGCACTGCAAGCAGCTTCCCTGGCTAGCACCAGGAAATGCAGTGGTGTCTGGAAGCCTGGAGACGCCAGGCACTGCAGGACCCCAAAGAGGGAGTCACAGTCCTGGCTTGGGGAGCTCCTAGGTCTGGGCTCCCTGAGGAGTCACAGCTCTTCTCTCCTCTTCACCTGCAACATGGCAAGCAAGGGGCATGTTTCAGCCCTGTTTGTGTTATAGCTTTTTTAGCTCCACCATTCGGTGGGTCCCGAGTTCTTGTCCTGTGACCAGGAAGAATGAGGTATGCAGACAAGTGGAGGGTGAGCAAGATGAAGAGGAGCTTTATTGAGCAATAGACAACTTACTGGAGACCCACAGCGGGGTCTGCAGCCAGGGTGTCCCAAGAGTGTTCAGCTCCTAGTAGAGAGGAGGCACTAAAGTGGGTTTCTCTTTTCTGCAAGCAGGTCTTCCAGTCCTCTTCCCAGCTCTCAGTAGAGAGGAGGACTTGGAGTGGGTAGCTCCTCTCTGCAGCTGGTTGTCCTGTCGTCTGCTCAGCTCTGGCTGAATCCAGGGCTTTAATGGGTTCATAAAAGCCCTCAGAGGGGAGGAAGTGTGCACTATTGGTCCATGGGCAGCCATGGGTGACTGGGAAAAGGCACCACAAGTTCCTACTCCATGGGACTGTTAGCCCAGCCCCCAGTCCTCCTTGGCCTGAAGGTGGGGTCTCACCAGGGACCTACCCTCTTCCACCCAGGAATCTGTCTGCCTCCTGCTGTCATTTATGGTATCCTCCCAGACTTTGCTCTGAGATGGGAAGGGGGAACAGCAGGGAGAAGCCAGGCAGTGAGAGCAGGCGCTTTCAAGCCTACGAGGGCAGGGGGGCATTCCCGGGTCCCCAAGAGTGCAGGGATGTCTGAGTCTCCAGCCAGGGTTTGGGTGGCGGCAGCTGCGTGTGGGGTTGGGGGAGGGGGGACAGGACTCCTGCCTGCTCTTCTGAGTGGGAGGCCCAGGTCTGCAGCTGCAGTTTTGGTGGCTGCAGCTGTGCCCTGGAGGACAGGGATCCTGCCTGCTCCCAGCCCCGAAAGAGCGCAGGGAGGCTCGGATCTGCAGCCACAACTTGTGCAGCTGCAGCTCCGCCCAAGAGGGCGGGGCTCCTGTTTCCTCCATGAAGTGGGAGGCCCGGTCTGCAGCCACCGTTTGGGTAGCCGCAGCGGCGCCCAGGGACGTCCTGCCCCAGTTCAGAAGGGGCAGGGCTCCCGCTTGTTCCCTCCGGCTCCACTAAGCATGCAGCCCCAGGTGCCTCCCTGCTGCAGCTGGTGTGATGGTAGTGGCAGACCATCTGGAGCAGCCGCTGCCATCATTGCCTCATTCAAATGGAGGTTTTTCTGGGTTCTTGGTATGACAAGTGATTTTTTTTATTGTATCTTGGACATACTGGTATTATTTTATGATTTTCTGGATCTTACTGAAATTTTATATTTTAGCAGGCCTCCACTGACACCTTGCTAGTGGAGGAAGGAAGGGGACACCATCTTGGTTTTTTTTTTTTTTTTTTTTTGAGGCAGAGTTGCACAGGCTGGGGTGCAGTGGCACGATCTTGCTTCACTGAAACCTCCGCCTCCCTGGTTCAAGAGATTCTCCTGCCTCAGCCTTGCGAGTAGCTGGGATTACAGATGCCCACCACCACACCTGGCTAATTTTTGAAGTTTTAGTAGAGATGGGTTTCACCATGTTGGCCAGACTGGTCTTGAAATCCTGACCTCAGGTGATCCACCCACCTCAGCCTTCCAAAGTGCTGGGATTACAGGAATGAGCCACCATGCGGGGCCTGGACACCATCTTGTTACCACTGGGTGGAGGTGGAAGTCCATGCTTCTCCCTGAGCCTCTGCTGACATGAGGAAAGGTGCCTCATTTTTGCTGGGTAGGGGTAGAAATGTAGACACCCGATTCAGCCTCCACTGCTACCACCGGTATAGGGAGGGGGGCACTGTTGCTGCCAGGCAGGGGTGGAAATCTAGACACCCAGCTCCGCTTCTGGAGACACTGCAGGAAGGCAGAATGGTGCTTCATTATTGCTAGGTAAGGTGGAAGTATAGGCTCCTCATTCAGCTCTGACTGCAGTTTTTGCCATGAAGTTTGGCTGGAGTACTGTAAATGCTGTCAAAAGATTTTCTCTCCTACTAGGCCACCCATTTTCCAGTTCTTTGGCTGGAGAAAGAATTGGGGCTTGGGGGACAGTTTTATCTGCCATATAATAATCAGCTGGCAATTTTAAAAAACAAGCCTCTGGGATTTTAAGTGGGATTGTATAAGCAAAATGGAATAAATCTTTAGAATTCTGATTCTTCCAATATATGAAAATGTTATAACCCTCCATTTGTTTAGGTCTTTAATTGTTTTAATATTATTTACTCGCTTTTAGCATACAGATCTTGCACATCTTTCATTAGAATTAATTTATTTTGGATACTGATGTAAATGCTATAATTTAAGATAACTTATTTTCCAATTAATTTTTTAACAATAATTTATTTTTATGTGTTGATTTTGTATTCAGGTCCTGCTAAATTTATTTGTTCTGTATATTCATTTTGAGGTTTTTTTATTTTTTTATTTTTATTTATTTATTTTTTTGAGACGAAGTCTCCCTCTGTTGTCAGGCTGGAGTGCAGTGGCCCTATCTCGTCTCACTGCAACCTCCGCCTCCTGGGTTCAAGCGATTCTCCTGCCTCAGCCTCCTGAGTAGCTGAGACTACAGGCACCTGCCACCACACCCAGCTAATTTTTGTATTTTTAGTAGAGACGGGGTTTCACTGTGTTGGCCAGGCTGGTCTCGAACTCCTGACCTCATGATCCACCCGCCTCGGACTCCCAAAGTGCTGGGATTACAGGCATGAGCCACCGCACCCGGCCTCATTTTGAGTTTTTTATGTTGGCTGTGAATAATGAAAATTTTGTTTCTTGTTTTCCAGAACTTACATACTTATTCCTTATTGCCTCATTGCACATTGTTAAATATAAATTGTCCAGTTTAATGTTGAATCAAAATAGTGACAGAGGATAAACTCATTTTATTCCATATCTCAAGGGGAAACCTTTTTTTTTTTTTTTTTTTTTTGAGACGCGGTCTCGCTCTGTAGCCCAGGCTGGAGTGCGGTGGTGCAATCTCGGCTCACTGCAAGCTCTGCCACCCGGGTTCATGCCATTCTCCTGCCTCAGCCTCCTGAGTAGCTGGGACTACAGGCGCCCGCCACCACACCTGGTTTTTGTTTTTTTTGTTTTTTTTTTTTGAGACGGAGTCTTGCTCTGTTGCCCAGGCTGGAGCGGGATCTCGGCTCACTGTAAGCTCCGCCTCCTGGGTTCGCGCCATTCTCCTGCCTCAGCTTCCTGAGTAGCTGGGACTACAGGCGCCCTCCACCACGCCCGGCTAATTTTTTGTATTTTTAGTAGAGACGGGGTTTCACCGTGTTAGCCAGGATGGTCTTGATCTCCTGACCTCGTGATCCTCCTGCCTTGGCTTCCCAAAGTGCTGGGATTACAGGCGTGAGCCACCGCGCCCGGCCAGTGGGAAAGCTTTTAATATTTGGCAATAAATATTTTGTTTGCTATGCTTTTTTATAGTAATCTTTTCTCAGATTAATTAAGGAAATACTCTTTCATCACTACTTAAAAAGGTTTCTAAAAAAGTTTTTATTTATTTTGTTTCTATTGCTGCTGAACAAATTCATAGCAAAGATTTTTTTTTTTAAATCCTGAATGGGTATAGCATTTTATCAAATGCTTATTCTCCATCAGTTGTGACAAGTGCATTTTTTTTTTTTAAGTATTTATTGATCATTCTTGGGTGTTTCCCAGAGAGGGGGATTTGGCAGGGTCATAGGACAATAGTGGAGGGAAGGTCAGCAGATAAACATGTGAACAAAGGTCTCTGGTTTTCCTAGGCAGAGGACCCTGCGGCCTTCCGCAGTGTTTGTGTCCCTGGGTACTTGAGATTAGGGAGTGGTGTTGACTCTTAACGAGCATGCTGCCTTCAAGCATCTGTTTAACAAAGCACATCTTGCACCGCCCTTAATCCATTTAACCCTGAGTGGACACAGCACATGTTTCAGAGAGCACAGGGTTGGGGGTAAGGTCACAGATCAACAGGATCCCAAGGCAGAAGAATTTTTCTTAGTACAGAACAAAATGAAAAGTCTCCCATGTCTACTTCTTTCTACACAGACACGGCAACCATCCGATTTCTCAATCTTTTCCCCACCTTTCCCCCTTTTCTATTCCACAAAACCGCCATTGTCATCATGGCCCATTCTCAATGAGCTGTTGGGTACACCTCCCAGACCGGGTGGTGGCCGGGCAGAGGGGCTCCTCACTTCCCAGTAGGGGTGGCCGGGCAGAGACGCTCCTCACCTCCTAGACGGGGTCGCGGCCGGGCAGAGGCGCTCCTCACATCCCAGACGGGGCGGCGGGGCAGAGGCGCTTCCCACATCTCAGACGATGGGCGGCCGGGCAGAGACGCTCCTCATTTCCTAGACGGGATGGCGGGGGGCAGAGACGCTCCTCACTTTCCAAACTGGGCAGCCAGGCAGAGGGGCTCCTCACATCCCAGACGATGGGCAGCCAGGCAGAGACGCTCCTCACTTCCCAGACGGGGTGGCGGCCGGGCAGAGGCTGCAATCTCGGCACTTTGGGAGGCCAAGGCAGGCTGCTGGGAGGTGGAGGTTGTAGCGAGCCGAGATCACGCCACTGCACTCCAGCCTGGGCAACAACATTGAGCACTGAGTGAACGAGACTCCGTCTGCAATCCCGGCACCTCGGGAGGCCGAGGCTGGCGGATCACTCGTGGTTAGGAGCTGGAGACCAGCCCGGCCAACACGGCGAAACCCCGTCTCCACCAAAAAAATACGAAAACCAGTCAGGCGTGGCGGCGCGCGCCTGCAATCGCAGGCACTCGGCAGGCTGAGGCAGGAGAATCAGGCAGGGAGGTTGCAGTGAGCCGAGATGGCAGCAGTACAGTCCAGCTTCGACTCGGCATCCTGAGACACTTCTTGAAGTGGACAGCAGAGGCTGACATAGCAGGACACCGGGCAGTGAGAGGCAGTGGGGCCGATGGCGTGAGGAGCACCAGGGAGCAGGAGGGAACGGGCCCGGGGCGTGAATCCGGCCCCACTGTCGGATGAGTGCTCTTCGGCCGCCCAAATCCGGTCCCACGGGTAACAGCGTGGCCTTCAGCAAGTGACTAAAGGGCTTCCTGCCTCAGCTTCCCCACCTCTGCTTCATGCTGCGGTGTCCCTCAGCGCCGGCGTCCCTTTGACCGGCCTGTACCGCCTGTGACAAGTGCATTTTTATCCTTTAATTTAAATGTTAAATCAACTTTATATTTTTGGAATAAACTCAATATCATACAACATTTACCCTTTTATAGATTGCTGGATTTGTCTTGCTAATATTTTATTTAGAATTTTTGTGTCTATGTTTATGAGAGCAATTGACCTATAGGTTTCTTTCCTTTTAATGTTCTTTTCCAGGTTTTGGTATCAAGGTTGTGCTGGCCTCTTAGTATGAATTGGGCAGTATTTTCTCTTTTTCTAATTCCTGGAAGATTTTGTGTAATATAAATATCATTTATTCTTTAAGTGTTTGGCAATTTTTACTTTTTTTCTTTTAATTTTGCTTTCGTGACACAGACCTCAGGGGGTCCTAAGAACATGTTCCCCTGGATTTTTTTTTTTTTTTTTTTGAGATGGAGTTTCTTTCGCCCAGGCTGGAGTCGAGTGGTGCAATCTCGGCTCATTGCAACCTCCTCCCGCTGGGTTCAAGCGATTCTCCTGCCTCAGCCTCCCGAGTAGCTGGGATTAAAGGCGCCCACCATCATGACAGGCTAATTTTTGTATTTTTAGTAGAGACAGGGTTTCATCATATTGGCCAGGCTGGTCTCGAACTCCTGACCTCAGGTGATCCACCCACCTTGGCCTCCCAAAGTGCTAGGATTACAGGTGTGAGCCACCGCGCCCAGCCCTCCCCTGGAAATTTTAATGATAAACCTACCAGGACCTAGAGGTTTTTTGTAAGATTTTTTTTTCTTTTTTTTTTTAGACAGATCTCACTCTGTTGTGCAGGCTGGAATGCAGTGGTGCAATCTTGGCTTACTGCAGCCTCTACCTTCTGGGCTCAGGTGGTCCTCCCACCTCAGCCTCCTAAGTAGCTGGGGCTCCAAGTGAACGCCACCATGCCTTGCTCATTTTCTGATTCTTTTGTAGAGATGAGGTCTTACTACATTGCCCAGCCTGGTCTCAAACTCCTGGGCTCAAGCAATCCTACTGCCTTGGCCTCCCAAAGTGCTAGGAGTACAGGTGTGAACCACTTTGCCTGGCCTGTAAGGAAATTTTACATAAAAGATTTAAATCTTTATTAGGTATAGGATTATTCAAATTATCAGTTTATTTGTCTGTTTTGGTAAGTTATGTTTTTCAAGAATTTTTAAATATTTTAATTCTAAACTTGACATAATGTTGATAGTGTTCTTTTATCTTTATAATCTTTGTAGCATCTTATTGCCATTGTGATTGACTGATTTATTTAACAGTGAAGAATTGTGATTTAATTTGAACTGAGGCTATACAGTAGTTTATTACTTAATTTCTATGCAGTTGGGGATTTTATAGTTATCTTGGTGATTTACAGCTCAATTTCACAGTATTCATGAAGAGAACATAGTTAGTATTATTTCAATCCTTTGAAATTTTTGGAGACTTTCCACAACAGATAGATGTATGCTCTATTTTGGTAAATATCCATAAATCTTGAAAAGAACATATATTCTAACATATATTAGATGCTATTAGTGTTCTATATATGTCAATTATGACAAGTTTATTAATTTTGCTGTTCATATCTCTATATCCTTACCAATATTTTTGTCAGATTGTCCTATCAATCTATCGTTTTCCAAGGGAGAGGTGTTAAACTCCTCGACTATGAATGAAAATTTGTCCATTTCTCCTTTACGTCTGGTTGGGTTTTGCTTTATATGTGTTTGAGGTTATGTTAGTAAATTTATATGGTTTTATGATGACTATAACCTTCTGTTTCATTGGCCCCTTGGTCATTATAAAACGTCCTTCTTTGTGTCTAGTATTGCTCTTCCCCTTTATGTCTACTATGATTGATATGAGCATAGCTACACTAGCATTCTTTTGGTTAATGTATGCGATATATATATATATATATATATTTCATTCTTTTACTTTCAATCTTTTCCCTTATATTTTAGATGCTGCATCTAAAGAAATGCAGGATACACGTTTAATCCTTTCCTTTTTTTTTCTTTTGCTAGTTTTCAAGATATTAAATGCATTTCCTATTATCATCCGCATCTGACCCTGGTAGCGGGCACCCCTTGACCCTGACCAACTCTGAACGGGGTTAACCTGAGAACCAATAGGATATTGCAAAAATAACTACGTGTGCCTTCTGAGAACTTCCAAGGTCATAAAATACATTGTTACTTTCCATGTGGGGAGGCAGTCGTCATGTCATGAGAATACTCAGCCCTGTGGAGAAAAGCTGAGGCCTCCTGCTGACAGTTAGCACTGACACCAGCCATATGAGCAAGTTATCTTCTAAGCATATCCTTCCTGTTTTCAATTGGCTGCAGCCCCAGTTGACAACTTAACTGCCAAGGCACAATTTCCTAACTATATGCTCCCAAATTTCTGATTCATAGAAAACTGTGTGAAATAGTAAACGTTTATCGGTTTTATGGTTTTTTTTTTTTTTTTTTTTTTGAGATGGAGTCTTGCTCGGTTGCCCAGGCTGGAGTGCAGTGGTGCGATCTCAGCTCATTGCAACCTCTGCCTCCTGGGTTCAAGCGATTCTCCTGCCTCAGCCTCCTGAGTAGCTGGGACTACAGGCACCCAGCTAATTTTTGTATTTTTAGTAGAGACGAGGTTTCGCTATATTGGCTGGGCTGGTCTCAAACTCCTGAACTCAGGATGACCTGCCCTCCTCAGCCTCTCAAAGTGCCGGGATTATAGGCATAAGGCCAATGTTTTATTGTTTTTTAAAAGCTGCTAACTTCTAGGGCAATTTATTACATGGTAATAAGTAACTAATACAGATTTTGGTACATGGATGTGAGATGCTGCCATAGTAAAAGTCTAAAAAGTTGGAGTGGCATTCATAGTGGCAGCAAGCTGCAAGAACCTTGAGGAAAGTGTCACTGAAAGCCTAAAATTTCTTGAGGAGACTGTTAGTTAAATTCTGATAGCCTTTGAGAAGGCTACAAGTGTGCACTTAAAGAAACATGAGGAAGGTGTTACTGAAAACTGGAGACCAGTTTAAAGCTCATAGGAATACGCTTGCTTCTTTTAGTGAGTATTTTGGTGTTATCTACAAAAGCACTTCTGAGAATAATGTCTTTTTGATCAGAATCAGGCTGATGAATTTCAGAAACAGTTGGAGTTTACATACATAGAGACATTAAATCTTGACAGAGATATTTAGCATTACTGGAAACACTGAATTGAACCAACAGACTTGTCTTCTTACTCTATTTTAAGATCGTAATAATTGGGAGAAATCAAAAGTATCTACAAATTTAGTTCAGGCAAATCGTGAACAAGAGGTTTTGGCAAAGAAGTCACCTCAAACTAAAAAGAAAAAGAAGTCTTTCAACTCCCAGAAGACAGAATAGAATAAAACAGTGTAATATCTCAGTGACATTTTAGAGAATGCATCTATTGAATCATTCCTAGATGCAAATAAATTGTCCACACCCAGAGTAGAACAAGTTGCACAAAGAAATAATTCAGAACTTGAGCTGACATAAGCTGTGGAAAATTCTTTTCTAGCACAAGATGTGCAAACTGTTACAGTGAAACAGAAATGTGGAAAATCACAGCCAAGCTGTGCTCTGAAAGAACACTCATGTCTAATATAGCCAGTGTACAAGATTATAGTAACCAAAACAACGTGGTATAAAAATAGACACATAGATCAATGGAACAGAATAGGGAACCCAGTAATAAAGCCATATACTCATAGCCAACTGATTTTTGACAAAGTTGACAAAAACATACACTGAGAAAATGACACTCTTCAATAAATGGTACTGGGATTTTTTTTTTTTTAGGACATAGTCTCACTCTATTGCCTAGGCTGCAACCTCTGTCTCCTGGGTTGAAGAGATTCTTGTGCCTCAGCCTCCCAAGTAGCTGGGATTACAAGTGTGTGCCACCACATCTGGCTAATTTTTGTATTTTTAGTAGAGACGGAGTTTCACCACGTTGGCCAGGCTGGTCTACTCTCCTGCGTAGCTGGGATTATAGGTGCCTGCCACCACGCCTGGCCAATTTTTTGTATTTTTAATAGAAATGGGGTTTCACTATGTTGGCCAGACTGGTCTTGAACTCCTGACCTCGTGATCTGCCTGTCTCGGCCTCCCAAAGTGCTGGGATTACAGGTGTGAGCCACCACGTGCGGCTAGGAACATTTTATATATATGTGTGTAGTGTACACACCATGGAATACACACACATATATATACACATACACACACCTCCATAACATATATGTATCTGTTATAAATACATATATATTGTGTATATACATACGCACACATATATACATACATACACACACCATGGAGTATATACACACATATGTATATATGGAGTATATACACACATATGTATATATGGAGTATATACACACATATGTATATATGGAGTATATACACACATATGTATATATGGAGTATATACACACATATGTATATATGGAGTATATGCACACATATGTATATATGGAGTATATGCACACATATGTATATATGGAGTATATGCACACATATGTATATATGGAGTATATGCACACATATGTATATATGGAGTATATGCACACATATGTATATATGGAGTATATGCACACATATGTATATATGGAGTATATGCACACATATGTATATATGGAGTATATGCACACATATGTATATATGGAGTATATGCACACATATGTATATATGGAGTATATGCACACATGTATATATGGAGTATATGCACACATATGTATATATGGAGTATATGCACACATATGTATATATGGAGTATATGCACACATATGTATATATGGAGTATATGCACACATATGTATATATGGAGTATATGCACACATATGTATATATGGAGTATATGCACACATATATAACTTTGTGTGTGTGTGTGTGTATACACACATACCATAGAATACTAATCAGCCATAAAAAAGAATATAATCATGTTTCCGCAGCAACATGAATAGAACTGGAGGCCATTATCTTAAGTGAAATAACTCAGTACCAGAAAGTCAAATACTACATGTTCTCACTTATAAGTGGGAGCTAAATAATGTGTACACATGGACATAGTGAAATAATAGACATTGAAGACCGGAAAGGTGGGGAGGGTACCAGAGAGTGAGGGATGAGGAATTAACTAATGGGTACAATGTACACTATTCAAGTGATGGCTACACCAAAAGCCCAGACATCACTGCTATGTAATGTATCCATGTAACAATATTGCACTTGTACCCCTTAAACTATAAAAATAAACTGAAAAAACTAGAAAAACATGGATTCTGGTCACCTAGTGGCAAAAAGTTTAGCACCAGTATAATCTGCAGTAAAATGGAAGGTAGAAAATGTACCTAGTGAAATGGGTGATCTAAGAAGGTTTTCAGGATGGATGTCAAAAGCATTTCCTGATTCTTCTGGCTTCTTAGAGTAAAATATGAGAGAAGGGAGATAAGCTATTGAAAAGACCTTATATAAAACAGTCTTTTTTTTAAAACAAAAAGGAGCAATAATTCGTGGGTCAAAAAATGTCTAGCATCTACAGATGGCAAGTAAAGCTAACATTAACAAATGACAAGTGGGATTCCATCCAACAGCAGCAGAATGCACATTCTTCTCAACCACATATGCATATGGAACATTCTCTAGGATAGATCATATGTTACACCACAAAATGAGTTTTAACAGATTTAAGAAGACTGAAATTATATCAAGTATCTTTTTTGACCATAATGATATGAAAGCGACAGTCAGCAGAGTAAACAGACAACCCACAGAGTGGGAGAAAATCTTCACAATCTATACATCTGACAAAGGACTAATATCCAGAATCTACAAGGAGCTCAAATTAGCAAGAAAAAACAAACAATCCCATCAAAAAGTGGGCCAAGGACATGAATAGACAATTCTCAAAAGAAGATATACAAACGGCCAACAAACATATGAAAAAATGCTCAGTATCACTAAGGATCAGGTAAATGCAAATCAAAACCCCAATGCGATACCACCTTACTCCTGCAGTAATGGCCATAATTAAAAAATAAAAAAATAATAGATGTAGGTGTGGATGCAGTGAAAAGGGAACACTTTTACACTGCTGGTAGGATTGTAAACTAGTACAACCACTGTGAAAAACAGTGTGGAGATTCCTTAAAGAACTAAAAGTAGAATTATCATTTGATCCAGCAATCTCACTTCTAGGTATCTACCCAGAGGAAAAGAAATCATTATACAAAACAGATACTTGCACACACATGTTTATAGCAGCACAATTCACAATTGCAAAAGTAAGGAACCAGCCCAGATGCCCATCAATCAAAGAGTGGATAAAGAAATATATATACCAATATATATACATGATGGAATACTACTCAGCCATAAAAAGGAATAAATCAATGGCATTCAAAGCAATCCTAGACGGAACTGGAGACTATCATTCTAAGTGAAGTAACTTAGGGATGGAAAACCAAACATCATATGTTCTCACTCATAAGTGGGAGCTAAACTTTGAGGATGCAAAGGCATAAGAATGATACAATGGACTTTGGGGACTCGAGGGAAAGGGTGGGAGGCGGGTGATGGATAAAAGACTACAAATAGGGTTCAGTCTATACTGCTTGGGTGATGGGTGCACGAAAATCTCACAAGTCACCGCTAAAGAACTTACTCATGTAACCAAATACCACCTGTTCCCCAAAAATCTATGGAAATAAATTTTTTTTTTAAAAAGAAACTAGAAATCAATAACAAGGAATTTCAGAAAATTCACAACTATGTGGAAATTCAACAACATGCTCCTGAGCAACCAATGGGTCGAAGAAGAAATTAAAAGGGAAATTTAGAAATATCCTTCCTTTTTGAAATCCAGTCTCTGAAAATCTTGACACAAATGAAAATGGACGCATAAGATGCAGCAAAAGCAACTCTAAGAGGGAAATTTATAGCAATAAATGCCTACATCAAAAAAGAAGAAAGATCCCAAATAAACAACCTAACATTGCACTTCAAGGAACTAGAAAAAGAAAAACAAATTAAGCCCAAAGTTAGTAGAAGGAAGGAAAAAATAAAGATAAGAGCAAAATAAATGAAATAGAGACTAGAGAAACAATAAGAAATATCAACAATATTGAGTTGGGTTTTTTTTTTTTTTTTTTTGGCCAGGCAAGGTGGTTCACACCTGTAATCCCAGCACCTTGGGAGGCTGAGGTGGGTGGACTGCTTGAGCTCAGGAGTTTGAGACCAGCCTGGGCAACACGGCGAAACCCTGTCTCTACAAAAGAATGCAAAAATTATCCAGGTGTGGTGGCATGTGCCTATGGTCCCAGCTACTCAAGAGGCTGAGGTAGGAGGATAGCTTGAACCCAGGAGGTGGAGGTTGTAGTGAGCTGAGATTGTGCCACTGCACTCCAGTCTGGGTGACACAGAGAGAACCTGTCTTAAAAAAAAAAAGTTGATTAAAAAAAGGAAGATACAATCAACAAACTTTTTCAAGAACCTACAAGTATGAACAATAGAAGCAGAGAGTAGCGTGGTGGTTACCAGAACCTGTGAGGTGGAGGGATTGGGGAGATGTTGGTCAAAGGACACAAAATTTTATCTGGACAGGAGGAAAAAATTCAAGACATCTATTGTATATCATGGTGACTATAGTTAATAACAATATATTGTATACTTGAAAATTGTGAAGACAATAGATTTTAAGTATTCTAGCCACAAAAAATGATAAGTATATGAGGTAGTGAATATGTTAAATAGCTTGATTTAGCCATTCCACAATATATACATATATCAAAACATTATGTTGTACATCATAAATACATACACTTCCTACTAGTCAATTTTTAAAAAACAGCAAGTAGGAAATATTAAATTTAGGGTACTTTTAGGAAAACTGTCTAAAGATGAAGCTGAGAGTGATGGTAAAATCTTTTAAGACACAAATTTATTTATGCTAAGTAAGGGATCTGAGAAATTAACTACATAAGATACCTGCATAGAGAAGAGGCAGCAGTACTCTATCAATGTGGCAATTATTCTTGGCTTGCAAATCTTCACAAAGGTGTTCAGCTGCCTGTGATACATCTGATTGAAGTGAAAATTCCATTCCATCCTTAATAAAGTTTTCTTTCATAGGGTTTGTTTTATCTCTGCCTAGTCATACCAGTTCTTTTAATAAAGGCTCAGAATATTTCTGAATGTTTACTGTGAGGCAAGTTACATCTGAAATAAATGTTTCATCATCCTAGAAGAAGCAGATTTCAGGTCTGCTTGGGGAAATTCTGCAAACATAATGGCACAAGAAAGCTGAACATGAAGGAATAGGAAAAGATGTGTCATTCAAATACTCACCAAAATAGGCCAGGTGTGGTGGCACACATCTGTAATCCCAACACTTTGGGAGGCCGAGATGGGCGGATCACCTGAGGTCAGGAGTTCAAGACCAGCCTGGCCAACATGACAAAACCCTGTCTCTACTAAAAATACAAAAATTAGTCAGGCGTGGTGCTACACGCCTGTAATCCCAACTATTTGGGACGCTGAGACAAGAGAATTGCTTGAACCCAGAAGGCGGAGGTTGCAGTGAGCTGAGGTCGCGCCACTGCACTCCAGCCTGGAGACAGAGCAAGACTCCCTCTAAAAACAAAAACAAACAAACAATAAAACCTAACCAAAATAAAGCTAGTGTGGCAATATTAACATAAGACAAAATATAACTTATCATAAACATCATTACTGAGAAACCAGTAAGAGATAGACTTCTGGCATGACAGCATGAGGCGCTCTGTTGACCTTGCCTTCATTGAAACTGATGAAAATTATTTAAATGGCCGGGCGCAGTGGCTCACGCCTGTAATCCCAGCACTGTGGGAGGCTGTGGGCGGATTGCTTGAGGCCAGGAGTTCGAGACCAGCCTGGCTAACATGGTGAAACCCCATCTCTATAATACAAATTTTATACAAAATTAGCAGGGCGTGGTGGCACACACCTGTAATCCCAGCGACTCCAGAGGCTGAGGCAGGAGAATCGCTTGAACCTGGGAGGCAGAGGTTGCAGTGAGCAAAGATAGTGCCACTGCACTCCAGCCTGGGAGACAGAGTGAGACTTCGTCTCAAAAATAAAAATAAAAAAAAGAAAATTATTAAAAACATACACACACACACACACACACACACACACATGCACATGCACAAACAAGCCATATGAAGCCTCTGGAAATGGTCCTAAGGGTAAGCAGGAAAAGAACAAATATCTATTTCAGAAAATGTACACAAGTTTGGTAAGAAAGGTGAGAGTTTGTGGTATTTGAAACAAGACTGCTCTAGAGAGGAATATTTAATTCCAGACTACTGCAGCTGAGAACACACGCCTCTCTCTCCTCTTCATTTCCAGCCAGTGCTGAATGCTGACTTCACACCAAAAATTAACTCAAAATAGACCAAAGACTTACATGTAAGAACAAAAAGTATAAAACTCTAGAAGAAAACATTTAGAAGGTAAATATTCATGACCTTGAATTTGGCAAAGAATTCTCAGATATGACACCAAGAGCATGAGCAACAAACGAAAATACAGGTAAATTGGACTTCATCAAAATGAAAACCTTTGTGCTTCAAAAGACACCATCAAGAAAGTGAAAGACAACTCATATAATGGGAGAAATATTTGTAAACCATCTATATCTGATGAGTGACTTGTATCTAGAATACATAAGAAACTCTTATAAGTCAATAATAGAAAAACACATAACCCAATTTTAAATGGGCAAAGGATCTGAATAGATATTCCTTCAAATAAGACACACAAATAGCAAACAAAACAAAACAAAACCACATGAAAAGATGCTTGACATCACTAGTCATTAGGAACAAGAGTGAGATGCTGCTTCATAGCAACTAGGATGGCTAGAGTAAGAGTCAGAAAAGAACAAGTGTTGGTGAGGATGTGGAGAAATTAGAACCCTCTCTTTTTTTTTTTTTGAGATAGAGTCTCGCTCTGTCGCCCAGGCTGGAGTGCAGTGGCGCGATCTCGGCTCACTGCAAGCTCCGCCTCCCGGGTTCCCGCCATTCTCCTGCCTCAGCCTCCCGAGTAGCTGGGACTACAGGCGCCTGCCACCACGCCCGGCTAATTTTTTGTATTTTTGGTAGAGACGGGGTTTCACCGTGTTAGCCAGGATGGTCTCGATCTCCTGACCTCGTGATCCGCCCGCCTTGGCCTCCCAAAGTGCTGGGATTACAGGCGTGAGCCACTGTGCCTTACCAGAAATTAGAGCCCTCTTACACTGGTAGTGGGAATGTAAAATTATGCAGCTGCTTTGAAAAACAGTCTGGCAGTATCTCAGATGATTAAACAGAGTTAGGATATGACCCAGCAATTCCACTCCTAGGTATATACCCAAGAGAAATGAAAATGCGCACATGGACACTTGGGCATAAATGTTTGTAGCTGCATTATTCATATTAGCTAAAAGGATAAAACATCCCAAAGGTCCATCTCCTGAGGAATGGATAAACAAGATATGGTATATCCATACAATGGAATACTATCTGGTCATAAAAAGAGTGCAGTACTGATCCATGCTACAACATGGATGAACCTTGGAAACATTATGCAAAGTGAAAGAAACCAGCCACAAAAGACCACAGACTTTATGATTTCATTCAAATGAATGTCCAGAATGGGGAAATCTACAGAGACAGAAAGTTGATAAGTGTTTCTTTAAGGCTGAAGTGGGAGTAGGGACAGAGGGATAGGAAAGTGACAGCTAAAGGGTACGGTGTTTCTCTTTCACGTGATAAAAACGTTCTAAAACTGGCTGTGGTGATGGTTGCACATATATGTAAATATATTTTAAAAACCATTTCTTAAAAAATTTTTTCTTTCCATCCACGTTGAGTTAATCTAAAAACCGTTGTTTTGTACATTTCAAGTGTGTGAATTGTATGATACATGAATTATACCTCAAAGCTGTTTTTACTTTTCTTAAAATTTTTATTTTAGGTTCAAGGATACATGTGCAGGTTTGTTATATTGGTAAACTCGTGTCTTGGGGGTTCTTTTGTACGGATTATTTAGTCACCCAGGTACTAAGCCTAGTACCCAATAGTTATTTTTTCTGATCCTCTTCCTATTCCCACCCTCCACCCTCAGGTAGGCCACAGTGTCTGTTGTTCTTCTCTTTGTGTCCATGTGTTCTCATCATTTAGCCCCTACTTACAAGTGACAACATGTGGTATCTGGTGTTCTGCTCCTGTGTTAGTTTGCTAAGGATGTTGGCCTCCAGCTCCAACTGTGTTCTAGCAAAGGATATCATCTCATTTTTTTAAATGGCTGCATAGTATTCCATGGTGTATATGTACCATATTTTTTTTTATCCAGTCTACCATTGATGGCATTTAGGTTGATTCCATGTCTTTGCTATTGTGAACAGTGCTGCAATGAACATATGCATACATGTGTCTTTATTGTAGAACAATGTATATTCTTTTGGGTATACACCCAGTAATGGGATTGCTGGGTCAAATGGTTGTCCTGTTTTTAGCTCTTTGAGGAATAGCCACACTGCTTTCCACAATGGTTGAACTAATTTACACACCCAACAACAGTGTATAAACATTCCTTTTTCTCCACAACCTTGAAAGCATCTGTTATTTTTTGACTTTTTAATAATAACCATTCTGACTGATGTGAGATGGTATCTCATTAAGGTTTTGATCTGCATTTCTCTAATGATGAGTGATATTAAGCATTTTTTCATATGCTTTTTGGCTACATGTCTTCTTTTGAAATATGTCTTTTCATGTTCTTTTCCCACTTTTTAGTGGGGCTGTTTGGTTTTTTCTTGTAAATTTAAGATCTTTATAGATGCTGGATATTAGACTTTTGTCAGATGCATAGTTTGCAAATATTTTCTCCAATTATGTAGGTTGTCTGTCTACTCTATTGATAGTGTCTTCTACTGCGCAGAAGCTTTTACCTTTTTGGGTTTTTGTTTGTTTGTTTGTTTTTTTGAGACGGAGTCACACTCTGTCACCCAGGCAGGAGTGCAGTGGCACAATCATGGCTCACTGCAACCTCCACCTCCTGGGTTCAAGCGATTCTCCTGCCTCAGCCTCCCAAGTAGCTGGGACTACAGGTGCCTGCCACCATGCCCAGCTAATTTTTTTGTATTTTTAGTAGAGACGGGGTTTCACCATGTTGGCCATGCTAGATTCAAACTCCTGACCTCAGGTGATCTGCCCACCTTGGCCTCCCAAAGTGCTGGGATTACAGGCATGAGCCACCACACCTGGCCTGCTGTTACCTCTAATTAGATCCTGTTTGTCAGTTTTTTCAATTTTTTTTTAAAGAGGTAGGGTCTCGCTACGTTGGCCAGGTTGGTCTTGAACTCCTGGCCTCAAGTGATCCTCCTACCTTGGCCTCCCAAAGTGCTGAGACTACAGGCATGAGCCACCATGCCCAGCCTCTGTCAGTTTTTGCTGTGATTGCTATTGGTGTCTTTGTCATGAAATCTTTGCCCATTCCTATATCCAGAATGGTATTGCCTAGTTGTCTTTTAGTGTTTTTATAGTTTTGGGTTTTACATTTAAGTCTTTAATCCATCTTGAGTTAATTTTTGTATATGCTGTAAGGAAGAGGTCCAATTTCAGTCTTTAGCATATGACTTCTCAGTCAGTTATCCCAGCACCGTTTATTAAATAGGGAATCCTTTCCCCATTGCTTGTTTTTGTCAGGTTTGTTGAAGATCAGATGGTTCTAGGTGTGTGGCCTTATTTCTGAGCTCTCTATTCTGTTCCATTGGTCTGTATGTCTATCAGTACCATGCTGTTTTGGTTACCATAGCCCTGTAAGTATAGTTTGAAATTGGGGAACATGATGCTTCCAGCTTTTTTGTTGTTGTTGTTCGTTTGTTTTGTTTTTTGCTTAGAACTGCCTTGGATACTTGGGCTCTTTTTTGGTTCCATATGAATTTTAAAATAATTTTTTCTTGTTCTGTGAAAAATGTCATTGTCAGTTTTATAGGAATAGCATTGAATCTATAAATTGCTTTGGGCAGTATGGCCATTTAAATGATATTGATTCTTCCTATACATGGTCATGGAATGTTTTTCCATTGTTTATATCATCTCTGATTTCCTTGAAGAGTGTTTTGTAATTGTCATTGTAGATATCTTTCACCTTCCTAGTTAGCTGTATTCCTAGGTATTTTATTCTTTTTTTGTGGCAATTGTGAATGAGATTGCATTCCTGATTTGGCTCTTGGTTTTGCTGCTGTTGATGTATAGGAGTGCTAGTAATTTTTACACATTGAGTTTGTATCCTGAGACTTTGCTGAAGTTGTTTATCAGCTGAAGGAGCTTTTGGGCCAAGACTGGGATTTTCTAGATATAGAATAATGTCATCTGCAAACAAAGGTACTTAGACTTCCTCCCTTCTTATTTGAATGCCCTTTATTTCTTTCTCTTATCTGATTGCTCTGGCCAGGACTTCCAATACTGTGTGGAATAGGAGTGGTGAGAGAGGGCATTCTTGTCTTGTGCTGGTTTCCAAGGAGAATGCTTCCTGCTTTTGCCCATTCAGGAAGATGCTGGCTGCGGGTTTGTCATATGTGGCTCTTATTATTTTGAGTTATGTTCCTTCAATATTTAGTTCATTGAGAGTTTTTAACATGAAGGGATGTTGAATTTTATCAAAAGGCTTTTCTGTATCTGTTGAGATAATCATGTGATTTTTGTCTTTAGTTCTGTTTATGTGATGAATCACATTTAATCATTTATATCAATAAATGTGTATGTCGACCCAATCTTGCATCCCAGGGATAAAGCCTACTTCACTGTGATGGATTATCTTTCTGGTGTGCTGCTGGATTCAATTTGCAAGTATTTTGTTGAGGATTTTGGCATCAATGTTCATCAAGGATATTGGCCTGAAGTTTTCTTTTATTGTTGTGTCTCTGCCAGGCTTTGGTATCGGCATGATGCTGGCCTTATAAAATGAGTTGGAGAGGAATCTCTCCTCAATTTTTTGGGATAGTTTCAGTAGCGGTGATACTAGTTCTTCTTTGTATATCTAGTAGAATTTGGCTGTGCATACATCTAATCCTGTGCTTTTTTTGTTTGGTAGGCTATTTATTACTGACTCAATTTTGGAGATTATTATTGGTTTGTTCAGGGAATCAGTTTCTTCCTGGCTCAGTCTTGCAAGGGCATATGTATCCAGGAATTTATCCATGTCTTCTAGGTTTTCTAGTTTGTGTGCATAGAGGTGTTCACAGTAGTCTCTGATGGTTATTTGTATTTCTGTGGGATCAGTGATAACATCTCTTGTTGTTTCTGATTTTGTTTATTTGGATCTTCTCTCCTTCTTCTTTATTAGTCTAGCTAGTGGCCTATCTATGTTATTATTATTTTTTTAAAAACCTAACTCTTGCATTTGTTGATCTTTTGAATGGGTTTTTTCATGTCTCAGTCTCCTTCAGTTCAGCTTTGATTTTGTTTATTTCTTGTCTTCTGCTATCTTTGGGGTTGGTTTGCTCTCGCTTCTCCAGTTCTTTTTGTTGTAATGTTAGGTTGTTAATTTGAGATCTTTCTAACTTTTACTTGGGGAGTTCAGTGCTATAAATTTTCCTCTTAACACTGCCTTAGCTGTGTCCAAGACATTCTGGTATGTTGTATCTTTGTTCTCATTAGTTTCAAATAACTTGATTTCTGCTGTGATTTTATTTACTTACCCAAAAGCCATTGAGGACTTTTAATTTCCATGTAATTTCATGGTTTTAGGTGATTTTTTTAAAGTCTTGATTTCTATTTTTATTGCTCTGTGGTCTGAGAGTGTGTTTAGTATGATTTTGTCTCTTTTGCATTTGCTGAGAATTGTTTTATGTTCAACTGTGTGATCAATTTTAGAGTATGTGTCATGTGGTGATGAGAACAAGGTATGTTCTGTTGTTTTTGGGTGGAGAGTTCTGTAGCTGTCAATCAGATCCATTTGGCCCAATGTTGTGTTCAGGTACTGAATATCTTTGTTAACTTTCTGCCTCAAAAATCAGCCTAATACAGTCAGTAGCATGTTGAAGTCTCCCATTATTATTGTGTGGGAGTCTAAGTCTCTTCGTAGGCCTCTAAGAACTTGCTTTATGAATCTGTGTGCTCCTGTGTTGGGTGGATATATATTTAGGATAGTTAGGTCTTCTTGTTGAATTGAACCCTTTATTGATTGATATGGTTTGGTTCTGTGTCCCCACCCAAATCTCATCTTGAACCGTAGTTCCCGTAATCCCCACATTTCATGGGAGGAACCCGGTGGGAGGTAATGGAATCTTGGGGGTGGTTTCCCCCATGCTGTTCTCATGATAGTGAGTGAGTTCTCATTAGATCTGATGGTTTTATAAGCGTCTGGCATTTCCCCTGCTGGGACTCATTGTCACCCCTGCCACTCTGTGAAGAGGTGCCTTCTGCCATGATTGTTAAGTTTCCTGAGGCCTCCCCAGCAATGCAGAACTGTGAGTCAATTAAACCTCTTTTCTTTATAAATTACCCAGTCTCAGGTATTTCTTCATAGCAACATGAGAATGGACTAATACACTGATGTAATGCCCTTCTTTGTCTCTTTTTTGATCTTTGTTGGTTTAAAGTCTGTTTTGTCTAAAATTAGGATTGCAGCCCCTGCTTTTTTCTGATTTCCATTTGCTTGGTAGATTTTTCTTCATTACTTTATTTTGAGCCTATGGGTGTCACTGTGTGTGAGATGGGTCTCTTGAAGATAGCCTACCATTGGGTCTTGCTTTTTTGTCCAGCTTGTCACTCTGCCTTTTAAAATGGGGCACTTAGCTCATTTACATTTAGGGTTAGTATTGACATGTGTGGATTTGATCCTGTTATTGTGTTGTTAGCTGGTTATTATGTCAGCTTGTTTGTGTGGTTGCTTTATAGTGTCACTGGTCTGTGTTTGTAGGAGTGTTTTTGTATTGGCTGGTAGTGGTCTTTCCTTTTCATATTTAGCGCTCCTTTCAAGATCTCTTGTAAGGCAGGTCTGGTGGTAATAAACTTCGTTAGCATTTGCTTATCTGAAAAGGATCTTATTTCTCCTTCACTGAGGAGGCTTAGTTTGACTGGATATGAAATTCTTGGTTTAAGATTTTTTTTAAGGTATTGTATATAGGTCCCCAATCTCTTCTGGCTTGTAGAGGTCTGCTGTTAGCCTGATGGGGTTCCCTTTGTAGACGACCTGTCCTTTCTTTCTAGCTGCCTTTAACATTCTTTCTTTCATTTGGACCTTAGAAAATCTGACAATTATGTGTCTTGGGGATAGTATTTTTGTGTAAATCTTGCAAGGATTCTCTGTTTTTCCTGAATTTGACTGTTGGCCTCTCTGGCAAGGCTGGAAAAGTTTTCATGGACAGTATCCTGAGATATGTTTTCCAAGTTGTTTGCTTTCTTTCTGCCCCTTTCAGGGGTGCCTGTGAGTCATGCATTTGGCCTGTTTGCATAATCCTATATTTCTTGGACGTTTTGTTCATTCCTTTTCATTCTTTTTTCTTGATTTTTGTCTGACTGTCTTATTTCAGAAAGCCAGTCTTCAAGTTCTGAGATTCTTTCCTCAGCATGATCTGCTGTTAATACTTGTGATTGCATTGTGAAATTCCTTTAGTGTGTTTTTTAGCTCTATCAGATCAGTGAAGTTCTTTTTTATACTGGCTATTTTGTCTGTCAGTTCCCGTATTGTTTTATTGTGATTCTTAGTTTCCTTGGATTGGGTTTTGCTGTTCTCCTGAATCTTGATGATCTTCATTCCTATCCACATTCTGAATTCTATTTCTTGTCATTTCAGTCAACTCAGCCTGGTTAAGAACTCTTGTTGGAGAACTAGTGTGATCATTTGGAGGACATAAGACACTCTGACCATTCGAGTTGCCAGAGTTCTTGCATTGGTTATTTCTTATCTCTGTACGTGGGTATTCCTTTAACTGTGGTGTAGATTGAGTACAGAAAATTGACTTCTTTTCTGGGTATTTTCACAGGTCTGAGGCTTTGTGCAGGGTCATTATTTGTAGCTGACTTATGTTTGGTTTCACAGAGGGGTAGGTTAGTGAGGTATTTTTGGTGTTGAAGCTTTGGGGTGTGATCCAGTAGGTGGCACTTAGGTGTAGTGGTCAGTTGGTAGGCTCTTACTCAGTCCTGTGGCTCCCCTATATTTCCTCACAGTTGCAGCCATGTTCCCTCTCAATGCTCTGAAAGTGTGCCCTCCTCTCCCACTTGAGTGCTGCCTGTAGATTGTGGCTTGACACTCCCAGGCTTCCCACTGCAGCTCTGGGGTGTTCTTAGGGTTTATGTTTCCTCCTTAACTTGGAGGCATCAGAGGAATGAACTTTAGCAGTGGCTGTGGCTGAAAGTCTTTCACTTATCTCCTGGGGGCCCTACCCCAGAGAGATACAGGTCAGCAATCACTTAGTGCAATCAGCCCTGAATGGGGGCTGTGGGCCCAACCTGAGGGTTCCCTGCTGGGTGATAAGTGTGTGGGGTAGGGGAAGGTGAGGAGTAGGTGGGACCCATGGGAGATGGACTGGCCTCCTCTCCTTGGGTAGACTGCTGCTTGTTGGAGGTGTGGATAAGGTACTTAGGGTCTTTGCTCCTTCATTAGTCTCAGGGTAGCAAAGGCAGTTCCACTGCAGAGGCACTGGCAGAGGGGCTTTCATTTGCCCCTGAGGGCTTCACCTCTGAGGAATGTGGAGCCACTGTTACTGGGAGTGTTCAGCCAGTGGGGTGGGGCAGCTGAACTGCTGGCATAAGCTTGGAGCTCCACTTGGGGATCGGGAGTCAAGGGCTCACTTGGAAGAGAGACTGGTCTCCTCTTCATATGGTTACTGTGGTGTGCTGTAAGCGCAGGTGTACCCCTCAGGCTCTTTGTTTCTTCCCCAGACCAAAGGCAGCAGGGATAGAACTGCTGCTGTGGTCGTGGCAGAGGGGCTCTTGGATGCCTCTGGGGTTCTCTCCCCAGGGAAAACCCTGGGCCACTTCCAATGGGTATAATCAGCTGTCGGTGGGGCAACTGTTCTGCAGTCATGAGCTGGGGGCCCTGCCTAGTGGAGAATGGGTGCCAGGGGTTCCCAGGGAAGAGGGCTGGGCTCCTCTCTGTATTGTGGCTGTGGTGTGCTGGAGGTGCCAGTGTAGTGACTAGGCCCTTTGTTCTTTCCCCAGCCCGAGGGCTGTTAGGGTTGTACCACTTCAACTGCAGTAGTGGAGGGGTTGTGGGTTGACTCTGGGATTTCCTCCTTGGAGAAATGCCGGGCTGCCTTTGTGATTGAAGTGGTCAGGCGGGAGTAGGTTGGTTGTGCTGGAGTCCCAGGTTGGGTGGCCCTGCTCAGTGAGGAGAAGTGAGGACTGGGACCAGGGTGGAGAACAGCCCAGCCACTTTTCTGCAAGGTGGGTGCTCTGTGCTGGGGGTTTTGACCAGCCTCTGGTCCCCACAGACTCTCCCGGGCCTGGAGACAGTAAGGATAAAGGCTGCAAGACAGCAAAGATGGCAACCCACCCTTCCCACTGGGAGCTCTGTCTCAGGGAGTTTCAGTGCTGCTACTGGCTTTATAGCCCCAGTGGGGGGTGGCTGGAAACCCAGGCCAGGAGGACCCACCCAATGAGGAGTTATGGGATTGGGACCCACATAACAAATAGTCTAGCCACTTTTCTGTAGGGCTGCTATAATATGCTCGGGGTCCATTCCAGTCCCTAGTCACCTCATATTTTTTTAGTATCTGAAGGTATTAACAGTGAAGGCTGCAAAACAACCAAGATGGTGGCCCACGCTTCCCTCTGGGAGCTCTGTCCCATGGAGGTTTGGAATTGCTGCCAGCTGGAAAACAGCTGAGGGGGTGGATGTAGACCTCGGTCAGGAGGTTCAGCCAGTGAAGAGAAATGGGATCCAGGACCTGCATGAAAAAGCAGCCTGGCCATCTCTCCGGAGAGCTGCTGTGCTGTGCCAGGGGACTGCTCCAGTCCCTACTCATCTTGGACTCCCCAGAGCCAGATGGCAACAACAGCTAAGGCTGTGAGACAGCAAATATGGTGGCGTGCCATCCCTCTGGGAGCTCCATCTCAGGAAGATGAAATGCTGCTACCGTGGCTGGCTGGAGTTCCAAGCCAGTGGGTCTTATCCTGTGAAGTGCCACGGAAGTAGGGCCTGCACACCATTGCCGCTCAGTCCCCTAGATTCAGCCCGTTTCCTAGAGATATGTACAGGGGTCTAGGCTTCTTTTTTTTTTTTTTTTTAGACGAAGTCTCACTCTTGTGCCCCAAACTGGAGTGCAATGGCATGATCTCGGCTCACCGAAACCTCTGTCTCCCAGGTTCAAGCGATTCTCCTGCCTCAGCCTCCCGAGTAGCTGGGATTATAGGTGCCTGCTACTACGCCCGGCTAATTTTTGTATTTTTAGTGAAACGGGGTTTCACCATGTTGGCCAGGCTGGTCTCGAACTCCTGACTTCGGGTGGTCTGCCTGCCTTGGCCTCCCAAAGTGCTGGGATTACAGGCGTGAGCCACCGCACCCGGCCGGGTCTAGCCTTCTTGGCCAGAGTTGCAGCTGCTTTTGTTTGGGAAGTCCAGATATCTAAAGCTCCTGGGGCTCCATGTGTGCCTGAGTGGCTGCTCTGCTGGGACTCCACGTAGCTCTGAGTGTCAGACCACAGGCCCTGGTGCAGTGAGTTCACAAGGGGATCTCCTGACCTGAGGTTTGCAAAGATCTTTGAGAGAAGCATGAGTCCCCAGGATTGCTCACTCACTTACTCACCACTTCCCTGGGTTGGGGAGGCTCCCCTTGCTCCATGTTGTTCCCAGGTGGACAGTTGTCCTGCCTTGCTTTTCTCCATCCTCCCTGGGTCGAGTTGTTTTCTTGACGAGTCCTAATGCACGTACTTGGATGTTTCAGTTGAAGATGCTGTATTTACTTGCCCCTTCTTTTCTCCCAGTGGGAGCAACATAAACTAGCTGCTTCTAGTCAGCCATCTTGGCTAGCCCTGCTTCAAAGCTATTTTTTTAAAAAATAAATCAGAAATAACATTATTTATTTATCTAAATTAATGATATACCAAAATGATACAATCATGAACGTTTTGCACCTAACAACATAGCCTGTAAATACAAAAAGCAAAAACAACAGAACTTGAGGGAGAAATTTATAATCCAAAGTCATTAGAAGATTTTAATATTTTTCTATCTGAAATGGACTTGTTAAAAATTTGGTAGTGTAGAACATTTCATCCTTCAATTAGGAAGATATACCTTTACCTATTTTATATGTATAATTGCATATACCTATATCAGAACTTAGTAGAGAGACCATGTATTAAACCACAAATTTCAGAATTAATATCACAAGACCCTCTTCTCATGTTGCTATTCTGTCAGAGGCAAGCATGTTGTTTGCTTACTCTTTTTAGTAAATCCAAGTGTTTTTTTCAAGTTTGGCTGCTCTGCTAGAATCTCCTCTCCCTTTTGCAATACGTTAGGTCCCAAGGCCATGGTGTTTCTATCCAGGAGAACCTGCAGCTATTTTCTCCTAAGGTCCTACAGAAGGCGGTCCCCAACCCCTGGGCCACAGGCTGATATTGTAGAACCAGGCTACACAGCAGGAGGTGAATGGTGGGTAAGTGAGCAAAGCTTCACCTGTATTTACAGCCATTCCACATCACCTCCATTACTGCCCGAGCCCTGCCTTCTGTCAGATCAGTGGCGGCATTAGATTGTCATAGGAGCTGGAACACTATTGCAAACTGTGCAATGCAAGGGATCTAGGTTGCATGCACCTTGTGAGAATCTAATTAATGCCTGATGATCTGAGGTGGAACAGTTTCATCCTGAAACTATCCCGCCACTTCCCTCCCTTTACCCCAGTCTATGGAAAAATTGTCTTCCACAAAACCAGTTCCTGGTGCCAAAAACATTGGGGACTACTGTCCTACAGTTCCCCGGACTTTGTAGTCTCCACAACTCCTCTCCTACTCAATTACTTACTAGTGATAAGGGTAAATTTTTATTCCTTCCAGAGGAGTCTGCTGCAGCAGATATAAACTACAATTTTTTTTCAATAGGTCATCATTGATTACTAATGGATTATCCTGGTATTATTTCCCTACAGAGAATTTTTGACTAGTACAATTTTATCTTCAGGTTTCACTTTGTTCTTTTTTCTATCTCTTCCAGTCTCAGAAATTCCCCATCCTCACTTTGGGAGAGGGGTTAATTTGATCTGTCAGTAATATTTTAATTCAAACTCATCTTCTTGATCTTTCTCACTTTTCTATAGCTATTATTTTTGTTACCTGCTGGTCATTCCCCTCAAATACAAAACAGTAAACTTTTTAGAGCAGTTGTTCAAACTATTCCGAGGGGTCATTATGAGTTACACGGGGACTTTTTCATGTCCCACCTATGAGGAAGAAAAAAAATTGAAAGAGGCTCCTATTTCTGTTATTTTGCATAGAGGGACTCCCTCTCCTTTTATTTGAGGAAAGATATGGCTTCTCAAAAATCTGAAAAATACTGCCTTTTTAAAAAACCATAACCCTCACAAAATTTTAGTATTTCTCAATTAATCACGTAGAAAATTACCAGCAAAAAACTCTTAGATTTACATAGAAGTTAAAATCTAAAGAATGGTGTATAATTGGTTCCAAAAAAACCATAGAAAGAACTTTTATTTTTAAAAAACAAATTCATGGCTATTGCCCTTGGATCATACTTTATGAATCACTGTCTTAGAAGACAAAAGCAAAATTCTGAGGTGACAGCTAAGAAGAAAGGGAACCAGTTGCTTGGACAACTGAAGTCTAGTATTTTAGATGACATGATGTCAAAAGATATCCTTATTTTATGTATTTAAGGAATAACATTTTTCATTCCTCTCACAGCTGGAGACCAAACTCCTTTTAAAAAGGGTCTCTCACTGTATATCTATAACCCTCATCATAGAGACCCTTCTTAAAAGGAGTTTGGTTTCTATCTGTGAGAACAAATGCCTGGGGCCTGTGGATGAGGGAGGCATAGGAAAGAAGCTCTATGTATACCCTCCTCCCTGGGATAGCACAGTGAGAGCACATGTGGATATGAAGGGCAGGCAGCCAAGAAAAGCAGCCAGTGAGATTCCCTGAGCAACAGTGATCCCAAACAATGGTTCTTAAACAGTAAGCTGCCTTGCCCAAGGTTCACAGGAGAAGCTTGTTACATGTGCAGATTCCAGGTCCCAACCCACGGAAAATTTGATCCAATAGGTCTATAGCTTGGCCCCAAAGTCTGGTGATTCTGACTGAGACAGGAGGTCTCTGAACCTCACTCTGAGAAACACTAAACCATGGGGTACTTGTAGGAGCAGACGGATCTTCCTGAGCCACATATTTATACATATCTCTTCCTAGCTTGCTGGACTTGTCCGTGTCCTGGGAAATCAGCCTGTGGGTAGGATGGTCATCCTGGACATGCTCTTCCCTCCAGAAGACCTATCTGTGGTTAACCATTTCCGGAAATCTGGGTTACCACCTGATGATAATCTAACACCAGAGCATTTCTTCCTTCAAAGTTGCTTCAGATGTCCTTCAGCAAACCATATAATTCCAGCAAAGCGCCTGGCTTGATGTCAGAGCTGTTGCTGTGGGGGTCAGAACACGAGTCTTCCATAGAAACACAGCAAAGACAAAGCCAGACTCATTGTATTCACAGACTGAGTCTGGGGATCAGAGCCTGTCACTGACTTTAGTCTCTCACGTTGTCAGAGGTGTGAGGCAGCCCCACTCCCTGTGAGCTCCTCACAGCTGATCTTGTGCTGGCAGGAGCCACCCCAGAGCCATCTTTTCCCCCGGCAGCCCAGCAGCTCACCACTGGGGAGGAGGATGTGTTCACTGATTAAAGTTTAAAAGGCAGGTGAGGAAGTGGGACTAATTAGCCCCATGAAGGCCCATTAAAGTGTTTGAAAAGTTACTAGCATCTCTGAGAGTCTACCCATGAGGAAACAAGTGGCTGGGAAAGTGGGAATGAGGGGACTAGATCCACACAGATCCCTGCAAATATGCTGCTCATTCGCCCCAAAACACTACTCCACCTTCACTCTAAACTTAACTCTTACGTGATTATCTGTATTTCCTCGACACTGGAAAACCAGGTTTTTCTTTCTTCTATGCCAGTTACCCAATGTACATTTGTGCTGTAGATGAGAGCTGAGGACCTTCCTGCCCTTCAGGGTTATAGTAAAGTTAGAGGCATGTTATGTGGTTCCCAAATATTTGGGAATTTTCTAGGTATCTTTCTGTTATTGATTTCTGATTTAAAAGCATATGGTCAGAGAATACATTTTGTATGACTTGATACTTTTGAATTTATTGAGACTTACTTTAAGGCCCAGAATAGGACCTATCTTGGAGAATGTTCTATGTCCACTTGAAAGGAATATATATTCTGTTTTGTTGAGTGGAGTGTTCTATCTGTAACTGCCAATTAGGTCAAGTTGGTTGATATTGTTGTTTGAGTCTTTCTAATCTGCTGCTAATCTCATCCAGTGTATGTTTTCATATCAGACACTGCAGTTTTCATCTACAGAAGTTTGTTTTCAGTCTCTTTTTATATCTTCTTGTCTTTACATATTTTTTGTACATATGGAATACAATTATAATAACTGTTTTAATGTGCTTCTGTACTAACTCTAACATCTGTTTCATGTCTGGGTCAGTTTCAGTTGGTTGATTATTTTTCTTTTCATGGGTCATGTTTTCCTGCCTCTTTACAAATCTAAATAATCTTTTTTCAGATACTAGAGATTGTGAATTTTATCTTGTTGGGTGGTGGATATTTTTATAGTCTTATAAGTATCTTTGGTTCTGGGATGCAGTTAAAGTTATTTGGCAACAGTCTGAGCCTCTTGGTCTTGCTTTCGTGATTTGTTAGGCAGGTCCACAGCAGGGTCAATCTAGGGCTAATTATTCCCCAATACTGAGGAAATAACTTCCGGAATACCCAAACCCCCATGAGCTATGAGCTTTTCCTGTTCAGCTGGTAGAACCGGCACTGTAATTGGCCCTCTGTAAGCACTGGGCCGTGTTCCCTCCAGTATTTTCAGGTTGTTCCTTCGCTGTCCTTGGGTAGTTTCTCCATATGATGTACTCATCACGACTCTTTTTTTTTACACCAAAATTTTTTCATTTAAAAAAGTATTTAGAACACACAAAACAAGGCAACATTTCTCCTTTTTTCTCATCTTCTGGTATGGGATCTGTTGGTGACTCCTCCACTGTTGGGCTGTTGCTCTCCGAGCCAGTGTTACTATCACTGGTTCCTTCCTCTGCCATACTGTCAATCCCCTCCTGCCCACTCTCCTTGTCTTAAGGAGTAGATGTGCCTTCTTCACTGTTCTGTTGGCTCTCTGTCATTTCTTCAAGGTGTGTCTCCCCTGTCTCCATTGGAATGTTCTCGTCGTCTTTCTTCTCCTCACCTTAGTTGGCCGCGTGCTCTTGCTCAGGAACGATGCCGCTCTGACTGCGCTTAGCTTGGTCTGCCACCTCCCTCTCCCTTTCCTCCTGCCTTTTGTGGGTCTGTTCCTCTGCCTGTGCAATCTCAGCTGCAATTTTCTCCATATCCACTTCTACCTTCAGACCACACAAACTTTTAAGTTATTGCTAAATGATTCTGTGCTTTCCAGGAATTTCCTCGTCTTCGGGTATCGTTCCTCTATTTGAAGAAGTTCAGCTTCTAGTTTTTGCTGATGAACCATTAAGGACTGGACCTGTTGTTTGAGGACCTGCATTCTAGCTGTTGTGACAGCTGACTGAATGTCTGGCACCACACTGTCACTAAGGATTTCATTGATGAGGCTGTGGTTTCTCTGGAAACAGGCAGTGGCTGTATGCTTGCTTCACTGAAATGCCATCATCACAATCATCTGGATCTTCATCACGCTGAATGCTCATGTAAGGTTCTCCTTTCTCTATGCAAGACTGTCTCTGTCGACTTTCTTTCTCTAAAGCAGCTTCTGCACAACTTTTTGCATTTATGTAAGCAAGGTACATGGGAGAATTATGATAGGACTTCATATATTCATTGTACTCTATCTTTTCTGCTTTGTATTCGTTTAAATATTCTTGTTTTTCTTCATCAGTGAGATCTTGCCACGTGCCATCAAATAATCTTGCCAATCTCCCACAACTTTAGGTCAGGGTTGGAAGCCTTGACTTGGTCCCAGACCTTTCGGCTGTACCTCATGTAGGGCATCAGCAGCTTATCTGATGGTTTTGGTGGTTTTGGAATCATAATACCAGAGGATGCCATGACCCGGCTGTTGGTGCCCGGGTTCCCTCCCAGCCTGTAGTTGTTGTAGGTGAGATGACTGTATGGATTGTATCCCACAAACCCTGATGTGCTGGGCATTTGTGTTGCAGGAGCTGGGCTGGGAGGTGAGGCATAAGATGGTCTTTTTGACATCTTAGTAGATTAAATTCTCAGTTCCTAAGAATGAATCTGAGACCCTGCAGGCAGAAAAAGCGCCCGCAGCTCTGGCTTCGCTTCCCTTTGTCCTCTCATCACTACTCTAATGAATACTTGAGAGACGGCCCTCTGGGGTTCTCCCTCTATGGAAATTTCTCTGTCTAGTACTCTGTCATAGGAACATTGGCCCATAGGTCTTTCCAAAGTCCCAGTTCCTTCTCAAGTCAGAGTGTCCTCCAGGATCCTTCTCAGTCCACCTTCTCTGCCCTGTGGTCTGGAAACTCCCCAAAGGCAGTAAGCTGGGGCAACTGTTGTGTTCACCTCATTTGTTTCCCACTTCTTGGGGTCATTGTCTTTCATTGTGTCGTGTCTGATGTCTTAAAAACTGTTTTATGTATCTTAGCTTATTTTCTTTTTAATTTTTGATGTGATTTTAGGCAGGGGGGTAAATTTGATCCCCACAACTCCATCTTGGCCAGAAGTTAAAGTCTCCCATGGGTAAATTCGATTATAAGATTTCCGCAAATTTGAAAACTTACCATGGTCTGGCTATCTGTTGGTTTCTGTTTTTGCCCATCATGTCTTCATTCAGCACTGTGCAGATCTAACAGAAATCTAATACCTTCTTTGCTACACACACATACCTCTTAGACAAAGCATTCATGTTGAGAATCTATCAAAGATTTTTGTGGGTGATAAAAGAGAGGTTTATATTTAATTTATTCATACATTGCCAAATTGCTTTTAAGGCTTTATTGTACTTAAAATTCTCTTTGGCTATCTGACACCTAGGATAGCTCTCTGAATTTCACCCAGAAGTCAGAAGTATATTCTGACTTCTCTCTTTTCTTCTCTTTCTCTTTATCATTTTTCTCCCTTCACTCCTCTTTTTCTCTTTTCTCCTCCAGGCTTTCTTAAGAAACTCAAACACAGGCCAGGCGCAGTGGCTCACTCCTGTAATCCCAGCACTTTGGGAGGCCGAGGTGAGTGGATTACCTGAGGTCAGGAGTTCGAGACCAGCCTGGCCAACGTGGTGAAACCCTGTTTCTACTGAAAATACAAAAATTAGCCAGGCGTGGTGGCACGTGCTTGTAATCCCAGCTACTCAGGAGGCTGAGGCAGGAGAATCACTTGAACCAAGGAGGTGGAGGTTGCAGTGAGCCAAGATTGTGCCACTGCCCTCCAGCCTGGCTGACAGAGTGAGACTCTGTCTAAAAAAAAACAAAAAAAACAAAACAAAACCCCAAACACAAATCTTTTTCCTTGTCTCAGTTTGTGCTTTTTTTAAATTTAAGTTCAGTTCCTACCTATATTCATGCCCTTTTGGCCACATCTTCAACTCCAAGTTTACATAAACTCAAGAATAATGATAGCTAATATTTACTATGATCGACTGCGATCTATTATGCTAAATCTTTTGCAAAGATGGCAATTCTTCTGACTGACACTCTTGTGGCTAACAGTTCTTCACAATGCTATGCGTACATGCCATTGCCACCATCAAGAGATAGAGTCTGTTTTCTTTCCTCCTTGCATCTGTGCTGGCCTTTTGACTTTCTTTGACCAGTAGAATGCAGCCCAAGTGACCTTGGTGACTTCTGTAGACGAAAATTACAATGTCTGATAAGAAAACATACACTGGATGAGATTAACAGCAGATTTAGAAAGGATACAGTAGACTTCAACAACAGTATCCACCAATTTGACCTAATTGGTTGTTACAGACCTAATTGGAAAGTTATAGATAAAACATTCCACTCAACATTTCAAGTTGAAATAGAACATTCAAGTGGACATAGAACATTCACCAAGACAGATCATATTCTGGGCCTTAAAATAAGTCTCAATAAATTCAAAAGTATCAAGTCATACAAAGTGTATTCTCTGACCATATGCTATTAAATTAAAAACGAATAACAGAAAGATCCCTAGAGGATTCCCAAATATTTGGAAACTATGTAAGATGCCTCTGATTTTATTATAATCTTGAAGAGTTCCAGAGTCCAGCCTTAAGATGCCTGGAAGCTTCTGTATCTCTCTTTGGGCCCTGAGCCACCATGTGATGAAAAGTCTGATAATTCTGCTGAAGATACTATGAAGGGAAAGGTCTAGGCAGCCTCCAGCTATTCCAGCCCGTCACACTGAAGTATGTGAGTGAAGCCATACCGAACCATCCAGCCCCAATTGAGGCTCTAGATGACTGTAGCTGCATGAGTAACTTCAGGTAACATCAGCAGTCTAACCACTCAGCTGAGCCCAGCCAAGATTACAGATATTTGAGCAAATATGTGATTGGCTTAAAACGTTGAGTTTTAGGGTGCTTTGTTAAGCAGTAATAAATAAGAAATATTTATTGTGGGGATCATTACAAATGTTGTCTTATTAAATTCAGTCTTATCAACAGGTATATGAGGTGGGTACTATTATTATCCACATTTTACAGGTGAGAAAAATGAGTATCAGCAAAGTTAATAAACTTTCTAGATGTCACCTAGCTAACAAATTGTTAAGCAGGGATTTGACAACAAGCTGTCTGATTTCAAAGCTGTACTGCACATTAAAACAGTTATAATGGTATTCCATATGTACAAAAAATGTAGACAGGAAGATATAAAAAGAGACTGAAAACAAACTTCTGTAGATGAAAACTGCAGTGTCTGATATGAAAACATACACTGGATGAGATTAGCAGCAGATTAGAAAGACTCAAACAACAATATCAACCAACTTGACCTAATTGGCAGTTACAGATAGAACACTCCACTCAACAAAACAGAATATATATTCCTTTCAAGTGGACATAGAACATTTCCCAAGATAGGTCCTATTCTGGGCCTTAAAGTAAGTCTCAATAAATTCAAAAGTATCAAGTCATACAAAATGTATTCTCTGACCATATGCTTTTAAATCAGAAATCAATAACAGAAAGATACCTAGAAAATTCCCAAATATTTGGGAACCACATAACATGCCTCTAACTTTACTATAACCCTGAAGGGCAGGAAGGTCCTCAGCTCTCATCTACAGCACAAATGTACATTGGGTAACTGGCATAGAAGAAAGAAAAACCTGGTTTTCCAGTGTCGAGGAAATACAGATAATCACGTAAGAGTTAAGTTTAGAGTGAAGGTGGAGTAGTGTTTTGGGGCGAATGAGCAGCATATTTGCAGGGATCTGTGTGGATCTAGTCCCCTCATTCCCAGTTTCCCAGCCACTTGTTTCCTCATGGGTAGACTCTCAGAGATGCTAGTAACTTTTCAAACACTTTAATGGGCCTTCATGGGGCTAATTAGTCCCACTTCCTCACCTGCCTTTTAAACTTTAATCAGTGAACACATCCTCCTCCCCAGTGGTGAGCTGCTGGGCTGCCAGGGGAAAAGATGGCTCTGGGGTTGCTCCTGCCAGCACAAGATCAGCTGTGAGGAGCTCACAGGGAGTGGGGCTGCCTCACACCTCTGACAACGTGAAAGACTAAAGTCGGTGACAGGCTCTGATCCCCAGACTCAGTCTATGAATGCAGAGTCTGGCTTTGTCTTTGCTGTGTTTCCATGGAAGACTTGTGTTCTGACCCCTACAGCAACAGCTCTGACATCAAGCCAGGTGCTTTGCTGGAATTACATGGTTTGCTGAAGGACATCTGAAGCTACTTTGAAGGAAGAAATGCTCTGGTGTTAGATTATCATCAGGTAGTAACCCAGATTTCCGGAAATGGTTAACCACAGATAGGTCTTCTGGAGGGAAGAGCATGTCCAGGATGACCATCCTACCCACAGGCTGATTTCCCAGGACACGGACAAATCCAGCAAGCTAGGAAGAGATACGTATATGTGGCTCAGGAAGATCTGTTTGCTCCTGCAAGTACCCCATGGTTTAGTGTTTCTCAGAGTGAGGTTCAGAGACCTCCTGTCTCAGTCAGAATCACCAGACTTTGGGGCCAAGCTATAGACCTATTGGATCAAATTTTCTGTGGGTTGGGACCTGGAATCTGCACATGTAACAAGCTTCTCCTGTGAACCTTGGGCAAGGCAGCTTACTGTTTAAGAACCATTGTTTGGGATCACTGTTGCTCAGGGAATCTCACTGGCTGCTTTTCTTGGCTGCCTGCCCTTCATATCCACATGTGCTCTCACTGTGCTATCCCAGGGATGGGGGCAATGAGTCGGGTATAAACAGAGCTTCTTTCCTATGCCTCCCTCATCCACAGGCCCCAGGCATTTGCTCTCACTCTTATGCACTCCACTCCATAATCCACTCCCATATGATAAGATCATCTTTAAGTTTTCCTCCTACATTTCATTCACAGGTACAAACAATAGCCAATAGAAATAGTGGTAATTCCAGCATCCTTTGAACAACTGTCAGAGATGCCAATTTCTCCATAATCCTTTCCTTGAGTCACTCTATATTCTTAAGAATTTTGAATTTAGTGCAGATTGGTGAAGAGAGATGAAAGAGGAGAGGGGAGCAGAAGAGAGAGTGTGGGTTTAAAGTAAATGATAAATCTGGAGGCTCTGATCAGCTATCCACTGTATTACCCACCACCCTACCCCATCCCATCCCACCACTCCACCCCAGTGTATGCTTCCTGCCTCATCCATACTGTCTGGAGCATTGCACATATTTCTATTTTTCTCTTCTTTTGTTCTTTTAATCAGAGAGATACTTGCAGACCTATTACCTAAATTGAAACAGCCCACCAAGGAAAGAAGATGGGAAGCTGGGTCTGAAAATTCTACTCCACTCCTAATGACCACCTTTCTATTTTCTTAAAGTGCCTGCAAGTTATTTCCACTCTGGGAGTTTTACAGTCATTTATCTGAATTCCTCTAATTTGCCTTGAAGTCGAATTGGCCTTTGTCACCAATGGCGCCAAAGACATTTGCAACCCAAATCTAGGACTGCCCACATTCTACAATAGTGAGATTTATTATAAAATGACAGCTGTTAGAGTAAGGATAGCTGAATGTTACATCTAAGTGACATGAAATAAGTCACAGAATTGCATTCCATGAGTTCTAAAAGCAGTTGCTAATGTTCTGTGTTCAAATTTGCACTTATATTTTGTGTCTCAATTTTATTAGGGCATGTTACCTCTTTGGGCATTTCTAAAAGCCTTTTTCTTGTCACCAGTCACAGTATTCTATCAACACAAATGGTGCCTCATTCCCTGCCTGACAACTAAATTTAGTTATACATATGTCCAGAATCTTCTCCTGCCCAGGTAGTTTGATGATTCTGGAAATTATGTCATTGGAATTCGTCAGAATGTTTGCTTGCTCAATCCAGCTCTTTCCTCTCCAAATTCTCCCAACACTTTTCACAGGTGTGTTATTCGCTTACTCTCCTCAGGGCAGGATGAGGCAGCTCACTTTTGCCCCTTTTTGTCCTACTCAGCCACATCTGTTAGCTTCAAAGTCTTTGTAACTGAGAGTCTTCACCCAAGAGCACAGGGTGCTTAACTGGCTCAGCACCCAGAGGTAACTTGGGAAGACACGTGGTAGAGGAGCCAATGGAACAGAGGAGAGTGTGGTGTTTAGGTGATGCATTCAAGCTTTGTTCACTCTCTAAATAGAAAAGGCATTTTCACAAAGACTCACTCACTTCGTTCCTTTCCTACTGGCCATAACATCCTCTGAGTCCAGGGTGATTTTGTTCTCTGGAAATGATGGGCAGCTTTATGGATGATGAGGAGACTCTCCCGTTGGTGGAGGCTCCCACATGCAGTCTTACACTACCTCCATCTCTCCACACTCTCAGCCCTTGTTACCTTAAGTATTCACATTATTGCCTGGGTAGTGCTGATTTCACAGGGCCAGTTTTATAGCTGACCCATCAGCCATCTACAGCCTCTCTGAAAGCCTGTTTAGTCACGCTTGCATAGCACGTGTGTCTCTGTCTATACTGTTAGGTGGTAGGTTGCTTGCTAAGCTTTGTTGTGGGTTCATCTCATTTATCATGTTTATTTAGGTTTTGGATCTATCTTCTTAGTGAGCATGCTCATAGCTAACCTTCTTTGAACTTCCTCAACGTGCTGGAATTTGTTCAACTTCTCTGCATGAAATAACTCATTGAATTTTTATAATAATCTTTATAGACAGTTGCTATTATCCCTATTTCACAGATGGAAAAATGGAAACTCAGAAAGGTAAAGTAACATTCCCAAGATTACACAGCTAGTTAATGGCAAAGTCCTAACTTTGAACCTTAGCAGTCTGATACCACAGTATGTGTGGCTTAAACACAAAATATACTGTCTGTAGAATATAAGCTTCCCAAGGTCAGGCACTCTTGAATTCCTGATAGGGAGAACACAGAGCTAAGCAAATGGAAAACTATGAATATATACTTGGTGAGTGACTGTTTCATTACTTAGAATTTTTAAGATCCCCAAGACCAATTGTAGATATTTCTCTTATATTTTCCATTGCTGCTTAAGTAATGCTTACCAACTAACCAACCAACCAAGGAGAAAAGATCCTCTCTATGACAGAGTTTCATCTGCAAAGCCAAATGCCCTCAATAAGACTCATCTTCAGAAGGCTGTCCTTAGGCAGAATTAAACCCAGTCAGAGCCCCAGGTGTTCAACCTCATTTATGGTGGTGCCTTCTTTCTCCATCGCAGAGCACTGGAGAAGGATGAAAGGGGCAAACCTGAGCCAAGGGATGGAGTTTGAGCTCTTGGGCCTCACCACTGACCCCCAGCTCCAGAGGCTGCTCTTCGTGGTGTTCCTGGGCATGTACACAGCCACTCTGCTGGGGAACCTGGTCATGTTCCTCCTGATCCATGTGAGTGCCACCCTGCACACACCCATGTACTCCCTCCTGAAGAGCCTCTCCTTCTTGGATTTCTGCTACTCCTCCACGGTTGTGCCCCAGACCCTGGTGAACTTCTTGGCCAAGAGGAAAGTGATCTCTTATTTTGGCTGCATGACTCAGATGTTCTTCTATGCGGGTTTTGCCACCAGTGAGTGCTATCTCATCGCTGCCATGGCCTATGACCGCTATGCCGCTATTTGTAACCCCCTGCTCTACTCAACCATCATGTCTCCTGAGGTCTGTGCCTCGCTGATTGTGGGCTCCTACAGTGCAGGATTCCTCAATTCTCTTATCCACACTGGCTGTATCTTTAGTCTGAAATTCTGCGGTGCTCATGTCGTCACTCACTTCTTCTGTGATGGGCCACCCATCCTGTCCTTGTCTTGTGTAGACACCTCACTGTGTGAGATCCTGCTCTTCATTTTTGCTGGTTTCAACCTTTTGAGCTGCACCCTCACCATCTTGATCTCCTACTTCTTAATTCTCAACACCATCCTGAAAATGAGCTCGGCCCAGGGCAGGTTTAAGGCATTTTCCACCTGTGCATCCCACCTCACTGCCATCTGCCTCTTCTTTGGCACAACACTTTTTATGTACCTGCGCCCCAGGTCCAGCTACTCCTTGACCCAGGACCGCACAGTTGCTGTCATCTACACAGTGGTGATCCCAGTGCTGAACCCCCTCATGTACTCTTTGAGAAACAAGGATGTGAAGAAAGCTTTAATAAAGGTTTGGGGTAGGAAAACAATGGAATGATTTCTCAATGCATTACCACATATCTTTAGAAAGTCAAGGGAACTTTTACCTTAGGTGGTGTCACCCTGAGCACATTCCCATGCCCACCCCTGTGAATATTGGGCATGCCCTCTGGTCTGCAGGTGCTTCTGCATCTACCTGCCACAGAAGAAATGATGGTGTCCTAGAGACTAAGAAGTGAGAAGGGTGTGTCTGCTTGTTGCATAATTCAACCTGTTGGCAAGATTTAGTAATCCATGTTGAGATGCTTCATTCATTTTTCCCAGTTAGTGTATTTCCTTTCCTTTCCCACCCTCCCTCCCTCCCTCCCCACCTCCCTTTCTTCCTTCCTTCCTTCCTTCTTTCCTTCTTTCCTTTCTCTCTCTCTCTGTCTCTCTCTCTCTCTCCACCCCCGAGGCTGGAGCACAGTGGCATGAACATTGCTCATTGCAGCCTCAACCTCCTGGCCTCAAGCGATCCTCCTGCCTCAGCCTCCTGAGTAGCTGGGACTACAGGTGCATGCCACCACACCTGGCTAAATTCCTGATAGGGAGAACACAGAGCTAAGCAAATGGAAAACTATGAATATATATTTGGTGAGTGACTGTTTCATTACTTAGAATTTTTAAGATCCCCAAGACCAAATTGTGGATATTGCTCTTATATTTTCCATTGCTGCTCAGGTAATGCTTGTCAGCTAACCAACCAGCCAACCAAGGAGAGAAGACCCTCTCTATGACAGAGTTTCATCTACAAAGCCAAATGCCCTAAATAAGACTCATCTTCAGAGGGCTATTTTTAATTTCTGTAGAGATGGGGTCTCCCTATGTTGCCCAGGCTGGTCTTGCACTCTTGAGCTCAAGTGATTCTCCCACCTTGGCCTCCCGAAGTGCTGGGTTTACAGGCATGAGCCACCATGCTGGCCTGTCATTCTTCTTCTTTTTCTTCTTCTTCTTTTTTTTTTTGAGGCAGAGTTTTGCTCTTGTTGCCCAGGTTGGAGTGCAATGGTGTGATCTCGGCTCACCACAACCTCTGCCTCCCAGGTTCAAGCGATTCTCCTGCCTCAGCCTCCCAAGTAGCTGGGACTACAGGTATGAGCCACCATGTCTGGCTAATTTTGTATTTTTAGTAGAGATGGGGTTTCTCCATGTTGGTCAGGCTGGTCTTGAACTCCTGACCTCAGGTGATCTGCCCACTTCGGCCTCCCAAAATGCAGGGATTACAGGCATGAGCCACCGCACTGGCTGTCTTCTTTTTAAATATAGGCATTTAAGACAAATTTTTTCAAATTCTATTTAGCCTGCATCCCATATGTTTTGAAATATGGTGTTTTTAGTATTAAGTTCTGTGTATATTCTAATTTTTATTATCATTTATTCTTTAATCCATGAGTGGATTTTTTTAAAATTTCCTAATATCTGGGCATTTATGAAAAATCTACACCCAACATTATACTTACTAGTGAAATAATGCTTTCCCCTTAAGATTTGAAGCAAGGCAAGTTTTCTGCTATTGCCATCTCTATTTAAAATTGTTCTGAAGATTGTAGCAAGTACATTAAAACAAACAAAGCATCTAGATTGGAAAGGGAGAAGAAAAATTGAGTTTATTTGTAGATAACATGATCCTGAATATAGAAAGTTCCAAGTAATCTATTAAAAAACTCCACTGGAACTAATAACCAAGTTCAGTAAAATTACAGCATATAAAAAATATAGAAAAATTAATTATATTTTTATATATTGGCAAGAAACAATCCAAAAATGAAATTAAGAAAACAATTCTTTCACAAAAATGTTGTCATTTCCATATACTGGAAATCATAAAACGTTCCTGAGAAAAGTTAGAGAAGATCTAAATAAATGGAGAGACCTTCAATATTCATGGATTGGAATAATCAATATCATTAACATGGCAATACTTCCCAAACTGTTCTATAGATTCAATATAATCCTTAGGAAAATCTCAGAGGCTGTATCTTAAAAATTTGACTAGTTGGTCCTAAGATGTATATGCAAATACAAATAAACCAGAATACCTAAACAATTTTAAAAAGAAGGAGAGGTTGGGCTTGGTGGCTCACGCTTGTAATCCCAGAACTTTGGGAGGCCAAGACAGGTGGATTGCTTGAGGCTAGGAACTTGAGACCAGCCTGGGCAAGATGGAAAAAACCCCATCTCTACTGAAAATACAAAAATTAGCCGGTTGTGGTGGTGCACGCCTTTAATCCCAGCTACTCCGGAGGCTGAGGTGGGAGGATCACATGAGCCTGGGAAGTCGAGGCCTCAGTGAGCCGTGATTGTGCCACTGGACTCCAGCCTGGACAACAGGGCAAGATCCTGTCTTAAAAATAAAAATTTAAAAACATTGACTAAGTTGGAAGAATACAGACCCAATTTTAAAACTTTCCATACTGCTATAATTACCAAAATAATGGGGGTAGTGGCGTAAGGATGAGTATTTAGGGTAATGGAACATAATTGAGAATCAAGAAATAATCCCTTGGATTATGCTCAATTGACTTATCTGAAAAAAAAACTGACAAAAGTATAAAAGGCCTGTATATTTAAAACAACAAAATACTGTTTAAAGATATGGAACACCTAAATAAATGAAGATATATACCAAGTTTATTGGTTACCAAATTTAATATTGTTAAGATGTAAATACTCCCCAAATTGATCTTGAGATTCAATTCTATCCCAATCAAAATCCCACCAGTCTTTTTATAGATGCTGACAAATTGATTCTAAAATTCATATGGAAATGCAAAGACTTAGAATAACCAACGCAACTTTGAAAAAGAACAAAGTTGAAAGTCTGACTACCTGATTTCAAGAATTATATGGCTACAGTAATCAAGACAGTGTGATTGCTGTAGAAATAGATCAATGGAACAGAATAGAGAGACCACAATTTGACCACAAACAAAATGTGGACAGCTGATTTTCAACAAAGTTACCAAGGCAATTTAATAGGGAAAGAACAGTCTTTTCAACAAATGGCATAGGAATATTTAGTTATCTATATGCATAAAAATCAACTTTTATTCATACATCACATCAAATAAGAACAATTATGAATGGATCGTAGACCTGACCGTAAGACCTAAAACTATAAAACTTCTAAAAGAAAACAGGAGAAAACTTTTGTGACCTTGAGGTAGCCAAAGATTTCTGAGATATGACACAGGAAGCATGATCTATAAAAGAACAAATTAATAAGTTGAGCCTCATTCAAACTAAAATACATCAAAAGAGACTTACAGTAGTAAAAAGGCCAAGTGCAGTGGTACGTGTTTATAGTCCTCACTATGAGAGGTTTAGGCAAGAGGATCACTTGGGCTCAGGATTTAGAGGAGGCTGCAGTGTGATGATCTCACCTGTGGATAGACACTGCGCTTCAGCCTGGGCAACATAATGAGACCCTGTCTCTGAAAATATATATGTGTGCGCGCACACATACACACACACACACACACACACACACACACACACACACAAAGAGAAGCCACAGGTTATAAGAAAATATTTTCAATTGTATATGTGATAAAGCACTAGCATCCTGAATACATAGAAAACTCCCTAAGCTCCATAAAAACATCTCAGTAAGAAAAGAGGCAAAAGATTTGAACAGCCACTTCACCAAAGAAGATATACAGAAGGCAAAAAAGCACATGAAAAGATGTTTAACATCATAAGGAGATGCAAATTAAAATGCAAGTTAAATGAAATGCAACGAGACAACAAAACACCTAAAAAATAGGTAAAATGAACAAGATTGACTATAGCAAGTGATGGTGAGGATGAGAAGCAACTGGAACTCTAATACACTGCTGGTGGGAATGTGAAATGGTAAAACCACGTTGGAAAACAGTTTGGTGGTTTCACAAAATGTTCAATAGATACCTACCATATAAAACAACTATTCCATTCGTTATATTCTACCAAGAGAAATAAAAGCATACGATATATATGCTTTATGATATATGCTTTTATTTCTCTTGGTGGAATATAATAAATGGAATAGTTGTATATGGTAAACTATACAAAAGACTTGTGTTCAAATGTTCTTAGCAGCTCTATTTGGAATACTCTAAAACTAGAAATAACCCAATGTCTATTAACAGGTAAATGAGGGGAAAAACCCCTGGTCCCTACAAGGCAATACTACTCAGCAATGAAATGAATTATTATTTACATGTTACAGCACAAAAGAATCTCAAAATATGCCAAATAAAAGAAAACAGACAAAATGTATATATTGTACATTTTCATCTGTATAAAATTCTAGAAGACCAACAGGTCAGGCGATGGTGATGGAGCCTGAAGAGACATAAGGGGAAGAAGGGAAGATTACAAAGGGACACAAGAAAACTGTAGGAGATGAGGTATATGTTTATTATCATAATAGTGGTGATGGTTTCGTGGATATACATGTGTCAAAACTTAACCAAATTTTACACTATAAATATTTGTGTTTATTTCATGGCAATTATACATCAATCTAGATGTCAAAATAGGGCCACAAGCTCTTTTCTGTTGCTTTCAGTAAGAGATGGATTTTAATTCTCTTTCCCCTGAGTCTGGGTTGGCCTTAGTGTCTGGTTTGACCATTAGAATGTAGCAGATATTAGGACTTCTGAGCTTAGGTCATAAGAGGACTTGCACCTTTGGCACAGCTGTCTGGGAACACTCTCTGGGATCCCTGAGCCGCCACATAAGAAGTCTGGCTACCTTGAGGTTGTAATGCTAGAGAGGCCATGTGTAGACACTCCAGTTGAGGCTCCCAGCTGAGCCCAGCCTTCTCCATCAAAGTGCCAGATGTATGGGTGACCAGCTCACACCAGCCCAGGTGCCAGCTGAATACCACAAAGTAACCTTTGTTACTGTCATATGGAAAAAAATATCACCCCAATTGAGCCCTGTTTGAATTCCTAACTTCTGAAACTGTGAGATGTGTTACAATAAAATCCCTGTTGTTTGAAGTCATTGGAAAGTTTTGGAGCAGTTTATTACGCAGCAGTAGATAACAAGAAATGAATTAGTCACTTGGAAGTTGGGAGTGCTTTTGTAACAAAAACATGTGGCATTGACATTGGTACTGGGCAGTGGGCAGAAACTGGAAGGGCCATGAAGAGACTGATAGTGAAAGCTTGAAGGTCAATGAGGAGAATGTTATTGGAGCTGGAGAAGATATGACACATTATGTGGTGATAAGAAGTTTTGTGAAACTGTTGATTTTGGTAACATCGAAAATAGAATGTACCTAATGTATCTAATGAACTGGTAGATCCGACAAAGGAGATTTTCAAGCAGAATGTTTAAGGTGCCAAATGGTTTATTTGGCTGCATATACTGAGAGATACGGCTACATTAGATTCACACTCGAGATATGGCTACACTAGAGATATGGCTAAAAAAGGATGAAATACAAAAGAAACTGTTCAGTATGCAAAATTTAGAGGGATTATAAAGTAGCCAGAGCTTGCTAGGATTAAAACTGAAACTGGGCCAGGTGTGAAGGCTCATGCCTATAATCTCAACACTTTGGGAGGCCGAGGTCGGAGGATTGCTTGAGGCCAGGATTTCAAGACCAGCCTGAGCAACATAGTGAGACCCCATTTCTACCCCAAAATTTTTTTAATTGAAAAAAATCCAAAAACTGTTTCTCTTTCCCATCTTATTCAGATGGCAAAATGTTCTCAAACTAAAAACCAAAACAAGCAAAAATAACTCAAAGTCAAGACAATCTTAAGGGTGTTGCTGAGAGGCCCTTTATTAAGACTTTAATCAGTTCCTTATAGACTCTTTTAACTAGAAAAAAAAAAAGACTTTGAAGAATCTTAAGGACACCTTGCAGCCTCCTGACCCACAGTCCAAACTAGGAATGGCCTGTCTAGAAGAGATTGGGGAGTATGGCTTTTGACTAATAGAATGAACCCAAACTGGATTCCTAGGAACCCCACAAAGTTTTTAGAAAGGATTATATTGGTGGAAGGGTGATCTCTTGGGCTAAAAAGGGCAGAGTTCAAAATTAAAAGAGCCTTCAAAACTCCCAAACTTTTATGGTCAGGAGGCAGCGTGACAAACCTGCAAAATGGGACATTTCTAGTGCAAAAGGTAGGTGACGCAGGGCTCTTCCATTAAAGTCTTTGATCAATTTTGAGTTGATTTTATATGGTGTGAGATAAGGGAAAAACTTCATTCTTTTGCATGTGGCTATCCAGTTGTCCCAGTACAATTTGCAGAAAATAATATTTTCCACATTGAATGGTCTTGGCACCATTGTCAAAAATCAGTTGATCATAAATGTTTGGGTTTACTTTTGGATTCTCTATTCTATTCCATTGATCTATATGTGTATCCTTACCCCAGAACCACACTGTCTTGATTACGGTTGCTTTTAGTAAGTTTTGAAATCAGGAAATGTGAGTCCATCTACTTTGTCCTTCTTTTCAAGATATTTTTGGCTATTCTAGCTTACTAGCAATTCCATGTGGATTTTTGAATCAGCTTGTCAATGTCTACAGTGAAGTCAGCTGCTATTTTGAAATGGATTGTGTTGAATCTGTAGATCAATTTGGGGAATATTGCCATCTTAACAATATTAAGTCTTCTGATCCATGAACATGGATTTTTTCTGTTTATTTAGATATTTAAGTTTTGTCAACAATGTTTTATAGTCTTTAGAGTATAGGTTTTGCACTTCTTTTGTCAAATGTGTTACTATAGTTTTCGATGCATTATAATAAATAAAATTTTATTTTATTTTATTTTTGATACAATGTCTCACTCTGTCACCCAGGTTGGAGTGCATTGGTGTAATCACAGCTCGCTTCAGCCTTGACTTCTTGAGCTCAGTGATCCTCCCTCCTCAGCCTCCGGAGTAGCTGGGATTAGTAGGCATGCACCACCATGCATGCCTTACTAATTTTTTGTATTTCTTTCCTTTTTTTTTTTTTTTAAGAGACGGGGTTTCACCATGTTGCCCAGGCTGGTTCCAAAGTCCTGGACTCAAGTGATCTGCCCGTCTCCACCTCCCAAAGTGCTGGGACTACAGGCATGAATCATTGCACCTGACCAAAATTTTCTTAGTTTCATTTCAGATTGTTCATTGCAAGTCTATAAAAATTTGGCCTACTGCTCTTATTTCCTACAAATTTGCTGAACTGATTTATTAGTTCCAATAGTTTTTTTACCAGATTCCATTGGATTTTCCATGTGTAAGATTATGTAATCTGTATATAGACATAGTTTTGTGGGTATTTTTGACTTTCCAGTCTGGATAACTGTTATTTCTTTTTCTTGCCTGATAGCCCTAGTTAGAACCTCCAGTACAATGTTAAATGGAACTGGCGAGACTGGACATTTTTTGTCTTGTTCCTGACCTTAGGGGAAAAGTATCTGGCCTTTCACCATTAAATATAATGTTAGCTGTGCGGTTTTATCAGGTTGAAGAAGTCCCTATGTAGTCATAGTTTATCGAATGTTTTTAAAATGTATTTTATGTTATTTTTAGAGATGGGGTCTCACTGTTGTCCAAGCTGGAGTTCAGTGGCATGATCATAGCTCACTGCAGCCTCAAACTCCTGGGCTCAAGCGATCCTCCTGCCTTAACCTCCTGAGTAGCTGTGTAGCTGTGACCACAGGCATGCACCACCATGCCTGATTAATATTTTATTTTTTGCAGATATGGGGTTTCACTGTGTCATCCAGGCGCAGATTTTTTTAACAAGCTTAATATATTTTTATTATTATTTTTTTTTATTATACCACAAATTCTGGGGTACATGTGCAGAACGTGCAGGTTTGTTACATAGGTTTACACATGCCATGGTGGTTTGCTGCACCCATAAATCCATCATACACATTAGGTATTTCTCCTAATGCTATCCCTCCCCTAGGCCCCGACCTGCTGACAGGCCCTGGTGTGTGATGTTCCTCTCCCTGTGTCCATGTGTTCTCATTGTTCAACTCCCACTTATGAGTGAGAACATGTGGTGTTTGGTTTTCTGTTCCTGTGTCAGTTTGCTGAGAATGATGGTTTCCAGCTTCATCCATGTCCCTGCAAAGGACGTGAACTCATTGGTTTTCAATATATTTGGCAATTTTCAAGATATTTGGCAATTTTCAGCCGTTATTTCTTAAAAAATTGTTTCTGCTCCTTTCTGAGTCTGCTCCTTCTTGTATTCCCATTACACATATGTTGGTGAGCTTAATAATTATGTCCCACTTTCCCCTGAGGCTCTGCTTATTTTTCTCCATTCTTTTTTTCCTCCATTCTTTGTTTTGCATAATCTCTACTAATCTAATTGTTTCTGCCAGTTCAATATACTGAACTCATACTTCCAGATATTAAAACACAATTGACAAGAAAGACCCAAATATTTAATAATTATTAGGCTGGGTGCGGTGGCTCATACCTGTAATCCCAACACTTTGGGAGGCCAAGGTGTGGGGGATCACTTGAAGCCAGGAGTTCGAGACCAGCCTGGCCAACATGGTGAAGCCTCATCTCTACTAAAATATACAAAAAATTAGCTGGGCAAGTTGGTGAACACCCATAGTCCCAGTTGCTTGGGAGGGGTTCATGTCTACAATCCCAGCTCTTTGAGAAGCCGAAGCAGGAGGATCACTTGAGACCAGGAGCTTGAGACCAGAATGGACAACATAGTGAGATCCCATCTCCACAAATGTTAATAAATTATCTGGGCGTGGTGGCACATGCTTCTAGTACTAGCTACTTGGGAGGCTGAATCAGGAGGATCCCTTGAGCCCAGGAGTTCAGGGATGCAGTGAACTATAATTATGCCCCTGGACTCCAGCCTGGATAGCAAAGTGAGACCCTGTTTTTTAAAAAAAGAAAGAAGAAAGAAAGAAAAAGAAAGAAAGAAAGAAAGAAAGAAAGAAAGAAAGAAAGAAAGAAAGACAGAAAGAAAGAAGGGAGGGAGGGAGGGAGGGACAGAGGGAGGGAAAGAGAAAGAGAAATAAATAAAGGAAGGGAGAGAGAAAGAGAAAGAAAGAAAGAAAGAAAGAACAAAAGAAGGAAAGAAAGAAAGAGAAAGCAGGAAAGAAAGAAAGAGAAAACAAGAAAGAAAGAAAGAAAGAAAGAAAGAAAAAAGAAAGAAAGAAAACATTTTCTAACTCATTCTATGAGGTCAGCATTATCCTGATACCAAAGCCAAACAAAGACACTACAAAGAAAACTACAGACCAATATCCCTTATGAACATTGATGCAAAAATCCTCAACAAAATACTAGCAAACTGAATTCAGCAGCATATTATTAGGATTATACACCATGACCAGGTGGGATTTATTCCTGGAATGCAAGGATGGTTCACCACATAAAAATTGGTCAATATAATGTACCATATTAACATAAGGAAGGAAAAAAACCATATGATCATTTCAATTGATACAGAAAAAGCATTTGACAAAGGTCAACACCATTTCATGATAAAAACACTCAACAAACAAAAAATAGAAGTAGCCTACTTCAACATAATAAAAAGTATATACAAACACCCCACAGCAAACATCATGTGCGATGGTGAAAGACTGAAAGCTACTTTCAAAGATCAGAAACAGGGTAAGGCTGCCTCCTTTCACTACTTCTGCTCAGCATAGTACTGGAAGTTCTAGACAAAGCAGTTAGGCAAGAAAAAAAAATAAAATGCATCTAAATTAGAAAGGAAGAAGTAAAATTACCTCTATTTGTAGATGATATAATCTGATTTGTAGAAAACCCTAAAGATTGCACACATGCACTCAGAAACTGTTAGAACTAAAAAACAAAATCAGTTGAGTAGCCAAATACAAAGTCAATACACAAAAATTAATTGCATTTTTCTACACTAATGAGGAACAATCTGAAAAGAAAATTATGAAAACAATTTCATTTACAATAGCAGCAGAAAGCATAAAACACTTAAGAATTAACCAAGGAGATGAAAGACTTGTAACCAAAACTACAAAACATTGCTGAAGGAAATTAAAGAAGACATCAATAAATGAAAACATATCCCATGTTTATCAAGTGGAAGATTTAATAGTGTTAGATGTCAATACTACACAATACAATCTATAGATTCAATGTGATCCCTATCAAACTCCCAATGATGTTTTTGTTGAAGTGAGAAAACCATTTTAAAGTTCATATGGAACTTCAAGAGACCCTAAATAGTCAAATTAATCTTGAAAAAAAAAAAAAAGAACAGTACTGGAGCACTCACACTTCCTGATTTCAGCAGTACTGGAGCACTCACACTTTCTGATTTCTGATTTACTACAAAGCTACTCTTATCAACGCAGTGTGGCATTGGCATAAAGACAGACATATAAACCTACAGCATAGATTAGACAGCCCATAAATAAATCTTCACATATATGGTAAAATGATTTTTTTTTTTTTGAGACAGAATCTCATTCTGTCACCCAGGCTGGAGTGCAGTGGCATGATCTCGGCTCACTGCAACCTCTGCCTCTCAGGCTTAAGCAATTCTTGTGCCTCAGCCTCCTGAGTAGCTGGGACTACAGGCGCCCATCACCACGCCAGACTAATTTTTGTATTTTTAGTAGAGACGGGGTTTCACCATGTTGAAAAAGCTGGTTCCGAACTCCCGGCCTCAAGTGATCCACTGCCTCGCCCTCCCAAAGTGCTGGGATTACAAGCATGAGCCACCACACCCAGCCTGGTAAAATAATTTTTGCCTAGGGTACCAAGACTATTCAGTGGGGGAAAGGAGAGTTTTTTTTTTTTTTTTAAGAAATAGTGCTGAAGAAATTGTATATCCACAAAAGAATAAAGTTGGAGCCTTGCCTAATGCTATCAACAAAGACCTAAATGTAAAACCTAAAATTATGAAACTCTTAGAAGAAAATATAAAGAAAAATATAAAGAAAAATCTTCACAACATTGGATTTGCCAATTATTTCTTGCATATGACACCAAAGGCATAAGCAACAACAACACAAAATAGACAAATTGGTCTTCATGAAAATTAAAAAAATTTGCCTTAAAAGATAATATCAACAGAATAAAAGGCAACCCACAGGATGGGGAAAAAAAAACAATTGCAAATCATATATCTGATAAGGGCTTAGTATCCAGAATATATAGAGAACTTCTAGAGCTAAACAACAACAACAACAACAAAACCCAAACATGGTGGGAGTGTAAATTAGTAACCACTATGGAGAACAGTCTGGAGGTTTCTCAAAAAACTAAAAATAGTGCTACCATGCAATCCAGCAATACCACTGCTAGATATATACCCAAAAGAAAGGAACTCAGTATATTGAAGAGGTATCTGCACTCCCTTGTGTGTTGTAGCACTGTTCACCGTAGCTACTAATACACAATGGAGTACTATTCAGCTATAAAAAAGAAAGAGATTAAGTCATTTGCAACAACATGGATGGAACTGGAGGTCATTATGTTAAGTGAAATAAGCCAGGCTCAGAAAGACAAACATCACATGTTCTCACTTATTTGTGGGAGCTAAAAAGCAAAACAATTGACCCATGAAGATAGAGAGTAGAAGGATGGTTCTAGAGGTGGGGAAGGGTCGTAGTGGGTGGGGGAGGTGGGGATGGTTAATGAGCACAAAAAAATAATTTAAATAAATAAATAAGGCCTAGCATTTGATAGTACAACAGGATGACTGTAGTCAATAATAATTTAATTGTATATTTAAAAATAAAAGAGTATTGTTTGAATATGAAGGATATTTGATTGGTTGTAACATGAAGGATAAATGCCTCAGGGGATGGATGCACACTTTTTCCATGATGTGATTGTTATGCATTGCATGCCTGTACCAAAATAGCTCATGCACCCCATAAATATATATACCTACTATGTTCCTACAAAAATTAAAACAAAAAAATTATAAAAATAAAAAAATCCCCAAAACCTATTTTTAAATGGGCAAGAGGGCTGGGTGTGGTGGCATACACCTGCAATCCTAACACTTTGGGAGGCCGAGGCAGGAGGATCACTTGAGCTCAGGATTTTGCGACCAGCCAGGGCAACATAGTCAGACCTCATCTCTACTAAAAATAAAAATAAAAATTAGCCGGGCATGGTGGTGCACACCTGTAATCTCAGCTACTCAGGAGACTGAGGTGGGAGGACCACTTGAGCTATGATCACATGACTGCACTCCAGTCTTGGTGACAGAGTGAGACCCTCTCCACTGCTCCCCCCCCCCACAAAAAAGGCAAAAGATTTGAATATAAGCACATGAAAAGTTGTTCAACATCACTAATCATTAGGGAAATAAAAATCAAAACTACAATGAGATATCACCTCACATGCATTAGGATGACTACTATCAAGAAAACAAAATAAAAAGTGTTGGCAAGGATGTGAAGAGATGGAAACCCTTGTGCACTGTTAATGGGAATGCAACAGGTACAACTGCTGTGGCAAACAATATGGCAGTTCCTCACAAAATTAAAAATACCATTACCGGCCAGCTGCAGTGGTTCATGCTTATAATTTTAGCACTTTGGGGGGCCAAGGCAGGAGGATCACTTGAGCCCAGGAGTTTGAGACCAGCCTGGGCAACATAGTGAGACCCTGTATTTACAAAAAATAGAAATAAAAATTATCTGGGCTTAGTGTCACATGCTTGTAATCCCAGCTGCTTGGAAGGCTGAGGTGAAAGGATCGCTTGATCCTGGGAAGTCAAGGCTGTAGTGAATTGTGATTGTGCCACTGCACTCCAGGCTTGGTGACAGAGCAAGACTCTCAAAAAAAGCAAAAACAATTACCATATAATCCATCAATTCCATTCCACTTCTGGATATATAGCCAAAAGAATTGAGAGCAGGCTCTGAAAGAGATGTTTGTACACCCATGTTCATAGCAGCATTTTTTGTTTTGTTCTGTTTTTGTTTTGAGACAGAGTTTCACTTTTGTTGCCCAGGTTAGAGTGCAGTGGCGCGATCTCGGCTCACTGCAATCTCCGCCTCCCGGGTTCACGCCATTCTCCTGCCTCAGCCTCCTGAGTAGCTGGGACTATAGGCGCCCACCACCACGTCCGGCTAATTTTTTGTATTTTTAGTACAGACGGGGTTTCACCGTGTTAGCCAGGATGGTCTCGATCTCCTGACCTCGTGATCCACCCGCCTCAGCCTCCCAAAGTGCTGCGATTACAGGCATGAGCCACCGCTCCCGGCCTGACGGTTGTTAGCTTTCCACATTGTTAAATAAAATACATCTTAGTAAGCTTTTTAAAATATTTAGTAATTGTAGTTCAATTAATTTTTTCATATATGGCATGTTGCCTTCATGCAATTGAACTATAAAGTTCATTGCAATGCATATTATCTTCTGTTCTTTTTGCACAGCAGAGTTTATTAGGCTGGTGCAAAAGCCACTGCGGTTTTTGTTGTTACTTTTAATGGCAAAAACTGCTAGTACTTTTGCACCAACCGTAAATTTGTTTGATACATCAACAAATTAAAAATAAATAAATGGGCCAATTGAAAACATACAGAGTTTTTTTTGTCGTATTTTACTTTATTTTTTTGAGACAGGGTGTGGTTCTGTTGCCCAGGCTGGAGTGCAGTGGCACAACCTTAGCTCACTACAATCTCTGCCTCCCAGGCTCAAGCAATCCTCCCACCTCAGCCTCTCGTGTAGCTGGGACTACAGGCTGGGGCTACAGGCTAATTTTTTTTTTTTAAATTTTTTGTAGAGACAGGGTCTTGCTATGTTGCCCAGGCTGGTCTCAAATTCCTGGCTCAAGTGATCCACATTCCTCGGTCTCCCAAAGTGCTGGTATTATAGCCATGAGCCATTGTGCCTGGCTTAGATTTAGACTAAATAAATTTAAGAGTTAAGCAGGGTTTCTGGACCCATGGTCAATATGCAAAAATCAGTTGTACCTCTATATAGCAGCAATAAACAGTTACAAAATATCTAAAAAAGATATTACGATAGAATACATGTATCAAATACTGATAAATTATAAAATACGGGTGAGACCTCTTATTTTTAAAATATAAAATATTATTGAGAGAAAGTAAAGAAGATCTTTTTTTTTTTTTGAGACAGAGTCTCGCTCTGTCGCCCAGGCTGGACTGCAGTGGCGCGATTTCAGCTCACTACAAGCTCCGCCTCTCGGGTTCACGCCATTCTCCTGCCTCAGCCTCCCAAGTAGCTGGGACCACAGGCGCCCGCCACCGCGCCCTGCTAATTTTTTGTGTTTTTAGTAGAGAGGGGGTTTCACCGTGATAGCCAGAATGGTATCGATTTCCTGACCTCGTGATCCCCCCGCCTCAGCCTCCCAAAGTGCTGGAATTACAGGCGTAAGCCACCGCGCCTGTCAAGAAGATCTTATATGTAGAGAAATATACATGTTCAAGAATTGGAAAACTAAATTATTATAAAAAGATATCAATTCTCTCTAAACTGATAAAGTATATACAGATTTAGTGCAATCCCAATTAAAATCACAATAGTTTTTTAATGGAACCTTATAATCTGAGTTTACAATTCATATAGAAATGCAAATGGCAAACAATAACCTAAATGCTTTGAAAAATAAGGTGGGAGAACATAGTCTACTAGCTTGGATTTATGATAAAGCTGCAGTAATTAAAACAATGTGGTTTTGGTGCAAGGATGGATAAGGAGACCAATAAAACCGGAAATTCACACAACACACCCAACACAAAAATCTCGTCAAAACGTATACAAAATTTAAATATAGGTTCACAGTAGATCTCAGTGAGAAAGGCACACAATACAACTATCAGAAAATAATATACAAAAATAACTTCATGTCTCTGAGACAGGAAAACCTTTCTAAAACAGTTCATAAATATTACAAATCATAAGGCAGAGACTAAATTTGACTGTATCAACATTTAAATCTCAATTTATTAAAAGACATTTTAAAAGCAAAGAAAGACAAGCCAAAGGGTGGAAGAAAACATTTGATAAGCATCCAGAATATATGAACCAAACAGAAAAAGATAAATAAATAGCCTAGTAAAAAAATAGACTAGAGGAACAGGCACTTCACAGAAGAATTCAAATTGTCATTAAATCCAAAAAAGATATCTCATTTATTAGTAATCAAGAAAACACTCATAACTCACACACCCACCAATAGGATCCAACTATATATTCAGACTCAGACTGAATCATACTACCCACTCACCAATAGGATCCAACTATATATTCACCTGAGTAGCAAAAGCAAGGATTTGAATCAACTGGAAGTTTCAAACCTGTATCGTGTAAGTTTGTATAAGCACTTTGGAGCAGCTTGGCATTAGCTGTTTTAGTTGAAAATAGGCATATATTGGCCAGGCGCGGTGGCTCACGCCTGTAATCCCAGCACTTCGGGAGGCCGAGGCAGGCGGATCACAAGGTTAGGAGATCGAGACCATCCTGGCTAACACAGTGAAACCCCATCTCTATTAAAATACAAAAAAATTAGCCGGGCATGGTGGCGGGCGCCTGTAGTCCCAGCTATTCGGGAGGCTGAGGCAGGTGAATGGCGTGAACCCGGGAGGCAGAGCTTGCAGTGAGCCAAGATTGTGCCACTGCACTCCAGCCTGGGCGACACAGCGAGACTCTGTCTCAAAAAAAAAAAAAAAAAAAAAAAAAAAAAAAAAAGAAGGAAAATAAGCATATATTATGATCTAACAGCTTTGCTTGTGATATTCACCCAACAGCTATATGTGACCATGTACATAAGGGGACATGTAGAAGAATGTTCAGATAAGCCATTTTATTTTATTTCATTTTATTTTTTATTTTTTGAGACAGAGTTTTGCTCTTGTTGCCCAGGCTGGAGTGCAGTGGCACGATCTCAGCTCACTGCAACCTCTGCCTCCCAGATTCAAGTGGTTCTCCTGCCTCAGCCTCCCGAGTAGCTGGGACTATAGGCACGTGCCACCAGGCCCAGCTAAGTTTTGTATTTTTTTTACTAGAGGCGGGGGTTTCACCATTGTGGCCAGGATGGTCTCGATCTCTTGACCTCGAGATCCGCCCGCCTCGGCCTCCCAAAGTCCTGGGATTACAGGTGTGAGCCACCGCGCCCAGCCAAGCCTATTTATTATAACCAAACAATGGAAACAGACTAAATGTCTATTTACAACAGGATGGATAATTAATTATGATACATTCATACATTAGAATACCCCACAGCAATGAAAGTGAACAAACTATAGCTAACCACAACTTTGTGTCTTATGTGAACAAAGCCAGACGCTAAAAGATATATATATTTCCATTTATACAAAGTTCTCAGATTAGGTGGAAAAAGGATTCAAATAGTAAAGAATTGATTACCATAAAACTCAAGAAAATGACTACTTTTGGGGAGAGGCAGGTGACTCCAACTGGTAAAGGGCAGAAGGGGAGCTACTGGGTTGCTGAGATTGTTCCACTTCTGGAACTGGGTACTCATTGCATGCAAGGGTGTTCACTAAGGTAAACATTTATGTTTTATGCATTTTTTTTCTAAATGGTTGCTTTATTTGGCAATGAAAAAATTTAAAAATACTTCTTGCAAACTGTAGTTTATGAATTGAGATTCCTGTGAAATGCTAAGTATCTGATAAAGCATAAATTCTGGGTCTATTTCTTACTAATATCTAGAACTCTTTGAGAGAAAAAACATACAAATGTTACCTAGAGTAAGAAATGAATGTGGCTCTCTATATGTCACTGAGCTGTATAAAGACACTCTTGTGTATTAGAGTTCTCCAGAGAAACAGAACCAGTATACACATACATATATAACCATTTATATCTATATATCAATATATACACACACACACACACACACACACATATATATACACATATATAGTCACGCATTGCTTAACAACAGAGATACATTCTAATAAAAACATCGTTGGGTGATATCTTTTTTTTTTTTTTTTTTTTTTTGAGATGGAGTCTCATTCTGTCTCCCAGGCTCCCAGGCTGGAGTGGCGTGATCTCTGCTCACTGCAATCTCTGCTTCCTGGGTTCAAGCGATTCTCCTGCCTCAGCCTCCTGAGTAGCTGGGATTACAGGCGTGCACCACCATGCCTGGCTAATTTTTGTATTTTTAGTAGAGACAGGGTTTTGCCATGTTGTTCAGGCTGGTCTCGAACTCCTGACCTCAGGTGATCTGCCTACTTCAGCCTCCCAAAGTGCTATTACAGGCGTAAGCCACCGTGCCTGGCCCTGTTAGGTGATTTCATCATTGTGTGAACACCACACAGTGTACTTACACAAACCTACATGGTATAGCCTGCTACATACCTAGGCTATACGGTATAGCCTGTTGCTCCTAGGCTACAAACCTGTACAGCATGTCACTGTGCCAAATACTGTAGACAACTGTAACACAATGATAAATATTTGTGTATCTAAACACGTCTAAACATAGAAAAGGAAACGGGTTGTGCTATGATGTTATGAGGGCTATGACTTCGCTAGGCGATAGAATTTTTCAGCTTCATTATAATTTTATGGATCAAGCATCGTATATGAGGTCTGTCATTGAGCAAAACACCATTGTTTGGGTTATGACTATATATATACAGAGAGACAGCGGGGGGACTGAGTGGGGGCAGAAGAGAGAGAGAGATTTATTATTAGGAATTGAATCACGATTATGAAATCTCACAATCTGCTATCTGGAAGCTAGAGACTCAGTAAAGCTGGCAGTATAATTCAGTCTGAATCTGAAGGCTTGAAAACCAGGAGGGCTAGACGTGTAAATCCCAGTCAGAGAGCAGAAGATGAGATGAGATGTCCCAACTAACTCAGGCAAGCAGGCAGCAAAAAGGGTGAATTCCTCCTTCCTTTGCCTTTTGTTCTATTTAGGCCCTCAACAAGTTGGATGGTGCCCACTCACATTGAGGAGAGCAATCTACTTTACCGGTCTGCTGATTCAAAGGATAATCTTGAAACACTCTCACAGACACACCCACAAATAATGTTTAATCTGGGCACCCCCAGGCCCAGTCAAGTTGACACATATAATTAATCATTATACCCTAGTAATAGGTACAAACAATATTAGCCCTTCCACAGATATGAAAGGAATGTGTTTTAGCATTTATTTATTTATTTCTTGAGATGGAGTCTCGCTCTGTTGCCCAGGCTGGAGTGCAGTGGTGCGATCTCGGCTCACTGCAAGCTCTGCCTCCCGGGTTCACGCCATTCTCCTGCCTCAGCCTCCCGAGTAGCTGGAACTACAGGCGCCTGCCACCATGCCCGGCTAATTTTTCTGCATTTTTAGTAGAGATGGGGTTTCACCGTGTTAGCCAGGATGGTCTCCATCTCCTGACCTCGTGGTCCACCCGCCTTGGCCTCCCAAAGTGCTGGGATCACAGGGAGCTTTTATTTTTAATTGTGGTTTACCCTTATTATTAATTTTTAAAATTAAAATTAATCTGTTCTTAAAATTTTCTCTAAAGTTGATAACATTGACTTATACGATAAAGCCTAAATTCCTTAGGGCTGCCTTCTCATTCATCTCATCTCTTGGTACCTTTCTCGGAGTTTATGCTCCAGAAACACTGATCTATTTGTGTTTCCCAAAATACACTGTATTTCCTCAAGCCTTTTTTCTTTGGATCATATTGTACTCTTTGCCTGTAACATTTTCCTTTGAAAATTTCTACACATTCTTCAAGTTTTCTGCTGAAACGCTACCTTCCTGTGAAGACATCCTTTTGCTAAGCATTAATACTCCTAATAACTTTGTGCATACTTCTATTAAAGGAATTATCTAAGTTTCCAATATTATAAGTATAAGATAATTCCTCTCCTTCTCCACTAGAGGGCAGAGACAGCTTTTTCCCCCCATTTTTATTTCTAGTGGCATGGGGGACTTACAATAACTAGCCAAGTTACTGTATTTGTTGAGTTAATTAAGATGACTCTTAATCCATGATGCATTCTAGATCCCTTCCCAGGGTTGTAATTATTGCACTGGTGGCAGTAAATCAGCTTTCTATAAGTTGTGCAATTTGGGGTTTAAAAATATCTCTAGGCCGACCCCTCCTTTCAGTAACAATGCATCCTCCAATATGCAGGAACTTGTGAAGAATCAGAACACACCTGCGACTGCTAAGATGGCAAGTGAACTCAGGTTGCTGGCTGCTTCTTCTGAAATCAGTCCTGCAGAAAATACAAAGTAAGAGGTAAGCATAGACTCCAGGAATTAACCATCATTACCACTACCTCTGTAAGAAACCCCAGGGAAAACTAGAGACTGTCTTGCACTGAAGTGTGTGAGAAGGAGTGGGAGAAGATGGGAGTGGGAAGAGCAGGGGAAGGTAGGGTAGACTGTGGTCTGGGCAGAGGGTAGCAGTGAGAGTGAAGAAAGGCTTCTTAAAATTCTGCTTCCCCCTTTCTGCAGGTTTGCTTTGGAACAGTTGTTGCCTTTGGCTTCACAGTAAAACTCATGGCAACATCCTAGACCGCTGTGGATGGTATCTTCAGAGGCTGTTTTAAGGAGCTGCAATATGTTGCTTCTAACAACTGCATAATACTCAATTATTTTATCTGCTGCATCCTACTATATACTTTACCAATGCTGTACACAGTTGTCTCCAAATTCCTTGGCAGTATTCCTCCAAACTTTTTCTTTTCTGGTTTTTTTTTTTTTTGTTTTTTTTTTGGTTTTTTTTGAGACAGAGTCTTGCTCTGTTGCCCAGGCTGGAGTGCAGTGGCACGATTATGACTCACCTGTAGCTTCACCCCGCTGGACTCAAAAGATCCTCCCACCTCAGCCTTCCAAGTAGCTGGGACTACAGGCACACATCCCCATGCCTAAGTTTTTAAAAATTTTTTGTAGAGATGGGGGTCTCACTATATTGCCTAGGCTGGTCTTGAACTACTCCTAGACTCAAGTGATCCTCCTGCGTTGGCCTCCCTAAGTGTTGGGATTACAGGTGTGAACCACCACACCCAGCCTTATTTCTTTTTCTGCTTAAATTAGTCAGTTAATGTCTGTTTTCTGTAACTATTAAGCCTGACCTTTAGTGGAAACAAAACTGGAAGAAGGAAAAATATTAGGAGGTTATTAAAATAAACCAGACAAGACATAGTGATGATGCGGGCAAGAACATTTGAGATATAAGAGTTGTTGGGCTAGGGATATATTTTGGACATAAACAGGACAGGAAAGGAAGGAAAATAAAGTAACCAAGCATGAGTCCTAGGTTTTGGCCACAGCAACTGTAATGAATGGTGATGTCATTTATTGAGATGGGAAATAATAAAGTAGAATTTTTATTTTTATTTTATTTATTTATTTATTTTAGGATGGGAATGTAAAGTTCTGTTTTGGAGGCGGGTGTGGTGGCTCATGCTTGTAATCCTAGCAGTTTGGGAGGTCAAGGTGGGTGGATCACCTGAGGTCAGGAGCTCGAGACCAGCCTGGCCAACATGGTGAAACCCCATCTCCACTAAAAATACAAAAATTAGCTGGGCATGGTGGTGCACGCCTGTAATGCCAGCTACTTGGGAAGCTGAGGCCGGAGAATCACTTGAATCCGGGAGGCAGAGGTTGCAGTGAGCCGAGATCACACCACTGCATTCCAGCCTGGGCCACAGAGTGAGACTCCGTCTCAAAAAAAAAAAAAAAAAAGTTCTCTTTTGGTCATGCTATGTTTCTGGAGACCCCTATAAGACACCCAAGTGGAGATGACATATGTGTCTGGGGTTCAGTACAGAAGTCTGGACCTGCAAACTTATAAAATCAGCAGCATAAGGGAGTATTTAACATCATGGGCCTGGATGAGATCATTAGGGAAATAGTGTATGTAAAAAAGAGGACCAAGAAATGTAGCCAGAGGCAATTGATATTTAAATTGGGAAGACAAGGAGGATCCAACAAAGAAGACTAAGAAGCAGCAGCCAATGAAGTAAGAAGAAACCAGAAGAATGTGGAGTCTCTGATAACAGATGAAAGCATTCTTTCAAAAAGTATGGTGAAGTCAAGTATATCACATGTCACTGAAAGTTCTATCAGATGAGAACAGAAAATTTAATACGAAATATAGGGAAATGGAGGTAATTAATAAAAATATTTTTAGGACAGTGGTGTGGAAAAAAGCCAGGGATTTATTTCCTTTGTCACTCCCTGCCCCCAACTTTCTCCTTTTTCCTGCCTGGAACTAAGATAAAATGAAGACTGAAGTTAGAATTGCCATACTGGGTCATAAGGTGAACTTGAGGATGGAAGTTTTGCACTAAAGATGACACAGAAGGAAGATAGAAGGAGCCTGGGTCCCTAGTGACTATATGGAACTATAATATCCACTTCTCGACTTCTTTCACATAGAGGAAAACAAACCCTATCTTATATATGCTACTTTAATTTGGGTTTTCTGTTATATGTGACTAGACCTAATTCCCACTGACATAGAAGGAGAGCAAAGAAAAGAGGCAGTGTCGTGATAGAAAAAGAAAAGCTGCTTTTTTTAAATTGACAGATAACATTGTATATACACAACATGATGTTTTAAAACCTGTATATATAGTGGAATGGCTAAATCAAGCTAATTAAGATGGAATTCCTCACAGTTGTCATTTTGTGGTGAGAACACTTGAAATCAGCTCTCTTAGAATGTTTCAAGGATACAATGTATTGTTATTAACTATAGTCACCATGTTGTACAACAGATATCTTTAACTTATTCCTCCTATCTAACTGAAATTTTGTATCCTTTGACCAACATCTCCCCAACTCCCTCCCTACCACAACACTAGCCCTTGGTATCCCACATTCTACTTTCTACTTCTACGAGTTTAACGTTTTTAGATTCCACACATGAGTGAGATCATGTGGGATTTGTCTTTCTGTGCCTGGCTTATTTCACTTAACATCATATCCTCCGGGTTCATCCATGTTGTCTCAAATGACAGGATTTCCTTCTTTTTAATGGCTCAGTAGTATTCAATTGCATATATATGCCACATTTTGTTTATCCATTAATCCATGGATAGCACTTGGTTTGCTTCCATGTGAGTGGTACTACTATGAACACAGGTGCACACAAATATCTCTTTGATATCCTGATTTCAATTCTTTTGGATTTATACCGAGAAGTGGAATTGTTGGATCATACAGTAATTATATTTTTATTTTTTTGAGGGACCTTGATATGGTTTGGGTCTGTGTCCCCACCTAAATCTCATATGGAATTGTAGACCCCAGTGTTGGAGGAGGGGCCTGGTGGGAAGTGATTGATTATGGGGGTGGATTTCCCCCTCGAAGTTCTTGTGATAGTGAGTTATCATGAGATCTGGTTGTTTAAAAGTGTGTAGCAGCTCCTCCTTCACTCTTCCTTCTTCTCCAGCGTGCCTGCTTCCCCTTCGCCTTCCACCATGATTGTAAGTTTCCTGAGGCCTCCCCAGCCATGCTTCCTGTATAGCCTGCAGAACTGTGAGTCAACTAAACCTGTTTTCTTTATAAATTACCCAGTCTCAGGTAGTTCTTTATAGCAGCGCGAGAAAGGACTAATACAGACTTCCATACTGTTCTCTATAATGGCTGTACTAATTTACATTTCTACCAACAGTGTGCAATGGTTCTCTTCTCTCCACGTTCTCACCAACACTTATCTTTTGTCTTTTTGATAACAGCCACTTTAACAGTTGTGAGGTGATAGCTATCTGTAGTTTTAATTTGCATTTCCCCACTGCTTAATGATGTTGAGCATTTTTTCATATACCTGCTGACCATTTGTATGTCTTCTTTTGAGAAATGTCTATTCAGGTCCTCTGCCTATATTTTTCCTGTTGCCCAGGCTGGAGTGCAATGGTGCAATCTCAGCTCACTGCAACTTCTGCCTCCTGGGTTCAAACGATTCTCTTGCCTCAGCCTCCTGAGTAGCTGGGACCATGGGCATGTGCTAACACGCCTGGCTAATTTTTGCATTTTTAGTAGATACGGAGTTTTGTCGTGTTGGCCAGGCTGGTCTTGAACTCCTGACCTCAAGTGATCCATCCACCTCGGCCTCCCAAACTGTTGGGATTACTGGAGTGAGCCATTGCACCTGGCCCTATTTTTAAATTGGGTCATTTGTTTTCTTGCTGTTGATCTGAGTTCCCTAAATATTTTAAATATTAATCCCTTATCAGATACGTGATTTGCAAATACTTTCTCCCATTCTGTAGGTTGTCTCTTCACTCTGTTTACTGTTTTCTTTGCTATGCAGAAGCTTTTTAGTTTGATGTAATCCCATTTATCTATTTTTGCTTTTGTTGCCTGTGCTTTTTGGGTCATATTGAAAAAATCATTGCCCAGAGCAATGTCATAGAGTTTTTCCTGTATGTTTTCTTCCAGTAGTTTCACAGTTTTAGGTCTTATGTTTAAGGTGTTTTTTTTTTTTTTTTTTTTTTTTTTTGACAGAGTCTCACTCTGTCACCCAGGCTGGAGTGCAGTGGCGCGATCTCGGCTCACTGCAAGCTCTGCCTCCTGGATTCACGCCATTCTCCTGCCTCAGCCTCCTGAGTAGCTGGGACTACAGGCGCCCGCCACCACGCCTGGCTAATTTTGTTTTTGTATTTTTAGTAGAGACAGGGTTTCGCCATGTTAGCCAGGATTGTCTTGATCTCCTGACCTCGTGATCTGCCCGCCTTGGCCTTCCAAAGTGCTGGGATTACAGGCATGAGCCACCACGCCCAGCCTAAGTCTTTATTTTGAGTTGATTTTTGTATATAGTGTGAGGTAAGGGTCTACTTTTATTTTTCTCCATGTGGACATCTAGTTATCCCACTACTGTTTATTGAAGAGAGTGTCCTCCTCCCATGTGTGTTCTTGACATCTTTTGTGAAAATTGGTTGGCTGTAAATATGTGGATTTATTTCTGGGCTGTCTATTCTATTCCATTGGTCAATGTATCTGTTTTTATGCCACTATCATGCTGTTTTGATTACTATAACTTTGTAGTATATTTTGAAGTCAGGCAGTGTGATGCCACCAGCTTTGTTCTTTTGGCTCAAGATTGCTTTGGCTATTAGGGGTTTTTTTGTGGCTCCCTATAAATTTCAAGATTTTTTTTTCTGTTTCTGTGAAGAATGTTATCGGTATTTGGTAGAGATTTCATTGAGTCTGTAGCTCTCTTTGGATAGTATGGACATTTTGACAATATTAATTCTTCTACTCCATGAACATGAATATCTTCCCATTTATTTGTCTTCTTCAATTTTTCTTTCTTTCTTTCTTTCTTTCCTTCCTTCCTTCCTTCCTTCCTTCCTTCCTTCCTTCCTTCCTTTCTTCCCTCCCTCCCTCCCTCCCTCCCTCCCTCCCTTCCTTCCTTCCTTCCTTCCTTCCTTCCTTCCTTCCTTCCTCTCTCTCTCTCTCTCTCTCTTTCTTTCTTTTTTTTGAGATGGAGTTTCACTCTTGTTGCCCAGGCTGGACTGCAATGGTGAGATCTCAGCTCACTGCAACCTCCGACTTCTGGGTTCAAGCGGTTCTCCTGCCTCAGCCTCCCAAGCAGTTGGGATTACAGGCATCCACCACCATGCCCGGCTAATTTTTTGTATTTTTGGTAGAGACAGGGTTTCTCCATGTTGGCCAGGCTGGTCTTGAACTCCTGACCTCAGGTGATCCACCTGCCTCGACCTCCCAAAGTGCTGGGATTACAGGCGTGAACCACCTCGAGGTTTTATAGTTTTCAACATCTATATCTTTCACCTCCTTGGTTAAATTTATTCCTAAGTATTTTATTGTATTGTATTGTATTTATTTTTGACAGAGAGCTTTGCTCTTGTCACCCAGGCTGGAGCACAGTGGCACGATCTCAGCTCACTGCAACCTCTGCCTCCCAGGTTTAAGCGATTCTCCTGCCTCAACCTCCCGAGTAGCTGGGACTGCAGGTGTGCACTACCACACCTGGCTAATTTTTGTATTTTTAGTAGAGATGGGGTTTCACCATGTTGGCCAGGCTGGTCTCGAACTTCTGACCTTGCCCGCCTCAGCCTCCCAAAGTGCTGGGATTACAGGCGAGAGCCACTGTGCCCAGCATGTTTTATTTTATTTTCTGAGACAGGGTCTCACTCTGTCACCCAGGCTGGAATGCAGTAGAATGAACATGGCTCACTGCAGCTGCAGCCTCCTGGATTGAAGCAATCCTCTTGCCTCAGCCTCCTGAGTAGCTGGAACCGCAGCCGTGTGCCACTATGCCCAGCTAATGTTTTGATTTTTTTTTTGTAGAGGCAGGGTTTAGCCATATTACCCAGGCTGATTTTGAACTCCTGGGCTCAAGTGATCCTCCTTCTTTAGCCTCCCAAAGTGCTGTAATTACACACATGAGCCACTGCACCTGGCCTTTTTTTTGTAGCTATTGCAGATGGGATTGTTTTCTTGATTTCTTTTTCAGATAGTTCACTGTTAGTGTATAGAAACACTATTGATTTTTGTAATTGATTTTGTATACTTCAACTTTACTGAATTAATCTATTAGTGCCAGCAGTTTTTCTGTGAAATCTTTAGAATTTTCTATATATAAGATCGTGCTATCTGCAAACAGAGACAATTTGACCTCTTTCTTTCCAATCTGGATGCATTTTGTTGTTTTTTTCCTCTTGGCTTATTGCTCTAGCTAGGACATCTAGTACTACGTTGAATAGAACTGGCCAGAGGGGGACTCCTTGTCTTGTTCCTGATCTTAGAAGAAAAACTTTCAACTTCTCCTTATTGAGTATGATGTTATTGAGTATGATGTTAGTCGTGGGTTAGTTGTATATGGTCTTTATTGTGTTGACTTACATTCCTTGTATACCTAATTTGTTGAGTTTTTATTATGAAAAGATGTTGATTTTGTAAAATACTTTTTCTGGATCTATTGCAATAATTATATGGTTTTTCTCCTTCAGTCTGTTAATGTGTTGTATCACATTTATTAATTTGTGTATTTTGAACCTTTCTTGCATCTCAGGGATAAGTCCCACTAGATCATGGTGAATCATCTTTTCTTCTGGGCTGTTGAATTTTGTTTGCTAGTGTTTTGTTGAGGGTTTTTTTAATTTAAATTTTTTGTGGGTACATAGTAGGTATATATATTTATGGGTTACAGGAGATATTTTGATATAGGCATGTAATGCATAATAACCACCTCAAGGTAAATAGGGTATCCGTCACCTCAAGCATTTATCCTTTGTGTTTCAAGCAATCCAATTACATTCTTTTAGTTTTTTTTAAATGTACAATTAGATAATCTTTTACTCTGTTTTTACCTAGCAAATACTAGGTCTTATTTACCTAGCAAATACTAGGTCTTATTTATTCTTTCTAACTATTTTTTGTACCCATTAACCATCCCCCTCCCCTCACCCTGACTACCCTTCTCAGCCTCTGGTAACCATTCTTCTACTCTCTATCTCCATGTCCATGAGTTCAATTGTTTTAATTCTTAGCTTCCACAGATAAGTGAGAACCTTTACTGAGGATTTTTGCATCTATGTTTATCAGGAATATCAGCCTGTAGTTTTCTTTTTTTGTAATGTCCTTATCTGACTTTGGTATCAGGGTAATGCTGGCCTCATAAAATGAGTTTGAAAGTATTCCTTCCTCTTCAATTTTTTTGAAAGAGTTTGAGAAAGATTGGTATTAGTTCTTTAAATTATTGGTAGAATTCAGCAGTGAACCATCAGGTCCTGGGCTTTTCGATGGAAGATTTATTATTATTATTATTAATCTTCTTACTTGTTATTTGTCTCTTCAGATTTTCTGTTTCTTCAAGCTTCAATCTTGGTAGATTATATGTGTCTATGAATTATCCATTTGTTCTAGGTTATCCAATTGTTTTACATATAATTGCTTATAATAGTCTCCTATGATCCTTTTTATTTCTACTGTATCAGTTGTAATATCTCCTTTTTCATTTCTGATTTTATTTATTTATTTGAGACAGGGTCTCACTCCGTCACCCTGGCTGGAGTGCAATGGTGTGATCATAGTTCACTGCAGCTTTGAACTCCTGGGCTCAAGGAATTCTCCTGCCTCAGCTTTCCAAGTAGCTGGGACTACAGGCACAAGTCACCATGCCCAGCTAAATTTTATTTATTTTCTGTAGAAACAGGGTCTTGCTTTTTTCCCCAGGCTGGTCTTGAACTCCTGGCCTCAAGTGATCCTCCTACCTCAGCTTCCCGAAGTTCTGGGATTACAGATGTGAACCACTGTGACAGGCCTGATTTTATTTATTTGAATCTTCTCTTTTTTTCTTAATCTAGCTGAAGGTTTATTGATTTTGAAATCTTTTTAAAAAACAAACTCTTCATTTTGTGATATGGTTTGGCTGTGTCCCCACCCAAATCTCATCTTGAATTCCTACATGTTGTAGGAGGGATCCGGTGGGAAGTAATTGAATCATGGGGGCAGGTCTTTCCTGTGCTGTTCTTGTAATAGTGAATAAGCCTCACAAGATCTGATGGCTCTATAAGGCAGAGTTTCCCTGCACAAGCTCTCTGTTTGCCTGCTTTCATTATGTAAGACGTGACTTGCTCCTCCTTGCCTTCCACCGTGATTGTGAGACTTCCCCAGCCATGTGGAACTGTAAGTCCATTAAACCTCTTTCTTTTGTAAATTGCCCATTTTTGGGTATCTTATCAGCAGTGTGAAAATGGACTAATATGTTTTGTTAATATTTTTTGTTTGTATAGTCTCTTATTTCATTTATTTCCACTCATATTTTTATTATTTTCTTTCTTCTACTAAATTTGAGCTTAGTTTGTTCTTGTTCTTCTAGTCTCTTGAAATGCAATGAGATATTAGATTGTTTATTTGAGATCTTTCTTCTTTTTAGGCATTTATTGCTATTGACCTCTGCTGCTCATCTTGTAAATTTTTGTTTTTGTTTTTTAGAGAGACAGGATCGCACTCTTTCACCTAGGATGGAGTCCAGTGGTGTGATCATAGCTCACTGCAGGCTCCAACTCCTGGGTTCAAGTTATTCTCCTGCCTCAGCCTCCTGTGTAGCTGAGACTACAGGTGTGCACCACCACAAACAGCTAATGCATCTCATAAATTTTGATATGTTATGTTTCCATTTTCATTTGTCTCAAGATGTTTTTAATCCACCCCACCCCCGACTTTTTAGACATTGGGGTCTTGCTGTGTTGCCCAAGCTGGTCTCAAACTCCTATGCTCAAGCAATCCTCCTGCCTTGGCTTTCCAAGGTGCTGGGATTACCAGTGTGAGCCACTGTGCCTGGCCTCTTAAATTCCCTTTTAATTTCCTCATTGACCCATTAGTTTTCTAGGAACATAATATTTAATTTCCATGTATTTGTGAATTTTCTGAAGTTTCTCTTGTTACTGATTTCTAGTTTTATACCGTTGTAGGCAGAAAAGACACTTGAGATAATTTCAATCTTCATAAATTTGTTAAGACTTAGTGTTTGTGGTTTAACATTTGATTTATCCTGAAGAATGTTCTACGTGCACTTGAGAAGAATGTGTATTCTGCCATTGTTGAATGTATGTCAAATCTGTATATATCTGTTAAGTTTATTTGGTCCAGAGTGTAGTTTAAGTCCAATGTTTCCTTATTGATTTTCTGTCTGAATGATCTCTCCATTGCTTCAAGTGGGATATTGAAATCTTCTATTACTATTGTATCATAGTCTATTTTTCCCTTCAGATCTATCCATATTTGCTTTATATATTTAGGAGCAGCAGTCTCAACCTTCTTGGCACCAGGGACTGATTTCGTGGAGGACAATTTTTCCATGGGTGGGTAGCGGGAGGACAGATGGTTTTGGGATAAAAGTGTTCCATCTCAGATCATCATCAGGCATTCGACTCTCATAAGGAGTGCGCAACCTAGATGCCTCACATGCAGGGTTCACAATAGGGTTCGCACTCCTATGAGAACCTAATGCCACTGCTGATCTGACAGGGGGTGGAGCTCAGGCAGTAATGCTTGCTCACCTGCTGCTTATCTCCTGTTGTGTGGCCCAGTTCCTAACAGGCCACCGACTGGTACTGGTCTGTGGCCCAGGGGTTGAGGACCCCTGTTTAGGAGCTTTGATGTTGGGTGAATATACATTTACAATTGTTGTACCCTCTTACTGAATATTGAATTGACTTGTTTCACTACAGAATGACCTTCTTTGTCTCTTTTTATAGTTTGTTTTGTTTTTTTTTTTTTTTTTAGATGGAGTTTCCCTCTTGCCACCCAGGCTGGAGTGCAGTGGCATGATCTCAGCTCACTGCATGCTCCACCTCCTGAGTTCAAGTGATTCTTATGCCTCAGCCTCCTGAGTAGCTGGGATTGCAGGTGCCCATCACTATGCCCAGCTAATTTTTGTATTTTTAGTAGAGATGGGGTTTCACCATGTTGGCCAGGCTGGTCTTGAATCCCTGACCTCAGGTGATCCACCTGCCTTGGTCTCCCAAAATGCTGGTATTACAGGGGTTGCCACTGTGCCTGGCTTCTTTTTATAGTTTTGATTTAAAGTCTGTTTTATCTGATATAATCACAGCTACTCCTGCTCTCTTTTGTTTCCACTTGCATAAAATGTCTTTTTCCATCCCTTCACTTTCAGTTTATATGTCTTCTTACAGGTGAAGTGAGTCTCTTGTAGGCAGCATATAATTGGGTCTTTTTAAAAAAAAATCCATTCAGCCACACTGTATGTCTTTTGATTGGATAATTTACTACATTTACATTCAGGGTAATAATTGATAGACTAGGACTTAACTGCCATTTTGCCAATTGTTTTCTGGTTGTTTGTAGATAGTTTGTTCCTTTCTTCCACTTTTGCTATTTTCCTTTGTGTTTAAGAGATTTCTGTAGTGGTATGTTTTGATTTTTTACTCTTTATTTTGTGTGTGTATCTACTATAGGTTTTTGCCTTGTGGTTACCATGAGGCTTATAAAAATACCTAATAGTTATAACAGGCTATTTTAAGCTGATAATAACTTAACCTTGATTACAAAAATAACTCTACACTTTTACTCCACTTTCTCATTTTGAATTTTTGATGACACAATTTACATCTTTTTTTCTTTTTTTTTTTTTGAGACGGAGTCTCCCTCTGTCACCCAGGCTGGAGTGCAGTGGCATGATCTCTGCTCACTGCAAGCTCTGCCTCCTGGGTTCACGCCATTCTCCTGCCTCAGCTTCCCAAGTAGCTGGGACCACAGGCGCCTGCCACCACACCTGGCTAATTTTTTGTATTTTTAGTAGAGACAGGGTTTCACCATGTTAGCCAGGATGGTCTCGATCTCCTGACCTCGTGATCCACCCTCCTTGGCCTCCCAAAGTGCTGGGATTACAGGCGTGAGCCACCATGCCCGGCCACAATTTACATCTTTTTATATTGAATATCCCTTAATGAATTAATCAGCTATTATTGTTTTTAATAGTTTTGTGTTTTAGCCTTCATACTAAAGATATAAGTGACTTATATACCAAAATTACAGTATTAGAGTATTATGAATTTGACTCTGTACTTACTTTTATCAGTGAGTTTTATACTTTAATATGTTTTTGTGTTACTAATTTGCATCCTTTTCTTTCAGCTTAAATAACTCTTTTTAGCATTTGTTGTAAGACACATCTGGTGGTGATGAAATCCTTCAGCTAAAACAACCTTTTTTATAAAGATGGGAGATACTATAACATATTTTTAGAATAATAGGAATAATCCTACAGAGGAAGAGCTTGATGATGCAGAACAGAGAGGGTATAATCAGAGGAGCAAAATCTGTGAATAAAGAAGAGAGATTGGAGTTTAGTATACAGATGGGGGGATTGGTCTTTGATAGTAGTGAGAAAAATTTATCTACTGTAATAGGTGAGAAGGTAGGCAGGCTACAGATCCAAGTAGTTTGATAGCTTTGGTAAGGGAAGATGAATCAGTTTTCAGTTGGATTCTTCTATTTTCCCAGTGAAATATAAAGTGACTTATAAAATTAATTATAGTCATTCCTAAAATGGAGATAATAGTGTTTGCTTCCAAGGGTTAATGTTCATGCGTGTAGACCCCCTAAAGTATGTAGGCCATGGCTAAATTTTCTGTACTGAAATCTTGACTAGGCCGAATAGCTCAGCAAGAAACAAAACTGAGAACTAGCCAAGTTATATAAGATGCTTCGTATGTGTTTCATAACTACTTTGAATTTCTATGGCACAGAAACAATATATGAACCTAGAATGCAGGTGTTGTTAGTTGTAGTGACTAAGTCTGATAAACACTCTCTCCCGAGGTCCCCAAAAGAAGAAAGATCTGCTGTTCTCTGCCCTTACTAATGAAGTCACTGAACTTTAGGTGCCATTCCATGAGTAACATGGGAAAGTCTGGGAAGCTGTTCCACTTTTTTCTCATTTTCAAAGTCCTCATTCTCTCACCCTCAAAGTCCTTGAACTTTGGCCAGCTCTTATAGCCTGTTCTAGCCTGTGTGTTCACTTTAGAATTTGTGTTATCATTTGATTTGACACAGTTTGTTGGGGAAAAGGAATGGTTTAAACAGTGCATTAAATCAGTTACATCTTTTGTGTAATAGGAAAAAGACAAATTGTTTTTTCCTACTATGCTGTCAACATAACACTTGTGGAACAACATATGTGAGCTTCTCTCTCATACCAACCAATTCTTTGACATCAACTGGGTGTCTTACAATTTAATTCAGTCCTGACACTATCTACCTGGGGTTAGGGTGAGATCTCACAAATTAAGGGCTCAGTCCCACAGACTTCAGATGCCAGTGGCAAGTCTGGATCTTTGGAATTTCTGACCAACTAGCTATAAATTGGAGGTTCCCTTGACCCCATCTCCGGTTTGATAATTTGTTAGAGCAGCTCCCAGAATCGGGGAAACACTTACTTAATGTTTACTGATTTATTGGCAAGAGTATTACAAAGTATACAGATGAACAGCCAGATGAAGAAGTACATAGGGCAAGGTATGGGGAAAGACGCATGGAAGCTCCTTGTCCCCTGGGGGCACCCCACCCTTCGGTGTTCAGCAACCGTGAAGCACTCCAAACACCGTTCTTTTGGGATTTTATGAAGGCTTTATTATATAGGCATGATTGATTCATTGGCCATTGGTGATCAACACAAACTTCAGCTCTTCTCTCCTTATGGTAGTGGCAGAAGCACTGGCTGAAAGTTCCAACCCTCTAATTACATGGTTGGTTCCCCGGTATCCAGCCCCTATCCTAAGGCTGTCCAGCCCCCAGCCATCAGTTATCTCCTTAGAACACAAAAGACACTTATCACTTTGGAGATTCTGAGGGTTTATTTCTTAAGTCACAGTATTCATCAATCCCTCTTGATTCTTGTTATAATTCCCTTATGCTTAGAGGTCATATGGAAAAATGTCACTTCCAATGTGGGAATCCTTATGACAATGTCTTTGGGATGGCTCTCTAGTGGACTCAAAATTTGCAGTTGGTTGGGAGCCCACTGCCTCAGCTGAGTGACCATTCCTAATATTGGACAGAAACCTCTCTTCAGGTTAGGTTCTACCTATTGGTAGCTATTCTGCTCTCTGGAGTCACATAGGTCTTTATATATGGTGATCATTTTCATTTCACCAGGTTTTCTCTTCAGGCTAAACAACCACTAGAACAATGTTTTTCAATGTAGGTTCTTTTGCTTCAGGATCAACTAAAGATCTCAACATCTCTGGGCTGGAGCTCCAGAATTTGCATTTCTAATTAACTTACCAAGTGATTCCTCTGCACTCTAATGTTTTAGGACCATTGCACTAAACTATATAAGTCTAGGGACCATACCACTCTTTCTCACCACTGTAATCCCCACACTTAGCACAGTGCCTAGAATGTAGTGCTTGATAGTTATATATTGACTGACTGACTGAATGAATGGATGAATTCTGGCAATTGGTATAGATTATCTCTTGAGAAACCATATTGCCTTTACCTTAGGGCAATGGTTCTCAAACTTTGTGGTTTCAGGACCCCAAAGAGTTTACATAGAAACTTCTAGAAAATACAAGACTATACAAGCACATTTTCTATTAGCCATTAGAGTGATGATGTTATCACATGTCTTGTAGCCTCTGGAAAACTCCTCTGCATACTCAGAATGAAAGTAAAATAGGTAAAACAAAACGAAACAAAACAAACAAAAAAATGTGGTATTAGGTAGGGCACCATGGCTCACACTTGTAATCCCAGGACTTCGGGAGACCGAGGCAGGCAGATCACTTGAGGCCAGGAGCTCGAGACCAACCTGGCCAACATGGCAAAATCCCATCTTTACCAAAAAAATACAAAAATTAGCTGGGCGTGGTGGTGCATGCCTGTAGTCCCAGCTGCTCAGGAGGCTGAGCCATGAGAATCGCTTGAATCCAGGAGGTGGAGATGGCACTGAGCTGAGATCGCACCACTGCACTCCAGCCTGAGCAACAGAGCGAGATTGTGTCAAAAAAAAAAAAAAAAGAAAGAAAGAAAGAAAAAAGAAAAAAAGAAAAAAAAAATCTTGGCATTATTATGAAAATACTTTTGACCTCCTAGACTTCTTGGAAGGACTATACTACACTTTGTGAACTACTGCCTGAGGGGATATTTTGGCTGCAGAGGCAGTATAAAATATAGTGGTTAAGAGCATGAATTCCAGAGTAAAATCACCTGGTTACAAATTGGCTCTGTCGCTTACTAGTTATGTGACATTAGTAATCTGAGACATTACTCAGCCTTCCTGTGCTTCATTTTTCTTATGTGTAAAACAGAGATCATAACAGTGCTTGCTTCTTAGGGGTACTGTGAGGACTAAATGAATTAAAACACTAAAATGCTTAGGACAGTGCCAAATATATGTTAATACTAAGCATGACAAAGGTCTATGTAAGTATTGTTATTAACAATATGAGTATCTTTATTATTATCATTATAGATACTACATGATTGTGCATAACTATTATTACCCCAGACCCTTTCCGAAGGCGTTTTCGTGAACACAAACCACACTTGCAGCCCGTTAGTCCTGCAACCCAGTGGCCAGCCAGAATCAGAGGCCACAAATTTGGACAACAGTTCTCTTACTCCTTTTCTGAGTTATTTTTAAACTCTCTGGCTCTGTGTGTTGCAAAAGCAACTTTATTGCAAAAGCAACTTTTAGTCTGTATCTTCTAATATAATTTTGTGGTGTCCTCATTCTCTTCCCTTTTTGAAAGATATTCCTCAGCTAGGCATGGTGGCTGGTACCTGTAGAATCAGCTACTTGGGAGGTTTAAGTGGGAGGATCGAGGCAAGAGGAACTCTTGAGGCCAGGAGTTCAAGGCTGCAGTGAACTACGATTGGACCACTGGACTCCAGCCTGGGTGACAAAGGGTGACCCTGTCTTTAAAGCAAAAGGAACTTCTCTCCTACAATAATCACATATTTGACTCTGCTAGACAACTATGCAAGAGGTGTTTTAAAAATTTCTTTTTTCCCCTGCCCTTTCAACCACCATGCCTGGCCTATTTTTATTTTTATTTAATTAATTAATTTTTTGAGACGGAGTTTTGCTCTTATTGCCCAGGCTGGAGTGCAATGGCACAATCTCGGCTCACCGCAACCTCCACCTCCCAGGTTCAAGCGATTCTCCTGCTTCAGCCTCCCGAGTAGCTGGGATTACAGGCATGTGCCACCATGCCTGGCTAATTTTGTATTTTTAGTAGAGACGGGGTTTCTCCATGTTGGTCAGGCTGGTCTCGAACTCCTAACCTCAGGTTATCTGCCTGCCTCGGCCTCACAAAGTGCTAGGATTACAGCCGTGAGCCACCGCGCCCGGCCCTATTTTTATTTTTTAGACGCAGAGTCTCACCATGTTGCCCAGGCTGGCCTCAAACTCCTGGGCTCAAGTGATCCTCTCTCCTCAGACTCCTGTGTAGCTGGGACTAAATATGGATGACACCGCACCTGGTCAGCATTTGTTTTCTTTATTTTTTAGAGATGTTGGCAGGGGGAGGAGTTCTTACTATGTTGCCCAGGCTGGTCTTGAACTACTCGCCTCAAGGGATCCTCCTGCCTCAGCCTCCCAAGTAGCTGAGATTACAGGTGTGAGCCATATTCCCAGCTCAGATTTTTAAAAAATGTCTAAGCACATGTTTACTGGTCTCTCTGAACATCCTCCTCCTCACTCTTCCTCCTTCATTTTGATAGTTTCTAAATTGTTTGATGTTATTTATCTTTAAAACTCTTTCAATTTTCCCCCAACTAAAGGTTTCATTTAACCAGTAAGAAGAATGTTGGGGGCTAGGCACCATGGCTCATGCCTGTAATCCCAACACTTTGGGAGGCAGAGAGAGATGGATCACTTGAGGTCAGGAGTTCAATACCAGCCTGGCCAACATGTTGAAAACCCGTCTCTACTAAAAATACAAAAATTAGCCAGGTGCAGTGGTGCACACCTGTAATCCCAGTTACTTGGGAGGCTGAGGCAGGAGGTTTGCATGAACCTGGGAGGTGGAGGTTGCAGTGAGCCAAGATCATGCCACTGCACTCCAGCCTGGGTGACAGAGTGAGACTCCGTCTCAAAAAACAAAAGGAAAGAAAAGAGAATTTTTGACTCAATATATTGGTAATATTGAGCTCAATATATGTAAGAGAATCTTTTTAAAAATATTTAAAATTCAGATTATGAAAGCAATATATGGCCGGGTGCAGTGGCTCATGCCTATAATCCCAGCACTTAGGGAGGCCAAGGTGGGTGGCTTGCTTGAGTCCAGGAGTTCGAGACCAGACTGAGCAACATGGTGAAATCCCATCTCTACTAAAAATACAAAAAATTACTGGGCATGGTGGGTTGCGCATGTTGTCCCAGCTACCCAAGAGACTGAGGTGGGAGAATCACCTGAGCCCAGAGGTCAAGGCTGCAGTGAGCTGTGATTGCGCCACTGAACTCCAGAGCCTGGGTGACAGAGTGATCCCTTGTTACATACACACAAATAAAAGAAAATATAAAAATTAAAATGAAACAAAAAAAGAAAGTAACATATATTCACTAGAGACATTTTGAAAATATATTTTTAAAAAAGTAAATAAAATTCACTTATGATCACTCCATTGAAACATAACCACTAATAACATATTGGCATATATTCTTTCAGTAGTTTTTTTTCTATGCAATGTGTATTTTTGCAATAAAATTGAGATCACCCAAATATAGTGTTTTGGTTTAATAATATACAAATATATGATGGCCACTTCCCCTGTTTCATTAGATATTCTACAGCATGTTTTAGAAGGACTCGAGTAATCTAGGATTGCTGTAGAAAAATTAGAACATTAGTTCTAAATGACCACCCAGGGACAACTAGAGGAATTTGATATTTATCTTTCCACACCTTTTTTTTCTGTGCATATACTTCTAGAAAAACAAGACCAATCATTTCTACTGTGGGTTTTTTGTTTTGTTTTGTTTTGTTTTGTTTTTGTTTTGAGACAGGGTCTCACTCTGTTGCCCAGGCTGGAGTGCAGTGGCACAATCTCGGCTCACTCCAATCTCTGCCTCCCAGGTTCAAGCGAGTCTCCTGCCTTAGCCTCCCAAGTATCTGGGATTACAGGTGCACGCCACCATGCCCGGCTAATTTTTGTATTTTGGGTAGAGACGGGGTTTCACCAGCTTGGCCAGGCTGGTTTCGAACTCCTGGCCTCAAGTGATCTGCCCACGTTGGCCTCCCAAAGCACTGGGATTGCAGGCGTGAGCCACCGTGCCTGGCCCTCTACTGTTTTGTAAGATGCTTTTTTTTTCCTGTGATAAAATTCACATGATATAAAATCCACCATTTTATCATTTTAAAGTGCACTATTCAGTGTGGCATTTAGTACATTCACGGTGTTGTGCAACATCACCATCATCTACAGTAGTTCAATAAAATCTTCATCATTTTAAAATTCCATAACCATTGCAAGCATTCATTCCCCACTCTCTCCTTTCCCCAGCTCCTGCTAACCCTAATAGGCTCTTCCATTTCCATGGATTTGTCTATTTTGGATATTTCATATAAATGAAATCATACAATATGTGGCTTTTTGTGTCTGCTTTTTGCACTGAGCATAATATTACATAGGTTCCTATATGCTGTAGCATGGTTAAATAATAAATATGTCATTTCATCATATGGATATATATCACATTTTGCTGATCCATTCATCAGTTGATGGATATTTGAGTCGTTTCCACTCTTTGCTATTGTGAATAGTGCTGCTATGAACATTCATATGCAATTGAGCACCCATTTGATATATACCCATGAATGGAATTGCTGGTCATATGGTAATTCTGTGCTTAACCTATTGAAGAGCCACCAAACTATTTTCCACAGTGATTGCAGCATTCTACATTTCTACCAGCAATATATGAGAGTGCCAATTTTTCCACATCCTTGTCAATACTTGTTATTTTCCTTTTTTATTGAGACGGGATCTCTGTTGCCCAGGCTGGAGTGCAGTGGTGTGATCATGGTTCATTGCAGCCTTGACCTCCCAGGCTCAAGGGCTCCTCCAACCTCAGCCTCCTGAGTAGCTGGGACTACAGGCACATGCCACCATGCCCAGCTAATTTTAAATACATTTTTATAGAGATGGAGGTCTCACCATGTTACCCAGGCTGGTTTTGAACTCCTAGGCTCAAGCAGTCCTCTCACCTTGGCCTCCCAAAGTGTTGGTATTAAATGCGTGAGCCACCATGCTGGCCTATTTTCCATTTTTAAATAGCTCTTCTAGTGGATGTGAAGTGGTGAAGTGGTATCTCACTGTAGTTTTGAATTCCATTCCCTACTCAACATCATTACCATGTCCTTGTTGGCAATTTGTATATCTTCTTTGGAGAAATGTCTATTCAAGTCATTTGCCAATTTAAAAATTGAATGCAGTATGCTTTTCACTTAAAAATATACTACAGGCTGGGTGTGGTGGCTCATGCCTGTAATCCCAGCACTTTGGGAGGCCAAGGCAGGTGGATCGCTTGAGGTCAGTGAGCCAGGATGGTGCCACTGCACTCCAGCCTGAGTGACAGAGTGAGACCCTTTCTCAAAAAAGCAAAACAAAACAAACAAACAAAAAGTCAGTTACTTTACTGTTGGATATCTAGACTGTTTGCCTTTTAAGCTTTTAAAATTAATCTTGTAATGTACATTTCAGTAAGTAACTCTTTGCACATGTCCAAGGTTATTCCTGGGAAAAGTTTTTTTTTTCTCCCAAGTTTCAGATATAATCAGTGTCATTCCCAACACATCAAAGTGATGTATATAGATTATTATAATGCAATATAATTTTGTCTTTATTGATAAAATACAAATAAAATAAACTATAAATATATTTTGTCTTTATTGATTATTATAATATTGGGACCCAGTTTCTTCCAGCGTTCTGACTTATGTCTTCTGTCCCAGCTAACATCTTGATTGAACAATGCCAGATGCTGGACATACAGCGCTGCTCCAGTACCTCCGGATTTCATAAATACGAAGGGGGATGAAGCTTGAATGCTTCTTGAGCCCAACAAGAATCTGGTGGAACATGTCAGTGGTGGCAGCCTCCAGTCCTAAAGGAGGAAACAAACCTGCCTGTCAGGCGCCGGATTAAGTACTCCCTGCACTCTATTCCTGAGAAAAATTCTTAGAAGCAGAATGGCTGGGCCAAAGTAGGCAACTCTTAATTTGTAGATACAAGTCATTAAATTGCTTTCCATTAAAGTTATACCAATTTATAGTCCTACCAGAAATATAAGAAAGTGCCTATTTCCTTGCATAATCATCAACAATGGGTTTTATGCATTTGAAAATGTTAATTATCTGATTGGCATAAAATGGCACCTTATTGATTGAATTCTTTTTCTTTTTATTTTTTTGGAGATGGAGTTTCACTGTATCCCCCAAGCCATGGAGTATACTGGCAAGATCATGGCTCACTGCAGCTCAAGGACTCAGGGAATCCTCTGCCTCCTGAGTAGCTGGGACTACAGGTGTGTGCCACTATCTCATCTAATTTTTTATCTGTAGAGATGGGGTCTCACTGTGTTGCCTAGGTTGGTCTAGAACTCCTGGCCTCGAGCAGTCCTCCCGCCTTGGCCTCCCAAATTACTGGGATTATAGGCATGAATCTCCTTGCCAGCCTATTTTTATTTTTTAGAGACAGAGTCTCACCATGTTGCCCAGGCTGGCCTCAAACTCCTGGGCTCAAGCCATTCTGCCTCCTCAGAATCCTGAGTAGCTGGGACTATATGTGCATGACACCTGCACCTGGTCAGCATCTTATTGCTTTAAATTGCATTTATTTAACTACTATGAATACAAATAATCCTTCATAGATTTATTGGCCATTTAAATTTCTTTCTTTTTTGTAAATTGGCTATTTTGTCTTTATCAATGTTTTATTCTTTTCAATATTAATACTAACAATCTTTTAGCTATATGTTATTCTCTGTCATCCCTCCTTCCTCAACTTTTCATTTGAACTTTACCATTATTGTGATTTCTTTTTTTTTTTTGCATAAAAAGTTTAAAATTTTTGCTGGGCGTGGTGGCTCCCACCTGTAATCCCAGCACTTTGGGAGGCCGAGGATCACCTGAGGTCAGGAGTTCGAGGCCAGCCTGGCCAACATGGTGAAACCCTGTCTCTACTAAAAATACAAAAATTAGCCAAGCGTGGTGGCATGCACCCATAATCCCAGCTACTTGGAAGGCTGAGGCAAGAGAATTGTTTGAACCTGGGAGGCAGAGGTCGCAGTGAGCTGAGATCATGCCACTGCACTCCAGCCTGGGCAACAGAAAAATAATTTTTTTTTTTAAGTATAGCCTGTGTATAGAGTACTAAGAGAGCATTGAAGACCACAATCATGATGATGGCCGCAGAGGCCAAGGGAAGCTTCCCAAAGTGGGTGAGTACTGAGCAGAGGGAGTCCTGAAGGACAGGTGTGGGGCTAGGACTGGATACAACAGCCTAAATAAGGCATGGAAGTAAGAAATATATATGCTAAAGTAAGAATTTTTGACTCAGTTATTTTGACATCATATGACTTTGACTTCCCGCTAGTGGTTTTGTTTGTGGCAGGCCAGGTCTCACTAATGCAGGCCTCCATCACAACTGTTTCAATACTGACTGATTGGTTTAGTTAAATATTATAAACTAAAAAAAGCCAGTGCACTTATACAAAGGCTGGAATGTAACAAAAGCCCATCAAGAGTTTTGCCTAGGCCTTTCCTGGGCCTTAAAGCATGACAAAATAACGAAGGAATTCTTAACAGGACCCATTTAGGATTAAAGAAGTTTCACTGGGGGTCTGAAGAAACTCCCCAGGCCTCTACAAACAAGTTTTTTGGAGGTCTGAAAGAACTCCCCAAACCTCCGTGATTTAGCAGGAGACAAGATAAGGGTAATCACCCCAAGACCTGGACCCATTTAGATTAAGTAATCTAATTTACTGAGGCTTCAGAGGAAAAGTCTTCAGGACTTAGACTTTAGTTATAGATTAAAAGAAGTAAATCACTTGTGTCTTTAGACAAATGCACACTTACATATAGACATATAGCTTAGAAGGTATACAAGCTCTGGAAAACTCTATAATTTTGAGTTGGTCTGGCAATAATTTCCAGGCCTTCTCCCTGTAACTGGTTACAGAAATAAAACTCTCTTCCACTGGCCAGGCAGGGTGGCTCACGCCTGTAATCCCAGCACTTTGGGAGGCCTAAGTGGGTGGATCACCTGAGGTCAGGAGTTCAAGACCAGCCTGGCCAACATGGTGAAACTCTGTCTCTATTAAAAATACAAAAAAAAAATTGGCTGGGTGTGGTGGGCACCTGTAATCCTAGCTACTCGGGAGGCTGAGGCGGGAGAATTGCTTGAACCTGGGAGGCGGAGGTTGCAGTGAGCCAAGATCATGCCATTGCACTCCAGCCTGGGTGACAGACTAAGACTCTGTCTCAAAAAACCAACCAACCAACAAACAAACAAACAAACAAACAAACAAACAACTCTCTTCCTCCTCAGTTCTTCTGCATCTCATTATCAGTCCCGGAGAAATAGCAGCCCGACCCTCAGTTTGGTCCGGGAACAGTTTTTTTATTGACATCTCACTAATGTGTGCAACAAACAGCCCTGACCCTCACCCAGCCCATCACTGAGTCAGTGTTGTCATCATCATCATCCTTGGGATAATCAAAACGAACCAAAAAAAAAAAAAAAAAAAAAGGAGGGAGAGGGAGAGTATGAATTGCAAGGATGAGATGGAGGAGTCTGTCATACATATTAATTAATAATTTAGTGCTTGCTTCAGTAGCACATATACTAACATTGAAACAATACAGAGAATATTAGCAGGGCCTGTGAGCAAGGATGACATGCAAATTCTTGAAGCATTTCATATTTTGTGCAGTACCAGAGACCATTTCACTAATTGCTGAGTAGCACTAAGGAAACAGTGTGAGTCAAAGCAAAATGGGTGGAACCCAATATTGAATTGTGATTTTCACTACACAAGAAAAAAAATTAGGCGGTGTTCACTGGTTGTGGCCTGAAGGAGTCCTACATCTGCAGTCAAAGCTGGAGATGCATCCCCTCACCTTAGGCTGTGACAAATACCCAAGCCATGTCCCAAGACCTGCAGTGGCCTCCAAGGCCCAATTCATGTTCAAAGAGCGAATAAGACAAAGACTCAAGAAACATCTGTTAAGAAGAAAAACATTTTTTGATACAAACAGGAAAATCAGATAGTGTCCAGGCTTTTTGCATCTGAGAATGATAAGGACCTGGGCTGGAATCTGTAAGTTGGCTACCATAGCTATGTAACCTCAATAGAGGCCAGAGAGTGGTGACATTTGAGGACCAGTTCCAAGAAGAGAGAAATATTTTGAAACTTCAGTGAGAAATGGCTGGTAAAGAAAATGTCAACAGACTCATGAGAAGCAAAAATAATACAATGGTGGTAAAAATTGTATTCCTTTAAAACCTTCTAATGAACTGACCAATTCAACTATAGTAATTGTCACACATAAATTTGAGGATAATAATCAAACCCTGAAGTTGTTACCAACTGAAGATGACCCCCAATGTCAACATATGACATTAATGTAAGACATTTCACCCTAACAATAATAGTAAACAGAAACAAATTGTTGCAGAAAAACAAAAGCAAGAGGCTGACACACCCAAGAAGTCTGTGATAGAATCTTATTGAGGCCAAATTGTTCAGTCTAAGTTTAATTCATTTAGAAAACCTCTACAAGTCAAAGATGAGAGTTCTGCAGCAACAAAGAAATTTTCAATTACTATTCCTAAAGCAACAGAGCCTCAGCTTATAAACACCAGCAGCGTAACAGTGAAGAGTAATAGAGTCTCAAATATAACTGCTACTGTTACCACACAATGGGTGAGCTGGTCGCTTGGCCAGTGACAGTCCAATGACCACAACCAAGGAAAATTTAACAAGGGGATTTCATTACTTGCAACAAAGAAGGAGAATACTGGGGATAATTCCCAAAGCAGTTCCTCTCGGAATAAAGCTAAAAACAGGGCTTGTATTGGGCTGCTTAGCTGAGTCATCGTATGTAGAGGTGGAGTACAGTCATCAATCATGCTTCTTCATATATCACATGTATAGAAAGTGGCAAAAATACTCCTCCTTGGGTGGAACTTTTTGTATGGTAATGTGGGGAGTTTGCCAAATTCATCTCCAATTCAGAGGGCATCTCTGGATCGAATGGGTTTTGTTTTGCTTCTTCCTGGAACTTTTTGAAACAACAAAAACTCAAGGTGCAACAGTGTGTACTTGTTCACAGTGTGTGCAAGGACCCTGGGTTACACTAAATGTAACTTGGGGTACACCAAATGTAGTGCTAAGTTTGTGTGATCTCTTATTAGAAGTCATCCAATAATACCCAGGACACTGTGAAAGAAGGCATCGGTAGAATCTCAGCCTTGTTTACAATCAGGAAAAGGTCTCATAGAAAAGAATTATTACAATCAAAAACAGTTTTATCTAGGGTCAAAACCAGTTCCTCTCAGGACATAGAAAAGAGATAAGGCACAATCAAGAAGATTGTGCATCTGATCTTTTGGACAAGTGGTTGCCAAAATAAAGAAAGTTTTAAAAAGGAAAAAAGAAAAAGGAAAATAGCATGTGAAATCGTAGCCAGGCCTGCTTCATCTTACTGTTTTAAAAAATTATTTTTTAAGCCAGGCACGGTGGCTCACACCTATAATCCAAGCACTTTGGGAGGCCGAGGTGGGCGGATCATCTGAGGTCAGGAGTTCGGGACCAGCTTGGCCAACATGACGAAACCCCATCTCTACTAAAAATACAAAAATTAGCCAGGCATGGTGTCAGGAGCCTGAAATCCCAGCTACTTGGGAAGCTGAGGCAGGAGAATTGCTTAAATCTGGGAGGCGGAAGTTGCCGTGAGCTGAGATTGCGCCATTGCACTCCAGACTGGGCAACAAGAGTGAAACTCCATCTCAAAAAAAAAACAACAACTATTTTTTTACAGACAGGGTCTCATTATATTGGCCGGGCTGGTCTTGAACTCCTGGTCTCAAGGGATCCTCCTACCTCAGCCTCCCAAAGTCCTGGGATTACAGGTGTGAGCCACCGCTCCCACTTGTGCTTCATCTTCTAATGCCAAACTGATAGAAAAATCAAAACCTATTGACCAGTGAAGATATACTATAGCAAAACCAACTGCTGATAGTAGATCAACTCAATCCAAAGAAAACTCAGAAGAGAGAAAAGCTCATCTGAATGAGTGGAAAGCTGGCAAAGAAAGAGTGCTGAAAAGGCCTCCTAACTGAATAGTTACCTAGTATGAACCTTAAGAACAAAATGAAAAACCAGTTGGGTCCTTTTGGACTACCATGGCAGAAGATGAACAAAAATTATTTACTGAAAAGGTAAGCGACACATTTTCTGAATGCCTAAACCTAATTAATGAAGGACGCGCAGAAGAAGAAATACTGGTCACACTGAACGATCTGATTAAAAATATTCCAGATGCCAAAAATCTTGTAAAATATTGAATATGTCTTGCACATACTGAACCAACCCCAAGTCCTATTGAAAGTATTCTCGCAATCTATGAGAAGGCCATTCTGGCAGGGGCTCAACCTATTGAAGAGATGTGACACACAGTTGTAGATATTCTACCAATAAAGAGTTAAGAAAATGTCAGTTTTGGAGAAAATATTGAGGAGGCTTGTGCAACCAAGGAACAAGTCCAAGAAGTCAACACTGAAGATACAACTGTTAATTCAGAGTCAGGAAGACCAGAAATGGGGAATAGACATCATATTTTTTGTATGCTTCCACAGGCACTGAAGAGAACAGACATCATGGAAACGTGCTATTTCAAGATTCTGAAAAATAGCAAGATGACAAAACAAAAGATCCAACCAATGATGTTAAAATCCCCAATACAGAAACTAGGGCAAGTTGCTTAATTAAATATAATGTATTTACTATGACATACTTGCAAAGTGTAAAAAAGAAGGTGCAATTTGATTAAACAAATTATACATTTAAAGAGCTCAAGTTTTAAATACCAGTGAGATGTTCTCAATGTCAGCGTAAAACTTTAAAATTGCCAGGTATGTTAAAAGACCATTATCCCTGCGTGTCTTCATTGGAAGAGTTAACAGAGTTGGGAAGTGACACTGATCCCTTTGTATGCTGTCCTAATGCAGCACTATGCTGAATGTACTCTGAGACTGAAATAACAGATGAAATAGAAAGCTCTGGTAAGGAAAAAAAAAATATCAATGCCACCTCCCTCAAACTGCTATCACCAAATCATGAAGTGCAAGAGAGGGGACATGGGAGATGACGCCGAAGAGTGGGCAGGAGCCAAATCACAGAAGTCCATGCACCATTTTAAAATGCTTGGACTTAAGCTTGTGGGCAATGGGGAGGACCGAAAAGCATTTAAGCAGAGAAGCAACATGATTTAACTGCCAAGGAGATAGGAAGAAATGCTCAAACCTGCCTCTCTGAGCTGGGGGTTGGGTTGGATTTTATAAGCGTAGGGTAATGAGGTGTGATCTGATTGCATTTTGCAATGACATGATGCCAGGAGGCATGATATGACTGGATCCTGCCATGGGGTGATGCCAGAGCTCATCTGATTGGATTCTAGATCCTGCTATGCGGTGTCTGCTTCTCAATTCAGTCCTCCCCACCCTTCTTGGTCTGAGTACTCAGGTTTCCCCTGTGGTAGAACATGTGTTCATCTGGGCATGCTCAGGTTACAGGACTTTCAACCTGGGGTCCATGGCAACCGAGAAATAACTTACAACTTTGCTACATAAAAGTTGAACCAGATTGGCCTGATGTGGTTACAATAATACAACACAGAAAATTCAGAAAAATGGGGTGGGGGGCAAAAGCTAGGGCAGGAATTCAGATTTTGGATGTGCTGTTTGGTTATGGTAGATCTTCGCAGGTCTTTTTAAATACAAAGATCTTGAGAAATTAGACATTAAGTTCTTAAAACCTTTCTTATCATATCCTTCTAAGGCATTGTTTTTCAGAGAAAGAAGTAATTTTGCTTCCCAGGAGACATCTGGCAATGTGTAGAGATATTTTTGGTTGTCACAACTGGAGGGAGGGGTGCTACCGACATCAAGTAGGTAGGGCCCAAGGTTGCTGCTTAGCATTCTACAATGCACCAGTCTTCCATAAAAAAGAATTACCTGGCCCAAATATCAATGGTGCCAAGATGGATACATTCAGTTCTAGGGACTAGAGGAATACCAGCATCTTATTTTACAATTTTGTCCAGGGCGAGACATTGGAGAGTATGGATGGGTCAATTAAAAAACATCATCACGGCTGAAAAGCCAATGTAATCTGAGTGTTGGCAGAGAAATTAAAAGTCATCTAATTCAACCACTCAGCTGATATTTGAATATTTGCTTCAATAACCTGTCATTGCATGAGAAAGCTTATTGCACAAAACAGCTCTAACATATCCACAGGCTGAGAGCCCAACTTGAAAGCATTTCATCTTTTGAAAGGTGTTCAGTTTCTATTTTTCAGTCTAAAATTGGCCTCTCTATAACAAGTAACCACTGGACCCAGTTTCACTTCTTAGTTACGCAAAGAACAATTTCTTTTCATCATAATTATCTTTGAGGCTTATAAAAGCATAAATTCTCTTTCTCCTGTGCTATGACTTTAGCTTTACATAAAGAATAAGAGTGGGCCGGGCGCGGTGGTTCATGCCTATAATTCCAGCACTTTGGGAGGCTTGGTTGGGTGGATTGCTTGAGCTCAGGAGTTGGAGACCAGCCTGGGCAACATGGTGAAACCTCTTCTCTACAAAAAATACAAAAATTAACCAGATGTAGTGGCATACATCTGTAGTCCCAGCTACTTGGGAGGCTGAACTGGGAAGACGGCTTGAGCCCAGGACGCGGAGGTTGTGAGCCAAGGTCGCGCTACTGCACTCCAGCCTGGGGCAACAGAGCCAGACCCTCTCTCCAAAAAGGAATAAGAGCGAGCACATAGCATTTTCTTTATATATAAAGAGAGCATATAACGAGGCAAAGCAAATAAAATTATATTTTAGTAGTTTGGACTTGGGTAAAAACAAGAAAACTTTATGGATGGCAAGGGAAAACTGTCAAGAATCAACAAAGAAAATTCATTAACTCTGGACAGAAATTAGGAAAAGCTTCTGATAAGAAAAATAAACCAAAGATTCAGATGCTAAGTGGAACCAAGAAAAGTAGGCAACACAAAATATAAATGAAATAAGTCAGAAAAAAAAATAGGCAAACAAGGAAAAACATAAAAGAAACAGAAGATGATAGTAAATGGCACCTGAATTTTAAGGAGAAGCCAGCCTAGTAGCAATTTACCTGTAAGTATGGCTGTCTCTGGCCTGAGGCCGTAGGAAATTATATGAGCAGGCCTTTCCTTCTGAATTATTATAATGGGGACATCAGGTTAAAGCAAACACCAAAAGCAGTCTTCTTCTTCTTCCACCTCCTCCTCCTTTCCTTTCTCCTTCCCCTCCTCCTCTCTTCCTCCTCCTTTTTTTTTGAGAAGGCTGGGATTAGGGGTTATGGGAGCTGGGTGGAGTCAGGAGAGGGGGCTAACAACTAGGGGAAAGTTGTATGAATTTGTTAGCAATGGGAAGATTTTAACTATATAGGTATATATATAGTTATATATATATACATATGTGTGTGTGTGTGTGTGTGTGTGTATACACACATGTTATCACAATGAAAAAAATAGCAACTAAAAACATTTTCCTGCCTTCCCTCCTGTGCTCACTGCTTAGTCACCAGCAGCAGCAGCCCAGGTCAGGGCAGTATCTCACATTCCCAGTTCCCTGGAGATGGACCTCTGATCACTGTAGTACATAGATCCTGTCATATTTATAGGAAACACAGTGACTCAGTGAGAACACCACTGCCACTGTCCCGCCAGCCCATTAATCAAATGTCAAATTTGAGGCAGCACTGGCTGGGCCCGCCAGGATGAAGGGTGTGGACGCAGAGCAACACACCCTTCTGTTTTCTTGTCTAGACCCATTTTGTGTGGGCCTAGAATCCAGAAACCTGTTGGGAGACTCTTCATTTCTTACTGAAATTAAGAGCATCCCAGTCCCAGGTGGCAAGGGGCAAGAGACTGCATTCTTCAGGCCAGGCAGGCGCGGTCAGCTTCAATTACCCCTGGGTAGTTGGGTTCACTGAATTTGGTGGCTCCTGGCCAGGACTGCATAACAGACACAGAGGCCCAAGGGTTTGCAGAAGACCAGGAGGGGCCCTCCGCCTCCTGCCTCATTGTGAGGCCCAGGTTTCCAGCCAGGCCGAGTGTGCTGCTGCCCTCAGGGGCCCATTGCAGAGGAGGAACTTGGGGAGCGCCCCACACCATGGAGAGGAGAGTCTTTCCCCAACTAAGCCACTGCCAAATGCCATTACCTTAGGAAAGGCACTTTGTGAGACCTCAACCTGGGCAGCCAAGAGGCCACGAGATGGCAGCAGAGGACACAGCCCTGGACACAAAACCTGAGCCATCTTGCCAAAAGGCAGATTCAGAAACGGAAAAGAGTTCATTTGTGAAATACTGTCAGTTGTCTATGATCACGTATTAAAAGCCAGAATAAATGACAGAATTTCAAAGAAATGAGGGTAAAATGTATTCACATGGAGAATTTCCCGACCACCAATGTGCCACAGCTGCATATGAAGCCACATATCATGAACTGGATTTCTTTAATGTTTAAAAGAATAGATAGGGGTCACGGCCTTTAAAAACTGACGTCAGCAGAAACCTTGTCAGTTTCTTCTTTCAGTGAAGTTCCCATTCAAGTAAAATGAGTGACCTCCACAGAGGCTGCCAAACTGATGAAGAAAGAGGCAGATACAGTGGTTGCTGGGAATCACTGCAGCAAAGCAGAACGCTGTCATGGAGCAGCCCGGGACTGTGGCAATAGGCAGTGTGGAGGGGGAATAATGAGGAACACAGGACAAGTCTCCAATAGTCTTTGCTTGCAGCTGGCAGAGGATAATGCACAGGAAAGCGGCATTAGCAGCACTGGAACTAAATCCCAAATCTGACTTCTCATCTACTGCGCCTTCCATTGTTACATATTCCCTCCTCCCCCACTCCTCAGTTGTGACTAACAAATATGTCTCCAGACCTTGCAAAATATCCTCTGGGGAACGAAATGACCTTTCTCTGAGAACCAATGCCCTAGAGGGATATGATGAAAAAGGTTTTATCAGAAAGGTTTTAAGAATTTAATATTTAATCGAAGACTCTTGGACTTTGCAAGGTCTACATGAACTGTAACATATATCCAAAACCTGAATTCCTACTATGTTTATCTAATGCAGACTGATGATTGAAGAACTATAGCTGAACTGGCTCTTGAGTTTTAAGAAATTATCATTTAAACTACTTCTTACCTCTACAGGCAATTTATTTTTAACCCCTGAAGTGGTTTATAGTTTTAAAGTACTTTTCCTTGTGTGATTTTATTTTAGCCTTGATACTCCAGTAAGGTAGACAGAATAAATATTACCATAACCTCCAAGTGCACAAAATGTAGTTCAGAGAGGTTTGACTTGCCCAAGCAACAAAATTAGAATCTAGGTTTCCTGAGTCCCAGTCCTATTATTTTTTTGAGGAAAAATTTCTAGTAAGAACTTAGGGGTTCATGAAACCAAACCAAAGAAGTAGGTATGGGCATAACTGCTGGAACAGATAAATTTCAACTGCTAAGCTGTTCAAAAATCATCACAAATTATTAATTCCATTTCTTTTTTTCTTTTTGAGACAGAGTCTCGCTTTGTCTCCCAGGCTGGAGTGCAGTGGTGCGATCTTGGCTCACTGCAACCTCTGCCTCCTGGGTTCAAGCAATTCTCCTGCCTCAAACTCCCGAGTAGCTGGGATTACGGGCACCCACCACCATGCCGGCCTAATTTTTGCATTTTTAATAGACACGGCCACCATGTTGGTCAAGCTGGTCTCGAACTCCTGACCTCAGGTGATCCACCCGTCTTGGTCTCCCAAAGTGCTGGGATTACAGGCCTGAACCACCGAGCCCGCCCAACTATGTTTCTTTTAATGAAGTATTTCTGCTTCCCCTCTCCTTGCAGGCATTGCCCTTCTGGCCTTCCTTAAGTTGGGTGTGGCTATATGACTTGCTTTGGCCATTGAATGGGTGGAAGTGACATGAATGTATCACTTCAGGGCAGCATTTAAGAGTCCATGAACAATTCTTCATGCTTACTTCACATTCTGAGGCGGGGGGCGCGGGGCGGGTAACCTTAACCTTCATAGGGACAGGGTAGGATCTCAAAATGGTGGCGCTCCATGAGCTTGGGAGGAAACATTTGCAATGAACAGAATCCCTTGCCAGCCTACTTTGGACACGTAGTATGAGAAATAAACCTTTGTGGTCTTAAGCCACTGTGATTTGGCATTTACCACAGCAGAGCCTAGCTTAATCTGACTGATAGAGGTTAATTTCCATGGTCATCAAGCTTCTCTGGAACTAGAATGCAATATCTAATCTGATCACATCACTAAAACCTGGAAAACAGAACAAATTGTTAATTTTCTTCCCTCAGCTTCCTCATCTACCACCACCTTCTGACTTTCAAGAAAAATATTGTTTCATCGGCCCTGCAGACATGAGCTCTCCATTATTCTGGCAATTAGACTGGGGGAGAGGAAGAAATGCAGAAGGCCTAGATCTTTTCTCCATTCCAGAGCCTGATCCCAGAACTGTCCCCACCCACTAGTACTCACACTTAACCTTGTCATAGGAAGATTATTACCACTCTTCCAAGGTGTCACAAACAGAAAAGAGCTGCAGCGGACGCCACTGCAATGTCAAGGCAAGGCAGCCAGGCTGCGCTCTATCCTCACTGGTGCCTGGCCCTGGCTAGGCCGGGAGAAGCAGCATTCTCTAGGGAAAGAAGCCTTCTCAAGTGGGAACAAAAATGAGTGTGAGGCGAACAGCCATCCCGGGCACTATGTGAATTTGGGGTGAGTTCTCTTGGTACTCCAGCTGTGGTCAATTTCTAGTTTCTAGCGGCCAGCAAGCTGCCCAGCTGCTGCTGCTAGTGGGACTCCCAGTTCTCCCGGGCTTTTCCCAAGCCCAAGCGAGCCTGTTATCTTTGCACACTTGCAAAGGTCGTAAACGGTGGGGGTGAACGCAGCCAGAACTTCAGCAACCCGACCGCAGCCGAGATCAAAGGTCGGCGGGTCAGCCCAGAGGCCAAGCCTGCGCAGTCCCGCTCCCGCGTTGGAGATAAAGGGTGGCGGCAGCGCAGGCTCGTTACACCGGCGTGCTCGCAAGAGGCGGGAAAGCGTTAGGGAGAGACGCGGGTCGCAGGGTCCCTCCCTCTGCCTGCCCTATCTACCCGCCTGCCCAGCGAGCCTGTCCATCTTCAGCGCCCAGGCCCTAGGGGAGGGGACGAGAAAGGCCCCGCGCTTCTGACTCATCATCTCCAACCCCTTTCTCGCGCGCGCTCCAAGTCTCAGGACTTCGGACCTGGGCCCTCCTGCGAGGGGGTGCGGCGACAGCATCTGGGAAGCCCCAGCTCTGCCAAGCGTCAGCTCCGAGCCCTCGCCAGTCTCTGAAGCTGCCAGCGCAGGGCTGGGGACCCAGATCCAGCTCTCTATTGCAGTGGCTGGGGGAGCGGCACGCCAGTGCAGGACCGCCCGCCCGGCTCCTCCCCGAACGCGGGGCCAGTGGTCGCGTCCGAGAAAGCGCCAGGCTAGGCCCCGACTTCCCCGCCTCGCGTCACTCAGCACATCCAACAGCGCCCCTACCGCGGAGAGAAGGCTCTTTATTTCCTAGCCGGTCACGGGCTAGCGGGGCATCCTGGGACTTGTAGTCTCCGCTACAGTAGAAAGGAGATGGATCGAAAGGGGAACTGGGGCACTCCTGAATTGGATTCAGGGAGTTGGCGTGTGCAGGGTCCGGGATTTGGAGTGGATGGGATTATGAAAGGTGGACAGAAAAGAAAAGTGCGATGAGGCAAATGTGAAGCTGTATGGGGAGGTGACAGGAAGAGAGGATATGGATGCAAGGGAGAAAGCAGCTTTTCAGGGTGGTGAGGTGAGGATATATTCTCGTCCAGGTGTATCTTCCCCTAACAGGGAAGGAACGAAAAAAGGGCCTGCTTTGAGTGAAAACTGAAGGCACTCCCGGACTTCCTATTGGACTCGAAGGATCCCAGCAAGCTTCTGAGTTTGGTGGGGTGGGATGCAGGAATGTCTGGAGAGCATTCTCTCAGGGTGGAAGGAGAGCAGCACGTGTCTGTTCCCGCTGTCCCACCCTCTCATTTGCTCCTGTGCTGGCCACCGTGGGACCATTCTCCAAACCAGGAACCTCTTCCAACTCAGAGAAGCCCTGAAAACCAGAGACAGGTGTGAGCAAATTGTAGAGGTGAGAAAGGAGAAACCCCAGACAGAAACAACTGCTTCCTCCTGCCCAATTTTCTATCCTGTTTCCCATAGTCCTGCCAATATTTAGGCAGCTTCCTAATGCTTTCCCACTCTTTTAACCTCAATCATTTGGATTCCCAGTTTCCTCTTACCCACCATTAGGGGAGAAATGTTCAAAGCCAGAGAAAGCCAATCAGTTTCATTCTAGGACCTCTTCTTTTCTCTCCTGCCCCATTATTTTCCCTTAAGTGCCACTGACCAGGATAGGCAGTGGAAAAATTAGTTGGCAGCTAGCTATTCGTGCTTTCTTCCCTGCCCCCATACCTCCTGCAGCTCTTGATAGTGCAGACTCTGGCTCCTGCAGCATCCTGGTTTCCTCTGGCTCAGCAAGAATAGGGCGTGCACTGAGACCAGCACTCCCCCTAGGGTGAAGGCCTCAGCACTGAGTTCCAGCACCAGCAAGCCAGCATGCTGCAGGTAGACAGGGCTGAGAATGCAGGGACCCCGCACCTGTTTGCCCCTGCCCTTTTCCCTTCCCACCTCCTCTTGCCTCCTTATCCTCCCACCTTCTCCTTCATTGACCAGTACCTGGGAGGAGGCAGTTGGGGCAGGCCCCAAGGCTGTCTTCATCACCTCGACCACCACCACTATGAAACCCAAGATCAAGTTGAAGGTGTTGAATATCATCATGGCCCGCACCTGCCAGTGAGCCAGCTCAGCCCTGCCCAGCCTAGGGGAGTCATTCCAACCTCAATCCCCACTTGCAGCCTAGCTGAAGACAAAACTCAGCTTCTGCTTCTCAGCCTCCAAACAGGGCCATAAGCCCTCTTAACTTTTTTGCTTTCCTCCTCAGTGATTGAGGCCAGTCAGTGGTGACAGCTGAGAGAATGAGTCAACACTTAGCCACTTACTTCCTAGGCTGAGGGTTGTAGGTGTCTGTTTTAGGGAGTGGGAGGACAGTGCTGCGTTTTCTTCCCTCTCACCTTCCAAAGGCGGGGTGCTCTGCGAAGCTCCAGAGTGACAGTCCCAGTGAGGAGACCCTGAATGGTGAGAAGGGCAAGTGTTGAGCTCTGGTCCCGTTAGGAAGGGGCCCTGGGACCTTCCACCCTCCCTTGTGGTGGGTCTTACTGAGGCTCCAGGCCCAAGAGGCAGCGCTGTGGCCATGTGACAATCAGAGTTCAGGCAGGCGACTGAGACAGCAAGGGGCACCACAACCACTGCCAGCCATAGCTGGCTCACCTGGGGGTAAGGGTAGGGTAATTGGGGAGGAACTGTCAGGGATTCCCTCCCTTCTCGTAACTCCTACCTCTTTAGAGATCAGGAAATGGGATTGAATGCAGGGTGGAGGAAAGCAGTCAACCCAGAGCAAGGACGTGATCATTAAAAATTAAGTATCATTTAATTTTTTCTGCCTCATATTGTAGTTTAGTTACTTACCTGTATGTTTTCCCCCACAAGATGGAAGCTACTTGGGAGATTAAGGGTCTTGCCTTGTTTATTTCTATGTTTTCCTCTACCCTCCTCCCATTCAGAACCTAGCTCAGTTTCTGGCACATGGTAGGTGCTCACTTAACATGGATGGATGGATGGATGGAATTGAATTGGGTAGAAGTGGACATGCTGAGACCTGGGATGGGGTAGCCTGGCCTCACCGCTAGCACCAAGAGGTGCCCACTCTGCCTGTGCCTTGCCCAGTGTTGTAGCTTTTCCAGACGAAGGCTGTGTCTCTCCTGCTCTTGCTCACCAGCTCTATCTTCCATGGCTCCTTTGCCCACAAGAATTAGGTGCTTCCTAGGCTGGGAAAAATGCGTTATAGGTTCTGTCTATTAGGAGACAGGACATGCAACAACGTATCTTTCAGCTACACCTCTGCCCACTCCCAATATCCAGGGATTTGAGGTCCAGGTCCTCACACCTACCTAGTCTGAAGCAGCTACTCCAAAGGGATGGGACCCAGCTGGGTCCTAGGTCTCCTAAGGGGCTTGATAGCTCAGAGCAGACGACAAACTTGTCCTGGCAGAGGAAGGCTGTCAGGGATGGGGTGTGGTGGGGCAAAGGTTTCTATGAAGGCCTAAGGATCTAGGGAGTGGCCCTGGGTAGATACCGGCCTCAGTTCACTCCACAAGATGTCTAGCCCGACCTCACTCTGTTCCCATTTCTCATTACCCTCATTTCTGCCCATCCTGGGTTCCTTTTCTGGTTTCACTTACCTCATCCCCATGGACACTATCACTCTGGACCTCAATTCCCCCTCATTTCCATATGATCTTACTCCTTTCTTTGGCTTCCTCCTCAAATTATGTGCCCTTCCCTAGAGATCCTACTTTCTGTCTGGATTGGTCCCCTGTCATTACTACTTGCAGCTTTGCCCCCAGACCAGGTAAGGTTGAATTCCAGGGGCTTTCTTGCCTCTCACTTTCTGGACAGTCTCCCTTCCTTCTTTCTTGAAGGTTTTACTCTGAACTGAACACTGACTCAATGGATGGGGGGGACCCTGTTTATGGTGGGGATTGTTTTTGATTCAATGATAACCTGCAACTGGACATTATCTATCTATCTATCTATCTATCTCATGGTCCTCAAATAGTGAGTCTTGGGAAGGATGCTATTGCAACAATTAATATTTTTGAGAGAGAAGGTGCCTCATAGCCAGACAGACCTGAGCTGGAATCTTAGCTCTGCTGCTTCTCCATCTGTGTGATCTTGGATACATTATTATTATTATTATTATTATATTATTGAGACAGGGGCTCACTGTCACCCAGGCTGGAGTGCAGTGGCATGATCATGGCTCACTGTAGCCAACACCTTCTGGGCACAAATAATCATCCTGCCTCAGTCTCCCAAGTAGCTGGGATCACAGGCACATGCCACCATGCCTGGCTAATTTTTAAATTTTTTGTAGAGACAGGGTCGTCTCACAATGTTGCCTAAGCTGGTCTCAAACTCCTGGGCTCAAGCCATCCTCCCTGCTTGGCCTCCCAAACTGCTGGGATTACAGGTGTGGGCCACTGTGTCTGTCCTGATAGATATGTTTTTCTACCTATTCGCACCTCAGTTTATTCACTGATAAAAGGGGGCTAACAATATGACTGTGAAGAGTTGTTGATTCAGGGTGGGTGTTTAATAACTATTAGTGGTGCTGATGAGGTCACACCGATAAGTCTGATGCCCATACACTAAAAGTGTTATTCAGAAGGAAGCTGGGGACACATTTCTACAGTCGGAAGCAGAACCAGCTGGGCCCAAATATACTCTATAGATCAAAACAAATCCCAGATCTACCTAGGTGCCCTTGGCAAGTTGCTTAATCTCTCTGTTCCCTTATCTATAAAAGGAAGTTAATAATACCAGTCTCAAGGGGTTGCTTTCAGCATGGAAGAGAGCTTAGCCCAGTACCTGGTACACAAGTGCTCAATGTTAGTGGCTATGATCATCATCACTATTATTATTTCTTGTTGTTGACGATAAGAGGAGACTGCGCCAGAAGACTCTAGAAGTTAGTACGAGGAGGGAGGCAGGGTCCTGGGAGGCAAGTGATCTTTTGTAAGCCACTCCTGCCCCATCAGTGCTGTGCCAACATCGGCGGGTCATTGTATCTACTCTTTTCTTTCCCGGGGAGTGGGAGTCACGTTTTAAAGAGATCCAGAAAACTGCTGTGTGTCTACTCCTCCTCAATTCCCACGTGCATTGATTTTATTTGGTGGCGATGTGAGATGTTGGGCTTGCACTGAGGATCCCCGAGCCTGCAGGCCACTGGGGAAACAGACTTCCTGAAGCCTCATTTTTCTTACTTGTAAATGGGGGCTAATTTAATTATAGAGGGTTATTGGAAAGATTATATACTATTAGATAGGTGAACAGGCATTCAGTAAATATTGACTAAATCTGAGTATACTACTTACCAGTTTGTAGTCTAGACTACAATCGCCTGGAAGGAAGGTACCACTTCTTTCTCATCCCTCACAGCGCTGAGCCCAGTGCCTGGCACTTAGTAAGCACTCAGTAAATATTTGTTGTATTGAAGAGCCATTAAAGTGACTTGAGGAATGGAAAATAGAATTCGAGAGGAAGGCGCAGGAATTGTTTATCAAGAACGGAAAGGACCGAAGAGTAACTTTAATAATGTTTCTTATACGGCCGACATTAACTATCTCTATAATCGCCCCTCCTCCTCCCCCAAAAGAGAGACAGAAATTGTAAGGGAGAGGCTTTGAGATAAAACCCCAGGAAGAACTTCCCGAGTCTGTGCATGTTGGGGCAGAAAGAGCGGCAGAGCCAACTCCTTCCCTGGTATGTCCGGGTTTAGGGAGGGAGGGGCAGTGCTGCTTGGAGGCTGGGGGAAGGACGAGATGACCTTTCAAAATCTCTTCCAGTCTCCTGTTGGAATCCTCTGTGCGCCCCACCCCCGCTCCCTCCCTTCCTCCCTCCCTCCGACAGCGCCCCCCGTCTCCAAACCGCCCGCACCCCGCCCCTGGCGGCCGCCTCTCGCGGCTCCCGGGGTCCCCAGCTCCCTGTCCCCGGAGCCAGAGCCCGGCTCCCGCGCGGCTCCCAGCCCCGCCGCGCCGCCCCCCGCATGCTAATGGCCGGGCCGCCTCCCGCCGCACACAATGCGGGCCAGGGCCGGGGGCGGGGGACCGGGGAGGGGGCGGGGGCCGGGCCGGGGGCGGGGGGGCCGGGGCCCGGCGCATCTCCCCCGGCCCCACGTAACGCTGACGCCCGCGCCGCCGGCCCGCCGCCCGCCGCCGCCGCCGCCGCCGCCGCCCGCTCCGCCGCCGCCCGCCCGGGGCTCGTGAGTAGCCGCTCCCCCGACTCCCGGGCCCCCCCGTCCGCCACCCGGCCCCCGCCCCCGGCCCCCTCCCCCCTCCCGGAGGGGGGGCCCGCTCAGCGCGCCCGGCTCGGAGCAGGTGCAGGGGGCGGGGGCGGGGGAGGGGCGCCGGCTCGGCCCCAAGCAAACTTCGCCCAGAGCTCCTGGGGGGGCGGGGTGGGGGTGGCGGCCTCGGAAGCCTGGAGAGCTGGGGGGCCCCAAGGGAGGGGGGGCCAGGTGGAAGAGCTGGGGGAGCAGACACCAAAGGGAAGGGCCAACGGGGGGGATGTGGCGGGGGAGGTGGCGGGTGTCTTTGTAGGGGCCCGAAGGCAGGGCGCGAGGGACCTGGGGGTGAGGGGCGGCAGAGCCGCGAGCCTGAGTGGATGTGCACCCCCCAACCCCCGGCCCAGGTAGGGCTGGTGGGGGAGGGGGAAGGAGCCCAAACTCTCTGGAAGCACGGGGTGGCGGGGGAGGGGAAAGGATGGGGGGTGCTTCCCTCTTTGCGTCCCAAACAAAGTGTCACAAAGAGCTCGGCCCGCGGCAGCAGCGGAGGCGGCTGTAACTCAGCTTTTGTTCTCCTGGCCGGGGGTAGCTGAGCCTTGGCCTCCCTATCTCCCAACCCTGCCCCCCATCATCCTTCTGGCTTATCTTCCTGGGGAGGGGTCTGGGGTGCTGCTGGAAAAACCTCTCCGGCAGGATAGCAGGTCCTACCCTACTTAGCAATCTATTTCTGGGAGGGGGATTTTCCCAGAGGCTCCCTTGATCGCCCCTACCTCCCAGTCTGAGGACCGAGGCTCACGTGGGTGCTAAGACTGACTTTTCTAGGGTCAGCTCCACTTAAAGGGACTTAGGGCTGGCTACATGCCCCTCTTTCCCAAACCCAGGTCTTCCAGAACTTTCAAAATCAAAATCGGGGTTGCGTTAGGACATGCCTCTGGGATAAGATTCCCCATGGTGGGATGGCAGCAGGTGAGCAGGTGTGCCTTCCTCTCGCCTCCTGCTGTACCTTTGAAGTCCATGGCTGAGGTTCCATGTCCCTAACTCAGGAGAGTGAGGACAGAGGGAAGGAGGCTTTACCAAGATCTCAGTCTAAAAAGGCTGGTGAGCTGCAGAGTGGAGCGGGTTAGGAGGAGCTATCTGAGCAGTGAGGTTCAGAGGGCCATGGAGAGGAGACCATAAAAGTGAACTACTGGTGTGTCTGTGTGATCAAGGTAGTCTTTTGAACGTAGACCGCCCTAGAAGCTCCCTTTCCTTTTAACCCCATCTAGTGCAGTGGTAATCATAATTGTTAGCAGATTTGGGAGGTCTAGGATTCTCAAGAGGGAAAACCATCGTGTTAGAGGTGACCAGAGGCAGTTACAACTGGACCCCAGAAGTCCTGAACCCTTGCTCCTTACACTTTGACCCTAAAAACTTTTGAATCACAAGACTTGAGGGACAGTCTTTGTGGTCCATTTAGCAAATACTTCTATGTACCTGTCCTTGTTGTTTCTAAGTCTTTTCACCAACCATTCCATCCTTCTCTACTGAGTAAGGTTTAGTGGTCCACACCCACTTCCCTACCAGCTGCCCCAGCATGTAAGGATAATTGGCCTACTGCTTTTGAAAGGTTTCTGATATCTATCCCTGGCCCCGCATCCTTATAGAATCCAAATAAGGGCAAGATAACCCCTGATTCCCAGTGGGGGTGGAAAGTAGGTCAGTGCTGCTGTCTGGCCAAGTCTCGAGGATGGTGTTTAAGGCCTGACTATAGAAAACTCTGTGATTATTGTCCAGGGGCAATATATGCATGACCTCGGTTCCAAGGCAGTTCATAGTATCCCAGTCCCTGTCAGTTCTTTCCCCTACTGAGAAAAAAATCATGGGATCAGGTGTCTGGAACCTGGTTTGATATGGAGATGATTCAGATCTTCATTGGGCCTAAGAAGGTATCTCAGTGAGTTTTGTTGATTTTAGGCCACCTTCTGGGGAAACTTTCCGTGCTGGGGAATTCAGCTTCAGTTTGGGCCTTCTTGTATATCACTCTATTTCTGTTCTGGAAACTGCTATGTGCAAAGTGGTTTATTGTTGTTTTGTTTTGGGATAGGAAGCTTTGCCCTTTTCTGACTCTTCTTGCCTCAGATATGAGGCCAGCTTCCTAAGAGATTTTGCTTGCTATCCTACAGACAGTTTTAGGGGCCCTAGAATCTTCTCAGAATGAGAGTATGTGCCCATAGGTTAGTCAGCTATGACCATGCAGTATTCCCAGCCCCCCCGCCCCACGCCTCCACCATCTGCTTCCTCTGAATATACCAGATTGGCTGTACACCAGGATGTTCCGGGAATCCCCAGGAGAGCAACAGAATGTGATGGACCCAAATATGATGCCTCAGTAACTCATTCCAGGATGTACAAACTGTAACTGTCAGGATGCTCCTTATAGCTAATTAAAATTCTTCTAGTTACATCTATTTTCTATTAGCTCTTTCTATTTTCAGTGACATCTAAAAGGCCAAAATAATCCCTCTGGTACCACTGGGTTTTTTTCTATGGTTTTCAGATAGGAACGAAAAAAAAATGCTCTAGCTTTTCTGTGTTGTATCTGCGATGCTAAAATGGCAAACAGCCCCTCTAGCACCTCATAGCTCTATCTATGGTACTGAGGTGGCCCAAGTGGCTTCTGTGGTAGCCCACTGCACTCTCCATGGTACTGAAGGGATGACCATTTGTTTTAACATCTCTCTGGGGTCCAAAAGAGTCCTGTGACTTAGAATCACAAACTTTTTTCGAGCAGGAAGGGACTAACACTATAAATTAGTCCAATCCCCTTATTTTACTGATGAGTAAACTGGGAGGTTAAGTGATTTAGTAAAGGTTGTAGGGTTATCAATGTTCAGACTAGGCCTACAATAGCCTTGTACCCTTCAGTCCTATTCTAATTCACCTTTTGTGACACTATTCAGTAAGCCTGGCTAGGCTCTTAGTCCCAGGAAAGGATCCAGAGGATGAGAGTGGGTGCCCTAATTTGAAGCTACAGAAATACACATATTAAGTGGTAGTGGAGGTCGTCTAGTGACCCTTGGACAAGGACACTTTGTTAATTAATCATCTGCTAATAATAATCCTATAGCCCAGATTCCACATGTAACAGGTACCTGCCCCTTCATGGAGTTTTACCACATCCACTAAATGTCAAAAATTAAAGAAGCCTTGGACCTCCAGAGCCTTTTCTCTCTGCTGACAGGCAGGTTGACTCCTGGCACAGTTCTTTTCTATTAAAGATCCTTAGGCAAAGTAATGCTTGCATCTTTTTCTTTCTCAGTAACCCATTTCAGTTTTGTGATGCCTATTGTAAGGAAGTTCTTTATATCTCAAATATCCTTTCTTAGACAAAAAAAAAAAAAAAAAAAGGTTAGACCCACATTCATTTAGCCTTGACCAGATACTATTCTATATGAGGCAGAAAGGTAGACTAGATGACTTCTGGTCATCCTCCCAGGTCTGTTTCCATGAATCTTGATTCTGGGGTTTCTTCTAAGTCCTCATGCTAAACTCCTCTGCAGCTTAGGATCAGCACCCGCCCCCCCCCCCAACCCCTATCCTCTTCCTCTCAATGATCTTCTCCTTCCCCAGCACTGGAGCTCTGCAAGTCCCAGGCCTAGGGAATTTTAGCCTGGAGAATTTTAACCCTTTCCTGCTCAGAGCATGTGCTGAGTCCCTATCTGTGCAGATGGCCCAGCCCCGCCCCCCGTCCCTCACTCCAGCCTCTTGAGCTCAGAGCCAGTGTAATCCTCCTCTTGTGTGAGGGAGCCTCTCCCCTGCAGAGAGGAGGAAAGCCTGCCTCGGAACAGCCCTGGACAAAGGGGCTCAGATGCCCCATCATACTGCAGGCTCCAAGGTTTGAAACAAGGGGATGAATCCTATACGGTATTTGCAGTTTTTAGCCCCTTCCCCAGGCTAGCTGTGCCCCTTAACTTCCACTCCTCCCCCAACTCTCTCTTCATTCCCTCTCCCTCTGGCTCCCTCCCCCTTCATGCCCCTCCCCCTCTGTCTGTCTTCAGACTCTGCTGCTGGGAGGTGTTTCTCTCCCATGCATGAATGAGTCTCTGTAATGAATGGAAATGAATGGATCAGGAATCCAGGCGGAGGGAGGGAGAATGAGGGGGGAAAGACAGAAAGACAGGGTAAGGGCAGAAGGAAGCACTGTGGAACCTGGAAGGATGTTTGGCTGGCTGCTCAGTTAGGGATCTCAGAGCAACTGGTCCCACTTGGATAAATGGGGAGCATGGCAAGCCCACCTCATTTGCTCACCACACTGCATAGCCCAACCTACATGGGAGAGGGGCATATTGTGATGGTCTTCCCCACCGCCAGGGGGTGGGGTGGTAGCTGTGGTTGTTCTGGACCATGCATTTAAAATATAGAATTTGGGGAAGAAATCTGGATTATCTGGGAGGCTTGTAGGCTTGGCAAGTCAAGAGGTACAGTTTTTGAGTATAGCAGCCCCTTCGTGCCTCAAGAAGCAAGTAGGGAGAATGGATTGGTTTTGGGAATACAGAATGCTGAGAGTCTGGGGGTAGGGAGTGACTTTACTGCTGAAAACTAGGGCTCATCTTTTCCTCCAAATCTGTCTCTTGCTTTAGCTCCACAGCACCTGTTGCCTTCATTAGCAGCTTTTCCTCCTCTTCCCTGCACTTCCCAGAACCAAAGAATGTGAAGGGGGTCCATGGAGGTGAGTGAAGCTCTGGCTTCAACCTACAAGTACCTACAACTGTATACTCCCTCTCCTGCCTACCTCTCTCTCTCTTTGACCTCCCATTATTAGAAGTTAACTCCTTGGCCCTGACATCTCGATTCCCATACACCTCCCCCCACCCCATCTTCCCGAGGTGAGTAGCACCCTGTGTTCCTAGTTCAGGCCCCAGCCCACCTTCCCTCGTGTTGTCCTTCTGGCCCTCGAGGCGACGCCCTTGCTTCCTTTACAGCTCTACCTTCACCCTTTGCTCTACGCAGATCTTTCTCCACAGGGCTCACGTCCCCGCGCCCCGAGCGGCCACTTAGCGCCGTCGCCGCCGGCTTTCGACGGCGAGCTGGATCTGCAGCGATACTCCAACGGGCCAGCCGTGAGCGCAGGGTCGCTCGGGATGGGAGCGGTGAGCTGGTCTGAGAGTCGTGCAGGCGAACGGCGCTTCCCCTGCCCTGTATGCGGGAAGCGCTTCCGCTTCAACTCTATCCTTGCTTTGCACCTGCGGGCGCACCCAGGAGCCCAGGCCTTCCAGTGCCCTCACTGCGGCCACCGCGCGGCGCAGCGGGCTCTGCTGCGCTCGCACCTGCGCACACACCAGCCCGAGCGCCCACGTAGTCCTGCTGCACGCCTGTTGCTGGAGTTGGAAGAGCGCGCGCTACTACGCGAGGCCCGACTGGGGAGAGCCCGAAGCTCAGGGGGCATGCAGGCCACCCCTGCCACTGAGGGTCTGGCGCGGCCCCAGGCTCCTTCATCGTCCGCCTTCCGTTGCCCCTACTGCAAAGGCAAGTTTCGCACCTCGGCGGAGCGCGAACGCCACCTGCACATCCTGCATAGGCCCTGGAAGTGCGGCCTGTGCAGTTTCGGCTCCAGCCAGGAGGAGGAGCTGCTGCACCACAGCCTGACGGCCCACGGGGCTCCCGAGCGTCCCCTGGCGGCCACCTCCGCTGCGCCTCCGCCTCAGCCTCAGCCTCAGCCTCCACCCCAGCCCGAACCCAGATCAGTCCCCCAGCCGGAGCCGGAGCCGGAGCCCGAACGTGAGGCAACCCCGACCCCAGCTCCTGCCGCTCCCGAGGAGCCCCCAGCGCCTCCGGAGTTCCGCTGCCAAGTGTGCGGCCAGAGCTTTACACAGTCTTGGTTTCTCAAGGGCCACATGCGTAAGCACAAGGCCTCCTTCGATCATGCGTGTCCGGTGTGCGGCCGCTGCTTCAAGGAGCCCTGGTTCCTTAAGAACCACATGAAGGTGCACGCCAGCAAGCTGGGCCCACTGCGTGCCCCGGGGCCTGCCTCCGGGCCTGCCCGCGCCCCCCAGCCTCCTGACCTCGGCCTGCTGGCCTATGAGCCGTTGGGCCCAGCGCTCCTCTTGGCCCCGGCTCCCACCCCGGCCGAGCGCCGTGAGCCCCCGAGCCTCTTGGGCTACCTGAGCCTGCGAGCTGGCGAGGGCCGGCCCAACGGCGAGGGTGCTGAGCCCGGTCCCGGCCGCAGCTTCGGAGGCTTCCGCCCGCTGTCCTCTGCTCTCCCGGCCCGGGCTCGCCGGCACCGTGCGGAGGAGCCTGAGGAAGAAGAGGAGGTGGTGGAGGCCGAGGAGGAAACCTGGGCCCGGGGCAGGTCGCTGGGCTCTCTGGCTTCCCTGCACCCGCGCCCGGGTGAGGGACCGGGGCACTCTGCCTCTGCTGCTGGGGCCCAGGCAAGATCGACCGCCACGCAGGGTATGTAGGTACCCTCCGCTCTCCGGGTACGCCGCGTCCTCCTCTGACTCTTACGCCGCCACTCCCTCGTAGCTTCCTTGTTAAAAGAACTTACGTTTAATTTCTCCTGAGTTTTTTTGTTTTGTTTTGTTTTGTTTTCCTGGAGGCTTTGCCATCATTTGAGAACACTTAACTCTTTAGTCACAACAAATCTAACCCCTCAGACTTTGTTTCCTCCTGGACCCCGAGGGGAAGCAGCCCTATGGGATGGGTGTGGGGTGGGTGCGCGGCACCTGGACAGGGTGTGGGCCCCCCTGACTTCCTCTTAACGTATGTGTTGCAGAAGAGAATGGGCTGTTGGTTGGAGGGACCCGGCCTGAAGGGGGCCGGGGCGCCACCGGCAAGGATTGTCCTTTCTGCGGAAAATCTTTCCGCTCAGCACATCACCTCAAAGTGCATCTGCGAGTGCACACAGGTGAGGGAGGCAGCCTCCGGCGTGGAGAGGGGACTGGGGGCGGGCAGAAAGGTGAGGGCTACCGAAACACTAGGAGGTGAAGTTTGTTCCGAAGCCTTCAGTTTGGCTGGATGAGATCACTTGGGAAACGCTCCTTTATTAAATCAAAGTGGGTGGGAGACGCAGTGCCCTTTCTTGGTTCTGAGAATGAGGTCTGTAAATTGGGCGAAATTCGGGTGGGTGCGTGCAGTCATCGTGACCCCGTGACCCTATCGCACCCACTCTCCCCAGGCGAGCGGCCCTACAAGTGTCCGCACTGCGACTACGCGGGCACCCAGTCCGGCTCGCTCAAGTATCACCTACAGCGCCACCACCGGGAGCAGAGGAGCGGGGCCGGCCCCGGGCCACCCCCGGAGCCACCGCCTCCTTCCCAGCGGGGTTCGGCCCCGCAATCTGGAGCCAAGCCGTCTCCGCAGCCTGCGACCTGGGTGGAGGGCGCCTCAAGTCCCCGGCCTCCTTCTAGCGGTGCTGGGCCGGGGTCCCGTCGGAAGCCCGCCAGCCCTGGGAGGACCCTGCGCAACGGGCGAGGCGGTGAGGCCGAACCCCTGGACCTGTCCTTGCGGGCAGGGCCGGGAGGCGAGGCCGGGCCTGGGGGTGCCCTCCACCGCTGCCTCTTCTGCCCGTTCGCCACTGGAGCCCCAGAGCTCATGGCCTTGCACCTTCAAGTGCACCACAGCCGCCGGGCTAGGGGCCGCCGGCCACCCCAGGCTGACGCGTCCCCGCCCTATGCCCGAGTACCATCAGGAGAGACCCCTCCCAGTCCTTCGCAGGAAGGGGAGGAGGGCTCCGGGCTGTCCAGACCCGGAGAGGCAGGGCTGGGGGGGCAAGAACGGTAGTGGGCCCTCAGGGGCGATTAGCTTAGTGAGCTTACCCCGCCGGAGCGGGGGAGCGCTAGAGGTAGTTGGGTAGAGAAGCCAGCAGGGGGCAGCGTGGGACCCATATCCCAGCCCCAGGCGGACCAGAGGTGGAAGGCGCGGCGGGCGTAGGAGGGTGGGCTGGCGGTACCCACCCAGCCCAAGGGAGTCACAGTGCCTTAGAAGTGGCAGAGGTGAGGGTCAAAGAACGGGGTCCCTGGGCTGGCAGAGAAGGTTTGTGTCCCTGTTGAGGAGCCACTCTGCCAGTCTTTGCTGGTCCATAGGCGTGAGAGTTTATTTTTGTACAAGGGGTGAGGGTGGGGGGCACTGTACCCTTCTAGCCCCATCAGGGGCCCTGTAGACGTCGCTATTTTTGGTACGATTCCTGTCATCCCTATTGCAGAGTCGTGTCCCCAATAAACAGGTGTCTTGAGGCACAGGGCCCTGTGTCTGTCTGCCTACCTATGTCCTGCTTCCCTCTTTGGGTCCTTCTGTCAGGAAATAGTCACCTCTTCAGACACTTAGTTATCACCCAAAGAGTTTGATAAGAAATGCAGAATATTGGGTTTTACCCCCAGGTTTCGATGCAGTAGCTCTGATGGGGCCCAAGAATTAGCATTTAACAAACAGCCAAGCAAGTTCTCACGCACTGTGGCCTGAGGACCTCATTTTGAGAACTGCTGGACTGTGCTGGATCCCAGTTTGTCTGTGACCAGTTCAGCCTCAAGGAGTAGGTGCAGTGTGGGAGAAGGAGCTTCAGAGAGTGTGTGGAACCTCTGGGAGCCACTGTGGAGGAGACACATTCTCCCAGGCTCATACACAGTCAGCTAGCTCTGGGCCTGGGAGGGGTAGAGGGGACCTTCCAGTCTTGGTTTTATTTTCTGTGTTCTAGTTAAGGGCTGGTTGAGGGAAAGTGCTCAAGTTATTTATCACCTTAATCCAGAGGACTACTCTAGCTCCTTAGAGGCAAAGTGTGAGTAAATACATTTAATATAACAATAGTATTATAATAACAGTAATTACATATATAAAGTCTACGGTTCCCCTGTCACACCCTCCTATTGTTTGCATAGCTTCATTGCTTGTGACACCTCAGAATGGAGTCACCAGGGACTCCAGTTGACCTGGCAGAGATGATTCTTCTCAGGGAAAGTCAGGGGGTGAGAAAAGAGGAGAACATGGGCTGCCAGGGAGGGCTGGCATGGGAGTGATGTCCTGGATACAGTGGCCCAGGATGGGAAAGCACCGGAAGAGGGATAACTTCCCCACCTCCAGGGTATGAAGGCAAGCAATGTGGCTGCTCTGACTCCTGCAGGAGAAGGCACCAAGCTAGGGAGACTAGAGATAGTGGTGGCAGGGCAATACTCTGGTCGTTAGACCTCCTCTGTGTCCAGGAAGCAGAGGGAAGAAATTCAGCGATCGCCCAGGGCTCCATTATGCCCCACTGCCATCCCAGCCCAAAGTGTGCTGAGAGGAGAAGCTGCACGCAAGTTCTGGATCTTCTCTAGAAGCCAGGAGAGAAGAGGGAGATGAGTTGGGAGAGGGAAGAAGCTGACTCCCAAGTAGCCGGGGACAGGAAGGAAGGTACATGCAAGATGGTAGGAGTGCTGGATGTGGTAGAAATTGGGGATGCTGACTCACCCAGGTCACAGAGGCGTGGTGGGGTCACTCAGGGCTCGAGCATGACTCTGGGGGGAGAGAAGCTACAGTGAATTTAGGGACATATTTCTTGTCTTTCTCTCTCTTTTCCTCCATTCCTCCCCACAAGCCTGTCAATTCACCTCTCTTTCCTACCCAAAATCCTTGAATTTTGCTATTTACTTTTATTTTTTTAGAGACAGGTGCTCACTGTTGCCCAGGTTGGAGTGCAGTGGCACAAACATGGCTCACTGAAGTCTCAACCTCCTGGGCTCAAGAGATCCTCCTGCTTCAGCCTCTCGAGTAGCTGGGACTATAGGTGCGCACCCCTCAAAAGTCCGGCTAATTTAATTTTTTTTTTTTTGTAGAGATGGAGTCTCACTATGTTGCCCAGGCTGGTCTTGAATTCCTGGGCTCAAGTGATCCTCCCACCTCAGCCTCTGAAAGTCTGGGATTACAGGTATGAGCCACCTTACCTGGCCTGAGTTTTGCCATTTTAACCCAAGTCCAAGCCAGGCCATTGGCATTCTCCCCTTTCCATCCACCCCAGCACTATACTCCTTATTTAAGATTCCTTTTAACCTATGACCTTGATGCCTCTTAGCCAGGTCCCGGGGAGAGGAGAAAGGTAGACAAGATAATAAATCCAGACTGTAGCCTCAGCTGGGAGCACAAGTTCACAGTTTTCCCCCAACCCCCCTGGGGTTGAATGATCAGAAAAGCCCATCCAGAAAGCAGCCAAAGAGATCACATTGTTCCCAGCCTCGTTGTAGGAACTTACCTGTCGGGATAGCCCTAAGATCCCTCGACTGGCCAGGGTGGGAGTGCTGCTCCCAGGGTGGGGGGGTTGCAGGCTGGGGCTGTTTCTTGGTCCTGGGGACACATCTCCAGAAGAGTCAAGTGTTTCTGGGGCTGAAGGGGAAGCTAGGGTGAGAGCAGAGTACAGAATCCCTCCAGATTACCTTAAGCAACCAAGCTGCTCCATCAGGGAAGAAAAAGCTCCATAGCAACAGGAAGCTGTGAGTCACCATAGCGATCCAGTTGCAAGGGAACCCCCTACCAAGAGGCAGGAAATTGTCAGCAGCATCATTAGAGCAACCAGGGAAGAAGCGACAGGAAACTATAAGGATTGCCGTGGTGAACCAGGAGGGTACAACAGGAAGCTGAGGCAGTTTCCATAGAAACCCAAGAAGAGCTAGAGAGAGAGGTACAGAGGAAGTGCTTCTTAGCAACAGGCTGTTGTAAGCATCACCCTAGCAACCAGATGGAAGGCTCTTTTAGCGGTGGGGAAGCTGTACATAGTTGTCATGGCAACTGGGCTTCTTGGCTAGAAAAAGGAATTGCTCAGCAGCAAGCAGCCTGAACATCACCACCATGACCGAGCTGTTGGGAGCCACCCCTTGAGAGGTGCCTCACCCAGGGAAATTTGCTTGACGTCCAGATCCCAGGCCTCCTCCTCGACGCGGGCAGGCAGGGAGCAGGCTCCCGGCGAAAGGCCGGGAAGGGAGGGGCCGGCATGCTCAAAGGATGACACGGCCACGGAGGCCCGGGTGCGGGCGGCTGCAGAGAGTGGGGAGTGGGGGGTGGGGTGCTGGTGTGGGAAAGCCCTCTTGGCTCCCTGGAATGACCCTCAGTCTCACAGAGGGCCTCCCAGCCAGTCCCACTGATTTGGGGACGAGATGCCTTTCCTGACTTTCCACCATACCTCCCCTTTGTATCCTCATTGTCAAGGTCTTCACTCCTGGGGGCCACCCCCCAGCACCCTGGCCCTCACCTCTTCCAGTGAGCAGGGCACTCAGCGTCCGCTCCCCAAGGGCTTTGATGTCCAGGAAGGGTTTATTCCCAATGCCCATGGACACCATCTGCTGCACTCGGAGCTCTGGGGAATAGGGACACTTGTTACCAACTTCTTCCTGCCCTTCTCTCTAGCCCTAGCATGTCATGGTTGATTTTTTTCTTTTTTTTTTTTTTTCGTTCCTTCCCAATCCTCATTCCTCCCTTTCATTCCTCTGATGTCTCTTTTTACTCCTTCTGTTGACTATCACAACATGGATGGCAATGATGGTGTGACTTCCTCCTCAGATATCTGGCTCTTCTCTCCAATATGTTGCATCCTGGCTGTTTGGCATCCCAGCTGCCTAATTTCTACTCTGCATCTTGGGCATTAAGAGCACATACACACACAAAAAACAAACCCTCACATTTTTACATACCTTTACAGTTTACAAGATGCTTCCATATATTTGACCTTACCTAATCATCCCTATTACACTAAGATGAAGACATTAGTATTTCATTTTTCAGATGAGCAGAATGAAGTTCAGAAAATTAAAACCAAGGTAAAGCCCAGCAAAAAAACAAAAATAAAAATAAAACTAACAAACAAAAAACTAGTCCAGGTCACACAGCAAGTAGCAGCAGTTCTTAAATCCAAGCGAGCAGTTTCTCACCTTTTTTCCCAGCCATTTGCTTTATTAAAAAATTTGAAAAAAAAAAATCCTTTAAAGACAGAGTCTTGCTCTGTCACTCAGGCTCAAGTACAGTGGCACCACCATAGCTCACTGTAGCCTTGAACGTTTGGGCTCAAGCGATCCTCCTACCTCACCCCTCAAATAGCTAGGACTATAGGTGCGTACTACCATGCCCAGTTAATTTTAAAATTTTTTGTGGAAACGGGGTCTCACTATGTGCCCAGGCTGGTCTTGAACACCTGGCCTCAAACAATCCTCCCACTTTGGCCTCCCAAAATGCGCTGGGATTACAGGCATGAGCCACTGCACCTGGCCCCTACTTGCTCTTGCTTCCCGGAAATTTGCCAGCTTTCTCTTTCTTTTTGGTATATCTTAGGCTCATTTCTACTTCAGTAATCTCTCAAGCCAAATCTTGAATCTTATTATAAGCCATTCTTTCTTCATCCTATAAACTGTTTTCCCAAGCAGTTCGCACACTCTCCAGAAAACTTCCTGCTATAACCCTGACTCCAAGCACCCCCTTCCTCAGCTCTGCCCAGTACCCTTGTTGTGGGCTGCCTGTCTCCACAGCAGCTGGGCAATAGAACTTGTCCACTTGAGTTTGATCTCTGGTGAGGTTGCCTGCAGAGTGTATGCCTCTCGTGCACGCCGCCGCCGAAACCACAACTCAAAGCAGAGTCCGCTGTCCCCGATGTTTTCTGTCAGCCCCATATCAGCAGTCTGAGGAAGAGCAGAGGGCAGCGGGTGAAGACAGAGTGAGTCCTGGCTGGGTGGCGCCACATGGCAAGCACTGGGCTTCGCCTGGCATCTGATAGATGTTCAGTAAACGTTTGCTCAACACCTATCACGTGCCAAGTGCTCTACGTTTAGTCTTCGTAACAAACATAATTTACAGAAGGGGAAATGAGGCCAGAAACATGAAGCAACTTCCACAAAGGCTTCTCACAGCTTATTAGAGCCGGAATTGGATCCAGGCCTTTTCCTCTATGCTATACTCTATGCTTACCCTCTGTGCAGGGGGTACAAAGTCTAGAAACCCTTAGAATCCATTCCACACTGCCTGATCCAGGACCATAGGTTGCTATAAATGCTTATCTGGATATCAAGGCTGTTTCCCTAAAGCAAGGCCTCCCTCTTCTTGGATTCTTTAGTCAAAGTATAGTGTGCTTTCTCCTCATGCCCTAGGAACCACCCCTAATTCCAAAGGCATGTGTGTCCTTAGTGGGAAAGTCCCTCTTCTAGTCTGGTTTGGAATGCCTCCTAAGTGTTCTGCATGAATGATAAGGAAAACCTCATGAGGTAGACCAAAGACAGGGACTTCTAACATCCCCTGACACCCTAACTCGATAGTCGATTACAAGCCAAAGCCTATTCTAGATGATGCAGATTCTGAACCTCTGTTGGGGCTGAATTTCCAGAACATCCTGAGTTCTCAAGAAGAGAATGACTTCCTGTCACCTCCACCACTCACTCCAGGAATCGTACCTTAAAGGCCTGCTTGTAAACAAACATCTCTGACCCCCCTTCAGGGCCCTTGAGCTTGCTGAACAGGAGGAGATGCTCGAAGAGAAAGACATGGCGAAGGCACTTCTTTCGGCCACAGATGACAGTGAAGGGGTCTCGATGCAAGAGCTGTCCCTGCTCCTTCAGATCTATCTGGAGAAAGGAAAAGGAAAAGTGGTTGGCCCAGGGGCCCTTTGTTTGTATTTTACAGGGAGCAAAAATAGATTTATAGGGCAAGTGGCCTAATGCACTGGTTCTCAGGTAGAGTCAGGAAGTCAGGGAAGCCCTCAGCCTAGGGTCCATCAACTGGTCACCATGCACAGTGCACCCAGCTGAGCAGCACAGCCCTGCCTCTGAAGACGGCAAGGTGCTCTGCATAGTAGGGTTTATAGCCACCTGTGGGGAAGCCTTTGCATGCTGGGGATCCAGGAAGAGAATCAGCAAAGAACTGAAAGGGAAATAGGTCTATTCCAGAGGAGGATACAGGATTCCAACATGTTCTGGAACCTCAGGGCTGGAAAAAGACTAGGTAGACGAGACAAGGTATGTGTTGGGTGTTGAGGTGCAGGAGGAAGTATGGGGTAGATGGGGAAAGATAACAATTAGGAAAGGAACAGGAGAGTACAAGGCAGATGTACGAACATGGGATGTTGGGAGGACATAGCTTCTTTATTTACAAATGAGGAAAGTGAAGTCCAGTGAAGTTCAGTGACTCAATCAAGGCCACCCAGCTGGTTAGAAATTAGAGCCTGGAGCCCTCTGACCTGGAGCCTGGTTCTCCTGTCACCAACCTACACGGCTTCTGAGGCCAGGGCTGGGCAGTTTGAGCAGCAGTGACTGGAGCTAGGGCCTCACCTCACAGCCACGCACCGCCTCCACGGCCAGCAGGTCTCTGCCACGGGCCTCTTGTTCCCGGAGCAGCTGTACAGCAGCCCCAAGGGCCCGGCACTCAGAACTGAGCTCAGGCCCAGCTTCCCTCAGGAGCTCCTCCAGGAGCCGCCCATACCGAGTCAGCTGTTCCAGAGGCTGCTGCAGGGCTCGGGGCAGGTAAGGGCCAGCCTCCATGGAGCCCTAGGTTGAGGACACAGACAGGGATGAGGGGAGGGGTGGAGCCTCTGGGGGCCAAGCTCAGGGGTTGGGGGGTAGGTGGGTGATACCCTAGGCTTTTGGGTATAGATGAAGCCCAGATGCTCCCTAAAGTAAGGCAAAACCATTCTCCCTGGAAAGAAAGCAGGTGGGGGCCTGCAGGCCAGCAATCACTGTCTATATCTTGAAGGGAAATGGAAGAAGAATCAAAATAGTAATCCCCTTTACTTTCTGGCTTTGAACTTTTCTTTTCTTTTCTTCTTTTCCCCTGAGATGGAGTCTTGCTCTGTCGCCCAGGCTGGAGTGCAGTGGCACAATCTCGGCTCACTGCAAGCTCCGCCTCCCAGGTTCACGCCATTCTTCTGCCTCAGCCTCCCGAGTAGCTGGGACTACAGGTGCCCGCCACCACGCCTGGCTAATTTTTTTTTTTTTTTTGTATTTCTAGTAGAGATGGGGTTTCACTATATTGGCCAGATAGTCTCAATCTCCTGACCTCGTGATCCACCCGCCTCGGCCTCCCAAAGTGCTGGGATTACAGGTGTGAGTCACCGCGCCCGGCCACTGCCTTTGAACTTTTAGTCACTTGTACGTCTTTTGATGTGAGCTCTTCTGATGCTTAGATCCTCCCTGTGAGCTGGCTATAGTGACTATTGCCCCCATTTACCAGCTGTGGAAATAGAGGCCCAGAGGAAACAGGAGTCCTGCCCAGTCCCTCAGGTGGACTGGATAAGAACCTGGCCTCACCAGTCCGGTGCTTGTCCCACCCTCGGCAATTCTAGGAGATGATTGGTAGGTGATGTTCCTGGGCATATCCAGTTTTTTGCCCTGAGGGATTTGTTGGGTGGGTTTTTAGGTCTTTCTGGCCTCTCTACTTTTCTCCTGAAGGTTGGAGAAAAAGTTACCTTGCTTAAGGGACTGAGCGCAGCCAGACCATTCTCCAGTTTGTGTCGGTGCTTCACGTACTGTGCATAAAGGCTGAACTGGTCCCCCTGTGCCAGTAAAGAACAGATAAGGAGTCCCCGGTGAGGCCGCTGCAGACAAGCCTCTCTCTTCCCCCTCTCTATCCTCTCTGTAGCCCAAATGAGGGATGGGTCACCAGGGAGCACTCAGCCTACCAGGGAGGGAAGGGCTCCCTGTGGAGAGAGCATAGTCCAGGCAGCTCTTGAGAGCAGGGCGCAGAGGCTGAGTAGAGGCAGAAGTGCCCACAGAACAGGGCTGGGCCCCAAGGTCATGGACCACACATGGGAGGAGAGGGCCGTGGGTACTGAGAAAGAGGGACAGATGGATGAGGCTGGAACAGAGAAGGGAGAGCACTTGGAAGAAGTTGAGGGGATCACTCACGTGGCGAAGGAAGCAGGCCCCAATGCGTAGGGGGTGGGTGGCGCAGCCCTGAAGCTCCCGCAGAAAGTGTGTCCGGTGGAAGCTGCGAAGCCTTTCCCGGGCACTCAGGGCAGCAGCCCAGGTGCCCCGAAGTTCAGGCGTCAGCTCAGGCCCAGGGGGTGGCACTGGCTCACTCAAGGTGGCCACGTAATCTTGTTCACAGGCAATCAGCTCAGACACCAGCCGCTGCTGGGCACTGCAGGCACAATAGGAGTGGCAGAGGAGGTGTGGGAGGGAGCCAGTACCCCCAACAATGTCATCTTCTTTTCCTACTGGGCAGTTGGCTCCGCCTCTTAGCACCAGTTGGGCTGGGATCTCACCTGATGCTTCGCTTGCGCTCCATCCGGGGGGTGCCTACTCCCCAGGGTCCGTCTGGCCCCCTAGCCCGGCCCAGCAGCACGTGTTCCCGTGGTGAGCACGTCCTGTCTACCACCTCAGTGCTGGTGACCTCCAGGCCTCGGATCAGCACAGCTCTTGGGGGCCTGCCCTCTGCTTCTGGAGCCAGCTCAGGGCCCTCTTCCTCATAGTCCTCTCCACATGGGGCCAGGGAGCAATGGGATGGGGCTGGCCGTGGCCCAGGGCTGCTGGGGAGCAGCAAGGAGCTGAGGCTGGGCGAGGGGCTGCGGGGCCCCCACTGGGCCCCTCCACTGCTGGCACCGTCTGCCCGCCGTCGTCGGTAGCCCCGTGGGCTCGCCTCCTCTCCCACGTGTTGCTGGATCCTCCTCTCTAGCTCTTGGCAGCGGGCCTGGCAGCGGCCCCATTCTCGCAGGGCTGCTGGGCTGCCCAGGTCCAGGGCCAGGGCCCGCATCTCCTGGAAGGTGCCGGCACTGGGCTCTGGGGCCCGCCGCAGGGCCAGTGCAGCCAGCACAGCCTCCCGACCCGGCCCAGCTCCTGCCAGCCGAGCAAAGCCCTCATCCACCCATTCATGTGCCTACGAAGTCAAAGGGGTTGGGGATGGGAGAGAAAGGGTAAGGGCCTGTGTTGCTCACGAAGGATGCCCAGTGACAGCCCTTGTCCTCTTGCCTGTGGCCTCCCAATGCCCGTCACTCTCCTGTTTTCTCACTGTTCCACCATCACTGCCTAACCATGTCACTCGGAGTTGGTATGGAGATGGAAGAGCCTATATAAAAGAATAACCGGTACTCATACGACATTTATGAGTGGCAGGCTCTGTGCTAAGGGCTTTTATGTATTGCCTCGTGTAATCCCCACAGCAGCCCTGTGAGGTAGATCTATGGAGGCACAGTCAGGTTTAGTATCTTGCCCCATGCCATTCAGCAAGGAGGTGGCAGAGCTAAGAGCAAAAACCTAGGAGATGGGCCCCTCAGCCTCCACTTTTAACAACTTGATTAGCCTCTCCAGGCAGAAAGGAAGTGAATAAATGGAAATGGGGGGGCACAGAAGGAAAAGGCTCTGCATGCACCTGCTGGAAGAAGCGCTGTAGCCGCAGGGCCCGATGGAGGCCACTCTCAACCTGCTCCAGCCGCTGTTCAAAGATATCCAGCACCTTCTGGGAGGTGGCATTCTCCTCCAGAGCCAGGGCCTCCCGTGCCTGGGCCAGGCGCTCCTGGAGAAGGGAGGCTGCGCTCAGACCTGGTCCTCACTCCTAGGTAGTCTCCCCCTGCCTCCTCTCACCTGCCCTCCAGCCCCTTCTCACCTGGACCTCAGCGCTGAAAGCACGGAATCGCAGCTCTGTCTCCTGCAGGGCAGACAAGGTGTCCCCAGGCATAGCAAAGCTTGCCAGCTGCTCCTCCCCTGGGCCCGAGAGCCACTGCAACACCTGAGGCAGATGGGGTGGGAGGGCAGGGGGTCATGGAGTGGAAAGGCAAGGAAGGGCTGAGATCCAGCATCAGCCCCACCACCCCAATCTATAGAACTTTGAGTGAACTATTGCATCTCATCTGCAATGTGGGAATGACAACAGTGAATGGTAATAGTTTCCACAAGGGTCAGATGAGAAACCGAGTAAGAAATCTTTGGTAAGGCAGATGAGAGGGAAGCTGGGCTGATGGGAAGCACTGAGGGAGTGGGTCAAAGTTCCAGGGCTATGTCCGAGGGTGAAGTACATCAAACTGGGGTGAACCAAAAGCAGGATGAGGGTCATAGGGATGACTGACGGCCTTCACCAAGCCTTGGCAACTGGTGAGAAACGGTCCCAGGGACCAAGCCTGGAGAAACAGTACAGAAGGGGTGTGTGTGTGTGTGTGTGTGTGTGTGTGTGTGTGTGTGTGTGTGTGTGTCCGGCTTTAATTTCCTAATATGAGGCTATATGAACTCTCATGCTGGTTCTGAGATGTTTGACCAGAACGGGATGGTAATATTTTCCTCTGAAGAAAGGCTGGAAGCTGGGGGTGGGACAGCCTGAGGATGAGAAGTCTGAGACTGTTCCTAATAGCCAGTGCCAACAATAACCACTTTTATAGTCCTTTGCTGAATTCACTTGATCTTTCTGACCACGTTGTGAGTTAATTGTTACCATCCGCATTCTATAGATGAGGACTTGGGAACTCAGAGGAGCTTCATGACTTGTCCAACATCTTACACATGGCAGAACTAGAACTCAAGCTGAGCACGTTAGACTCCAAATCTTGTTTTTAAACAGTTGGGGAAACAGCTAACAAGCAGGTAAGCAAACAGGAGGAGATGCAACCCATCTCTAGGATATTGGCTTAGAGGAAGCCAATATGAAGAAATCCTAGGAAACAGAAAGTCTTGGCCCCCGCTTTTGCACCGGCCCTGAGGTGACCTTTCCCCTGATGCCCACGTACAGGTCCATGAAGTGTCCATTCACCATGCTCGGGGCTAAGGAGGAACAATCAGATTTCAAAGCCCCCTCTACCCCACATGGTAGGGTGGAGAGCAAATCCCTATGGGGCTCTTAACCCCAGGAGAGAAGAATCAAGGTTCAGAGAAGCCAGCCTTATTCCTGAATCTTCCCCACAAAGAAGCCTGTAGTTCCTCTTAGGTGCTTTCAATGCTCTCTCCTTCCAAGGGAGAGGGAGGTGGGACCTTTCCGGCCTCAGGTCTGAGGGATGACATCGCATAAGGAGTTAAGGGTGTGTGTGTGGCAGTATAACTAATGAGCTGGTATCAATAGACTTTTATTATTTTTCAGCTAAGGTGGTAGGCACTCCAGAGTTGATCAGCTCTTCAGAATCCCCTAGGGCAGCTGAGCATCTCTCACAATCTCTCAGCATTTTCGATCAAGTGTAAACAGTGGGGAGGGGAAGATCTGGCTTTTCTTTACTGGTGCTATGATGCTCCCACCCTCTTGTTCAATCTCACACTGACCAACAAATGTGAGGAGGAGGGAGGGGCGTTCAACCAAGCCAGGCTAGAAGAACACCATCAACTATAAGTACCAACGGGAAAGGTGCTGGAGGCCACACTCCCAGGCTGAGTAAGAGGGACGTGGGGATCCTGGCTCACCTGCTGGAGTCGCCGCAGGCACTGCCGCTGCTCTTGCTGCTGCACGTGCAGGTTGGAGAGGCGCACAAGCTGGTGAATGGCCTCGTCCACTTCCTGATACAGTGTAGCTGGGCCTTGGCCCTCCAGCCTTGGGAAGGAGCAGAGAAGAATGAATCATTTCCCTTGTTGAGCCCCTCAATTCTGTCCTTCCGTGCCTCTGAGGGATGCAAACATGAGAGGTTGCATAGCAGCATGGATCAAAAGCATGGGCTGAACCCTGACTGCTTTGGTTTGAATCCTGACTCTTTACTGACCGATGTTGGCCAAGACAGTTAACATTTCTGATCCTCCAAATCCTCATTTGTAATAGTAAATGGCACATAAGGATGTTGTGAGGGTTATGAGACAGTAAGTGTAAAAGCATAGTATCTTGCCCAGATACATGCACAGTAAGAATGGTCTGGCAGCTAAGGTTTGTTGGCAGCCTTCAGCTGTGTCTCCACCTCCCACTTCCACCTGCCTCCGCACACCCATACTTCGTACTTGCTGCTGGGAGTGGAGCGCAGCCTCATCAGGATGGCCCCCCCATCCCTCTGCAGTGCCGTCAGCCGGGGATCTGCCAGCACCTTCTGCAGTGGCTTGGGCATTCCCACTGCCTCCTGGGGATAGGGAGGAGTTGCCAGTTGGGGTTCCACCAGAGAGTCTCCACCCCAGCCCCATCCCAATCCCATCCCCCCACTGTCCCATCTCATTTCATACCTCTTCCTCTGGCTCTGCTGCTCCCTCCAGCTCCTCAATGGCCTGCCGTACCGAGCCCAGCACACCTTGGCACAGGCGACATAGCCTTACCACTTCCTGAAACCCACATGCAGGGATGGAGTTGAGGATCAGAGTTTAAGAAGGAACTTAAGCCCTAGGGTTGGGGTGCGGTAGCCCCAGAGACTTTTATGGAGGCAATGCTGAATTCAGTTCCTGACTTTGTTGCTAACTAATTGTATGAGGTTGGGCAGGTTCAGAAACCTTCCTGAACTTCAGTTCCTCAACTGTAAAGTCAGGATAAGAAAGGCTTCTGTGATTTTTAAGGAGATGATGCCAGTTTAGCAACTAACGTGGGCCTGGCACATTGTACAGCTTGGTAACTGTGACCTTCCTGTCTGTCTTCAGTGGGGCTTCCCCCTGTCACACCCCCTCTCTCTGCCTATTCATGTCAATTTCCCCTTTGACACTAAAGGCGAAGCTTAGAGACCATCTACAGACCCCTCTTTCATACTCAGCTCAGATCATGTTTATTTCTCTCTTCTTGAATACTCACAACACTTATATTCATAGAATTACATGAGATAAGTGCTGGAAGGACCTTTAGCAATTATATTGTGATTGTTATACTGCGCTGATGAGGATCCTGAGGCCTGGATGTTGGTGCAAGGAGCGGATACAGAAAGGGCACTATTTCTGCAAGTGAGGTAAAGTAATTTGGAACAAGAACCAGCCTTTTGACTCTCAGTGCTTTCCAGAAACCCAATGACACTATCTTGCACTCTTCTCTACTTGTTTCATGATTTATCTCCCACCAAAAATCATACACTACTTAATGTCATATTAAGAATTTATTTGGCTGGGCATAGTCACTCATGCCTGTAATCTTAGCACTTCGGGAGGCTGAGACGGGTGGATCACTGGAGTCCAGGAGTTTGAGACCAGCCTGGGCAACATGGCAAAACCCCGTCTCTACAAAAAAAAAAAAAAAAAAAATACAAAAACTAGGTGGGTGTGGTGGCACATGCCTGTAGCCACAGCTACTCAAGAGGTTGACATGGGAGGATCGCCTGAGTCCAGAGGGTCGAGGCTGCAGTAAGCTGTGATCGAAGCATTGCACTCCAGCCTGGGTGACAGAGTGAGACTGTCTAAAAATAATAATTATAATAATTTATCATACTCCTCCTATCTCCCCAGTAGAACATGGCACAGTGCACATGTTTTCCTCATGATTTGGGAGCCATAAATACTTGTTGAATTGAATGGAATGGAAACCACTTTTTTGCAACCTCATGGTATGTCCTGGACATGGCCTCTCTCCTAGAATGTCTTCAGCTGGGTTATTCCTGGCTCCCAGCATGCTAGGTGGTAGAGGGGAAGCTTACCTGGTGTATCTCTACCCAGTGACTGGGAGAGGGGTCCCTGTGACCTCCTAACTCCCACTGCAGCTCCTCTGGCTTGGCCACTCTTTTCAGATCATTCTCTGACAGCACCTCAGCACCCTGTAGAGGGTAAGGCAGGGGGTTTCTTCCTGGGCACCCAAGGACTCAGAAACCAGCCTGGGGCTCCAGCCAGCCTCTTCTCCTCTCCCCACTACTGATGGGAAACTAGATGGGAATGAAGGGCTCAAACCTGAAATCCACAGAGTTCAGTTGGAAGGTCATCATGAATGAGAATCAGCAGCCGCTGAACAAGGGGAGGATCTCCTGAGTCCTAAGGGCAGAAAAGAATAACCCTAAACTGGGCAATCGGGTGTCCTGGACTGGCCACTGGTGAAGAGTTAGGATCCAGGGGAACTGCCTGTTTGAGGGGTGGTTACCTGAAGTTGGCTCAAGGCAGGAATGAGTGCTGGAGGCAGTGGAGGTGCCTGACGAAGGTCCAGCAGGACGGACAGCCCCAGTGTCTGTAGATCAGGCCTGCGGGAGCAGGAAGAGCCAAGGAGGCTGCTGTGTGTGTGTTTTGGGGGATAGCAGATAAGGCAAGGCAGACATACGGGGTCTGTTTTTAGTTAATAGTCCTGAGGAGAAATTAGTTGCCGGTACATTTGGGAAGAAATGGGCAAAGGGCCAAATTCTGGGGTGTGTGTACAAGAGGAAGTCACCTAGCAGTCAGGGGTCTATATTCATATGGCTACTAGGTCAAGGGATTAAGGTCTGGAAAATTAAGAATTCTGTTCTGAAATGGCGTGCATTCAATATCAGCCTGTAGTATGGTGCCTAATAGGTACTCAGTGCTCAATAAATGTTTGTTGAATCAGTGAACCAATGTCCTGATGATCTTGGTAGGGTTGGAAGAGAGTGAAAGTCAACAGTGTTGCTTTTGAAGATCAGTGAAGATATGAAGCTGGAGGTCAGGGTAAGTAAGGCCAAAGGTCAATGGCTTGAAGTCTGAAGGTTGAAGAAGTAGGTGTCCTTAGAGGTCAGAAGGTCAGTGTCCTGAGAAGAAGGAGGTGAGGGTCCTCATGAATCAGGAGGTTAGTGTCCAGGGTGCCAGGACTGGGCCTCGGTTACCTGAGCAGTGAGTGGAGGTAATGAAGAGTTGTGTTCAGCGTGTCTCGGGAGGGTGGGGGCTCCTCAGGAGGGCACGGTGGGGTAATGGTCAGCAGAGCTCGCCCACTCTGGTCCACCCCTCCTGAAGACACAAAATGGCCAGGCTGTCCTGGCTGGGAGCAGTCCATGCCTACCTCCTTTCCACCCTGCCTCCCCCAGTCCCCAAGCCCACCCAATTGCTTCTCTTTCCCAGTCCTGTTTCCCTTCACCCACTGATGCCCACTGACCCGTCAGGATGAGGAATCCAGATGCCATCAAGTCCCAAGCTACATCAGGGTGATCAGAGACGGAGACTGCAAGGGCCTCTTCTGGAATGTTGTCCCCTTTTCCTTCCTGCACAGTCTCCAGCGGAGGTGTTGGAGTGTCAGACAGGGGGCCTTCTGGGCCTGTGTGTCCTGCACAGACACAGACAGAAACATGGGACTGAAGTTAAGATGGTTCTGGTTGTTCTGCTCCCAGCCTAACCCTGCTCCTCCTCCTGCCCCCTCCCATAGGCCCGACCTGCTTTGGCCCTTGCCCCATGAGCCTCACTCCGTGTCATCTCACCTGCCATACACAGCAGGCCTGGCCCCTCCAGCTCTCTCTCTCCGGCCCCCTCTTCTGTAGGCCCACAGGCTTCAGAGAGCTGAGGCTCTTTCTCGCCTGCTGTTTTGAGCTCTTTTGGCTCAGATTCTGGCTTCCCTGAGCCTTCATATTCCTCCTTAACCAGGTGGCATTCTGGAAGCTTGTGCTCACTTGGTGAGGGCAGATTGCCAAGGGCTTCTTGGTGGCTGGCATCTTCCTTGTCCCCAGGGCTCAGTGGGGCACTGTCCCCTCCTCGGCTAAGAGCCCCTCGACCTGCAGCTCGCTTCTTTCTTCTGTTTCCTTTGCCTGTTCTCCGAGGGGTACCAGGTGGTCCTTCAGCCCCCTGGCCTCCTCCTCCTCCTCCTCTAAGCTCCCCTGGCCTCAGGGGGCAAGATCCGGAGGCTTCTCCCACAGCCTCTGCTGGGGGCTCAGACACCTCCAAGACTGCTGCCTCTGGGACAGCCTCAGCTCCTGGGGGAGACTCAGGGGAGGCTCCGGTGCTGCTCCCCTCGCCGGGTGGGCGTGCTCCATCCTGGCCCCGAGGCCCCAGGCCCTTCTGGTGCATCCACGCCCGGTGTCTCCGGTGGCGGCCCTTCCCTCCAGCGCCCTTGCGGGTGGGTACCGTCCGGACTCTGGAGAGGCCTGGGGAGCCTTCAGCATCTGTTGGGCTCCCCCTCACGGGCAGCGTCACCTCTAACAGCTCCACATACTCGCCCTCAGGTCCTTCCACAGGGGCATTGTGCCCATCCCCAGGACTCCGGGTACCCAGCGCCTCCTCAGGAAGTGGAGGGCTGGGAAGCCCTGGAGGTCCAGAGGGCAGTTCTGGGGGCAGTGTACTTGGCTGATGTCCAACCATGAGGCCCTCTTTGTGCACAAATCGTGGACAGATGAGCTCAGCCCAGGGCAGCCGCTGAATCCCAGAGGGCGCAGACAGTAGGCAGGTACTGAGGCGACCTGTTGGCCGGTCCTTGTTGATGCCTTGTAGCCACTCAGGTGTGAATAGGTAGGCACAAGCCTCATTGGGCACAGGAACCTCCTGCACCCGCCCACCCCCAGGGGCCAGACACTTGAGTGCTAGTCGGGGTGCTTGGGCAGCTGAGGGCACCACCTGCAGATAGAAGTCTCCTGGGCGCAGCAGTTGCCAGGGTAGGGCTGCTAGCTGCACCACCACCTGTTCATGCAGGCAGAGCGGCCACCCCTCATGGAAGAAGAGGAATCCACTGTATTGGGCCTGGGGAGAGAGGTGGGAGGCTGCACTCAGGCCTCTGCTGAAGAAACCAGCAGGAGAGGGCAGTTAGAATGGGCCCACCCTAGGCAGGACCAGCCTTATGCCTGGAAGGTTATACTCTCAGGAGAGCAGGAGGGGAGATTTGGGGTATTCAGGTGGCAGAGAGGAAGGGATTGGGACTGATCGGTCTCCCAGTAGTAGGAAGATTCTTCAGGAAGCTAGTTCCATGTGTGGGAGGGTAAGAACTGAATCGTTACCAAGACATGGTCAGCAGATGCCATTGTCTTGGAGAAGCTAAAGACTCTTAGGAGTCTTTATATCTGTAGAAATGAATGATCTCTGTTGACTAATGTACGGGGGAGTTAGTGTCTTGAGAAATTCATATGAGGGGGAGAAGATGTCTGGAATTGGGTCTGGAGAGTTAGGGTCTTTGGGGGTCAGTATTGGGGTCAAGATGAATTTGGGGAAGATGAATGTGTGTGTGTGTGTGTGTGTTAGCATCTGAATGGTCAGTGCCTGTGAAGGTCAAAGTTTGTGAGAGGTCAGAGAATGAAGCTTAAGTGATTCTGGAGAGATCGGTTTCAAGGGAGGCTGTATCTCTAGGTTAGTGGGGGCATTAGTCAGCCTGGCTAGTCTGTAGAGTGTGGCAGTGGATCTTGGGGAAGGCAGAATAGTGATGCACGGCCACTCACACAGGCTTCCTGCTGGACCTTGGCAAGCAGGTGCTTGGCTGGTACCAGGAAGTCCAGCGTGTACCTCAGTGCGTCCTCCCGATAAGTCCTCTCCACCACCTGGAACACCTGGCCCAACAGGGTGGGGGCTGTTGCCTCAAAGGGTGGATACAGGGCGGCGAGAGTGCTCTGCACACAGTCCTCCACTGGCTCAGGCTCCTGTAGAGATAGGACCAGGCTACAGATCCCTAGAGATCACCCAATCATGGCTCCTTGGGAGCTGCACTGGTCTGGGGTTGGCTGTGTTCTCCAAAGCCCCGATTGTACAATGTGGGCAAAAAGTGAGCACTCAGGAAATGCTGGCTGATGAGCCCAGAACAGGAGTGGGGCTGGGCCAGAGTGCACAAACCTGGCAGGGCGCTCAACACTCCCGCTCTGAGACCTTGGCTTTGGAGATCCAGGGAGAATTTGTTGTGAATGCCCCTGATCAGGGCTGTTCCGGGTGCTCGTGAGTTGGGGTGATTGCATAGATCTTTCCCAGGAGAGAAAAGACAGGCTTCTGGGCTATCAGGGGACTGAGCTTATGGCTGAGAACTCGAGGGGATGAGGGAGATTTCCACACAGCCATCCTGCAAATCCCTTCCCATAAGACCCACCATCCAGGGCTCCCCATCTTAGGTGGAGGTGCCATCACCCACAATTATGTCCCAGAGATGATCATTTGGTGAAAGAGAGATGCTCATTTATATGCTAGAGATGGTCATTTGGTGGAAAGAGGAGGATGGAAAGACTGTCTGTGACTGTCTTGGGTCTTTCTAGCATCCCTCTTCCTTCTCCCACAGTGGCTCTGAAGCAATCACCCAATCTTAGAGCATGTGGGATTGGATTACAAAGAATCGGGTGGGGGCAGTTGAAAGAGAAAAAAGTCACAAGAGGAACTTGTGGGAAGGGAGGAGGAGGCCTTGATGGTGCGCATTCGAGCTGATCTTTTCTGATTCCAGTGGGACCTCTCTCTGCCAACCTCCACTAGGAGTCTCAAAAAGACTCAGCCCTGCTTCATCCAGACTCCCCTCCCTAAGTGAGTCAATGAGACGTCTTTCTCCAACTCCTAACCTAAACAACCACCCCTTGGGCTATTCCTTTGCAAACTTCTTTTTCAAGACAGTCTTTGAAGTCCCTTTTACTGGAATTTTTTTTTCTTTTTTGCTGTAAATGGGGAAGGGGATACTCAATGCAGCCTTTACCTTGGTCTCTACCTTCCCTACCCCCATACCTTGCCTTTGCCATAAAACAAAATAGCTTATTTTTCTCTGAGCTCCATCCAGAGTTGCCCGTTTGTCTTGACCGTCTGGGAAGTTAGGGCAACCACTCCAGAGACGGGACATTCAGTGCGTCAGCGCGCAGACCCGGCCCCAAGGTGTGTGGGCGAGCAGACAGACCCCCAGTGTTCCCGGGACCAGGCGGACGCAGTGCGCGTGGGTGGGGGGAAGGTGGAGATGGGCGGGGGTGAGGCAGAGTGGGGCCGTCTGCTCCAAGGCAGGGAGTGCGGAGCTAGGGCTTGAGCAGCGAGGCAGCTGCAACCCATTAGGGGCGGTGAGCTCATGGCTGAGCGAGAGTCTCAGCCACAGGAAACGGCCGCGGCAGGAGGGGAGGAGGGGTCTGGGGAGGGAGGCGGCGGGCGGGAGCACGGAGACCCAGCCTCCTGCCGGCGGGGACCAGAGAGGAGACCAGAGAGACTGAGTCAGCTCTCCCTGGCCCAGTTCCTCTTTCTTTTTCCTCCAGCCTCCCTGCCAGAGGGTGCCCTTCCCTCCGTAGAGGGGCGGCCCCAGTAGTGCCCCTGCCCCTCCTCCACTCCCTGCGGTGAGCTCCCCCTGGCAAGGCCTCTCCCCCTCCTCCACTCTGCAGCGAGCGGCCCCTTGGCCATGCCCCCGCCCTCTTTGCAGTGGGCGCTCTCTCTGGCAGTGCCCACTCTCGCAGCGGTGCTTCAGAGTACTCTGCAGTGAAAGTTCCCAGGGCAGTGTTCACTCCTGTTGGTGTGGGCTTCTCCTTAGCGTACCCTCCAGCGTCCAGCGCCCCAAGTTGCTGCTGCCAGGGTCCCCTAGTCCCTGCAGGGAGCTCCGGCTCGTGTTCCCTCCCCTCTGTAGCAGGAGTGCCCTGAGGCAGCCCTTCAGTTCCCTGCAGCAAGAGCTCTGGGGCACTTTCCTCCTCCGCAAACTCTGGTCGGCTCTGGCAGTGTCACGCCCCCTGGTACTGTGAGCTCCCCCCCAAGCACCCCCAACTATCCTGAGGCAGCTCTTTTTCTCTGCGGGAATTTCCCTCTTTGGCCATGCCCCGGGACCCGGCCCAGCCACAGCTGTGGCCAGTCCCCTAGGGCCGGATGGGTGGGCCTGCCTCACCGGGTTGGGGACAGGGATGGAAAATGGTGGTTCCATGCAGGTCAGTTCTCATGACCCGAGGGGCCGGGCCTCTTCCAGGGTCGCTGCAGGACCAACCCGCAGGGGTCTCCCGCGGGTAAGGAGCTCGGACCAGGAGGGGGAGGGAAGCTCCAGGAAAGGAAGGCACAGGTCAGGACAGAGGAGGGCGGGGAGCGGGGAGGTGTGTGGATTAGGGGAGAGACCCAAGGGAGGATGGGGGAGGAGGCGGAGGAGAGGAGGAAGAAAGGGTGAGGGCAATACCCGGTGGGGACAGAGCTAAACAGTCGGGCAGACAGACAAATCGAAGAAGGGGGGATGGGAGGGAGGAGAGTCCCAGAGGGGCCGAACAGTCCGAGGCAGGCTCGGGAGGCACCAGGCTGAGGACTTGGGGGCCCGGAGCGGGCTGCGCGAAGGCCGAGGGGACCCAGGGGGCTGCGACGCTGGACTCACCATGGCTCGGCGCCGGGCCGCGTCCGACGCTTGGTCGGGCGGGCGGGGCCGGGCGCGCCACCGCCTCCCTCCCGCCGCTCGTGTCTCGCCGGGTCTGGCTAAGGGACAGCTCCGGCCGCGGTGGCGGCTCGGCCCGCTCCGGCTTCCAGGCCGCGGGGCCCCGCCAGGGAGGGCCGAGACGGCCGCCCCTCCCCGCCCCGCCCTTCAGCGCCCGCCCCCGCCTCCGCGCGGGACCCCTTGCCGGGACTCTGTCTCCCGCGCCGAGATCTCTGCCGTTCCCCGGGCGTCCCCAGCCTATCCGTCCCGTTCACCGGCAACCTTCTTTCTTCTCCGCCCCGCCCTCCAGCGGGTAACCTCGACCCTGACCCTCGGAGGCCCGCCCAGCCGAGGATGCCCCTCTTTTCCCGCCACGGCCTCGCTCCCCGCGGGATCAGTTTAGCCTCGGCAAGGGATGCTCCAAAGGCTGGGGCGTGCGTGAATTCCCTTGGGCCGCCCCTTCCCAGAACTGGGGTCTTCCTGCGGCTGGAAAGCCTCCCCGCTCTAACTCGCCCGGGATCCTCTTCTCTCAACGGTTTCTAGACTTTGGCAGGACCCAGGGCTCAAATGAGACCTTCAGGCCCCTGCCTGCCTAGCAGAGAGCGGAGGGCCGGGAAATCAGGGGATTCCCCAACCCCCCGGGGGCTTGCCCGCCCTCCTTTCCCTCCATCTCCTCGGGCCTGGAATCTCTGGGCTGACAATGGGCTCCTCTGTGTTGCCTGGGGAAGGCGGGAGTGTGCGGGAGTTAGGGAGCAGCGAAGGCTTGGGATAGGGGGCGGACATCCTGGCCAAGGGGGCAGGGTTCCCGGATCGGGATGCTTATGTAGGGGCGTGCATTTCGCCGGACATTTTCTGAGTTCTCTCCTCCGTGGCCCTTCCCTTCCGCATCCCTACCTCTCTATTCGGCTAGAAGAGGGAAGGCACCAGGCCTCCAGTTCGAGGATTCGGTACTGGATGCCAGCCCCTTCCTTCTGTTGGGGTGGCTATAGAGTCCCGCAGGGCCGCTAGGGCTCGTGGCCATGGGAATGGGTGGGTATCTGGCGCAGGAGACAAAGCAGGGTGGGCTAGTTACGAAAGTTCTAGCCTCACTCCCTCATCAAACCCCGAGCGTCCCCCGACAGTGTCTGAATGAGAAAGGAAGGCCAGATGGGGGGTCTCCCAGGAGCCCGGGGGGAGGCACGGGCACGGCGGGGAGATGCCCTGCCTGGCCTCTGAGCAGGCACCGGGAAGCCCCGCAGCTCCGTGAGCTCTTCTAAAGGGTGGACGGAAGGGAGAGGAGAGGAGATCGGAAAGCCGAATAGTCCCCGGAGGGGCGTGAACGCGTGTGCCCCTGCAGCTGGAGGGCGATGATGAGAAAACGTCTGGCCTCGCCTGCAGTTCCTCGGAGGCCGGAGCCTCTGGGCAGTTGTTGGAACAGCGGGAGGGGAGGCGGGGGTGCCGCCAAGGTGACTTGCTCTTCTCTCACCTCCTCTGGACGCTAACCTCCACCTTTTTCTCCGCTCCGCTGAGCCTGGAAAAGGACAGAGCAAGTGTTCATCCTTCTTAGAGGCAAGAAGAGGCCTCTGCTCCATGCGTCAAAAAAGAACCTATGGCAACAAGCCCCGGTAACCATCTTCCCCGCACAGTTAGAGCCGTGGAGTTGGAGCTCTTTCTAACACCCGGCTAGGGGACCCTCGAGTCACCGACACTCTCCAGGTTCTCTATTACGAGGGCCCGCGAGCTAGGAGAGTGAGATTTTGCTACCCCCTGGTGTCCATTCCGTAAATACTGCCCAGGGGCGGGTTACAGGGGCCAGTGTTTAAAAAACCTTATTCACCTGTCTCAAACCTAGCTCATCTATTCTCGGTGTTGAGAGTGTCTGAACCTTTCCTCACCAGGCCTTCCATTCCTTAAACTGCAGCAAATTGTTTAGGGAACACTTGGTAGGGTCCAAGGTTGTCCATTGGACTCCAAGGCTCACTACTCTTAGGTAGTGGAATATAAATTAATCTGGCTATGGGGGTCCACAAACTCCTGGAAAAAGGGAGTGGATCATTTTTTTTTTTCATGGAGAAAAAGGGGAGCCGGCCGGGCGCGGTGGCTCACGCCTGTAATCCCAGCACTTTGGGAGGCCGAGGCGGGCGGATCACGAGGTCAGGAGATCGAGACCATCCTGGCTAACACGGTGAAACCCCGTCTCTACTAAAAATACAAAAAATTAGCCGGGCGTGGTAGCGGGCGCCTGTAGTCCCAGCTACTCGGGAGGCTGAGGCAGGAGAATGGCGTGAACCCGGGAGGCGGAGCTTGCAGTGAGCCGAGATCGCGCCACTGCACTCCAGCCTGGGCGACAGAGCGAGACTCCGTCTCAAAAAAAAAAAAAAAAAAAAAAAAAAAAAAAAAAAAAGGGGAGCCACTGAAAGTTTTTGAGCTGGTGGGGTAAGGGAGTTTGGATAGAGAATCAGGGATGCAGTTACCCCTTCTTTCCAGGAGTTTTAAAATCTGTGCTAAATTACAATGGTTTATTTTAAGTAAGTAAGTGACATGTGGTTGCAGCAGTTAAATACCACTTTCTCCAAAGAATGCAGGCTCTTACCTAAAAGTGTGTGTGTGTGTGTGTGTGTGTACGTGTGTACACAACAGAGTATGTGTTGATACGTGTGTTTTTAGTGGGGGAATATGAAAGGGTAAAGTTATAAGGGAGAAATTAGAGGCTGGGAATAGACCAGACTTAGAAGCCTTCTCATTCACAAACAGTTCTTACCATATTTCACCCATTTAAGACTCTTTGGGGCTTCTCAAACTCCTGTTTTACAGAAGAAATTGCAGCTTATTGAAGTTAATAAACTCTCTCTAAGCTACACAGTAAATGAGCAACCAGGATGTGAACCCAGGCTGTCTGACGCCAGAGGCTTCAGTCGCAACCAGTAAGTTATAGGGTCTCATCTAAGCTGTCAAAGTTCATAAAAGAAGAGTTTTAAACACCACATCACCATTTCTGCCACCAAACCATCAGGCTAAAAAAGTTAAATTTGTTTTTGTAGAAGCCAGCACTGAGGTTCTAAAAGTGATAGATATGTCCCCGTGGGTCAGAGAAAAAAAAAACCTACCTTTTTCTAGACTTGTTATAGACTAATAGTTAAAATAATTCCGAAGACATTTCCAGTATGGTTCTTATGGAAAACTAGTGCTATCCTAATACGGGGGAAGGTGGAAGAAACACCTGTGTCTGTACTGCTTATTGCCTGGTTTATGTGCACCAAGAGCTATGACTGCCATCTTATGGAGGGTTGGGGTTTTAGGCTGCTCACTATTTCTCCCTGGGAGAGTAGCAGTGACTAGGGCTGTGCCTCAGCCCCATGCCTCAAGTTAGGGGGAATTAATGAAGGACCACAAAGGGAATTTTAGGGACGGACTTGAGAGCACGTGTTCTTGTTAGCTCTGCCTTCCAAGGAATCTGGGGATCAATATCCCAGTTATTTTAGGGTAAAAAATCTGTGTGATATGTAAATATATATCAGTTCTATTTATGGTTTAATTTTTCATTGGTTTTGGTTTTATTTGATTGGTAATATTTTTTCAAAAATTAACAACTTGTCTTCTCCGAACTAAGTGTCATCAAGGTCCATACCACCAGCATCTTGCCTGTGCTAGCACATTAGTTTCCCCACTTGTCTGCCTGTTCCACTCTTACCTTCTGATAAGCCATTCTCTGCACCATAGCCAGAGTAATCTTAAAAATCCAAATAAATCAGGCTGGGCACGGTGGCTCATGCCTGTAATCCCAGCACTTTGGGAGACCGAGGCAGGTGGATCACGTGGTCAAGAGAGCAACACCATCCTGGCCAACATGGGGAAACCCCAACATGGTGAAACCCTGTCTCTACTAAAAATACAAAAATTAGCTGGGCGTGGTGGCACATGCCTGTAATCCCAGCTACTTGGGAGGCTGAGGCAGGAGAATCGCTTGAACCTGGGAGGCGGAGGTTGCAGTGAGCCGAGATCGTGCCACTGCACTCCAGCCTGGCGACAAAGTGAGACTCCGTCTCCAAAAAAAAAAAACAAAAAAAACACAACCAAAAAAAAAAGATCCAAATAAATCTCATCAACCCCGTCTAATGGCTTTCCATTTGCATCATGATTCCTTTTCTGCCTATCTCTCCTTTTCTTTTCTGCCTCATCTTTTACCATAGCCCTGTGGTGACATTATGCTAAGCCACTAGTGACCCTGCAGCCACAGTGGACTTCTTTCAGCTTTTCAGGTTTTTGTTGTTGTTGTTGTTATTGTTGAAAAAAAGTCTTGCTCTGTCGCCCAGGCTGGAGTGCAGTGTTGCAATCTGGACTCACTGCAACCTGTACCTCCCAGGTGCAAGTGATTCTGGTGCCTCAGCTTCCCAAGTAGTTGGGTTTACAGGCTTGCACCACCACACCCAGCTAATTTTTGTATTTTTAGTAAAGACAGGGTTTCACCATGTTGGCCAGGCTGGTCTCAAACTCCTGACCTCAGGTGATCCGCCCACCTTGGCCTCCCTAAGTGTTGGAATTACAGGCATGAGCCACTGCATTCGGCCCCTTCTTTCAGTTCTTTAAACATGCCTTACTTATTCCTAAAGATGCTTAATTTGGCACCTTTTTGCTCTTCTTTCCTTCTGTCTGGAGCTTTCTTTTCATTCACGATTCTAGTGACTGGCTGTCATCCTTCAGGTCTTAACTAAAGTGTTACAGTCTCAAAGGTCTTCTTCCCTGGCCACCTGGTCTAAAGTGGTCTCTCACCCATTGTCTTTCTGAATAATGTTATTCTGTTGTATTTTCTTCATAGCATTTTTCTCTATTGATTATGTATTTATTTTCTGTCTATCATAATAGACTCACCTTTCTACCACATATAATTTAAAAATAAACTTTATGAAATGAGGGACCTTGTCTATTTTGTCACTGCTTTTTCAGCTAGTGTCTGACCAGTTCCCAAAAGAGATCATAAATCCAAGTGAAGACTGAAAGGAGGGCAGAAAGCTCCAGAGAACAGGAATGGTTTTGGGAACAAGTGAGAGGTGGGAATGGCAAGGCAGAGGCTTGGGGTCAGCTGCTTTCCTGTCTTCCTGGAATCAGTCCTCATGAGGTTTTTTTTGTTTGTTTGTTTGTCTGTTGGAGGATATTTGCAAGTGGAAGGCATGCAGGACAGAATTTTTTTGTTGTTGTTGTTTGTTTTTTTTTTTTTGAGATGGAGTTTTGCTCATCGCCCAGGCTGGAGTGCAGTGGTACAATCTCGACTCACTGCAACCTCTGCCTCCTGGGTTCAAGCAATTCTCCTGCCTCAGCCTCCCAAGTAGCTGGGATTACAGGCACCCGCCACCAGGCCTGGCTAATTTTTGTATTTTTAGTAGAAATGTGGTTTCAGCATGTTGCTCAGGCTGGTCTCGAACTCCTGATCTCAGGTGATCTGCCTGCCTCTGCCTCCCAAAGTGCTGGGATTACAGGCATGAGCCACCATGCCCGGCCACGGGACAGAATTTAAGACAGATGTGGACCATCATCTGGCTCAGATGTAGGCTTATTGTAGTAGAAGAGTCTGGAGGAAGCATGGTTTGGAGGGGGACTTCTGGAAAGGTTCCAAAGTCGCTTATGGACTTTGTTGATGTACAAACCCAGAAACTCTTTCATGTAGTTGTAACCCATTTGAAAATAACAGTTTTGTGTTCTGCTTTCTTCATGTAGCATTGTCCGTATATATTTCCACGCATAAGTATAATTTTTGCCTACATTGTCTTTAGTTAAAGCATCAAGTAGGCTGGGTGCGGTGGCTCACACCTGTAATCCCAGGACTTTGGGAGGCCGAGGTGGGCGGGTCACCTGAGGTCAGGAGTTCAAGACGAGCCTGGCCAACATGGCGAAACCCAGTCTCTACTAAAAATACAAAAATTAGCTGGGTGTGGCAGTGTGCACCTGTAATCCCAGCTACTTGGGAGGCTGAGACAGGAGAATCGCTTGAACCCAAGGGGCAGAGGTTGCAGTGAGCCAAGATCACGCCACTACACTGCAGCCTGGGCAACAGAGAGAGACTCTGTCTCAAAAATAATAAAAAAAAAAAGGCATCAAGTGGTTGTTCACTATTCATTTAGTCACTCTCAATTTTAGGGAATTTATATTATGTTTAACTTTTCTCCATTGTATGAAGAAAAGGTATAAAAAGATTTGTAGAAATGTACTCCTCCGCACTTTGAATTATTCCCATTCGACATATTTTACAAAATGGAATTATTGGGTCAAATGGTAGGAGCCATTTTATAACATTTGTTACTGCCAGATGTGGCAATATGTGGAGGGCAGGGGTCATGAAACACTCTTAAAATATTAAAAAGGTTGATTGTGAAGAGGAATTGGGCTTACTCTGAATGGCTCAAAGCGGTAGGGCATCAGTGAATTGTTGCAGTTATAAAGAAGCAGATTCGGTTCTATGTAAGGGAGTTTTGAATACTTAGAGTTGCCTGAAAATGGGACAAGCTATCTCCATAGGTAAATTCCCTCTCACTGAAAAATTTTAAGCATAATGAGAGAGCTTTTAAAGAAATTGTTTATAAGCTTTCCAGATTTGTGATCTGTACATTTTCCTACCCCCAGCCCTTTGCTCCAAAACCACATTTTGTTAAATGAACATTTATTAAGACATAACCTGTGCCTGTTATAGCTAGCAGTGGCCTCAGCTCTCATTGGCAGACCCCCAGCAGAGTCAGTCTTCTGGAGCAGACAATCTAGGAATTCCAACAGCGTGAAGTCATTCCCATCCTCCAGACTTCAGAACTGCCAAGCAGCGGATAAAACTTTGTCTCTAGTTCCTTGACATTTCCTTTTTTTTTGTACTTAGTGTCTACCTCCAGGTCTCTGCCCATGTTGAACATACGCATAAGACCCCCCAATTACAAAACCTATATCCTTGCCTTGCCTCCAAATAACCCCAAGCCAAATCCAACACCTAAGTGATTGATTCCAAGTAATTGTTACATTATCTTATTTGTGCCAATAGATATTTGCACTTCAGATGAGGAGTTTGGAATCCCAAAAGATCTGTAATTGGCGGAATATAGCACTCCTAATTCCATTAACAGAACTTTACTTCCTCACCCTGAACACGTGTGTGTTTATATACACACACACACATACACACACACACATACACACCACTTTTAGGCAGGCACTCTAATTTACTGAAGAAACTGGTTGCTTAAAATCCGTTTTTTGTTTTTGCTTTTGTTTCCTTTTTGAGACAGGGTCTCGCTCCGTTGCCCAGCCTGGAGTACAGTGGTGAAATCTCAGCTGACTGCAACCACCACCTCCTGGGCTCAAGCAATCCTCCCACTTCAGCATCCCCAGTAGCTGGAACTACAGGCAGGTGTGCACCCCTACACCTGGCTAATTAAAACAATTTTTTTTTTTTTTTTTTTAGAGACAAGGTCTCACTATACTGCCCAGGCTGGTCTTGAACACCCGGGCTCTATTGATCCTCCTGCCTCAGCCTCCCAAAGTGTTGGAATTATAGGCATGAGCCACTGGAACCTGGGAGGTGGAGGTTGCAGTGAGCTGAGATCGCACCACTGCACTACTCCAGCCTGGACAACAGAGTGAGGCTCCATCTCAAATAACAAAACACACACACACACACACACACACACACACACACACACTGTGCCCAGCCTGTTTTGTTTACATTTTAAAAGCTACTCTACTTAGTAAAAGTAGTCTCAAACTCCAAGTTTGGCCAAGGAGGAAAAGTCCCTATAAAGGGTGGAGACCTGACCACAGCCTTTGAGTTTTACTTTTTCTGGGAGTATATTTTGCTGAAATCCTCTGCCACCCCTACACGGGCCTCAGGCAAACCCTGCTCACCTTTCTCAGTTTTTCTAGGATATAATACTCCCATTCCCAAGTCAGAAAAATAACCCAACTGAAGGCAGCACAGTGCAGAGGGAGGAGAATGCTGAGGAGAGACAGAGGTCCAGGTTCCACTCTGAGGGCTCCACTGCCAGTCGCATGCCCTTGAGCCTGAGCCTTGAGCTTCCCTCCCTACTAAACGCCCCAGCAAAATCAACAAACATATTAACACCGGAAAATATAATCACCAAAGCCCACTGTGCAGTACAGATGAAAATATCATAGAACATGAATCGGTCTTGTAGTGTCAATGTGAGTTTTTAAAATGTTTCTTTTGTGTCCAACAAAGAGTATTTAGAGGCTACTTGGCTTTTTAACACTTATGTTTCCTATGTTAAAGTTATAAATCAGCTTCCTTAAGCTTTTATGTTTAACTTACATAGAAATAAATTCTAATAATCACTTTAAAGAATTGTATTCACCGACTATTTGATCTTATTTGTAAGTAGTTAATGAAACTCTTTAAACATTAAAAGAGATATTTTATAAATTCAATATATATTCCATGTCCTTATAAAGTAATTTGGGCATTTGAGCTAACCAGCAAAACATTCCTGAATACTTAAAAACCTTTATAAATCTAACAATTTCTAAATAGGATGATTCAATTTCTATGTTTTCTTACATGATCCAAAACTAATTTTAAAGGAAAGTTTCATTTCAAACCATGTGCATTTTAAATTAGAATGACAAGCCTAATACAAATTCCTTAATACAAACATGTTAACGCTATGTGTTGATTCTTTTAAACATTTCTATACTTAATTCTAAATTTTCTGGATGTTAGAACATACTTACCCACTGGAAAATATTTATGTCCTCCCAAATGGCTGAGGAGCCCCTTCTCAAGTGATTTTTTGGAAACACGTTCTCAGGGGCCCAGAGAACACACCCAGTAGAGATTCGGTCCCAAGGCTATTGGGCAGCTCTTCTGTGGTCCCAGCTTCACCACTGAGCCCTGTTTTATGGGTGCTGTGTCATTACCCTCAGAGTGGGCCAGTTTTACAGCCCATGACCCCTAGATTCCAGTTACACGCCATCTAATTCTTCAGCCTACACAAGGAAGTCAGAAACTCCTACCCAGGTTGCTACCCCCACTTGTTTGGATATAATTAGTCTCCTTAACGATTCATTCTACTCTGAATGCTTTTCACACTCTTCCCAGCTTCCGGGGCCACAACTCTTACAGATATTGAATGGTTGAACTTCTCCTGGTGTTGCCTAACCCTGGCTACAGACCTAATGCTGTGCCAGAAATATCCAACGGGAAAATTAACATTCAACAGAGAATGAACTTTGGGATGAATGAAACCCTAGGGGAGATGGGAGAAAAACGTTACAGAATCCATTTGGTTTCTTCTTCTTTTCTATCTTATTACTTGATAGTTTCGTATGTACTCTTTAATCTCGCCCTCTCAACAAGGTAGTGAATCTGCGGTTGTACCAACCTAGGTATATTTGCCTAGCTCCAAATCACGGCCCCCTCCAAGGCCGTAATGTGTATTGAGCACACGTTAGGAACCCAGTGCTATTTGGACAAAAGAAAATAAAACTCAGTAACTTTTATGTCCTCTTGAGGTAGTTCCTGGGATAAGGTGGGCAATTACTGGAGAAACAGACAAACAAGCACGAGTTGACACAGGTGTGTCTTAGATTAGGACTTTGAATGATCGAGTATGATGTTTCCACTAACGAACACTGAGAGGCTGCAGGAGAAGGGAGGGGCAGGTTTGGAAGCCAGGCAGATTATGAACTTAGTTCTGAGTGTTTTGGGTTGAGATGCCTGTGGGACACTGACTGGGCTAGTAACAGTATGAAGATGGACATGTATGACTGGACTTTGGGAGCTCTGGGCTGGAGATATACCTGTCTTTGGGAGTAGGTTAATGGTGGTTGGAGCCATGGAAGTAAATCAAGTCACTCAAGTAGAGTACAGTGTGGGAAGAAAAGAGAGCTCAGAACAGGACCCTGGGAAACACCGTCATTTAAGGCGCAGCCGCAGGAAGTGGAGCCTGCCCGCAACACTGGGAAGAAGCCAGGGGATGGAAGAATGCTGCTTCTGTCTCACTTCCAGATGTCTTCCCTGGTTATAAGCACGAGGGTGGGCAGCATAGTGGTAGTGATGGGCAGGGCAATGTGGAGGGGGCTGGAGGCTGTGGGGGAAACTACGCTTGGGGTGAGATGGTGTTGGTGTGAGAGGCTGCATTGAGTTCTAGTTCTAGAAAGCATAGAAGGGGGCTGGGATTTTGAATTTCTGGATTCTATGCTTTCTCTGCCACTTCACGTTTCACCAGACATCCTTTCCTTACTCTGAATCATAGCCTGTGTAGGAAACTCTCTTTCCAAATATGGGAAGGGAGGTGTAATAAGGAGGCAGAGATAGCATGGGGAAGAAGAGGGGGTGTCTTGTTGAGTGTGAGTATATGAGTAGGTGTGGGTGTTGTGCACACAGGTGCACGTTGTGACTATGTGTTCCTCTGTATGTATATGCATATGGGGGTGTGTATGTGTGTGCCTTATGTTGGTATGTAGGTATGTGTGTGTGTATATGTGTATAATATGTGTATGTTTTTCTCTCTGTGAATATCTATCAATACAAGTACAGAAATTGAGAGGAAACATTAAGAAACTTTTATGGGCTGAGCGCCATGGCTGACGCCTATAATCCCAGCACTTTGGGAGGTCCAGGTGGGTGGATCACTTGAGCCCAGGAGTTGAGGGATCGCTTGAGCCCAGGAGTTTGAGACCAGCCCGGGTAACATGGTGAAACCCTGTCTCTACAAAAAAATGCAAAAATTAGCCAGGTGCGGTGCCATGCTTGCACGTGTAGTCCCAGATACTCAGGAGGCTGAGACGGGAGGATCACGTGAGCCCAGGATGTCGAGACTGCAGTGAGCAGAGATTGGGCCACTGCACTGCAGCATGGGTGACAGAGTGAGACCCTGTCTCAAAACAAAAAGCAAAAGAAAAAAAAAACCCAAAAAAACCCAGTAACTTTTATGGCAATTTGACAGAGTATTTTATATAAATTGAATCTAGTAATAAAACAATTGAGCTTGTATTTTCTATAGTTATATGTTCTATTTCATTTTCTAGTAATTCATTGTATTGTATTTTACAAAAGTATTGGTCTATGGCCGATTGCATATAAAACTGCTCCTTTACCACAGTTAGTCTTCAGCAATGATTAAGACCAGATCAGGACTCCTAGTAGGTCCTGATTCTGAAATTCCCCAAGGAGGGAAGTTCACTCCAGAACGCTGAGGGTCCTGCTCTGGGTCACGTCGATGAAACATGAACTCTGGTCTTGCGCACACACAAGGGGGTCAGGCCTCAGACCTGACTGGCATCCCAGGGCTCAGCCTGTCCTTCCTGTCACTCTACCCCTTCACATGAGAGGGGGCCACCAGAGAGCCCTCAAGGGGCTGGAGGACAGAATCAAGCCAGCTTCCCAGACTGTGCCTGCTCAGGGTGCTGCTCTCCCTCCGGCCTGCAAGGCAGGTGGAGCTGATGCCTCACAGAAGTAAGTGTTTCAGGGCCTTTTCAGGGCCTTGGAATTGGAGCTCCAAACCTCTCCACTTACCCCAAGACAGTAACACACACTCCATCAGCAACAGCAGAGTCTTTATTACAGCAAGATCAGATGCATTTCTTTGCCCAACACAGGGAACACAGCAGAGATTCCCCTTCCTTCCTTCCTTAGATAATTACCCCTGTCTGGGATCTCCCTGGACTGTCCAGCCACAGCCCTTCCAAGGATCTGACTTATTTACGTTTGTAATTTTATATTCTTTTTCTTTAAGAGGGTCTTTGGTGAGCCACAGGCCTCACCAAACCCAGATCCATCCTTGTGGGGATCCTGAGTGCTTGACTCTGGAAGGGCTGCAAAGTAAGCTACAATGAAAGGCTGAAGAGAATCTGCCCTCTTCTTTCATCGTTTGGAGCGTCTGTAAAACTCCCTAAGAAACCAAGAGTATGTGAGGTTGAGTGTGTGGGAGGGAAATGGCATTTGCAGTGGGGAGCAAGGATTAATAACGAACTGGAGGGAGGAAAAGCAGCAGCATACAGTCTGCAGAGTGTGAGGTGGAACGTGGGCACCAGGGCTTAGACAACTTTATCCAAGTGCACAGGAACAAGTGGGTACCCTGGGTCACCCTGTTGTGGAGGGTCACAGGCCACTATGTAAGGTGTGTTCAGGTGCTTCTCTTTGTACCTGCAGTTTGGGTACTTCCCTGAGGTGAGCTCACCCATGGTCAGGGACATGGGCCCGTGGCTCTGGTGGCAGTTTTTACAGCTATTCTTGCAGGCTATGTTGGGGGTCTGGCAGGTGATGGCCACACTGGAGAAGGGCTCGTGCAGGAAGGTGTTGAGGTCTTTGCACCGTTCTGTGTACTTATTGATGATGCTCATGGCTGAGTTGCATGCTTGAGGGCTGGGCTGCACATGCTGAGTTTTAAACCACTGAGATGATGTCATGTCCTTGGGCTTGGCTCTGACTAGGACCTCTGCCACCCACAGCCCCAGAAGCAGCAGCAGCAGGGGGCAGCATCCTGCTCTGGCCGGTGCCATCTCTCTTAAGGGAGACAGTGGAACAGAGTGAGGAGGTAGGTGGATGAATAGGTCATCATGGGGGAGTCTTGTTAGTCCTTCTAAGAATTTCATACCCTAAGCCAGTTATTGCAGGGCAATGTGCAGCCTAAGATATTGAACACCCCTGGCATTCTATTGTTTAGTACCAGCAGATAATGTGCCTTTTTGTGCCTCTAATAAACACTTACCTTCTTTACCTCTCACAATAGTTTTATGGGTATGATTACCTTCTCACATATATATATATATATATGAATAAAATGAGGCTCAGGAAAGTTAAGAAAATTCCTATTATCCCACAGCTAGAGCGTGTCAAATACAAGATTTTAACCAGGACCTCTCAAGTTCCCTAACTCCTATTCTTCCCACACTCCCAGGTATCTTTTCTGAGACTGTGAGAAATCACAAAGAGAAACTAAATCTTTTTTTTTTTTTGAGATGGAGTTTCGCTCTTGTCGCCCATGCTGGAGTGCAATGGCGCGATCTTGGCTCACTGCAACCTCTGCCTCCCAGGTTCAAGCAATTCTCCTGCCTCAGCCTCCCAAGTAGCTGGGATTACAGGCATGCACCACCACGCCTAGCTAATTTTTTCTATTTTTAGTAGAGACTGGGTTTCTCCATGTTGGTCAGGCTGGTCTTGAACTCCTGACCTCAGGTGATCCACCCACCTCAGCCTCCCAAAGTGCTGGGATTACAGGCGTGAGCCACCGCGCCCGGTTAAGAGAAACTAAATCTTGAAGAAAAACATGTGAAAGGTCAATACCCCACTCTGCTGGACTAGCTTAGGTGTCCCTGAAAGAGTTGTTATTAAGGTCGTGGAGTCAAATGCATTCCTCCCCATTCTGTGGCCCAGTTTCTCACTGAAGTTAGAAAAAATGATCACTCCTAGTGAAGGGATCGCAGCTCCAGCTGTCAAAGCAGCATGGCGAGTTGGGTTCTTTCCATGCCTGACATTTTGCCCTGCTGGAGAATGTCTTGGAAGGATAGAGGGTCAGGGCTGGAAGGGACCTTAGAGTTCATCTCAGTTGACTCCCTCATTTTAAAGATGAGGGAGCTTGAGTTCCTGCAAGGGCAAGTACTCTTTCCAAGGCCGCCGAGTGAGTGGCAGAGCTGGGGCTAAGAGCTTCCTGATGTTCAACCCATCCCTTTGGGCTGGCGCCAAGCTAAAAAGGAAAGAGGAAAGAGTTTCCCATAGGAGCAGAGCAGAGTGAGTGTGTCTCTGTTTGTGGTTTTAGGTGGTGTGTGCTCATTGCCTTAATTTCTTCAGACCCTTCTAAAAACATTTAAGAGAAAGTCTCCTCTTAGAGCAAGAAGGTGAATTCTTTTACACTTTCCCGTGTTTGTTTCTCCTCCTTTTCAATAACGACAACAGGCCTCAGGCTGAGTTTTCAGCTGAAAACAATATCTGGATAGAATTTTTAAAAGTTAGATGATATTCATTACATTTATTTTTACTTCTGTTTACAAAGTAACACTAGTATTCTTTGAAAGATGGCATTACTCAGTTTCATTGTAAAAGAATTATTTAAAATAAATGAGTAAATATATATTTAGCGTATTATTAAAATAATAGGGGTGGTAAGCAGATATTGTGAAAATTGTCAAGGGTTAAAGCAAATGACTGCAGTTGGGGAACTGGCTCTGCACTGCAGTTTCTCAGGTCGGCGATAGTGTGTTGGACTCCCCTCAGTCTCTCAACCTCTGGGATTTGTGTAACTTCTCCACCTTTGGGATAAAGTGCTCTCCAAAATGGCAAAATTTGCCGAGGCTCCTAGTATCTGCATTTCTGAATGTAAAAATTCTGAGATGTTTGTCATCTCAGGCAAACATGGTGGAGGAGCCTTGTTTGCCAGTAGAACTCACCTTTTCCACAGCAGGGATCCCTTCGTGCACTCCTCCCCACAAAGCAAACAAAACATTGATTTTTGAACCCAGGAAAACATTACCCAGAAAGCAGTTGACTTGGGCAGCAGGGAACAAATCTTTCCCTCCCTCTGCACTACTCCCTCCCACCACCCTGTCCCAGGAAGTCATTTCTCTCTTGCAGGCCCTCAGCTGAGCCTCTCCCATTGGGATGGAAGGGTTACCAAGTGATTATTCATTAACGGTTACAGACCCAAGCTGCCAAGCTTTGAAATGAGAGGGTGGGGATGGTAGCAGGAGCCCAGGGCTGGCCTAAACGTTTACTGCCAACCAAGATGACTGACCAGAGACTTTGCAAGCTCTGATTCCAAATACGTTGCAAACATGCTTTCCCTGAAGTAGGTACTGGCCCATGCAGCTGGCCAGCCTCACTCAGGGAGGCCTGGGAATGGGGTTCCTTTGATTGTGTGTTTTGATCCTAGTCATTCATCATGAGTTTTCCCCACTGCCACAGCCTCAGGGCTGTTTTATCCATTAAGCACTTGAGGCTCAGTGCTTAGAATCTGGGAGGTTTCTAAGGGCCTACAACATTTGAGACTGGGAAAAATATATTGGCTCCAATACAGGAAAAGTCAAATATAGAATCAAATAAAAAATATTTACTTACCTGCTACTAAAGTAGCATGAAGTTGATTTCACTTATTTTGAAATTTGGGACACATAAAAATCTCACTACATTGGAAAACAATCTTTGGTTAGTTTTCTAATTTTGTAGGAATTCCTAAGTACCTGGAAACCTTGAATGCAGAAGGAACAGTGCCAGTCACAACTTACTTGCAGTCAAATAATTTCAAAAGTAAAACTTTAAAAATCTTTTCAGATACATTTCTGCAGAAACAATATTGAATGAGGAATATATATCTTACATATTCAAAGTAGTGTGGCGAGTGGTAAAATGCTTAGGAGTATGGTAGGATAGAGTATACTATTTACTACCTACTAAAGGCAGCCAGGATAACATACACCGCATTGCTTATGGTTCAGGTCAGCACAGGGCTGTACAGCAGCAGCAGGAGGAAAGAGATGCTACCAAGCATCATTTAATTAGCATCTAAAATGTGCTCGGTACAGTTCTAGGTTCTTGGTGGAAAGTAAAGAACCTCATTTTAAAAGGTGCTTCACGAGCCAAAGCATTGTGCTTTGTGTACAACTTTATATATAAACTGTATTGTGTGTTCCACAATATTATCCCAATTTTACAGAAAAGGAAACTAAGGTTCTGGCAGGTTAAGATCCACAGATTTAGTAAGTGGCAGGGCCGGGATTTGAAATTCGGTTCTGTTTGGCTCCAAAGTTCATGTTATCTTTCCTTGCCACACTGCTTTCCTGTTTATTGATAATTCATTAACAGTTACAGACCCAAGCTGCCAGCCTTTGAAGTGACAGAGTGGGGATGGCAGCAGGAGCCCAGGGCTGGCCTAAACATTTCCTCCTCTTGTGGGCTAAGAGTCACCTTGTGTGCACTGGTATGGAGATGAGCCAGTCTTGGCTCTGATTGGTCAATGCCTGTTCCCACCAGATCACAAGAGAAGAAGACTGAATGCCATCTCTAATGTCTACTATGTTCTTGACACTGAACTCAGCAGTGTGTGTGTGTGTGTGTGTGTGTGTGTATTATCTCTTTTGTGATCAATCTATCTAAAAACATCTCCTTACTTATCTTGCAGCATCCCCATGAGATAGAAATATTTATGCTTATTTTGTAGGTAAGGAAACAATGTCTGTGTGTGTGGGAGTTGAGTAACTTGCCCACAGCCATACAGGAGTGAGTGACAGAGCCACTTCGATCTGATCCTCAAATTTACACTCTGTACACTGTGTCAGGCCGTGCTGCAGCTTTGTTTCATTTCAGAGCCAATTTTTACTGATCTTGTTTTTATATGGGGTTTCTGGTCACCCCTGAGAGTACAACTCAGACTACAATCAAAGTTAAAATAGTCTAGTGGTAAGAATACTGAACCAGACATGAATAGCCCTGAATTCTGGTCCCACCTCTTTCACTAATTAGCTGCATGACCTTGGGCAAGGCTCTTCACTAGCTTACATGGACCCAGTTTCATAGAATATCAAAGCAGGAAGGCACTTCCGAGTTCATTGAATCTTAGCTCTTGCTCTGATCAGAAGTGTATTTTTTTTTTCTTTTTTAAGGCAGGGTCTTGCTCTGTCACCCAGGCTGGAGTGCAGTGGCACGATCATGGCTCCCTGTAGTTTCTACATCCTGGGATCAGGTGGTCCTCCTACGTCAGCCTCCTGAGTAGCTGGGACTACAGGCCTGCACCACCACGTGTGGCTAATTTTTCTTTTTCTTTTCTTTTTTTTTCTGAGACGGAGTCTTGCTCTGCCGCCCAGGCTAGACTGCAGTGGCGAGATCTCGGCTCACTGCAAACTCTGCCTCCTGGGTTCAAGCGATTCTCCTGCCTCAGCCTCTTGAGTAGCTGGGATTACAGACACCCACTGCCGCGCCTGGCTAATTTTTGTATTTTTTAGTAGAGCTGGGGTTTCACCATCTTGGCCAGGCTGGTCTCGAACTCCTGACCTCATGAGCCACCTGCCTCGGCCTCCCCAAGTGCTGGGATGACAGGTGTCAGCCACTGCGCCCGGCCAAAGTGCGGCTAATTTTTCTATTTTTTGTAGAGATGGGTTTTGCCACGTTGCCAGCACTGGTCTCAAACTCCTGGACTCAAGTGATCCACTCGCCTCAGCCTCCCAAAGTACTGATATTACAGGTGTGAGCCAATGCACCTGGCAATAACGTTACCAACAGATGGTTTTTGGGCTTGAATACCTTCAGTGACATGAATCTTCACTACCTACCAGTTATATCAGGCACCCAGTTCTGTTGTCTGAGAATTCAACTTTTCTCAAAACCTGATTATCCCCTTGTAAGGCCCCTGTTTCTGTTTTTGGCGCTTCCAGTTGAAAATACTGGTCTCCTTTGACTGTTTCTAATCTTTCATCCCCATATCGATTAGTAGGCTAACAGACTGAATACTTAGCATGATCAAAGTATGGAGGGGCACTTGAGTCACTTAGTCTTATTGGTTCTCTTGTACGTATTTCTCTCCCTTTCCACTGCCTGTCTGGATGACTCTCACCACCTTCTAACTGCCTCCTTGCCTACCCTTTCTCCTGAGTTTAATTGAGCATGTATAATAATGTTGGATGGATCTTGTTAAAATATTCCTTTTCCTGCATCATTTCTCTAAAGATCATCTGTTTATCTCCAGTGGTTCTCTTGCTTGCAAGGTAACATCCAGCCTTCCCAGCCTGGAATCAAAGCCTTCTCCTACTCACCTTGCGTCCAGTCTACCCATTCCGTATGAGTGGCCTCCCTATCTTCCCTCCGAACACAAACTATTCTAACCAAATTCTATCCTAATAACCTGATTTTCCTTTTGTCTCCAGCACATGTTTTGCTCTCTTCAGCTTTGCTTCTGTTTCCCTCTTCCCTGCAAGTCCTCCCTCAAATATTATCCATCCTTTAGAACTCATCTTGACCATATGAGTTTGCTCAGGATCACATTTACGAACCTTGCCGTACAAATCCTAACCTCCTTTAGCATTAACTGTTTCATAGTATCACTCATTTGGGTTCTAAATCGTGTACTACCTTGTTTTGCTATTTAACTCTTTCATCCAGTAAGAGCATCCAGTCTTCCCAACTAGACGGTAAACTCGTGGGACAGGAATCAGGTCCTTCCGTGCTTCTCTGTCTTCATAGTGCCAGGCACATGGCTAGCTCACAGGAGCACTCAGTAACCGTGCATTGAACTCAGTCATCACTCTGATCCTCTCAGTCTTCTTACTATTTATAACACAAGGAGTTTCAGTTGAATAATGTCTAAAATGCCCCCTGGTTCTGACACTTGTGTGACACAAGAAAAAACATCAAAGTGCTAGTAAGTAGCCAGCACCTTACTAGTATGAAGGAGAGGCCTAATAGTAGACTCTGAAGGTGCCTTGAAAGAAGGGGAGCAGAGAATAAGCAACTATCTCCCAAAGACCCATTCTTTCAGGATACCCCAGGAGGGCTGAGCGAGGGTGCCAGAGAAGTTTGCCTGGTTTGCTGGCCTGAAGGACAGCAGTACCACGAGGGTCGTCTTTGAACTACAAGTGCCACCCCCATAGGGTTTTTCAAGCTTCAACCTTCAAACAGCCTCCTGGTGGTGACAGACCTGTGGTCTGGGCCCTGGTTTATGGCTCTGAGAAGCAGAGCTCCATCACATGGAATCCAGTGGCCACATTCCTTTTGGGAAGCCCTCCTCTGTTTCCAGTGGCTAACCCTGTCTCCTGCCAGGTCCATTTTTCTTTTCTATGTAGTTCTTTGAGGCCTTCCTATGGTGCCCATTTGCACTATGAGCTTGTCTCTGCGGGAGGACTGTCTCCCTTTGTTCCTCACTCCTGGATTCATCTTCATGAGGGAGAGGATGTAGTCTTCAACCCAACCAGAGCTGAGGCATATGGCTCCCTGGATACGCCAGTTCCCCTCATAGGCCGGCTGCCCTCCTGAGACCTCTGACTTACCACAACAAGGCTGCGTGCAGCCTTCAGCCCTGCTAGGAATGATAGGGGTCATAACGATAAAAACAATCATAGTTAACATTTACTGAGGCTTTTCTATGTTCCAGTCACTGTTCCAAGTGCTCTATGTCTATTTTCTCATTTTTCAGCATGAAAAGGACCTTTCCAATGCCCTAGCCCCATGACTACCCTATCTTCCTCAACCAGTTCTTGAAAAGAAACACTGGTCAGAGACAGAAATCCACAAAGAGCAAGTTAAGGAAAACATTAGAGCCAGTGTACTGCTACCCCAGGTGGAACACAGATGTGTGCAGAGGGTACACAAAGTCACAAGATAAATGTGTTCTTTACAATTTTACTAAAACCATCTTTTTAGGGGATGGGGAGTAATTTAAGGCATTATTTTTACAGAAAATAACTTTGTATGATAGAAAAATTCAAATGAGTTACATTAAATTTTTTTAGCATTTTCACTTTGAAATAATTTAAAACGTATATAAAAGTTTCAGAAAGCATACACAGAGCTCCCCTATATGCTTCACCCAGTTCCCCAATTATTAACATTTCTGAGCTATTTCAGAACAAGTTACAGACATGATGCTCATTACCCCTTAATACTTCAGTGACTATTTCCTAATTACAAGTACTCTCGTGTGCATAACCACAGTACAGCCACCAAAAAGGGGAAATTGACATTGATCCATTATTATTATTACCACAAATGAAATTTAAAGATAGCATATAAAACACTCATATGCACGGCTATTTTATAAATATTAGTTAAGTGAAAGAAGCTTCAGAGAAAGCCCAAGCTCATTGGGCACTACTTTAGGTGTTTTAGTTCATCTTCCTCTGTGGTTACTAGCACTTCAGGGGAAATTCTGGGAAGCATTGCTCTGCAGGTTCTAGTTGACCATGAAGATCCTGTTCTGGATATGCCAAATTCAAGGGTAAAAAGTGGTAACCCTTACCAAAGATAAATGCTTGGGATATCTCAGGCCCACCCGGAGCTCCACCAAACAGGATCTCTGTAATGTTTTCACCCTGGTCCGGAGTAGCAGATGGGAGGTCCAGGCCCTTTTTCTTGTTGCATATCCTTATTTATGTTTCCAGCAGCCAATGGCACGGCCAGGGACATGCTTGACTAGTTTGCCATCAATTCCTCATGTACTGTTTTTTTCCCATCTCAATGATACAATATGAGCATTCAGGTGAAGGTCAGAAATGCAACGTGTCAGGATTACGGGCACTTAATACTCTTTTGGATGAACATGCTTTTGTCTCAAATCCGGGGGTCTGCCCATTTGCAGATTGATTTGCCAGTCCATGTATGATTTGATCTTGAAAGATATCTGGGCTGGGCACAGTGGCTCACCTGTAATCCCAACACTTTGGGAGGCCAAGGCAGGCAGAACATGAGGTCAGGAGTTCAAGAGCAGCCTGACCAACATGGTGAAACCCAGTCTTTACTAAAAATACAAAAATTAGCCGGGCATGGTGGTGCATACCTGTAATCTCAGCTACTCAGGAGGCTGAGGTAGGTGAATCGCTTGAACCTGGGAGGCCAAAAAGCTCAACAAGGTTGCAATGAGTCGAGATCGTGCCACTGCACTCTAGCCTGGGTGACAGAGCAAGACTCTATCTCAAAAAAAAAAAAAAAAGAAGAAAGATGTCTGAGATCCATTTGATATTGAATGCCACTTTGTAAATATCACAAGGCTTGTTCAAAAAAGCCCGAGTTCTTGCCTAAATTATTCATGTAATCTTGGGCAAAGTGTTTAAGTCCTCAGGGTTATTTTGCTCATTTGCAACATGAGGAAGGCATGACTAGATGATCTCCGAGAACACTGGACAAGATGTCTTGCAGCATTATAATGTTATGATTACTACTGGGAGAGCCCTAAAGCCATGGAGATAGGAAATTTCATCTTGTGCTAAATGCCACGACCCAAGCAGGAATTTGTACTAATTCACACCACAGTTAGTTTATGTTTTAAATGTGTAAGTTCAACTAAGTTTCTATGAAAAAACCATAGAAAGTAATGACCACAATGTTTTTCTGCTATAACCAATCCACTGGACATGAGTCACAGGCGTTGGTGGAGGTTTTGAGTGATGAAAAATGAACCAGAAAATGGAGCTGAATCAGAGGGTGGGAAAAATATAAGAGGCTTCCACGATGGAAGTGAGGGGATAGTAAGCCTTCCTAAGGACTAATTTAAATATCTCAGGAGGGGAAGTTGGAAATGTCACTAGAGCCCTGTCTCCATCAATTGCTGCAATAATCAAATCCTTTGGATGGGAGGGAATACAGAGGGCACCCTCAAAAGTTAGTGGTCCTAAGTCCTCCAACTTATTTTCATATCTTTGGATTCATAAATTCACAGAGGTTGCAGAGGAGAAAAACTTCCCTTAAGTAATCTTAACAGAAATTCTCCAAAGCCCCCTTTTACTTCTCCTTCAACTCAAAGTACCCATCCATTCCTCCCAAATAACCTTATCTACAGAAACTAATACATATTGTCCTTTTTGTCTGACCTTGAACCTTCCCTTATCTACTCTTGGCTAGGAGCTTTTTGGCAAGAGGCGGATGAGGAGGAGTTTGGCCTCCCTTGTTTAAATCCTTTGTTCTTCTGTCACGGAAGTCAGGCCTGCTCCATTCATCACAGGTTTGACCACTCAACATTTGACACCACAATGATAAATAGAAATGCTAACACCATTCAAACTTTCCCTACATGCTAGTCACTGTACTAAGTGCTTTATATGTATTGTTACTTTTAATCCACATTATACTCTTGTGAAGTGGTAGTGAAGATCCATGTCCCTGAAGGTATTCAAGCCCAAAAACCATCTGTTGGTAACATTATTGCCAGGCGCATTGGCTCACACCTGTAATCTCAGCAGTTTTGGGAGGCTGAGGAGAGTAGATCACCTGAGCTCAGGAGTTTGAGATCAGCTTATATAGATGGGGAAACTCCCACCTCCCTAAGCTAAGAGGCGTTCTATCACAGTGTGTATTTTCATCACGAGCACACATTTTTATTTACCTTTCCTCTTATGAACTGTGGACTTCTTACAAGATCTCATTAGCAATGTGGGCTTTCTCATGTCCCTGTGGCTCCGTGGATGTTCCCAAGCTTACTGGTTTTGGAGTCTTGCACAGGTAAGCATCCTGATAAGAGCTATAACTGCTCTTCTTTTTGCCCATTCATGGTGGGGTGGGGGTAGGGGGAGGACATTAGAATGAAGCTCTGAAGTCTTTGAAGCACTTTTGGAAGCCCAGTTGTGCAGGTGCATGGAAGAAATGTGATGAAATGAGTTGAAGCTCTCCCAAGGAGAAGAGAAGGCCCCCTGGATGTTGTTGCTACTGGTATGTTTTTTGGTGCCATAGCTCAAGGGTTATCCCCCAGAGCCCCAGACACTATGAAGAGGGCCAAAGGGTCCTGATCTTAAGGGCAGGGTGTAGGCAGAGGAAATCCCTGGAGCTGAGGATCCTTCTCTTCACAGTGATTCTGTTGGCCCTCTTCATGGTGTCTAGGGCTCATTTACTTCAGTGTGTGGAGACTTCTGGGAACCAGAGTCATGTAGAAAAGTCTCCTCCCCAGTCTACCTCAGATAGTCTCCCTTCTAGGAGAGCCAGCTCATCTAGCTCCAGTTCTTGGTTTACTTTCTTTACTGAACTCCATTTCCGCTCCTTTACTCCATGTTGAAACAATTTAAGTCCATCTGCACAAGACTGGGCAAAGCTCCCCTGGACACCATCCTCCTCTCTCCAAGCTCCCAGCCCTAGAAACATAAATATCTCATAATTAAGCATTCTCCTTTTCCCATTCTTCAGCTTTCAAGTAGGAATGCATCACAGTTCAGCCAGCCTTGGTATTTGGCCCAAATTATTATCTTCTTGTATCTCAGCTTTGGCTTTTGGAAGGCTGAATAGTCAAATTCCTATTTCATCACTATTCCTGGCATCCTTTAACTTGGCTGTGATCAAGGTCACACGAAGGATTGAGTGACAAATCTATTCAGGTAGGGCACCACTAATAAGAATAGGCCAGGCCATTTGGATTTATTGTTAATATCTGAATAGTTACTTCCAAATATTGGTGAGTACTCTAGATGTAACCTGGAGTGAAATTTTCCTTGTGAGCTTAAAAAAAAATTATTATATTGAAATTCTACCAGCCAGTGGAAGTATAAATGGGTATTTATTATTATTTATTATTTTTAAGAAAGATGCTATTATTAATTGTTGTGAAAGCTTATATATGAAACAATTATTTAAAATTTCCACATGGTTAAAAAATAGGAAATTAGTTGACCGATAATATAAATAATAGAAGAGAGTGTGTTAGCTAGATAACTTTAGGGAGAACCTTATGTCCCTTGATCAACAATGATTTGAACTGTGCAAGTCCACTTACATTCAAATTTTCATCTGCTTCTGCCATCCCTGAGACAGCAAGACCAACCCCTCCTCTTCCTTCTCCTCCTCAGCCTCCTTAACGTGAAGACAATGAGGATGAAGACTTTTATGATGAGCCACTTCCACTAAACGAATAGTAAATATTTTTTTCTTCCTTATGATTTTCTTAATGACACCTTTTTTTTCTCTAGCTTACTTTATTGTAGGAATATGGTACATAATACATATAGCATACAAAATATATGTTAACTGAACGTTTATGTTATTGGTAAGGCTTCAGGTGATCAATAGGCTATTAGTAGTTAAGTTTTGGGGGAGTCAAAGGTTATACTTGGATTTTCGACTGTACACTAGGCACCCTTAACCTCCATGTTGTTCAAAAGCCAACTGTACTTTCTGAGACCAAGGTATGTATGTATGTATGTATGTATGTATGTATGTATGTATGTATGTATGTATTTGTTTTGAGACAGGCTCTCATTCTGTTACTCAGGCTGGAGTGCAGTGGTGCCCAGGCTGGAGTGCAGATCATGGCTCACTGCAGCCTCAACCTTCTGGGCTCAAGAGATCCGCCACCTCAGCCTCTGGAGTAGCAGGGACTACAGGCATGTGTCATCATACCCAGCTAATTGTATTTTTTGTAGATATGGGGTTTCACTATGTTGCCCAGACTGGTCTCAAACTCCTGGGCTCAAGTAAGCTGCTCTGGTTAGGCCTCCCAAAGTGCTGGGATTACAAGTGAGAGCCACTGTGCCTGGCTGAGCCCAATGTATTTACAACAATTTAATAAACACCACAAGTAGTATTTAATTTAACAAATAGTACAGAACAGAACAATAGAAATTAGATTATATCATAATTCTATCTATGATTTAATTACTCTTTTTAGAATTGATTGGTGTATTATGATTTATTATGTAAATAAAATAATCCCTTAAGAAGTATACATATTTGAAAGACTTTTTTGAAAATGAGATATAACTTACATAAAATACACAAATCTTTTTTTCTTATTTATTTTTATGACCACCTGCTGCCTTTTGAAACAAATCTTAAGTATACAGTTCAATGAGCTTTCACATAGGAAACATATCCAGACCAAGAATAGAATATTTCCAGGTCCTCAGAAGGCTCCCCCATGCCCCTTCACAGTTATACTTCCCCAAGGCTACAACTATTCTGACCTGTATCACCACAGGTTACTTCAGAACTTTCTAGTTATTTAATGCTATTTAGGTCAACTTTTAATGCTATATTAGGTCAAGTTTCAAGAAAAAGTTTTAGTTGGAAATTCTTCTTATTTTGGGAGGATGCATTGAAGGCATAATTTTAGCCACTTTAAATTTTGTGAGGAGAATGTCTCTAAAACCATATTATCCATAAGAAAGATCATCAATAAAGAAGATAGAGTTGTGAAAAAAGAATAAAATGAAGAGAAAAATCGGCTGCCCCAAGTATCTTGCTTTTCTGTGCACCACAAGTGAAAATCATCTCTTTAGGATGGTAAATGTAGTATACTGACCACAAGAGTTCAAAACAAATTCAGATTTTGGATAAACTTCAGATTTATTCAAGAATCCCAGAAGTCCATTCGATGATGGCAATGTTCTGTTTTCAGGTAACATTTGTTTTTACACTCAGTCGTTTGGCTGTTGTGACCAACTCATCCACTTATTGGCCCTCATTCTGTTAGAACTGTTTAATGATCTGCTCTCCTTTCCTTTAATCATCCTTTCCTTACTTTCTCTCCTCATCATCTCAGACAACCTGGCTGCCCTCCCAGGACTCTGCCTGCGGGCTTGTCCTCTAACCCACTCATGATCATCACTCTGGCAGAAGGAAGTCTCTCGGGAGACCTTAGTGGGGGTATTTGCCTTGGTCTGCGTGTTTTCCAAAGATGGATATTGCTACTACTAGTTATGATCTAACACCTGTCAGTACTTGGGGCTGACAAGCGTTTCATAGATAGCATTTCCACATCTTTACCTGGAATCCTATTTGGCAGGTAGGATTCCTCACATTTTGCTGTAGAGAAACAGACAAGCCAATTGTTCGAGGTCATGTAGACGGGAGTCAGGATTTACACCTGATTCTGTCTGGCTCCAAAGCTTACTCTGACTCTGGTCAGTAGTAAAAAAGCACAGGAGTTGATGGGGAGGGATAGGTAGAGTGGAATCCTCAGCAGGGTTGGGAATGTCTTATAATGAATTTGGGTTTGAAATAGAACAGGCATGGGACACAATGCAGCTTGTTTGGGACTGAGATAAAGGAAGAAAGAAGGGGATGGTGCTGGTCAAGCAATGTTGGAGAGACCATCAGGACTGGCCAATACCAAGCCATACCTTCTCCAGCTCCAGTCCCCAGAACGAGAGAAATGGTATCTGTAGCCCAGGGGGACAGGGAAATGGCATTTTCGCATCTCAACCCCTCAGGCCTGGGCAGACTGCCAGAGTGGAGAGCCAGGGTAGCAATGAGGCAGGGGAGATCATTATCAGGAGGAAGGAAGCTCTGGCAGCTCCCACCAGCCTGTTTGTGACAAGCAGGCTCAGGGCCACGGAAGTCCCTTAAGGTCAAAGGAAATGTGATCCTGGATCTGGGGGATGAAGCTCAGACACTCCCTTTACCTTATGTCTTCAGGCCAAGGGGATCTGGCCAGAGCCAGGTCCAGGGCCTAGGTTGGAAGAGCAGTGGTCTAGAGAAACGGGAGGGGCAGTTAGAGAGGAAGAGAGAGAAGGAATAAAATGCCAGAGCACCTCATAAACAATCTCTTGGCTAGAGAGGTAATGACCTTTATTGCAGCCAACACAGGGTAACTGGCTCTTCAGAGCACTCGTTTCTTCATGAGTGAACTCTTACCTAGTTCACCGCTTGCCTCTGTAACAGTGACTTCTTTCTTGCGCAACTGGTAGAGTAGAAGGTACACTGTATTTAGAGCAAGGAGACCTAGGTTCAAGTCCAGGTTCTGCTACTAACTAATTAGACAAGCTCTTTAATTCATTAAGCTTTCTAAAACCTTAATTTCCTCATCCATAAAGAAGGCATACAATCCCTGTCAAGTCTATGTCACAAGGGATTAGAGGATTCTATACAAATATGAAGTGGTATTTATTTATATTTTTCTTTCCTTCAGGTCACCTCACTGCCACGTCAGAGCTGGGGAAGACTTCTAGTTCAGGAACAGAAACAGCTGTGTCCACAAATCCCATATGCCCCCTTTCCATTTATTTCCTCTCCTTGTCATGCTGCCCTAATGCCAGGGGGCAGGGGAGACATGTGCAATGGCATAGACCAGGGAACCCACAGACCTGAGCTTGCTGTTTCTTGGGGATAAGCATCTGGGAAAACAGCAACAAAAAGATGAAAAGCCATCCCTCTAGAGCTCAGCTCACCAGAGTGTCAGCTTCAGCCTCCCAGCAGAGGCTGAACCAGGAACAGCCCCAAGAGATGAGGGGAAGAGAATGCTCTGGGTGTAGGGGAGTGGTGCGGAGTCCTGGAGAGGGAATTGAAGGTCAGCCAAAGAGCAAGCCAGTCTGGAAACCTAAAGGACTCTGTCCAAGTGTACAGGAACCAGGTGGAATTGCTGAGAGTCCTTTTTCTGGGGAGGCTTACAGGCCACTACGTAAGACTTGTTCTGTCGCTTCTCTTTGTACCTGCAGTTCGGATGCTTCCCTGAGGTGAGCTTACACATGGTCAGGGACACGGCCCCGTGGCTCTGGTGGCAGTTTTTATCGCCATTCTTGCAGGCTATTTTGGGGGTCTGGCAGGTGGCGGCCACACTGGAGAAAGGCTCGTGCAGGAAGGTGTTGAGGTCTTTGCACCGTTTTGTGTGCTTGTTAATGTTTTTCATGGCTGAGTTGCATGCTTGAGGGCTGGGCTGCATGTGCTGAATTTTAAACCACTGTGATGAGGTCATGCCCTTGGGCTTGGCACTGACTGGGATCTCTGCCACCCACAGCCCCAGCAGCAGAAGCAGCAGAAGGGGGCAGAATCCTGCTCTGGCCGGTGCCATCTCTCTTAGGAGGAGCAGTCAGGATGGAGGGCAGGGGTCGCTGGGACAGAGGTGTTCAGTTGAGAAATTAGTCCTCTTATACCTGCTCATATGAGCTAGTCACCCATCTCCCTACTCGGTTGTCTCCTTTCCTCACTTTGTGTCTCATCTCTGCCTCTTCTTCTGTGTGTCCACATCCACTGCAGCCCCAACAACAACCCTGTGGCCCCATCTCTCATCTTGTATTTCTGTTCCCTTCATTCTGTCCCTGTTGCCTGTCACTCTTTGTCCTCTCCCCTTTCCCTTAAGTCTCATCCCTTTTGTGTCTCCATGTTCCTGTGTCTGTGTCTCATCCTCTCCCGATTCCCATCTCGTCTGTGTTCCCATTCTTTTTCATTTTTTGCCTCCATCCCCAACATCACTCTCCCCTTTCCCCAATGCGTGTCCTCATCTCCCCTAAATCCAGTCCCTCCTTTATCCATTTTATCGCTCACCTGAGTGTACTCTCAGGATCAGAACCCATCCCTCCTTCTCTGTCCTCACTCCTCCCCAGATCCTGCCACAGCCTCACCTTTGCGCTTGGTCTTCGTGCTGTGACTCCTGCTCAGTGGGCTGAGGTGGTGTCCACGCACTCCTAGGCTGTCAGATCTCTGAGGGCCTCTTCTCACTCCTGAACTCCTTAAGAGCTGGCCCGGGCTACGCTGTGTCTGTTTGGGGGTGGGCTGGGAGCATCACTGGATCAGGAAATGAATCAGGTTCATGCCTCTCCACTTACATGTCCCAAATACGTGGACACCTAAGGATGCCTGTACCTGCCTAAACATGTTCAGCAATGAGGAAGCTTGAATCGTCACATTCGAAGACTGTATTTGTTCCCTGGCCACATGATTTTAATGACTCTTTAATAGAGCACCTGACCCAGGTGTCAACTGAAATCAATTTCAGGAAGAGTTGTCATTCATATCCTCTCATATACACTTCTGGCCCTTGATCCTGGGAAGAGTCAATCACTGTGGTGTTAAGGGTTGCTTCTTCTCTGACCTGAGGCACAGATAGGACAGCCTAGAAAGATGCTTTGTCTGGTTCCTTGTCATCTGGAGATACTGGTTATCTTTCGGAGGAGATGGAACAGACACGAGGGAAGTGGGTGAATGAATCATCACTGTCACGAGGCCTGGCACCATCCCCAATAGCGAAGCCATTCCACAATGATTCACAGGCCTCTCCAGTTCCAGGTACCAACCAAGGCCACATGGCTTTAGCTGGAGAAGGCAGCCAACACCTCTCAATTTCACTTGTTCCCTCCCTTTTTTATTGAAAATTGCAAAAATTTAATACTGCCCAAATGTTTGTGTTTAAAATGCTGTTGCTGCTCTCGACATCCTGCCTTAGTGCTTCCTTCACCTTGTATGTCCTGTTCCTTGTGGTGGTTACAGCTGTGTGGAGCATCTGGGTCAGTGCTACTCCAAGCTCTTGTGAGCTTGGAATATGACACTCAGGAGAACCGAGACACCAAGGCAGAGAAGCATCACCCTCTGTGGGTGAGAAGGCCTGTAAAACTGAGATGAGGAATATTTTTGTTTTCAGAATTTACCTGTAAGTAGTAGGCAATCTCAGAATCTTGGGCATGCTTCATTCATGTGGTCAACAAACATTTATCGAGCATCTACTAAGTGTCAAGATACTTGGGATATATCACTGAACAAAAAAGGCAAAAATGGCCAGGTACGGTGGCCCACACCTGTAATCCTAGCACTTTGGGAGGCCATGGCAGGAGGATTGCCTAAGGCCACGAATTCAAGACCAGCCTGGGCAATGTGGCGAAACCCTGTCTCTATAAAAAATTTGAAAAATTAGCCAGGCATGGTGGTGCATGCCTGTGGTCCCAGCTACTCCAGAGGCTGAGGAGGGAGGATTGCTTGAGCTTGAGAGATAAAATCTGCAGTGAAAATCATGATTGCACCACTGCACTCCAGCCTGGGTCACAGAGTGAGACCCTGTCTCAAAAAACAAACAAACAAACAAACAAACAACAACAAAAAACAAAGACAAAAGTCCCTGCCTTTGTAGAGCTTACATTCCATTGGAGAAAGACAGTAAAAAAAAATACGTATACTTTGCTCAAAGTGATAATGGCTAGGGAAAAAAGTAGAACAGTATAGGGGTTGGTGGTCAGTAATTTTACGTAACATCGTTGAAATCGCTGACTCTGGGGCAGAGACTTGAAGATAAGAGTGAACTTGTGATTATCCGGAGGAAGAATGTTCCAAGTGAAGAGACTAGCACTGCAAAAGCCCCAGAGCAGACAGATGCCTGAGGTGTTGGAGGAACAGCAGTGTGTCCAGTGTGGCTGGAGCAGGTAACTGAGAGTTCAGAGAGGGACCAGAGACCAGGTCATTGGGAAGACTTACGGACCATTTGAAGGCCTGTGGCTTTTACTCCAAGCACAGTAGGGAACCCTGGAAGGGTTCTAAGTAGATGAATAAAGAACGTGTCAGCTTAAAGGATTACCTGGCTGTTGTGTGGATTATAACTGTGGAGAAGTCGCACAACCCATCCTGATCATAAAGTTTGTGTTCTGGTCCAGAATTTATGATTCTAAGTCAGGAGGATGGGGAGTTTGTTTTGAGGCCAGGAGGACATTATTTTAGTAGCTGGACAGCACAGCTGTGGGTTGGGGGTCAGGATGAAGGATCTTTAGAAGCAAAAGTGGTGCTGGAGATGAGAAATGCCACTAGATGGCAAAAGAGAATCAAGAACAAGTTCACACAGGCCTCTGGCTCTTCTGGTTTGTCCTCAGCGAGGCCTTGGTTGGGGGAGCAGCTGTTCACTTCTTTGTTAAGGTATCCCAAACTTTGCAGGCTGAACTTCTGGATAGAAGTTCTGGATAGAGAATTATGCCCCTGCTGCCGTAGAAACATGAATGTTAGGAGATAAAATCCACGGTTTAAACCAGGCTGTGTATCAAATGTGTATCAGCACAGGCCAGTCTAGCCTTTGGAGTGGAGGCTGGATGGAAGGCTGCAAGCTCATTTGAATGCCTAGCTTGGTCTCCTTTCTACTTCTCATTATCCTAGAGTGGGATGTTTTCAAGCCATGATTTAAATTTCCCTCTACACTTGTGTTTTCCTGATATTATAATTATCCTAGTTTGCTCTTCAACTCGAGTATGCTGGGCTGCGTAGAAGGCTGCCTTAGGACTGTGTGAAAGTGAAATAAACATGGCCCTGCTGCTTCAGTCCAAAGGGAAAAGAGAGTAAGGTTTTAAGTTTGCACATGAAAATCGAAATTGAGTCGTACCTACCATACGTGCAATTCAACTGAAATCTTTGTTTTGCCTCAATTATTTGGATAAGGGAGGTGATTTTGTTTGTGTGCCCAAATTATCCAGCTTCCAAGATCTGCTTCACCTTGTACTTGGTAGGCTGATTTTGCTATTTTGGCTTCACTGCATTCATGGGGCAACAGAAAAAGATGGAGGAAGGGGGACAAGTTTAGGAAGAACAAAAAGATTCAGGCATCAGGCCAGGGACTGGTTCAGGAGTTTCACAGGAGGAGAAGAAAGACTCTGAGAGAGAGAGCAAGAGCAGAAGACAAAACAGTGGGAGAGAAGACAGAAGGGAAGAAAAAGTCCCTTACACCAGCAATCTCTACCCCTGCTTCCTTCTCATTCTATCGTCGAAGTCACTTCTGTTGGCCCAGCTTCTCCTTAGGCTGTTGTGTGTGTGTTTAAGTTGGGGCGGGTGTTGTGAAAATCCCAACAGTGCCAGGTGGACCTCTGCCTGTCTTCCCCACAGGACAACAGCTGCTGCTTCCTCTCGCCTGTGCTGGGAGGGAGTGAAGGGGGAAGGGAGAGAGGAGGGCCGGGCCTGGATTGGTGCCTACCCTTCAGAGCCAAGCCTCTCTGCCTTCCGGAGTTCCACACAGCCTCTGGATACCAATGGAAAGCCCGTGAGAGTTCCCTTCCAAGCAAAAGCAGATCCAAGTTCTGTTATCCTAATTTTGTTGGTCCTTTGATAAATAAAGGTAATGGGCTCATTTTTGTAGACTGAGAAAGTGAAACATACAGCAAGTTGAGGTCAGATGTGGGACTTTCTTCAGGTCCTTGAATTCCCATGACCTTTCCTGGAACAGCTGTGGGTCAGGAGGAGGCAGCACTGACAGAAATTTGGAATCCTTGGCTCCCAGACCAATGCGTTTAGACAAGCCAGGATGGAGGAAAGAGGAAACTGATTTGGGGGTTCACTGGGGCCTTGTCTCACAAGCCCTCCCAGCTCCCCATTTATCTACAGAGCAAAGTATCATTTCCTTAGCCTGGTAATCAGGGTCTGTCACAATCGGGCAAACCTGTCTTTCTAACTTTATCTCTGATTTTTCTCCCACTGAGTGCCTCAACCCCAGCCAGACCGGTTTCCCCCCATTTTTCAAGCATGTCTTTCATAATCCTCTTTATCTCCACTGAACTTCTAACTTCACCATGAGATCCATTTCCAAGCCAGGGTGACCCTTCAGGAAAACTTTCTCTGACCCTCCCAATTCAGAGACATCTTTCTCACCTCTAAATTCCTACAGCATTTACTGTCTTCAGAATGTATAATTTTCTGCCTTGAATCACTGGTTATTTCTTCATGTGTATGTATTATTTTTCTCTTAGACTGTCAATTCCCACAAGATGAGGACCACCCGTTACATTTCTTTTGCACATTTCACAGTATATAGCATAATGCCTTGCATATAAGTGACCCTAACTGATTCAACTTTTAGAAGGCATTCCGTCTGCTCCTGAATGATCCCAGTCTGAGGTGGGATTGCCTCCAGCCCACAGAGATGGTTAACAGATGAGGAAGTGACAATGCGGCTTCTAGACTTCAGCCCTGGGTTTGAGGTGATGCTATGAGAAGAAGGTTGAGATGGCTGAGGCAATCCTTCAGGTTCAAGGACAGCCCAGGAACTGTCCATGACACAGTATATTGTTTGAGCAACTTGAATTGGACAGGGCAAAAGATAATGCCAATGAGATCATGGTGAGCCCACTCAGAGCAAAATTTTGGGGTTCTCCTCAGTCATAGGGAGTCACCCTTGCACCTGCCACCCTAGCCAGTTGTTCTATAAATGCTTACCATTGGGGAGGGAAGGGAGAGAATGTGTAAATGATTACATGCAGAGGGTCATCTTTACAGGAAAAACAACTCAGTTATTGTTTCAATGGTGAACTATCAATACACATTTTTCTGGTAGAATCAGCACCATTACAATCAACATTTGTTTAACAAAAATATTTTGATGTCCCAGATGTTTATCATTTTTTTAATACATAAGATACAAGTAAGTCTGCTTTGGTTAAGAAATTTGATTAGCTAATTATTTAGACCAGGGCTTCACAACCTCAGTGTTATTTACATCTTGGTCTGGATAATTCTTTGTTATGGGAGCTGTCCTGTGAAATGTGGGATGTTCAGCAATATCCCTGGCCACAGGCCAGTAGCAACTCCTGGTTGTGACAACCAAAAATGTCTCCAGACATTATCCAATTGTCCCTGGAACTACTGAATTAGACATATGACCTTGAGCAAGCCACTGTCACTCTAGAACTTAGTTTTTCATCCCTAGGGAAATGCTTGTGTATGTAAAACCCGGTGTAATGGGGTAACAATCCCACTAATCTCAGGCTTACGGAGCACATGACACCATGATGAGGTTGTCAGAATGGATGAAGTAATCTTATGCATCAGCACCTCTAGGACAGGATTTTAGGGAACAGATCACCAGGATTGCAGTTGGGAAGCCGAAGGCTCATCATCATTAAATCATTTAAGTCCTGAATGCTTTCCTCTATAATGTGCTGTTCAGTTTCTGTAATTGTGCGGCAGAAGTGAGTGGTGTTGGGTGGGGGGAGCGAAGAGCGGTGATGGGTGGCTGGGGAATGAAGGAAGAGGAAGAACAAAAGGTATAAAAAGTCCCTTTCTATTCTCAGGGAAGCTGCAGCCTTGAGGGACCAGGGAAGAGGTGGCATGATTCAAGGCAGGGACCACAATGTGGTTGGCTTCCTCAAAGCAAAGGCCTGAGTCAGCCAGGCTCAGGCGACACCCTGCATTGGCACCCGCTCAGTGTTGTCTTGTTGAGCAGCCTGAAGAATACAGATGAGCCACCTGCCCATGTGGGCTCTATCCTCACTTGCTTGACGGTGCCCACTTCCTTGGCGAGGTCTTCCCAGCAGAGGCTTTCTAAGTGGGACCTCTGGGTTGAGTCTTTCTATGAGCTAGCACCATGGAATAGATGGGGGCGAGGAACGGTGCAGCAGCAGGGTTCCAGGTAGAGGAGACAGCAGCAGATAGGGCATAGAGGAGGTGGGGGACAAGGTGGGAAGCAGGCAGGGATGCAGATGCAGTTGTACACATGGGCAGGTGCAAGATCATGGGAAGTCTTATGTCCTGTGAGATGTAGTTTGGACTATACCCTACGACAAGCTTGTCCAACCCATGGCCCGCGGGTCACATGTGGCCCAGGATGGCTTTGAATGCAGCCCAACACAAATTCGTAAACTTTCTTAAAACATTATGAATTTTTTTGCATGTTTTAAGCTCATCAGCTATCGTTAGTGATAGTGTATTTTATGTGCGGCCCAAGACAATTCTTCTTCCAATGTGGCCCAGGGAAGCCAAAAGACTGGGCACCCCTACCCTATGAGAAACAAGCTATTGCAGACTTTTAGACGAAAGAAGGGATCACACTTTTTCTCTTGAAGTTGTATAAGAGATATATTTGAGTTGAGTCTTACTGGAGTTGGAGTGTGTGTGCTGTCCAGGCGAGACGAGAGCATCCACTGAGGAAGAAATAAGAATGGAAGAGATGGGCTTGGGAAAAGTTTAAGATTGTCAGGGCTGTGTGACTGATGGACTCAGGCTCATACTGAGGACTCACCATGTGCCGGGCACTGGTCTAAAAACTCTTGATATACATCTTAATGGATCCTCATACTGCCGTGAGGTAAAAAATACTATCCTCATGAACAGATGAAACAAGGAAGCTTTCAGTGGTTTCGTAAACAGATAGATGGTGTGCAGTTTGTAAGCTGCAGAGGCAGGATTCAATTCCTGGTCTGTTTCACTCAAAAGCCTTGATCTTAACCACCATGCAGGACCGCCTCCCCGTAGCTGGGATTGGGGAGGTGGAGGGGTCTAGGATCACTTTCAGGTTTCTTGCATAGGTAACCAGGGAAACTGAGTTGACAAAACAGGAAGAGAAACAAGTTATGGGGAGGATGGATTCCATTTTGGACTGTGGTTTGTGCTGTCAGAAAGTGCCAGTTTAGGGGGCTCTACATGAGGAACACCAATCTTTCTCTCTGCGGCCTTACTCCCTCCTCCTGAGCTATACTGAGGGTGTTGGAGCACTCAGCTTTCTGTGTTCTGACTCCCCTTTTCTGCTGCCCAGCAAAGGTAAAAAGGCTCTCCTAAGAGGAGGCCCCAAATCTGGAAGACACCTTGCAGACTAACAAGGCTGAGTGACCTGTGGAAGTCAAGGGCAAGAGCTAGCAGTTTCCAGGGAGCTGGCTCTTTGATTCTGATGAAAGGGAAGATGTTGATGAAAAAGATAGGAGCGTGGCCCTTTCCCCAGCATGGCAAACCACTCAGAGATCAACCAACAGTACGAAACGGATCATGCCAGGCTCTGGCATCCACAGCTTTTCATGTTCAGGTTATGCTTTCAAATCCAAACTGCCAAGTTTGAGGCTTCAGAGTCAGCATGCAGAGATTTCCAGTAGTGCTCAAACTCTGACAGGGCCTGAGGTCACAGGTGAAGGCTGTGGGTGTGACAGGAGTAAGGCTGATAGGGACCGTGGGGAGTCCACATGGAGGTCTTTGATTCTCAGCCCAGCACTTTGGTGGGAGGCCCCTGAGTACATGCCCTCCTGGGCTCCCGTGAGTGGGATGACAAAGTGGCGAATGCTCTGTTCTCTGAGGGTCAGGAATAAGAAGCACTTTGTTCCTCAGAAACATAACAGTGCTTTCCTACTCACCTTGCCACGAGAGCACAGGCTATGGAACAGAGAAAACATCAAAGAAAGCCCAGGCACTTAGGAACTTTTGGCAAGGAGATTGGAAGTAAGTGTTCCAATGACACTGTAGAGGAGGAGACCAGATAGTAATGCCTCTTTCCTCCCACCCATCCAACCCTCTTAGCACAGGGGCTCATCAAACTCGGGGACATTCCCTCCTCCCAGACTGATTTTTACCTAGAAACCTTTCTAGCCTCTCCTCATCTCTTGACTGTCTTGGCCTTGGCAAGAAGAATACACGTCCCTACCCAGCTATCTTCAGCTCCTGTCCTTCCTCCCAGCTGCCAGAGAATTGTCAGGTCAGCCTGCTCCTTCTTTCTTCTCTGCATTTTTTACTAGCAGGAGTGCCAGGGGCCCAAGGACTCTTGGGAAGAGTCTCTCACCCAAGGACCAGTTAGAGCTCTTATTCTGCAAATGTAGCTCACGGACTCTGCAGAGGCTGAGATTCTGTGGTGGACCAGGGGAGCAGGGCTGGCTGAAGGTGGCTGGTTGTCTGGGTGGCCTTGGGCAAGCATCTCCTCTTTCTGGGTCATGAGAACTTGGTTATGGGTGAGATGATCTCTAAAGTACTGTTGGGTTGGGAATGCTGGAGGCTCTGGGATGTGGCAGACAGCCACTTCAGGCCCACTGCTGCCCCCAACCACCTTAACTCTACCAGCAGGAGGAATGGCACCAGCTGTGACCCGGCTCCTTTTCCTCCAGCTTGTTCTGGGGCCAACTCTGGTCATGGACATCAAGATGCAGATTGGCAGCAGGAACTTCTATACCTTAAGCATTGACTATCCCAGGGTTAACTACCCAAAGGGTTTCCGGGGCTATTGTAATGGTCTGATGTCCTATATGCGAGGCAAGATGCAAAATTCAGATTGCCCAAAGATCCATTATGTGATACATGCCCCTTGGAAGGCCATCCAGAAGTTCTGCAAGTATAGTGACAGCTTCTGTGAGAATTACAATGAATACTGCACACTCACCCAGGATTCCCTCCCCATCACGGTCTGCTCCCTGAGCCACCAACAGCCACCCACTAGCTGCTACTACAATAGCACCCTAACCAACCAGAAGCTCTACCTACTCTGCTCCCGCAAGTATGAAGCTGATCCAATAGGTATCGCTGGTCTCTATTCGGGAATTTAATTCCTGAGCCACTCCCCAACCTCTACCACCACAGGCCAGCTGTCTCCATTTCCAACACTCTGATCCCTGTAACAAGACTTCCTTCCTGACTTACGAGGCAGGCAGGGTCCCCTCCCAAGAGACCAGGTGGGTGCGAAAATGTCCAGGGCTTTGATCACCATGCAAAGTGGTGCTATCTTCTAGGTTCTTTCCAGCTTGTTTACCCCCTCTTCGCCCCCACCTCCTCATCATCCTTCCTCTCCCAGAGACAGTAAAACCCACCCAAGAAGTTGACTGTGTCCAGTTGGCAGTGACTGTCCACCCACTGGGCCAGATCCTAAGTCCTGGATGGAGGCCCAGGGCCTCAGCTCACACCATGGCAACAGGCACCAGCTCCGAGTCTCACCTCCCCATCCCCACCAGCCTTCTCATGTCAGCCTCCCCCAGTTCCCTTATAATTCCCTCCACTCACCCACCTACTCAGGGGATATGGCTAGCTATAGGAACCTCCCTGAGGCCCTCAGACTCATGTTAGCCTCACTTCCCCACAACCCCCAGTTTCCAGCCTGCTTCTCTCTGTGAAATCATGGTTTCTCCCTTCATATAACTGTCCTCTCCTGCTTCCTCTTACCATGGAGCCTAGGACTGTCTCCCCCACACTCCCAACAACCGTAGTCACCCTGCCTTCCTTTTTCCAACCTCTTTTTCTTCCAGTCTTCTTACCTTGGCTCACTGGCATTTCAAGGTATCTTCTCTCACCCATTCCCCAGAGGTTCCTGCTTCCCTTCTCTTCCAGAAGCTCCTCCCAAATCCCCCAGACTCCAGAGTCTGCCCCTGACCAGGCAGCGAATGAGGCAGGCCCGGCTCTAATCGAACATAAATTTCTAAAACCACATCTGAGTATGTAAGATGTAACCATTGGGGGAAACTGGGTGAAGGGCACACGAGCCCCCTCTGTACCATTTTTTGTAACTTCCTGTCAACCCATAATCAATTCAAAATAAAAAGTTAATAACACACATCTGACTCTGTTGTGATTTAATTGCTTTTTCTTCAGTGCACCAGAACTCCTGCTCTTGGAATCCTGGCAGCCTGCCTCATCTGGCCATCTTCCTGAGCTACCCTTAGCAGTCAGTAAGCTCTTCTGTCCCATGTGCCCCATGATGGAGGTGATGTGGGGTAAAACTTAGTTCTGGGCTGGGTGTTGAAAATAGACTCTCCCCTTACCCCAGCTCTGGAACAAATTTGTAATAGAAGTCAGGCAACCTTAGCTGGCTTCTACTCCTCCACCCAAAAAACCTGAATTGCAACAGATGAGGAAGGTGGAGGGACAGGGAAGGATCTAATATGTGATATAGTCATAGTCCATCACGTGAGGAATTGCTACACCCTTTTGAGGGGTGGGGGTGGAGAGGTGGATATCAGTAATGTGTGAACACAAGTAGTAGATACTTTTACCTCCACATCTGGTTCATCTCTTTACTCCAAATATATTCTTCCATCCTGTTCTTGGAAGCAGCTGTTGAGGAGGAATGCTAACTGATGGCTGGTAGGCATAAGGCTAAGCAGAGCGAAGGGTGTGTGGTGGAGAACCCACCCTCCTGTGCTGCCTCTTCTCCCTCTCTCTACACTAGTAGGCTCATCTGTCCCTCACAGACAGAGATTTTGGCTGCTGCACACACAGATGTTTATTGTTTTCCAAGCTCCCTGGTGTTAAACATGCAGGGTCAGGGGGCTAGCAGGCTGAGATGAAGCTCCTCTCTACTTGGTCTTCTTATCGTAGGTGCCAGAACCCTTGTAACCACTCACATAGCCTGTGTTGTCAGTCATCTCTTCCCGTCCCGCAATGCCCTTGCCCTTGCCACTCTCATCAAAGCGCTCCTTGTGGGTGCCGGTGTACTTGCTGGTGTCTGTCAAACGGTCCACTGCACCCACTGTTGTTGCTTTCTGCAAGCCAGGGATGGATTTGAGCTCTCTTCCTTTCCTTACGCTGTCATATCCCTTCCCCAAAGATGGCCCGAGATACTTAGAACAAGTGCTTGGAGCTCTTGCTCTGCCACTGGCATGGGGTGCTGCTTTCTTAGGGCCCAGATACAGCTGTGGGCAGGTACTCTGGTAAGAGCCGTTCACTCATGGGGGAGGAGGAGTGTGGTGTGGGAATGAGTGTGGCGTGTGCAGAGGGAGGGTAGGTTTTTTGTTTCCAGAGGAGTTATTCTGACTAGGCTGCTGCCTGAGGACTTCACTCCCACTCCCCGACTCAATATCCACTGTAGAAAGAGCTTTTAGTTCAGACAGGACAATTAAAAAAGGGAGTAGGTGAGAGGCAGGAGGCCTGAGATTAAACCCTAAATAAGAATTGGAAGAGGAGTGGGCATCAGGTACCAAATTCTCTACACTAATGTCCTCCAAAAGCTACCAAGCCCTAATTGCCTGGCTCAGATACTAGACACTTGGAAATTAGTCTAAATCTACTATTAAAATAGCCATGGACCTTGGGCAAGTCACTTCCCTTCTCTGGGCCACATTTTCCTGACTTCTGGAATGTCTAGATGATCTCTAAAGTCTGTTTCGGCCCTGTCTCTACAGTCACACAGTTGGCAGGGTTAGGGAGGGTAGACTGGAACAATGGGGATTTAGGGAAGTAGGGTCAAGGGGATGAAGGCTGTCACTCACAGTAGCGCCAGTGGTGGCTGGGTCTTTGCCCTCCATGAGTCCATAAATGTTCTCCAGGACTTCATCTGGACTCTTCCCTTTGAAGCGCTTCTGGCCCAGTTCCTTCACTGCCTCTTTGAACTGTTGAAACGTGATGGTTCGGGCGTTCTTGGCCCTGGTCAGTTAGACAGAAATCCAGAAACTTTGGAGCATGAATGCATTACCTTCCAAGGTCCAACTCTTGCCTCACTCAGATTTGGCCTCTTTTGTCCTATCAATCAGTGAGTGTCTCGAAGACAAAGGATAGCACAGCGCCAGGTACCCTGTGGTGCTTGGTAGGCCCACTGCAAATGTTCCACCACGTGAACCCTTCCGTGGCCAACTACCTCGCAGGTTCTTCTCACCCCCACCTCCATATTTTTGGCTCCTCACTTGACTTTGCTGAACACGATGTCCACGTCCGTGGAGGTGACTGTCTTGCCATCCATGATGCCACAGTCTTTGCACAGCTTGGAGAAGTTCTTGTTGTTCATTTCAGTGCCACTGCTTGATGATTCTCCAAACGCAGCAAACCGATGGAATGTTTTTTCTGCCTCTGATGCCATGGTCAGCTAGAGGTCGGGGAGGGCAGTCGTGGGAGACACTTGGGGGTGAAGGAGAAGGGGGAGGGAGGACTGTGGAGTAATGAGGATGAGTGTTATGGTAAAATCAGTCAGCAACAGGAACAGCTCCCCTCTTCCCTGTTGCTCTCTCCTTTCTCCCTCCCAGCTCCCATTGCACCTACGCAACTACAGCATGAGTCTCCCATTCCCAGCATTGGAGATACCAGTGTGGATCCTACCTACTGAATGATCCTCTCTTTCCCCTACCTCTTTTATGTACCTTAGAGTACCCGGATGGTGGTCTGACCCTTCCCGGCCTTTGTATTTAAGTGTGTGCAGATATGTGGGAGCCGGTTGGCTGTGGCAATGAGGAGACAGAGGGAGGAGAGGGAAGATTCTATGACCTCAGCAGTGGTTATGTGACATCACTTCTGGCCCCAGCTACAGCCATTGCCTTCAAAGGAGGGGGCTTTTGGTCTCCCTACCTTGCATGCCGAATTGAGCAAACTGCCAACTTTCTGACCTTTTCAGATGATCACATTTCCATCATTTCAGCCAAGCTTACCCATCCTCTGGGTCCTAGTCAAATTGCCTTATGCTCTGCCCCACAACAGAAGCTGAGGCGAGCCCAGGGAAGGTGTTGTAGTCTGTTTGGGCTGCTAGAACAAAATATCAAACTGGGTGGCTTATAAACAACAGACATTTATTTCTCAGAGCTCTGAAGGCTGAGAAGTCTAAGATCAAGGTGCTGGCAGATTCAGTGTTTGGTGAGGGCTGCTTTCCGGTCCATAGATGGCACCTTCTTGCTGTGTCCTCACATGGTAGAAGGGGTGAATGAGTTCCCTTGGGCCTATTTATAAGGGTATGAATCCCATTCAGAAAGGCTCTGCCCTCATAAAACTTAATCACCCCCCAAAATGCCCCATCTCCTAATACCATGACTTTGGGAGTTAGGATTTTATTTTATTTATTTGCGTATTTATTTTGAGATGGAGTCTCGCTGTCTGTTGCCCAGGCTGAAATGCAGTGGCATGATCCTGGGGCACTGCAACCTCCAGTCCCAGGATTCAAGCGACTCTCATGCCTCAGCCTCCCCAGTAGCTGGGATTAGCCCAGCCACTATGCCTGGCTAATTTTTGCATTTTTAGTAGAGACGGGGTTTTGCCATGTTGGCCAGGCTGGTTTCGAACTCCTGACCTCAAGTGATCCACCTGCCTCAGCCTCCCAAAGTGCTGGGATTACAGGTGTGACCCACTGCGTCCAGCCGGGAGTTAGGATTTTAATATATGAATCTGTGGACAACATAAACATTCAGACCACAGCAGTTAATGAAAACGGATTAATGAAAACAGGCTGTCATGTTTTCTAGTCTCCAGGCTCAAGTGTAGCATGGAGAATCCCACTGGCTTTAAAAGGCCAGTCGCAATAGAAACATTAAATAGCTTCCAGTGTTGGGCCCAGCAAGCCTTGGAGTATAACAGATGTGGACAGGTCAGGATAAAACTGGGATAGACTGAGGGTGAGGCTCAGATTCTGAAAATCTTCAGATAAGTTTCTATGCAGGTCAAAGATGTTCCTCAGGGTTTTCTCTCTTCGGCCTTTTCTCTGGCCAGAAGCACTACAGATAGATGAACCTCACGGATCCTAAAACAGAGCAACGAGACTGGTGACTTTCCTCCTTTTCCCATCTAATAATGCCACCACTTTCTATTTTTTTTCTTTGTCTTACAAATCTATGCCTTTCTTTCCATTCCTATTGCTTCCACCCTTATTCAAGTTCTTATCATCTCATAGTTGGATGACTACTCTGGTTTCTAAATGATCTCTTTTCTAAATCTAATTCTTCACTCCCACCCACCCATAATCCATCTCTATTACCTCCTCCCCATCAGATTAATTTTCACAAAACAGTATTTTTTATTACTCCTGCTCAAGAATATTCTGTGGCTCAAGATATACTATAGCTTCTCATTGCTAAATCTTTTTGCTTAGCATTCAAGGACCTATACAACTAACTAGGCCCCAATCTACCCTACCAAACATCACCCACCTCTCATCAACATTATTCTTGGGCAGGGCACAGTGGCTCATGCCTATAATTCCAGCACTTTGGGAGGCCAACAAAGTGAGACCTTGTCTCTAGATAAATAAATAATAATAAAAAAATTAGTTGGGAGTGGTGGCATGCACCTGTAGTCCCAGCTACTGAGGAGGCTGAAGTGGGAGGATTGCTTGAGCCCGGGAGTTTGGGGCTGCAGTGAACTAGGATTGTGTCAGCGCACTCCCACCTGGCTGACAGAGAGACCCCATCTCAAAAACAAAACAAAACAAAACAAAACAAAAAGAACCCCAAGAAACAAAAAACCTAAGAACCAGATTATTCTGCAGCTGGGGTCATATGGCCTAATTGCTATACACTTGACAGGCTACTTGGGAGTGGAAGGAGCATAGTCCCTGGAGTGGAATGGACCGGGGTGGGGAAATGAATCCTAGATATGTCATTTACTAGCTGAGTGGACTTGGGCAACTCACTAAACATTTCTGAGTTTCAATTTTCTCATCTGTACAGTGAGGACGATAACACTAACCTTACGGTATTAGGGGATAATACATGGGAAGCTACTATTCAGTTCTCCAAAGTAACCTGAATGTTTCTGCCTCCAAACTGTCCTTCATGCTCTCTCTGTGCCTGGATAGAATGCCCCTCACTCCCACTCAAGTATTCCATGGTTGCACTTCTCATTTGGTGGTTCATCCTAGGAACAAAGCCCTTTTCCTTCTCTGAATTATAGTAAGATAATGATTTCTAGACTGTGGGCCACAGCCTCCTGGCGTGAGGATTTCTGAAATCTTGCAAAGGGCCCTAGAATCTGTATGTATAAAGAGTGAGTGTGAACTGAGTAAATAATATGCCTTGCATGTGTAGGTATTACCGCATTTACAGATGTTGTGACAGAAACTTACTTCAAAGTATTGATGAATTCATAGTTTGCATTTTCTCCATCAGGGGATACTATACCTATTATGTGGGGTTGGAAATCTCTAATCTCCCACTTGAGAAGGGTGGGAAACTACTGCTATAGGACTTACTGTCCAAATGATTGATCTTATATATAACTTGTCCTGTGTTTGTACCTTCTCTTGACAAATGTCAAAATGTCATTTCTCATCACAAATGTCTAGAGAGGGTGTGACCAGATGCACACTTTGAATTTCATCTACACAGTGGCTTGCACATAACAGATACTTAAAACTGTTGCTTACTTGAAGGTATAGTGTGAAGCTGCTCTGGCCAAAGGGAAAGAGTTTAGACAGAGATTGTCCTTGCAACACTTACACCCTGGTTGGGCTGGGAGCTGCCCTGACATGGAAGAACCATATCTTAGGGGAGAACCAGCCTTACTTCTGCCTGCAGCAGGCTGGGTGGGACCCCAAGGTCTAGGAAGCCAATGGATGTCAGTGGAAATTTCCCATCTCCTGCCTGCCCTGCGCCCCTGCGTAGGCCCCTTATCAGGTTCCCCCTGAGTCATCCTGACCCAGAGACGAATTTAGATGCTGGAACCTTCAGGTCCTTCCCTCCCCCACTCCAAGTAAGACGACTTTTGACAAAGAAAAGCCTGCAGGCAAAAGTTCTCACTCGAGGCTCTCCCTCTCCCCAGGTTCCTCTGGTGCTGATGAGATCTCTCCTGTCTTGCGCACCTTTGGCTGTGACCCTTATTCCAGCAGGCTTTTCCTTGTCCAGGAGAGTGTTAAACTGGCATCCAGAGGGAAGAGGGGACTAGGAGAGGAGCCAGGGTGCCCAGCTTCTGTGCCAGTTTCTGGGGAAAAAGTTATAAAGGGAGTGGGAGAAAGGAACAGAAGAAAAGTTGGGTGCTCCAAATTGGGGGATGTAGGGGGAGCTCCTTAGATTTGGGGTTGTTGAAGGCTGGGTTTTAGCCCGACCAGTTTTCCTACTGTGGGTCACCTCCTCCCTCTTGGCCTCTCCTTCTTTCCAGTAGACCCTGCCAAGTGGGGATGAAAGGGGCATTGATGTTCCTTGGATGGGAGGGGTATTGCGGGTGGTGAGGGTGGTGGTGGGAGGGTGGTTCCCAGGCAGGAGGGGGCAGGGAAACTTGGGGGTCTTGGGGGGGCAGTCGGTGCTGGTGTTGCAGTTGGCAGCTCAAGTTCCATTGGCCATTGTTCCTGACTGGCCTGGCGCCCAGCCCCCGAAATGGCAACTCAGGAACCAGTCTGAAGGGGGTTGGGGTGGATATGATCCTGGGATTGGGGGAGCTACAAGGGGGGCAGGTGGGGAGAAATTCAGTCAGGTTTCCTTTTGCCTAAACAACTTCGAATTCCCTTAAGCCACATTTTTAATCAACTAACTCATTCCAGGGAGCCTTCCTCCGAGGGGCACAAGGAGAGCTCATTCCAGGGTGTGTGTGTGTGTGTGCGTGTGCGTGTGTGTGTAAAGTCTACAGTGGCAAACCCACTCGGGCACCGAGAGGGACGCGGCAGACCCTGAGACCATCCCCCGGGCATTGCGATTCAGCGGGCCTGAGCTGGTCTCCTATTCTGGGCCGGACTGGGAGGGGTTAGCGGCGAAGCCACAGGGTCTCTTGGGTCCCAGCCCAGGACACTGCGTCCTCCCCAAGCCCCTACTCCACCCCCGCAGGGTTAACTCCGCCCCTGCGCCTGTTTACCCAGGAGTCAGAGCCTCTGGGGGTCCCCGGCCCCTCCCCCGCGCCCCTTGAGGCATTGACCCCAGAGTCCCTGTTGGCCATCCTCTCCCCACCCCCCGCCTGCCCGCGATCGCCCTCTATTTATAGCGGCCCCCCGCATTCCCCGCCCCCACCTCCCCGCCTTGTTGTCCAACTTCTCCCGGAGCAGCCGGAGAGCAGGCGTCGGGACGCAGCAAAGAGAGGAGAGGTACCAGGACTCTGGGCACGAGGGAGTCGGAACTCCTGCGCCCTCGACGTTCCCCCGTGCCCCCTTTCGGCGCCAGCACACCTGCCCCTGCCAGCCGGCGAGACCCCCGCCTCCTCAGCGGCGGTCCCGCCCACCTCCTCCTTTCTTAATCTAGTTCTCTGTGTTCGGGCGGGGGGAGTCGAACTCGTGGGGTGTCAGTATCCCGGGTTCGTCTCCCCACTACCGGTTCCCACCACTGAGTCTGGGGGCGAAGGAAGGAGCCAGAGTGCAATTGCAGATCCAGGTCGTGGATGGGGCGGTGCTGAGGGCAGCCGAGGGATCCCTCTCAGGGCTGAGGGATCCCCGCACTCCCCACACCGCCCCAATGCGGGGAGGGGGTGGTGGAATGTTTTGGTGAGCCGAGCAGAGCCTGGAAGCGTCCAGCCGCCCGCCCCTCGCCCCCCGGCCCCAGCACAACCCTTTCCTGAGCGGCAGTCTGGGCGGGGTGAAAGGGGGGGCGTGTTTACTGGGGGTCTGGGGCGGGTCTGCGGGGAGCCTAGCGCCCGTGGGCGGGCTGGGGCGGGCCGGGGGCGGGTCTGCGGGAAGCCCGAGCCGGGGCGGGCCCGAGTCAAAGGCAAGTGAAGGTGGAAGCGGCCGCGGCGGCAGCAGGTAGGGGGAGGGGCAGGCGAGGGGCCGTAGGGCCTGGAAGGCGCCAGCCGGGCCGGCGGGCGGTGTGATTGATCCGCGTCCCCTGGAGCTGGAGGCTCGGGGGAAAGGGCCAGCACGGAGCGGGCGCTCGGTTGCTGCGCACAAAGGCTGAGGCTCCAAGAGCTGCAGGGCGTGTTTGGGGTGCGCGCGAGGTTGTGTGCAAGGTCCGGGGCGCTTGGCACCGGCCACGCAAGGGTGTCAGTCTCCACGCGGACGGGCTGCGTAGGGACTCGTAGGGACGGGTTCCGGGTGCTGGGCCCGGCCGGTCTCCTCTGTCCTACCCATCCCTTCCCGATGGCGCTTGCCTTCGCGGGCCGTCGGGGGAGAACGGGAGAAGATTGTGGGACCGCTCTCCTCTCCCTTTCTCCACTCGTGGGACCTACACGGAGACTGAGTAGAGGAGAGAAGCGACGGCACCAATCTTTGTGTTTGTTTTTAAATTGTGGAGGGAAACAGCCATGCTCTGCTACCCTCCTCTTACTGGAGAGCTGTCAAAAATTTTGGGGATCCCCTATTCCCCCGCGTTTAGTCCCCCTGCAGATAGAAAATTGAGGCCAAATGTAGTAACTAACTGGGGCAAGGTCACACTGGGAGTGGCAGAGCCGGGATTCGAATCCGGAGGTTCTGACAGGGCCACCCTCTTACCTCCACATCAGCACTTCCTTCTCTCCTCCGCGCAGCCTGAACTGATGCCCTTGTAGCCTATATTGATTCCGGCTCGAGCCTAGAGAGGACGTGTTCTCTGGACTTAGGGGTAGACAGACACTGGGGAGGGTTAGTGACCCGAGGAGGTTGATGACCCTGGGAGTCTGGGTCTTGGCTGAGGCTTTCCGTCCCTGAAAGACCCCAGGTCTGTCTCCCATGTCATTCACCTCGTTGCTGTGTTTTCTCAGACCCCAGAGTCAGAAGGAGTGAGAACCCTGACCCCTAATCCCACTGCATCCAGCCAATAGGAGCCCAGTAAGTGACCCCACCCCGCAGGCTGCAGGCTCCTTCCTGTGCAGGTCTGTCCAGGTGCTCTGCTCCTCACCCACTAATGTTGAACTTGCGGAGTTTATTCAGAGTTGGGAGGAAGGGTCTTGGGAGGAAGGGAGGCATTGGGTTGGTTGGACAGATGTCCCTTTTATGTTGTTTTCCCCACCTCCCCCATTGGTCATGTTGCTTTGGTCATTTTTAGCCCCCTTTGAGCTGCCGACTTTGGGGCTTTAATTGAAGGTCATGGTCAATTGTGAACTCTCACAGTCCCGTCTTTTGGTACCCTGTCCTTTAGAATACTCAGTCACTGAGCTACAAGTTTCACTCCCTACCTGAGAGTGTGGGGTGGCCCCTAAATATAGCCCGAGAAATCTGAGCTACACTTCTGCCCCACCCTGGTATTTTGGTCCAGGGCAGAGGAGGGAGGGGTCTGGAGGTGTGGTGTTGAGGGTGGCAGTGGGGATGGTGAGTATCAAGAGAAGGGCTGTCCTGATTCCTCTTCCAAAGCTTCCACCGATCAGCCTGGAAACGGAGCTGGGGGCAGGAAAGGCCCTCTGTGTGTTCTAGAGTAGTCTTCAACCCCTGGGTCCCTCTGTTCCCTGCATCTTCCTGTGCTGAGAGAGGAAGCCTGGTGTTTGAGGCGATGTGGGGATGTAGAGACAACTTCCCAGTCTCATTTCCTCATCCTGCCAGGCCACCATGGCGGAGCTGCAGGAGGTGCAGATCACAGAGGAGAAGCCACTGTTGCCAGGACAGACGCCTGAGGCGGCCAAGGTTATTAGAGACCGTTTGACTCCCATGCCCAAATTCCAGACCTCTAAGCATCCCCCTTGCCTTCTAACTTCCCAAGCGTACTGATCTTATTCTAACTCACACCACTGCTTCACCACTACCCTAGTCTCTCTCCCCATACACTATAATTGGGAGTCAGGCCCTTGTCTCGTCACTACACTAACCTTCATCCTTTCCGTGTCTCTCTTTGTCAATCTCTTTCTGTCTTTGGTCATTTGTTGGTCTGTCTTTACTTGCCTCTCTTTGTCTGTTTGTCTCTCCATCTGGGACGCCACATGGTCATGTGTTTCTGTGTGAATCCGTGTGTGTCTCTCCAGGAGGCTGAGTTAGCTGCCCGAATCCTCCTGGACCAGGGACAGGTAACAGTGTGGGGGCAGTCCCAAGGTGGGAGGAGGGGCTGTCCTCTTCCCCAGTAGAAGGATGGCCTCTGCTTGGCCCTCTCTTCTCTCTTTGCTTTCTTTCCTTCTATTCTAGTCCTTTCCCTTCCCTATCTCTCCCCTCTCCTTCCTTCCCCTCCTCTTCTCTCTCTAATCTTCATTATTCTTTCTTATCCTCAAACTCATCTTCCGGTATCATGTTTTCCTCAATTCTTGCTGATCCTGTTTTTAATTCTTTGTTCCCTTTTCCCTCTTGCCCACCCACTCCCAGCTCCCTGACCTTGGTGTTGCTCCTTTTCTGGCCTCGTCTCCTCTGAGCCTAGCTCTTGGTGCCCTGTTTTCCTGCAGACTCACTCTGTGGAGACACCATACGGCTCTGTCACTTTCACTGTCTATGGCACCCCCAAACCCAAACGCCCAGCGATCCTTACCTACCACGATGTGGGACTCAACTGTAAGGACCTTCATTCATCTCCCACTCCTGTCTGGGAAGAGGCTGTGGGGGAAGGGTAGAAATGAAACCCAGAGGGAGGGGAGGGGTCAGTGTGGGAAGGAGAAGTTCTCTCCTGGTCTGACTGTGGCATGAAAGGAAGGGTGAGTTCTGACTGGGGGACACGAGTCCCTGTCTGATTCTATTGTTGAGGTGATGTGGGTTCTCTTTAGATAAATCTTGCTTCCAGCCACTGTTTCAGTTCGAGGACATGCAGGAAATCATTCAGAACTTTGTGCGGGTTCATGTGGATGCCCCTGGAATGGAAGAGGGAGCCCCTGTGTTCCCTTTGGGGTAAGAGTTAGGTCGTTACTGCTTCACCAGACTGTGAGGAACAGGACAGGTGCGGGAAAGGTTCGACTGGGGAGGAGGAAAGGGAGGGCAGTGGTTATTCTGGGAGAGAATGAGTAGGACATCCTGAGGTGGGGGGTGTGAGGGCAGGTTGGTATCTTCCTTAACATGCCTCTCTTTTCCAGATATCAGTACCCATCTCTGGACCAGCTTGCAGACATGATCCCTTGCGTCCTGCAGTACCTAAAGTGAGAGGCCTGGGAACCCCTCCAAACCAGAGTTCTCTTTCCAGCACAAGGAGACCCTTAGAACTTCCAGGTTCACCGTGGTTCCTGAGCCAGTTTCAGCTTCTGAACTCAATATATCTTCTTCCTTCATGCTCCCGCCTTGATTATTGAGAAAAGGTGGTGGGTTTGGAAAATTGGCCAGAGTCAACAGAATAGCCCTAATGGGTGGAGGGAAGGAAAAGGGTCTATGCTTGGCCCTGCCTCAGGCTAAGGAGGGCCTTCTCTGATCAGAAAGTCAGGGAGGAATGAAAGGGGGTGACATAATCCCTGAGGAACCAGATAGACCTGTCTCTTTCTCTCCCACTCCCCTCTCCTTCATGCCCACACCTGGTGGATGGGGAGCTCTGCGGGTGAGAGAGAGTTGGGGAAGGAAGAGAACACCAGACCAAGTGTCTTTGGTATTCAGAGGGAGGTGCTGGCCCCTGGGTGCTGTTCTTAGCTAAGCTTCTCCTAGGCACCAGGGCTCAGCAGCTCTGGTTCACCACTTTGCCACTCTTTTCCTCATTCTCTCCATTGTTCACTAAAATTGTGTCTGTTTTCACATTTGCTTTAAGTTCCATTCTTCCCGTTCCTCTAGAGGAACCAGGAACTAAAGCAGAACAAGTTGAACTGGCTCTTGAAAATTGAGAATGGACAAAGAGCTATCTATATGGGAAAACAGTGTGTTGGTTGGCTGGTGGATGGGTGTTTGTTTTTAAGACACTAGCTCTCCAGCAGAAAGCTGGGGATAGACTTCAGGTATCTACCCTGACTACCCGTGCCAACCTTTGGCTTCTTGGGCCCTTCTTTTTCGCGTCCTCCAAAGAAAGGTCCGTGTCTGCCTTTCTTTGTGCCCGTGGACTCAGGAGGGAGGGTGAAGAGTTTGAAGAGATGGGCTGTGGCAGGTTTTGGACAGCAGATCCCATGAGGCGTATATTTCTTTCCCTTTCACAGTTTCTCTACAATAATTGGAGTTGGTGTTGGAGCTGGAGCCTACATCCTGGCGAGATATGCTGTAAGAAATAAAAAGCCCAGAGGAGGGAAAGGAGGGTCCAGACTGATTAGGAGAATACTGTTTATTAGTGCTGTTTGGGGGAGGAAGTGGGCACTAGGTGGGGAGTCAGGCCCTGTGGGAGTCCAGGAGTGGGTCGAGCTTAGCGGGGAGGGGATAAGGCCATGCCCTGTTTCTCATTTCCTTCCTTCTGCTGTCCCTCAGCTTAACCACCCGGACACTGTTGAAGGTCTTGTCCTCATCAACATTGATCCCAATGCCAAGGGTTGGATGGATTGGGCAGCCCACAAGGTTTGGAGGGGCCTGTGTGCTGAGACCTACGGTTGGGGATCCCCTCGTATGGATCCAGTTAGGCTCTGGTAGATAGCCTAACTGGATGGACTCTGAACTTCAAGGAGGGAGTAAAGGGGCAGGAAAGTGAAGCTGTCACTTTGCCTGAGTCTCTTATAATATCCTGAACTTTCTTTTTCTTTTTCTTTTTTTTTTTTTTTTTGAGATGGTGTCTCACTCTGTTGCCAAGGCTGGAGTGCAGTGGCTTGATCTTGGCTCACTGCAACCTCTGCTTCCTGGGTTCAAGTGATTCTCCTGCCTCAGCCTCCCAAGTAGCTGGGATTACAGGCACCCGCCACCACGCCTGGCTAATATTTGTATTATTAGTAGAGATGGGGTTTCACCATCTTGGCCAGGGTGGTCTTGAACTCCTGACCTCGTGATCCACCCGCCTCGGCCTCCCAAAGTGCTGGGATTACAGACGTGAGCCACTGTGCCTGGCCAATACCCTGAACTTTCTCACCTGCCTTCTCCTCATAGCTAACAGGCCTCACCTCTTCCATTCCGGAGATGATCCTTGGACATCTTTTCAGCCAGGTAAGTGGGTGTAGGAGATGTAGAAGAGTCGACGGGAGCAGCAGGGAACTTGAATGCTTGGGCTAACTTCCTTAGCTGGGACAGGATTTGGGGAAGGAAGAAGGCTTACCTCTTTTCCTCCAGTAATTGTTGTTTTCTCTTTCCATCCCTAATTTTTCTCCTTGTTCTCTCCTTCAGGAAGAGCTCTCTGGAAATTCTGAGTTGATACAAAAGTACAGAAATATCATTACACATGCACCCAACCTGGATAACATTGAATTGTACTGGAACAGCTACAACAAGTGGGTGGGCTGTGTGTGTATGCATGTGAGAGAAATGCAGAAGCAGTAATTGGGCGTCATGGGGGAGGCACAGAGGAGGAGAGGGAAGTCTGGGTAGTGTGCAATGTGCAAGGAATGCAGCATTTAGTGTGCAATGGGGGCAGCTTCAGGACAGAGTCAGTGGGAAGGATTGCAAGGGGCTGTCCCCCTTCTCTTGTTTACCTCCTTTGGATTATTGGACTCCCAGAAGTAAGATGATCTTGTGTCCTGTGTCCTTCCTCCCCTTTTGTTGCCCTCTGACCAGGGATCTAGGGCACAAGTGACTATAGGGGCTGTGCTTGGGGCCTGCCTGCCCCTTTCTCCTTTGGTTTCCACCTTTAATAACCAAGATTTGACCGTAATTTTTAGACAAAGATAGTTCCATCATGGGAGAGATAGCTTATATCTGGTTAGATAGCATTGCCCACCTAAAATTCCTACTCTTTTAACCCCTTTCTAGCCGCCGAGACCTGAACTTTGAGCGTGGAGGTGATATCACCCTCAGGTAAGACTTTAAGAGATAATGCATTGCCTGTCTCCCTGGATCTTCCCTAGGAGCTTGTGTCCCTTAGAAGAAGGAGAATCTTTTGCCAGGGAACTTCCTTGTCATGTCCCACCCCATCCTATTTGGTAAATCACTTCCCTCTAGGTCTTCCCCCTTTGAATCCTCTTGGTGGCATCAGCAGGGAGACACAGAAGTGTCTTTCCTCTTTGGAGCCAGATATTTTTCCAGCTGCACTCCTAGGCAGAGGCCAGTGAGGGAGTGCCAGGGGCTCACTGCCTTCTCCCCAACACTGTGTCTTTAGGTGTCCTGTGATGCTGGTGGTAGGAGACCAAGCACCTCATGAAGATGCAGTGGTTAGTAGGGAATTTTGGGGTGAGTGAGGGAGGAGGGTTGGGGTCCTAAAGTGGTGGTCAGAAGAGTATCTTGCCAAGGGGATGTCCTGTTTGGCACAGGGAGATCAACTTTGGGGCACTAAGAATTTGATTCCTGGTAAGGAGGAACTGGGTAGGGAGCTGATAGAAAAGGGACTGGGGTCTGGGTTCCTGGGTCCCTTACGGGGGAGGCGCCACAGTGGGCGTGACCTCATTCATTCAGCCTCCTGCTTACTCCAGGTGGAATGTAACTCAAAACTGGACCCCACCCAGACCTCGTTCCTCAAGGTCAGTAACCTGTTCCTGGGCCCCCGTCCACAGTCATATATCCTCTCTACATGCAGCTGCTAAGCCTCCAGGGCCCGGCATGGGAGCAAATGGGGTGAACGAAGAACAAAACAAAGGGGCTAGAGTGAAGAAGCTAGGGAAGAGAGACCCTTTCCACCTCTCTGCATGGCTCATTTATGTGTGTTTCACTTTTTCTGGGTGGTGCTCTCCTGAACAGATGGCTGACTCCGGAGGTCAGCCCCAGCTGACTCAGGTGAGTGCCGCTGCCGTCCATGGGATGGGGAAGGGACATAGGATACCGGTGGCACTGGGCTCTGCCCTTTGCCACACACCCGGCCCCACAGTGCCGCAGCCTCAGGCTCCAGCTCTTCCTCTAACCTCATCTCACCGTCTCCCTCGCCTCTTCTTACTTCCGCAGCCAGGCAAGCTGACCGAGGCCTTCAAGTACTTCCTGCAAGGCATGGGCTACAGTGAGTATCGGGACAAGAGCTTGCTGCACTAGAGGAGAGATAGGCACTGACGGGGTGGAACCGTTTTAGGTGAATGCCTGGACTCACCGCTATCTGCCCAATCGAGCTCGTTGATCCCCTGGCTTAGTTATAACTAGTCCATAATCCAAGGACCACACCCTGAGTCGCCAGCCCCCCTTCCCCACTTCCTCTCTGACTGCTTGTGCATCGTGCTGTCTCCACAGTGGCCTCATCCTGCATGACTCGCCTGTCCCGGTCTCGTACAGCCTCTCTGACCAGTGCAGCATCCGTTGATGGCAACCGGTCCCGCTCTCGCACCCTGTCCCAGAGCAGCGAGTCTGGAACTCTTTCTTCGGGGCCCCCGGGGCACACCATGGAGGTCTCCTGTTGAATGGCCCTTGTTGCCCTAGAGTGGGACCCAGCCCTCACCTCCCCCAGAGCTAACCTGGGAGGTGCTGAAGGGGCATTGGGCCACCGTAAGCAAGGGAAAAAGGGCAGATCATGCGGGGAGATGACCTTGATCTTTGATTGCTACCCTAACCTTGACCTTTAACCCGTGATTCCCCCCAGCTCCTGGAAGAGATGTCCTAATATCTCTTAGGGACCCAGACCCCTAAATTCTCCTCCTCCCCCATTTTGATGTTAAGGTGGAGAGGGCATATGCATCCTCTGTCCTGATCTAGGTGTCTATAGCTGAGGGGTAAGAGGTTGTTGTAGTTGTCCTGGTGCCTCCATCAGACTCTCCCTACTTGTCCCATATTTGCAAGGGGAGGGGATTTGGGGCTGGGGCTCCATTCACCAAAGCTGAGGTGGCTTCTCATTAACCCTTTAGGACTCTGAAGGGTATGGACCTACGTGAATGTGTGTCAGGGGGAGACTTGCTGGTGGGTTAGTGGTCCTCAGGATGTGATAGAAACATCCAGTGTAAAAAGGAAGTTGGAATGGGAGTTGGCGGGCAGTGAACGAGTGTGGGGAAGGATTGGTGCTGGGGCAACAGGAAGGGGCCTGGGGCCGTTTGGCTGCACTAACTTTGGTAGCTCAGTGTGCATCTAGAGTGGGACTGGGGAGGGAGCTAAGCTTGGGCTGGGCTGCTTGGGGCTTGGCATAGGGTGGAAAGGGCTACCCTGGGGCTCTGACCACACTGTAGTATGTGTGGAGGGTGCCCTCCCGTCTCCCACAACTTCTGCTATAACAATAAACTGTAGAGGAATCTGAGTACCGTTATTATTCTTTGTCTAGGTGTGCCTGCATCATGCTCCTCTTCCTATCTTCTCCCTGTCCACGTCTCATATTCTCTTCTCAAAGTGATATAAACCCTGGGAGAGGGCCTTTGTGGCATAGGCACTTCACAAAATATGACCACATAGAAACTGGCTCTTTTCCAATACAACGGTGTTGCCTTGATATTGTAGTATTTTTAAGCCTGGGAGAGAGGAACCATTTAGATCTTAGGAGACTTCCTTATCAACTATGGGTAACTGAGAAAGGCCACAGGATTTCAGAGATACCACCAACATCACCACCTTTAAGAAAGAATTGAAGAGGCTGGGCAAGGTGGCTCGCATCTGTGATCCCAACACACTTGAGAAGCTGAGGTGGGCAGACCACTTGAGCTCAGAAGTTTGTGACCAGCCTGGGGAACATGGTGAAACCCCGTCTCTGCAAAAAATACAAAAATTAGCTGGGCTTGATGGTGCACACCTGTAGTCCCAGCTACTAGGGAGGCTGAGGTGGGAGGATCACTTGAGCCCAGGAGGTGGAGGTTGCAGTGAGCCACGGTCACACCACTGCACTCCAGCCTGGGCGACAGAGTGAGACTCCATCTCAAAAAAAAAAAAAAAAAAAATTGAAGAAGACTGATGACAGAAGTGCCCAAGGATATCTTGAGACCCACCTTCCTGTAGGATCCTCCCTAGGGGGTCACCTAGATTCCATTTTGGATGTTTTAGTGCAATCAGTAGACCAGGGTGCATGAACTTAACTGTAAGGGGTGGGCTGCTCATAGTTCATTCTGATCTGAAGACTCTTTCAGGAGGGGTGCAGCAAAAAGGAGGATTTATCTTGAGAATTCCTCTTCCCTCATGGAATCCAAGGGATCTGGGAGCTAATTAAGTCTATGTTTGTGGTTTATTAGGAAGCTTTTTCACAACTATGAACAATGAAGAGGAATTCTTATTTTGCAGCTGTTGCAGGCTGATTCTTAGGGTCTTGAGGCACAAGAAGTAAAAATGAGGAGGCACCTTGTAGCATTATTGACAACACTACTGTGATGGACTATTACAAGGTCTTTTGCTAGATTGCTTTACAGAAACTCCACAGGCAATTATACCCTTTCCTCAATGAAACTGAGCTGAGGACTAATGCACTTGATGTCTGGTGCTGACACACTGATTGACATGGAAATAGGATATGGAATATGCCCTTGATTCTTGAGCATTTCATCACTGTCCTTCATAGAACTGGGTCTATTTTAAATGTGGTAGGCCAGGGTCAGAAGGGGAAGCGGAGGTATTGGGTAACAAACAGGGTTATGGAGCTCGCTATTGGATGCTGAGGGTGTTGGGTGACCACACGCAGGGCAGGCAGCAGAGTGCGAAGCACCACACTGAAGAAAAGAAGCGGCATAATTGGAATCAGTGGGGACCAACTAGCTTCTCGGAAAAACACAAGGAAAAGGCAAAAACCTATAACCAGCATCAATCTTTACTGGCAATAGCTGCTGTTGTGTATTATGGATGGGAAGGCAAGTCTTTTCTGCATATCTGCCTACATAGATAACACTGTCAGCAGGGCAATCTCTACAAATGGGAGCACATTACATGTATGTGTAGATAGGTGAGTGTGTGCATACACATCTATCATGTAGGTGGGTGTGTCAAATGGGTGATGACTGTGTGTCTTTCCCATAGATGTCTCTGCATAAGAAATCTGAGTTTGGTAGAGAGAAAGATGCCCTCTGCTGGGAGCTAGTCGTGGGGTGGGGGTTTTGTCCTTGACTGACCTCTCTACTCTGTTGGAGAGCGACGAAAAGCTCAAGAATCAAGAGCATATTCCATGTCCCATTTCCATGTCAATCAGCTAAACATTCCAGTTTAGCCCATGGGGTCACAGTGCCCCCTTGTGGTTGACATGGTTCTTAATAACTTTCCCCAGTTCCCAGGTCCCTTGGTGTTTCCTCGGTCTTACAGCTCCATTGTGCTTTGTGGTTCTGTGTAGTAGCTCTATAGGAAGGAGGTCCTAATATCATGGTTGGCCATTGATCTTGACCATTTTCAAAATTTTCAAGATCAGAGCTGGTCTCCTCTCAGAGGAGAGGAGAGGTGATTTTACAGAAGCAGAACCACAGACTCCCTACTTTTTGTCTCTGCTTCAGGTTTAGGACCCCTGTTTCTCTCTTCCCCTTATTGTCAAGGAACGTGAGTACTTCCCAGACTTTAGGGACAAAATCCCAAGACAGCTAAGAGAAGATTCAATGGGAAAGAGAGTAAAACCGGAACAGAGTGAAAAGAGCCTTATGGTTTCAGCTTGAAAATTCTGGATTTCACGAAGAGATTTTAAAGGGTGAGTCTCTGATGGTACACTGAACCTGCAGTAGGAGGGATGGATGTTAGCCATAAGAGAGTATATGAATGGTAAGGGAAAATACTGGAGTGGGAGACACCACCTTCCTTCCTCTTTTTCCTTCTCTTTCTTCTTTCTTTCCTTCTTTCTTTCTTTCTTTCTTTCTTTCTTTCTTTCTTTCTTTCTTTCTTTCTTCTTTCTTTTTTTCTTCTTTCTTTTCTTTTTCTTTCTTTCTCTTTCTTCTTTCCTTCTTTTTCTTCTTTCTTTCCTTCTCTCTTTCTTTCTCTGTCTTCCTTCCTTCCTTTCTTTCTCTCTTTATCTCTTTCTTTTCTTTTTCTTCTTTCTTCTCTTTGTTTTTTTTCAGATAGGGTCTCACTCTGTCACCCAGGCTGGAGTGCAGTGGTGCAATCTCTGCTCAGTGCAACATCTGCCTCCTGGGCTCAAGCAATTCTCCAATCTCAGCCTCCTGAGTAGCTGGGACCACAGGTGTGCGCCACCATGCCCAGCTAGCTTTTTGTGTATATATAAATATATATATTTTTGTGTGTGTATATATAGATGTGTATTTATGTATATATATGTGTATATATGTATATATAGTGTAAATATATGTGTCTATATATGTGTGTGTGTGTGTGTATTTATTTATTTTTTTGGTAGAGACAGGTTTTCCCCATGTTGTCCAAGCTAGTCTCAAACTCCTGAGTTCAAGTGATCCGCCCGCCTCAGCCTCTCAAAGTGCTGGGATTACAGGCATGAGCCACTGTGCCTGGCTGGGAGACACCACCTTTCTAGAGCAATTTTAGGACTAACTAGAAAGTGAGAGTCAGTTCTGACTAGAGGCCAGGGTATGGTGAGGGCAAATAGTGCCCAGAGCAATGTCATTTGTTTGTACCCTCTCTCCTCACTAACATCAGAATTTCCCACTAATTGGATAAATACATAGTAAAAGTTGAATGTCCTGTGTACTTGACATTCAACAACTGTGAAGACAGTAACAAAGAACACAATTTAAAATTTTTAAAAATCAACAACCAGCATTTTATAAGCATTCCCACACTGGTGCCTGGGGTTTCAGGTGTCATTCCTCTCTGCACCTCTTTGGCTTCCCCCTTGCTAGTGGCAATGGGCTCCCCGCTCAGGTCAGTCAGGGGGAACGTGAGGGTGTCTGGCTGGTTGTCACACTCACACATACAAACCCACTCACACTCTGGCAGCTGTTCCTTGTACCTTATCAGACCAGAGGCAGGAGCAAGGGACTGTTTCTTGCAGTGAGGGTGGCAAGACATTCTAAAATTGTCCTTCAGGGTGAGGTGAAGTGGCACAAACTCTTGTAAGAGTTTGTCTGGAGCTCTTTGGTTTTTGTTCCTGGATGTGTCTTGTCCTTGTGTGTTGATCTCTGACTGACCTCCCACACTACTCCCAAAACTCTGGTTTCTCTCTGATGCTATTCCCCATCTCTCTTTCTTTACACATTGTCATCCTACAACTGCAATATTCAAATCAAACCCTCAGCTTGAAAGCAAAGGAAAGATGAGTTCCAAAGGGTTACTTTAGAGAAAAATGTACTGGTGGCAGAAATGGAATGCTGGCTCTAGGAGGGCAGTTGGAGGTATCGTTGTTCTATATTCTTCCTCTTTAAGTATATACAAAGTACATGTGTGGAGTGGAGAATGAGGGGTAGGGACAGAGGACAGGGATTGGGGAGACTTGAGAATGCTCTACATAAATCCTCTCCTGACTATTCCAATTGGTTTTCCCTCATCCCTTTTCCCATCCTGCACGTCCTTCCTCTGATTTTTTTTTTTTGGAGACAGAGCCTCACTCTGTTGCCCAGACTGGAGTGCAGTGGTGCAATCTCAGCTCATTGCAACCTCCGTCTCCCAGGCTCAAACAATCCTCTCACCTCAGCCTCCCAAGTAGCTGGGACTACAGGTGTGCACCACCATACCCAGCTAGTTTTTTGTATTTTTTGTGTGTATATATATATTTTTTATTTTTTTTTGTAGAGATGGGGTTTTGCCACATTGCCTGGGCTGGTGTTGAACTCCTGAGCTCAAGCGACACGCCTGCCTTGGCCTCCCAAAGTGCTGGGATTACAGGCGTGTGCCACTGTGCCTCGCCTTTTCCTTCTTTTTTTATTTTTTCAGCTCTCACCATTCTAGTTACCATTTGTTATAAGCTATCTCTTAGGGCTGAGTGAATCAAGGCTTACTCCTGAATCAGGTTTGCAGTCACCATGCCCTGGGCATCTCGGCTCTCCTTCCTGTCCTAGGGTTCTTATGCCTGTTCTTATTCCAGCCTTTCTTGTTTTAATCTCATTCAGAAATCACATTCATCTTCTGCTTCCGTATAACCCTCTCTGGCTCCTTGCTGGGAATTCATATCTTCTGAAAACAATCAAAAGGTTATTTCAGTTTCCTAGTCCTGATGTTCTCCCTGATATTCTCTACATGAGCCATTCTCTAGTTTTATTCTAGCTCTTGAAACAATATGGTTCAAACTAAAGATGGTTCTGTTCCTGGTTGGTAAGAATTTTGGAAAAAGGAAAGGAAATAGCCATGGAAAGGAAAGAAAGCATTGATGGCTGAGGACAGAGGAGACTAAAGCAGGAATCCAAGGGCTCCTGGGATAGAAGGAGGCAGAAAGTTCAGGACTCATCCACCTATGCCTGACATATCCCAAGCTCTACCTCATTTACCTCAAATGCCGGTAGAGACCCAGAACATGGTGAGGAGCTCCAACAGTCTAATGTACTTCTCCTTAAGTCTCCTTTCTGCAGCCATACAAATCCTCTGTACTAGAAATAGCTCTCTAGCTTTCACATACATTTGTACCTTTCAATTCACCCCTCCCAAAGTCCTAGCAAGATCACTCAAGTTGAAAGTAGCAGAGAATGGATGGTATGTGGAACACCTGCTTGCCCCTTTACATCTGGGTATTATGCTCTGTGCCCCATGAGGCTTACCTGGCTGCAATGCACCAACAGAGATTTTTGTCCTCTGGCTTCTGTTTGGGTTTGGCAGGAGATCAAAGAGTAGGAGAGTAAATTTTTTCCCCTGGTTCCTCCTTGTTGGGTCCCTGCAAGTTGGCTGCATCCCTCCACCAAAGGCCACAGCTCGTGTTGGATGGCCCTGTCTAGTTTCTGACAACTGCTCCCTTCTCTTCAGCCTAGGTAATAGCATTGTTTTTATTCAGTCCCAGGGTGTTGCCCCATGATTTGTTGCTTTGTTCAAACCCACACCTTCCTAAATACTCCCTTTATTAATATCACCTCAATCATCTAATGTACTATCTGCTTTCTTCTGGGATCCTAACATATAGGCTGGGGAGATGGGAGGATGTGGTAAGGAAAAGGTAATGAGGGAGAAGAGAATCTATACATTGAAGTTTTCTTAGAATCACGGAAACATGGGCTTGAAACCCAGCTAGCTCTGTGATCAAATTATTTAACTTTTCTGAATGCCAGTTTCCCTGGACTTACTGTGGAGATAATGTCTACCTGTTGAGGTTATGAAATATTGAGTTTATCAGGTACCTTCAGGCATTTGTTCATCCATTTACATTCCAAGCCCCCAGGGATTGTGGATTGTCTAAGGAAATTATTGCTTTCTAGGAGTTTCAAGTAGTCTTTGACTAGAACTAGAAGCAACAAATGGGAGTGTGTAGCTGTGTGGTATTTAGCATTCTATACACAGGGGGTCATCCCCTCCTTTCGTTATTTTATTTTTATTCTATTTTTCTGAGACAGAGTCTCACTCGGTCTGTTGCCCAGTATGGAGTGCAGTGGCGTGATCTCGGCTCACTGTGACCTCCACCTCCCGGGTTCAAGCGATTCTCCTGCCTCAGCCTCCCGAGTAGCTGGGACTACAGGCACACGCCACCATGCCTGGCTACTTTTTGTATTTTTAGTGGAGACAGGGTTTCACCATGTTGGCCAGGCTGGGGCTGAACTCCTGACCTCAAGTGATCCGCTCGACTCAGCCTCCCAAAGTGCTGGGATTACAGGCGTGAGCCACCATGCCCAGCCTCCTCCTTTCTTTAAATAAGCACCTGGTTTGGTGTCATTCTTAATGATAATGTATGTGAAAGCAACACTATAGTGTTCCTGGACCAAACTGAGGGTTGGCCTGCTATTTCTTGTGGCCCAATAACGAGATGCCGATGAACTGGGCAGAAAGAGAGTTTTTATTTCTGTCATCGGTTACAGGGAGAAGGCCTGGAAATTATCACCAGACCAACTCAAAATTACAAAGTTTTTCAGAGCTTATATACCTTCTAAGCTATATGTCTACGTGTAAGCATGCATTCGTCTAAAGACATAAGTGATTAACTTCTTTTAATCTATAACTAAGGTCTGAGTCCGGAAAACCTACCTCTGGAGCTTCAGTAAGTTTACTTAATCTAAATGGGTCTAGATGCTGGGATGATTACCCTTATCTTGTCTCCTGCTAAATCACAGAGGTTTGGGGAGTTCCTTCAGACCTCCAATAAACTTGTTTGTGGAGGCCTGGGAAATTTCTTCAGCCATCCAATAAAACCTGTTTAATCCTAAATGGGTCCTGTTAAGAATTCCTTCGTTATTTTGTCATGCTTTAAGGCCCAAGAAAGGCCTAAGCAAAACTCTTGATGGGCTTTTGTTACATTACAGCCTTTGTATAAGGGCACTGGCTTTTAATATTTAACTTAACTACCCAGTCAGTACTGAAACAGTTGTGATGGAGGCCTGCATTAGTGAAGCCTGGCCTGCTACAATCCCCACTGTCAATTTGTGCATGATTTCTATCATGCTTGTATATTTATTTATCATGAGAATCGTAGGGAGATGGGGCATTGTAATCTTTCTGGCTACTTCCTGCTGAGAGAGGGTCATCGTTATGGGGCACTGAACGCAGCACTGGGGTGGAAGAGGTCGATTTGTTCCCAGTAGCGCTCTCTGTTTGGGGGGATTAGAGGCAGTGCCCGATGAAACATAATAGTATGCAACAGCAATACATATAAATAGGTTGCTGCTGTTTTCTTCTGAAATGTAAGTTGTCTAGTCTTCCGTTCACAGGGCTTTAAGAAAGCACAGCTTAGGTTTCAATGATTTTCAGTTAGGAAAAATGGGGACAAAGGAAAAGCAAAAGGAAAAAATTGAAAACATTATCTGCAGACTTGTAGTCAGAAAAATTAGAATTTAATCCAAACTGTAGAAAATAATAAAAACTGAAAAACACCAGGCAACACTAGAATTTAACAACAGGTGTACTATAGTTTTGAAACAATTTTTCTTTCTCCAGTTTCCCATTTTTATTAAAAGACAAATCATGATAGGACTGGTTAGCTTTATTATACTTGGCCAGATTATTTGCATAAAGTGCAGCAAGAATAATTATTTTTCACATAGGCCTTTTGAACTGGCTTTCATGGAACTTTGTTCCATAGAAGGAATCTGACATAAGACCTTTTTAAAGCCAAACCCAGCCATGGATTTGTACCATCAAATACCTATGAGTTGGGTGAATTCCTCTCCTCTTGAGGTTCCAAGATACCTTAGGGTTCCTGCCCTGTCAGAAAGTGACATTTTTTACTTACTACAGGTCAGAAACCCTGTACAGGGACTGTGTACACAAAATATGAGGGCAGTTTCCCAAGGGCTTTATTGGGTTCATAAGTCAGGTTTGATTCCTTAAAGGAAAGCGCATCATTCCAGTCAAAGCCTTGGTAAAAATAACGTTTTTCCAATTGTGGCCTGTTACAAAAGAAAACAGATTCTTACTACACTTATGCGAATAACTCTATTGCCATAACTTAAGAATACTCACAGACAGTTTCCAAATTCTGGAGAAAATCAAGTAGAGAGAAAAAAGTATGCTCTAAATTTTGTTCATGGGAGTATACTAAATTGTTAAAAGCTGTCAATAGCTCAAAAGAAAAGTTTCTTCGACTTTGAAAAGCAAAACAAAAGATTAGCAATATTCTAAGCAAAATGTCAACAAAATCACTCCAGTCTCCTCTTAGTTCAGTTCATGCAGTTAATTCCTATCCTGCTTGATATTAATGAAAATTTTAGCTCTTCAAGAGTCCTGAACGTTTTCCTCTATTCTGATGTCACAATCTCAAAAGTTATCAGAAATCTGCAATCAAGAGCACCTAGTACAGCTTTTTTTTTTTTTTTTTTTTTTTTTTTTTTCTGAGATGGAGTCTTACTCTGTCACCCAGGCTGGAGTGCAGTGGTGTGATCTCAGCTCACTGCAACCTCTGCCTCCTGAGTTTGAGCTATTCTCCTGCCTCAGCCTCCTGAGTAGCTGGGACTACAGGCATGTACCACCATGCCTGGCTAATTTTTGTTATTTTTAGTAGAGACGGAGTTTCAACATGTTGGCCAGGCTGGTCTTGAACTCTGACCTCAGGTGATCCACGCTCCTTGGCCTCCCAAAGTGCTGCGATTACAGGCGTGAGCTACCGCGCTCAGCCTTGTTAGAGCTTTATAGCTGATTATAAAACCACCTTCAAAAGAGGATGAAAACAAGACAACAATTGCTTACAGATAACAAAAATGTTTAGGGTAGCCATAGTTAAAGACACAATTGACGGCCAGCCGCGGTGGCTCACGCCTGTAATCCCAGCACTTTGGGAGGCTGAGGTGGGTGGATCATGAGGTCAGGAGTTCGAGACCAGCCTGGCCAACATGGTGAAACCCTGTCTCTACTAAAAATACAAAAATTAGCTGGGCGTGGTGGCATGTGCCTGTAGTCCCAGCTACTGAGGAGGCTGAAGCAGGAGAATTGCTTCAACCTGGGCGGCAGAAGTTTCAGTGAGCCGAGATCTCACCACTGCACTACAGCCTGGGTGACAGAGTGAGACTCTGCCTCAAAAAAAAAAAAAAAGAAAAAAAAAAAGAGACACAACTGACAAGAAAATCTGTTACCTCTGTGGCACACAATAATTTAACATAACAATTATAATTATTACTGATAACATACACTAAGATATATCAGAATTATAGGAGTCTCCCATAACTTTGGAACACATACCAATAACATATTTACACAAATATAACCCAAAGAAAGCCAAACACCATTTCATATTTGACAATGCTTCCTGTATAATTTTCATACCAAATAAGCCAAACTTCACCTTTACATTAGTGTACTATGGATGTTAAACCCAATTCTTAATAAATCCTTATAGACATGTTTACCCAATTTTAATGTTTCACCACAAGGTAAGATTTTTATAGACTTTTTATAACCCTTTACAATTTTTGTTAAAGAGCAAGTTAGTGCTCTAAGAGAATCCCATTGTGCTTTTATTTCAATGCTCGATTTACAGAAAAAACTGGATGATTCCCTTTTAACTTTAGCCAATATTTTACACACAGAATTTCCTCTACAATTAACCTTCCACAACTTGCTTAAACCTTTATCTTTATTGTATCCAATTTAAAACAATCCTTTAACCTTTTAATCTAGGCAGAAATCCACAATCTCATGCATCCTTATAATCTTTTACCAAAAGTATATTTTACTTTCCTTACACACCTGGCATGTAAACTGTTTCTTCAGTAGTCTTAAAATACATGTTACACCGTTAACTCTTAGCAACCTTTACTTTTGGTGAAAACCTTGGTAAGTCTGGGATTTTAACTGTGTACTAGGTGTGGAGCCTAGGACCTAGACAGAAGTGCAGATAAGGTCTGACTTATTCCAGCATCTAACTCCATGTGTCCCAGGCCTTACCTAGGTGTAAAGCAGGCAAGTTGTACAGCTAAGAGCCATAGTAGCATTTTATAAAGCATTTAGGAGGCCTAATCACCTTTAAATTGTACAACATTTCTTGCATAAATTCCCTTTCATAAATCTTTCACAGGCCAGGTGCAGTGGCTCATGCCTATAATCCCAGCACTTTGGGAGGCTGAGGTGGCCAGATCACCTGAGGTCAGGAGTTCAATACCAGCTTGGCCAACATGGTAAAACCTCATCTCTATAAAAATACAAACATTATCTGGGTATGATGGCAGGTGCCTGTAATCCCAGCTACTCGGGAGGCTGGGGCAGGAGAATCACTTGAACCCGGGAGGCAGAGGTTGCAGTGAGCTGATATAGTGCCATTGCACTCCAGCCTGAGTGACAGAGCAAGACTCCATCTCAAAAACAAAACAAAACAAAAAACTTTCATGACTTACACAATCTCTGACATGTCTTGACTTTCTGACTTGTCCTAAACATCCCTCTCTTTAAACAAGCAGTTATTTTACTTTAGGACAAGAATGTACCATACAAGATCCTTTTTTTTTCTTTTTTTTTTTTTTTGAGACGGAGTCTTGCTCTGTCATCCAGGCTGGAGTGCAGTGGCACGAACAAGATCCTTTCTTATATAAATTCTCTTTTCTTTAATACCTTTTTGCACAGCTAGGGGGCATGGCTAATTTTACATGTCCCCAGGCCTTATCTAGAATTTAACCCGCCAAAATAAATTGAACAATTTTTAAGTCAAAGAAGCAGTTTATGGACTAAAGCATTTCGCAAACGTAATATTTGACCTGCATAATTTAGACCAAAGGCTTACATTTTTGAAAATATTTTTATTTCACCAATAATCTTTAAAACTCTATTTATTTTTATAGCTTTCTTTATATTTCTTTTATTCCCTGGTTTCTTTTACCTTGTTTTGTATATAATCTTTAAATAAGCTTTGAATTAGACAAAAATTAGTTACCCTTTAAAAAAGACACAATCTTTAGAAAGAATGTTTTCCTACAATATATTGTTATTGGAAAATACCCAAATAATGAGATATCTGTTGTTTAATATAATTTTAGATTCTAAATTTTGACAAGTTATTTACAAGTATTTATCCAATTGCATTTATCTAATTATTTTAATCGTTTACCTGGATTATTTATGAAAACTACGATAGTCATCATTTAAAGTTTTGAAGCCGCCATTGCAAAATTATAACTGAGACAGTGAAAATGATCTGACCTGACTCCATTTTGCGTCTAATCTACAAGCTATTCTTGTTTATTAACTTAGTTTATAGTTTAGCTTTGAAACAAAGACGATAACAGTCCTTTCCCAGAACAAACTTTCTTCATGTCTGTGGACTAGACTGCCTAAGGCCACAAGATCAGAAGTTACAGTATTTTACTAAATAATTCAAGATGTAGCTATCTTCATTAAACCAATATTAATGTTTTATTCTTAAAAACTACACAAGCAAAGATCATTCTGTTTTGGGCTGGGTTATAGTTTTGTAGCCTCCATGCCAAATTTTGACACTTTATAGTATTTGGCAGAGATAAGTATGAAATTGCTTGATCAATAAATGCAAACAAAAATGTATGCTGGCAACTCTTAAGATTTCTAATATTACTTTACCAATAATTTTTAAAGCTAGCTTATTTATTAAGGATTTTACTTAAGTCACATAAACTTGAAAAAGCACTTGACTAGTCTTTCCTTTTTTCTGTTAAAGTTTGTAAGTGCTTTTATTTTTTCTTTGAGTCAGTAAATTACAACTCTTTTATATTTTTCAGTAGTGAAACATGGTGTACACAAGACATAAATACCTACACGTATTAGTCATGCCAATAGAAGTATATTTTATAAATTCATAAGCCTTCCTTTTCCTATTTTTTAACTGGACCTTTGAGCTCTGGGCAGACCCCACACTGAATCCTGGGTTTTCAAAAGGGGAGAATTATTATGAGGCTAGACCATTTGATGCTTTTACAGTGCACTTAATTTTTTTTTCAAACAAAGACATTTCTAGCATCTAAATTACATTTATCTTAAAAATCTCAGAGTAGGTTCTGTTGTACTAGCCATTAATGAAGAAAACAGGATTCAGTCAACTGTGAAGAAAAAACTTTTGCTCAAAAAAACAAGGTCCTAGGTGAGAAATAAACAAAAACATGAAGGCCTTTTAAATACAAACATGCACACACACATATATACGCATACACATTTTGGATGGTAGCTTTTAATTAAGCTGACTCTCAACTATTGAGCTTCTAAAAAAACCTTTCTCCTTCCCAGAGGCCTCCCAGCAGGAATGGACCCAATACTTCCCGTTTTCAAGTTTACATGGTATCAAAAGGAACAAGACAGACACACAAACAAGTGGAGACAGATTTCAAGGGGGAGTGCAGTCAGGCAAAAGAGACTCAAAACTAACTCAAAACCTGATCTCGACCAAAATGCAAAGCAGGCGTATGAACGAGCCCTATTGCTTCCCTTGGTGGTACCGGACAAATGGCTTCACAAGCCCAGATAGGAAAACAATAGGCTCCTGGCATATGATCCAGTTAACTCACCCTTTGAGCCTCTCCGCTCCTGACCTCTGTTCTTCGCCAGTAGTGAAAGGGATGTGCAGATTTGCACATGGACCAGCCCTCTGGAGGGTCCCCGGGGGAAACCTCACCCCACAGCTGCTGGGATCCTCCTGAAGACTGTCTCGTCGCAAGCTGCCGGCCATTGAAGGCAGCACTATCCTTATCTCCTGGCTGGCTCTCCAAATTTTGTTCCCAGACCAAACAGAGGGTCACGCTGCTATTTCTCGTGGCCCAATAATGAGATGCCGATGAACTGGGCAGAAAGAGAGTTTTTATTTCTGTCATCGGTTACAGGGAGAAGGCCTGGAAATTATCACCAGACCAACTCAAAATTACAAAGTTTTTCAGAGCTTATATACCTTCTAAGCTATATGTCTACGTGTAAGCGTGCATTCATCTAAAGACATAAGTGATTAACTTCTTTTCATCTATAACTAAGGTCTGAGTCCGGAAGACCTACTCCTGGAGCCTCAGTAAGCTTAATCTAAATGGGTCTAGATGCTGGGGTGGTTACCCTTATCTTGTCTTCTGCTAAATCACAGAGGTTTGGGGAGTTCCTTCAGATGCCCAGTAAACTTGTTTGTGGAGGCCTGGGGAGTTTCTTCAGACCCTCAATAAAACTTGTTTAATCCTAAATGGGTCCTGGTAAGAATTCCTTCGTTATTTTGTCATGCTTTAAGTTTTGCCAGGAAAGGCCTAATCAAAACTCTTGATGGGCTTTTGTTACATGACGGCCTTTGTATAGGCACCGGCTTTTTTTTTAGCTTTTAATATTTAACCTAACCAGTTGCAGTCTGTAATCCACGAACTGAAACAGGGCTTCTCTTCCATTGCAGCTGGCATATCTTGTTGTGTTTATGGGTCTGACAGGCAAACATATCTGAAGCATATCTCATATGCTGATCTGTGAGGGAGATAAGCCCCTTGTTTTGCTTGACTGGAAACAAAATAAGCCCGTGACAGGGATACTCCATCTAGAAACAAAAAGAAGGGCTGTGAGACGAAAATGTGATGGAGGCCTGCGTTAGTGAAACCTGGCCTGCCACAATAGTACCTGGCACATAGCCATTGTTCAGTGTAGAAACTATTACAGTAGAAACTACTACACACTGGACAACTGTTCTGAGTGTATTACATGTTACTGCATTTAACGCTAAATGGAAAGAAAACACAATACTATGGTGCTTTAGGGAAATGATTTCCTGCGTTAGACATATCTATCATCTCTCCCTCTCTCTCTCTCTGTATCATTTTTGCCTGAAGCTGGCCTTCTCACTGATCTCTGGGTGTGTAAACTGGGCTTATGAGGAGGCTTGTATTTCTTACTTTGTAGGAAGGGGAACAGGATGGAAAGGAGACAGAGACTGAGAAGAAGAATGAATGTCCATGTTAAGGTACTTGGGCTTCCATGCTGAAAATACTAGAAAGGGCCAACTTGTGAGGGTAACTGAACTCACAGGGCACACTTTCTCTTTCCCCATTTCTCCACTAAGTTTGAGATATTCCTCCACCTCATGAGTTGGGGGCTATGCAATAGCCATCCTGTTCCTACCAATTCCAGCTAACCTGCTTTCGTATTTGTCCTCAGCAGTTTTTAAGAGAAACAACACATTGTAGGGGTTACTTAGATGGAAAGACAATTGGTAAGACAGGCAGGAGAAAAGCCAGTGAGTCCTGCAAGAGCCAAGTAATCATCCCAGGCATTTATTTTAATATCTAGCACCTTTCTCCCTCTCCAAGCACACTGCTTTTTAATCCCTCAACACAAGGCAGCTGGAAGGAGATAGAAGCTCAAAGAAGAGCAATAGTGTCCCTGAGGCCACACAGGGCTCGGTGTGAAAAAACAGGAACCTAATGGAGATAGGTTCCATTCTGCCTGATCTCCATTTAGCCTGGACATGTTATCGGTGGCTGATAATGGGTACTGGGAATGGGGTGGTTATGGTAAGTGTAGGAACATAATCGATCCACGTCATTTTGGCTTTTAACTTTCTTTCCTTTTAAATGCTGGGAACTGGCTCATTTTCTCAACTACAGTGGGTAAGGTGGGAGGGGAATTTTAGCAAGGTGCCATGTCTAGGGGTGTGGCTGCAACTGACAGGATGGCTAGGAGCCCTAATTCCAGAATAAAATACTGCATTCAACACTCATCCTTCCCATTCCCCATTCCACCACTTCCTGTGCCAGGTAGCATCTAGGCAACCAGGAGAAATGAAATCCAGAATGGCTGAAGGAGGGTAAAATGGGCATTTTATTACACACAGTAGCATAAATGGGATAAGAATAAAATCTGGAGCGTCTCTGTACCAATTCTCCAATTAATAGCTGCTCAACCTAAATATCTTTGTCTTAGTCCAGGGTGAGAAATGGGATCTCATGTAAAGGAAACCTGGGGTCCAGTCCAGTCCTACTGAATGCTATTTAGTCTGAGTAAAGAAATGTCTGAGGGTCAAAGCCATTTGGGAGGTCTCCCTGGGGATAGAGAGGTTGTCCTAAATAGGTCCATCAGAAAAGCCAGGAATCTCTCAGGCCCACAAGGCAATAAAGGCCATGAAGGCAAAACCAGCGGCTACACAGCTCCACTTAGCTAGAGGGGCCTCAGGACTAGCTAGCTCCCGTGGAAGAATTTCTAGGAAGGTGACATACAGGAAGGTACCAGCTGCCACACCCTCTAACACAGCCTGGGCTAAGCCCCGCCCTCCTTCAGAGTCCCCTCCAGTCACAGCCAGCCCTACGGCTAGGCCCAGGGGGGACATGAGAGCTAATAATAGTATGGAGAACACTGCCCATCGTGAGCTGGTACCTAAATGCACTAGCCGCATTCCTACACCAAACACCACAAGCCCCTTATGAGCCAGGACAGCAAGGCAGAGCTGCACGGTAGCTGCTACTGTCGGCTGCAGCCCCACAGCTAGCCCTTCAAACACTGAGTGAAAGGAGAGTGACAGCAAGAGGACAAGGGCTCGGAGGGGACCCTTTGAGGGTGAGGGTAAATGTCCATGGCTGTGGAGTTCGAAGATATGAGCCCCACCCCATTCTTCGTCCTGCACTGTCGATCCTCCAGCAGCCCCAGGACAGCACTGCAATGCCAGCGACTCCAAAAAGAAGACAAAAAAGAAGCCCAGGGAGATGATGAGCTCTCCATAGGGATACTCCATCTAGAAACAAAAAGAAGGGCTGTGAGATGGAAAGGAAGGGTAGGCAATACATTGGATGGACATGGAATTGGGAGATTGAAGAGAATGAGAAAATGTGGTAACAGAACACAAAAAAGGGTAGGGGAAATGAAGCCAAGAGTAGACATGGCCATGCAACAACAAGAATGCCAGAGTGGGCCGGACACAGTGGCTCATGCCTGTAATCCTAGCACTTTGGGAGACTGAAGTGGGCAGATCACTTGAGGTCAGGAGATTGAGACCAGCCTGGCCAACATGATGAAACCCCGTCTCTACTAAAAATACAAAAACTAGCCAGGTGTGGTGGCACGTGCCTGTAATCCCAGCTACTCAGGAGGCTGAGGCAGGAAAATCACTAGAACTCGGAAGGCAGAGGTTGCAGTGAGCCGAGATTGTGCCACTGTACTCCAGTCTGGGCGACAGAGAGATTTCATCTCAACAAACAAACGAAAAACAACAACAACAAAAGACTGCCAGAGGGGCTAAGGGACAGAATCTCAATAGAGTTAAAAACATGGGCAAATGATGTGAGGTATATCAGAGGATCCAGGGAAAGAATGAAAGAGTAAAACAAGGGCTTTCCCTGGCATTCTATAAACTCAAAAGGATTGGATTTGCTCCTCTTTTCCTCTACGATGTCTGAGCTAGGGAGCAGAAGGGATTCTTGGTACTCCTCATGTATTCCTCTCAAAAGGGTCTGGATATGAAAGGCCTCTCTGGTTCTCCTCACTCTCCAGATAGGGGATGGTGGGAGGTACTTACATGAGCTGAATCAGCATCACCAGAAGAATTTCTCTCACTTGCTGATCTGTTCTAAGAAGAAAGCAGCAGAAATTAGATGTGGGATGGAGCAGCACAGCTTCCTGTGCTGTCCCTTCAGCAATTCTGTTTTCCTTAAAGCCTAATCTGACTTGCTTTCACCATCCCACACAAGAGCTGTCATTTTCCTTGTCGTTCCACCCATGTCCTTGGCTCCATCACTTTCCCGCTCTCTTCCCTTTGTCCTGTTTATCATTTTGGCCTCATAGACCTGCGGCTTGAAATCTCTGCTCTCACCTGCACCATGAACTTCTGAATCTGTGATTCAATTTCCTCCAGGGCTTCAGCAGTCATATGCATGAACCCTGCTCCCAGGAAAACACCAGCAGAAATACAGCCCAGGAGTCTGAGGACTAGCCGGTGATGACCTAATAAAAAGCAGAAGTTACAACCCACTTGACACTGAGGAGACAGACAAAGGTGAGTAAAGAGCAGCAGGCAGCACTCAATATCCCAAGGTTGGGGATGGTGAGAGAATCAGAGCAAGGTATCAGGACAGGGTTGAGGTGAGACTCAGGCTATGGAACAAAGATGGGGTAGGGCTATACCTCTGGCTGCATCAATCTGGAACCATTTGAAGCAGATGGGAGTAAGGCCACAGCCCAGAGTGAGAGCCAACAGGGCAAACAGGCAGCCAAGTTTTATTCCTAGTAGTTGCTCCATCTCTGGGGTGTAGGGTAAGCCCAGGAGTCAGAATGACAAGGGAGCTGTAATCTTTGGAGCAGGAGTGGTATCTTAGGTGGTCAACACTGGAGTGTCCACTCTCGTGAGTTTCAGGAGGCTGTTGGTATCTTCTTTCTGTGTTGCTTCTGCTTCTGCAGCATTGCAGAGCTGACAGATCCTGCCCCAGCTTCTAGCCCTCCCCCTGCATGGAGGCCCCTCCCCTGGTTCACGCCTTCCTGAGCTTGGAAACCAGAAACTCCAGACTCCCTGCCAGGCACAGCCCAGTGGCGTCTTCTCCTCCTCTTCAATGGCATGACTAATCCAAGAGCTACGGATAGTCTTAGTTCATGTGCTTGGGGTTGGTCTAATCCAAAATAGGAAAGTCTATGGTAGCTGCTTCCCAGCTATTTTGTACTGGGGACAATCTGGTCCTGTCTCACTCAGGACGTTTGATCTAAGCCTTCCATACCCTCTCCACCTCATCCCAAGTCTTATAGGTTGCAATGCTGATACTTGAACCACCCGCTTTCAGAGATTTGGGGCCACCTGGAGGTAAAGAGGTGGGGCTGAGAGGTGGTGCTGGTGCTACTCTGTGGGAACTAGTACCCACATGAGGGAACTACCCTTTCCTGTAACCCCAGAAAAATAGCTCCAGGCATGGAAATGTCTAGTGGTAAGTTGATTTGTTTTTTTTCTTTCTCTTTTGATTGGGATCAGTTTTGAGAGGAATGAGTTGAGATGTCTGGTATTACAACATTTATACTGTTACAACTTCTAACTGTGCCTGTTTCCTGGTAAGAACTGTGGAAAAAAAGACATTTAAGGTTTAAGACAAAGGAAGCTGCTCTAGCCCTGAAACAGCAAGGCTTAGGGGAAAACAGAAATGAACTGAGTGAATGGGAGGATTCTACCTGGATATAGAGAGGTGGGGGTAGAAGATTCAGTTCTGATGGGAATCACTCTTGATGGAAATGTCTGGGGCATTTCCCATACATACTCTAGGGTAGCTGAGGGACCCTGGGAAAGACAGAAGGGAAGGCGTTAGTACAAGAGGCCAGGCAGCTGCTGATTCCCCTATTCAGGTGGCCCACATAACAACCCTGAGACCTGTTGAGCCAGTTCTCAGAGCTCTGGAGGCAGCTTTCCTTGCTACTCCAGATTATTTTCCTAGGGAAGTCCTGGCCTCTGGTAGAAGCAGTATTCTTACAGTGTTACTGGATGATTCTTACAGTGTTACTGGTCCTGCTGCTTGTTCTTGTGGTCCGGTAATGAGATGCAGACAGACAGACTGGGAAAGACGGGAGTTTATTTCTGCAACTGATTACAGGGAGGTCGGAGTAGCACACCAGACCAACTCAAAGTTACAAGCTTTTCTTTAGCTTTTATATACAATTCAAGCTCTATGACTACCTGCGGGAATGTTTCCTAATTAATCTAAACTAGGGGTCTGCAGGTAGAAGTTTTTTTTTTGTTTTTTAGAAACAAAGCAATAAACGATTTGATTTAGAAATAAAACCATTCCCATTATTGCAGCATTATCATCAGTCACTGATTGCTAATGCTGTTTACGCTTCTTTTTCCCTGGGATGTCTGAACCTGGCAACTTTTCTTCCTGTTCTTCTATTTTCTTAGCAAACCCACATCAAGGGTGTCTGTTCGCGTTTGAAATTCATCGGCACCAGAAAGAGCTAACATGTTGGCAGTATCTAGAAAACCATCAACATGAGCATGGGACAGTTCGCTTTGCAGCTGATCCCACCATAGTGAGTGAGTACTTGCAGACAGAAGTTTCTTAATCTTAAGTTGGTCCTGGGATGGGTTGTATGTGCAGGAATGCTTTTATCACTCAGCTAGATCTGAGGTAGAGAAAGTATAGGTGGGGCTTTAAAGGGCTTGCTTTTTTTGTATTCTGGCTTTCGTACTCAGGCACCAGTTTCCCCCGATTCCTTATCCATTTTTCTTGCTTCTGCTTTAATGTTTAACTTGTACATTCATCATTATAGCAAAGGGCTTATGGAAATCTGGTTTTTCTACTTCTGCTTTAATGATCAGCTTACACATTCATCATTACAGCGAAGAGCTTATGGAGCTCTGAACTGCCACAATAGGAGAGGGCGAGCTTGAGATTTGTGTGGGAAGCCTGGCACCAAAAATCTGAGGAAGCTCTTCATTACAGGATAGGCCAGGATAATTAACTATACCTTTTACATGTTTTTTTTTTTTTTTTTTTTTTAAGGGAGGACGTCTTGCTCTGTTACCTATGCTGAAGTGCAGTGTTACAATCAAAGTTCACTGTAGCCTTAACACCTGGGCTCAAGTGATCCTCTTGCCTCAGCTTCCTGAGTGGCTGGAAATGCAGACACATGCCACCGTGCCCAGCTTCTACACTTTTTAAGAATCACAAAATCCACTTCCATTCTTCAAAAATTTATTATTTATTATTAAAAATCTCAAACAAACACAGACATATGGGGATACCAGCATTCCCCTCCTGGATACCAGGCAGCTTCAGCCCTGGCAGGCACGATAGAAGAAAATACTTGTTACACATCCTCATCAACTCTCAGAGGGATCCTGAGCCGTAGATGGAGGAAACGCAGACGGAGTAAGCACAGGTAAAAGATCTCCCCAGGAGCTGACACGGGCACAACGATACAAATCCCTGTGGAAACAGATGCTGGCGTGGGCTGCAGCTTCCTGCCACATCCCACTGATTTTGGTCACACCCCCCATACCTGCCGTGCCGGCGGGCTGTGAGCACAGCATGCTGCATGTGCCCATCTGGACAGCACAAGTGACAATGCACATGGCGAGGCCGTTTAAGGACAGGCTGAGTGATACGGGGCCAGCGATGAGCCTCCTCTGGAGACCCCCGAGCAAGGATCACCATAGAGAACTTTTCTTCCTTTGGTTTCTTGTTCTAAGATAAGGAACATAGAGACTGTTTAGAAGAAAAAGATATGGGAAAAAAGTTTGTACAGTCCCTTCTTCCCCATTCCTGCAGTCCTTTTTTACAATGTATAAATCATATACATGTAGGCCCTAAAGTCTCCAGGCTATTCTACAAATTATCCAACTCCTCCTAACTCTGATTCTTTTTCTTCCTGTTTTTCCAGGATGTTTGCTTCCTGCTGCAATATCCCCAGGTACCTACCCAGCTGAAGGGGATGGGATGGTACGCCTGTGAGAAGCTACAGGCCAGGTTGGTCAACTGGGGACAAGGGAGTTCATGGGGACACTGTGAACACATAAAAAAATGAGGTAAGACAAAAGAGCCATCAATCACAAAACTTAAAAACTGAGAATAATAGAGTCAAAAGGGGCCAGGGAGAAGGGAGGACAGGAGCAGTGGGTAGGAAGAGCCAGGGGAATCATTAGGTAGGAACTGGATAGGAACACAAAGTAGTGGAGAGTGGCTTAGCTTTACCATCTTACATTTCCCGGCCACGCCTAAGTTCAGATCCGTGTGGTGGGACAGGCAGAAGTAATACTCACCGGGGCAAAGACAAAACCAGGTCGAGGGTCCAAAGGTGACTTCTCTTTTCCCTGAAATCAAAGGAAATAAAAGAAATAAAGCTGGGCCAAGGGTCTATTTTCATAATTCAATCTCTGCACTCAGTAAACTGAGGACTCCTTTAACACTCAATTCTAATAACGATTGACTATGTCCTTTGAATTAAGCTGGCTGCATCTTTAATACTCCAAACAAAGAACTTTCTCTTTGCTGCAGGAGAAAGGCAAGAACTTGGCACATAGTACGGTGCTCTCCCTTGTCAGCAACCTCCACTCTCAAAAAAATCCCACTCCAGGACAATTAAATTTATGATTATACACTGGCTCATACTCTCCCCCAGTGACAAGGTTCTTAGCTCAGCAATGCCCTAGATTAGGAGTCCGCAAAGTTTCTTTTAAAGGGCCAGAGAGTAGGCAAAATCTATCTCTGTCCCAACTACTCAACTCTGCTGTTTGTAGTGTGAAAGCAGTCACAGACAACAGAGGCACAAATAAGCATGGCTTATATAAAAACAGGTGGCAGGTCGGATTTGATCCACAGGCTCTCATTTGCCAACCACTGCTCTGTATCATAATGACTTCATACGCCCAGTTTCCTGAGAGCCACCCTTGTCAATACATGACAGTCTCTTTCGTTTTCAAGAGAGTAACAGTAATTGGTGCCATATGGGTGGGGGAGTGAGGGAAGAAGAAGCCTTACCTTAAGGACCAGATCCCTGGCATCCATGAGAAGGCTGTGCCCAGCTTTTGTTCCATTCTCCACCAGTACCTGTTCACAAAAGGGGAAAATATGCAGAAGACTTGAATTACACGAAAGTATAAATGTCAGTAGCTGTGTAAGAGCAATCATAGAGGGAGAAGGAGTCCTAAAAAGAAATAGGCATTACATAATCAGGATGGAGACCCTCAAAGAGGGATAAAGAAACCCATGAAGGAGAAAAATGGTGAAGAATAAAGACAATGAGAGGAGCAAAGGCATGAAATCCATGAAGCTGCTTCAAGACTTAAGGAGAACAAGGAATTTTAACTCACCAGGAAATGACCTGTCTTACGCCATAAGGTTTGAACTACCTCAGTGCGGTCAGCCTTGCTGGGCAGTTCACTTAAGGAAAAAGCTGACACTACTACATCAAACTGCACCTGAGGACCAAGACAAGGAACATGACAGACTCAACATCTCTACATCCCAAGAATACAACAAAGTCCTAGCCGCTAAATTTCTTTTATCTTCTAACACTCAGTGCTGGGCTGCAAAGCTCAAGCCATAGTTTTCCATCTGCCACATTCCACATTTAGAATATTCTAAACACTGCCACTTGCCTTGGGTGATACAGGTAGAAACTGTCTGAAAAAGACACCTGGAATATAAGGCTCCCCAGATTCTGAACCACCTGTGGAGAAAAGAAGAGGCAACTGTGAGTGTGTAGGAAGTTAGGTATAAACTGAAGAGATATCCAGATAAGAAACATGGCCCCAAGAATAGGTAAAGTGTATATCAAAAAGGGCAGGGATGAGCCAGGTATGGCGGTGCGTGCCTGTAATCCCAGCTACCCTAGAGGCTGAAGTGGGAGGATGGCTTGAGGCCAGGAGTTTGAGACCAGCCTGGGTAACATATGGAGACCCTACCTCTAATTAAAAAAAAAAAAAAAAGGGCAGGGAGAATATTAGGCCTCCTGTCCTTTGATTCTTACCCAACCCATCCTCAGTCCAGCAGAAACCTCTAATACCACCCTTTGCTTGACTATAACTTTAAAAGTAAACCAGATTCATCTTAATTTTTACCCTCTTCTCTACTTCCCAGTAAAACACTTTTACTAGTACCCCTTTGCTTTCTTAACTCCCTCAACTTTGGAAGTGCTCTTGCACTCACCTTTCAGTAGTTTTTCTGCCAAAACCAACATGGCAGCTGATCTGTCCACACACATATATTCACGTAGGCTCTGGCCCCAAATACTGTGAGCAGCCCTAAGATGGCAAAATTATTATAAATCACCAATTCCCATGACCAAGAGTCATCTCTACAAGAGGCCCATTTACACCCAACCCCACCCCTGGGAAAAGAGAGTGTTATGTTAAAGTAGTTGTATAGTTAGTAATAAAATAACTAATAGTGTTATTTTCTTGTTTTATTTACAACTCCTAAAAAAAAAAAGGTAGACTCAGCTGGGCACAGTGGCTCATGCTTGTAATCCCAGCACTTTGGGAGGCCAAGGTGGGCGGATCACAAGGTCAGGAGTTAGAGACCAGCCTGGCCAATATGGTGAAACCCCGTCTCTACTAAAAATACAAAAATTAGCTGGGTGTGGTGGCGTGCACCTGTAGTCCCAGCTACTCGGGAGGGTGAGGCAGGAGAATCACTTGAACCCAGGAGTGGAGGCTGCAGTGAGCCGAGATTGTGCCACTGCACTCCAGCCTGGGCGACAGAGTGAGACACCGTTTCAAAAAAGAAAAAAAAAAGGTAGACTCAAAATACTATTTGTAGGCAAAAACAACTTTGATTGATAATTCCTTTTCTTTTTAATTTTTCTACACATGCGCCTTTTTTTACTTGACATTTCTTTTAAGTTCTGGCCCCAATCCATATACCTTCTTCTGCCTTGCCTAATCTGATGGAAGAAACATTATAGATTCCCAACTTGCCTATTCTCCCTCTGGTTTTCCAGTCTGTTAATTTTGGAGTGGTGTAAGTATGGCTTTCTAGAGCTAAAATTGACCAAGATAGGGCTGAAGAAAGTTACTCACCAGGTGACAGAACCAGTACCTGAGCCAAAGTCCATCAAAGTTTGTGGCTGAAATGCTGGATTTCGAGCCCGGATCTGAAGAAATATACAACATCCCACAGTAGGGTAATTAGATACTTATTTAGGACCTTGATAAATGTGAATTAGGAGGCTATCACAGAGGATGTGAGATGTGAATGCCTTTTGAGATTCAATACAAATACCTTATGGGATAAGAATCTCCTAAAATAGTGATTCTAAACCTTTCTTGGGTCACAGAAAGCTTTCACAGGATAAAGAGAACGTCTTTATTTTGTGTTTTTTTTAAGAGATGAGGTCTCACTCTGTCACCAGGCTGGAGTACAGTGGAGATCACAGCTCACTGCAGCCTCAAACTGGCTCAAGCAATCCTCCTGCCTCAGCCTCCCAAACAGTTGGGACTGCAGGCAGGAGCCCACTATGTCCAGCGGAGATCCTCTTTAAAAAAAAAATGCATATGCAATGTCCCAAGAATCCCCATCCTAGAAAACTACTTTATGAATAGGGAACTGATGGTCAAAAAGTTCAGGTTGGAAGTTAAGGGACTTTCACCTCATGGAATGCTCTGGAGACTGCTGCAAAGCCACCATCCAGTCTTGCTGCCATATACACCAGGCTCAGTCCCTCAGTGTAGCTGCCATTAAAATCACAGAGTTGTACATACTAGTAAATAACCTTAATCCCATAATTACCTTCTAGATTTAGAAAATGACATCTTGGAAAGGGCTCTTCCAGCTCAGGCCTTTCACTCCCCAATACAAAAGGGTCCTGGGGAGACTTACAAACACTAAATTTTCAAACTTCAGTGTTCAAAACTTTGTACTTTAGCTTTTTCAAATACTAAATTGATCCTTTTAAGGTCAGGTGATATAAAAGAAAATACTAAATTGATTGTGTAATTGTACTCCCCCAACTCTCTTTCTAAAGTCTACCTTTGCTTTCTTGTGCACCTCTTCTGGGCCCCCTTACCTCAGTTCTTGCCAATGGTAGGTAGTTTTACGTAGTGCGTGTAGCACTGCTCCACGAAGTTTCTCCTCTGTCTGAGATAAGTCTGTGGTGAGAACAAGGACTGGAAGTCAGGACCTAGGGAGAACAGGGCTCAGATCCAATATCTGAATATACTGCCCACCCAGTCCTCCCCGACTCCACCTAAGAAAAGCCTTAAAGCTCAAGGGAGACGACAAACCTAGAGAAAAGTTTCAGGCAAGAATTAACGGTAACAACTACCACTAACAGATTGTATCAGATAGCATTTTATTTATAAGAATGGTTTATTCAGCTTAACCAATCCTGTCCCACAGGTTTGTTTTATATTAAAGGAAAGTGTGATACAAATTTAAAGGGTAAGCTGGGTGCGGTGGCTCACGCCTGTAAGCTCAGCACTTTGGGAGGCTGAGGCAGGCGGATCACGAGGTCAGGAGTTTGAGAACAGCCTGACCAACATGGTGAAAACCTTTCTCTACGAAAAATACAAAAATTAGCCAGGCGTGGTGGCGTGCACCTGTATTCCCAGCTACTTGGGAAGCTGAGGCAGGAGAATCACTTGAAACCGGGAGGCAGAGGTTGTGGTGAGCTGAGATCGCACCACTGCACTATAGCCTGGGCAACAGAGCAAGACTCTGTCTCAAAAAAAAAAAATTTTTTTTAAAGGGTAGGCCAAGGACATTATTTTTTGGATTTCTTCACTTCTCCAAAATTTAAGGTTTTGATGATCTCCACTATTCCTATGGAGAGGAAAGAAATCTGAAAATCTACGTCTCATGACTGTTCAGTTCAGTACTATTTAGCAAGTATCTACTGAACTACTGTGAGCCAGGTACTGTGAGGTGTGCAGGGAATGCAAGATGAATAAATGGTAGTGTCAAGGAGCTCACAATCATGAAACTAACTTGATGAATTATATTTACCCTCTTATCCCAGAAGAGGGTTTCAGTACTGGGCAGGGACCATCCAGGGACTTTATTTTACCTGAATAAAAACTTAGAAGGTCCTAATCCAGTGGACTTGCAGAAAAAAATAAATATCTAGATTTTAACAGTATATTGGTAGCCAGGCGCGGTGGTTCATGCCTGTAATCCTAGCACTTTGGGAGGCCAAGGTGGGCGGATCACCTGAGGTCAGAAGTTCGAGACTAGCCTGGCCACCATGATGAAACCCCGTCTCTACTAAAAATACAAGTAGCCGGGTGTGGTGGTGCACGCCTGTAATCCCAGCTACTGAAGAGGCTGAGGCAGGAAAATCACTTAAACCCGGGAGGCGGAGGTTGCAGTGAGCCGAGATCGAGCATTACACTTCAGCCTGGGTGACAGAGCAAGACTCTGTCTCAAAGCAAAAACAAAACAACAAAACAAACAAACAAACAAAAAACAGTATACTGGGACATTCTGACCTTTACCTAAGCAATCTCTAAAATAATCTACCTTCTTTTAGTAAGGCATCATTGTAACAACTGCTGCTCTGGTTAGAAAGTCAAATAAGAGACTTCAGTATCTGAGAGATTGTAGAATTATTTCTTACTCTTCATTTCTAACCGATATTTCAATCTCGCCCACTTTTTAATTATTCTTAAGTCCTACCTGGGTTTTCCAGGAATTTTTTCTCAAGATGCCTAGCCCGTCTTTGCAACTCCTCTGGCTCTACAGGCAAATGTCTGCTCCAGAGATAACTGGTCAGTGTTTGCACCTGATTCTCCATAGTGGGCCCAGCGCTCCCTATGGGCCAAAGACGAAAAGCGGAATCACTTGCATGTAGGTCCAGTCCCGTTTCTTCTCGCTTTCCCGCCGTTACTCACCAAGTAGCAATAACTGGGCACCGTTAGCCAGTGCCTGTGGCAGCCGCACGTGCGGCAGCTTTAGGATGCCAGGGTGCTGGCGATGAGGCCTCTTCTGCAGGAAACCGGACTTGTTATCTACCTGGGTCACTCCGGGTACTAAGGCGGCGAGCGCCTGCAGGCAGAGAAAGGTAGGTTGATTTCCTGGCAGAAAGGAAAGTTGCTGGCAATCGCTAGGGCGGGGGCTGCCAGGAGCGCTCCTCCTCTGCGCGGAGATGTCTCTGCAGATCCAGAGTCTCTCCGACAGCAGGGAATGTAGGCACTCACCCGGGCCTGGGGAGCCACTCCAAGGCCGGGGCACCATCTTCCTAATGTCAGTAGACACTTCAGTGCCGCCGCCATGGCTCCGGAGGCGAACCGGAAACGGAAATACAGGTGCCTGTGACCCTCAGTCCCAACGCCGCAAGGAGCAGCCTTCGCAGAACTTCTCCCGACAGTTTCAGCCAACGAGAAGAGCGAGTGTTTGCCAGCAGCCAATAAGCAATGGTTATATAAATAATCCTTGAGGCAGAAACCGTGTTTGGGCCGACTTGAAGGCTGCGTTGGGCCTGGTCACCGGCCCCAGAAATCAAGAGGGTGGGGTGGGGCGGGGCGGGACGGGACGGGGGCGGGATGGGGTTGGGTGTGAGCGCGCCAGCAAAGACTGTTTCTGGGAGTACTGACTTCCTGTGTTCTTTGCATTCCTCCGCGGAGAACTCTGAGTCTTGGGTTGTTTCCCTGTGTGAAAAAGGGAGACTGCAGTAACGGAAAGAAGAGAAAAATCAGATTTAAGCGACTGAAGAAAACAGAAATTAATAGTTAAATGATTATTGAATAGTTAATAGTTTGATAAATATTAAACCTAGTTAATAGGTTTATTTATTTTTTTACATTTGTTAATTTCTCTTCAAATGAGACCAGTCTTCTTAGTAAGCTAACATAACACTTACTGAGAACACCTATGTGCTAGGTACTTCAGGGAAAAGGACTGATCCCCACTTCACAGAAAACATGGTTCTGACGGGGACCCTCCTGTGTCTGCTGCTACGTCAGAGTGTTTCCCCCAGGCCCAGGACTTAGACAGTAGCCGTCTGATTACCTGAGGTGCAGAATCTCAGGTGGGTCCAGCCACTATTGTGACGTGATAATATAGCATAGGGGAATGGTCTCCAGAGTCTGCAAGCTCATCAACACCTTCATTCACTAGAGCATCAGAAGGATAAATGGCATATGCAAGGCGATATCTACTTTCGGGACCTGACAGTGGACAACTGCTACCTCAGTCTCCGAACACTTGAGCTCACCCAGTGTGTGATTTCTGTGGGCTCCTGGCCCCCTAATTTCCGTTACAGGTTTAGGATGTTCTCCCAGCACATCCACTTGACCTGTGTGTGGAACCAGCCAGTTCATCTGGAGGGCTAGACTCCTGAGTCATCAGGCTAGGGCCTGATGATCTCAGGCCCCAGCGCCCTAATTGGACTTTCCTTCTGTGGTTCTCTACCTTATTCGACTTCTTCCCCAAATCTGCAGACCTCACCGACTGCAGCCTGCCAGCTCTCTCAGGGCTCCTCATCTCGGGGTGAGGTGGGGTGAGGAGACATGGGTGGACAGGGGGAGAAGGGCCGCTCTGCCTCTTCCAGGCGGAACCGCCCTTCCTGTAGATGAATGCATGGCCCACTGACACATCCTAGGCTGACACTTGCCTCTTTTCCAGCTTTTCCTCAGTCCTCCTTTTACCTGGGAATCTTTCCTGGGTGCTCAAAAGGGTCACCACAGTGACCTCTACCCCTCCAGTGAGAATGCTCACGTTCAGAGTCGTGATTCTGTGTGTGCCCTGGGCTGAGGACTCTGCCCTAGAGATATCTGAGGAATGGAACCATTAAATTAAATTGATACCTGTTGATATCTCTCCAGACTATTAAGTCCACAACCCAGGCCGTCTCAAAGGTTCTTACTCCTGAAGCCATCCCTCATTTTTTGTGCGAGTCTTGCCCAAATGCCAGGGTGCTGGCGATGGGGCCTATTCTTGCCCAAATGCACAGATAATTCTGAAGATTGGGCCATACTAGATGTGTGTGTTGGAAGATCTGCCAAGATTCTACTGTCAGCTAGTCAGAGCTCTTGAGTAAATCCCTCAGCATCTTGTCCTTATAATTCTATTCATATAGCTGAGATCATGTCACGGCTCCAAAAGCCACCATCCAAATTATGGGCATTTTCTGTCCATAAAACTTTGTGAAATGATTCCTTGTAGGAAATTTATCCAAGGGAATCACCAGATCTCAAGTACCTTCATAGTAGTTCAACTCCAACGCATAAGCCACCGCGCCTATGTAGGGGCTCCACACAATGTTTGCACTCCACACAATGTTTGCGCTCCAGGATAAGAGAAGGAGAGAAGGGAGAAAGGGATGCAACTTTCACCTCAATGGGAGTGAATGAATGGCCTCTTCAAACATGACCTGTCTGGGATTCTGAGTCATTCTAGTTCCCCTGCAACAGTAGGAGCCATCTTGACTTTATCTCTGAATCTCAGTGTCTGTCTTATTCTGTGCTTGGGTTTTAGTAGGTTACCAGTGTTTGCAGAAGTGACCCTGCCTGATTTGCGGTGGACTGTGAAGCTAAGTGTCTACTCTTTTCCCTCCGTAGGCCACTGGGAGGACAGATGATGCTCAAGTTTCCCTTTTTCCTCTTGGTCTTATGTCACTTACTGCTTTCTTTTCTTTTTTTTCTAGCCTATTGTTTTCTTTTTAAGACAGGTGACATTCTGTCACCCAGGTTGGAGTGCAGTGGTGAGAACATGGCTCACTGCAGCCACACATCCTAGGTTCAAGCGATTCTCCTACGTCAGCCTCCTGAATAGCTGGGACGACAGGTGTATGCTACTGTGCCTGGCTAATTTTTTATTTTTTTCGAGAGATGGGGTCTTTCCACGTTGCCCAGGCTGGTCTTGACCTCCTGAGCTCAAGCGATCCTCTGGCCTTGGCCTCCCAAAGTGTTGGGATTACAGGCGTAAGCCACCGCGCCTGCCTTATTCTATTGTTTCCTTTCTCTCCCACCCTCCCACTTCTTTTCTTCCTCCCTTCTTTTATTCCTTTTTTTTCACAGCACAAGATATCTTCTAATGTAAATATTTGATTCTTTATGATAAATTAAAAAAAGACTGGGGTGCAAATCAGAATCAATCACATTTTTTTCTTACTCCTTGGGGGCTCATTTGACTCTTGAGTGGGAAAGAGGCAGATCCCAGGTGAAGCCTCAGTCTCTTGGCCTAAGGCAGGGAGAAGCATGAGTCAGATCAACATGATGATTCATCTGAGTCTCAACCATGAAGAAATTCACGGATTGTACAGGGTTTTCTGGTGCAGTCAGCTTTCTTGTGTTGTGACTTGGCTGATTAACTCATATTCAAGGCCAGAACTACTGTTGCTGTTGAGACTAATCCAATTACAAAGTATTCTGCTGCGGGGGAGGGATCTTCCAATTGGATCTGATCTCCTTTGGCAAAAATCTATGTTGAGGAAAGCAAGGAGGTTCTGGAGGGATTATAGATTTTGAAAACTCTGGCTCGGGCAGACCCAGCATGGCTTCCTACAGATATAGGATGGGGGATCACCACAGAGCAGTGTTAGTCTTGGCATGGGATGGCATGAAAGGATCGCTGATATCCTCAGAAGATGAATGGTGGTCACACAGGAGCTTCTTTGGAGGTGCATTGTGGACTCTTAACACATGGATAAAGTCTTAGAGGAAAATCCAAGGATTGGACACCCATTGGGGGTCTCGTATATCTCTCCTGAGGGACTGAGACCCTGAAATAGGGACCGGAATGGCCAGGGCAGTGAGAGAATGTAGAAGTCTTTCTATTCTCAGTTCATGTTTCTCAAGAAAATCTAAAAGTTATCCCATTAAAATGTTCTGGGTTGGGGGCCTCCATTGTTTAACAACTAGGTCAATGGTTTCCAGTTCAGACTCGGGAGAGGAATCCCAAGAAGGAAACTCTGGCTTATCATCTACTTCTCCAAGCCTTCTAGAAATACCATTTCTAATGTACTGTCCTGCAACAGGGACCAATTCAAGACAGAACTTTCCAGAAGGATCTGTTTGTGTTTTTGAGAACTACTGGGAATGGCCAGCACAGCCACCTGGCCTAGGAGACTTGCTATTATACAGAAAATGAAGAAAAAATGTGAGAAGAAAGGGATGAAGAAAGAGAAGATAAAGAGGAAAGAAAGATATATAATGGGGAAAGACATTTATCCATGATAGGGAGTTTATTTTTCGTTCTTGAGTTGGTGGAATTCTTTACTGACCATGTTAGATGTGCCACACTCTGTGTTAAGGGCTAAAGCTAGGAGAGGAGGAGACTGTGTTATGGGAAGTGGTATTTTTTTTCTTGTTCAAATCTTGTTCCAAATTTCTACTTTGAATTTGGTGGAGCTGTTTTTGTTCAAGCTCTGATAGTACTGTGGGCATCAGACATCTATGAAATCTTCTACAAGCCAGTTCAGCTTCCTCTCCCTCCTCCTCCTCCTCCTCTTTCTTCTTCCTCTTCCTCTTCTTCTTCTTTTTTTTTTAAGACAGAGTTTCACTCTTGTTGCCCAGGCTGTAGTGCAATGGCATGATCTCGGCTCACTGCAACCTCTGCCTTCTGGGTTCAAGCGATTCTCCTGCCTCAGCCTCCTGAATAGCTGGGTTTACAGGCGTGCGCCACTATACCCAGCTAATTTTTTTTTTGTATTTTTAGTAGAGATGGGATTTTTCTATGTTGGCCAGGCTGGTCTCAAACTCCTGACCTCAGGCGATCCACCTGCCTCGGCCTCTTAAAGTGCTAGGATTACAGGTGTGAGCCACCATGCCTGGCCTCTTTCTTCTTTTTAATCCTACTCCAGCACTCCAAAGAGCCATGTTGTATAAAGGGGAGCCTAAAACCCAAAACAAGTAGAGCAAGGGAGGGCCATTCCAAGGAGGAACCCAGCTTCTTTTTTGTTTTTAGCAACACCCCTGTTTCTCTCTTCATACAAACATTCTCCATCTCATCACACCTCTATGCTGGAAACTTGAGTCTTTGGATTTCTTGCTGTTCAAAATTCTGCAGTGAATTAAAGCAGTCTGTTCAGTTCCTCCTGAAGTGATTCCACTGCTCCATATGCATTGGATTTATCTTCTCTAGATTTTAGTCTTGACCTGATTAATGCCTCCATTCCATGTCAACTAACATAAACCTAAAAAAAAAAAAACACAGATCTTTATGTAAAATCTGTAAAAGAATGAATATCTACTTTGCCCTCCTTCCACAGGGAACCCGGCCCATGTAGGCCCTGGGGCCACAGAATGCGGGCAACTGCTGTTCAAGGACCAGCATGAGGGGGCCAGGGCCAGGGTGCTGCTTTTGGGAATGCTGTACACTTCAGCCATTGTGGCTTTTGTGTTGTATAAGTGTTGCAGATGCAGAGATGGCTGGGGGTCTGGGTGCCCTGAGTCTGCATCTCTCATGGGGGCACCATAGTACTGAGAGCAAGATACAGTTTCCGCTGTCTGTAAAATGAAGATAATAGTTGATTGGCCTCCAACATTATAGAGTAATTTTAAGGATTCAGCGAGGTAAGGCTGAATGTGGAAGGCACGTGGTAAACTGTAAATGAATAATGACCATCACATTTAATTTTCCTACAATCTGATAAAGAGTAGCCACTTGCTTGAGGTCACCCAGAGCAGCAACTGGTGGAGCTGGACACTCAGCTAGTGTTCATACTACTAAAGTGGGGCCAACTGTGGCACAAGGGGTTGATTGCTGCAACCATAGTGTTTCTAGAGTTCAAGACATCAAGTGGTCTCATGTTCTCCTAGGGAGAGAGGCCCTTAAATATGAGTTGATGGTACATTTTGGAAAGTAAACTTTCTAGGACAGTATCTTCAGCCCTGACCCTATTGTTTATTTGCATTAGAAAATAAAACCGATTGAACCAATTTTGATGTATGAAACTAGAAGAGATAGCTAATAATGATCCCAGGTAGACATGACAGGCTAGGATGAGTGACTGGATTTAATAATGAAATTTAACAAGGATAGTTTAGTAAATTCTATCCTTCGGCGTGAGTACAGTCTGGAAGAAGATATTTCTTAGCAGCAGCACTTATGAGAGAGACTTAGGCCTACCCGTTGACTAATAAGTTTATGGTGTGATGTGACAACCAACAACCTACTTCCCAAATCAATGGTAGGAACAAGGTGTTGTGCTTTATCTACTGACCAGAACATTCCTGGAGAATTTTTGTCTCCCAGAACTGCCTTAAGAGCGCTATATGTTCAGTAAAGCAACCAGAGAAAACTATGCAAAATGAGCCCTGACTGAAAAGATCAAAGATATTAAACCAGAAAAAACTCAGGAAAGGGAGCAAGGGTATGCCCATTGTCTTCAAATTCCTGAGGAACTATCACGTTGAAGAGCCATTATTTTGGAAGGCTCTAATCAGGGCTATGGAAAGAAGATACATGAAGGACAAATTCTGGCTTTGTATATGAACTGTCTAACAACCAGAGCTCAATCAAACGCGAGAGAGCTGCTCATTCCTGGAGGTGTTTCAGCAGACCGAATGACCATGTGTGGGACACGATGACATGTTGCTTCATGTGCTGGGTGAGGAACTAGACTAGAAGTAATTGTGATTCTCTGAGGTAAAATCCCAATAGCATTCTCTACCTTAAATGACACTCCTCTCTTTACTGGCTTTGGAGACTGAGGTGATGGAGCAGAACAATTTTGCTGCAGTATTGCCCCTTTTTTCTTCCACAACAGGGGAAAGATGAAGCTGCAGTTCTCCAAGAGGAGTCAGGCAAGAAGCACCCATTGCAGTTGGAGCAACAGCTGATCCAGGCAGAGCAGCACCTGGACAATCTGGTGGCCCCGCTGGACCCCCTTTTTGAGTGTGTGACTACTCTGGCTGGAGCCGTAAGAGCTTCTGAACATGCAGCTACGAACCGTGAAGCTGCTACAAGATAGCAAGCCAGATAAGGGTATGGTGGCTTCAGAACCAGAGGCCAGCATACCTTTTCCTGAGGACTTATGTATAAAGGAAGATGAGGAGGAGGCTGCTGATGGTCAGACCTGGGAGGAGCCCATAAACTGGAGCACAGAGACATGGAAACTAGCTACTTCCTGGCAGGTGGAACAGGTGCTAAGGAGAAGATGCAGCAAGGCTGTGGAAAAGGGCTCCAGTCACAGCCCCAGCTGGGAAGGAGGGACAACAGCTGAGGGTTTAGTAAAACAGAGTCTGTTCTTTTTTTTTTTTTTTTTAACTTCTGTTAATAGGGTACAAAGTTCAACAAAGTTTGTTCTTGATTAAAAAAAAAAGAATGAATATCTAATGTATAAACAACTCCAACTTAGATTTCCAAAATCTTGCATTCATTCACATTTGTGCTTCTTTCTACACAGCTGTCATTTACATTCCTAGGCTTGTATTTCACTATGTAAAATGGGAATTTAATCTTTATAAATGAGGCATTTATGTACTGCGCACTCTATTCCTGAAACTGTGTTAGTCACAGGATATATTAAGATACATGAAACGTAGTCTTGGTCCTTAAGTAGCTTATGGAGAAGCAGAGAAACTAAATATGTGATAGAAGCAATAACACTTATATGAACATTGCTTTTTGGGAGCACAGAGATGGAGGAAGTTACTTTGCCCATTGGGTCTAGGAAGGTTTCTACAAGGAGGCTCCACCTGAGCAGGGTCATGAGGGTGAGCAAGGGTTTGCTGGGGCATTCAGGAAGGGAAGGACAGTGCATGCAAAAAGATTGGCATGGGAAAATGTACAGAGATGGGGAAGTGTATTGAAGGTAGGGAAGGCGTGAGTGGTTAGAGGTGTTAAATCACTGGGTCAAGTTCTAGGTGAGAAACATTGGAATTAGACCCTTGAACTGTATGTAATCTTCCAACAAAATTAATTCACATATTTTTCACTATATTTTTACATTCTTGTCATCTGAAAATGCAATGTTGTTGTTAATGCCCTTATATGAATATGGACACAAATATTGACCTGAACAGGACTGAAGGTAGAGCTAATAGGACTTAGCCATCTCATTCTGTGGAATTCCTTAATTCCTTAAATTATTAAGCAAGTTTTAATTAATTAATTAATTAGTTTATTCATTCGTTCATTTATTTATTAGAGACAGGGTATCAGCCTGTTGCCCGGGCTGGAGTACAGTGGCACAAGCATAGTTCACTGCAGCCTCAACCTCCTGGGCACAAGTGATCCTCCTGCCTCAGCCTCCCAAGTAGCTGGGACTATAGGAACATGCCTCCATGCCAGGATAATTTTTTAATTTTTTTGGAAAAATGGGGTCTTGCTTTGTTGCCAGGTGTGTCTCAAACTCCTGGCCTTGAGTGATCCTCCTGCTTTAGTCTCTCAAAGTGCTGGGATTACAGGCATGAGCCACCATGCCTGGCTGCAAGTTTGAAAATATATGTTGTGTGGGATGCAGTTTTATAGGTGATGAGGATGTAAACAGGACTGAGGTGTAGTGTAGTCCCTCTGTGATGCATATAGTCTCAATGGGTAGAACGAGCTGTACTCAAGTGTTTATAACATGAGGCTAAACTCACATATTACAGTCACAGCAGATATATCTGGCTCAAGACCTATTCTGATTGGCCTATGCAGTGTTTTTTGTTTGTTTGCTTTTATTTATTTATTTTTAAAATAATTTTTGGATATGGTGGCAACCTTTCCAAATGGAGATTTTCACATAAAGAATTTGGATTCCTGGCCGGCTGTGGTGGCTCATGCCTGTAATCCCAGCACTTTGGGAGGCCGAGGCGGGCAGATCACAAGGTCAGGAGATTGAGAACATCCTAGCTAACAGGTGAAACCCCATCTCTACTAAAAATACAAAAAATTAGCCGGGTGTGGTAGTGGGCGCACGTAGTCCCAACTACTCGTCGCTGAGGCAGGAGAATGGCGTGAACCTGGGAGGCGGAGCTTGCAGTGAGCCGAGATTGTGCCACTGCACTCCAGCCTGGGGGACAGAGCGAGACTCTATCTCAAAGAAAAAAACCAAAAAACCAAAAAACCAAAAAATTTGGATTCCTGACTTGCCTTAAAATAGCTAAAAATGTGGCCATACTGGGCCACCATTAGCTCAATGTGATGATCAACTAAAGCTGAATAGCAGTCACTTCTTAAGTCGTGTCTTCTTCTTCTTCTTTTTTTTTTCTTTTGAGACAGAGTTCCACTCTGCTGCCCAGGCTAGAGTGTAGTGGTGCAATCTCAGCTTACTGCAACCTCCACCTCCCAGGCTCAAGTGATCTTCCCAGCTCAGCCTCCCTAGTAGCTGGGACTACAGGCATGTAGTGTGGTGGCACCCAACTAGTAATTTTTTTGTAGATATGGGGTTTTGCCATGTTGCACAGGCTGGTCTCAAACCCCTGGGCTCAAGCAGTCTGCCCACCTTGGCCTCCCAAAGTGCTGGGATTACAGGTGTGAGCAGTGACACCTGGCCAGTCATGTCTTCTTAAGTAGCAGCCACTGCTGCTTTTAAGACAAAAGCTCAGGGGTCTCCACTGACTCCACTCCTCTCTCCTGTCCGTTCAGTCAGTGACAACACCTACCTGGCTCCCGGAGACATTTCTGTTTATGACGCATCAGATTTTTTTTTTTTTGTTGTTGTTGTTTTGAGTTGGAGTCTTGCTCTGTCACCCAGGCTGGAGTGCAGTGGCGCGATCTTGGCTCACTGCAAGCTCTGCCTCCCGGGTTCACGCCAGTCTCCTGCCTCAGCCTCCTGAGTAGCTGGGACTACAGGTGCCCGCTACCATGCCTAGCTAATTTTTTTGTTTTTTTTAGTAGAGATGGGGTATCACCATGTTAGCCAGGATGGTCTCTATCTCCTGACCTCGGCCTCACAAAGTGCTGGGATTATAGGCGTGAGCCACCGCACCCGGCCAGATGCATTAGATTTTTATCGTAGCATCCTGAGAAATGACTCAGATAATACTCTCCCTGATCCTTGACCATTCTTCTTTGAATTGTGTTCAAAGCACACCTCCAAACAGATTTTTTGATTGTTCCTTTTTTTTTTTTTTGAGACAGGGTCTTGCTGTGTCACCCAGGCTGGAGTGCAGTGGCATGATTATGGTTCACTGTAGACTCAACCTCCTGGGCTCAAGCAATCATCTCCTCTCAGCCTCCTGAGTAGCTGGGACTATAGGTGCATGCCACCATGCATGGCTAATTTACAGTTTTTATTTTTGTAGAGACAGGATCTTGCTATGTTGCCCAGGCTCATCTTGAACTTCTGGGCTCAAGTGATCCTCCCACCGTGGCCTCCCAAAGTGTTGGGATTACAGGTGTGAGCCACTTTGCCTGGCTGATTGTTTCTTTTATAGGTCCCTCTGCATATATTTAACTGCCCTCCACTGCCTCAAAATTAAAACCAAATGATAGGAAAGATCTTGGGCTAAGGACCTGTTTGTTTAAATCAGGAATCAATATAAACACAGGAATCAATATAAACTCATGCTGAAAACCCAGGAGAGTACCCTGGGTTTTTAGCATGAGTTTGTCTTTAATATCAAAAGGCTGCTAAATATGGGCTTGTTCTATTATTTCATTAGCTTTAGCATCAAATCAGTGTCACAGCAGCCTCTAAATTATTAGATAATGTCATTACGCCATTATTTATAATCAAGGGACGTGGTAAGATATAGTCCCAGGGAAAGATCTTCTGCATTATGGTAAAAACAACTGTTGAGGACATTGGCCACAGGGTTGCTCAAAGCCACCTTGATGTCTGCCACTTGAAATTTCTTCAGTTGTGAAGTACCCTTGCAGTATCTGCCCTTAACCTGCAGGTACCAACGGTCAATACCTTCTTTCACACATCTTTCCCTAATGCAGTGGCTATCTATGGGAATGACAAATACATACTACTTGCGGGTACCATATGAAGGCTTTTCATAAAACATGGTACAGGTTAATGTAATTGCAATGAATGGAGGGAGCTAACTAACCTTAGCTCAAAAGACATTTGGGAGCTAGGCATGGTGGTACACACCTTAAGTCCCAGCTATGCAAGAGGCTGACACGGGAAAATCAATTGAGCTCAGGAGTTTGAGTCCAAGCTGGGCAACATAATGAGACCCCATGTCTTTAAAAACAAAAAAAAGACACCTCGTGTACTGACTTCTCCCTAGTCTCTTGGGTTCAGCAAGGTGATCCTAGACCTTCCTTATTGTATGGGGCCTTTTGCATATCTTCCCTGAAGGTACCAAATGAAAGCATATCTTGGCCTGTTTGATGATGTTTCAGGAATTAAATAGGAAAGTTGACAGTAAGGGATGGCTCTGAAGATAAAGAGTCAGGCAATGTGGAGCAGCATGAGCTAAGGCTGATGCAGATATCAGGACCTTCCATGCCACCCAGGCCCGGGAACAGCAACTGAGGAACTTGGACATAATTTACAAGCCTGGACCATGGCCATCAGGAAGGGCCAAGTGCAAACTAGCATAGCTAAGCCAAGGCAGATTTAATGTTCCAGGATGGAGCTGAGTAAAATCAAGAAGTGAATGTAAAAATGCACCATTATTAATTTTAGGGAAATCTGGATACAGGGATGTAGGCTAATCATTATGAGGCTGGAGAGAGGTGATTGGCCTGGTGAAAATGTTGCTTTTATGTGTTTTATTGTCTTATAAACAATTTAAGTGAGTGAATGGATATGGCAGACAACGGAAGAGTTTGTAAGTTCCCTCCTACTTTTTCAAAAATACTTCAGGTACTCGAGCCATCACTAGGTTAAGAATTCTTCTTGACCTTGTAAAATCAAGCATGTAAAAGTTAACCTTTGATTACATCTCAGTGTGAATAGTTGGATGTAGAGTTCAGTGGCTAATTGGTGTGATCCGAGTGGAAAGAAGTACCTTGTGGGGGGCCAGGTTGGATGTGAGGGACATCAGACAAAAAAACAAGGCAAAATTGTAGAACTGGATGTCTGAAGAGATGGGGGAAAGAATTCCGTAGTTCATGACATCTTAATGGGATCACATCACCTTTTCAAAGCTACAGACTTTTTATAATATTGTAGTAAGCACCACAAGTCAGAACTGGGGATTTCTGCATCAGGCTGCTTATTACAACATCAGAGATTTATTTAAACTGTGTTTATTGAAAGACTTCTTTCTGGATGCGCCTAGGTCTTTTCAGAGTAGCAGCAGCTGGGCCGGGGTGATAAAGGGGAAGCATCCTCTATTTGGTTATTGACAGGAAAGAATATGTTCCAGGAGGGACTTTTACTCTCCTTTGATTACCCACACTCCCTTCAAAGACAAGGAGCTTAGAATCCCTCATGGACTCTCACTGCCCTGAGTCTGGCTGCTGTGAAGATGACTTATCAGACATTCCTTTGGGACAGTAGGATCAGGATAACGGGCAGAGGGGAAAGGAGAGTCCTGGTTCTCCCTGCTTTTTCCTTCCAATCAGTTTTAGTTGTCTTTCTGTTGCCCACTAACAGGCAAATGACCTGACTCCACTCCTGCCAGATGAGGCTCTACCTCAATCTAGTGTCAATTCAACTCTCAAACAATGCTGACATGGACTCTCTCCTGGAAATAAGGCATTAATGTCTTCAACACCACCTTCTACCAAAGAACACAGATAGTCTGATTCTATCTGGGCCACAAAGCAGTCCTTTCCTCCTCATCTTAGATGCTTCTGAGGCAAGACTACAGCAAGGTATTTGAGGTTATCACTTACTGAGCAGGTCACCCCTGCCCTGAGCATAGGGCAGGTGGGATGGGTCGGTGGCTGGGCCTCATTGAGGAAGGCTGTTGCATAGGAGGCCTTGTTAGAGATGTCCTGGGGATCTCTTTGCCAGTTTTATGTAATTCAAAAGGTAATGGGAAGGAACTCACTTCGCTGTGTTACAGGAACATTTTGTGTGTGTTATGCCATTTAGGTTTTAAAAAACTCTATGAATGCTCACTTATCTCTGTATATCATATTTGCCTGTAAGCTTCCAGTCCTCTAATTAGAGAGGGCTCGAGGGCACAAATTGTCCCTATTCAGATTTGTATCCCCAGTGCCTAGAGGAAAGCCAGGCATATTGTTAAACTTGGAATATGTATGTTGTATAAATAAATACTTGAACATTGTTAGAATCCCTTAAAAGTAAACGAAGATTGGCCAGGCACAGTGGCTCAAGTAATCACAGCACTTTGGGAGGCCAAGGTGGGGCAGGGTTAGGGGTGGCTTGGGGCCAGGAGTTTGAGACCAGCTTGGGCAACATAGCCAAACCCGATCTCTTAAAAAAAAAAAAAGTGGAAGACTTAGGATATCAAATATATACTGTTCAGATGTGAGGATATGGCTAACATACAATTTGAACTATTCCTATTTCATCACATAACGACACAGTAATGGAAATGTAATTTTACACAGATTTTCATCTTACTTCTAGACCAGTTTTTTTTTAAGTGATTTTGTGGTTTTGAAATTTCTAGAGATATTTTTGGTAACTATAATAAGTGGAGAGGAGATCAGTGCTAGTATTTAATGGATAGGGAACAAGTGTGCTCAGAGTATAGCAAAGTAAAATAAAGAATTAGTACATGGCCTACACAATTTATCACTGTTTTCTTGGCTGCTGATGTAGGTAAGAAAACAGCTTAGAATTATCTGAGCTTCTACCCTAACTCCTTTTATTTTGCATGGTTTTAAAATGCAAAGAGTTTGCTGGGAATGTAACTATCATGTAATCAGGTATGACAGAGGAAAATCATACCTCTGTCTAGGCCTTTGTAAGATCTTTTATAGACTGGGGGTGGCTAGCAAGCAAAGGTCACAAAACAGATTTCATCTCCTTCCTTTTTACCAAGTCCTGCTTTGGTTGACTTGAGATAGGTTAGTCATTGGCATTTATTTATTTATTTATTTATTTATTTAGAGATGGAGTCTTATTCTGTTGCCAGGCTGGAGTGCAGTGGTGCCATCTCGGCTTACTGCAACCTCCACCTCCCAGGATCAAGTGGTTCTCCTGCCTCAGCCTCCTGAGTAGCTGGGATTAAAGGCGCACACCACCATGCCCAGTTAATTTTTGTATTTTTAGTAGAGATGGGGTTTCACCCTGTTGGCCAAGATGGTCTTGATCTCTTGAACCCGTGATCCACCTGTCTCGGCCTCCCAAAGTGGTGGGATTACAGGTGTGAGCCACCGCGCCCGGCCATTGGGCCCTGTTTATTGGGAACACTTACTAAATCTGAGACACAGAAAACCACCTTTTTTTGTTTGTTTTTGAACTGGGCAGCCTCCTGAACCAGAGTGGGCTCAGAGAGACTCTCAGAGAATCACCTCCTGTTTTGTTTTTGTTTTTTTTTGAGAAAGAGTCTCGCTCTGTCACCCAGGCTGGAGTGCAGTGGCATGATCTTGGCTCACTGCAACCTCCGCCTACCAGGTTCAAGTGATCTTCATGCCTCAGGCTCCCAGGTAGCTGGGACTACAGGCGCCCGCCACCATACCTGGCTAGTTTTTGTATTTTTAGTAAAGACGGGGTTTTACTATGTTGGCCAGGGTGGTCTCAAACTCCTGACCTCAGGTGATCCTCCTGCCTCAGCCTCCCAGGGTGCTAGGATTACAGGCACGAGCCACCATGCCCTGCTGAAAATCACATTTTAATATACTACTTTATTCAAGGAATCAGAGCAAAAAGAAAAAACAAGAATTACTTTTTTTGTTAACTCCATGAAAAATATGAGGAACTGTCCTAGTAAACAATTTTGTCATTTTCACAATGATGAGTATATAGAGCCTGCCTGTTCAGCCTCTCTTTTGAACAGAATTGGATAAATATGACCAAATCTTTGGCCTTGGGATTCATTTTTTTATACTGTCCTTGGGTCTTTTACTGTGAAAGCATTTTCCAGGTGGAATTTTTTAAGTTAAAGTTCAAGATAAAGCTGTATGTGAAAAAATGAAGCATGTACAGCTGATGGTAAGTGAGATAGCCGATGTTAGGGTATGCAGATACACATTTAAAGTGTTCGTTGTTATATATTTATTTTAATGTAAATGAATAATCAGTACATCAAATCTGTGGTTAAATGAAGAATTGTTTGAGCCCGGGAGGTTGAGGCTGCAGTGAGCTATGATCCCACTACTGCACTCCAGCCTGGGTGACAGAGCACGACCTCGTTTCAAAAAAAAAAAAAAAAAAAACATATCAGAGTCTGACTCACAGCTCTGCTATTCACCAACCTTGTGATCTCAGACTCAGCCCTTGTTTTCTCTTTTCTTTTTTTTTTCTTTTCTTTCTTTTTTTTTTGAGATGGAGTCTCGCTCTGTCACCCAGGCTGGAGTGCAATGGGGCGATCTCTGCTCACTGCAACCTCTGCCTCCTGGGTTCAAATGATTCTCCTGCCTCAGCCTCCCGAGTAGCTGGGATTACAGGCACCCACCACCACACACCCAGCTAATTTTTGTATTTTTAGTAGAGACGGGGTTTCACCAGGTTGGCCAGGCTGGTCTCAAACTCCTGACCTCAGGTGATCCACCCGCCTCGTTCTCCCAAAGTACTGGGATTACAGGCGTGAGCCACCACGCCTGGCGTTTTCTCTTTTCTACAAGGGAAACATTAAAACCCTGCATGATACGCAAACATAAGCCTGATGGTGGGTGACCTTAGATCGTGGACACAGACGAAAGCCTGTATCAGCTCTAGAAAAGTATGTAGAGTGTTACCTACTGGACCATGTTGTGAGGCTTAATCCCAATTACCTTATGTGAAATAGGTGTGCCAAAGAGGGAGTGGCTTCCTTATTTCCAACACTCCTTGCAAAACCATGAGGGATAAACATTTTGAATGATGCTGAGATATTTTAGGCAGTAAAGCACTCATCAAAGTTTCCTCTTAGGTTTAATGACTTTTAGGTCTCCTGTTTTCCTATTAGATGAGGTAGGTGAAGCTGATAGAGACAGCTAAGGATGGGAATGACTACATTACTGTTTGCTGATTGATATCCCCCAGTGTACTAACCTCAAACCTAAATAATCTCAGAGGTGTAAGATCATCTTACTGTCTTCTGTGCTAACATTTTCTCTTGCTCTATTGAAGAAGGGAAAAGAAATAGGGATTTCTGTGTTGACTGCAATGTAATAGTTAAATGTTTTTCTTGATAGTCTTAAGGTAGCAACAACAGCAATAATAACATACATACATACATGTATATATAGGACAATAATTTTATTTTAGTTAATCAGGTGATTTTTTTCTGGATTTAGGTATAGTATTTTAAGAAAAACAGATCTACATAGTAAAAAATTTCAGAAATGTAGATTGCATTTTCCGTAGACATTCCTCTACACACACACACACACACACACACACACACACACACACACACACACTCCTTATGAGGGCTTCAAAGAACTACAAGAGTCCGAGCTAGAAGGAATTTGTGAGGTCCTTTATTCCAAGCTACATTTCATAGCTGAGGACCAGAATGGTAGTCCTCATAGAAAATTAGTGCTAGAACTGGGAATTAAACATATAATTCCTTACTATTGGGATTCCCTTAGTACTATGTGGCAGTTAAAAAAATGAGGTGTGTCTGTGTGTAAGCTGTGGAGCTCTTCAGGAGAATGTGCAGACTCAGGGTAGAGCGGGGAGGCAATGGTGTTGGGTGCGTCAGAGGAAGAAGGATGTGACAGAGTGAGTTCCTCAGGTGAGTACTTGGAGGAGTGAGGAGAGATGGGGAGAATGTGAAATCCTGAGGATCTGGGGTCTGGGATCAGGGGAAGGGAGCTTCCTTTCATCTGAAGGATGTAGATGCTCTCCTCTCCATCGCTTCACTCCCTCCTCTAGAACAAATAACACAGCTCATATGTGGACCCTCTTTCTAATCATCTCCTGGACAAGATTCTCTTCTTCTAAGGCCCAGCACTTAGAAAACCTTCTCAGGCTGGGCATGTTGGTTCATGCCTATAATCCCAGCACTTTGGGAGGCCGAGGCGGGTGGATCACTTGAGGTCAGCAGTTGGAGATCAGCCTGGCCAACACGGTGAAACCCCGTCTCTACTAAAAGTACAAAAATTAGCCAGGCATGGTGGCACACACCTGTAATCCCAGATACTGGGGAGGCTGAGGCAGGAGAATCACTTGAACCTGAGAGGCAGAGGTTGCAGTGAGCTGAGATTGCGCCATTGCACTCCAACCTGGGCGACAAATCGAGACTCCATCTCGGAAAAAAAAAAATCTTCTCAATGGACTCCTCAGCTCCATCAGTAGGAGTTATGAGGGTTGTGGGGGCACTCCTTGCATTGGAAGTAACACCTCCCACCCCAACAGATTAATATTCCACTCAGCAGTATTAGGCACAGTGGATAATTCCCTCCTTTTTGATGAGGATGACCTGAGAATGGGGCTTCTTGTGACAGGAATAGGGACGAAAAGCGTTGTGAGATCAGTCCTGGTTCCTCAATGCAGGCAGTCATGTCGAGGCTGCGTGATGGTCTCTGGGATGCCCCTGTCTCCTGGCTCTTTCCTTACCATCCAGGCCTTTCATTCTTAGGCTCCTCACACGTTTTTCCTCTTGCCTCTGGTAACTTGATGTTAGAGGTCCCCAGGAGTCAGTCATAGGTCTTCTTCTCTATCTGCACACTATCCCTTGGTGATCTTATCCAGTCTCAAGGTTTTAAATGCTGTTGATTCTCTAACAACTCCCAAATACATACTTCCAGCCCAGCTCTCTTGCTTTGGACTAGTACATCGGACTGTCTATTTGACATCTTCACTTGGAGGTCTAATAGACCCTTCAGACTTAACATGTCCCACATTAGCTGGGTGTGGTGGCACACGCCTGTAACACCAGCTACTTGGGAAGCTGAGGCACAACAATCGCTTGAACCCGGGAGGTGGAGGTTGCAGTGAGCCGAGATTGCACTGCACTCCAGCCTGGGTGACAGAGCCAGACTGTCTCAAAGAGAGAAAAAAAAAAGCTACCCATTGCTTCCCCCATTCTCCTTCCTGCTTTATTTTTTCCATAGAGCTTATCACCTTAACAGTCTGTGTAATTTACATATATGTTTATTGTCTGTGAGTATACATTATGTGTCTAGGTCACTAGAATGTGACCTCCGTGAAAGCAGAGATTTTTTTTGTACGTATGTCCTGCGTTCTCTGATGACTCCCATACCTCTAACCGTACCTGGCACATAGGTACTCAAGAAATGTTTGCTGAATAAGGCTCCTCAAATCAAGAGCCCCAGTAGGCCGTATGAATGCTGCAAAATAATTGTACTACAGGGACCCATTTGTGGGAATACTCACAGCACTAAAACCCCTTAGTTAAGAGGGATCTGAACAGCCTAAGAGGTTTCTGCCTAACTCCCGGCAGCAACTTCGCAAAGCACTATAGCCACCACACACTGTCCCTGAGATGTCAGAGTCACTGACGGATTTGGGCCCCAGGACAGCCTTTACCAGCTGCTGGTGTGGCCGAGTCTCCATCCACGAGTCCTAGACTGATAGGTTCACTAAGGTATGCAGAAAACCCCCACTCCTCATGTGACAAGTTGCTGGTGGCCCAACCCCCTCTTTATCAGTAGGAACTTCAGCGCTTCCTGACGATGCTTCCTTTCCGGAATCCTCACCCCTCTCTACTCAGCCCGCGGCCTCTCTCACTTCTACTCCAATGGCTGAGCGTCCTTGGCGGCAGAGCGGCACCAGCGGCCCTCGGCGATCCGCGATGACCGCAATGTGTAAGTGCGCCTTCCAGCCAGCAGAGGGCAGGAGCGGCTGCGGTGTCCCAAGCCGGGCTGGTGCGGGCTCCTGCCCGGCCCGTTTCTCTGCTGGTTCCACCTCTCCCCTCAGCTCCCCGCTTCTTCCAGGGCGGGAGTGAGGGAGGGGAGGAGGGCTGGGGGAGTGAGCGCGTGCGGGTGTGCGCGTGTATGGTGGTGCAGGGAAGCCTGTGCTTCGGGAAAGCTTTCCCGGGATGATGCTCTCTGGGCTCATGGGTCCGATTTGCCCACAGCAAATGTCTGTACTATGCAGACATTGAAATAGAATGAGGTCCACTCTCTTCCGATGGCGGGTCACAGGGTCCTGGGAAGGGGATCTGAAGCCCCTCCACCGAGCCACCTCGCTTCCTTTATGGAGATAATCCCCAGACTTGCCCTCACTGCTCTGGAAAGAGCTGCCTGGAGGTGGGGCAACTCCTCCCGCGCGGCCCCTTAAGTGCTGAGGCTGATTCCAGCCGCCGCCACAGTGGCCGGCAGGGGACGCTGCGCCGCCGAGACCCAGCGGGCCGAGAGGCACCAAAGCCGTGTCTCCTGGTTCTTAGCTGAGACGGACTTGAACTTCCAAAAGCCTCCTTAACCACCGAGGAAGCAGGAGAATGAAGAGGCTTCAAATAATGAGCGCCTGCTGTATGCCACGAGCTTTCCATTGCGGAGGTGGCTGGATGTGCAGAAGGAGGGCAGGGCGAGGAAGGAGAGACGGCTGCCCCACTCTCGGCCTGTCTGCCGCGGGCTGCAGGCTTGGGGTTTGGAGGTCAAGTCTATGCTGCATCGCTAGAGTAGTTTACAGTTGTGAAATTCAACTGTAAATTGAAATTCACAGCTTCGTTCTTAAACTTTCTATTACCAGGGACCATTCCTCAGTAGGCTCAGAAAGGGCTACAATGAGGTAGGCTGTTTGATTTTTCTTTTACATATACAGATACGTTGTAAATGCAAATGGCAGAGGTAAATTCAAATATTAGGAGGGCAAATGTAGCGAAAAGGATGAAGACATCCTACTTTTCTTTTCCAGATGCAACAATTTGCAGTTTGTTTATATCTTTTTACTGTCTATGCATATCTACATGTTATATTCATAAACTCATTGACATATATATATAGATGAGTGTTTATTTCCTATTCCCCCCCCCCACAAATAGTAACATTCTATACACAACGTTCTACACATTACCTCTTTTCCACTAACAATGTATTTTAGACATATTTCACGCTAGTAGCAAGAGTATACCTCATTCTATTTTGATGTCTGCATACTACAGGCATACCTCAGAGATGTTGTGGGTTTGGTACTAGACCACTGCAATTTTTATTTTTATTTATTTATTTATTTATTTATTTATTTATTTTGAGACGGAGTCTCGCTCTGTCGCCCAGGCTGGAGTGCAGTGGCGCGATCTCTGCTCACTGCAAGCTCCGCCTCCCGGGTTCGTGCCATTCTCCTGCCTCAGCCTCCTGAGTAGCTGAGATTACAGGCGCCGGCCACCACGCCCAGCTAATTTTTTGTATTTTTAGTAGAGACGGGGTTTCACCGTGTTAGCCAGGATGGGCTCGATCTCCTGACCTCGTGATCTGCCCGCCTCGGCCTCCCAAAGTGCTGGGATTACAGGCGTGAGCCACAGCGCCCGGCCACAATTTTTATTTTTTAAAACACACATTTTTTTGTTTCCCAGTGCATGTAACAGTTATATTGAAGGTGGCCATTGAGACCTGAGAGCTCACGGGAAATAGAGTTCGTACATCTGTACGTTTGCATTTCTGTAAACAAAAGTTCCTTGGCACAGTGCTTAGACTGCGGACAGCATTTTGAGAGTGCCAGCCCTAACTCTAACTGTATGATACAAGTCAGTTAGTCAACCTTTATAAGCAGGTAGGGTGCAACGGACTGAGGGTGAAGCTCTGGTCTGGGCCTGGGATGTCAGTGCAGGGATGGAAAGGCATATCCAGGGAGGTGACTGGAGGCGTTAGTTTGTCAGACAGAGACTAGCCTTATGATGCCAGCTTCCTGGAAAAACAACAGAGGAACTCAGACATGATTCACAAGCCTGGGGCCATGACCATCTGGAAAGGCCAAGCAGAGACTGGTGAGGCCCAGCGAAGGTAGGTTTGATGGCTGTGGATGCAGCCACAGGGGAGTCCCTTAATCCCTCTTACAGGTCACTGAGGAGAACTGCAGTAAGGCATTTCAAGTAGTCACTTACTGAAGACTGCTCTGAGTAGGTCACCCTGCCATTAGCATGGACATGGAAGGTGGGGTGGGTCAGATATATACATAAATATATATATATCCTTAATATTCTGTCCCTCTAGAGAACCCTGTCTAATACACCTTGGATTTCTGGTTTCTAGAACTGTGAAAAAATAAGTTTCTCTTGTATAAGCCACCTAGTCTGTGGTATTTCATTCTAGCAGCCCCAGGAAGGAAATAGAATGGGTAATCTGTAGAGGTCTCCACAAGAAAGGGCAGGGCAGAAGAGGGGGATTAGAGAGAAGGAAGGTACTGGAGATGGGTGCTTCAGAGGGAGGGAGGAATTGTCAAGTGAGTTGATCTGATGAGTCTGTAGAAGAGTGAGGAGAGATGGAGACAAAAACAGTTCATGTGAAGTATGGAGGGCCGGGGTAATGGAAAAGGAGGACCAGCGTCTCAGGGGAAGGGAGACATACATGCTCTACTCTCCTCCTTTTCATTCCCTCCTCTGGGAGGAAAATATGACTCCAGTGTGGACGCTCTTTCTTCTCACCTCCTGGAGGAGACTGTCTTCTCTAGGTCAAGAACTTGGAAAAGTCTCCTCAATCCACTGCCCAGACTCCTGTCCTCCAACAGTTTGGGTCATGGGGATCCCTGACATTTGGAATGAGACCATTCCCCACAGCCCCAGCCTCTGTCTGGGTCAATTTTCCATTCTTACTTTACTGATCTATCAGAAGCATTTAACATAGTATCACTGCCTCCACCTGGGATGATCTGGGAATGAGCTTCCTGTGATAGAAACAGGGATGAAAAGCATCAAGTTCAGTCGTGGTGCCCTTAAGGCAGATAGTCAGGCTGCCTCTCAGTGTGTAGGACACTGCTGTCCCCTGGCCTGTCCCCTACCCTACAGGGCTTTCATTCTCAGTCTCCTATGTGAGTCCCTCCTCTTCCCCCTGGAATTTTGTTGTTGGAGCTTCCTAAGGGTCAGTGGTGGGCTTCTTCTTGATCCACATGACATCTCTTGGTTTTCATCAGTGGGATCAATGGATGAAATGCCATCAACTCCCAAACCAATCTTCAGCCCAGCTCTCTTGGTTGAACTGCAGACTCTTGCATCCAATTTGTTATTTGATAACACCACATGGATGTGTCATGTATGTTGCAGACTTTTTACATCCCAAGTGGAAACACTGATCATCTCCCCAAATCCCCTCATCTACCAGTTCCTTCCTCGGAATTCCTATCTCAGTTGAAGATAACTCCATCGTTTTCAGTGAAAACCAAAGTGGTTTGAAATAATTCTTTACGCTTTCATTCTCTAACATACTCCAGCTAATCTATGGGAAAATACTGTTGTTTCTACCTTCAAAACATGCCTGGATCTGATTACTGATTCTTGGTTCCCCTACAACCGCCAAGTCTGAGACACCAACACCTCCCACTGGCAGAACTGCAAAACCCCGTCACTGTGCCCTTCTTCCACCTTCATCAACCACAGTGGCCACAGTGATCCTTTTACACCATAACTCAGGTCCTGCTGCTCTGCTCAGAACCCCATAGAGCTTCCACATTTCACTAAGTAAAAGCTGGGATCCCTACAATCTCCTGTGCCCTAATGTAATGTGTCCTCCTACGCACTTTTCAGGACACACCTTCTACTCTTTTGCCTCTCAGTCACTCCCCTCTAGTTTCCTGACCTTTTACTGTTCCTTGAGGATACCTGGCATGTGCCTGCTTCATGGCTACTTTAGTCCCACCCCACCTGCATGTGCCGGGCTAAGTTCTTCATCCCCTGTAAGTCTTTGCTCAAAAGTAATTTTCTCAAGGATACCTATATAAAATGATTGTCATATTAAAATGAACAAATAACAGAGCATGGATTTATATCTTAAATTCTTTATGATTTCTTTGCTGCTTTTTAGTACCCTGAAACACCTTCCCTCCAAGTACTTGGTCTTTCTCAAGACCTAAGAATCTGAAAGTATAGTTAAACTGTTATAAACAGTAAGGGACAGTTATGGCTTAATGAGCAGCTTATCAGAACTCAGATGATGAAAAGAGAAACCAGTTATACACTCTTTCTCCGTACCCCTCTATGCTCTATCTTAGTTCACTTTTCAGGCATACGTCCTTTACATATTGGCAAGATGGTTGCAACAGCCCCAAAACCTTATATTATCTCAGAAATAAGCAGAGGAGAAAAAGTCTCCTGCCTTCTTCCCCCAACATTCCCAGCCAATGTCTGATTATTTCGAGGGCCCATCTCATAACCCACCAGGACCTCTGAAATGGGATGAATGCTCTGATTAGGTCAAGTGTGGCCCAAGAATGCTGGTGGTCTTCAAACCCTTTTTGGGGTATCCATGGGGTGCTTCCTTCCTAACCACCCATTTGTGTGAGGCTAGATTCTCTTTATACAATTCAGCAAAACGACATAGTGTAACAGACTGAACGCCAGGCAGACATGAGTGTCCAGATGTCTACATAGACTCAGACATTAAAGAAATTTTGAAAATGTAAAACAATGCCATTCCTTTTAATTTTTTTTGTTTTAAAAAACAGAGTTACTTTTCAAAAAGTATGATCTTTATATTTACACGTAATAATTGTATTAACTGGTTTATGATTAATAGTTATTTAAAAAATAGTTCTAATTTCTAATGAGATAAGTAAATATGAATAATCAACATAAACAAAGGTTTTTTATGGTTCTTAGAAACTTTCAGGTGGTAAGGTGATCCTAAAGAACACTGGGTGGAGGGTGGGGGTGTGTGGATGAGATGGGGTTTGTCCCCCACTGAAACAGAGTTCTTACTCACCTGATCCTAAAGAATACTGGGTGGAGGGTCAGGGTGTGTGGATGAGATGGGGTTTGTCCCCTGATGAAACAGAGTTCTTACTCACCCTGCAGCTACTGCTGTGCTTTGACTTTGTGACAGATTGTCCCAGTATCAGGCTAATATCCTAGGCAGTGGGAAGGGGATGTTGGTTGGAGCTGATTTGTCATGTCAAAACATCTACATTTGGTCCCTCAATCAATGACCCAGAATGATTCCTCAGAATCTCAGAATGGGGCTCTTGTACTGAGCAGTCCCATAAGGTCATATTGAGTGAGGATTTTCTGTGTTGTCTGTTAAGATGCCTTAGAAGAAACTAAGCCTATGTGGTGATCACTGATGCCTCATTCTTGTGTCCAACTCAGTGAATCTTGCCTATGCGTTTGCCTTTAGCAAACTGCAGATTTGAGATCCATAGAAGTATTTTCTGTTATTGCCCTGCCATCTCTAAGTATGAGAGACACCTCATTTATGATGCCCCCTTTTTCTTTTTTTTCTGTTTTCTTTTTCTTTTCTTTCTTTTTCTTTTTCTTTTTTTTTTTTGAGACAGAGTCTGGCACTGTCGCCCAGGCTGGAATGCAATGGCACAATCTCAGCTCACTGCAACCTCTGCCTCCTGGGTTCAACTGATTCTCCTGCCTCAGCCTCCTGAGTAGCTGGGATTACAGATGCCCACCACCACGCCTGGCTAATTTTTGTATTTTTAGTAAAGATGGGGTTTCACCATGTTGGTAAGGCTGGTCTCGAACTCCTGACCTCGTGATCCACCACCCCCGCCCAGCCTCCCAAAGTGCTGAGATTATAGGCGTGAGCCACTGTGCCCAGCCTATGCTCCCTTTGTCAATCATGGCTTTGATTTTAATATATTTTCTATATGATGAGTCAGCCCTGTTATAACTTGTAACATCAGGTGGTTCAGAGCATCTGTCAATAGGAATCTCCTGCTTGACTGGGATCAAAAAAGTGAGGGTGGAGTCTTCAGTGACAAGAGTTGAACTCAAGCAGGCTGGCCTCCAGGTTCCTGCAGCCAGAATCAGTATTCTTGCCCTATGCTACATCCATCCTTCATTGACAAGAGAACCATGAATAGAGCCTGTGTTGAGAAGGACCCATAATGTAGGGGTGGGGTGCACCTAGGGTAATGCATAATAACATATCCGTGGTCAGACATGCTAAACAATTGGTTGGACCTAGTGCAGAATGAAAATGTGGGTTCTCTTCTTCAAAAAGTGTTTAGAAATTTCAAATGATGACATTGAAACATTAAATCAAGCATGGGCTCCGTCCCGTGTGACTTCACTGTTCACACGTCCATGAAGTTGACTTAGTTTGTTGCAAATTATTACAGAATGGCCCCAATCATTAATGCCTCCTATCATCCATCCCTTTCTGTGATTCCCTTGTTACAGTGACCCTGGCTTGACTTTGTGACTTACTCGGACCCAAAGACTTTGGGGTTACTTTGACTTCAGTAAAGGGTGACCATGTACACCCCTAAGTATAGTCCTTGCTGCTGCTTGGACTATTCCAAGCTGCCTTGGAGCCTTGAGCAGCATGTAAAGGAAGATTGGGCTCTGTTACTGGAGAGACCACATAGAGGGAGAGGTTGGTATGGTTTGGATGTGGTTTATTCCTGCTAAAACTCATGTTGAAATTTAATTACAATTTTAACAGTATAGAGAGGTAGTGGATCTTTTAAGAAATATTTGGGTCATGGGAGCTCCACTCTCATAAACGAATGAATGCATTTTTGGAAGACTGGGTTAGTTTTCCTAGTAATGGATTAGTTACTATGAGAAGGAGTTTTTTTGTTTGTTTGTTTGTTTGTTTGTTTTGAGACAGGGTCTCACTCTGTCTCCATGCTGGAGTGCAGTGGCACGATCCCTCCGCACTACAACCTCTGCCTCTTAGACTCAAATGATCTTCCCACCTCAGCCTCTCAAGTAGCTGGGACTATAGACATGTGCCACCATGCTTGGCTAATTTTTGTTTTTCTGGGGGCAGAGGTGGGGTTTCACCATGTTAACCAGGCTGATCTGGAACTCCTGGGCTTCCAAAGTGCTGGGATTGCACGCATGAGCCTCTGCACCCGGGCTGAGAAAGAGTTGTTATAAAGCCAGGTTATGTCTTTTGTTTCATCCCTTTTCCAGCTTGTTTGCTACCCCTTCCACTTCTTTGCCATGTTGTGACGCAACAGGAGGTCCTCACCAGAAGCCAAGCAAATGCTGGTGCTGTGCTGCTTGAACTTACAAGCCTCCAGCAACCTGAGTCAAATAAACCTCTTTTCTTTTTAAATCACCAAGTTTCAAGTATTCTGTTATAGCTGCAGAAGAGTCTAAGCACAGGCTCTGGATGGTGAAGATAGAGTAGATGGAGGCCCCAGTGTTCTGGTCATCTCAGCAGATCAACTAGACATGGAATGAGGTTCTCTTGAAATCTCTAGCCTAGATTACACTTGCTGTAGCCAGTGCAGCTGATACTACGTGGAGCCAAAGCAAGTTGAGTGAGCAATCCCAGAGAATAGTGAGAAATTATACGATAGATTCAGTCTACTAATGGCATTTTCCTGCCGCTTGTAAAACACCATTATCTTTTGGGATCTTGGTTAATCCTTCAGTGTATCTTTTATAAATTGTTTGGCAGTAGCTGTGGTTTTTGTTTTGTTTTGATCTTTAGAGATGGAGTCTCACTATCTTGTCCAGGCCGGAGTGCAGTGGCTATTCATAGGCATGATCCCACTACTGATTAGCACAGAAGATTTGACCTGCTCTGTTTCTGATTTGGGCTGGTTCAACTCTTCTTAGGCCACCTGGTTGTCCCTTCCTGCTAGGAGGTCACCATATTGATGCTTAACTTAATATGAACACCCCCATCGGCTTAAGCGCACTTATAGCCCACATCTCCTGGGCTCAAGTGATCATCCTGCCTCTGCCTCCTCAGTGGCTTAGACTACAGAAGCCGGCAACAACTGTCTTTTGACTGTTCAAACCAGTTCCTTTGATTCTTTTTAAAAAAAATTTTAAGTTTTGTGTGTACCTAGTAAGAATATGTGCTTATGGAGTACATTAGATATTTTGATACAGGCATGCAATGTGTAATAATCATATCAGGTTAAATGGGGTACTCATCCCCTCAAGCATTTATCCTTTGTGTTACAAACAATCCAATTATACTCTTATTTTTAAATGTACAATAAAATTATTATTGACTATACTCACTCTGTTGCGCTAACAAATACTAGGTCTTATTCTTTTTTTCTATTTTTTTTGTACCCATTAACCATCCTCGCTTCCTCCGCATCACCCCACTACCCTTCCCGGCCTCCGGTAACCATTCTTCTACTCTATCTCCATGAATTCAGTTGTTTTTGTTTTTAGCTCCCACAAAGAAGTAAGAACATGCAAAGTTTGTCTTCCTGTGCCTGACTTATTTCACTTAACATAATGGCCTCCCGTTCTATCCATGTTGTTGCAAATGACAGGATCTCATTCTTTTTTTGTGGCTGAATAGTGTGATCTACTGATTTTCTTTCTTTTGGGTATATACCTAGCAGTCGGATTGCTGGATTTTGTGGTAGCTCTATTTTTAGTTTTTTCGGGGACTTCCAAACTGTTCTCCATAGTGGTTGTACTAATTTACATTTCTACCAACAGTGTACGAGAGTTCCCTTTTCTCCACATCCTGGCCAGCATTCTTTTTTGCATGTCTTTTGGATAAAAGCTGTTTTCACTGAGGTGAGATGATATCTCATTGTAGTATTGGTTTGTGTTTCTCTGATGATCAGTGATGTTGAGCACCTTTCCATATGGCTGTTTGCCACTTATATGTCTTATTTTGAGAAATGTCTATTCAGATATCTTGCCCATTATTTGTTTATTTATTTTATTATTAGTTTATTTTTTGGGGAGACAGAGTCTCACTCTGTTACCCAGGCTGGAGTGCAGTGGCGTGATCATAGTTCACTGCAGCCTCAGCCTCAGGAGCATATTGTTTAATTTCCATGTGTTTGTATAGTTGTATAGTTTCTAAAACTCCTCTTGTTATTGATTTCCAGTTTTATTCCATTGTGGTCAGAGAAGATGTTTGTTATTATTTGAATGCTTTCGAAAGTTTTAAGATTTTGTTTGTGACCTAACATATGGTCTATCCTTGACAATGATCCATGTGGCTGAGAAGAATGTGTATTCTGCAGCCATTGAATGAAATGTTCTATAAATATCTACTAGGTTCAGTTGGTCTATAGTGAAGATTTAGCCCAATGTTTCTTTGTTGATTTTCTGTCTGGAAGATCTGTCCAATGGTGAAATTGGGGTGTTGCAGCTATCCAGTATTTGGGGCCAATCTCCCTTTTTAGCTCTAATAATATTTGCTTTATATATCTGGGTGTTCCAGAGTTGGATGCATATATATTTGCAATTGTTATATCGTCTTGCTGAATGACTCCTTTATCATTATATAATGACCTTCTTTGTCTATTCTAATAGGTTTTGTCTTGAAATCTATTTTGTCTGATATAACTACTCCTGCTCTTTTTTGGTTTCCATTGGCATGGAATATCTTTTTCCATCACTTTATTTTCAGTCTCTGTGTGTCTTTATAGGTGAAGTGTGTTTCTTGTAGGCAATAGATCATTGAGTCTTTTTTTTTAAACCATTCAGCCATTCTATATCTTTTGATTGGAGAGGATAGTCCATTAGCATTCAATGTTGCTATTAATAGGTAAGGACTAACTCCTCCCATTTTGTTATTTGTTTTATGGTTGTTTTGTTGTCTTCTCCTTCTTTCTTTGATTCCTGTCTTTCTTTTCGTGAAATTGAGTTTCTCTGGTGTATGATTTAATTTCTTGCTTTTAATTTTTTAGTATCTGTTTTATGTTTTTTGATTTGAAGTTATTATGAGGCCCCCAAACAATATCTTATAACCCATTATTTTAAACTGATGACAATTTAGCACTGATTGCTTAAACAAACAGATGGATAAACAAGCAAAAAGAAAATTAATAAAAACCCTATACTTCTGTGAGGCCGAGGCGGGCGGATCACGAGGTCAGGAGATGGAAACCATCCTGGTTAACACGGTGAAACCGTGTCTCTACTGAAAATACAAAAAAATTAGTCGGGCGCGGTAGAGGGCGCCTGTAGTCCCAGCTACTCGGGAGGCTGAGCCAGGAGAATGGCGCGAACCCGGGAGGCGGAGCTTGCAGTGAGCCGAGATCGCGCCACTGCACTCCAGCCTGGAGGACAGAGCGAGACTCCGTCTCAGAAAAAAAAAAAAAAAAAAAAAAAGCCCTATACTTCATTCCCTCACTTTTTACCATTTTGTTTTTCTATTTATGTCTTATTGTACTATGTCTTGAAAAGTTGTTGTAGTTACTTTTGATCAGTTCGTGTTTTTCTTTCCACTTAAGATAATAGTGATTTATACATCACAATTACAGTGTTATAATAGTCTGTGTTTTCTATGTACTTGCTGTTACCAGTGAGTTTTATACTTTCAGGTGATTATTTATTGCTCATTAATGTCTTTTTCTTTCTGATTGAAGTATTCCCTTTATCATTTCTTATAGGAAAGGTTTAATGTTGATAAAATTTCTCAGCTTTTGTTTGTCTGGGAAAGCCTTTACTTTTCCTTCATGTTTGAAGGATATTTTCACTGGATATTTTATTCTAGGGTAATTTTTTTTTCTCAGCACTTTAAATATGTCATGCTACTCTCTCCTGGCCTGTAGGGCTTCCGCTGAAAAGTCTGCCACCAGACATATTGGAGCTCCATTGTGTATTATTTGTTTCTTTTCTCTTGCTGCTTTTAGGATCTTTTCTTTATCCTTGACTTCTTGAATTTGATTATTAAATGCATTGATGTAGTCTTCTTTGGGTTAAATCTGCTTGGTGTTCTCTAATCTTTTTGCACTCAAACACTGGTATCTTTCTCAAATATTGGTACCTTTGGGAAGTTCACTGTTATTTTCCCTTTGAATAAACTTTCTACCCCATCTCTTTCTCTACTGCCTCTTTAAGATAAATAATTCTTAAATTTGCCCTTTTGAAGGCTATGTTCCAGATCTTGTAGCTGTGCTTCATTATTTTTTCTTTTGTGTCCTTTGATAATGTATTTTTCAACTCATCTATCTTCAAGCTCACGAAGTTTTTCTTCTGCTTGATCAATTCTACTATTAAGATATTCTCATGAAATTCTTCAGTGTGTCGATTGCATTTTAAACTCCAGAATTTTTTCAGAATTCTCTGCATTACAAAGCAGAGACTCTTGTTTTCTTTCCTTACTTTCGCTCAAACAAATGATGTTTCTCTCAAACAAATGATGTTTCTCTCTGTGTGTTGAGCTGCCTGGAGCTGGTGGTGGGGTGACACAAACACCCCTGTGGTCACCACCACTGGGACTGTGCTGGGTCAGACCTGAATCCAGCATAGCTCTGGCTCACCCAAGGCCCTCTGTAACTACTACCTGGCTATTGCCTATGGTCACTGAAGGCCCTAGAGGTCTACAATTAGCAGGTGACAATACCCGTCGGGCTTGTGTCCTTCCCTTCAGGATGATGAGTTCCTCTAGGCCTAGGCATGTCCAGAGGTACTATCTGAGAGCCAGGGACCAAAGTAAAAAACCTGAGAAGTTTACGTGCTGTTCTGTTGTACTGTGGCTGAGCTTGCACTCAAGCCATGAGATGGAGTCCTTTCACTCTTCCCTTACCTTTCCACGGGCAGAGGAGCCTCTCCCTGTGGCTACCTCCACCACAGGCTCAAGGGGAGTATTGCCAGGCTACCGCCAATGTTCCCTTAAGGCCCCAGAGCTCTGCAGTCAGCTTGTGGTGAATGCTGCCTGGCCTGGGACTCACGCTTCAGGACAGTGGGTTCCCCTCTGACCCACGGCAGGTCCAGAAATGCCAACCACGAGCCAAGATCTGGAATTGGGGACTCCAAGAGCCTGCTTCGTGCTCTACCCTGCTGTAGCTGAGCTGCTACCTAAGCTGCAAGACAGAGTCCCCTTTACTTTTCCCTCTGCTTTTCTCGAGCGGAAGAATTGTCCCTTCATGACTGCCCCAGCTGTGAATATGGTGGGTCTCATCTGAAGTCAGCATATCTCAGAGTCTCACCCAAGGCCCATGGAGTGTACTACTGGGTATTGCTGCTGGTTATTTAGGGCCTGAGGGTTCTTCAGTCAGCAGGTGATGAATCCTGGCAGGACTGGGTCCTTTCCTTCTAGGCAGTGGGTTTTCTTCTGGTGCAGGGTGTGTCTAGTGCCTGGAATGGCAGCTTCATGACTCTGACTGGTGCTGTATCCTACTGTGGCTGAGCTGATCTTTATGATGTAAGACAAAGTCCTAGTTACTCTTTCCTCTCCTTTCCTCAAGCAGAAGGAAGGAGTCACTTTCATTGCTGTGAGCTGTGCTGCCTGGGGTTGGGGGAGCAGTTGTGCAAGCACTCCCTTAGCTGCCCTGACAAGTGTCACACTAGTGGTGTCTAGGTCCACTGGCTCTGAGCCCAGCACAGCACTGGGACTTGCCTTGTAGTTGTAGTTCTTGTGGCCTAGATTGAGTTTCAAATATATTTAGGACCCCAGAGCACTTTAGCCTACTGTGGCAAGGCTTTCCCAAACTCAGTGTCTGACCGCTGGGATAGGCGATTCCCCTTTTGCTAAGGTGGTCTAAATGCTCCTTCTGTGGGTGGGCTGTGACAGGGCAGCACTGAGTTCAATGCAGATTTCCACAATTGCTGCACTGTCCCTCCCCCACGCTCTCAGATTCTGTCTCAGCTCCATGTGGCGGCTGTTGGGAGATGGGGGAGTGGTGGCCTCAGTGATTCAAAATTGTCTTTCCTAACCTCTTCAGTGCCTCTTTCAGTGATATGAAGTTAAAATAGGTACTATGATTGTTGACTTGATTTTCATTTCCTATGTAGGTGCTTTTTTGTGTGTAGATAGTTGTTAAATGTGGTGTTTCTGCTGGTATGTGTGGGGGTGCAATCAATGGACACTTCTATTGGGCCATCTACCTCAACCCCTTCTCCATGATTCTTTGGCTATCTGAGGCGTTAAATATCTCCTCATGCATTAACCTAAAACAGTTTCTTAAGCGTTTGTTCAGTGTCTTCTGAACCCAAGGGTTACAGCAATGAGACCAAGTCAATTCATACCCCATGATGAACTTCGGCTAAGCCCTGTACAAATTCTCCCTACATATAAGTGAAGAGTGTTGCTATAGCCTGACAGGTCAGTTGTGTACACTTGGATATCAATAGGGTCAACTGAATAGAAGCCTCAAATCAAGACATAAATGCTGGATAATAGGTGTGTGTGGCTAAAATTGTCTGGGTAATAATGCAAATGGTATCATCGCTTCCTGTGCTTTGGAATTTCCCCACACCGAGATTACTTCTGATGTACTTGAAGACTTCTGAAGCCAGAGTTTGGTAAAAAATGGATCTCAAAGTTGGGCTGGAGACAGGTTGTTTCAGAACCACTTGAGGAAATGCTTGAAAATGCAGAATCCTGAGCTCCATGTGCAGATGTTCTGTGTGAGTATATCCGGAATGGAGCCCACGAATCCATAGTGCAAAAATTCCCCCAGGTGATCCGAATGGGAACTACACTAAAGTTTGAAGTTTTTTAGGTGTGGCACTTACAGGCTGGCAGAAAACACTATCAATGAATTTGTGTATAATATTTGATTATGTAGTTTATTATTATCAAAAATTGGTTATTAGTCATTAGGGATTGATTATGAGTATCCCAGTATGGAAGTTTTGGGAAAGATGTCCACCTCTCCTCCAGGCAGCATTACAATCTGTCCATATTGCTGTCTGAACAATTTATCTAATTGCACATTTGACTCAAACCCTGGTTGTACCTCTAGTACAATTGCTAATAGCTGGAGATTTGATGTGCTCATTTAAAAGGAATATCTCTGAGGCTAAACTTATTTTTATCTTGGTTTCACCATGTTTATAGCATTCTTCACTTTTTCTACTTTCTGTTTTTGTGTTTTCTATTGTAACATTCAATCCTATCAAAATTTATCATTCATAAATCATAATGAAACATGTGCATTTTCAGCTTTTTCACTGCAGCCCCTATATCTCTTGGGATAGAAATCATGTCAATAAAAACCAGACTTCAACCATAGAGCATCATATAGGACCTCAGTATCAAATTGGGCTCAATTGTGAAATACAACTAAAACAAGTGGAGATCTATACTCGTTATAGGTTGGTGTCGGGAAGGGGTCAGTGGATGGAAAATTACCTAGAGGAGATATCAAGGCTAGGGAGACCAATGCTAAGTTGATGTAATTGGATTTTTGTTTTTTGAAGGTAGGTCAGGAATCAGTTATCACATGGAGGATGATGGGGGAATTAAGGAATTTGGTCAAATATTGAGGGTGAGAGACTCATGATAAACCAAGTTAGGAGGACTTCTGTTAAACCTGACTTTAGGTCTGGCACTGGTGGCTCATGCCTCTAATCCCAGCACTTTGGGAGGCTGAGGAGGGCGGATTGCCTGAGGTCAGGAGCTGGAGACCAGCCTGGCCAACATCTTGAAACCCCCTCTCTAAAAATTACAAAAATTGGCTGGGTATGATGGTGCATAACTGTAATCCCAGCTACTCGGGAGGCGGAGGAAGGAGAATAGCTTGAACCTGGGAGGTGGAGTTTGCAGTGAGCTGAGATCTCGCCACGCACTCCAGTCTGGGCGACAGAGCGGGACTCTGTCTCAAAAAATAAAATAAATAAAATAAAATAAAATAAAATAAAATAAAATAAAATAAAATAAAAAATAAATACAAATGACTCTACAAGGAAGGACTAGGAAGCCCAACAGGATGACCTAGTTGTGAAGAGGGTTTAGAGGAGATGACTAAAGCTTGATCAAAGCAAGAGTCTTCGACAGTTGCTAGATATCGGTTGAGACCTCAGCTTCTCAGCCTAAAGCAGGGAGAGGGATAAGACTGTGCTGTTTCATGACAGAAAGCGTCTCTTATCTTCAAATCTCTCTGTTTCCCGGAAGTCTCAGGTTAGAGGAAGAAAAATCTCTAGAGTAGATTGTCACTAAATGACAGCAGAGCGGCTAATGAAGACACACAGACACTTTCAGATGAATTTGCAAAGCAGTTTATTGCAGGGTTCACAAGGCACTTCAGCTCAGGAAAGCTGAAGGGGTATGGAGACTGATGAGGACAGATGCTGATACCCAAAGTATATGGAGAGATGGGATCTTGGCTATGATTGAGGAGCTTGGCAGATGAGTGATGATGAGGAGTGCTGATACAGGAGCTTAGATGATTCTATCCAGGTGAACTGGAACCACCGGATACTGTGGAGGGTCTCGTCGTTGATCTCTGTTGTCACATGCAACTATATAGAACATGTTTGCTGGTGTCTGCGCATACCTGCAGTTTGAAATATTCTGTGGACTTGGAGTTGTGAGGTTACAGTGGATTAAAGGCACCTGGCTTCCACTGTGGTGACAATTTTTGCGAGTTTTGTTACTAGGACAGGTCATATTTGGGTTACCACAAACATTAACTACGTTAGCAAAAGTTGTAAGAAGGAAAGTATTTTGGTTTTTGCATCGCCGTTGATAATTGTTAATGACCTGCATTGCATTGGTGCATTGCTGGGAGGTCATATTGATGTGCTGGGTTTCAAACCATTGAGCCCAGGTAAACTGTGGAGGTTTGACATGGAGTGAGCCCTCCACAGCCAGAAGCCCCAACAGAAGAAGCAGACAAATTTGGGAAGTGAACAGTTTTGGAACCATGTTTCCTGTAAGAAAAGAAGAGAAGTAACTACTCCCTGATCGGGTCTTGGTTATGACACACACTGTAGTGTCTTACCCCACAGGCCCCTCTGCGGCCACTCTGGGGTCCCATTTCCTTTACTTCCTGTCTGCAAAGTGTGCAACGTCTCCTAAGCACTAACGTCAGCTCTCTTCTCCCTCAGTTGCTGCCCCATTGCTGCCCCTTCTGTCCCAGCTCTGGGGATCGTTGACTTACCCAGTCTCCGCGCTGTAGCTCCTGTGAGAACTGATCCAGCTGGTTGTTCTGGGGTTCAGGGGCAGCTGGTCTCCCCTACTTGGAACTGTTTAAATAAAGCATCCCTTGGTGGGTTGGGCCAGCAGAGCCCAGAGGGAGGGTCTGGCTCTTGGCCATGCAGAAACCCACAGATTGGTACATAGTCCACTTGTGCAATCATCCTTTTTATTTGATGACTTGGCTGAGCAACGGATACCCAAGGACAGCCCTGCTGCTCTTTCTGCTATAAGGACTCTAATTCCAAGTCATCCTGTGTAAGACAGAGTTTTGCTGGTTAGATCCAAACTCTGGATGAAAACTATATGCTGCCTGCAGAATGACCACAGATTTTATAACTGTCCTCTGGCAGGCCACTAAATGACCAAAGTACATGAAGGCAGGCATAGTAGTTAGAACAAATAGAGCCACTGAGGGCTGTTTGCCCAGGAGAAACCCAGCTTCCCTTTCATTTTTAGTAATATCCTTGGTTCTCTCTCACACAAATGCTCTCCATCTCATCCACCACTCTTGCTGGAAACTTGAGCTATTAATTTCTTAGGGCACAAGATTCTGTAGATAATTAAAACAATCTGCTACACATACTTGAGGGATTTTTTTCTTTACTCCTCTTGCATTGGATCCACTTTCTCTTAAGTCTTGCCCTGATTATTGCTTCCACTTTGTGTAAAGTTACACAACCTAAAAACACACCGAGGACAGTTGTAAAGTCTGGCAGAGAATGAATGAACATTTGGTGTCATGAAAGATTCCAACCTAGCACTCGGTATTCCTGTGATCTTTTCAGCCTATGGTATTTTCTACAAAACACTGTGTTCTGGGGTTGTCATTCATCTTCCTGGTAAGTTTCATTTTGTGATATTAACAAGAAAATGGTTCTGTATTTACAAATGAACATTTAAGGACAGAGCACTGTATTCCTGAAAGTATAGAGGTCAAGTGTACAGTTTGATACACAAAGCATACATTTATTCTTGGCCCTCAGAGACATACAGGAAAGTAATTGTAGACACATAATTGTATTACACTTGTGTGAACATGGTTTCATGGGGACGCCGAGGGTGAAGGAAATCACTTGGCTTGAGGGACAAGGAAGACTTCAAAAAAAAAAGTTTGATTTCAGCAGGGCCCTAAAAGATAAGCAGGGAGTTTTCAGGGACTTTAGGGAAGAGATGAGCATTCTGGGCACAGGGGATGATGTGGGGAAATTGTACAGAGGTGGGAAGTGAATTGCAGTGGTAAGACCTGAGTACTAAGAGATGTTAAATCTGGTCTAGCTTTCAGATTAGAAAATTGATATTAGACCCTTAAATGATATAATATACCTTCCAACAGTTAATCTACATAATTTTTACTACCATCCAATTTTCCTGTCATTTAGAAATGCAATAATTTTATCACTGGGGTCCTTAGGTAAATGTGGACACAATGGTGACCCAGTGAGGACTCAATGCGCAGCTAATATTGCTCTGCCTTGAAGTCCTCTTCTGGCCGACATTCATTAGCAGCTTTATCATGAAGCAAATTCTTTTTTCATGTATATTGTGTGGAGATCATTTTTGCAGGTGATGAGAATGTAAAGGTGAATGATACGTAGAGTATCCGCTCTGTGATGCTGACAGACACACTGGGTAGAAAGACTTGCACTCAAGTGTCTATAGTATGAGGCAAAAGACATAGACTGCAGCCCCAGGGCAGGTACCTGGCTAAACAGTGCCTCTTTTCAGCATATACAGTGCTATTTATAATGTTTGGTTTGGAAGGTAAAGTTTGACATTGGAATAGTTCACTAAAAGTTTTCATTACTGTCTTATCTTTAAAAATCACATGATGTTGGTTGGTGCACTGTGTCTCCGTTGCTGTGTGGTATCAATTAGAGCTGGGTAAAGCTGCCTCTGTGGAAGGGGCTCTAGCTCGGGGCTGTTCTCTGACTCCATCTCTGCCTCCTGACTTTCATCCTGTCTGTTCAGTAATGACACCTGCCTGGCTTCTGGAGACATCTGTGCTTATGACGCATCAGACTTGTTGCAGTGTCTTAAGAAATAACTCAGACCATACATAACCTGCCCAATTTGCAACCATATTCATCCTTTAAAATTGTGGTTTTTTTTTTTTTTTTGAGATGGAGTCTTGCTGTTGTTGCCCAGGCTGGAGTGCAGTGGCGCGATCTTGGGTCATTGCAACCTCTGCCTCCCGAGTTCTCCTGCCTCAGCATCTCGATTAGCTGGGATTACAGGCACCCTTCACAATGCCCGGCTAAATTTTGTACTTTTGGTAGAGACAGGGTTTCACCATGTTGGCCAGGCTGGTCTCAAACTCCTGACCTCAAGTGATCCGCCCCCCTGGACTTCCCAAAGTGCTGGGATTATAGGCATGAGCCACCACTCCTGATCACTAAAATTGTATTGAGAACATGCTCATAAGATTTTTCTGATTCTCCCTTGTGTAGATTTCCTGTGTACATTTCCAACTACTTTCATTTGCCTGCAGAACTTTAGAAAAGATCTACTTTGATATTTACGAGCTTTGGGAGAAGACTGTTTTATATGAAGCAGGAATAATAAAGTATAAGCCAACGGTAAACAAAATTCTCTGTGACTTCAGCATGATTTTGTCTTGAACAGACACAAGCCACTTCTCCCGGGTTCTTTATTAGCATAACTTGTCTTGCAGCCTAATTTAACGACACATTTTCAGACCCAATGCACACTTCCACTCAGAGGAATAGTCAGAATTATGCCCCAGTATTAAGTCATTTTTTGGAAACCGATGAACATTGTAAAATATTGTCCCAGACAAAGACTTCTCCATTTATGGTAAAAACCACTGTTGAGTACACTGCATTGATCAATGACTTTTTGCATAGCATTTATGTGCAAAAATATAATGTTTAACACTTGCAATTTCTTCAGCCCCAGGGTACCCTTGCAATATTTGCTCTTAACCTGCTGACAGGGAGGTACCAAACCATAGATACCTTCCTGCACACAGATTTCCCTAATGCAGCAGTGGCTATCTATGGGAAAGACAATGCACACTATTTATTAGGTTGGTGCCAAAGTAATTGCAATTTTTGCCATTAAAAGTAATACAAGATTGTCATAATAATATGGTGCAGGTTAAATTGCACCAAATTGAGTAATATTTTACTTACCTAATTTCTAAAGATATTTGGTGTACTGAGCTCTTCCTGGTCTCTTAAACCTCAGAAAGGTGGCCCTAGGCCTTCCCTCTTATGTGGGGCCTCCTGCATGTCTCCTCTGAAAGCCATTGAATAAGTAGATCTGACCCCTTCGATTAAGTTTCTGGCATGAAAGAGGAAAGAAGTAAGCCTTCTCCTTTTTCCTCAACTATAACAAGTCCTTTACTTCTCTGGAAAGGGAAGAAATGGGAATAGAGCCCCGATGGAATTATGGAGAGGTGTGTCTTAGGAGGGATGAAATAAAGTGTGTTTCCTAAGAAACTGGAAAATTGCATTCGTGTCCCATTGCATATTTTTAAAATCTTTCTTTCTTTCTTTTTCTTTTTCTTTCTTTCTTTCTTTCTTTCTTTCTTTCTTTCTTTCTTTCTTTCTTTCTTCCTTCCTTCCTTCCTTCCTTCCTTCCTTCCTTCCTTTCTTTCTTTCTTTCTTTCTTTCTTTCTTTCTTTCATTCTTTCCTTCTTTCTTTCTTTCTCTTTCAGATGGAGTCTCACTCTGTCACCCACGCTGTAGTGCAGTGGCAAGATCTCAGCTCACTGCAACCTCTGCCTACCGGGTTCAAATGATTCTCCTTTCTCAGCCTCCCGAGTAGCTGGGATTACAGGCGTGCACCACCACGTCCAGCTAATTTTTCTATGTTTGTAGAGATAGGGTTTCACCACGTTGGCCAAGCTGGTCTTGAACTCCTGACCTCAGGTGATTCGCACACCTCAGCCTCCCAAAGTGCTAGGATTACAGGCGTGAGCCACGGCGCCTGGCCTTATTTCTTTTTATTGATACATAATAGAGGTACATACTTTCAGGGTACATGTGATAATTTAATATATTCACATAATGTGTAAAGATCACATCGGGGAAACTGGGATATCGAGTACCTTAAATATTTGCCTCTTCTTTATGTTAGAAACATTCAAATTATTCTCTTCTAGCTATTTTGAAGCATACAGTAGATTATCATTAACTATAGTCATCCTCCTGATCTATCAAACACTAGGCCTTATTTCTTATATCATTTCTTATATTTGTACCCCTTAAACATCCTCTGTTCATCCCCATTGCATTTTGAGCACACAGATGCATTTGCTAAGATTTCAGAGCTCACACAAAATGAATTATTATATAGGTTAGTGTCTCTTTAAATGAAGTTGTTATATAAGTTTTGTGTTACAGCGATGTCGGGTATAGATTTTGTATAGTCTTGTCCAGATACCAGCTCTGACATTTTCTATTTGAGGCTCTTACTATAAGAGTTGTACAGGGCCAGGTGCTGTGACTCATGCCTGTAATCCCAGCACTTTCGGAGGCCAAGGTAGAGGGGTCACTTCAGGCGAGGAGTTTGAGACCTGCCTGGCCAACATGGAGAAATCCTGCCTCTACCAAAACCACAAAAATTAGGTCGGGCGCGGTGGCTCATGCCTGTAATCTCAGCACTTTGGGAGGCTGAGGTGGGCGGATCATGAGGTCAGGAGATCGAGACCATCCTGGCTAACATGTTGAAACCCTGTCTCTACTAAAAATACAAAAAATTAGCCAGGCGTGGTGGCACGGGCCTATAGTCCCAGCTACTCGGGTGGCTGAGGCAGGAGAATCGCTTGAACTCAGGAGGCAGAGGTTGCAGTGAGCCGAGATCACCTGCACTCCAGCCTGGGTGACAGAGTGAGACTCCATCTCAAAACAAACAAACAAACAAACAAACAAAACACACACACACACAGACACACACACAAATTAACCAGGCATGGTGGAGTGCACCTGTAATCCCAACTACTCAGGAGGCTGAGGTAGGAGGATCACTTGAACCTGGGAGTCAGAGTCTGCAGTTAGCCGATACTGCGCCACTGCCCTCCAGCCTGGGAGACAGAGTAAGATCCTGTCTCTTTAAAAAGAAACAACAACAACAACAAAAGAGTTGGACGGTTATTCATCCTTGCTATGCCTCTGTTTTATAACCTGTAAAATACAACAACACATACATTGGTTTGTAGGGGAAGTTTAATGTGGTAATTTGTGTGTGTGTGTATGTATGAAATAATTAAATATGTAGCATAAAACATTGCAAAAGGAAAAAAAAGTCTTGATGAGGACGATCAGTCTTATACATCAAGGTGTTAGCGTAGTTTCCATTACTGCGCTATCTTCTCTGTGGTATTTACGATGAGACAGTATGCTTGTTTCCTTTCCTTATTTCCCATAGTGAAGGCATTAGAACTAGAGCTCAGGTTTTTGTCTCCTTTTGATCAAGTGCTGCTTAGGTGGACAGCAAGTCATTTTGACAGGGCCGCTGTTTCTCAGGGACCCTTCCCAATCTGAGATAGAAGAAATCACGTTTTAACATCTTGCATTTAGTTGTGAAGTCAGAACAAAGGGAACTAGATCATCATGAAAACTAGGTTTTCCATCAATTTGGTGGTAAATTTGAGGAACTGTCTTAGCAAACAGTTAGAGCACCTTTTCATGATAAAAATGCAGTACTTGCATGATTTAGTCTCTTTTATACAGAATTTGATGAACTTGGCCAAATCATTGACCTTGAGCTTCATTTTTTTCTACTGTCCTTGGATCCTTTATTCTTCTGTGAAAATATTTTCCAAGGTAGAATTGTTTAATTTACAGCCATAGATGAAACTGAACACAAAATTATGAAATATGTACAACAGGTGGAAAGTGAAGTTACTGATGTTAGAAAGTACATGTAAATAGTAAAAATTGTTCACTGTTATGCATTTCTTTTAATGGGAGTGAATAATTAACACATTAGTCCATAATGTTATGCATATTATTGCTTAGGACCATGTTGTATAAATGCAAGAGTGAATAAAACAGATAATATTAGTCAATAGTACAAATGGAATGGGGGCATGGTCCAGGGATGCCTGATGTCTGGGAAACCCTGAGATAGAGAGTCGGGCTTGCCGAAGTCAATAGCCTACTTGCCTACATTTCTCAATTTGTGAGCGTTCATTTATTTCTCAACTATAGTCACTATGACTGATATTTTTTAGTAAATGGTACCTTTTCTTCAAAGGGATTCTTGGTCTCTTACCCTGTCAAGACATGCTCTTCCTTTGAAACCAGATATTTTCCTTCATGGAGCATCATCCCTTACTCCATCTCTTTGAATCTCCTATTTGGCTCACATCCTTCCCTTAAGAGGAACAAGCTTGGTTGTCCATCTAAAGTAATGGACTTAAAAAAAGATTAGAGTTTCACTTCACAAACTCTGCTATTCACCAACACGGGACCTCAAACAAGGCACTTATCTTCTCTTTTCTACCAGGGAAATGCTAACATTCTTTGTTTCTTATATCACAAATACACAAACTTAGTAAGTCTGGTGGTGGGACACCCTGCATCCTGAGCACAGGTGAAAGTCTACGGTGTCTCTAAAACAGTAGAAGCGAGGGTTACCTACAAGACAGTCCTGTTTTGAGCCTTAATAAAAATGCCTTGAATGAAATGGCGACCCCCATGTGGTGTTGGGTTCTTTCTTTTTTCCAATGCTTAGGGAAAAATTACAATGTATGTAAATGTTCAGTGATGCTGAGATTTTCTTGGCTAGATAGCACCTGCCAAACAAAGCTTCCTCTTGGATGTAATGAGTTTTGGGCCCCCGATCACCTATTAGACTACAGGTAGGTGAAGGGAAGGGAGATAGCCAAGAAGAGGAATGACTACATTATTGTTTGTTGACTGAGTGTTATCTCCCAGGCTATTAACCAGTCCTCTAATCTAGATCTCAGGGGCTTGAGCTCATCCCATAGTGTTTGCGCTAATGTTTTCTCTTGCTCCATTAAATGACAGTTCTAAATGACAGGACCTCATATCTTCTCTACAATAAGATAGATTACAAGCGTGGTTTTTTTTCATAGTTTAAAAATAATGATGTAATCTGTATATAATAATTTTATTTCAGATAATTATGCCTGTTTCTGCCTAAATTCATAATGATTTAGGAAAATCAGATATACATAGACCAACAATACAAAAATATCAACCAAATTTCCTTTACATTTTTTCCTACACACACACATGCACGCACACACACACACACACACACACACACATACACATGCATACACACATACCTATGCTCCAGAGTATCGGATTTCTAAATAGTCTGAGCTGGAAGGAACTCCTAAAGACATTTATACCAACCCCTCACTTTCCAGCTGAGGAAGAGTAATGGTAGAGTGATCTGTTAAGCACACTAAAAAAATTAATGATAGAACTGAGTATTAGAAAATATCTTTTTGTGGCTGGGCGCAGTGGCTCATGCCTGTAATCTCAGCACTTTCAGAGGCCGAGGTAGGTGTTCACTTGAGGTCAAGAGTTTGAGACCAGCCTGGCCAACATATTGAAACCCTTCCCTAGTAATAATACAAAAATTAGCCGGGCATGGTAGTGGGTGCCTGTAATCCCAGCTACTCGAGAGGCTGAGGCACGAGAATTGCTTGAACTCGGGAGGTGGAGGTTGCAGTGAGCCGAGATCGCGCCCTTGGACTCCAGCCTGGGTGATAAAGAGACACTCAGTCTCATAAAAAAAAAAAAAAGAAAGAAAAAGAAAAAAAAAGAAAATATATTTTTGCTTTGAGAATTATATTAGTACTATGTGTATTCTATTAGTACAATTCAAAACTGAGATGGGTCAGGAGATGCAGTGTTTAGCAAGATGAATAGAGTTAGCAATTTTGTATTGCACATTTGAAATTTACTAAAAGGATAGACCACAAGTGTTCTCACCACGAAAAAAAAGAAAAAGAAAAGAAAATGGTAACTATGTGAGATGACAGATATGTCAATTAGCTTGATTGTGATGATTATCTCACAGTGCTTTTGTATATCAAAACATGAAGTTGTAAAACTTAAATATATACAAGTTTTATTTGTAAATTATACCTCAATTAAAGCTGTAAAAAATGTGATGAGTGTGTCTGTAATCTCTCTAAACTTCCAAGAAAACCTGCAGGGCCAGAGTAGTGAAATGGGAAGGAAGAAAAGAGAGAGGGGCTGGGCATGGTGGCTCACCCCTGTAATCCCAGCACTTTGGGAGGCCAAGGTGAGTGGATCAGTTGAGGTCAGGAGTTTGATACTAGCCTGGTCAGCATGGTGAAATCCCATCTCTACTAAAAATACAAAAATTAGCTGAGCATGATGGCAGATGCCTGTAATCCCAGCTACTCGGGAGGCTGAGGCAGGAGAATCGCCTGAACCCGGAAGGTGGAGGTTGCAGTGACCCAAGATCACGCCAGTGCACTCTAGCCTGGGCAAGAGGACGAGACTCCATGTCAAAAAAAAAAAAAAAAAAAGAAAGAAAAGAAAAGAGAGTGATACGGAGATGAATGTGTAAGAGGGAAGGAGGATGTGGTAAAGTGAATAGCTCAGATGGGTCCTTAGAGGAGCGAAGAGAGATGGAGACAAATGCGAGAAGTACTGAGGTCTGGGGTATGCTTAAGAGGAGAACAATATCTCCGGGCATTGAGACACCAATGCCCTACTCTCCTTCTCCTTATTCCCTCCACTGAGATGAAAACGTGACACAGATGTGGACCCTCTTCCTGTTCACCTCCAGGACAAGATTTTCTTTCTCTAGATCCAGTAATGTGGATATCTCTTCAATGAATTCCCCAGACTCTTCCACCCCATCAACAGTGGTCATGAGGGAAGCTTTGCACTTGGAGTAAGACATTTCTCCCCAACAGGCTTAACTTTCCGTGAAGTAGCCTCCAGAACCAAGGTCTCTCTGACCTTCTCCTGTCTTCCAGTCTCTTGCTCCCCTCTCCCCAAATCACCCATAAAATCTAGAAATATTACTCTAGTCTTCCCTCTGCCATTCTGTGTAGGAGCTGGCCATAAAGAAATTACCTGACCTACCTTGTCTGATAGTAGGTCATAAGACTGATTCCAGAGGGGGTCTTGCTGTATAGCTGGGAGGGAGAATTCCTATACAGAGAGTCCAAGAAAAATCTAAACAGACAGGCCGTGCTGGGTTCCTCCCTCAGCCTATTACTATCAACTCATACCCTTTTTGTCCAATTACATTGCTACATGGCTGTCCATCCTTCACTGAACCTGAGCATAAATCTAGACAGTTTTGCCTGGGTCTTTGGGTCTTCATTCTGAAGGTTTCTGAGTCACATAAAACTTTAAGTAAATTTGTTATGTTTTTCTCTTGTTAACCTGTCTTTTGCTATAGGAGTGTCAGACCCTTATGAGGGGAGAGGAGAGATATCATACTTTTTCTACCTCTACACTTTTAATATCATTAATTTTCTAACAATGCCCAAATCTTCAGTACACCTCTCTCTCCTGAACCCTATACTTGTACAGCAACTTTCTATGTGACATTTCTTCTTAAATGTCTAATAAGTATATCAAACCTAGCATGTCCCCAGGAAACACTGATCATCTTTTCCTACTCTTCCCCCGAAGTTGTTCCTCCCTCAGTATTCCTCATCTCAAGAGAAGGTAAGTCCATTTTCTCTAATTGTTGAATAACCTTCTTTTCTCTTATATCCCACATCCAACCTGTCAGGGAAGTCTTTTTCTGCCTTCAAATCACACACAGAATCTGGCCACTTCTCATGGCCTTCACTGCTACCACCATTCTGAGCCACCATCACCTTTCGCTAGAATTACTGGAAAAGCATTCTCATTGGCCTTCCTGCTTCCACCACTGATAGCCCAAGCAGCTAGAGGGTCCTTTTAAAACATAAGTCAGATCATGAAACTCTACTCAAAATCTTTTAGTGCTTCTTCATTTCACCCTGAGTAAAATGAAATCCTTATAAAATCTCATGTGCTCTTACATGATCCATATTCCCAAACCATTTGCTTTTCAAAACTAATCTCCTACTCTTCCCCTTCCCACTCAATTTCCTCTAGTTCCCTGGCCTCTTAGCTGTTCCGTAAACACACCAGGCATATCCCTATCTCAGGGCCACCCTAACCACACCGCACCCACAATGTGCATAGCTAACTTCCTCTCTCTCTCTAAGTCTTTGCTTAAAAATAATTTTCTCGGCTGGGTGCGGTGGCTCACGCCTGTAATCCTAGCACTTTGGGAGAGCAAGGTGGGCACATCATGAGGTCAGGAGATGGAGATCATCCGGCCAACATGGTGGAACCCCTGTTGTACTAAAAATACAAAATTAGCCAGGCATGGTGGTGCATGCCTGTAATCCCAGCTACTCCGGAGGCTGAAGCAGGAGAATCACTTGTACCTGGGAGGCAGAGGTTGTGGTGAGCCGAGATCGCGCCACTGCACTCCAGCCTGGCAACAGAGCTAGACTCCATCTCAAATAATAATAATAATAATAATAATAATAATAATAATAATAATTTTCTCAAGGAGATCTATTTTGACTACTTTATTTTAAAATGTTACCCATGGCTAGGTATGGTGGCTCATGCTGTAAACCCAGCACTTTGGGCGACCAAGTTGGGAGGATCACTTGAGCCCAGGAGTTCAAGAATGGTCTGGGTAATATAGCAAGACCTTGTCTCTACAAATAATAATAATAATAAATAAATAAAAATTATATTAAATTAAAGGCTACCAGTATGGAAATGAATAAATGACACTCATGGATTTCTAAGACAAAATTCTCTAGAATCTTCTTTCGGCCACTTAGCACAACTGAAACCCCTTACCCCCGAGAACTTGATCTCTTCTGAGGGCCTAAGAACCTGAATGTACAGTTAAACTATCCTAAGCCATAACACACTGTTATGGCTTAATGAGCAGCTTATCAGAACTTAGATGATGAAAACAGTACATGGTTTCTCTATATTTTCCTGTTTCTTTCTCCTCTATCATAGTCCCACTATCAGGCAGATGTTCCTTGTATATCTGTAAGATGACAGCAGCAACTCCACATCTTCCATTCTCTCAAGATGAAGTCCTGCCTTCATCCCCCAATATTCCTAGCAAAGGTCTCTGACTGGGACAAGTGCCCATCTCATCTAATGAGACACACACACTGAGTAGCTCATTACTGGAGCTGGGGTGGAGCCAGTCCATCCAAGCCACAGACGGGAGCAAGGTGGAGGATTGGTTTTTCAAATAAAACAGGAATATGATTTTCAAAAAGACTAGCTCATCTCCACACAACCAGTATTCCCCATCCCGATGTCTGTACTTGCAACATCCTCTAGTGGGCCACAGCTCCATCATCACTTTACCCACCTTTGCACCTGCTAAGGGGGGGTCCTCCCCCTCTGGTACCAGAACCACTGGACTGACAGTTCCTGAGAGAAAGGGGCTATGTCTTGGTTATCTTTGTGTCCATCTCCCAGCACCGTTGTGGCACAGGGTAGACTTCCTTAAATGTGTGCTCACATGATATTTTTAGGCTGTCCCGCATGTTAGCTCTTCTTTTGGTTACTCAGCATCTCTTGAGCAGCCAATATCCAATTATCATAGTCCTTCTAGGACTCATTGCTAATTTCCACATCCCACTTCTCTGGCCCATAAGTCTAAATATGATATTGCAGTATAGTATTATTAATGCTGCTGCTGTTTTCTAATAAGAAGATAAAGTGTTTTAGGTCCAGTTTTGGGACTGACCATTTTTTCTCCTTGCAAGTTTGTTGACACTGGTGTCAATCACTGATGAGAGTTTGTACAAGTTCCTGGGTCTCATCTAACTCATTTTTGGGAAACTCTGTGTTAGATTTCTCTCTACTTTCATATTTCAACTGTATTGCATCTGTTCTTATCTCATCTGTGACAAAGATGAAACTGGCAACACCATTTACATTGCTGTAGCTGTAGTAACTAGCTGCCCTCAGGCTTATGCTCACCCTTGCATGGTGTAGAGTTGATGCTGAGAAGCGACAGCTCAGGTAGGAACTATAGTTCCCTACCTGAAGGTGATGCCAGTGAAAAATGGCCAAGGCAGTTAAGAAAGTGTGCTTCTCCACCTTCTATTCTGTTTGCCAGCTATATGAAATGGATGAGGAGATGACAGAATCAGAAGATGGAAGTAATCTGTGTCTCTGAATAACACATGGAACAAGGCTGCCCGTCAACGAGCAATACTAGGCTTTTATGTAACAAGATATTGTTTTCCATTTTATATATATTCTGGTAGAACAAACTCTCTCAGCTTGTTTTTTAGTTTGTTTTTTTGGAGGTGTCTTTGCTATTCTTATACATCTATATATCCTCTAGAATCAGTAAGTTCCCAAAATAAGTAAACAAAGACTTGGTTGAGAATTTGATTGGAATTGTTCTAAATCTGAAACTGCCCTTGCAAAGATTATGACAGTAAGAGAAATCTGACATAGTTGACTCTGTCTTGCTTTTAACCTCCAAGCTGTCCTTGGTCATTCCTGGGCATAGGCCAAGCTACTTCGGGTGGAAGTTATAGTTCAAATTTAAAGTGAGGATGATAGTAGCACTTCCCAAAACTTTGTAAAACTAATGAAAGTCTGCAAAGTTAGGATTATGAGATGTGCCTGAATTCTTATAAAATGTATTTTCTATAATCCCTTACTGCTCAAGGGTCACATGGCCAGAGGTCACAAGATTTGTCACTTCTCCAATTGCTCCTATAGGTAACATCACTACTGTGGAACCTGAGGTTGGTCTTTTGAGATTTTTTTTCAGACTTTTGCATTCCGGCAACCTATGGAACCAGGGCTCATAACTCAACCAGTCCTGTGGTTCCACCCAGAGGCAGACTCAGCCCACGAGGATTGTTTTTCACATCCCTATGAATTCATCCCCAGCCAGTCAGCAGCACCCATTCTCTAGCCACCTGCTCACCAAACTATCCTTGAAAAACCCTAACTTCCTGGCCGGGCGTGGTGGCTCACACCTATAATTCCAGCACTGTGGGAGGCCGAGGCGGGTGGATCACAAAGTCAGGAGTTTTAGATCAGCCTGGTCAACATGATGAAACCCCGTCTCTACTAAAATACCTAAAAATAGCCAGGTGTGTTGGTGCGTGCCTGTAGTCCCAGCTACTTCAGAGGCTGAGGCAGGGGAATCACTTGAACCCGGGAGGGGGAGGTTGCAGGGAGCCAAGATCATGCCACTACACTCCAGCCTGGTGAGAGAGTGAGACTTTCTCTCAAAAAAAAAAAAAAACAAAAAACGAAAAAGGAAAAAACCAAAAAACCCCTAGTCTCCAAGACTGCTGGGAGAGTGATTTGAGTAAAAACTCTGTCTCCGTGGTCTCAGTGAACTGATTTTGTCTGTGCAGCAGGCAGGAACAACCCATCAGGCAATTACCAATCTATAGGTCGATTTGCAGAAAAATTGATGTATCTAAATTAGTGAGTCTTACAATCTATAAACATGCTATACCTTTCTATTTACCTTAATGTCTCACAATAAAGTTTTGTACTTTTGTCCATAAAGTTCTTTATCTTTTCCCAATTTTTCTCCTTATGAACTTAATATTTTTAATAGTATTGCAAATTGTATCATTTTAACATTTCAGTTTCTGCCTGTTGCTGGGGTTAGGGCTCAGAATGCACCACTCCAAAATATTCCTCTCTAGCATATTGATTATTAACTATTTATTTAGAAAAACTGCCTGCACAGGAGTTAGCTCTGAAAAGCTGCCCTTTTGTAAAAGAAATTCAGATGTATACAATAAATTTTCACTGGTAAAGGTGTTTTTGATCAGGAAGAGAGCTGCTCCAAGGCAATTTTTATCCCCTGAGAGACTCTTATCTGCATAACAAGGCAACCTTTATTTACCATGTATTTACTATATGTTTCCTCCTCTCACGCTCCGGTAACTTGCACCACCACCCTCCAGAAGCCCCAAGCCTCTGTTTCTTTCTGTAGCTTAAGATGCTATATAAGCTTTATTCATCTGGCCTTTCTTTGAGTCTTATATTTTTGTGGGACTCCTATGTATACACACATACTTTAATACAGTTTTTCTTGTGTTAATCCGTCTTATGTAATTTAACTTGTAGCCCAGCCACAAAAAACCTAAAAGGGTGGAAGGAAGTCATTTTTCCCTCCCCTGTGCTGAAATATAAAAATAAATAAACCATATGCCAATTTTATATCTAGCAATTATTAATCTAAATAATTAATTTGCATGTTAGGGGCAAAGGGGAATTTCCCTTTCCCTTTAAGGTTTGAGTTTGCTGAAATTAACCGACGGTAGATTCACTGGAGAAAAAGGCAAGTTTATTGTATTCATGGGGGAATGACGAGAGAGTGACTACCCAGTAACCCAGCGAGGTTCAGAATCTATATACCCTTCTTCACAGGAGAGAGAGAGATGGGGGAATGTAGGCAATTTTGAGGAGTAGGAAATTGTTTTTAGGAGAGTTGAATGGGCCCAAAGAATTGACCATAGTTTGTGAATTATTCTCTTTGGAAACTCTTTGGATTATGACAAAGAATAGACAACAGCTTCTGACAAAGTCTGCTTAGGTGTGGTGACATCCCTCAGTCTTACCTTCTGCCATGAGTTTAATCTTCCCTGGTTAAGAAAGTCTCAGGGAGCTGACCAAAGACCACTGGATTCTTTCTGGAGGAGCTTCGGATAAGGTAACTTCAGAGAGGAAGAGTTTCATCCTGCACTTGGGGGCAAAACAGGAGAAGTTAAGAAAGTCCGTGGTTCTGAGGCTGATTCTAACACCCTTTCATTTTCTTTAGTTCAAAGACCTTAGCATTGGAGGGTGAGAGGGAAGTGAATGGTTAATGAGTAAAAAAATAGAATGATTAGGCCGGGCGTGGTGGCTTACACCTGTAATCCCAGCACTTTGGGAGGTTGAAGCGGGCAGACCACCTGAGGTCAGGTGTTGGAGACCAGCCTGGCCAACATGGCTAAACATCGTTCCTACTAAAAATACAAAAATTAGCTGGGCATGGTGGTACATGCCTGTAATCCCAGTTACTTGAGAGACTGAGGCAGGAGAATCACTTGAACCCAGGAGTCAGAGGTTGCAGTTAGCCGAGATCACGGCACTACACTCCAGCCTGGGTGACAGAGGAAGACTCTGTCTCAAAAAAAATTAAAATAAAAAAAAGAAAAAAAAAGAATGAATAAGATTTAGTATTTGATAGCACAAATATAGGGTGACATTCATCAATAATAATTTTATTGTACGTTTTAAAATAACTAAAAGAGTATGATTGGCTTCTTTGTAACATAAAGGATAAATGCTTGAGGGGATGGATACCCCATTTACCCTGATGTGATTAGGCCCTGGATGCCTGTATCAAAATAGCTCATGTACTCCATAAATATATACACCAAATTTGTACCCACACAAATATTGTTAAAAAATTTAAAAACAAGCAACAGAAAAAGCCCAGAGTGCTCCTCATTCCAAAGCACCACAGTTTGAAGTATTGTTTCTGAGTCCCGACACATTGTTTTTAGATTTTTCAATGTACACTATTATATCTGTAAATAGTGACAGTTTTGTTTCCTCTTTTCCAATTTTAAAATTCTATGATGGCCAGGCACGGTGGCTCATGCCTGTAAATCCCAGCACTTTGGTAGACCGAGTGGGATGGATCACCTGAGGTAAGGAGTTCGAGACCAGCCTGACAAACATGGTGAAAACGTATCCTTACCAAAAATGCAAATTAGCCAGTCATGGTGGCTCATGCCTGTAGTCTCAGCTACTCGGAAGACTGAGGCATGAGAATCTCTTGAACCCAGGAGGCAGAGGTTACAATGAGCCAAGATCAAGCCACTGCACTCCAGCCTAGGCAATAGAGTGAGAGTCAGTCTCAAAAAAGAAAGCAAAACAAAACAAAACAAAACAGAACAAAAAAACTCTGTGTTATCAGAGAGGGATATAGTCTTATTTTTTTAAATGGATCACCAATATTCTAAGTGCTATTGATTGAACAATTCATTATTTCCTCACCAGTTAGAAACGCCAGCATTATGAGATTTACTAAATCGCCATTGTTCATAGTTTACTTCTGAAGACTCTCTATTTCAATATTTTGTCTTCTGTGCTAGTAATACACAGTAGTACTGGTGAGGATAGACCAGTTATCAAAATGCTGTATGAAGATTATTTAATCAGAGTAAAGAGAAGCAAGTGGTCTTGAGGGATGTTTCATCAATGCCCCAGAAGAGCTTTATGAACTAGCCCATGCCACAATGACCAGAAAGCTAAAGGCTGTCAGATACAGGGTCTCTCTCCTCCAGACAGTGTTGGGCAAATCCTGTGAAACTGCTCTATATAGTCTCATTTCTGCTTTCGTGGCAAGTTTTCATCTTTCCGTAAAAACATCCTACTGTGTTCAATTTATTAGAATACATTGTCAGTTAAGCAAATGTATTTGCCTTAAACTAAATCTCCTCATGTGGTAAATATTTGTTGGCTGAGCTATACATTCTTCCATAACTGCCACTAATCACAACTACTTATTACTTTAGGTAGTGTGGTTTTTTTCTTCCTGGTTATCTTTGGAGGACTAGGTTAGTCTCTCACACTATGAAGGCATCTGTCTCTTCAGAATAAGGACACTTTTTTTTGCAGAATAAATTTCTGCATCTTGCCTTATCCTGCTGTCTGCGACATATTCTCTTCAAAAAGTTAAGATACAGGACATCGTTTTGCATTACAGCTCTACTGCTTATGAGTAATAAGACTTTTTTCATAGTACTCGGACAAACAGAGCATAACAGCTGTATTAGTCCATTCTTGCATTGCTATTAAGAAATATCTGAGACTGGGTAATTTATAAAGAAAAGAGGTTTAATTGGCTCACTGTTCTGCAGGCTGTACAGGAAGCATAGTGGTTTCTGCTTCTAGTGAGGCCTCAGGAAACTTCCAATCATAGTGGAAGGCAAAGGGGGAGCGAGGTGTCTCACGTGGTGGGAGCAGAAGCAAGAGAGAGAGGGAGGAGGTGCTGCACACTTTTGAACAATCAAATCTCATAACTAACTCACTATCACAAGAACAGCACCAAGAGGATGGTGCTAAACCATTCATGAGAAATCCACCCCAACGATGCAATCATGTCCCACCAGGTACCACCTCCAACACTGGGGACGATAATTTGACATGAGATTTTGTGGAGACACAGATCCAAACCATATCACCAGCAGACTGGATATTATAAACACATGGCCTGTTACGTGAGGCTATAAACACAAGAAATTATGAAATCCACAGAAGTGGTCATAATAATAAATACCTGTCAGAATGGTTGTGTGAATTAAACAAGAATAACTGAGCATGAAGTTCAAAAAGAGTTCATTTCTGGCTGGGTGCAGTGGATCATGCCTGTAATCCCAGCACTTTGAGAGGCTGAGGTGGGCAGATCACGAGGTCAAGAGATCGAGACCCTCCTGGCCAACATAGTGTAACCCTGTCTCTACTAAAAATACAAAAATTAGCCAGGCATGGTGGGGGGTTCCTGTAATCCCAGCTACTTGGGAGGCTGAAGCAGGAGAATTGCTTGAACCCAAGAGGCGGAGGTTGCAGCGAGCCGAGATCACGCCACTGCACTCCAGCCTGGGCAACAGAGGAAGACTCCATCTCAAAAGCAAAAAAAAAAAAAAAAGAATTCATTTCTCTTTTCTTGGCAACTTGGCCAATTATAAAGCAGATAGAAGTCAAGGATGTTAAAATCTAGGTATTAGATCTCAACTCAGCTTCTTGCCATGGATTAGTCAGTTTTGCTTAATTATATAAAAGGCTTTTGAGGCCTTTCTGCTCAGGAGACCTATTAAGACAGAAAAACTATGAAATCTACTGCATCACACCTTGTTGATAGACTGTATACGCAACTCCTCCTATTGCCTTCATTAACAGGTCCCTAAATTTAGCTGATTTTGGAGTTCTGAGAAACGTACGTACTAATTTCTTCCCTTGCCTTACTGAAATACAGACTGGAGTTCCAAGTAGCTTCTCCTTCAATAAAAACATATATAATTTCAGCTGGGCTCAGTGGCTCACGCCTGTAATCCCGGCACTTTGGGAGGCTGAGGCGGACGGATCACCTGAGGTCAGGAGTTCGAGACCAGCCTGAGCAACATGGAGAAACCCTGTCTCTACTAAAAATACAAAATTAGCTGGGCGTGGTGGCACACGCCTGTAATCCCAGCTACTTGGGAGGGTGCGGCAGGAGAATCCCTTGAACCCGGGAGGCGGAGGTGGTGGTGAGCCGAGATAGCATTATTGCACTCCAGCCTGGGCAACAAGAGTGAAAGTCCATCTCAAAATAAATAAATACATAAAAATAAATATAAATAAATGAATATGGCTGGGCACGGTGGCTCATGCTTGTAATCCTAGCACTTTGGGAAGCCGAGGCTGGTGGATCATGAGGTCAGGAGTTCAAGACCAGCCTGGGAAAGATGGTGAAACCCCTACTCTACTAAAAATACAAAAATTAGCTAGGCATGGTGGCCCATGCCTGTAATCCCAGCTACTCGGGAGGCTGAGGCAGAGAACTGCTTGAACCTGGGAGGCGGAGGTTCCAGTGAGTCAAGATTGCGCCACTGGATTTCAGCCTGAGTGACAGAGCCAGACTCAGTCTCAAAAACAAATAAACAAACACCAAAAAACCCGTATAACTTTAATGGTGGAGACAAAAACAGATTATGCTGTAATCTTTACATAATAGTGATTCAATTTTTTTGACCTTGCTAATAACTGCTTTAAGGAAAAACTACACTTAATTAAATTAACAATTCTGAAATGGAAACTCAATTTGCAAACTAAGTATTTCTCCTAACCTGAACATGTATAAACCAATATGCATATATACAAAATCACACATGAACCCAAACACACAGTAATGTATAGAAAAATACAGAATGTCAGAGCTGAAAGAGATCTTTTGTCTATAATCTTCACTTTAGTGATGAGGAGTAGAAGGATAAGGTGATTTGCCAAGCTCCAGTAGCAAGCTTATGATAGACACTAAACCCCAAGTTTCTGCATATTTGCAGTGATGTCATAGGCACTCTGTGTGATGCTGGTGAATATTTCAGGTGTGAAATAGTAAGCATAAAATTAGCATTACCTGGGAATCTGTTTAAAATCATTGACAGGCCTGAGAGTTTTCCATACGGCCTGCACCCTAACCTCTGGGAAGAAAATATCCACAATGAAATTTCTACAAGATTAGAGGAAGGAGAGAGGCAACGGGGATTCCATTTCTACTAGGAGTATCAACCTCTGAGAGAAAAATATCCATCTCTGTGGATGTCATCTGCTCTGCAGAAAACCCTTTCCTGGAACTCCCAGGTATTTAAAAAAAGAGTCAGATATTAGAGCTAGAGACAGAAGGCTCACACACAGTCACCCAGAATCCCTGAGCACCAAGAATTAGAACATTTCTGGAAGATAGGCTCTATACATGGAAGAGTTGGGAATCTTTATTTTGAGGCAGAGAAATATGTGGGGGAAACATAAACTCTACTCCCTTAAAATTGAAATGCTCTCATTTTTAAAAACAGCGTTTAAACAGACATTTGTATTTAAGGAAGTGAAAATATTTTCTAAGATGCAGGTCATATGAATCTGTCAATTCCCTTCTGAGTTAAGTCACTCTAAAAAGGGGTTGGCAATCATGCCTGCCTCATCTCAAGGCTATGGGTGAGTGGCAGTTGAACTGATAGATGCAAACACCTCAGAGATGAAAGTTTTTAGTTTAACTGGTCTGCTTAGGTAAGGAGCAAGAATCACTTTGGGGTTTGGAAATAACCTTGTACATAGGATAATCCCATAAAGGGTTGAGAGGGTGGTAGCCATCTCCGTTATTGACAAGGAGGTGGAAGAAGGATGTGAGAACACTTGTTGCCATGAGTACACGAAGAATAAGTGTAGAAATGGCAGGAGGGGAGAACTGCGAACACTAAGTGTTGGGCCAAGACTTCTTAGGAACAGGACAAGGGACCATGGCTTGCTCTTTTGACTCTGCTCTTCTTTGAAATGCTTTCACAAGAAACATGAATCTGATATGGACCCTCCTCCTCTTCCTCCTTTTGGACCTAACTGTCTTCACTCCAGCCCTGCCCTTCTTAACACGACATATAGACAACCCCAGGTCGTGGGTCCCTAGAGGACACCACCGATACTGTGATGTGATGATGAGGCGCAGTTGGCTGATCTATAGGGGTAAATGCGAGCAGATCCACACATTCATTCATAGAATCTGACCACCATAGCAGATTTCTGCAGAACTCCACCACTGCCCTGTACCAACAGCCCCTCCATGTGCAGCTGCCGCAACAGTACTCATGATGTCAATGTCACTGACTGCTTTGCCAGCGCAGGGACCCGACCTCTTCACTGCCACTACCAAAAATAAGAAGGAGTCCACCAGGCCCATGCGAGTGGGCTGCAAGAAGGGGGCATCTGTTCACCTGGATGGCTAGGTTCCTCCTGACACCGGCACCTGAATGACTTGCACCCTGCGCCTTCAAATCTTTGCAGCACTGTCAAAGTCTTCTTTGTAAATGCTTCTTCCCTTGCACGTGGACCCCTCATTTTTCCCAGACACATATAGGCTCCCGCGTCTTTCTTACAGCCTGTTCCCCACCAACCCCACGTCCCCTATCCCTGCCACAGTGTCAGGGCTTTTGGTGGAGGATAAGGTGGCAGTGGAGGGTTGGGAGGGAGCCTGAATTACGGAAATAATTCTCTGGAAAAGGCTTGCTCCAACCAAGCTGCTAGACAAACCCCTTCTCCTGGGACTGATCTTCCCACCAGCTGCTCTCATAAAACCTCCTGATGGCTGGCGCTACATGTCCTGGATCATAGGGTCCTTCTGCATTCTGCCAGACGTTCTGTTCCTTTCTCCTCAATGGACTCCTTCGGAGGGTATTAGGGACGATACCCTGGTGGGAAACCGCTTCCTTTAGGGAACCAAATCCCTGTGGCTCCCGGGGTGTCACCAGAAGAAGCCGCTGCTAGAGAAGTGGGAGGAGAAGGGGCAACTCCGCCCCGCCCAGAGCCTCAGTGGTCTGCCAGTTCCCGTGGCCGTTGTATTGGCCGGCAGGGGGCGCCGCGCTGCATGCTTCCTGCAGGCCAAGAGTCCAAAACTTCTTGGTTCCCTTTAAGACAGCGTGAGATGGGCTGCGAGTTTCTTGGTTGCTGACAGGGGTAGAGAATAATAGGTGAATAAACAGAAAATCCAGCCAGCATAAATACAGTCTAAATGTTGAAGAACAGATTTCTGAGTCTACCATAACTTTCTTGCAGTCCGTCACTTTAGTGTTGAACCTGCCACCTTCAGATTCACACTGCAGCACCTCAGGTAAGAAGGAAAGGAAGTGAATATGCACTGAGGACCTACTTGTGTTATGAGCTTTACAGTTCAGCTCACTAGAAAAGAGTTATTCCTTTCTTGGAAGTAAGGGCCTCAGGCCCTAAAGCTCTACAAGGTCCTAGAGCAGGTGGCAATACCAGCCAGGCTGTGTCCTTCCCTTCAGGGTCATGAGGTCCTCTAGGCCCAGGCATGTCCAGAGGTTCTGTCTGAGAGCCAGGGACCAAAGTAAAAAACCTGGGAAGTTTACGTGGTGTTCTGTTTTACTGTGGCTGAGCTTGCACTCAAGCCATGAGATGGAGTCCTTCCAGTCTTCCTTCACCTTTCCATGGGCAGAGGAGCCTCTCCCCACTGCTACCTCCAACACAGGCTCAAGAGGAATACTGCCAGGCTACTGCCAATGTTCCCTTAAGGCCCCGGAGCTCTGCAGTCAGCTTGTGGTGAATGCTGCCTGGCCTGGGACTCACCCTTCAGGGAAGTGGATTCCCCTCTGACCCAGGGCAGGTCCAGAAATGCCAGCCAAGAGCCAAGATCTGGAATTGGGGATCCAAGAGCCGGCTTGGTGCTCTACCCCGCTGTAGCTGAGCTGCTATCTAAGCTGCAAGACAGAGTCCCCTTTACTTTTCCCTCTGCTTTTCTCAAGCAGAAGAATTGTCCCTTCATGACTGCCCCAGCTGTAAGTATGGTGGGTCTCACCTGAAGCCAGCATATCTCAGAGTCTCACCTAAGGCCCATGGAGTGTGCTACTGGGTATTGCTGCTGGTTATTTAGGGCCTGAGGGTTCTTCAGTCAGCAGGTGATGAATCCTGGAAGGACTAGGTCCTTTCCTTCTAGGCAGTGGGTTTTCTTCTGGTGCAGGGTGTGTCTAGAAATGTCCTTCAGGAGCGAGTGCCTGAAATGGTGGCTTCATGACTCTGACTGGTGCCCTATCCTATTGTGGCTGAGCTGATCTTTACGATGTAAGACAAAGTCCTAGTTACTCTTTCCTCTCCTTTCCTCAAGCAGAAGGAAGGAGTCACTTTCATTGCTGTGAGCTGTGCTGCCTGGGGTTGGGGGAGCGGTTGTGCAAGCACTCCCTTAGCTGCCCTGACAAGTGTCACACTAGTGGTGTCTAGGTCCACTGGCTCTGAGCTCAGCACAGCACTGGGACTTGCCTTGTAGTTGTAGTTCTTGTGGCCTAGATTGAGTTTCAAATATATTTAGGACCCCAGAGCACTTTAGCCTACTGTGGCAAAGCTTTCCCAAACTCAGTGTCTGACCGCTGGGATAGGCAATTCCCCTTTGGCTAAGGTGGTCTAAATGCTCCTTCTGTGGATGGGCTGTGACAGGGCAGCACTGAGTTCAATGCAGATTTCCACAATTGCTAAACTCTCCCTCCCCCATGCACTCAGATTCTGTCTCAGCTCCATGTGGTGGCTGTTGGGAGATGGGGGAGTGGTGGCCTCAGTGATTCAAAATTGTCTTTCCTAACCTCTTCAGTGCCTCTTTCAGTGATATGAAGTTAAAATAGGTACTATGATTGTTGACTTGATTTTCATTTCCTATGTAGGTGCTTTTTTGTGTGTAGATAGTTGTTGTTAAATGTGGTGTTTCTGCTGGTATGTGTGGGGGTGCAATCAATGGACACTTCTATTGGGCCATCCAGCTCAATCCCTTCTTCTTGATTCTTTGGCTATCTGAGGAGTTAAATATATCCCCATTCATTAACCTAAAACAGTTTCTTAAGCATTTGTTCAGTGTCTTCTGAACCCAAGGGTTATAGCAATAAGACCAAGTCAATTCATACCCCATGATGAGCTTCAGCTAAGCCCTGCACAAATTCTCCCTACATATAAGTGAAGTGTTGCTATAGCCTGACAGGTCAGTTGTGTACACTTGGATATCAATAGGGTCAACTGAATAGAAGCCTCATATCAAGACATAAATGCTGGATAATAGGTGTATGTAGCTAGAATCATCTGGGTAATAATGCAAATGGTATCATCGCTTCCTGTGCTTTGGAATTTCCCCACACTGAGATTACTTCCGATGTACATGAAGGCTTCTGAAGCCAGAGTTTGGTAAAAAATGGATCTCAAAGTTGGGCTGGAGACAGGTTGTTTCAGAACCACTTGAGGAAATGCTTGAAAATGCAGAATCCTGAGCTCCATGTGCAGACGTTCTGTATGAGTATATCCGGAATGGAGCCCACGGATCCATAGTGCAAAACTTCCCCCAGGTGATCCAAATGGAAACTACACTAAAGTTTGAAGTTTTTTCAGGTGTGGCACTTACAGGCTGGCAGAAAACACTATCAATGAATTTGTGTATAATATTTGATTATATAGTTTATTATTATCGAAAATTGGTCATTAGTCATTAGGGATTGATTATGAGTATCCCAGTGATACAAAATTGATGACCTATGTGCTAGTTTCTATATGTCACTGCTTACCCATAGCTTCCTTTTAAGATTTAAAGAATTTTGTCCTCTTGCTTTTCTGTTTGGCTAGAGGCAGTTGGGGGCATGAGGAAAAATCCTTCCTGTTCCAGAAATACTGAGGAGTGAACTGTTACATTCATACTTACTGAGTATCCTGTCCCTTTAGTTTTTTCACAAGTCAGCTAACCCAGACAGTCTGAGGAACACTAATTCATAAGAATACTTAAAATAACCCCTCAGGCTTTTTTTTGCTAGTCTTTTGTCCTACCAAATGCAAAGACAGTTTTGAAGGTCAGGCCAAAATAGCTTCCTCACTAAAAATACAATTAGATATTACTATGGAGTCTTACAGGAATAATGATCAAGCAGATGAAACTATGAAAAGTTTTGTACATGATGTAATTATATTTCGTTTATTCAATTAATCAAGTATTCAGAATATTCCCATATAAGCAATCAAGTAACTCACATACATAAACCAAGTGAACCACATATATGCCTCTTTAAAACACACACACACACACACACACACACACACACACACACACAGACACATTCATTCTTTATTGCAGACTCATAGATTGCAAAGTGTCTGAGATAGATGGCCGTTTGATGCAAGCCTGTTATTTGGAGATGAGTAGCAGAATATAAGGATAATTTGCTCAGATTCCACATCCAACTGGCAGGCCATCTGCACTGAATCCCCCAGAGATTTGCCCTGAGACTTTTATTGATACAGTCAAGATCATGTAATGGCCCTCTACCACAATCCTAAATATGGGTATGCACTATATTTTGAGAAGTGTGTGTGGTAGAAAAATTGTTCAAGGAAATTGCTGGATCTCAAGAGCTTTGATTGTGGTTGAACATCCAGATCTTTTGTCCTGTAGTGACACGTCCTGGGTCTTTCACACACCTTTCCTGTAATAAAGAGGTAATGGACTCAGAGGATTTCAATACCACAAAGCAGATCGGCTTTCAAAGCACAAGGTTCTTAGAGCTCCTCAGCTAGCAGGTCTCACGCTCTGTCTTACTCTACCTGCTGACTTGGGATAGTCACACTCTTCCTCCGAGGTGAGAAGGGGAGGGACAGACACATGTAATACGGGCCAGTTTAGAGCCTCACTCTGTGACCAGGTGGCTGGACTGGAGAAGGAAGAGAGCAGGAGATGGAGTGAGGGATAGCTCCATCACTGTCTGATTCCCAGCTGTAGGGTGATGGGTGTTGGGCTCAGGGACCCTCAGCCTTCCAGGTCATCCAGTGCTGCCTTATTATGGTTCTTTTAGTTTTACTTGATTGCTTCTCCTTTGTTTGAATGTTGTAATAGTAGGGAGTCTGTGGTTAACAAATATATGCATCTTTACGAATATAGATATATGCACATAAGTGCATATGCATATGTAGAATGCATATACATTCATATGGTGAAAATGTAAACTCAATTATTAAAAAAGGGTATCTAGTGAAAAAGATGTCTTCATTTACCTTTGTTTATCGAGGCTAGGTTTGTATTCCAGGAAGAATAATTATTCAGTTTTTTAGTACTCTTTCTATAATATATATACTGAATCTAAGCATATATGTGGTAGTACATATAAGCATACTCACTTTTCCTCATTTATACAGATTTCTTCGTATAATTCCTCTATGTCCCCCCTCAGTAACATGCTCTATTTAAAAACTAAAATAATAGTGTTTGCTGTGGACTGAATTATGTCCCTTAAAAATTCATATATTGTAGTCCTAACCCCCAGTCTCACTGTATTTGGAGGGAGAGCCTATAAGGATAAACTTAATGTTAAATGACATCATAAAGGTGGAGCCTTGATTCAAGAGGATTAGTATCCTTATAAAAAGAGACACCACCAGCTGGGTTGGTGACTCTCACTTGTTATCCCAGCACTTTGGGCACCTGAGGCAGGAAGATCGCTTGAGGCCAAGAGCTCAAGATCATTGTGGGCAACTGGGACAGTTTGGATATTTGCCCCATCCATATGTGATATTGGAATATAATCCCCAGTGTTGGAGGCAGGCTTGGTGGGAAGTGATTGGATCTTGGGGCTGGATTTCTCGTGAATCAGCGCCATTCCCTTGGTGCTGTTCTCCTGATAGTGAGTGAGTTCTCGTGAGATCTGGTTGTTCAAATTGTGGTACATTCCCCCTTGCCCTCTTGCCCCAGCACCTGCCATGTCAGACCCCTGTTCCCCCTGTGCCTTCCACCATGATTGGAAGCTTCCTGAGGCCTCCCCAGAAGCAGGAACTGCTATGCTTTCTGTAAAGCCTGCAGAACTGAGAGCTAGATTAACCTCCTTTCTTTATAAATTACCCGGTTTCAGGTGTTTCTTTGTAACAATGTGAGAAAGAACTAATACAGGGGCAAACTTCTCATGAATGGTTTAGCACCAAATCCTTGGTGCTGTCCTGGAGAAAATGAGTGAGTTCTTCTGAGACTGGTCATTTAAAAGTTGTGATACCTCCCCCTACGACTTCCAACTCTCTCTTGCTCTTGCTTTCCCCATGTGAAGTGCCTGTTCCCGCTTCATCTTCTGCCACGATTATAAGCTTCCTGAGGCCTTCCTAGAAGCTGATACCAGGGCTATACTTCCTGAGCATCGTACAGAACCATGAGCCAATTAAACTTCTTTTCTTTATAAGTTACCCAATCTCAGGAATTATTTCATAGCAATGAAAGAACAGCCTAATACAGCAATATAGCAAGATGCCATCTCTACAAAACAAAACAAAAAACAAAAAACAAACAAACAAAAAAACAAGAGACACACCAGAGAGCTTACTTCTTCCTCCACTATCTGAGGACACAGTGGTGGGGGAACAACTGTCAGCAAGCCAGGAAGGGAGACCTCACTGCAAACTGAACCTGCCAGATCCTTCATCTTGAACTTCCCAGTGTCCAGAGCTGTGATTGTGATATTGTGATTTATAATGAGAAATGCAACTTCTGGGCATGGTGGCTACAGCCTATATTCCCAGCTACTTGGAAGACTGAGGCAGAAGGATGCCTTGAACCCCGGAGGTGGGGGTACAGTGAGCTATGATGGCACCACTGCACTCCGGCCTGGGTGACCGAGTGAAATCCCATCTCTAAAAAAATATATAGCATATATTTAATGTTCCTGCCTGTTTCCTGACTCAGAGCCCCTAAAACTCTTAAAATTTCTGAATAAGTGTCTAATGAAGTACATTAATGAGACGAGTGGCACCTGTGTAGTCTCAGGAGGGGTCTGGTTGCTAGCAGAGCTGAGCAAGTGATTAGAGGGTTAAAACATCCATTGCTACCCCAGCTAACCCCCTGGAAGGGGGATTGAAGGTTGAGTTGATCAGCAGTGGCGAATAATTTCATCAGTCATGCCAACGTAGTGACACCTCCATAAACCCCAAGAGGAGAGAGAGAGACTTTGGTAAGTTTCTGGATTTGGTGAATGATATGGTTTGGCTCTGTGTCCCCACCCAAATCTCATGTCAAATTGTAATTACTAATGTTGGGGGAGGTACCTGGTGGGAGGTAATTGGATCATGGGGGCGGATTTCCCCCTTGCTGTTCTCGTGATAGTGAGTAAGTTCTTACGAGATCCGGTTATTTAAAAGTGTATAGCACTTCCCCCTTCACTCTTTCCTGCTGCTATGTGAAGATGTGCTTGCTTTCCCTTCACCCTCTGCGATGATTGTAAGTTTCCTGAGCTCCCCTCAGCCATGCTTCCTGTGCAGACTGCAGAACTGCGAGTCAATTAAACTTCTTTCTTCATCAATTATCCAGTCTCAGGTAGTTTTTTTTGTTTTGTTTTGTTTTGTTTTATTTTGAGATGGAGTTTCACTCTTTTTGCCCAGGCTGGAGAGAAATGGCATGTTATAGGCTCACTGCAAACTCCGCCTCCCGGCTTCAAGTGATTCTCCTCCCTCAGCCTCCTAAGTAACTGGGATTACAGGCCTGTGCCACCACACCCAGCTAATTTTGTATTTTTAGTAGAGTCAGGGTTTCACCATGTTGGCAAGGCTGGGCTCAAACTCCTGACCTTAGGATCTGCCCACGTTGGTCTCCCGAAGTGCTGGGATTACAGGCATGAGCCACCGTACCCAGCGTCAGGTAGTTCTTTATAGCAGTGTGAGAACAAATGAATACAGTACACAAGAACATATCCCTGTGCTGGGAGGGTGGCACACCCCAATTCCACAGGGATAGAAGATCCTGCACTTAGGACCCTTCCAAGCCTTGCCCCATTATCTCCCTGTCTGTACCTTTAGTATATCCTTAATGATAGATGTATAAACCTAAGTAAAGTGTTTCCCTGGGCTCTGTGAGCCATTCTAGCAAATGATCAAACTGAGGAGGAAGTCACGGGATCCTCCAAACTATAGTTCATTGGTCAAAAGCACAGATAATGATCTGCTACTTGAGACTGACAGTCTTGTGGGACCAAGCCCTTAACCTGTGGGGTCTGCATTCACTCCAGTTAGTGTCACAATCCAATTGAATTTTAGGATACCCAGCTGGAATCGGTTGCTGCAAGAAAGCACCCTCCCACATTTGGTGGCCAGAAGTGTGAGTGTGAGTATGGAGGAGAAGAGCTGATGTTTCCTCAACTGGGAGAAAGAAATTTCTGTTGTTTTGGAATACTCATTTGTGGTATTTTGTTATAGCAGCCTGGGTAGATTCTTACAGTGGCCTACACCATTCTTCTTTCTCATTAACAATATATTTCGGTAATATTCCATGCCAGTAGGAAGAGATTAACCGTACTTTTTTTGCATTAAAAAATACTGCATAAAATTCCCTTGTAAAGATATACAATCCTATTTTAACCAGTTCTGCAGGATATATTATTTGTTTCTAAATTTACTATTTTAAACAATTCTGAACAGTATATTCTGAATGAAAGACCGACACTGAACCCCATATATTTGCTATTGCATTGTGGTTAAGAAGTCACGCTTGTACTATCCAGGGTGCTAGGATCTGCTGTACTGAAGCTCCTGCATAGCTGTGAAGTGTGGGAGCTGTGGGTGAAAACAGTAAATCCTTCCAGTTGCACGTGTGTGTCACTTAACGAAAGAATCGTGGGAAAGTAAAAGTTGTCACCACAAAATAGCAACTGTAGTGGGAGAATGTCTCTGTCATTTTCTGTGTAATGAAAAATCTGGTAATATCTGTGCACTGAGATTCACAGGTATTGGGTTAGACTAAAATCTTTAACACCAGAAAGGGTGAACTTAATACCTATTTTTATATGTGGAGGAAGAACATGGGCAGTGGGAAGGGTAACTGACTTTTTTTCATTTTCATTTTGAGTCTCTTTGTCTTTGAGATAACTACTTATTACCAAAGGATTTTGGCAAATTTTTCTGTCATTTGTAAAAAGGCAAATGAAGAATCCTTCCTTTCTCATTATTAGCTGTGGCCTGATTCTTGGCTGCACTCCAGGTGAACGTGATGTCACAAAGAAAATGAATCTCTGGTGAACTGAGAGATGCACTGACCTGGTGAATGTATGTGGGTTCTGGCTGATGGTGCCATTTTGGTAACATCTTCTGGTGCACCTGGGAAACCATAGGTCATCATGATGTTGAGTTTTATATTTCAAGTTGCCTGGGCCTGTGGGTGCCCAGATTAACATTATTTCTGGCTGTGTCTCTGAGGGTATTTCTGTAAGACTAGCAGTTGAATTGGTTGATTAAGTAAAGTAGGTTGCATTTCCAGTGTGGATGGGGCTCATCCAATCTGTTGACGGCCAGAATAGATTGAAAAGTAGAGAAAGGCGGAATTCATCACTTTTTCTTGCCTCACTTCTTAAGCTAGGACATCTTATGTCATCTTCCTGTAGTTGGGTTGACATTTACATCATCAGCTTCCATGGTTTTTGGGCATCGGGACTCGAACCAAATTATCCCACCAGCTTTCCTGGGTCTGCCAGCTTGCAGAGGGCAGATTATGGAACTTCACAGACTCCATAATTGCGTGAGCGAGTTTCTCATGATAAATCCTTCTGTATCTATATTTCTATCTATCTGTGTCTACCTAAATCTTTTATGTTTCTCTTGATGATCCTGACTAATACAGTCATATTTTCTAACTCAGTGGGGATGTGTGATAAGCATGTAATGTGCTCAGTTTCCCAGATATTCATTTGGGTAACCTGGCTGGCCCTATATTCTAAATTATCTCACATCAGCCAATTTTACATCCAAAATAACTTTGAATAATGAGAATTTTGAAGTAGTCTACTGATCTTCTTTTGAAATCACTATAGGTCAGAACTGAGACAAAAGTGACAACTCTGTCATAATTCTAAGTGCATTTTAAGACAAACATTTATTAACCAAAATCAAGTTTTAGTTTAAAAACAAGGCTGTTTTTCAGAGGTAATTTGAAATAGAGATGTAGACAGAGTTTCTATGCTCCTATCCTTACTAATTGCCTCACTCCCTTATGTAATTGGAGTGGAAACAGCTCATAAAATGTGAGTATCAGCTGTGCTCAGTGGTGTGTATTTATAGTCTCAACAACTGGCAAGACTAAGGCGAGAGCATTGCTTTAGTCTAGAACTTCAAGTCCAGCCTGAGCAACATAGGGAGACTTCATCTCTAAAAATGAACTAAGAGGCTGGGCGCGATGGCTCATGTCTATAATACTAGCCCTTTGGGAGGCTGAGGTGGGCGGATCACCTGAGGTCAGGAGTTTGTAGACCAACCTGGCCAACATGGCGAAACCCTGTCTCTACTAGTAATACAAAAATTGCTCTGGAGGTTGAGGCAGGAGAATCGCTTGAACCTGGGAGGCAGAGGCTGCAGTGAGCCAAAACTGCACCACTGCACTCCAGTCTTGGCAAAAAAATAAAATAAAATAAAATAAAATGAACTAAGAAACAAACAAAAAGTCAATATCAGGCAAAATCGATTACAATATTTAGCCTAGATCCCTCTCCTCTTCTCTCTTCTGCCCTGACAATGAGGTCTTCTTCCTTCTCTTCTGGAAAGTCAATTCATGGACATCTTGAAAGACAAAGCCTGTTGTTTTTTCATTAAAATACTTGATCTACTTGGATATCCTTGAACATTGCAGGCTACTCTGCTGGTGGGGTCTCATATTCTTGAATCCCAAGTGTAGTCATAATCTCTGCAAGTGTGTCTCCCCAAGGTTGATGATTTGCCTCCTTGACCTTCCATTTAACCCTACATAAAGACATCTGCCCTGATATGTTCCCAATTATTAAAAAGTGAAAGCAATAGCATTGTGAATTAACCTTCCTTCTGTGCTGGACTTTACAGAATGTGTTAGAGCTGGTAGCTGAAAAAACTAGGGCTTGTTTCCCTGGTGAGTAACAAAGACTCTCTATGAGAACGTACATTTTGATAAATAAAAGTTTTGTTACTTGGTTCAAGTAAGAAGGCCACTGGGAGTATTCTCCAAAGCAGTGTCTTCCTGATGGAAAGTGAGAAGAACATTCTATGTGGTGATGGAGAGGGCAGAGGGTGTATCATCACTTGTAGAGGAGGAGTCCCAGTTGCCCATACACAGTGAGTGATTCTGCCAGCACATAGTTCACATGTCATGGTAATGAGGCTATAGCTCCTCCTTGGGTGGAGACTTTAGCATGGTAATGAGGAATGTTCATCCTAATTTGTCTGTAAGTTGCTGGGTTATGCCAGGAGCTGGTTCCCACCAGCAAGCTTGTAAAACAGGCTGATTGCTCAAGTTGGTTAAATTCTTATAATCCCTGGAGACCCTCCCTGCCTGCTTATAGAACAATTAACTGCATTTACTCCTGCAAGACTTCCTGAAGATTTGATATGAAGAGAATTTTATAAAATCAGACATGGGAGGTTCAAGGAAAAGAAGTGGAATCCAAGGATCACGTCTTTGGAACATGCTGACGTGACTACTTAACTTCTCTAATGGTAGTCTCTGTGGTGCTGGCCTTGGGTCCAGGGCAATCAGAAAATCTTGGATGTCTACTGCAGAAGGGGCAGTGAGTCCAGCCAGGGTTTCCTGATGGTCAAGCACAGAATCCTCCTTGGTCTTGTTTGAATCGTCTCACGTCCTGGGAGAGGGGAGCTGCCTCTGACCTCAGCCCAGTCATCAGCATGGGGATGGCAGGAAGATGATGTGGAAGGCATGGAGGGGCTGGAGAGAGGCCATGGCAACAGGGAGGGGAATAGCATGGGGCTGCAGCATGAGAGGATGATGGTGAGATTCACTGAGATTGGAAGACTCTTGTTTCCCTCTGCCTCAACCTGTGGTCCTTCACTGGGACCTTGCTTCCACTCTTGTCTCCTAAATAGTTGTGTTCTGCACAGAGGCTGGACAGATCTTTAGGCAACGTTATTCTTGCATGTAACATGCTCAATTTGTGCCCCATGAGGAACTTACTTTATTCTTCTATCTTCACAAGCATGAAGGGTCTGAACCTCATTAACTCCTATCATTAATACTCATGGCTATGATGATCTTGTCCTGACCAAACAACTTTTGTGCTTCTAACATGCCAAACCTCTATTCATTCAGGACCATTTTTTAAAAATGAAAATGTTTTATTACATTAAGGAATAAATACATACAAAGATGCAAATAGTTGTAGTCATTTTCTTGCAGATGTTTTAATTAACTTATTGTAAGCACTGAACTGAAGTCTACTTATAGCCTTGATATTTGTGAGGAATTTTGAAGTCTCCTTCTCTTTGCTGGGATGATTTTCCATCTGGTGTCTGTATGACTGGCTGCTTTTCCTCCTGTTTAGATTTCATTCTCTGAAATGGGTCTTTCCTGGTCACACTTTGCTCTGTCACTTCTGAGGCACATACAGAACCTCTATATTGTGTCGCTCTGTGTAGTTTTCTGCTTACTAGGCTGTGTATTTTTCCTCCTGACACTTAGCAAAATTTTGTATGCTTAGAACAATTTTGTATGTTTATTTTTATCCTTGTATAATGTGGCCCCAAAAGAGCAGTGACCTGTCTTGGTTTGCGTTGCGTCATCACTCCCTCAAACTGTGCCTGGAGCAAGGTATCTACTCAGTAGATGTCTGCTGGATGAATGAATGAGTGAAGGATGAATGACAGGAGAGGAGATGAAGTCACAAGGTGGAGAGGGCATGGGGGCAGGTGGGGACTGATCCCTCTATCCTATGGTTTTAGAGACGGGGCATCCCTGACTGAGAAGACACCTGTGATCTGGTACCTGAAGTGAGGAAGGTCCATTCCATCTCTCTTCACAGGAAACGTGGCTCCAGCTTTCAGAGTCCCACCTTCTCCTTCTGCTACTTGGAGGTTGTGGGAAGACTGCACTCACTTCCTAATATGCCCTATTTTACCTAGAGTCAGTGGATTCTATTGAGCACCAGGATTTCGTGAAATCTGTGTCCCTGTGCAAACTTTAAAGTTCACAGCCCTGCCACACCCTTGGAGAAGCAAGATCTCAATAGCTTCTCCAGAGGAGAGACTTCAATACTGCTGCTGTCTGATGCCAATGAGAGCTACTATTACTGACATGGAGTCATCTGAGGAATGGAAATTGCTATTTCTGAGGGTCTGGAAGAGGAGCAGAAATATAGAAGTCAGAACTCTCAGACTGAAGGACCAAGGTGCAGATCTGATGGCATTGTATCTCTGTTGTATGGCCAAGAGTCAGGCCATTCAAAAAGACCCACTCTGTCCCCGGCACAATCACTTGAATGCTGCACCTGTCCACAGCTTGCAAGAAAGGGCTTCCCCTTCCTGTTTCTCATGGATTCCTGAGTGAAGCCCTGTAATGGAGTCCAGGGCAAGGGCTCTCATTATCCATTTCTTCTCTCTCTGGGTCTACAAATCCCTAATTCTTGAGGCTGTGCCCTACCTGACAGGTGTTGAATGAACCCTTTGACTCACCTTTGGGGACAACTGTGGAGGGCAGAACGGGCAGGAGCCAATTCACCTTCATGAGTGATCCCACTCCCCAGTCTCCCTCGTTCCCCTTCCCCTTCCCAGGTGACCAGCTACTCCCTATCTCCAGGACATGGAAGTTTTGGGAATGATGCGCACCTCTCCTTCAGGCAATATTTATTACAATCTGTCCATATTGCTGTCTGAACAATTTATCTCATTCCATATTTGACTCAAACCGTGGATCCACCTCTAGTACGATTGCTAATAGCTGGAGATTTGATGTGCCCATTTAAAGGAAATAGGTCTGAGGCTAAACTTTTTATCTTGGTTTCACCATATTTATAGCATTCTTGGCTTTTTCTACTTTCTTTTTTTGTGTGTTTTCTATCTCAATGTTCAATTCTATCAAAATTTATCATTCATAAATCATAATCAAACATGTACATTTTCACCTTATTCCCTGCAGCCTCTATATCTCTTAGGATAGAAATCATGTCAATAAAAACCAGACTTAGACCATAAAGTGTCAAATGGGACCTCAGCACCAAATTGAGCAAAATTCTGGAATACAGCTAAAACAAGTGGAGAGGTATACTGAAGTTATAAGTTGGTGTGGGGGGAGGGGTCACTGGATGCAAAATTACCTAGAAGAACCATCGAGGCTAGGGAGACCAATGCTAAGTCGACTCAACTGGATTTTCTTTTTTTTTGAAGGCAGGCCAGGAATCAGGTATCACAAGGAGGATGATGGGGGAATTAAGGAATTTGGTCAGATATTGAGGGTGAATATTAATGATAAACCAGGTTAGGAAGACTTCTGTTAAACCTGACCCTAGGTTGGGCACTGGTGGCTCACGCCTATAATCCTAGCACTTTGGGAGGCTGAGGCAGGCGGATTGCCTGAGGTCAGGAGTTCAAGACTAGCCTGGCCAACATGGTGAAACCCCATCTCTACTAACATTGCAAAAATTGGCCAGGCATGGTGGTGCATGACTGTAACCCCAGCTACTGAGGAAGCTGAGGCAGGAGAATCGCTTGAACCTGGGAGGCACAGTTTGCAATGAGCCGAGATTGTGCCACTGCACTCCAGCCTGGGTGATAGAGCGAGACTCTCTCTCAAAAAATGAATAAATATAAATATAAATATAAATATAAATGTAAATATAAATACAAACCTGACTCTACAAGGAAGGACTAGGAAACCCAACAGAATGACCTACTTGTGAAGAGGCCAGGGGAGATGACTAAATTTGGTCAAGGGAAGAGTCTTCAACAGTTGGTAGGTATCAGTTGAGACCTCGGCTTCTCAGCCTAAAGCAGGGAGAGGGATAAGTCTGTGCTGCTTCATGACAGAAAGAGTCTCTTATCCTCAAATCTCTCCATTTCCCACAAGTCTCGGGTTGGAGGAAGGAAAAATATCTAGAGTAGATTGTCACTCAATGACAGCAGAGTGGCCGACGAAGACACACAGACACTTCCAGATGAATTTGCAAAGCAGTTTATTGCAGGCTTCACAAGGCACTTCAGCTCAGGCAAGTGGAAGGGGTATAGAGACTGAAGAGGACAGATGCTGACACCCAGAGTACATGGAGGGATGGGATCTTGGCTATGATTGAGGAGCTTGGCAGATGAGTGATGACGAGGAGTGCTGATACAGGAGCTTAGATGATGGTATCCAGGTGAACTGGAACCACTGGATACTGTGGAGGGTCCCGTCGTTGATCCCTGTTGTCACATGCAACTATATAGAACATGTTTGCTGGTGTCTGCGCATACCTGCAGTTTGAAATATTCTGTGGACTTGGAGTTGTGAGGTTACAGTACATTAAAGGCACCTGGACTCCACTATGATGACAATTGTTGAGAGTTCTGTTATGAGGGCAGGTTATAGTTGGGTTACCACAAACATTAACTACATTAGCAAAAGTTGCAAGAAGAAAAGTATTTTGGTTTTTCCATCGCCGTTGATAATTGTTAATTACCCGCATTGCATTGGTGCATTGGAGCTGGTTCCTACTGATGGACGTCAAACCCCTGAGCCCAGGTAAACTGTGGAGGTTTGACATGGAGTGAGCCCTCCACAGCCAGAAGCCCCAACAGAAGAAGCAGACAAATTTGGGAAGTGAACAGTTTTGGAACCATGTTTCCTGTGAGAAAAGAAGAGAAGTAACTACTCCCCGATTCTGTCTCGGTTGTGACACACACCATAGTGTCTCACCCCACAGGCCAATCTGCTGCCACTCTTGGGTCCCATTTCCTGTTCCTTCCTGTCCCCAAAGTGTGCCACATCTCCTAAGCACTAACGTCAGCTCCCTTCTCCCTCAGTTGCTGCCCTGTCGCTGCCCCTCCTGTCCCAACTCTGGGGATTGTTGACTTACACAGTCTCCGCGCTGTGGCTCCTATGAGAATTGATCCAGCTGGTTGTTCTGGGGTTCAGGGGCAGCTGGTCTCCCCTACTTGGAACTATTTAAATAAAGCATCCCTTGGTGGGTTGGGCCAGCAGAGCCAGGAGGGAGGGTCTGGCTCTTGGCCATGCAGAAACCCACAGATTGACACATGGTCCACTTGCGCAATCATCCTTTTTATTTGATGACTTGGCTGAGCAACGGATACCCAAGGACAGCCCTGCTGCTCTTTCTGCTATACGGACTCTAATTCCAAGTCATCCTGTGTTAGACAGAGTTTTGCCGGTGGGATCTGGACTCTGGATGAAAACTATATGCTGCCGGCAGAATGACCACAGATTTTATAACTGTCCTCTGGCAGGCCCCTAAATGACCAAAGTACATGAAGGCAGGCATAGTAGTTAGAACAAATAGAGCCACAGAGATCTGTTTTCCCAGGAGGAACCCAGCTTCCCTTCCATTTTTAGTAATATCCTTGGTTCTCTCTCACATAAATGCTCTCCATCTCATCCACCACTCTTGCTGGAAACTTGAGCTATTAATTTCTTGGGGCACAAGATTCTGTAGATAATTAAAACAATCTGCTCCATACATTTGAGGGATTTTTTTCTTTACTCCTCTTGCATTGGATCCACTTTCTCTTAAGTCTTGCCCTGATTATTGCTTCCACTTTGTGTAAAGTTACACAACCTAAAAACACACCGAGGACAGTTGTAAAATCTGGCAGAGAATGAATGAACATTTGGTGTCATGAAAGATTCCAACCTAGCACTCGGTATTCCTGTGATCTTTTCAGCCTATGGTATTTTCTACAAAACAGTGTGTTCTGGGGTTGTCATTCATCTTCCTGGTAGGTTTCATCTTGTGATATCAACAAGAAAATGGTTCTGTATTTACAAATGAACATTTAAGGACAGAGCACTGTATTCCTGAAAGTATAGAAGTCAACTGTACAATTTCATACACCAAGCATAGACTTATTCTTGGACCTCAGAGATATACAGGAAAGTAATTGTAGTCACATAATTGTATTACAGTATGATAGAGATAATAGCATTTGTGTGAACATGGTTTCATGGGGACGCCGAGGGTGAAGGAAATCACTTCGCTTGAGGGACAAGGAAGACTTCAAAAAAAAAAAGTTTCATTTCAGCAGGGTCCTAAAGGCAAAGCAGGTGGTTTTCAGGGACTTTAGGGAAGAGATGAGCATTCTGGGCACAGGGGATGATGTGGGAAAATTGTACAGAGGTGGAAAGTGAATTGCAGGGGTAAGACCTAGGTACAAAAAGATGTTAAATCTCTGGTCTAGCTTCTAGATTAGTAAATGGAAATCAGACCTTTAAATGATATCATATACCATCCAATTTTCCTGTCATTTACAAATGCAATAATTTTATCACTGGAGTCCTTAGGTAAATGTGGACACAATGGTCATCAGGTGAGGATTCAATGCACAGCTAACAGTACTCTGCCTTGAAGTCCTCTTCTGGCCGACATTCATTAGCAGCTTTATCATGAAGCAAATTCTTTTTTCATGTATATTGTGTGGAGATCATTTTTGCAGGTGATGAGAATGTAAAGGTGAATGATACGTAGAGTATCCCCTCTGTGATGCTGACAGGCACACTGGGTAGAAAGACTTGCACTCAAGTGTCTATAGTGTGAGGCAAAAGACATAGACTGCAGCCCCAGGGCAGGTACTCGGCTAAACAGTGCTTCTTTTCAGCATATACAGTGTTATTTATAATGTTTGGTTTGGAAGATAAAGTTTGACATTGGAATAGTTCACTAAAAGTTTTCATTACTGTCTTATCTTTAAAAATCACATGATGTTGGTTGGTGCACTGTGTCTCCGTTGCTGTGTGGTATCAATTAGAGCTGGGTAAAGCTGCCTCTGTGGAAGGGGCTCTAGCTCAGGGCTGTTCTCTGACTCCATCTCTGCCTCCTGACTTACATCCTGTCTGTTCAGTAATGACACCTTCCTGGCTTCTGGAGAAATCTGTGATTATGACGCGTCAGACTTGTTGCAGTGTCTTAAGAAATAACTCAGACCATAACCTGCCCAATTTGCAACCATATTCATCCTTTAAAATTGTGCGAGTTTTTTTTATTTGTTTGTTTGTCTTTGATATGGAGTCTTGCTCTTGTGGCCCAGGCTGGAGTACAGTGGCACGATCTCGGCTCACTGCCACCTCTGCCTCCCGAGTTCAAGTGATTCTCCTGCCTCAGCATCCTGAGTAGCTGGGATTACAGGCATCTGCCACAACATCCGGCTAATTTTCAGATTGTTAGTAGAGATGTGGTTTCACTATGTTGGCGAGGCTGGTCTCAAACTCCTGACCTCAGGTGATCTGCCCCACTTGGCCTCCCAAAGTGATGGGATTACAGGTGTGAGACACTGCTCCTGATCACTAAAATTGTATTCAGAACATGCTCATAAGATTTTTCTGATTCTCCCTTGTATAGATTTCCTGTGTACATTTCTAACTACCTTCATTTATCTGCAGAACTAGTACACATGATCTACTTTGATATTTATGACCTTTGGGAGAAGATGTTTTATATGAAGCAGAAATAAAGTGTAAGCCAACATTAAACAAAATTCTCTGTAACTTCAGCATGATCGTTTGTCTTTTTTTAAAAAATTATTATTATACTTTAAGTTTTAGGGTACATGTGCACAATGTGCAGGTTAGTTACTTATGTATACATGTGCCATGCTGGTGTGCTGCACCCATTAACTCGTCATTTAGCATTAGGTATATCTCCTAATGCTATCCCTCCCCCATCCCCCCACCCCACAACAGTCCCCAGAGTGTGATGTTCCCCTTCCTGTGTCCATGTGTTCTCATTGTTCAGTTCCATCTATGAGTGAGAACATGCGGTGTTTGGTTTTTTGTCCTTGCGATAGTTTACTGAGAATGATGATTTCCAATTTCATCCATGTTCCTACAAAGGACATGAACTCATCATTTTTTATGGCTGCATAGTATTCCATGGTGTATATGTGCCACGTTTTCTTAATCCAGTCTATCATTGTTGGATATTTGGGTTGGTTCCAAGTCTTTGTTATTGTGAATAGTGCCACAATAAACATACATGTGCATGTGTCTTTATAGCAGCATGATTTATAGTCCTTTGGGTATATACCCAGTAATGGGATGGCTGGGTCAAATGGTATTTCTAGTTCTAGATCCCTGAGGAATCGCCACCCTGACTTCCACAAGGGTTGAACTAGTTAACAGTCCCACCAACAGTGTAAAAGTGTTCCTATTTCTCCACATCCTCTCCAGCACCTGTTGTTTCCTGACTTTTTAATGATTGCCATTCTAAGTGGTGTGAGATGGTATCTCATTGTGGTTTTGATTTGCATTTCTCTGATGGCCAGTGATGATGAGCATTTTTTCATGTGTCTTTTGGCTGCATAAATGTCTTCTTTTGAGAAGTGTCTGTTCATATCCTTTGCCCACTTTTTGATGGGGTTGTTTGTTTCTCTCTTGCAAATTTGTCTGAGTTCATTGTAGATTCTGGATATTAGCCCTTTGTCAGATGAGTAGGTTGCGAAAATTTTCTCCCATTTTGTAGGTTGCCTGTTGACTCTGATGGTAGTTTCTTTTGCTGTGCAGAAGCTCTTGAGTTTAATTAGATCCCATTTGTCAATTTTGGCTTTTGTTGCCATTGCTTTTGGTGTTTTAGACATGAAGACCTTGCCCATGCCTATGTCCTGAATGGTAATGCCTAGGTTTTCTTCTAGGGTTTTTATGGTTTTAGGTCTAACGTTTAAGTCTTTAATCCATCTTGAATTAATTTTTGTATAAGGTGTAAGGAAGGGATCCAGTTTCAGCTTTCTACATATGGCTAGCCAGTTTTCCCAACACCATTTATTAAATAGGGAATCCTTTCCCCGTTGCTTGTTTTTCTCAGGTTTGTCAAAGATCAGATAGTTGTAGATATGCGGTGTTATTTCTGAGGGCTCTGTTCTGTTCCATTGATCTATATCTCTCTTTTGGTACCAGTACCATGCTGTTTTTGTTACTGTAGCCTTGTAGTATAGTTTGAAGTCAAGTAGCATGATGCCTCCAGCTTTGTTCCTTTGGCTTAGGATTGACTTGGCGATGCGGGCTCTTTTTTGGTTCCATATGAACTTTAAAGTATTTTTTTCCAATTCTGTGAAGAAAGTCATTGGCAGCTTGATGAGGATGGCATTGAATGTATAAATTACCTTGGGCAGTATGGCCATTTTCACGATATTGATTCTTCCTACCCATGAGCATGGAATGTTCTTCCATTTCTTTGTATCCTCTTTTGTTTCATTGAGCAGCAGTTTGTAGTTCTCCTTGAAGAGGTCCTTCACGTCCCTTGTAAGTTGGATTCCTAAGTATTTTATTCTCTTTGAAGCAATTGTGAATGGGAGTTCACTCATGATTTGGCTCTCTGTTTGTCTGTTATTGGTGTATAAGAATGCTTGTGATTTTTGTACATTGATTTTGTATCCTGAGACTTTGCTGAAGTTGCTTATCAGCTTAAGGAGATTTTGGGCTGAGACAATGGGGTTTTCTAGATATACAATCATGTCGTCTGCAAACAGGGACAATTTGACTTCCTCTTTTCCTAATTGAATACCCTTTATTTCCTTCTCCTGCCTAATTGCCCTGGCCAGAACTTCCAACAATATGTTGAATAGGAGTGGTGAGAGAGGGCATCCCTGTCTTGTGCCAGTGTTCAAAGGGAATGCTTCCAGTCTTTGCCCATTCAGTATGATATTGGCTGTGGGTTTGTCATAGATAGCTCTTATTATTTTGAGATACGTCCCATCAATACCTAATTTATTGAGAATTTTTAGCATGAAGTGTTGTTGAATTTTGTCAAAGGCCTTTTCTGCATCTATTGAGATAATCATGTGGTTTTTGTCTTTGGTTCTGTTTATATGCTGGATTACATTTATTGATTTGTGTATATTGAACCAGCCTTGCATCCCAGGGATGAAGCCCACTTGATCATGGTGGATAAGCTTTTTGATGTGCTGCTGGATTCAGTTTGCCAGTATTTTATTGAGGATTTTTGCATCAATGTTCATCAAGGATATTGGTCTAAAATTCTCTTTTTTGGTTGTGTCTCTGCCTGGCTTTGGTATCAGGATGATGCTGGCCTCATAAAATGAGTTAGGGAGGATTCCCTCTTTTTCTGTTGATTGGAATAGTTTCAGAAGGAATTGTACCAGTTCCTCCTTGTACCTCTGGTAGAATTCGGCTGTGAATCCATCTGGTCCTGGACTCTTTTTGGTTGGTAAGCTATTGATTATTGCCACAATTTCAGAACCTGTTATTGGTCTATTCAGAGATTCAACTTTTTCCTGGTTTAGTCTTGGGAGAGTGTATGTGTCGAGGAATTTATCCATTTCTTCTAGATTTTCTAGTTTATTTGCGTAGAGGTGTTTGTAGTATTCTCTGATGGTAGTTTGTATTTCTGTGGGATTGGTGGTGATATCCCCTTTATCATTTTTTATTGCGTCTATTTGATTCTCTTTTTTTTTTCTTTATTAGTCTTGCTAGTGGTCTATCTATTTTGTTGATCCTTTCAAAAAACCAGCTCCTGGATTCATTAATTTTTTGAAGGGTTTTTTCTGTCAGAATTTCCTTCAATTCTGCTGATTTTAGTTATTTCTTGCCTTCTGCTAGCTTTTGAATGTGTTTGCTCTTGCTTTTCTAGTTCTTTTAATTGTGATGTTAGGGTGTCAATTTTGGATCTTTCCTGCTTTTTCTTGTGGGCATTTAGTGCTATCAATTTCCCTCTACACACTGCTTTGAATGTGTCCCAGAGATTCTGGTGTGTTGTGTCTTTGTTCTCATTGGTTTCAAAGAACATCTTTATTTCTGCCTTCATTTCGTTATGTACCCAGTAGTCATTCAGGAGCAGGTTGTTCAGTTTCCATGTAGTTGAGCAGTTTTGAGTGAATTTCTGAATCCTGAGTTCTAGTTTGATTGCACTGTGGTCTGAGAGACAGTTTGTTATAATTTCTGTTCTTTTACATTTGCTGAGGAGAGCTTTACTTCCAACTATGTGGTCAATTTTGGAATAGGTGTGGTGTGGTGCTGAAAAAAATGTATATTCTGTTGATTTGGGGTGGAGAGTTCTGTAGATGTCTATTAGGTCCACTTGGTGCAGAGCTGAGTTCAATTCCTGGGTATCATTGTTAACTTTCTGTCTCGTTGATCTGTCTAGTGTTGACAGTGGTGTGTTAAAGTCTCCCATTATTATTGTGTGGGAGTCTAAGTCTCTTTGTAGGTCACTCAGGACTTGCTTTATGAATCTGGGTGCTCCTGTATTGGGTGCATATATATTTAGGATAGTTAGCTCTTCTTGTTGAATTGATCCTTTTCCCATTATGTAATGGCCTTCTTTGTCTCTTTTGATCTTTGTTGGTTTAAAGTCTGTTTTATCAGAGACTAGGATTGCAACCCCTTCCTTTTTTTGTTTTCCGTTGGCTTGGTAGATCTTCCTCCATCCTTTTATTTTGAGCTTATGTGTGTGTGTGCACATGAGATGGGTTTCCTGAATACAGCACACTGATGGGTCTTGACTCTTTATCCAATTTGCCAGTCTGCATCTTTTAATTGGAGCATTTAGTCCATTGACATTTAAAGTTAATATTGTTATGTGTGAATTTGATCCTGTCATTATGATGTTAGCTGGTAATTTTGCTCATTAGTTGATGTAGTTTCTTCCTAGTCTCGATGGTCTTTACATTTTGGCATGATTTTGCAGTGGCTGGTACCGGTTGTGCCTTTCCATGTTTAGTGCTTCCTTCAGGAGCTCATTTAGGGCAGGTCTGGTGGTGACAAAATCTCTCAGCATTTACTTGTCCGTAAAGTATTTTATTTCTCCTTCACTTATGAAGTTTAGTTTGGCTGGATATGAAATTCTGGGTTGAAAATTTTTTTCTTTAAGAATGTTGAATATTGGCCCCCACTCTCTTCTGGCTTGTAGAGTTTCTGCTGAGAGATCCGCTGTTAGTCTGATGGGCTTCCCTTTGTGGGTAACCCGACCTTTCTCTCTAGCTGCCCTTAACATTTTTTCCTTCATTTCAACTTTGGTGAATCTGACAATTATGTGTCTTGGAGTTGCTCTTCTCGAGCAGTATCTTTGTGGTGTTCTCTGTATTTCCTGAATCTGAATGTTGGCCTGCCTTGCTAGATTGGGGAAGTTCTCCTGGATAATATCCTGCAGAGTGTTTTCCAACTTGGTTGCATTCTCCCCGTCACTTTCAGATACACCAATCAGACGTAGATTTGGTCTTTTCACATAGTCCCATATTTCTTGGAGGCTTTGTTCATTTCTTTTTATTCTTTTTTCTCTAAACTTCCCTTCTCACTTCATTTCATTCATTTCATCTTCCATCACTGATACCCTTTCTTCCAGTTGATTGCTTCGGCTCCTGAGGCTTCTGCATTCTTCACGTAGTTCTCGAGCCTTGGCTTTCAGCTCCATCAGCTCCTTTAAGCACTTCTCTGTATTGGTTATTCTAGCTATACATTCATCTAAATTTTTTTCAAAGTTTTCAACTTCTTTGCCTTTGGTTTGTATTTCCTCCTGTAGCTCGGAGTAGTTTGATCATCTGAAGACTTCTTCTCTCAACTCGTCAATGTCATTCTCCGTCCAGCTTTGTTCCATTGCTGGTGAGGAACTGCATTCCTTTGGAGGAGGAGAGGCGCTCTGCTTTTTAGAGTTTCCAGTTTTTCTGCTCTGTTTTTTCCCCATCTTTTTCGTTTTATCTACTTTTGGTCTTTGATAATGGTGACGTACAGATGGGTTTTTGGTGTGGATGTCCTTTCTGTTTGTTAGTTTTCCTTCTAACAGACAGGACCCTCAGCTGCAGGTCTGTTGGAGTTTGCTAGAGGTCCCCTCCAGACCCTGTTTTCCTGGGTATCAGCAGTGGTGTCTGCAGAACAGCAGATTTTCATGAACCGCGAATGCTGCTGTATGATCATTCCTCTGGAAGTTTTGTCTCAGAGGAGTACCCGGCCATGTGAGGTGTCAGTCTGCCCCTACTGGGGGGTGCCTCCCAGTTAGGCTGCTCAGGGGTCAGGAGTCAGGGACCCACTTGAGGAGGCAGTCTGCCCGTTCTCAGATCTCCAGCTGTGTGCTGGGAGAACCACTGCTCTCTTCAAAGCTGTCAGACGGGGACATTTAAGTCTGCAGAGGTTACCGCTGTCTTTTTGTTTGTCTGTGCCTTGCCCCCAGAGGTGGAGCCTACAGAGGCAGGCAGGCCTCCTTGACCTGTGGTGGGCTCCACCCAGTTCGAGCTTCCTGGCTGCTTTGTTTACCTAAGCAAGCCTGGGCAATGGCGGGCGCCAGTGCCCCAGCCTCGCTGCTGCCTTGCAGTTTGATCTCAGACTGCTGTGCTAGCAATCATCGAGACTCTGTGGGCACGTAGGACCCTCCGAGCCGTGTGCAGGATATAATCTCCTGGTGCGCCATTTCCTAAGCCCTTCGGAAAAGCACAGTATTTGGGTGGGAGTGACCCGATTTTCCAGGTGCCGTCTGTCACCCCTTTCCTTGACCAGGAAAGGGAACTCCCTGACCCCTTGCACTTCCCTAGTGAGGCAATGCATCGCCTTGCTTCGGCTTGCGCACTGGGCACTGCACCCACTGTCCTGTCCCCACTGTCTGGCACTCCCTAGTGAGATGAACCCGGTACCTCAGATGGTAATGCAGAAATCGCCCATCTTCTGTGTCGCTTACGCTGGGAGCTGCAGACCGGAGCTGTTCCTATTCGGCCCCCACGATTTTGTCTTTAACACACCTGGGCTCTTTATTTTATTAGTATAAGTTGTCTTGCAGCCTAATTTAATGACACATTTTCAGACCTGATCCACACTTCCACTGAGAGGAATAGTTGGAATTATGTCCCAGTATTAAGTCTTTTTTTGGGAAACTGATGAACATTTTAAAATATTGTCCCAGACAAAGAATTCTGCATTTATGGTAAAAACCACTGTTGAGTACACTGCATTGATCAATGTCTTTTTTGCATAGCATTTATGTGCAAAAATATAGTGTTCAATGCTTGCAATTTCTTCAGCCCCAGGGTACCCTTGCAATATTTGCTCTTAACCTGCTGACAGGGAGGTACCACACCATCAATACCTTCCTGCACACAGATTTCCCTAATGCAGCAGTGGTTATCTATGGGAAAGACAATGCACACTATTTATTAGGTTGGTGCAAAAGTAATTGAGATTTTTGCCTTTAAAAGTAACACAAGATTTCCATAATAATATGGTGCAGGTTAATTAAATTGTAGCAAATGAAGTAATATTTAACTTACCTAAGTTCTAAAGATATTTGGTGTACTGAGCTCTTCCTGGTCTCTTGAACCTCAGAAAGGTGGCCCTAGGCCTTCCTTCTTGCGTGGGGCCTCCTGCATGTCTCCTCTGAAAGCCATTGAATAAGTAGATCTGACATCTTTGATCAAGTTTCTGGCATGAAAGAGGAAAGAACTAAGGCTTTCTTCTTTCTCCTCAACTATAAAGTCCTCTCCCTCTCTGGAAAGGGAAGAAATGGAAATAGAGCTCAGATGGAATTATGGAGAGGTGTGTCTTAGAAGAGATGAAATAAAGTGTGTTTCCGAATAAATTGGAAAGTTGCGTTCATGTACCACTGCATGTTTTTAGAATATTTCTCTTCTCTTCTCTTCTCCTCTCCTCTCCACACCCCTCCCCTCCCCTACCCTACCCTCCCTCCCTCCATCCCTCCCTTCTTTCTTTCTTTCTTTCTTTCTTTCTTTCTTTCTTTCTTTCTTTCTTTCTTTCTTATTTCTTTCCTTCTTTTTTTCTTTGAGATGGAGTCTCACCCAGGCTGGAGTGCAGTGGTGAGATCTCAGCTCACTGCAACCTCCACCTCCCAGGCTCAAGCAATTCTCCTTCCTCAGCCTCCCGAGTAGCTGGGATTACAGGTGCACGTCACCATGCCCAGCTAATTTTTGTATTTTTAGTAAAGACAGGGTTTCACCATGTTGACCAGGCTGGTCTTGAACTCCTGACCTCTGATGATCCGCACACCTCAGCCAGGCATGAGCCACTGCCCCTGGCCTTATTTCTTTTTATTGATACATAAGAGAGGTACATATTTTCAGGGTACATGTGATAATTTAATACAGTCATATAATGTGTAAAGATTATATCAGGGAAATTGGGATATCCATTACCTTAAATATTTGACTTTTCTTTACTTTAGAAACATTCGAATTTTGGTCTTCAAGCTATTTTGAAGTGTACAGTAGATTATCATTAACTATAGCCATCCTCCTGTTCTATCAAACCCCAGGTCTTATTTCTTATATCACTTCTTATATTTATACTCATTAATCAACCTCTCTTCATCCTCATTGCATTTTGAGCACATAGATGCATTTGCTGAGATTTCAGGGCTTATAGGAAATGAATTATTATATAGGTTAGTGTCTCTGTAAATGCAGTTATTATATAAGTTTTGTGTCACAGTGATGTCAGGTGTAGATTTTGTATAGTCTTGTCCAGATACCAGCTCTGACTTTTTCTATTTGACACTCTTACTATAACAGTAGTCCAGGGCCAAGCGTGGTGGCTCAAGCCTGTAATCCCAGCACTTTGGGAGGCCTAGACAGAGGGATCACTTCAGGCGAGTACCTCGAAACCAGCCTGCCCAACATGATGAAACCCCATCTCTACCAAAAACACAAAAATTAGTCAGGCATGGTGACTTGCACCTGTAATCCCAGCTACTCAGGAGGCTGAGGTAGGAGGATCTCTTGAACCCAGGAGTCAGAGGCTGCAGTGAGCTGATATCATTCCCCTGCCCTCCAGCCTGGGAGACAGAGCAACACTCTGTCTCTTAAAAAAAACAAACAAATAAAAAAAAGTTGCACGGTTATTCGTCCTCTCTATGCCTCTGTTTTATAATCTGTAAAAAACAACAACACATACATTGGTTTGTAGGAGAAATTTAATGTGGTAATTTGTGTGTGTGTGTGTATGAAATAACAAAATATGTAGCATAAAACATTGCAAAAAGAAAAAGAAATCTTGATAAGGATGATCAGTCTTATGCATCAAGGTGTTAATGTAGTATCCATTACTGCACTATCCTCTCTGTGGTATTTACAATAAGACAGTATGCTTGTTTCTTTTCCTTACTCCTCAAAGTGAAGGCATAAGAAATAGAACTCAGGGTTTTATCTCTTTTTGACCAAGTGCTGCTTAGGTGGACAAGTCATTTTGATAGGACCGCTGTTTCTCAGGGACCCTTCCCAATCTGAGATAGAATAAATCACCTTTTAACATCTTGCATTTACTTGTGAAGTCAGAACAAAGGGAAATAGATTATCATAAAAATTATATTTTCCATCAATTTGGTGCTAAATTTGAGGAACTGTCTTAGCAAATAATTAGAGCATTTTCATGATAAAAATATAGTTCCTGCATGATTTAGTCTCTTTTTTGTACAGAATTTGATGAATTTAGCCAAATCATTCACCTTGAGCTTCATTTTTTTCCTACTGTCCTTGGATCCTTTATTCTTCTGTGAAAATATTTTTCAAGGTAGAATTGTTTAATTTATAGCTCTACATGAAACTGAACACAAAATTAGTCCTCTAATCTAGCTCTCAGGGGCTTGAAATTATCACATAGTCTTTGTGCTAGTGTTTTATCTTGCTCCATTAAATAACAGTTCTAAATAACAAGACCTCACATCTTCTCTACAATAAAATCGATTATAGGCATGTTTTTTTGCATAGTTTAAAAATAATGATGTAATTGTATATAATAATTTTGTTTCAGAGAATTATGCTTTTTTCTGCCTAAATTAATAATGATTTAGGAAAATCAGATTTACATAGACAGATGATGCACAGATGTCAACCAAATTTCCTTTACATCTTTTCCTACACACACACACACACACACACACACACACTCACACACACAAACACACACACAGGCATACACCCATACCTATGCTCCAGAGTATCAGATTTCTAAATAGTCTGAGCTGTAAGGCACTCCTAAAGACATTTATACCACACCCCTCACTTTCCAGCTGAGGAAGAGTAATGGTAGAGTCATCTGTTAAGCACACTAAACAAATTGATAGAACTGAATGTTAGAAAATATCTTTTTGCGGCCAGGCATGGTGGCTCACGCCTGTAATCTCAGCACTTTGGGAGGCCGAGATAGGTGGATCACTCGAAGTCAAGAGTTCGAGACCAGCCTGGCCAACATATTGAAACCCTGTCTCTACAAAAATTAGCTGGGCATGATGTGGGGCAACTATAATCCCAGCTACTCAGGAGACTGAGACATGAGAATCGCTTGAATCTGGGAAGTGGAGGTTGCAGTGAGCCGAGATCACGTCAGTGCACTCCAGCCTGGGTGAGAAGACAAGACTCAGTCTCAAAAAAAAAAAAAAAAAAAAAAAAAAAAAAAAAAGAAAAGAAAAGAAAAGAAAAGAAAAAGAAAAGAAAAGAGAGTGATATGGAGATGAATGAAGGATGATGTGGTGAAGTGAGTTGCTCAGATGGGTCCTTACAGGAGCAAAGAGAGATGGAGACAAATGTGAGAAGTACTGAGGTCTGGGATATGGTTAAAAGGAGAACAATATCTCCGGGCATTGAGACACAGAAACCCTACTCTCCTTTGCCTTATTCCCTCCACTGAGATGAAAACGTGACTCACATGTGGACCCTCTTCCTGTTCACCTCCTGGTAAGATTGTCTTTCCTTAGACCCAGAAATTTGGATACCTCTTCAATGAATTGCCCAGACTCTTCCACCCCATCAGCAGTGGTCATGAGGGAAGGTTTGCACTTGGAGTAAGACATTTCTCCCCTGACAGTGTTAACTTTCCATGCTCAGCAGCATTTGACAGAGTTGATTTCTCCCTGCTCCTTGATGAAGCTGACCTGAGAATGATCTTCTTGTGACAGAAACAGAATGAAAAGTCTGGTGAGATCAGGCCTGGTGCCCTCAAGGCAGACAGTCTTGTCAAGGATGTGTGCTGAGTTACAACACCCCACCCTTTCCTGATCATTTCTTCTAAGTCCCTGGACTCATGTTCTCAGTCTGCTTCATTAATTCTTCCCCTTTCTCTCCAGCATCTTGATGGTGGAGGTTCCTAGGGGTTAGCTATTCTTTCTTTTCTATGGACTCATGCACTCTCTTCATGATCATATCTAATCTCATGGCTTTTGTTGGGGCTCAGCACACTATACTCCAAAGGATGGTACTTTGGCATGCTAAACTATTTTTTTTTTTTGAGACGGAGCCTCACTCTGTCGCCCAGGTAGAGGACCATAGGTGACTAGACAGAAAATTCAGCCATCATAAATACAGTCTAAATGTTGAAGAACAGATTTCTGAGTCTACCATAACTTTCCTGCACTCCAGGACTTTAGTGTTGAACTTGCCACATTCAGATTCACACTGTAGCACCTTGCGTAAGAAGGAAAGGAAGTGAATATGCACAGAGGATCTACTTGTGTTATGAGCTTTACAGTTTAGCTGCAGTGGAAAAGAGTTTATTTCTTTCTTGGAAGTGAGGGCCTCACTCAAGGCCCTAGAGCTCTACAAGGCCCTAGAGCAGGTGGCAATACCAGCCAGGCTTGTGTCCTTCCCTTCAGGGTGATGAGTTCCTCTAGGCCCAGGCATGTCCAGAGGTACTGTCTGAGAGCCAGGGACTGAAGTAAACAACCTGGGAGGTTTACATGGTGTTCTGTTTTACTGTGGCTGAGCTGGAGTCCTTCCACTCTTCCCTTACTCTTCCACAGGCAGAGGAGCCTCTCCCTGCAGCTACCTCCACCGCAGGCTCAAGGGGAATACTGACAGGATGATGCCAGTGTTCCCATAAGGCCCCAGAGTTCTTTAGCCAGCTTGTGGTGAATGCTGCCTGGCCTGGGACTCACCCTTCAGGGCAGTAGGCTCCCCTCTGACCCAGGGCATGTCCAGAAATGCCAACCAAAAGCCAAGATCTGGAACTGGGGACTCCAAGAGCTGGCTTGGTGCTCTACCCCGCTGTAGCTAAGCTGCTGTCTAAGCTGCAAGACAGAGTCCCCTTTATTTTCCCTCTGCTTTTCTCAAGCAGAAGGATTCTCTCTTCATGACTACCACAGCTGTGAATATGGTGGGTCTCTCCTGAAGCCAGCATATCTCAGAGTCTCACCCAAGGCCCATGGAGTGTACTACTAGGTATTGCTGCTGGTTATTTAGGGCCTGAGGGTTCTTCAGTCAGCAGGTGATGAATCCTGGCAGGACTGGGTCCTTTCCTTCTAGGCAGTGGGTTTTCTTCTGGTGCAGGGTGTGTCTAGAAATGTCCTTCAGGAGCGAGTGCCTGGAATGGTGGCTTCATGACTCTGACTGGTGCCCTATCCTATTGTGGCTGAACTGACATTTACGATGTAAGACAATGTCCTAGTTACTCTTTCCTCTCCTTTCCTCAAGCAGAAGGAAGCAGTCACTTTCACTGCTGTGAGCTGTGCTGCCTGGGGTTGGAGGAGTGGTTGTGCAAGCACTCCCTTAGCTGCCCTGACAAGTGTCACACTAGTGGTGTCCAAGTCCACTGGCTCTGAGCCCAGCACAGCACTGGGACTTGCCTTGTAGTTGTAGTTCTTGTGGCCTAGATTGAGTTTCAAATGCATTTAGGACCCCAGAGCACTTTAGCCTGCTTTGGCAAGGCTTTCCCAAACTCACATACTGACTGCTTGGATAGGCGATTGATTCCCCTCTGGCTAAGGTTGGTCTGAATGCTCCCTCTGTGGGTGGGCTCTGACAGGGCAGCACTGAGTTCAATGCAGATTTTCACAATTGCTGCACTCTCCCTCCCCCATGCACTGAGTTTCTGTCTCAGCTCCAGTGGCAGCTACTGGGACATGGGGGAGTGGTGGCCTCAGTGATTCAAAATTGTCTTTCCTCATCTCTTCAGTGCCTTTTTCAGTGATACGAAGTTAAAATCAGGTACAATGATGGTTGACCTGATTTTTATTTCCTATGTAGGTCCTTTTTTGTGTGTAGATAGTTGTTAAATGTGGTGTTTCTGCTGGTATGTGTGGGGGTGAAATCAATGGATACTTCTATATGGCCATCCTCTTTTACCCCTTCCCCTTGATTCTTTGGCTATCTGAGGAGTTAATATCTCTTCATGTATTAACCCAAAAGAGTTTTTTAAGCATTTGCTCAGTGTCTTCTGAACCCAAGGGTTACAGCAATGAGACCAAGTCAATTCATACCCCATGATGAGCTTCAGTTAAGCCCTGTACAAATTCTCCCTACATATAAGTGAAGAGTGTTGCTATAGCCTGACAGGTCAGTTGTGTACACTTGGATATCAATAGGGTCAACTGAATAGAAGCCTCAAATCAAGACATAAATGCTGGATAATAGGTGTATGTAGCTAGAATCATCTCAGGAATAATGCAAATGGTATCGCTGCCTCCTGTGCTTCGGAATTTCCCTACGCCAAGATTACTTCCGATGCACATGAAGGCTTCTGAAGTCAATGTTTGGTAACAAATGGATCTCAAAGTTGGGCTGGAGATAGGTTGTTGGAAAACTACTTGAGGATGTGATTGGAAATGCAGAATCCTGAGCTCCATGTGCAGACATTCTGTGTGAGTATATCTGGAATGGAGCTCACGAATCCATAGTGCAAAACTTCCCCCATGTGATCCAAATGGAAAATACTTAATGTTTGAAGTTTTTTAGGTGTGCCACTTACATGCTGGCAGAGAACATTATGAATGAATTTGTGTATAATATTTGATTATATAGTTTATTATTATAGAAGATTGGCTATTAGTCATTAGGGATTAATTATGAATATCCCAGGGAGACAAAATTGATGAACTACGTGCTCATCTATATGTCTCTATATGTCTCTATATGTCACTGCTTACCCATAACTTCCTTTTAATATTTAAAGAATTTTGTCCTCTTGCTTTTTTATTTGGCTAGAGGCAGTTGGGGGCATGAGGAAAAATCCTTCCTGTTCCAGAAATACTGAGGAGTGAACTATTAGTTTTTTCACAAGTCAGCTAACCCAGATAGTCTGAAGAACACTAAATCCTAAGAATACTTAAGATAATCCCTCAGGCTTTTTTTTGCTAGTCTTTTGTCCTACCCAAATGCAAAGACAGTTTTGAAGGTCAGACCAAAATAGCTTCTTCACTAAAAATACAATTAGATATTACTATGGAGACTTACAGGAATAATGATCAAGCAGAAAAAACTATGTAAAGTTTTGTACATGGTGTAATTATATTTCATTTATTCAATTAATCCATTATTCAGAATACTCCCTTATAAGTAATCAAGTAACTCATATACATAAACCAAGTAAACCACATATATGCCTCTTTAAAACACACACACACACACACACACACACACACACACACACACACATTCATTCTTCATTGCAGACTCATAGATTGCAAAGTGTCTGAGATAGCCATTTTATTGAAGCCCATTTTTGGAGATGGGTAGCAGAATGTTAGGATGATTTGCTCAGATTCCACATCCAAATGGTAGGCCATCTGCATGAATCCCCCAGAGTTTTGCCCTGAGACTTTTATTGATACAGTCAAGATCATGTAATGGCCCTCTACCACAATCCTAAATATGGGTATGCACTATATTTTGAGAAGTGTGTGTGGTAGAAAAATTGTTCAAGGAAATTGCTGGATCTCAAGAGCTTTGATTATGGCTGAACATCCAGAGCTTTTGTCCTGTAGTGACATGACCTGGATATTTTACACACCTTTCCTGTAATAATGAGAGAATGGACTCGGAGGATTTCAATATCACAAAGCAGATCGGCTTTCAAAGCACAAGGTTCTTACGGTTCCTCAGCTAGCAGGTCTCACGCTCTGTCTCACTCTACGTGCTGACTTGGGATAGTCACACTCTTCCTCCAAAGTGAGAAGGGGAGGGACAGACACATGTAATACGGGCCAGTTTAGAGCCTCACTCTGTGACCAGGTGGCTGGACTGCAGAAGGAAGAGAGCAGGAGGTGGAGTGAGGGATAGCTCCATCACTCTCTGATTCCCAGCTGGGGGGTGAGGGGTGGCGAGCTGAGTGACCCTCAGCCTTCCAGGTCATCCAGTGCTGCCTTGTTATGGTTCTTTTAGTTTTACTTGATTACATCTCCTTTGTTTGAATGTTCTAGTAGTAGGGAGTCTGTGGTTAACAAATGTATACATCTCTACATATATAGATATATGCACATAAGTACGTGCATACATATGTAAGTGCATATATAGAATGCATATACATTCATATGGTGAAAATGTAAATTCAATAATTAAAAATGGTATCTAGTGAAAAGGATGTCTTCATTTACCTTTCTTTATGGAAGCTAGATTTGTATTCTAGGAAGAATAATTATTCAGTTTTTTAGTACCCTTTCTATAATGCATATGCTGAGTCTAAGCATATATGAATAATACGTATAAGGCTTTTTCTCATTTTCATAGATTTCTGTGTTAATTCCTCTTTTTTCCCTGTCAGACAGTAATATGCTATATATAGTGTTTACTGTGGACTGAATTATGTCCCTTAAAAATTCATATATTGAAGTCCTAACCCCCAGTGTCACTGTATTTGGAGGGAGGGCCTATAAGGATAAACTTAATGTTAAATGATGTCATAAAGGTGGAGCCTTGATTCAAGAGGATTAGTATCCTTATAAAAAGAGACACCACCAGCTGGGTTGGTGACTCTCACTTGTTATCCCAGCACTTTGGGCACCTGAGGCAGGAAGATCACTTGAGGCCAAGAGCTCAAGATCATTGTGGGCAACTGGGACAGTTTGGATATTTGCCCCATCCATATGTGATATTGGAATATAATTCCCAGTGTTGGAGGCAGGCTTGGTGGGAAGTGATTGGATCTTGGGGCTGGATTTCTCGTGAATCAGCGCCATTCCCTTGGTGCTGTTCTCCTGATAGTGAGTGAGTTCTCGTGAGATCTGGTTGTTCAAATTGTGGTACATTCCCCCTTGCTCTCTTGCCCCAGCACCTGCCATGTCAGACCCCTGTTCCCCCTGTGCCTTCCACCATGATTGGAAGCTTCCTGAAGCCTCCCCAGAAGCAAAAACTGCTATGCTTTCTGTAAATTCTGCAGAACTGAGAGCTAATTTAACCTCTTTTCTTTATAAATTACCCGGTTTCAGGTGTTTCTTTGTAACAATGTGAGAAAGAACTAATACAGGGGCAAACTTCTCATGAATGGTTTAGCACCAAATCCTTGGTGCTGTCCTGGAGAAAATGAGTGAGTTCTTCTGAGACTGGTCATTTAAAAGTTGTGATACCTCCCCCTACGACTTCCAACTCTCTCTTGCTCTTGCTTTCCCCATATGAAGTGCCTGTTGCTGCTTCATCTTCTGCGACGATTATAAGCTTCCTGAGGCCTTCCTAGAAGCTGATACCAGGGCTATACTTCCTGAGCATCGTACAGAGCCATGAGCCAATTAAACTTCTTTTCTTTATAAGTTACCCAATCTCAGGAATTTTTTCATTGCAATGAAAGAGCAGCCTAATACAGCAATATAGCAAGATGCCATCTCTACAAAACAAAACAAAAAACAAAAAACAAACAAACAAAAAAACAAGAGACACACCAGAGAGCTTACTCCTTCCTTGCCTATGTGAGGACACAGTGGTGGGGGAACAACTGTCAGCAAGCCAGGAAGGGAGACCTCACTGCAAATTGAACCTGCCAGAACCTTCATCTTGAACTTCCCAGTGTCCAGAGCTGTGATTGTGATATTGTGATTTATAATGAGAAATGCAACTGCTGGGCATGGTGGCTGCAGCCTATAATCCCAGCTACTTGGAAGACTGAGGCGGAAGGATGGCTTGAACCCAGGAGGTGGGGGCTAAAGTGACCTATGATGGCACCACTGCACTCTGGCCTGGGTGACCGAGTGAAATCCCATCTCTAAAAAAATATAAAGCATATATTTAATGTTCCTGCCTGTTTCCTGACTCAGAGCCCCTAAAACTCTTAAAATTTCTGAATAAGTGTCTAATTTCTGAATAAGTGCCTCATGAAGTACGTTAATGAGACGAGTGGCACCTGCGTAGCATTAGGATGGGGGCTGGTTGCCAGCAGACTCTAGCAAGTGATTAGAGGGTTAGAACATCCATTCCCACCCTAGCTAACCCCCTGGAAAGGGGATTGAAGGTTAAATTGATCAGCAGTGGCGAATAATTTCATCAGTCATGCCAACGTAATGACACCTCCATAAACCCCAAAAGGAGAGAGAGAGACTTTGGTAAGTTTCCGGATTTGGTGAATGATATGGTTTGGCTCTGTGTCCCCACCCAAATCTCATGTCAAATTGTAATTACTAATGTTGGGGGAGGGAACTGGTGGGAGGTAATTGCATCATGGGGGCAGATTTCCCCCTACTATACAATTTCTTGTTATAGTGAGTGAGTTCTCATGAGATCTCATTGTTTAAAAGTGTATAGCTCTTCCCCCTTCACTCTCTCCTGCTGCTATGTGAAGGTGTGCTTGCTTTCCCATCACCCTTCTGCCATGATTATAAGTTTCCTGAGGCCCCCCAGCCATGCTTCCTGTGCAGCCTGCAGAACTGTGAGTCAATTAAACTTCTTTCTTCATAAATTATTTCGTCTCAAGTAGTTTTCTATTTTTTCTTTGAGATGGAGTTATGCTCTTTTTGCCCAGGCTGGAGTGCAATGACATGATCTTGGCTCACTGCAACCTCTGCCTCCTGGGTTCAAGTGATTCTCCTGCCTCAGCACCCCCAAGTAACTGGGATTACAGGTGTGTGCCACCACTCCCAGCTAATTTTGTATTTTTAATAGAGACAGGGTTTCACCATGTTGGCAAGGCTGGGCTTGAACTTCTAACCTTATGAATTGTCCACCTCAGCCTCCCAATGTGCCGGGATTACAGGCATGAGCACCATGCCCAGCCCTAGGTAGTTCTTTATAGCAGTGTTACAACAGATCAATACAGTACACAAGAACATATCCCTGTGCTGGGAGGGTGGCACACCCCAACTCCACAGGGACAGAAGATTCTGCACTTAGGACCCTTCCAAGCCTTGCCCCATTATCTCCCTGTGTGTACATTTAGTATACCTTTATGATAGATGTGTAAACCTAAGTAAAGTGTTTCCCTGGGCTCTGTGAGCCATTCTAGCAAATGATCAAACTGAGGAGGAAGTCACGGGATCCTCCAAACTATAGTTCATTGGTCAAAAGCACAGATAATGATCTGCTTCTTGATACTGATAGTCTTGTGGGACGGAGCCCTTAACCTGTGGGGTCTGCATTCACTCCAGTTAGTGTCACAATCGAATTGAATTGTAGGATACGCAGCTGGAATCAGTTCCTGTAAGAAAGCACCCTCCCGTATTTGGTGGCCGGAAGTGTGAGTGTGAGTATGGAGGAGAAGAGCTGATGTTTCCTCGACTGGGAGAAAGAAATTTCTGTTGTTTCGGCTACTCATTTGTGGTATTTTGTTATAGCAGCCTGAGCAGATTACTACAGTGGCCTACAGCATTCCTCTTTCTCATTAACAATATATTTTGGTAATATTCCATGCCAGTAGCAAGGGATCAACCGTACTTTTTTGCATTAAAAAAATGCTGTATAACAGCCATAAAAAAGGATGAGTTCATGTCCTTTGTAGGGACATGGATGAAACTGGAAACCATCATTCTCAGCAAACTATCCCAAGGACAAAAAACCAAACACCGCATGTTCTCACTCATAGGTGGGAATTGAACAATAAGAACACTTGAACACAGGAAGGGGAACATCACCACCGGGGGCCTGTCGTGGGCTGGCGGGAGAGGGGAGGGATAGCATTAGGAGATATACCTAATGTAAATGTCGAGTTAATGAGTGCAGCACACCAATATGGCGCATGTATGCATATGTAACAAACCTGCACGTTGTGCACATGTACCCTAGAAATTAAAGTATAATTTTAAAAGAATGCTGCATAAAATTCCATTGTAAAGATATACAATCCAATTTAACCAGTTCAGCAGGATATATTATTTGTTTCTAAATGTACTATTTTAAACAATTCTGAACTGTATATTCCGAATGAAAGACCAACACCGAACCCCATATATTTGCTATTGCATTGTGGTTAACAAGTCACGCATGTCCTATCCATGTTCCTAGGAACTGCTGTACTGAAGCTCCTGCACATCTGTGAAGTGTGGAAGCTGTGGGTGAAAACAGTAAATACTTCCAGTTGCCCGTGTGTGTCACTTAACCGAGGAATCCTGGGAAAGTAAAAGTTGTCACCACAAAATAGCTACTGTAGTGGAAGAACGTCTCTGTCATTTTCTGTAATGAAAAATCTGGTAACATCTGCACACTCAGATTCAGAGTTATTGGGTTAGACTCTAGTCCTTAATACCAGAAAGGGTGAACTTAATACCTATTTTTATATGTGGAGGAAGAACATGGGCAGTGGGAAGGGTAACTGACTTTTTTCATTTTCATTTTGAGTCTCTTTGTCTTTGAGATAACTACTTATTACCAAAGGATTTTGGCAAATTTTTCTCTCATTTGTAAAAAAGCAAATAAAGAATCCTTTCTTTCTCATTATTAGCTGTGGCCTGGTTCTTGGCTCCACTCCAGGTGAACGTGATGTCACAGAAGAAAATGAATCTCCGGCGAATTGAGAAGTGCACTGACCTGGTGAATGTATGTGGGTTCTGGCTGGTGGTGCCATTTTGGTAACATCTACTGGTGCACCTTGGAAACCATAGGTCATCATGATGGTGAATTTTATATTTCAAGTTGCCTGGGCCTGTGGGTGCCCAGATTAATAATTAATTAAATAATTAATGATTTCTGGGTGTGTCTGAGAGGGTGTTTCTATAAGACTAGCAGCTGAATTGGTTGATTAAGTAAAGTAGTTTGCATTGCTAGTCTGGATGGGGATCATCCAATCTGTTAAGGGCCAGAATAGAATGAAAAGTGGAGAAAGGAGGAATTCATCATTTTTCTTGCCTCACTTCCTAAGCTAGGACATCTTGTGTCATCGTTCCCACACTTGGGTTGACATCTATGTCATCGGCTCCCTTGTTTTTCAGGCGTTAGGACTTGAACCGAATTATACCACTGGCTTTTCTGGGTCTGCCAGCTTGCAGAAAGCAGATTGTGGGACTTCACCGACTCCATAATTGCCTGAGCCAATTTCTCATGATAAATCCTTCTGTATCTATATTTCTGTCTGTCTCTTTCTACCTACATCTGCAATGTTTCTCTTGATGACTCTGACTAATACAGTCATATTTTCTAAATCAGTGGAGATGTGTGATAAGCATGTAATGTACTCAGTTTCCCAGATATTCATTTGGGTAACCTGGCTGGCCCTATATGCTAAATTATCTCAGATCACCCAGTTTTACATCCATAATATCTTTGAAACAATGAGAATTTTGAAGTAGTCAATTGATCTTCTTTTGAAATCATTGTAGATCAGACGTGAGACAAAAGTGACAACTCTGTCATAAGTCTAATGCATTTTAATAAAGAAAAACATTTATTAACCAAAATCCAGTTTTAGTTTAGAAACAAGTCTGTTTTTCATAGGTAATTTGAAATAGGAATGTAGACAGAATTTCTATGCTCCTATCCCTACTAATTGCCTCACTTCCTTATGTAATCAGAGTGGAAACACAGCTCATAAAATGAGAGTATCATCTGGGCTCAGTGGTGTGTATTTATAGACCCAACTACTGGGCTGGCTAAGGCAAAAACATTGCTTGAGTCCACAACTTCAAATCCATCCTGGGCCACATAGGGAGACCTCATCTCTAAAAATGAACTAAGAGGCTGGGTGCGACAGCTCAGGTCTGTAATCCTCGTAATTTGGGAGGCCGAGTAGGGCAGATCACCTGAGGTCAGGAGTTTGAGACCAGCCTGGCCAACATGGTGAAACCCCGTCTCTACTAATAATACAAAAATTAGCTGGGCATGGCAGTGCATGCCTGTAGTCCCAGCTACTCGGGAGGCTGAGGCAGGAGAATCGCTTGAACCTGGGAGACAGAGGCTGCAGTGAGCCGAAATTGCACCTCTGCACTCCAGCCTGGGAAAATAAATAAATAAATAAATAAATAAATAAATAAATAAATAAAAATGAACCAAGAAACAAAAAGTCATTATCAGGCAAAATTGATTACAATGTTTAGCCTAAACCCCTCTCCTCTTCTCTCTTCTGCCCTGAAAATGGGTCCTTCTTTCCCTTTTGGAAAGTCAATTCATGGACATCTTGAAAGACAAAGCCTATCGTTTTCTCATTAAAATGCTTGATCTACTTGGATATCCTTGAACATTGCAGGCTACTTTGCTGGTGGGGTCTCATATTCATGAATCCCAAGTGTAGTCATAATCTCTGCAAGAATATCTTTCCAAGGTTGATGATTTGTCTCCTTGACCTTCCATTCAACCCCCACCTAAAGACATCTGCCCTGATATGTACCCAATTATTAAAAAGTGAAATAAAATGAAAGCAATAGCATTGTGAATTAACCTTCCTTCTGTGCTGGACTTTACAGAATATGTTAGAGCTGGTAGCTGAAAAAACCAGGGCTTGTTTCCCTGGTGAGTAACAAAGACTCTCTATGAGAATGTACATTTTGATAAATAAGTTTTGTTACTTGGTTCAAGTAAGAAGCCCACTGGGAGTATTCTCCAAAGCAGTGTCTTCCTGATGGAAAGTGAGAAGAACATTCTATGTGGTGATGGAGAGGGCAGAGGGTGTATCATCACTTGTAGAGGAGGAGTCCCAGTTGCCCATACACAGTGAGTGATTCTGCCAGCACATAGTTCACATGTTATGGTAATGAGCCTCCTCCTTGGGTGGAGACTTTAGCATGATAATGAGGAATGTTCATGCCAGTTTGTCTGTAAGTTGCTGGGTTATGCCAGGAGCTGGTTCCCACCAGCAAGCTTGTAAAACAGGCTGATTGCTCAAGTTGATTAAATTCTTACAATTCCTGGAGACCCTCCCTGCCGGCTTACAGAACAATTAACGGCATTTACTCCTGCAAGACTTCCTGAAGATTTGATATTAAGAGAATTTTATAAAATCAGACATGGGAGGTTCAAGGAAAAGAAGTGGACTCCAAGGATCACGTCTTTGGAACATGCGGATGTGACCACTTAACTTCTCTAATGGTAGTCTCTGTGGTGCTGGCCTTGGGTCCAGGGCAATCAGAAAATCTTGGATGTCTACTGCAGAAGGGGCAGTGAGTCCAGCCAGGGTTTCCTGATGGTCAAGCACAGAATCCTCCTTGGTCTTGTTTGAATCGTCTCACGTCCTGGGAGAGGGGAGCTGCCTCTGACCTCAGCCCAGTCATCAGCATGGGGATGGCAGGAAGATGATGTGGAAGGCATGGAGGGGCTGGAGAGAGGCCATGGCAACAGGGAGGGGAATAGCATGGGGCTGCACCATGAGAGGATGATGGTGAGATTCACTGAGATTGGAAGACTCTTGTTTCCCTCTCCCTCAACTTGTGGTCCTTCATTGGGGCCTTGCTTCCACTCTTGTCTCCCAAATAGTTGTGTTTTGCACAGCAGCTGGACAGATCTTTAGGCAATGTTATTCTTGCATGTAACATGCTCGATTTGTGCCCCATGAGGAACTTACTTTATTCTTCCATCTTCACAGGCATGAAGGGTCTGAACCTCATTAACTCCTATCATTAACACTCATGGCTATGATGATCTTGTCCTGACCAAACAACTTTTGTGCTTCTAACACGCCAAACCTCTATCCATTCAGGACCATTTTTTAAAACTGAAAATGTTTTATTACATTAAGGAATAAATACATACAAAGATGCGAATAATGGTAGTCATTCTCCTTCAGATGTTTTAATCAACTTATCGTAAACACAGAACGAAAAGTCTTCTTACAGCCTTGGTATTTGTCAGGACTTTTGAACTCTCTTTCTCTTTGCTGGGATGATTCTCCATCTGGTGTCTGCATGACTGGCTGCTTTTCCTCCTGTTCAGATTTCATTCTCTGAGATAAGTCTTTCCTGGTGACACTCTGCCCTGTCACTTTTGTGGCACATACAGAACCTCTATATTGTGCTGCTCTGTGTAATTTTCTGTGTACTATGCTGTGTATTTTTCCTCCTGACACTTAGCAAAATTTTGTATGCTTAGAACAATTTTGTATGTTTATTTTTATCCTTGTATAATGTGGCCTCAAAAGAGCAGGGACCTGTCTTGGTTTGTGTTGCATCATCACTCCCTCAAACTGTGCCTGGAGCAAGGTATCTGCTCAGTAGATGACTGCTGGATGAATGAATGAACGAAGGAATGAATGACGAGAGAGGATGAAGTCACAAGGTGGAGAGGGTGTGGGGGCAGGTGGGGACTGATCCCTCTATCCTGTGGTTTTAGAGATGAGGCATCCCCGACTGAGAAGAGACCTGTGATCTGGTACCTGAAGCAAGGAAGGTCCACTCCATCTTTCTTCACAGGAAACGTGGCTCCAGCTTTCAGAGTCCCACCTTCTCCTTCTGCTACTCTGAGGTTATGGGAAGACTGCACTCACTTCCTGACATGCCCTGTTTTACCTAGAGTCAGTGGATTCTGTTGAGCACTGAGATTTCCCAAACTCAGTGTCTCTGTGCAAACTTTTAAGTTCACAGCCCGACCTTGGAGAAGCAAGATCTCAATAGCTTCTCCAGAGGAGAGACTTCAATACAGCTGCTGTCTGATGCCAATTAAAGCACCATTACTGACATGGAGTCATCTGAGGAATGGAAATTGCTGTTTCTCAGGGTCTGGAAGAGGAGGAGAAATATAGAAGTCAGAAATCTCAGACTGAAGGACCAAGGTGCAGATCTGATGGCATCGTACCTCTCTTGCATTCTGAGTCGGGCCATTCAAAAAGACCCACTCTGTTCCTGGAACAATCACTTGAATGCTGCACCTGTCCACAACTTGCAGGAAGGGGCTTCCCCTTTTTCTCCCCTGTTTCTCATGGATTCCTGAGTGAAGCCCTGTGTTGGAGTCCAGGGCAGCGGCTCTCATCATCCATTTCTTCTCTCTCTGGGTCTACAAATCCTGAATTCTCGAGGCTGTGCCCTTCCTGACAGGTGTTGAATGAACCTTTGACTCGCCATTGGGAACATCTATGGAGGGCAGAATGGGCAGGAGCCAACTCACCTTCATGAGTGCTCCCACTTCCTCCTCCTCCTCCTCCCCCTTCTCCTTCCCACGTGACCAGCGGCTCCCCATCTCCAGGACATGGAACTTTTGGGAAAGATGTCCACCTCTCCTCCAGTCAGCATTACAATCTGTCCTTACTGCTGTCGGAACAATTTATCTTATTGCACATTTGACTCAAACCCTGGTTCCACCTCTATTACGATTGCTAATAGCTGGAGACTTGATGTGCCCATTTAAAAGAAATATCCCTGAGGCTAAACTTTTCTTTATCTTGGTTTCACCTTATTTATAGCATTCTTGACTTTTTCTACTTTCTTCTTTTCTATTTTCTATCATAACGTTCAATTCTATCAAAATTTATCATTCATAAATCATAATGAAGCACGTGCATTTTCAGCTGATTCACTGCAGCTCTTTTTTTCTTGGGATAGAAATCATGTCAATAAAAACCATAGTCGGACCATAAAGCATCAAATGGGACCTCAATATCAAATTGGGCTCAATTCTGGAATACAACTAAAACAAGTGGAGATCTATACACAAGTTATAGGTTGGTGTTGGGGGAGGAGTCAGTGGATGGAAAATTGCTTAGAGGAGATATTAAGGCTAGGGAGACCAATGCTAAGTTGACTCAATTGGATTTTTTTTTAAGGCAGGCCTGGAATCAGGTATCACATGAAGGATGATGGGGGAATTAAGGAATTTGGTCAGATATTGAGGGGGAGAGATTCATGATAAACCCAAATCTCTAGAGCAGATTGTCACTAAATGACAGCAGAGCGGCCGAGGAAGACACACAGACACTTCCAGATGAATTTGCAAAGCAGTTTATTGCAGGGTTCACAAGGGACTTCAGCTCAGGAAAGCTGAAGGGGTATGGAGACTGATGAGGACAGTTGCTGATACCCAGAGTACATGGAGGGATGGGATCTTGGCTATGATTGAGGAGCTTGGCAGATGAGTGATGATGAGGACTGCTGATACAGGAGCTTAGATGGTGGTATCCAGGTGAACTGGAACCACAGGATACCGTGGAGAATCCCGTGGATCTCTGTTGTCACATGCAACTACATAGAACCTCCTTCCTGGTCTGTCTGCATACGTGCAGTTTGAAATATTCTGTGCACCTGGATTTATGAGGTCACAGTGGAGTAAAGGCACCCGGAATCTACTCCGATGACAATTGTTGAGAGTTCTGTTATGAGGGCAGCGTATACTTTGGTTACCACAAACATTAACTACATTAGCAAAAGTTGTACGAAGAAAAGTATTTTGGTTTTTGCAACGCCATCGATAATTGTTAATTGCCCGCATTGCAATGGTGCATCGAGGGGGGTTCAGACTGATGTGCTGGATGGCAAACCACTGAGCCCTCGTAAACTGTGGGGGTCTGGCATGGAGTGAGCCCTCCACACCCATAAGCCCCAACAGAAGAAGCAGACAAATTTGGGAAGTGAACAGTTTTGGAACCATGTTTCCTGTAAGAAAAGAAGAGAAGTAACTACTCCCCGATCCGGTCTCGGTTATGACACACTCTATAGTGTCTCAACCCACAGGCCCCTCTGCTGCCACTCTGGGGTCGCATTTCCTTTTCTTCCTGTCCCCAAAGTGTGCCACATCTCCTAAGCACTAACTTCAGCTCACCTCTCCCTCAGGTGCTGCCCTGTCGCTGCCCCTCCTGTCCCAGCTCTGGGGATTGTTGACTTACCCAGTCTCTGAGCTGTGGCTCCTGTGAGAACTGATCCAGCTGGTTGTTCTGGGGTTCAGGGGCAGCTGGTCTCCCCTACTTGGAACTGTTTAAATAAAGCTTCCCTTGGTGGGTCTGGCCATGCAGAAACCCACAGATTGACACATGGTCCACTTGTGCAATCATCCTTTTTATTTGATGACTTGGCTGAGCAACGGATACCCAAGGACAGCCCTGCTGCTCTTTCTGCTATACGGACTCTAATTCCAAGTCATCCTGTGTTAGACAGAGTTTTGCCGGTGGGATCTGGACTCTGGGTGAAAACTATACGCTGCCGGCAGAATGACCACAGATTTTATAACTGTCCTCTGGCAGGCCCCTAAATGACTAAATGACACGAAGGCAGGCATAGTAGTTAGGAGAAATAGAGCCACAGAGGGCTGTTTGCCCAGGAGAAACCCAGCTTCCCTTCCATTTTTAGTAATATCCTTGGTTCTCTCTCACATAAATGCTCTCCATCTCATCCACCACTCTTGCTGGAAACTTGAGCTATTAATTTCTTGGGGCACAAGATTCTGTAGATAATTAAAACAATCTGCTCCATACAATTGAGGAATTTTTTTCTTTACTCCTCTTGCATTGGATCCACTTTCTCTTAAGTCTTGCCCTGATTATTGATTCCACTTTGTGTAAAGTTACATAACCTAAAAACACACCGAGGACAGTTGTAAAATCTGGCAGAGGATGAATGAACATTTGGTGTCATGAAAGATTCCAACCTAGCACTCGGTATTCCTGTGATCTTTTCAGCCTATGGTATTTTCTACAAAACAGTGTGTTCTGGGGTTGTCATTCATCTTCCTGGTAAGTTTCATTTTGTGATATTAACAAGAATATGGTTCTGTATTTACAAATGAACATTTAAGGACAGAGCACTGTATTCCTGAAAGTATAGAGGTCAAGTGTACAGTTTGATACACAAAGCATACATTTATTCTTGGCCCTCAGAGAAACACAGGAAAGTACTTGTAGACATATAATTGTATTACAGTGTGATAGAGGTAATAGCATTTGTGTGAACATGGTGTCATAGGGACACTGCTGGTGAAGGAAATCACTTGGCTTGAGAAATAAGGAAAACTTCAAAAAAAAGTTTATTTCAGCAGGTCCTAAAGGATAAGCAGGGGATTTTCAGGGGATTTAGAGAAGAGATGAGCATTCTGGGCACAGGGGATGATGTGGGGAAATTGTACAGAGGTGAGAAGTGAATTGCAAAGGTAAGGCCTGGGTACTAACAGATGTTAAATCTGGTCTAGCTTTGAGATTAGAAAATGGAAAGTAGACCCTTAAATGATATAATATACCTTCCAACAGTTAATCTGCCTAATTTTTACTACCGTCCAATTTTCCTGTCATTTAGAAATGCAATAATTTTATCACTGGGGTCCTTAGGTAAATGTGGACACAATGGTGACCTGGTGAGGACTCAATGCGCAGCTAATATTGCTCTGCCTTGAAGTCCTGTTCTGGCCGACATTCATTAGCAGCTTTATCATGAGGCAAGTTTATTTTTTCATGTATATTGTGTGGAGATCATTTTTGTAGGTGATGAGAATGTAAAGGTGAATGATACGTAGAGTATCCCCTCTGTGATGCTGACAGCCACACTGGCTAGAAACATTTGCACTTAAGTGTCTATAGTATGAGGCAAAAGACATAGACTGCAGCCCCAGGGCAGGTACTTGGCTAAACAGTGCTTCTTTTCAGCATACACAGTGCTATTTATGATGTTTGGTTTGGAAGATAAAGTTTGACATTGGAATAGTTCACTAAAAGTTTTCATTACTGTCTTATCTTTAAAAATCACATGATGGTGGTTGGTGCACCATTGGTGTTGTATCAATTAGAGCTGAGTAACAGCTGCGTCTGTGGAAGGGGCTCTAGCTCAGGGCTGTTCTCTGACTCCACTCTCCCTCCTGACTTTTATCCTATCTGTTCAGTGATGACACCTGCCTGGCTCCTGAAGACATCTGTGCTTATGACATATCAGACTTATTGAAGTGTCTTAAGCAGACCATAACCTGCCCAATTTGCAACCATATTCATCCTTTAAAATTGTGGAGTTTTTTGTTTTTTGTTTTTTTTTGAGACGGAGTCTTGCTCTTGTCACCCAGGCTGGACTGCAGTGGCGTGATCTCACTGCAACCTCCACCTCCGCCTCCCAAGTTCAAGTGATTCTCCTGCCTCAGCCTCCTGAGTAGCTGGGATTACAGGCGCTCGACACAATGCCCGCCTAATTTTTGTATTTTTAGTAGAGACGGGGTTTCACCATGTTGGCCAGGCTGGTCTCAAACTCCTGACCTCAGGTAATGCGCCCACCTCGGCCTTCCAAAGTGATGGGATTACAAGTATGAGCCACTGCTCCCAGCCATAAAAATTGCATTCAGAACATGCTCATAAGGTTTTTCTGATTGTCCCTTGTGTAGATTTCCTGCGTACATTTCCAACTACCTTCATTTGCCAGCAGAAGTAGTACAAATGATCTACTTTGATATTTATGACCTTTGAGAGAAGATGTTTTATATGAAGCAGGAATAAAGTATAAGTCAACATTAAAGAAAATTATCTGTTATGATCTCTGTAATCGAAACAAAATTCTCTGTAACTTCAGCATGATTTTGTCTTGAACAGACACAAGGCACTTCACCCGGGCTCTTTATTTTATTAGCATAACTTGTCTTGCAGCCTAATTTAACGACACATTTTCAGACCTGATCCACACTTCCAATGAGAGGAATAGTCAGAATTACGCCCTAGTGTTAAGTCATTTTTTGGAAACCGATGAACATTGTAAAATATTATCCCAGACAAAGACTTCTGCATTTGTGGTAAAAACCACTGTTGAGTACACTGCATTGATCAATGTCTTTTTTGCATAGCATTTATGTGCAAAAATATAATGTTCAATGCTTGCAATTTCTTCAGCCCCAGGGTACCCTTGCAATATTTGCTCTTAACCTGCTGACAGGGAGGTACCAAACCATCGATACCTTCCTGCACACAGATTTCCCTAATGCAGCAGTGGCTATCTATGGGAAAGACAATGCACACTATTTACTAGGTTGGTGCAAAAGTAATTGCGATTTTTGCCATTAAAAGTAATACAAGATTGTCATAATAATATGGTGCAGGTTAATTAAATTGCAGCAAATGGAGTAATATTTTACTTACCTAAGTTCTAAAGATAGTTGGTGTACTGAGCTCTTCCTGGTCTCTTGAACCTCAGAAAGGTGGCCCTAGGCCTTCCTTCTTGTGTGGGTCCTCCTGCATGTCTCCTCTGAAAACCATTGAATAAGTAGATCTGACACCTTTGATCAAGTTTCTGGCATGAAAGAGGAAAGGACTAAGCCTTTCTTCTTTTTCCTCAACTATAAGAAGTTCTTTCCCTATCTGGAAAGGGAAGAAATGGAAACAGAGCTCAGGTGGAATTATGGAGAGGTGTGTCTTAGGAGGGATGAAAGAAAGGGTGTTTCCTAGGAAACTGGAAAATTGCATTCATGTACCATTGCATATTTTAAAAATATTTCTTTTTTTTTCTTTTTTTTTTTTGAGATGAAATCTCACTCTATCTCCCAGGCTGGAGTGCAGTGGCGCGATCTCGGCTCACTTCTAATTCCGCCTCTTGGGTTCAAAGGATTCTCCTTTCTCAGCCTCCCGAGCAGCTGGGACTACTGGTGTGCACCACCACACCCAGCTAATTTTTGTATTTTTGTAGAGACAGGGTTTCACCAAGTTGGCCAGTCTGGTCTTGAACTCCTGACCTCAGGTGATTTGCATGCCTCGACCTCCAAAATAATTGGATTATAGGCATAAGCCACTGCACCTGGCCTTATTTCTGTTTATTGATACAGAATAGGGGTACATATTTTCAGGGTACATGTGATAATTTAATACATTCGTATAATATGTAAAGATCACATCAGGGAAATTGGGATAACCATTACCTTAAATATTTGCTGCTTCTTTACGTTAGAAACATTCAAATTATTCTCTTCTAGCTATTTTGAAGTGCACAGTAGATTATCACTAACTATAATCGTCCTCCTGATCTATCAAACACCAGGTCTTATTTTTTATATCATTTCTTATATTTGTACCCATTAAGCCACCTCTCTTTATCCCCATTGCATTTTGAGCATATAGATGCATTTGCTGAGATTTCAGAGCTCACAGGAAATGAATTATTATATAGGTTAGTGTCTCTGTAAATGAAGTTGTCATATGAGTTTTGTGTCACAGTGATGTCAGGTATAGATTATGTATAGTCTTGTCCAGATACCAGCTCTGACTTTTTCTTTTTCTTTTTCTTTTTTTGAGACGGAGTCTCGCTCCGTTGCCCAGGCTGGAGTGCAGTGGCGCAATCTCGCTCGCTGCAAACTCCACCTCCCGGGTTCATGCCATTCTCCTGCCTCAGCCTCCTGAGTAGCTGGGACTATAGGCGCCCGCCACCGCGCCCGGCTAATTTTTTGTATTTTTAGTAGGGACGTGGTTTCACCGTGTTAGCCAGGATGGTCTCGATCTCCTGACCTCGTGATCTGCCCGCCTCGGCCTCCCAAAGTGCTGGGATTACAGGCGTGAGCCACTGCGCTCGGCCAGCTCTTGACTTTTTCCATTTGAGACTCTTACTGTAAGAGTTGTCCAGGGCCAGGCACGGTGACTCATACCTGTAATCCCAGCACTTTGGGAGGCAGAGGCGGAGGGATCACTTTAGGTGAGGAGTTTGAGGCCAGCCTGGCCAACATGGCAAAAACCCATCTCTACCAAAAACACAAAAATTAGCCAGGCATTGTGGTGTGCACCTGTAATCCCAGCTATTCAGGAGGCTGAAGTAGGAGGATTGCTTGAACCCGGGAGTCAGAGGCTGCAGTGAGCCGATATCACACCACTGCCCTCCAGCCTGGGATACAGAGCAAGACTCCGTCTCAAAAAAAAAAAAAAAAAAAAAAAAAAAAAGAACTGGACGGTTATTCATTCTCTCTATGCCTCTGTTTCATAATCTGTAAAATACAACAACACATACATTGGTTTGTAGGGGAAATTTAATGTGGTAATTTGTGTGTGTGTGCACGAAATAAGGAAACATGTAGCATAAAATATTGCAAAAGGAAAAAGAAATCTTGATAAGGACAATCAGTCTTAAGCATCAAAGTGTTAGTGTAGTATCCGTTACTGCACTATCCCCTCTGTGGTGTTTGCAATAATAGAGTATGCTTGTTTCCTTTCCTTACTCCCCAGAGTGAAGGCATTAGAACTAGAAATCAGGGTTTTGTCTGTTTTTGACCAAGTGCTTCTTAGGTGGACAGCAAGTCATTTTGATAGGACCTCTGTTTCTCAGGGACCCTTACACAAACTGAGATAGAATAAATCACCTTTTAACATCTTGCATTTACTTGTGAAGTCAGAACAAAGGGAAATAGATCATCATAAAAATTATATCTTCTGTCAATTTGGTGGTAAATTTAAGGAACTGCCTTAGCAGATAATTAGAGCACCTTTTCATGATAAAAGTATAGTACCTGCATGATTTAGTCTCTGTTTTGTACAGAATTTGATGAATTTGACCAAATCATTGACCTTGAGCTTCATTTTTTTTTCGACTGTCCTTGGATCCTTTATTCTTCTGTGAAAATATTTTCCAAGGTAGAATTGTTTAATTTACAGCCATAGATGAAACTGAACACAAAATTATGAAATATGTACAACAGGTGGAAAGTGAAGTGACTGATGTTAGAAAGTACACGTAAATAGTAAAAATTGTTCACTGTTATGTGTTTCTTTTAATGGGAGTGAATAATTAACACATTAGTCCATAATGTTATCTATATTATTGCTTAGGACCATGTTGTATAAATGCAAGAGTGAATAAAACAGATAATATTAGTCAATAGTACAAATGGAATGGGGGCATGGTCCAGGGATGCCTGATGTCTGGGAAACCCTGAGATAGAGAGTCGGGCTTGCCGAAGTCAATAGCCTACTTGCCTACATTTCTCAATTTGTGAGCGTTCATTTATTTCTCACCTATAGTCACTATGACTGATATTTTTTAGTAAATGGTACCTTTTCTTCAAAGGGATTCTTGGTCTCTTACCCTGTCAAGACATGCTCTTCCTTTGAAACCCGGATATTTTCCTTCATGGAGCATCATCCCTTACTCCATCTCTTTGAATCTCCTATTTGGCTCACATCCTTCCCTTAAGAGGAACAAGCTTGGTTGTCCATCTAAAGTAATGGACTTAAAAAAAGATTAGAGTTTCACTTCACAAACTCTGCTATTCACCAACACGGGACCTCAAACAAGGCACTTATCTTCTCTTTTCTACCAGGGAAATGTTAACATTCTTTGTTTCTTATATCACAAATACACAAACCTAGTAAGTCTGGTGGTGGGACACCCTGCATCCTGAGCACAGGTGAAAGTCTACGGTGTCTCTAAAATAGTAGAAGCGAGGGTTACCTACAAGACAGTCCTTTTGTGAGCCTTAATAAAAATGCCTTGAATGAAATGGCTACCCCCATGTGGTGCTGGGTTCCTTCTTTTTTCCAATGCTTAGTGAAAAATTACAATGTATGTAAATGTTCAGTGATGCTGAGATTTTCTTGGCTAGATAGCACCTGCCAAACAAAGCTTCCTCTTGGATGTAATGAGTTTTGGGCCCCCTGGTCACCTATTAGACTGGAGGTAGGTGAAGGGAAGGGAGATAACCAAGAAGAGGAACTACTACATTATTGTTTGTTTACTGAGAGTTATCTCCCAGGCTATTAACCAGTCCTCTAATCTAGATCTCAGGGGCTTGAGCTCATCCCATAGTATTTGCGCTAATGTTTTCTCTTGCTCCATTAAATGACAGTTCTAAATGACAGGACCTCATATCTTCTCTACAATAAGATAGATTACAAGCGTGTTTTTTTTGCATAGTTTAAAAATAATGATGTAATCTGTATATAATAATTTTATTTCAGATAATTATGCCTGTTTCTGCCTAAATTCATAATGATTTAGGAAAATCAGATATACATAGACAAACAATACAAAAATATCAACCAAATTTCCTTTACATTTTTTCCTACACACACACACGCGCGCGCACACACACACACACACACACACATGCATACACACATACCTATGCTCCAGAGTATCGGATTTCTAAATAGTCTGAGCTGGAAGGAACTCCTAAAGACATTTATACCAACCCCTCACTTTCCAGCTGAGGAAGAGTAATGGTAGAGTGATCTGTTAAGCACACTAAAAAAAATAATGATAGAACTGAGTATTAGAAAATATCTTTTTGTGGCTGGGCGCAGTGGCTCATGCCTGTAATCTCAGCACTTTCAGAGGCCGAGGTAGGTGTTCACTTGAGGTCAAGAGTTTGAGACCAGCCTGGCCAACATATTGAAACCCTTCCCTACTAATAATACAAAAATTAGCCGGGCATGGTGGTGGGTGCCTGTAATCCCAGCTACTCGAGAGGCTGAGGCACGAGAATTGCTTGAACTCGGGAGGTGGAGGTTGCAGTGAGCCGAGATCGCGCCCTTGGACTCCAGCCTGGGTGATAAAGAGAGACTCAGTCTCATAAAAAAAAAAAAAAAAAAAGAAAAAGAAAAAAAAAGAAAATATATTTTTGCTTTGAGAATTATATTAGTACTATGTGTATTCTATTAGTACAATTCAAAACTGAGATGGGTCAGGAGATGCAGTGTTTAGCAAGATGAATAGAGTTAGCAATTTTGTATTGCACATTTGAAATTTACTAAAAGGATAGACCACAAGTGTTCTCACCACGAAAAAAAAGAAAAAGAAAAGAAAATGGTAACTATGTGAGATGACAGATATGTCAATTAGCTTGATTGTGATGATTATCTCACAGTGCTTTTGTATATCAAAACATGAAGTTGTAAAACTTAAATATATACAAGTTTTATTTGTAAATTATACCTCAATTAAAGCTGTAAAAAATGAGATGAGTGTGTCTGTAATCTCTCTAAACTTCCAAGAAAACCTGCAGGGCCAGAGTAGTGAAATGGGAAGGAAGAAAAGAGAGAGGGGCTGGGCATGGTGGCTCACCCCTGTAATCCCAGCACTTTGGGAGGCCAAGGTGAGTGGATCAGTTGAGGTCAGGAGTTTGATACTAGCCTGGTCAGCATGGTGAAATCCCATCTGTACTAAAAATACAAAAATTAGCTGAGCATGATGGCAGATGCCTGTAATCCCAGCTACTCGGGAGGCTGAGGCAGGAGAATCGCCTGAACCCGGAAGGTGGAGGTTGCAGTGACCCAAGATCACGCCAGTGCACTCTAGCCTGGGCAAGAGGACGAGACTCCGTGTCAAAAAAAAAAAAAAGAAAGAAAAGAAAAGAGAGTGATACGGAGATGAATGTGTAAGAGGGAAGGAGGATGTGGTAAAGTGAATAGCTCAGATGGGTCCTTAGAGGAGCGAAGAGAGATGGAGACAAATGCGAGAAGTACTGAGGTCTGGGGTATGCTTAAGAGGAGAACAATATCTCCGGGCATTGAGACACCAATGCCCTACTCTCCTTCTCCTTATTCCCTCCACTGAGATGAAAACGTGACACAGATGTGGACCCTCTTCCTGTTCACCTCCAGGACAAGATTTTCTTTCTCTAGATCCAGTAATGTGGATATCTCTTCAATGAATTCCCCAGACTCTTCCACCCCATCAACAGTGGTCATGAGGGAAGCTTTGCACTTGGAGTAAGACATTTCTCCCCAACAGGCTTAACTTTCCGTGAAGTAGCCTCCAGAACCAAGGTCTCTCTGACCTTCTCCTGTCTTCCAGTCTCTTGCTCCCCTCTCCCCAAATCACCCATAAAATCTAGAAATATTACTCTAGTCTTCCCTCTGCCATTCTGTGTAGGAGCTGGCCATAAAGAAATTACCTGACCTACCTTGTCTGATAGTAGGTCATAAGACTGATTCCAGAGGGGGTCTTGCTGTATAGCTGGGAGGGAGAATTCCTATACAGAGAGTCCAAGAAAAATCTAAACAGACAGGCCGTGCTGGGTTCCTCCCTCAGCCTATTACTATCAACTCATACCCTTTTTGTCCAATTACATTGCTACATGGCTGTCCATCCTTCACTGAACCTGAGCATAAATCTAGACAGTTTTGCCTGGGTCTTTGGGTCTTCATTCTGAAGGTTTCTGAGTCACATAAAACTTTAAGTAAATTTGTTATGCTTTTCTCTTGTTAACCTGTCTTTTGCTATAGGAGTGTCAGACCCTTATGAGGGGAGAGGAGAGATATCATACTTTTTCTACCTCTACACTTTTAATATCATTAATTTTCTAACAATGCCCAAATCTTCAGTACACCTCTCTCTCCTGAACCCTATACTTGTACAGCAACTTTCTATGTGACATTTCTTCTTAAATGTCTAATAAGTATATCAAACCTAGCATGTCCCCAGGAAACACTGATCATCTTTTCCTACTCTTCCCCCGAAGTTGTTCCTCCCTCAGTATTCCTCATCTCAAGAGAAGGTAAGTCCATTTTCTCTAATTGTTGAATAACCTTCTTTTCTCGTATATCCCACATCCAACCTGTCAGAGAAGTCTTTTTCTGCCTTCAAATCACACACAGAATCTGGCCACTTCTCATGGCCTTCACTGCTACCACCGTTCTGAGCCACCATCACCTTTCACTAGAATTACTGGAAAAGCATTCTCATTGGCCTTCCTGCTTCCACCACTGATAGCCCAAGCAGCTAGAGGGTCCTTTTAAAACATAAGTCAGATCATGAAACTCTACTCAAAATCTTTTAGTGCTTCTTCATTTCACCCTGAGTAAAATGAAATCCTTATAAAATCTCATGTGCTCTTACATGATCCATATTCCCAAACCATTTGCTTTTCAAAACTAATCTCCTACTCTTCTCCTTCCCACTCAATTTCCTCTAGTTCCCTGTCCTCTTAGCTGTTCCGTAAACACACCAGGCATATCTCTATCTCAGGGCCACCCTAACCACACCGCACCCACAATGTGCATAGCTAACTTCCTCTCTCTCTAAGTCTTTGCTTAAAAATAATTTTCTCAGCTGGGCGCGGTGGCTCACGCCTGTAATCCTAGCACTTTGGGAGAGCAAGGTGGGCACATCATGAGGTCAGGAGATGGAGATCATCTGGCCAACATGGTGAAACCCCTGTTGTACTAAAAATACAAAATTAGCCAGGCGTGATGGTGCATGCCTGTAATCCCAGCTACTCCGGAGGCTGAAGCAGGAGAATCACTTGTACCTGGGAGGCAGAGGTTGTGGTGAGCAGAGATCGCGCCACTGCACTCCAGCCTGGCAACAGAGCTAGACTCCATCTCAAATAATAATAATAATAATAATTTTCTCAAGGAGATCTATTTTGACTACTTTATTTTAAAATGTTACCCATGGCTAGGTATGGTGGCTCATGCTGTAAACCCAGCACTTTGGGAGACCAAGGTGGGAGGATCACTTGAGCCCAGGAGTTCAAGAACGGTCTGGGTAATATAGCAAGACCTTGTCTCTACAAATAATAATAATAATAAATAAATAAAAATTATATTAAATTAAAGGCTACCAGTATGGAAATGAATAAATGACGCTCATGGAGTTCTAAGACAAAATTCTCTAGAATCTTCTTTTGGCCACTTAGCACAACTGAAACCCCTTACCCCCAAGAACTTGATCTCTTCTGAGGGCCTAAGAACCTGAATGTACAGTTAAACTCTCCTAAGCCATAACAAACTGTTATGGCTTAATGAGCAGCTTATCAGAACTTAGACGATGAAAACAGTACATGGTTTCTCTGTATTTTCCTGTTTCTTTCTCCTCTATCATAGTCCCACTATCAGGCAGATGTTCCTTGTATATCTGTAAGATGACAGCAGCAACTCCACATCTTCCAGTCTCTCAAGATGAAGTCCTGCCTTCATCTCCCAATATTCCTAGCAAAGGTCTCTGACTGGGACAAGTGCCCATCTCATCTAATGAGACACACACACTGAGTAGCTCATTACTGGAGCTGGGGTGGAGCCAGTCCATCCAAGCCACAGACGGGAGCAAGGTGGAGGACTGGTTTTTCAAATAAAACAGGAATATGATTTTCAAAAAGAAAACTAGCTCACCTCCAAACAACCAGTATTCCCCATCCCGATGTCTGTACTTGCATCATCCTCTAGTGGGCCACAGCTCCATCATCACTTTATTCACCTTTGCACCTGCTAAGAGGAGGTCCTTCCCCTCTGGTACCAGAACCACTGGGCTGACAGTTCCTGAGAGAAGGGTCCATGTCTTGGTTATCTTTGAGTCCGTCTCCCAGCCCCGTTCTGGCACAGGGTAGGCTTCCTTAAATGTGTGCTGTCCTACATGATAGCTCTTTTTTTGGTTACTTGGCCTCTCTTGAGCAGCCAGTACCCAATTATCACAGGCCTCCTAGGACTCATTTTTAATGTCCACGTCCCACTTCTCTGGCCCATACATCTAAATATGATATTGCAGTGTAGTATTATTAATGTTGCCATTGTTTTCTAATAAGGAGATAAAGTGTTTTTGGTCCAGTTTTGGGATTGACCTTTCTTTCTCCTTGCAAGTTTGTTGACATGGTGTCGATCACTGATGAGAGTTTGCACAAGTTCCTGGGTCTTATCTAACTCATTTTTGGGAAACTCTGTGTTAGATTTCTCTCTACTTTCATATTTAACTGTATTGCATCTATTCTTGTCCTATCTGTGACAAAGAGGAAACTGGCAACACCATTTACATTGCTGTGGCTGTAGTAACTAGCTGCCCTCAGGCTTATGCTCACTCTTGCATGGTGTAGGGTTGATGCTGAGAAGCGACAGCTCAGGTAGGAACTATAGTTCCCACTTGAAGGCCATGCCAGTGAAAAATGGCCAACGCAGTTGAGAAAGTGTGCTTCTCCACCTTCTATTCTGTTTGCCAGCTACATTAAATGGATGAGGAAATGACAGAACCACAAGATGGAAGTAATCTGTGTCTCTGAATGATACATGGAACAAGGCTACCTGTCAATGAGCAATACTAGGCTTTTATGTAACAAGATATTGTTTTCTATTTTATATGTACTCTGGTAGAACAAACTCTCTCACCTTGTTTTTTAGTTTGTTTTTTTTGAAGGTGTCTTTGCTATTCTTATACATCTATATATCCTCTAGAATCAGTAAGTTCCCAAACTAAACAAACAAAAACTGGGTTGAGAATTTGATTGGAATTGTACTGAATCTGAAACTGCCTTTGCAAAGATTTTGACAGTAAGAGAAATCTGACATAGTTGACTTTATCTTGCTTCTAACCTCCAAGCTGTCCATGGTCATTCCTGGGCATAGGCCAACCTACATCAGGTGGAATTTAGTTTATAGTTCAACTGTAAAGTGAGGATGATAGTAGCCTTTCCCAAAACTCTGTAAAACTAGTGAAAGGCTGCAAGGTTAGGATTATGAGAGGCTCCTGAATTCTGATGAAATGTATTTTCTATAATCCCTTACTGCTCAAGGGTCACGTGACCAGAGGTCACAAGATTTGTCACTTCTCCAATTGCTCCTATAGGTAACATCACTACTGTGGAACCTGAGTTTTGTCTTTTGAGATGTTTTTTCAGATTTTTGCATTCTGGCAACCTATGGAACCAGGGCTCATAACTCAACCAGTCATGTGGTTCCACCCAGATGCAGACTCAGCCCACGAGGCAGCCCACGAGGATTGTTTTTCACACCTATATGATTTCATTCCCAGCCAATCAGCAGCACCCATTCTCTAGCCACCTGCCCACCAAACTATCCTCGCAAACCCCTAACCTCCAAGCCTGCAGGAAGACTGATTTGAGTAATAACTCTGTCTCCCTCGTTGCCAGTCTTGTGTCAATGAAACCCTTTCTTTACTGCAATGCCATGGTCTCAGTGAACTGATTTTGTCTGTGCAGCAGGCAGGAAGAACCCATCAGGCAATTACAAATCTATAGGTCAATTTGCAGAAAAATTGATGTATCTAAATTAGTGAGTCTTGCAATCTATAAACATGCTCTAACTCTCTGGTTACCTTAATGTCTCACAATAAAGTTTTGTACTTTTGTCCATAAAGTTCTTGTTTATCTTTTCCTAGTTTTTCTCCTTATGAACTTAATATTTTTAATAGTATTGCAAATTGAATCATTTTAACATTTCAGTTTCTGCCTGTTGCTGGGGTTAGGGCTCAGAACACATCACTCCAAAATATTCCTCTCTAGCATATTGATTATTAACTATTTATTTAGAGAAACTGCCCGCACAGGAGTTAGCTCTGAAAAGCTGCCCTTTTGTAAAAGAAATTTAGATCTATAAAAGAAATTTTCACTGGTAAAGGTGTTTTTGATCAGGAAGAGAGCTGCTCCAAGGCAATTTTTATCCCCTGAGAGACTCTTATCTGCATAACAAGGCAACCTTTATTTACCATGTATTTACTATATGTTTCCTCCTCTCACGCTCCGGTAACTTGCACCACCACTCTCCAGAAGCCCCAAGCCTCTGTTTCTTTCTGTAGCTTAAGATGCTATATAAGCTTTATTCATCTGGCCTTTCTTTGAGTCTTATATTTTTGTGGGACTCCTATGTATACACACATAATTTAATACAGTTTTTCTTGTGTTAATCCGTCTTATGTAATTTAACTTGTAGCCCAGCCACAAAAAACCTAAGAGGGTGGAAGGAAGTCATTTTTCCCTCCCCTGTGCTGAAATATAAAAATAAATAAACCATATGCCAATTTTATATCTAGCAATTATTAATCTAAATAATTAATTTGCATATGTAGGGGTAAAGGGGAATTTCCCTTTCCCTTTAAGGTTTGAGTTTGCCGAAATTAACCGATGGAAGATTAGCTGCAGAAAAAGGCAAGTTTATTGTATTCATGGGGGAATGATGAGAGAGTGACTTCCCAGTAACCCAGTGAGGTTCAGAATCTATATGCCCTTCTTCACAGGAGAGAGAGAGATGGCGGAATGTAGGCAATTTTGAGGAATAGGAAATTATTTTTAGGAGAGTTGAATGGGCCCAAAGAACCTACCATAGTTTGTAAATTATACTCTTTGGAAACTCTTTGGAGTATGACAAAGAATAGACAACAGCTTCTGACAAAGTCTGCCTAGGTGTGGTGACATCCCTCAGTCTCACTTTCTGCTGTGAGTTTAATCTTCTCTGGTTAAGAAAATCTCAGGGAGGTGATCAAAGTCCACTGGGTTCTTTCTGGAGGAGCTTTGGATAAGGTAACTTCAGAAAGGAAGAGTTTCATCCTGCACTTAGGGGCAAAACAGGAGAAGTTAAGAAAGTCCTTGGTTCTGAGGCTGATTCTAACACCCTTTCATTTTATTTGATTCAAAGTGCCTAGCATTGGAGGGTGGGTGAGGGGGAAGTTAATGGTTAATGGGTAAAAAAAAAAAAAAAAAATAGAATGAATAGGCTGGGCACAGTGCCTCACACCTGTAATCCTAGCACTTTGGGAAGTTGAGGCGGCAGATCACCTGAGGTCAGGGGTTGAAGACCAGCCTGGCCAACATGGCTAAACACCGTTCCTACTAAAAATACAAAAATTAGCTGGGCATGGTGGCATATGCCTGTAATCCCAGCTACTTGGGAGGCTGAGGCAGGAGACTCACTTGAACCCAGGAGGCAGAAGTTGTACTGAGCCAAGATCATGCCACTACACTCCAGTCTGGGCGACAGAACAAGACTCGGTCTCAAAAAGAAAAAAGAATGTATAAGATCTAGTTTTGATAGCACAAATATAGGGTGACTATCATCAATAATAATTTTATTGTACATTTTAAAATAACTAAAAGATTTAAATTGGCTTGTTTGTAGCATAAAGAAAAAATGCTTGAAGGGATGGATACCCCATTTACCCTGATGTGATTATTAGGCATTGGATGCCTGTACCAAAATATCTCATGTACCCCTTAAATATATACACCTACTACATACCCATAATTTTTTTTTGTTTGTTTTTGAGATGAAGTCTTGCTCTTGTCACCTAGGCTGGAGTTCAATGATGCAATCTCGGACCACTGTAACCTCTGTATCCCGGGTTCAAGTGATTCTCCCGTCTCAGCCTCCTGAGTAGCTGGGATTACTGGTGCCTGCCATCATGCCCAGTTAATTTTTGTATTTTTGGTAGAGACAGGATTTCACCATGTTGGCCAGGCTGGTCTCAAACTCCTGACCTCAGGCAATCCACCCACCTCGGCCTCCCAAAGTGCTGGGATTACAGGCGTGAGCCACCGTGCCCAGCCATCATAGAGTTTTAAAATTGGAAAAATTGCACTTAATTAGATTAACAATTCTCAAATGGAAACTCAATTTGCAAACTAATTATTTCTCCTTACTTGAACATGTGTATACCAATATGCACATATACAAAATCACACATGAACCCACACAGTAATGTATAAAAAAAATACAGAATGTGAGAGCTGAAAGAGATCTTTTGTCTATAATCTTCACTTTAGTGATGAGGAGTAGAAGGATAAGGTGATTTGCCAAGCTCCAGTAGCAAGCTTATGATAGACACTAAACCCCAAGTTTCTGCATATTTGCAGTGATGTCATAGGCACTCTGTGTGATGCTGGTGAACATTTTAGGTGTGAAATAGTAAGCATAAAATTAGTAATACCTGGCAATCTGTTTAAGATCATTGACAGGCCTGAGAGTTTTCCATACGGCCTGCACCCTAACCTCTGGGAAGAAAATATCCACAATGAAATTTCTACAAGATTAGAGGAAGGAGAGAGGCAACGGGGATTCCATTTCTACTAGGAGTATCAACCTCTGAGAGGGATATATCCATCTCTGTGGATGTCATCTGCTCTGCAGAAAACCCTTTCTTGGAACTACCAGGTATGTAAAAAAAGAGTCAGATATTAGACCTAGAGACAGAAGGCTCACACACAGTCACCCAGAATCCCTGATCACCAAGAATTAGAACATTTCTGGAAGATGGGCTCTATACATGGAAGAGTTGGGAATCTTTATTTTGAGGCAGAGAAATATGTGGGGGAAACATAAACTCTACTCCCTTAGAATTGAAATGCTCACATTTTTAAAAACAGCGTTTAAACAGACATTTGTATTTAAGGAAGTGAAAATATTTTCTAAGATGCAGGTCATATGGATCTGTCAATTCTCTTCTGAGTTAGGTCACTCTAAAAAGGGGTTGGCAATGATACCTGCCTCACCTCACAGGCTATGGGTGAGCAGCAGATGGACTGATAGATGCAAACACCTCAGAGATGAAAGTTTTTAGTTTAACTGGTCTGCTTAGGTAAGGAGCAAGAATCACTTTGGGGTTTGGAAATAACCTTGTACATAGGACAATCCCATAAAGGGTTGAGAGGGCGGTAGTCATCTCCGTTATTGACAAGGAGGTGGAAAAAGGATGTGAGAACACTTGTTGCCAAGAGTACACAAAGAATAAGTGTAGAAAAGGCAGGAGGGGAGAACTGGGAACATTAAGTATAGGGCCAAGACTTCTTAGGAACAGGACAAGGGACCGTGGCTTGTTCTTTTGACTCTGCTCTTCTTTGAAATGCTTTCACAGGAAACATGAATCTGATGTGGACCCTCCTCCTTTTCCTCCTTTTGGACGTAACTGTCTTCATTCCAGCCCTGCCCTTCTCAACACGACATTTAGACAACCCCAGGTCGTGGGTCCCTAGAGGACACCACCGATACTGTGATGTGATGATGAGGTGCCGTTGGCTGATCTATAGGGGTAAATGCGAGCAGATCCACACATTCATTCATAGAATCTGACCACCATAGCAGATTTCTGCAGAACTCCACCACTGCCCTGTACCAACAGCCCCTCCATGTGCAGCTGCCACAACAGTACTCATGATGTCAATGTCACTGACTGCTTTGCCAGCACAGGGACCCGACCTCTTCACTGCCACTACCAAAAATAAGAAGGAGTCCACCAGGCCCATGCGAGTGGGCTGCAAGAAGGGGGCATCTGTTCACCTGGATGGCTAGGTTCCTCCTGACAACGGCACCTGAATGACTTGCACCCTACGCCTTCAAATCTGTGCAGCACTGTCAAGGTCTTCTTTGTAAATGCTTCGTCCTTTGCACGCAGGCTCCTGCGTCTTTCTTACAGCCTGTTCCCCACCAACCCCATGTGCCCTACCCCTGCCACAGTGTCAGGGCTTTTGGTGGAGGATAAGGCTGCAGTGGAGGGTTGGTGGGAGGGAGCCTGAATTACGGAAATAATACTCGGGAAAAGACTTGCTCCAACCAAGCTGCTAGACAATCCCCTTCTCCTGGGGCTGATCTTCCCACCAGCTGCTCTCATAAAACCTCCTGATGGCTGGCCCTAGGTTTCCTGGATCATAGGGTCCTTCTGCCTTCTGCGGGACATTCTATGCCTTTCTCCTCAATGGGCTCCTTCGGAGGGTATTAGGGACGATACCCTGGCGGGAAACCGCTTCCTTTAGGGAAACAAATCACTGTGGCTCCAGGGGTGTCACCGGAAAAAGCCGTTTCCGGAGAAGCCGGAGGAGCTTGGGCAACTCCGCAGGCCCAGAGCCTTCGTGGTCTCCCAGTTCCCGTGGCCGTCGTATTGGTCGGCAGGGGGCGCCGCGCCACAAGCTTCCTGCACAAGAGTCCAAAACTTCTTTCTTGGTTTCCTTTGAGACAGGCTGCAGGTTTCTTGGTTGCTGACACGGGTAGACGATAATAGGTGAATAAACAAAATCCAGCCAGCATAAATACAGTCTAACTGTTGAAGAACAGATTTCTGAGTCTACCATAACTTTCATACACTGCAGCACTTTAACGTTGAACCTGCCACCTTCAGATTCACACTGCAGCACCTCAGGTAAGAAGGAAAGGAAGTGAATATGCACTGAGGACCTACTTGTGTTATGAGCTTTACAGTTCAGCTGCGCTGGAGAAGAGTTTATTTCTTTCATGGAATCCATTACATCACCGATCCCCTTCTGAAGGAGGTTATTTTATCCACGAGAGGAAGCATCCAAAGGTGTTCATATTCTCTACCCTGTGACTCCAGCAGAATGGTGACAAGGTTTTGAAGCAAAGGAGGGCACTTGACTCTAGGGCAGCCGTCCATTAACTGACTAGCCCGGTGCCTGTGGAACAGAGTTGCGTGAGGATTTTACCCTTTTGGAATAATCCAGTGACAAAACTGGATACTATTACTTTCATTCCTTCCCCCGATGCCAGGAGGTATAGCTGTTTTGCCTTTGTTCTTGACATTCAGCACTTAGCCTAATGCTCGCTATAAAAGTGCCTTCAAGAAATCTTTAAGGGGCCATTTTGGTAGGTCTGGTTGTTGCTGTGGATCTTTTGTAGATGCCCATTTTTAGATTAGAAAAGTTTCTTCCCTTCTGCTCCTGTTTATGTCTCTTGAATGGATTGGGAATTTCGTTGAATGATGGGATTATACAGCATATTTCTTTAATCAGTTAATGGGGTGAATTAGATTAGTTGATTTTAGAATACTAAACCAACCTTGTATTCCTGGGATAAACCCATTTTGGTTATGTGATATAATCTTTTTTATATATGACTAAATTTAATTTGCTAATATTTTGTTAAATTTTTTTTGCATTTATGTTCACGAATGAGATTGGTCTGTAATTTTTTGTATTGCCTTGTTTAATTTTGGTATCTAGGTTATATGTTAGCTTCCAGAAATGAATTGGGGAGTAGTCCTTCTTTATTTTGTAACTGGAATTATATGTTATTTTAATACTTGGTAGAACTCACATGTAAGGCTGTTTGGTCCTGATATTTTCTTATTTTCTTTGAGACTGCTTTTTCTTTTTTCTTTTCCTTTTTTTTTTTTTTTGGAGATGGGTCTTCCTATGTTGCCCAGGCTAGTGTGCAGTGGCTATTCACAGGTGCAATCACAGAGCATACCTCGAATTACTGGTCTCAACTGATCCTTGAACACTCGGTCTCAGGTGCCTCAAACTCCTGGGCTTGAACTCCTGATCTCGAATAATCCTGCTGCCTCAGCCTCCAGAGTAGCTGGGTCTACAGGTACACACCACCAGGCTTAGCCTCAAACTATTTTAAACTTCTGTTTCAATTTCCTTAATGGTTAAAGAGATGCTAACTTTTCCATTTCTTCTTGAGAAAGCTTTGGTAGATTGTTTTTTCCCACGTAGGAATTTATCCATTTCGTCTAAAGTTCCCAAATATATTAGCACAAAGTTATTCATAATCTGTTTAATATTTATAGCATTGATTTTATGTCCTATTTTTATTCTGACTTTTTTGTACCTTTTTTATTGATAAAACTTTTGAGGTGTGTCTCTCTTATTAGACAGAGATTTTTTCAGACATGCAGAAGCGAGTACTTATAAACTCATGTAGAAACTTTTTTAGAATGGGTCCGTCTTTTTTTTTGAGATTGAGTCTCACTCAGTCACCCAGGCTGGAGTGCAGTGGCACAATCTCGGTTCACTGCAACCTTCGGTTCCTGGGTTCAAGCAACTCTCCTTCCTCAGCCTCCTGAGTAGCTGGGATTACAGGCATGCGCCACCACACCCAGCTAATTTTTGTATTTTTAGTAGAGACAGGGTTTCACCATGTTGGCCAGGCTGGTCTTGAATTCCTTACCTCAGGTGATCTGCCCTCCTCAGCCTCCCAAAGTGCTGGGATTACAGGTGTGAGCCACCGTGCCTGGCCAGGTCCACCTCTTGAGCCACACAGATCTGCTTCCCCAGACAGGTTCAAGAGACAACTCCTCCAGGCTTCCTACCAGTCTCTGTTCCTGAAGGGAAACTTAAGAGGAAGTTTACTGTGGACAAACAAACTGTAGTCACTGTCAATGCCGCAGATCTTGGGGCTGTAACTAGCACCCATCCACTCCTTCCTTTACTATGTATTCTAATCTCCCTTTACCCTTAGGTCTTAGTTGCTTATTCTTATTTACCCTCTCACCAGTTCTGAGGGTTAAGCCCTTGGTAATCATATTTTTCTCAGGCTGAGGTGGCTACACACTTACATTCACAGTTAAAATGGAGCATGGGAGTAACAGAAAGCACCCAAGTAGATTACTTGGGTTCTACATAAATTCTTTTCTGCCTCTATTGGGTAAAAGCAGCCCTACCTCCCTCCTGCTAATCAAGGTTACTTAGCCTTGACAGTATGGCAACTCCTCTTCACGTCTGCTGGTCCCTAGACACGAGAAATCCAAAGTGTCCTGGGAAAAGCTGTAGCTTGCAGTTCAATGAGACCTTTCTGTGTAAGTTGGCAAGGGTGCATCTTCTTTGGGGACCTGGACCTTTGACCCTGCAGAGCCTAGAGTTACAGAAATGAAAGCACAACATATCTGAGTGGGTCAATCAGAGAGATGGTAAGTGGAGCTACTCCTGCTTCTACTTCTCGGTTCCTGGATCCGTGTATTCTTCCTATTGGGAACACAGTACCCTTTACAGGCCTCTGATTTAATAAATACACTGCATCCTGAAGAATGATACCCCATACTTTCATAATGTTACCTCTTAGCTGCTGCTTCAGCTGTGTCTTTGGAAAGTCAGTTTCTCTTCTTTCCTCCCTCCCTCCTTTCTTTCTTCTACCCTCCTTTCTTCTTTTCTCTCTTTTCCGTTCCTTCCTTTCCTCATTTCTCTTTCTCTTTCTTCCTCCCTCCCTCCCTTCCTTTCTTTCCTTGAGCTGAAATGGCTTGCACCTTCCTTTTCCCACATAAACACCAATGGACTCTTCCCATTAGTCCTCTAGTTTCTTCCAGAGGTAGGTGAAATTATTGAAGAGACTTCAGCAGAAATTAGGGAAGATCTTCTGAACTGTGATTAAATGGAGTGTGGTCGTTTACCTAATTATCCTTGGTTATCACCTTCTGTGATTGTGATTTTACTTATTAAGCAGCAGAGCCATCTGGCGAAGACCTGCATTACTTTTTAATCTTATGCTTGCCTTTTGTCTTTCCCAGATTTGATAAATGGTTGGTCCTTATGATCCACTGATGCAGACTACTTGGGAGGTCCCAATGTCCTGGTGCCCAAAGGCAAGATCATTTTTCCCCCTGCAGTGTTTCTGTCTATCATGATGATGTGAGTGGGCTCTTATTGGGGGTGCCTAATGCTGCCATAAAGAAAGAGTTTTCTTGGCTTGGTGCAGTGGCTCACGCCTGTAATCCCAACACTTTGGGAGGCTGAGGCAGGCGGATCACGAGGTCAAGAGATCAAGACCAACCTGGCCAACATGGTGAAATCCTGTCTCTACTAAAAATATAAAAATTAGCTGGGCGTGGTGGCGTGCACCTGTTGTCCCAGCTACTCGGGAGGCTGAGACAGGAGAATTGCTTGAACCCGGGAAGTGGAGGTTGCAGTGAGCCGAGACTGCGCCACTGCACTCCAGCCTGGCGACAGAGCAAGACTCCATCTCAAAGAAAAAAAAAAGAAAAGGTTTTATCTTCTGAATTAAGCTGTATCCCTCTGAGCTAGTCAGGGAAATAGGCAATCTTTTTTTCTATGGCTCATAGATACTGGTATCACTGGTTATCACTTGTGATAAGTAAGCAACATCCTTCCTTCATAGATTTATAGCTCAGTGTTTGGCATATGCCCTATAATTATTATCACAAGCAAGGTGTGCAGAGGCAAAGTTTTCTAGGATACAAGCACCTGTCTGTTTTGTTCACCTCTCCCTATATGGCACTTAGCATAGTGCTTGTCATATCAAAGGCACTCAGAAATGTTAATTAAGTAAATATTAGTGATGGAAGAATGTCTTTCTATTGTCTTCACATATGAATAAAAAGGGGGCCAGGGGCAGTGGTTCATGCCTGTAATCCCAGCACTTTGAGAGGGTGAGGTGAGTGGATCACTTAAGTCCAGGAATTTGGGACCAGTCTGGGCAACATGGTGAAACCCCATCTCTACAAAAAATACAAAAATTAGCCGGGCGTAGTGGCACACGCCTGTAGTCCCGACTACTCAGGAGGGTGAGGTGGGAGGATCGCTTGAGCCTAGGAGGTGGAGGTCACAGTGAGCCGAGGTTGGGCTGCTGCACTCCAGCCTGGGAGACAGAGCCAGACCCTGTCTCAAAAAAAAAAAAAGTTAACTAGATAAAACATCCTTTGTTTCTGGATGTCCAAAGAGTTGTTTTTATTGTTTCACTGAAATGTCATGGATTAATATAGTCTGTATTCCTGTATTAGTAGCCTGCTATTACTACACAAAAACATTCGAATGCCTTCTCTTTTGCTGTATTTTAGACATTTTTCAAAAGCCTAGGTTTCTGTGTTGCTTTTGCTTATGCTGAGACTCGGTGATCTCCACCTGTTTCTAAAACCAGCTCCCTATCTCCTGCTGAAGAATGTTCCTTTTGTTCTTTGACTTTTGATTCTGTGTCTTGTGTTTTAAGGTTCAGTTTAGGAATCTCAGTATACTTTAGGTTGATTCCCTGGAATTCAAGTGAGATGCATTTTTTTCTTTTTTTGAGAAATTAATTAACAATTTATGCTAATGTGTGGATGTTTAAGTTCCTGGCATTTGACTGAGCTTTGTAATGTGTACTTTCTACACTGTGGAAAGAAGGAGTTCTAAAAATATATATATAGCCAGGTGCAGTGGCTCACGCCTCTAATCCCAGCACTTTGGGAGGCCGAGGCGGGTGGATCATTTGAGGTCAAGGGTTTGAGACCAGCCTGGCCAACATGGTGAAACCCCGTCTGTACTAAAAATACAAAAATAAGCCAGGCATGGTGGCAGGTGCCTGTAATCCCAGCTACTCGGGAGGCTGAGGCAGGAGAATCGCTTGAACCCAGGAGGTGGATGTTGCAGTGACCTGAGACTGTGCCATTGCACTCCAGCCTGGGCAACAAGAGTAAAACTCCATCTCAAAAAGAAAAAATATATATATTCTCAGAAAGAAAATATATCTATCTATCTATATAGATAGATAGATAGATTTCAAAATATGAATTTTTTTTTCCTATCAAGATAGAAGATCCTGTTAATAAATTTGGAGAACAATTAGATATTCAACAAGTAGACATTGTGCATTTCTACTTAATGGACATCTGTATTGCCAGAATGCCATTGAACATGATCCTGCTTTTAAAGTAGTGGTTGTCCAAGAAAGGAGTACGAGGCTGAGAAGATTCTCTTAGAGTGACAGAATTGCTAGATTGAACAAGTTGATTCAGAATAGGTTGCTATACGTCTCTCTTACGGCTTTCAAGGATTCAGCAGGCCATTCTGGACAAGATCTACAAGAAAACATAGGTGTTTCATTTTGAGTGATAACCAAAGGTTAAACCCAAAACCCTTAGGTTCAGGATTTCAAAGTATAGGCCATACTAAGAGAAAATATTTATGACACATATACACTTGATTAATGCAGCATTTACATTTGTTTCTGTCAATAAGCTAGCAGGGAGCAAGCTAATGTGTAGGGTAATAGTGACAGACATACACCAACTTAAGAGGAACAATCAGTGTCTTACTGTCAGGCTGCCACTGATGCCCAGCTAGTGCATCATTGATCCTCACCTACAAGATTTTCTTCCTCATTTCTGCATAAGGAGGCTAAAGTTACCTCAAAAGCTGGTGGTCGTGGTCTGCAGAAAACTCAGCTTAGCATTCCCCTTTAGAGATATGGGGATACTGATGCTCAATGTTCAATGACAGCACAGCTGCCTGGACTTTATGATAAAACTCTCACTAGAGATTGAAGTTTATAGGAGCCTTAGCCTAGATTCTCATTAGTTCTTCCACAGACTTTCTCTCAAAAACAAGCAACATGTTTATATTACCCACTTTTCACATATAAGCATGTTTTTCCCTTTTAAATAAATTCTCTCAAAAATTACATTTAAAACCACATTTTACATAAACATAGTTATGAAATTTCTTAATAACAACATATTTGTAATTTGACCAAGTGGAGTGAAAACCCTCTATCAAAACAAATGCACTTTAGTGGGGAACGAGGCATCCTTTATAAATACATAAACGAATCATACACAGCACAATATCTGTGCAATATTGGTTAGCTTCCTTCTAATTCATCTCCACATGTCTTAGAACTATAAGGAATCTCCCATCATAACTCAATCTTCCCCACAACTGAGGCCCACAGCCTGAGCTGGCCAGATTCCTTTGAGGGAACTGAGTTTCCATCTCTCACTCCCTGTCATCAGCCTACTAGAAACCGAGGTGAAGGAGTGTGAATGACTTGGAGCAGTTCCTCACTGACAGAAGAGCACAAGGAATTTTCTCTCTGCAACATCTCTGCAGCAGGGGGCACCACTTCCCAAATCAAGCTTTGCTGGCGTTTTTGAAATCTGGAGGAAGGTGAAAAATGACTATTTTCATAAAGTAGGTGAAGGAAAATTCTGGAAGAGTACATCCATTTTTTTTATGCTCACCTGGAGAAGATTTGAAGGAGAACAAAATTATAAGTATCTGAAGTCAAGCAAGCACACCATGGGTCTGAGGTTGTTCTTGCTCCCTCCTGCACTTTGACTTCGTCTATAGAATGTCAATAGCCCTGTAGGCTGATGTAGATATCTTTTAGTGGGTTAATAAATAAGGGTTTTTGGTTCAAATTGCATGTAGTGTCCTTTTGCCAGCAGTGACATATGTTTTTAACACTCTAAACTGAAACAAAGAACAAGAACTTCAACAAGAACAAGTTCCCACCCTGGTAGTCACATGCACTCAAAACACCTCTTTGGAAGAGGCCACTACCACCGAGGGCAAAATTTCAAACAGTTAATGAGCTCCCAGGCTGTTTTCTTGAGTAGGAAAAATAATTGAAATACTCAGCAATAAGAGAAAAGCCAAACAGGTGATGGCACATCTGTAGGATGCAAAACTATGCTGCCATTATAAATGCACTCGAGGAGAATATGTATGGAAATGGGAAAGCATTCCCTTTATGTTGTTAAGCAATAAAAAAAAAAGAGAGAGAGACAGAGAGCAGCCATAAAATAGTACCCACATTTTAGTTTTTAATATAATCAGCAAAAAACCTGGCTGGAAACTTGTAAATTTGAAGAGTGTTTATCTTTGGTTGGTGAGATTATAGCTGACTAGTTTTTTTTTAAATTTTGTTTTTAGATTTATGACTTTTCCAAATTTCCTAACTTTTTTTTCTTTCTCCTTTTTAATTTATTATTATTATACTTTAAGTTCTAGGGTACATGTGCACAACGTGCAGGTTTGTTACATATGTATACGTGTGTCATGTTGGTGTGCTGCACCCATTAACTCGTCATTTACATTAGGTATATCTCCTAATGCTATCCCTCCCCCCTCCCCTCACCCCACGACAGGCCCCACTGTGTGATGTTTCCCATCCTGTGTCCAAGTGTTCTCATTGTTCAATTCCCACCCATGAGTGAGAACATGTGGTGTTTGGTTTTCTGTCCTTGCAACAGTTTGCTCAGAATGATGGTTTCCAGCTTCATCCATATCCCTACAAAGGACACGAGTGCATCCTTTCTTATGGCTGCATAGTAGTCCATGGTATATATGTGCCACATTTTCTTAATCCAGTCTATCATTGATGGACATTTTGGTTGGTTCCAAGTCTTTGCTAATGTGAATAGTGCTGCAATAAACATACATGTTCATGTGTCTTTATAGCAGCATGATTTATAATCCTTTGGGTATATACCCAGTAATGGGATGGCTGGGTCAAATGGTATTTCTAGTTCTAGATCCCTGAGGAATCACCACACTGTCTTCCACAATGGTTGAACTAGTTTACAGTCCCACCAACAGTGTAAAAGTGTTCCTACTTCTCTGCATCCTCTCCAGCATCTGTTGTTTCCTGACTTTTTAATGATTGCCATTCTAACTGGTGTGAGATGGTATCTCATTGTGGTTTTGATTTGCATTTCTCTGATGGCCAGTGATGATGAGCATTTTTTCATGTGTCTGTTGGCTGCATAAATGTCTTCTTTTGAGAAGTGTCTGTTCATATCCTTCACCCACTTGTTGATGGGGTTGCTTGATTTTTTTCTTGTAAATTTGTTTAAGTTCTTTGTAGATTCTGGATATTAGCCCTTTGTCAGATGAGTAGATTGCAAAAATTTTCTCCCATTCTGTAGGTTGCCTGCTCACTCTGATGGTAGTTTCTTTTGCTGTGCAGGAGCTCTTGAGTTTAATTAGATCCCATTTGTCAATTTTGGCTTTTGTTGCCATTGCTTTTGGTGTTTTAGACATGAAGTCCTTGCCCATGCCTATGTCCTGAATGGTATTGCCTAGGTTTTCTTCTAGGGTTTTTATGGTTTTAGGTCTGACATTTAAGTCTTTAATCCATCTTGAATTAATTTTTGTATAAGGTGTAAGGAAGGGATCCAGTTTCAACTTTCTACATATGGCTAGCCAGTTTTCCCAGCACCATTTATTAAATAGGGAATCCTTTCCCCATTGCTTGTTTTTGTCAGGTTTGTCAAAGATCAGATGGCTGTAGATGTGTGGTATTATTTCTGAGGGCTCTGTTCTGTTCCATTGGTCTATATCTCTGTTTTGGTACCAGTACCATGCTGTTTTGGTTACTGTAGCCTTGTAGTATAGTTTCAAGTCAGGTAGCGTGATGCCTCCAGCTTTGTTCCTTTGGCTTAGGATTGACTTGGCGATGCGGGCTCTTTTTTGGTTCCATATGAACTTTAAAGTAGTTTTTTCCAATTCTGTGAAGAAAGTCATTGGCAGCTTGATATGGATGGCATTGAATCTATAAATTACCTTGGGCAGTATGGCCATTTTCACGATATTGATTCTTCCTATCCATGAGCATGGAATGTTCTTCCATTTGTTTGTGTCCTCTTTTATTTCATTGAGCAGTGGTTTGTAATTCTCCTTGAAGAGGTCCTTCACATCCCTTGTAAGTTGGATTCCTAGGTATTTTATTCTCTTTGAAGCAATTGTGAATGGGAGTTCACTCATGATTTGGCTGTTTGTCTGTTATTGGTGTATAGGAATGCTTGTGATTTTTGCACATTGATTTTGTATCCTGAGACTTTGCTGAAGTTGCTTATCAGCTTCAGGAGATTTTGGGCTGAGACGAAGGGGTTTTCTACATATACAATCATGTCATCTGCAAACAGGGATAATTTGACTTCTTCTTTTCCTAATTGAATACCCTTTATTTCTTTCTCCTGCCTGATTGCCCTGGCCAGAACTTCCAATATTATGTTGAATAGGAGTGGTGAGAGAGGGCATCCCTGCCTTGTGCCAGTTTTCAAAGGGAATGCTTCCAGTTTTTGCCCATTCAGTATGATATTGGCTGTGGTTTTGTCATAAATAGCTCTTATTATTTTGAGATATGTCCCATCAATACCTAATTTATTGAGAATTTTTAGCATGAAGGGCTGTTGAATTTGTCGAAGGCCTTTTCTGCATCTATTGAGATAATCATGTGGTTTTTGTCATTGGTTCTGTTTATATGCTGGATTACGTTTATTGACTTGCATATGTTGAACCAGCCTTGCATCCCAGGGATGAAGCCCACTTGATCATGGTGGATAAGCTTTTTAATGTGCTGCTGGATTCAGTTTGCCAGTATTTTATTGAGGATTTTTGCATCGATGTTCATCAGGGATATTGGTCTAAAATTCTCTTTTTTTTGTTGTGTCTCTGCCAGGCTCTGGTATCAGGATGATACTAGCCTCATAAAATGAGTTAGGGAGGATTCCCTCTTTTTCTATTGATTGGAATAGTTTCAGAAGGCATGGTACCAGCTCCTGTTTGTACCTCTGGTAGAATTTGGCTGTGAATCCATCTGGTCCTGGACTTCTTTGGTTGGTAGGCTCTTAATTATTGCCTCAATTTGAGAGCCTGTTATTGGTCTATTCAGGGATTCAACTTCTTCCTGGTTTAGTCTTGGGAGGGTGTATATGTCGAGGAATTTATCCATTTCTTCTAGATTTTCTAGTTTATTTGTGTAGAGGTGTTTATAGTATTCTCTGATGGTAGTTTGTATCTCTGTGGGATGGAAGGTGATATCCCCTTTATCCTTTTTTATTGCCTCTAATTTGATTCTTCTCTCTTTTCTTCTTTATTAGTCTTGCTAGCGGTCTATCAGTTGTGTTGATCTTTCAAAAAACCAGCTCCTGGATTCATTGATTTTTTGAAGGGTTTTTTGTGTCTCTATCTCCTTCAGTTCTGCTCTGATCTTAGTTATTTCTTGCCTTCTGCTAGCTTTTGAATGTGTTTGCTCTTGCTTCTCTAGTTCTTTTAATTGTGATGTTAGGGTGTCAATTTTAGATCTTTCCTGCTTTCTCTTGTGGGCATTTAGTGCTATAAATTTCCCTCTACACACCGCTTTGAATGTGCCCCAGAGATTCTGGTATGTTGTGTCTTTGTTCTCGTTGGTTTTAAAGAACATCTTTATTTCTGCCTTCATTTCATTATGTATCCAGTACTCATTCAGGAGCAGATTGTTCAGTTTCCATGTAGTTGAGCGGTTTTGAGTGAGTTTCTTAATCCTGAGTTCTAGTTTGATTGCACTGTGGTCTGAGAGAGTTTGTTATAATTTCTGTTCTTTTACATTTGCTGAGGAGTGCTTTACTTCCAACTATGTGGTCAGTTTTGGAATAGGTGTGGTGTGGTGCTGAGAAGAATGTATATTCTGTTGATTTGGGGTGGAGAGTTCTGTAGATGTCTATTAGGTCTGCTTGGTGTAGAGCTGAGTTCAATTCCTGGATATCGTTGTTAACTTTCTGTCTCGTTGATCTGTCTAATGTTGACAGTGGTGTGTTAAAGTCTCCCATTATTATTGTGTGGGAGTCTAAGTCTCTTTGTAGGTCTCTAAGGACTTGCTTTATGAATCTGGGTGCTCCTGTATTGGGTGCATATATATTTAGGATAGTTAGCTCTTCTTGTTGAATTGATCCCTTTACCATTATGTAATGGCCTTCTTTGTCTTTTCTGATCTTTGTTGGTTTAAAGTCTGTTTTATCAGAGACTAGGATTGCAACCCCTGTTTTTTTTTTTGTTTTCCATTTGCTTGGTAGATCTTCTTCCATCCCTTTATTTTGAGCCTATTTGTGTCTCTGTGTCTCTGCACATGAGATGGGTCTCCTGAATACAGCACACTGATGGGTCTTGACTCTTTATCCAATTTGCCAGTCTGTGTCTTTTAATTGGAGCATTTAGCCCATTTACATTTAAAGTTAATATTGTTATGTGTGAATTTGATCCTGTCATTATGATGTTAGCTGGTTATTTTGCTCGTTAGTTGATGCAGTTTATTCCTAGCATTGATGGTCTTTACAATTTGGCATGTTTTTGCAGTGGCTGGTACCGGTTGTTCCTTTCCATGTTTAGTGCTTCCTTCAGGAGCTCTTGTAAAGCAGGCCTGGTGGTGACAAAATCTCTCAGCATTTGCTTGTCTGTAAAGGATTTTTTTTCTCCTTCACTTATGAAGCTTGGTTTGGCTGGGTATGAAATTCTGGGTTGAAAATTCTTTAAGAATGTTGAATATTGGCCCCCACTCTCTTTGGCTTGTAGAGTTTCTGCCGAGAGATCAGCTGTTAGTCTGATGGGCTTCCCTTTGTGGGTAACCCGACCTTTCTCTCTGGCTGCCCTTAACATTTTTTCCTTCATTTCAACTTTGGTGAATCCGACAATTGTGTGTCTTAGAGTTGCTCTTCTCAAGGAGTATCTTTGTGGCGTTCTCTGTATTTCCTGAATTTGAATCTTGGCCTGCCTTGCTAG